>NC_000001.11:19349163-20599163 GCF_000001405.40 Homo sapiens
CAGGAGCTGGGGAGCACCCTCAGGAGGGAGGGGGCTCCATCCACCCAGCTTCAAAAAGAACTTTTGCATGCTGGCCCCCGGGGACTGTGTGTTCTCCCAGACGTGAAGGTGGTTACTGTGCCTAGGCTCAGGGCTGGGTGGAGTCAGCTCGGCAGGCAGGGAAGCCTGGGGGTTGGATGGAAATGAATGAGGTCCTTCCAGCAAATCAGAGTCTCTCCTCCTCCCCGGCTCCATGTGGACGGCAGATTCCCGGCCACCCTAGGGAAGGGATGAGGGTTTTGAGCTCACTGTGGGCCCCATTTTAAATGGGCACCAACAGCCCAAAGAGAGGCCGCGGCCATCGGCAAAGGTCCTGGGTCACCTGGGCAAGTCCAGTCACATCAGCAATTTGGCCTCTTGGTTACCATCTTTGTGTTTCAGAATCAAGAGCCATCTTAAAACAAACAGGCGAAACCCCTTGGCCAACAAAGGTAGGAGAGGTCGGGTGGAGGAGAGGGCTGGGTCTTGCAGTGTGCGACACTGTCCCCAGGAGCAGACTGATCCCCTAGAACACAGGCCCCCTCAGCCCATGGCAGGGAAGCTGAGCCCACGTAAATGGCCACGCAGCGGCTGGGGAGGGAAGGAGAAAGGTGCTTGGGGAGTGAGGGGCACAGGGCTCGGTGCACCCGGCCGTATTTCCACAGCCCCCTTGCCCGCCCCTGCTCACTCCCCTCCACACCTGGTCAGGGTCGGCTCGGTGGCAATACCAACCCACCAAAAACAGAACCATTTGTGCACTGCATATATTATTACATCCTTATAAAAGTGGCTGCCGGAAGGAAAACATTTTCATGTGTTGTGGCTGCAGATGTTCCACGAGGTGGTTCCAATGGCGTCTGAAGCCGGAGCCTGGCCCGTGTGTCCCCAGCAGGCGCCTCTCCTCCTCCCCATGGCCCTAACACAGGCAAGTGTTTGGAAGCTGGCAGCCTTTCCCCCAGAGGGGATGTATTACACCTCCCACTGCCACGTGGCATCTTCTAGCGCGACCCGCAGGGCGTGGCCCTAAGGCATGGGCCCCACTCACCGGCGCTGAGGCCCCGCAGCTCCTGTGCTGCAGCCCGAGAGGAAAGGGCCTGGGCTTGTCTAGGCCTCCATGTCTTTGCCTTCACCTCGCACTAAATAAACAAATGTACACAAAAGGCCTAGAGCGGGACTTGCCAGAATGGCAGCTCTCACCGATTGTCAAAGCACAGCTCCATCCCCAGCACTCTTCTGGCCTCTGGCATCCTCCTGGTCACCACACTGTGCTGTGGGTTGGAGGTCAGGACCCGGCGTGCAGCCAGGCCAGAAGATGGTGGTCAGACGGCTTCCCAGGGAAAGTTACGGTTGCCCAGTTTAGGAAAATTTTGAATCTAGAATTGTACATATTCAAAAAGCCTCTCCTTGCAAGATATATGGTAGTAGCAGTAATTGTTTTTATTTTTATTTTTGAGACAGGGTCTGGCTGTGTTGCCCAGGCTGGAGCACAGTGTTGTCACCACGGCTCACTGCAACCTCGGCCTCCCAGGTTCAGGCCATCCTCCCACCTCAGCCTCCTGAATAGCTGGGACTACAGGCACACTGCTGCCTCACCTGGCTAATTTTTGTATTTTTTGTAGAGAGATGGGGTCTTACTTTGTTGCCCAGGCTGGTCTCAAACTCTCGAGCTCAAGTGATCTGCCTGCCTTGGCCTCCCAGTGTTGGGATTACAGGCATGAGCCATCGCGCCTGGCAAAAGTTATTATTTATTGAGCATAAAACTGTGTGTAAAACAGTTTTTTGTTTCTACTCTACAATGATCTTTCCTTTTTTTTTTTTTGAGATGGAGTCTTGCTCTGTCGCCCAGGCTGGAGTGCAATGGCGCGATCTTGGCTCACTGCAACCTCTGCCTCCCGGGTTCAAGTGATTCTCCTGCCTCAGCCTCCTGAGTAGCTGAGATTACAGGTGCATGCCACCACACCCAGCTGATTTTTGTATTTTTAGTACAGATGGGGTTTCACCGTGTTGGTCAGGCTGATCTCGAACTCCTGACCTCGTGATCCACCTGCCTTGGCCTCCCAAAGTGCTGGGATTACAGGCATGAGCCACTGCACCCGATCTTTCCATTTTTTTTTTTTAATAAAATTTGTTTATTATGTTTTTTAGAGACAGGGTCTTGCTCTGCTGCCCAGGCTGGAATGCAATGGTGCAATCATAGCTCACTATAACCTCAAACTCCTGGGCTCAAGTGATCCTCCCATCTCAGACTCCCAAGAAGCTAGGACCACAGATGCCACCCTACCCAGATAACTTTTTGTTTTGTTGGGAGGGGTGAAGGGGTGGGGGGCAGTGCAACTGTTGCCCAGGTTGGTCTTGAACCCCTGGCCAAACAATCTTCTTGCCTCAGCCTCTCAAAGTGCTGGAACTATTATCTTTCAAAATGGGCATTATCAACACTGAGTTTCAAAGAGGTGGAGGTCTGTCTAGGTCACACAGCTGGAAAGTTCCTGAGCTAGGATCTGAATCAAGGTCTGGGTGATTCTGAAACCTGCTTCCTTTTATGAGATCTCTCTGCTGGCTCAATTTCACATACATCCTTTACCAGAAAACTGAAGGACAAACCACAATCCAGGGCTCAGAAAACCTGAGCAGGGTCCATCCCTGCCTCAGCCGCCTCCTGCCAGGGATCTCCGGTCCCTTCGTCTCCTGTTTCCGCCCTTCACAGCACGGGATGGTTGTGGGGAGCCTGTCTCAGGCCAGCTTTCCTTCTCAGCCAGGCACTGGTCACTCCACCCCAGGTCATCTGGCAAAAACCCAGACGCCCCTTGAAGCTGCGCTGCTCAAGCATCTCCACCCCTGAACCCAGGCAACCCCACAGGACACGAGGAGCGGGTGTGCAGCTGCAGCCAGGCCTCCCCAGCGAGCGTGCACTCCTGGAACTGCCAAGCTGGGCCCGGCCCACCCTCTGTTCCCTGCATCTGGAAGGGCAATGGGCTTCTTCCCTGTGACAAAAATATACTGCCTGGCCTAACTGCCAAACGCAAGTCAAAGAGGATGTTCCTGCTAGGATACACAGGCAAGTGCCTCTACTGGGGATTTACTGCCTGAAGATATATTGGGGGTGTCTCTGCTGAGTGGGGAGAGACTGCTCACTAGCCAATGACCTGCCTGATCTCCCCACTCAACAAAACATTCCACCTTCATTTCTAAATATTTAGAAGCTGAGAAAATATCAAACGAACATCTGCAGGGCCCTTCCCCGGATGGGAAACCTTGGATCTCTTTCCAGAGATTTACAATCTCGCCTCTTTCCCACGTCTCTGCTGTCACATAGGAGAAGTGACCTCTCAGTACAACTTCCTTTTCAACATTTTGGAACTTGGGGCTTGCAACCTTTTTTCGCTTGCTCTACAACCCTCCCATGGGGGGCCACGTGGCAGTGTACCAGAGGGTACCTTCTGCCCGCCTTTCCTCACACACATCCACAAGCCTGGGCAGGAAGGTATGATCCGGCCGGCCTGCGGCTCACCTTCACTCCGACAGCCTCACTGCTGCGGGAATTTGCCAGAATACTTTAGCTGTTTACCTTGTCTTCCAGTTGACGTCCCTGAGAAACATCTTTTGGTGGTTGGAGGTGGGAGAAGTAAAAGCCGAAAATGATGGAGGCAGGGCTAGGTGGAGGCAGCATCGCCTGGTCTGGCTGTGTTCTGGCTGGCTGGCAGGCCACGTGCCCAGGAGAGTGGCGCTCTGCCCCGGCCACTGGCCTACCACCAGCCGCCTACACTGGGGCACGAGTGGGCACAGGGCATAGCCTGATGTGCCCACGGAAGGGACCCCTGCGAGGTGCCAGCAAGCCAAAGCTGGCGGCCTTCTCCAGATGGGCCGTGGGAAACAGGAAGACAAGGGTGCGCCCGGGGCCACACACAGGGAAGGGCAGCTGCCGCTGCTGCCGGGGTGAGGCAGGCTGGGCCACAGGACCCTGGGAAAGCTGAGGACCCATGGGGCCTTGCTGAGGGTGCTGATGCTGGCTGGGATGGCTCTTGGGGCTAGGGCCTGGCACTGTGGGCCTGGGGAGACAGCTCCAAAACCAAGCAGCCTTCCTTCCTGACACACGTGGGGCAAGGGCATGTGAGCGTGGGTGACCTGGATGAGGCCAGGTTTCCAGAGGAAAAACCCAGGCCCAGGTTGCTGTAAGGACTGTGTAAGGAGGAACTCGAGTGAGGGGCTCTCATCTGACCCCCACCTCACATCTTGGTCGTCCAGCCCCTGACCACGCCACGCCAGAATGCCCCCCAGCCTGCCCCTCTTCCCCTGCCCTTCTGTTTCTGCCCTTGCCACCTCATGCCTCAGACTGACACTAGCTTCTTCACTGACCTCTCTGCTGCAGGGCTGTCCCCTCTGACCCTCCCAGGGCTGCCTGATCCAGGCCCTTGTCATCTCTCTCCTTGATGACTGTAACAGCTTCCCCCTGACCACCCATCCCCCAAGCCGACTGGCAGAGCCACCTTCTGAAAACACAGATCCAATCAGATCATTGGACTCCCTAGAAACCTCAAAGCCCTCCTGACAGCCTCTAGTAGTGAACACACCCCAGTGGCCAAGTGGCTTCCAGCAGGAGATCATCCTGAAAGACAAAGGCACACCTGCGGGAGGGGCCCAGAGGGCAGCGCTGCTCAGCACACACCTGGGGAGCCTTGACGCCGTGTGCGGCTCTGCAGGGTTGATCCTGCTTGCGGGGCCTGCTTGCTCCTGAGGCTACAGGTCCACTGCAGCTGCTCATGCCGGCTGCTGAGACAGAGTCCTGTCTACACTGAGCTGACTGCTCCATGCACTTCCATCTGACTATTTAGCAGTCACCGAATGGCAGGCACAGAGGACGAATTAAGACCAAAACAGTTGTGGCATGGTAGAAAGTAGCATATTTTTTTCTCACCAGGCAAATCTGGGTTCACATCCCAGCTTTGCTTCTTACTGGTTAAATTATATGGGCAAATTATTTAAGTTTGAACTTCAGTTTCCTCACCTGTTAAATGAGAATAACTTGACCTTGGTTACAATCTAATCCAAGGGGACAGCCTGCAAACCATGCATGTTCATGCTCACTGAGCTGCTCACTTCTCCCAGAACCCTTCGCCTCCCATCCAAACAAGCACAGGCGTTTTTCCAAGGCTCCTCTGGGACCCGTAGCCAAGCTCTGCAACCCTCACTTCCCCTGTTTGCTCAGAAGCTGTGCATCATTAACTTAGATTTGTCTACCTCATTGCAATCCCTCCCCCTTCTGTAGTTACTTACATTGGAACCCAGCCCCAGCTTTAATGCACCTCAAATGAATGATGTGGTGATCGGCCGTTAGAATGATGGCAGAGCATTAATTTCCTCATTAAAGCCCCCAGAGCAAAAGGCAACGCAAACAAAGTCCGAAGCCCTGGCCAAGGTGTGCTGAGGACAGGCACTCATCAGGCCTGGGTTTAGCTTGGCAGGAGACACTGCTCACGGCAAGCCGGAACCAGACTCTGGCCATGGGCTGACAGCTCTGATTTAAACTATTAGGAGGGCTGAGGATTAAATATTTGTCCAGGTCACTGTAAACCGGGTGGAATTATCAACAGCCTGGAGTGGTAAGTGATACAGGAAGCAGTCTCTGGATACAGATTCAGGATTTTCCACCCACTCCCCAGGTGGCAGGATGTGGGAGAGTCAGGCTGCAGGGGAGCTGGCTGCCTGGGGGTTTGGCTGTTCCTCCCTAGCCAATGGCCCCTGGAAGATAGGAGTCCACTTCCACGCAAAAAGGCTAAGTGCCCCCTGTGTGCACTAGTGAGTAGTCCTGGGATGGGACTGTGACATCCCTGCCCAGAGGCCAAAAAGAGGACCGCAACATCCCTTCTGGCCTCCAGCCCCTCTGACACAGGAGAGGCAGTGGAGCTTCTATAGGTGGAGGGAGGGTCCCAGGTATGACGGCTGACATTCACCTTGCGCCACTATTTTTTCAATGCATGTAGATGTTGTTGTAACTAGTAGAATGCAAATTCACTTAAAAGATTTACTACACTGGGCCGGGTGTGGTGGCTTATGCCTGTAATCCCAACACTTTGGGAGACCGAGGTGGGCGGATCACTTGAGGTCAGGAGTTCAAGACCAGCCTGGCCAACATGGTGAAATCCCATCTCTACTAAAAATACAAAAAATGAGCTGGGCGTGGTGGTGCACGCTTGTAATCCCAGCTACTCGGGAGGCTGAGGCAGGAGAATCGCTTGAACCCGGGAGGCAGAGATTGCAGTGAACCGAGATCACACCACTGTACTCCAGCTTGGGTGACAGAGCGAGACTCCGTCTCAAAAAAAAAAAAAAAAAATTTTACTGCATCGATCCTTTCGGTCATATTTTTTCTATCCACAGCTATTGAGAGCATAATTATCTTACCGAAAGAGATCTCTGATGTTAAAAGGAATTCTCACAGTGGACAGTCAGGGACTGCTGGAACTGAGAACGGAAGGGCATCCTTGCAGAAAGTGGCGCCCCGCTGAGGCTCTCAAGGCTGTGCCGTTTCTGCCAATACCGACTTCTCCGAAGGCAAAGAGGGGTCCTTGTGAAACCCAGTTGTGCTTGGTCTATGCTTTCTCTTCCCCCTTTACGCCAAGCATCTTGTGGCACTGCACTGGCACAGGTTTAAGGCCTTCTCTTGGGATGGGAATGTAAAGGGTCCTGAACATGGACCTTTATACAAGGTTCTTAAACCCACCCAGATGCTTATGGGAGCATCTAAGGTAGAAGGGCGGGCAAGTTTGCTCAGGGGAGGCAGTACCTTCCAGTCCAAGTCCAAGTTTGCCTTAGACAGAACCTGGGAACAACATCGTGGAGAAGGGTTGCTAGTGATACCCAAACAAAAGATGGATAAGAGAGAGGTATCCAGTAGGGCACTTCTGAAATTTCAATGTGCACACATTACCTGGGCAATTTTGTGAAAACAGAGATCCTGATATGCTAGGTCTGGGTGGGACCTGATATTTCTGCCTTTCTGACAAGCTCTTTGGTGATGCTGATGCTGGTCCTTG
Organism: Homo sapiens; assembly: GCF_000001405.40. Lineage (NCBI taxonomy): Eukaryota > Metazoa > Chordata > Mammalia > Primates > Hominidae > Homo > Homo sapiens. The sequence continues at coordinate 19,356,213 of NC_000001.11, forward strand.
GACTACTCTGAGGGCAGCAAGGTGCAGACACTCTGAGCTCAGGTAAGCTGCTCCCAGAGAGCTGGCCTGACTGATGGGCTGGGCATGGCCACAGAGACGGCAAACAGGGCCAAGCACCACTTCTCACAGCACAACATGAGCTGAAGCATGGGGATGTGCGGGGCCCTGAGGGGTAAGGAGGAGCCACAGCCAGCACCCGGCCTCCCTCAGCAGGAGGCCAGCAGAGTGCCAGCAGCTGTGGGCAACCTTGCACAGCCCAGAGAGCTTTTATTTGAAAATGCAAAGCCCTACTTAGATGGTGGATTTATAGCTGGCTGAACATGCTTACCCTAAATGGGGCACCTGCTCACTCATCTCTGCAGGTCAGCACTGAGGCCAGCACCTGTGGGCACTGGCAAGTGGCTATGAGCGGGTAACTCTACCTGTCTGGTAAGGCTGCCTCCGAGGTTCATGGTGCCAGAGCCAGATTTGTTGGTCTGCAGCCACAGCATCACCGTGGAGGTCAACTTGTAATGGGCGGTGCGACCGCTGGATTTCTCCTGGAAGGACAAGACAGAGATCTGTTGAGCTGAGGGAGAGCCTGAAGTGGCCCCTGGAATTCAGGGTCATCCTAACATCTCCCTTCCTAGGTCATTATCACAATATTACCTTTTTTTTTTTTAAATTGGAGACAAAGTCTCGCTCTGTCACCCAGGCTGGAGTGCAGTGGTGCGATCTCAAGTCACTGCAGCCTCCACCTCCCAGGTTCAAGCGATTCTCCTGCCTCAGCCTCCCAAGTAGCTGGGATTATGGGCGCCCGCCACCACGCCTGGCTAATGTTTTTTGTGTTTTTGGTAGAGATGCGGTTTCGCCATATTGGCCAGGCTGGTCTTGAACTCCTGACCTCCGGTGATCTGCCCACCTCAGCCTCCCAAACTGCTGGGATTACAGGCCCGAGCCACCGTACCTGGCCTCACAATATTGTCTTTCTTAAAAAATCTCAACTGGTTTTTAAAGGGACATTTGTAATTATGTATTTCTTCTGGGAACTTAATCATCAATGACTACTGCAGACTTATCTTTATCCAAATGGCTTTGAGGCATTTCTCAGAATTAGGGGTTCAGAGATCACAGCATCCCCCTACTGCATCTGTTAGAGAGCAGCGCGGCACTGGTTGGTGTGCCATCTGTACTTAGTGGCCCGGGCCACCAGCTGCTGGGAGGCAGTACCTGCACTTCTACCACGTGGATGGAATCCCAGCAGCCTTTGATCTTCTTTGATCCATCTCCAGCCTTCTTTATGAGGATCACTCCAGCAAAGCCATGATCCAGATCCCAGAGGTAGACAGATGAGACGCCACCTTCAAAATACCTGCAGGAAACAGGCCAATGTGCCTGTTAGATGCTAAAGGACAGATCATCAGCCTGGGTCCCAGGCTGCTGCTCAGCAAAGATTCTGGGATTCAGGGCCCTCCCTGCGACAGTTATGGGAGCCGATCCTTGGGTGTGTTCTGATCGTTCTGTGGCTGGGGGAGGGGGTGCAGCATTCCTGGGGGTGTAGTAGGTTTAGGCGTCATAAAGATGAATCTGAGGTTGGACTCTGCCACCTCCTCTATCTGTGTGGTCTTTGGCTTACTGAACCTCTCTGGGCGTCACACTCCTCCCAGATAAAGAATGCAGCACGACTGACATCCAGTGACAATCCATGCAGGCCATGACTACTGGAGTCACCACGGTTGTTCGATATTTCTGTCTTTTGGGATATTTTACAGGGCAGATGAGAAAATACAGCAACAAACTCCCTACACCCTGATCCCTCCTGAGCCTGGCAGACCAGGGCTCCAGTTGGTCTTTCGGAGCAACCTCCTACAAAGCGCTAGCCGGAAATGAAGGGCTCAGCTTGAGACAGTGCTTCCTCCTCAAATCCGACGCAATGCAAAAACATCTTTTCTTTTTTTCTGTTTTTGAGATGAAGCCTCACCATCTCCCAGGCTGGAGTGCAGTGGCACCATCTCGGCTCACTGCAACCTCCGCCTCCCAGGTTCAAACGATTCTCCTGCCTCAACCTCCTGAGTAGCTGGGATCACAGGTGTGCACCACTGCACTTGGCTAATTTCTGTATTTTTAGTAGAGATGGGGTTTTGCCATGTTGGCCAGGCTGGTCTCAAAACCCTGACCTCAAGTGATCCACCCGCCTCAGCCTCCCAAAGTGCTGGGATTACAGGCATGAGCCACTGCGCCTGGCCCAGAAACATTTCTAATTATAATCAAATGGAAGAGGGATTTCTAATTACGATCAAATGGAAGAGGGAACGAAAAGGTTAGATGAGAAATGGGAATCAGTCTGGGATCCCAAACCCAACAGACCCAGGTCAACTACTGTGGCTCACTGGGACTGCCGTGAGCAGAGGTGAGGGGTGGAGTCAGCTGATGGGAACCGCAAATGCTGTTGATAACCAACAAAAACTATGCGAAATCTCATTTCTTGTGGCGAAAGTCTGTAGCCTCTCCGACCCCAATTAAGCCCCAAAGAGAGAAATCTCATCTCTCGTGGTGAGCACATCTTTATCAGAAAGTCTGGGGCCTCTCTGACACCTATTAAGCCCCAAAGCCACGGTGTGGCAGGTGCATTCTGGGAGCACCCTGCCCTCAGCCCTGGACAGCTGGGAAGGTGGGCCGCAGAGTGCACTGGGTGGGTACAGGCTTGGGAGTCAGACAGACCCAATGACAGCTCTAGCACGCCCAGCTATGAGTTATGCTCATGCATGCATGCGTCCAACAACTATTTACTAAGGGACCAGCGGTGTGAATATGGGCCTCAGGGACTTAATCTACTTTCTACGGCTGTTGAGAGACAAAAACAATTAGGAAAAGTAGACACCTGCCAAACGGTTAATGTAAAATTAAGTACTAGAAATTAACATGTATCTGTAGATTATGTCTCACCAAAGCTATTATATAACAAAAAATACACATTTACAGAATGTGGGTGATGGGTATACAAGAATTCTCTGTACTCTTTTTTTTTTTTTTTTTTTTTTGCAATTTTACAGTAAGTCATACCATTCCAAACTAAAAAGCTTTTGTGAAAAATCAGTACACGAATACACCGGAGTGTAATGTAACTAAGAGACCACCAGACCAAGAAAGCAAGGCATCCTCCCAGGAGAATGAGGGTGCCCTGGCTGGTCTGCCCTCACTCCAACCCGCAGACCTGCGGAGCATCCAGGGGGCCGATACTCAGGTGGGCTACCCTTGGCCCCCTGCCCAGGGCTCCCTCAGGCAGGCTGCGGCCAGCCCCTGCGGCAGGACCACATCCTGTCCCATTCCCCTCTCCGGCACTACCCACTATGATTAAGCTCTCAAACCGAGTACACCATGGTGTGTCCACGGGTGAGTCTACAGGAGGGCAGATGAGGGCAGGGCTGTCTGGCTAACCAAGTGTCACTCAGGGAACACCTGTCGGATGGAGGTGTCAGGTGTCAGATGCTGAGCCCATCGCTGGTCAAACTGCGCAGGGTGGGGAAGGGTCTGGCTCTGGCCAGGTGCAGCACAGGCATCCTTTCCTACGAGAGGAAAAGGACCACTGGATGAACAGACACACCTGTGAGGCCCAGAGCTCACTGCTGGCAGAGGTGATGTCCAGGAAACCGGCCAACACTGGCACTCAGAGATCCCACTCCAGAAGATCATTTCCTTTATTCCGGTCTGCTCCAAAGTCCCCATTCTTGGGGCGAGGCGAGGTAAGCAGATGAGTGTTTTGGTCCAGGGCCCAAAACCCCATCTGCCTCCATAGAGCCCTCCTGGTCTGGACCGGGCCCACACAGAGTTGGAGAGATCAGGCCATTCTGCAATGTTCCTGGAACACCTGGAGAGGGATGGACTGCCCCTGCTGGACCTGAGGGTTAGCAGGGCTCAGATGACTGGCAGCATGGGCTCCGTGAGCCTTTCTGGCTTGTTCTCCTGGATTCTTGCAAGTTAACTTACGAGGCACATCAATACTACCAACGGAAGAGCAACTCATAACAGACCTGCTAATACCCTTCCTGTTGGCAACAGATGGCTTGGTTCTAGCACACCGTTTTCCCTTTCAGTCGGCTTACAGGGAGAGCAGCCCCACATCAAAAGAGGGGGAAGAAAAACAAACAAAAAAACCCTACTTTGCTGGCAAAAAGGATGGGCCAATAATCCGTTCTTTCCTTCAGCCCTTCTGGAAAGAAGGCTTGCAGCCCAGGGGCATTTCATCCTTCCACTCCTTCACAGATCCATGCAGAGCTGCGGTGCTGTGCCTGCCCAAGGCTTGCTCTCCTCTGTGTGCTGGGACACTGGGGAGATGCAGGTCAGGATGCCCTGGAGGGGAACCAGGAGAAATCCCGATGGCCTGACAGCCCTTGTCGACACCCTCCGGTGACCAGTTCAAAAGCACCAGGTGGCCCACGGCTGCTTCCCCTCAGTCCCATCCCTGAGCGTTTCATTTCTTCCAGAAAAATAAAACAACCGCATTAAAGTTTTATAGGGTGGAACTGGCCGTTTCCACTCCAATGTCCCACCCTGTGGCCTGGCTCCCACTACGGGCAGCTTCTCCTTGGCGGGCCACGGTGACCAGGTCTAAAGTTTCAAATGCTGGAGCCAGGGGAGGTAAAAATGCAAGCTCAATTGTCACTCCTTGTGGGGTTACTATTCTTTTACCCACAATTTTAAAACTTACTGCAGGAACATTATTGTTTTTTAAAAAAGGAAATCTGAAAATTAGCCCACAATGCCATAAATCAACTTATCCCATAAATCTGATTTTTCCAAATTCCCTTCCAGTCCAGATGCATGACTTTTATATAACTGTAAGCACAGCAAGAGTACCATGCTGAATTTGGCTTTTTACACTTGGCACAGAATCATTAGCATTTTTCCATGGAGCCGCATGATCTCCATAATCATTTTTAACAGCAAGGATAGTATTCAGTCGGGTAGTATCCTAATTTACCATCAATCTGACTTTTAATAAAGAAACAACGGCGACAGAGTTAGAGGCGGCGTGGTCAATCTCTCACTTCGAATCTGTTCCCTCTCTGAATCGGGGTGTTCCAACTGAGGTGAGTCAGACGTGCTGAGACCTGGCCTCTGCAGGTACAGCTCAAACACTACAATAATTCAAGAATGGACTTGCATTCCATTCACCAAAAGGGATCTCCAGGGACTGGAGCAGCCACAAGTCTCAACCTGACATTCCGAGACAAAGGGAGCAGAGGACTGCATGGTTAGAAAGGCCTGTTTCAGAATTGCCCAGAAGCACCAGCCTCTCCTGCGAGTGCCATCAGGGCGCTCCGGCACCTTCAGGAGGGAGGTGACTGCAGGGCGCACAGACAGCGCCCCCGCTACATGGTTTATGGCTTTGCTCTGCGCGTGAAGCATTAATTAAAGGGGGACCACAACACGTTTTTGAAAATTTATTTCTTACCTACTGTACTTTGATCATAATGATATGAAACAAGGAAAAAATAATTTTTATGTGGTTTGCATTTATGAGTTTTTACATAAAGGCTTTTGTGGGTATTTTAAGAATGTGCTAAAACGTTGTCTGAAACCACATAAAGCCATCTGAGGAGTCGCCCGCCAGAATTAACAGCACATACATGGAAGCAGTTTAACTGGTCTTTGTATATTTAATGAGTCAAATAGTATTAATATTGTTTAAATGCTAACATGCTATTTCAATAAGGTGGCTCTACCATCGCCAGCGACTCACTCTCAGGCCTTGTACTTCCATGTGAGTGAATGATCAAATGTGGCCAAGCGCTGAGAGCAGGCTGCAGAGGAATTAATCCGCCCTGCCCTGGCCCCTGCCCATGCCTGATAATTTCAAAATCTCCCAACTCTGCAGGGAGGGAGGAATGGGCCCAGGACTCACTACCACAGCTCAGCTGATTTGGGCTCAAGAGGAAAATCCCAGAGAGTCCCTGCAGTGAGGTCTCTGGTCAAGGAGGTAGAAGGGGGAAATTTTTATTATATTTTTTTGAGACAGAGTCTCTCTGTCGCCCAGGCTGGAGTGCTTTATTTTATTTTTTTGAGACAGAGTCTCGCTCTGTCGCCCAGGCTGGAGTGCAGTGGCATGACCTCAGCTCACTGCGACCTCCACTTCCCGGGTTCAAGTGATTCTCCTGCTTCAGCTTCCCAAGTAGCTGGGATTCCAGGGGTCTGCCAACATGCCTGGATAATTATTGTATTTTTAGTAGAGACTGGGTCTCACCATGTTGCCCAGGCTGGTCTCTAACTCCTGGCCTCGGTCTCCACTCAGTGTTGGGATTACAGGCGTGAGCCACCACGTCTGGTCAAGAACCTCTTTTAAACATGCAGGCCTAGGACCAGGCGCAGTGGCTCACACCTGTAATCCTAGCACTTTGGGAGGCTGAGGTGGGAGGACTGCTTGAGCCCAGGAGTTCGAGGCCAGCCTCTATAAAAAAAAGAAAAAAGAAAGAAAAAAAAAACCGTGGAGGCCCAAAGAGAAATGCATGAGCTTTTCCTAGGCTTCTTTCCTAAATGGAAAGCCAGACAGCACGGGCAGCACAGGGCTGAAATCAATCCCCACAGTCAAGAGGCTGAATGACATGCTCAAATCAGAGCTCCCCAGTGGCCAGGACAACACAGGGACTAGCTTGCAAAGACTGCAGAGAAGTCAACTTGGACAAGTGTTGAACCATGAAGTGGGGGGGCCTCAGAAGCTCCAGGAAGATGAGGAGGGGGTGAAATGACAGACCAACTTGGGAATGACTGGGAGCAAAGTGCTGGAGTCACCTGTTTGCTTGCGTCCACTGAAGAGCTAACTCTTTCAACTGAGTGCCATCAGTTTTACCAACGGTCCCGGCGCCTTTTAAGACTTTCCTAACACAGATTAACATCTTGTTTTGTTTTTTGAGACAGGGTCTTGCTTTGATGCCCAGGCTGGAGTGTGGTGGTGCGATCACCGCTCACTGCAGCCTCGACTTCCTGGGTTCAAGTGATCCTCCTTCCCCAGCCTCCCAAGCAGCTGGGACCACAGGCATGCACCACCATGCATGGCTAATTAAAAAAAAAATTTTTTTTTTTTTTTTTTTAGAGACAGGGTCTTGCTATGTTGCCCAGGCTGGTCTCAAGCCGTTTATCAGCACAGCCAATTACAATTAAACATCTGGTTGGGTTTTTGTCTATCGTCACCTTGGTCCCTAAACGTGGATCAGCTAAAAGCCTAATGTGTCAGTAATTCTCTTCTTCTCAGAGTTTTAGGTCGTTTCTCCCTGAAAATCACTCTTCCAGTTGAATAATGTCATAGTCACGGATATAGATTCTATGTCCGTAACTTTTCAACCACAGGACTTCTGGGGGGAAGGAGAAAAAAGGGAAAACATAATACTTCACACTCAAAATGACCTAATTCACAAAAGTAAAAAGAAAAGAAAATGTTTCAGCTCCAAAAGCTTTATGGAGTGTCTGAAGCTGAGGTGTGCGTGGGGTGGAAACGTGCTCGGGGAATCTGAGCTGTAACTATGAATGACCCAATTCCCAGGCCTGGCCAACACGGGGCTGCAAATCTAACAGGGAAAACGGGAGGGGAAGAAGGGGCTTTGAAGCTGCTCTTTACTCCTTCCTTTCACATCACCTCCTGGGAGAAGAGCTGGATTCGTGGCTCGAATACAAAGGCTCCCAACAGATAATGAGTACATGCCACATGCCACAAGAACCAAGGCCAGGACAGACCTGCTGGGAGCAGGGCTTTCCAGCATGAGCCAAGAAACAGACTCTGTGGTTCTAGGGTTCACTGAGACATGTCCTTCTGGCTATTAGTGGGCTGGGCCACACTCACAGGACTTGGACCTCTGGCCTGAGATACCTGTGACGCTGAGGCACAGGCAGCAGCCAAGTTAGGGGCATTATTAAGGTGAGCTCCATAGGTGCTGGAACAGGGCTTTCTCTTGCAGTCAACTTCACTGAATAAAGCCAAGGGAAAGGCAATATTTGGCACCAACACAGTGCAAAAGACTTTTTTCTTATTTGTAAAATCAAAGAGCTGGATCAGAGGCCAGCGTAGAGGGTCCTCCCAGTTCTGACATTCCAGGATTTGGTGGTTGCATCAGGGCCTGTATGAGGCAGACTGAGCACCACAGGGCAGGTTCCTAACATCTTAGTCTCTGTCAAACTGCTGCTTACACACCTCCAGTGACAGTGAACTCATTACATTCCTGAGGCAAACATTTCTGTTCTGAACAACTGAGACAGTTCTCTCTGGACTTGAGTGAAGACTTCTCACTACTGCCTTCCAGAATCACAAAAAAACAAGGACTTCATGCCCTTTCCTTGCATAGTCCTTTCAAACATTTAAAACTGGCTTACACCAAGATTTCTCTTTTCTGGCCTTCTCCTCCTTGTAATTCCTCATACGACTCAATACCTTGTTTATCCTTCTGAACATACTCCAGCTTGTCAATGTCCTTCATAAAAGAACAGAAAACAATGCCCCAACTAAGTGTTAACCAATGCATAGCAGGGACCAGCACATCTCTTGGCAAACAGGCTACTCCTCCCTCCAGCACTCAAGACCAAATTAGCTTTCATTAGCAATCACACCTAATCCATGCTACACATACTGAACTTGCAGTCATCTCAAATGGAGTATTTTTTCTTTTTTTTTTTCTCTCTTTTTTTGAGACAGGGTCTCGTTCTCTTGCCCAGGTTGGAGTGCAATGGCATGACCATGGCTCATTGCAGCCTCGACATTCTGGGCTCAAGTGATCCTCCCACCTCAGCCTCCTGAGTAGCTGGGACTACAGGTGCATGCCACCACACCTGGGTAATTTTAAATTTTTTTGTAGAGACAGGGTCTCGCTATGCTCAGGCAGGTCTTGAACTCCTGGGCTCAAGTAATCTTCCCACCTCGGCCTCCCAAAGTGCTGGGATTATAGGCATAAGTCACCGTGTACAGCTGAATATTTTTTCTTATGTGTTGCCATGAAAATACCTCTCACATCCTGGACTTGAGAACTTGGTAGACTGGACCCAAGAATATCACTTTCCACTCAAATCTGTGACAGATCACTCTCGTAGACATGGCTTCAACATTTCAACGTCTCTTTTGGGATCCCGAAGCTGTTGTGATCTGTATTCTATCCAAGCCACTCTTCCCCCGAAGTCTTTATGCACAGGAATATACGTGAAAGCAGGAGACTGTGCAAATGAGGATGTCACTGAGTTCCAGATCGCGTGGATTTCCAGAAAGAGCACGGGCAGCCCTAGTGAAGGCTTCTGTGGAGAAACTGATGGTCCACCAGGAAGGAGGGCTCTGGTCTGGGCACTTTTTTCATGTTGGAGTCAGTATAAAGATGGAAACCAGGCCGGGCATGGTGGCTCACGCCTGTAATCCCAGCATTTAGGGAGGCCGAGACGGGCAGATCACCTGAGGTCAGGAGTTCGAGACCAGCCTGACCCACATGGAGAAGCCCCGTCTCTATTAAAAAAACACACAAAATTAGTCGGGCGTGGTGGTGCATGCCTGTAATCCCAGCGACTTGGGAGGCTGAGGCAGGAGAATCGCTTGAACCCGGGAGGCAGAGGTTGCGGTGAGCCGAGATCATGCCATTGCACTCCAGCCTGAGTAACAAGAGTGAAACTCCGTCTCAAAAAGAAAAAAAGAAAAAGAAAAGATGGAAACGCCCACAGCCTTGATGAGGCAGAAGTAGAAGGGAACACAGGAGGTGGGGCTGGCTGGAATGCCGGCTGAAGAGCTCAGGCTAAAAAATTTGAAGTGTTGATGTAACTGAAAAAAGCAGAATTCCTCTATGATCTGGTGCTAAGCTAGGAACCTGGGCCCTCAAACAGCTCCAACATGTAAGATTCCACGAGTCTTTCTTCTCCTACCCTATGTTCTCCCGTCACATGTATGGTGTGTTCTGCTTCTGGGATCTCACCAAGGAGTAGCAGCAAGACTTGGGACAAATAAGTGGTCTTAGGTCAGGCATGGTGGCTCACGCCTATAATCCCAGCACTTTGGGAGGCCAAGGTGGGGGGATCACTTGACTCCAGGAGTTCAAGACCAGCCTGGGCAACATAGTGAGACCGTGTCTTAAAATATATATATATATATATATATATATAAATAAAATAAATGGTCATGAGGGACACTTTTTGCTGTACTGGTGCTTGGTCATGACAAAGACAAGGTCATACAGGCATGAGTTCAAACAAACTCCTGGCCGGGTGCGGTGGCTCATGCCTATAATCCCGGCACTTTGGGAAGCCGAGGCCGGCAGATCACCTGAGGTCAGGAGTTCGAAACCAGCCTGGCCAGCATGGTGAATCCCATTTCTACTAAAAATACAAAAATTAGCCAGGCATGGTGGCAGGTGCTTGTAATCCCAGTTACTCAGGAGGCTGAGACAGGAGAATTGCTTGAACCCGGGAGGCAGAGGTTATAGTGCCTTGAGATGGCGCCACTGCACTCCAGCCTGAGCAAAAAGAGCGAGACTCCATCTCAAAAGAAACAACAACAACAAACAAACAGAAACTCCCAAGCTCCATGACTGATTTTATGGCAAAGAGGAAGAGAATAAAACCCAGAGGCAGAGCCATTCCCCGGCAGCTGAGGTTCTGGCCCTAAAACAATGCCTTTTTGTTCCCTCCTAGGGTAAAAAAGAAACTAAAATCCCCAGCTATCAGCAGTAGTTTGTTTTTCTGATCATCCTTAACATCCTTACAACAAAACAGGCACCTGGTCTTCACAGGTGGGAACAATCCAACTCCACCTCAGGAAAAAGAGAAAACTGTCCATTCTGCTCAGAGGGGCATCCAAAACCTGGCTCCCTTCCTCGTGGTGTAGACCAACGTTCCTTTTTGCTCTGCTGGCTGCCATCTAGCCAACTTCAAAAAGAAGCTGAGCGCATCCCCTGTCCAATGGATGGGCGTGGGTGCTGCCCAGTGGGCACAATGTTGCAAAGTCCAGAGAGCTGCAGACGGCACACGAGGGGCTGGAGAGTGTGGGTTCTCTTCCTTACACTGGTTATACCAGCCTGCACTCAAGATGCATCTGGCAAACAAGCATGAGGAGATATAAGGAAGATCACAAGAAAAAAATGAACGGGCAAGCACTTGCCATGGCACCTGGCAGAGCAAGCACTCAACAAGTGGTGGCTGCTGGTTTTCATCAGGCTCTTACTTTCTGAACAGAGGGGAGGAGAAGGCAACCTCGACGTGTTGTGAGCTGCCCTGGAAGTGTCCGTCAGAAACACAAAGTGCCGCTTACTGGGAGCGGTTCCGTACCCACTGGCACAGGCTCCACACAAAATGGAGAAAGATCAATGCTTGGCTTTGGGCGGGCCATGTCCAGAGCTGATGCTGAAACTCAACCACCCTTGTTTGTGTGTTGAGACCAGCTGTTTTCACCATGGTTTAGGGAACACGGCCCAGAGGCTGCCCATGGACACGGGACAGGTATTCAGCGGAAATTCCTTCCAGTACACACAGGTGCAACAATCCCCCGAGTCAACATACCAATCAGCTTAGGCATGTGCGACTTTAATGCCAGCTGCACTTAGAAGGCACATCTGGACTGTGGCTGCCGCGCTTTAGTGTCTCGCTTTTACGAGGCTTTTATTTTTTTACTTAAAGAAATAATGAAGGCCTCTCTGGAAACAATGGTGCCGCTGCAGGGGCCGGCTATCTGGCTCTGGGATCTGGTTTTGGGATCTGGCCAAACTGTCCACACTTGGCACCACTGCGACTGTCTTCTGCCCTCTGGACTACTTGTGAAAACACTGCTGGCCCCATGGAGCTACCTCATGAGCCGTCAACAGTCAGGGCTTTCTGGGCTTCCAAGTCATCACTCTCATCCAAAGCTGCCATTGTTGAGAACTCATTCTGTGTCAGGGGCTTTGCATATCTTTTTTTTACAGTTAAGAAAACTGTAACCCAGAGAGATAAGGAACGTGCCCAAGTCACAGGCTGAGAAGCAGGGATCTGGGAGTAGATGTCAGGCTTGGCTGGCCCCAGTGCCCATATTCTGCCCCATGCCAGGCTGCCTGGCCATCCTGAGACGTGCCAGCTGTGGTGGGATGGAGCGCAGGCGGACAGAACAGGGTCAGCCAGTAGGTTAGATGCCCGTATGAAGCCACACCACTGAACACACAGCTGCCCCAAAGAGGAGAAAGTCAGGCCAAGTGCAGTGGCTCATGCCTGTAATCCCCAGCACTTTGGGAGGCCAAGATGGGAGGATCACTTGAGGCCAGGAGTTTGAGACCAGCCTGGGCAACAGAGTGAGAGCCCCCGTCTCCATTTTTTTTCTTGGAAAAAAAAAAAAAAAAAAACGGTGGAGAGAGTCCGAGTTAAAAAAGGAACCCGCTGGGTGACCAGGAATCCGGGACATGCCCCGAGCACCCTGTACTGGGGATTTTGGAGGGTTCTCTGCCTCACTGAGGCAGCTGGGGCTGCTGGCTGGGTCACTGCAAGAATGCCTTTTTTTTTTTTTTTTTTAATTAGACATGGGGTCTCTCTCTGTCACCCAGGCAGAAGTGTGGTGGTGGGACCATAGTTCACTGCAGCCTCCACCTTCTGGGCTCAAGTGATGCTCCCACCTCAGCCCCCAGACACTGAGATTACAGGTGTGAGCCACTGTGCCCCACCGCACCTATTCTTGATACTTGCACAAAGCAGTTTTCCATCACAGAAGCCTCGGAAACATCTCAGTGAGGGGAGTGCAGGGTCTCTGGCAGGATGGGGGAGCTTGACCAAGGGAGGGAGCTGGTCCCTGCTTCCAGCAGCAGAGTTTCACTCCAACATGTGCAACGGCCCAAACCAAAGAGTGACTGTGTGCCATCTGGTTAGAGGAACCCAAGAATTCTAGAGGCATCAGAGTCCCTGATGCTGACGTGGGGATCATGTTCATAAGCAAACTTGTTTTCTGCACACTCCTGTTTTCCATTTAACTTTCTTTCAGCAGATGAAAATCAGACTGCACATGCCAAGCAACCAGACACTGGCCTGCAGCCTTGGGATGCCAGATGAAAGGGAACCCCAGGACAGGGGGCAACATGCAAGCCTGTCTAGATCCACTCTTTAGGGACTTGATAACTGTAGCAGACACCCCCACTAGGAGCAGTGGTCACGAAAGAGCTGAAACGCACTGCGAGAGCAGGAAGCAGGCTCAGCTGTACCCCTCCAAAGCTGTGAGGTTTCTCCAGACCTTTCTCTCTGCTCTGTGAAAACAACACAATAGAGGTGGGCTTGGGTTTCCCCATTAAGTGCTTCTGGCACTTTCTCACAAGCCCCAGGCAGTGGCAAGCCGGTGTCCCACAGCAGGCAGGGCGGGTTCTCAGAGGCCCTGTGCGCACATGGCTGAAGACACAAACATGTTCAAACCCAAGTGCTAATTACACTGTGGACATGCCAGAAGCCAGAGACGGCCTGGCTCCACCCTGCTGTCCCGAGTGCAAGATGAGTGGCAAGCGGTGCCCGTCACGGGATCCCTCTGGAGGCCTTTACATCTGGGGAAAGGTCCTACCTCTAGGCAAGGAAATGAGAACACAGACCTCGCTGAAGGGACAGGGAGTGAAGGGGGATGTCCCCAACCAAACCGTCCCTGCAGCTCCAGGATGTTCTTAAGCATTCTCCGTTACTCCCCTTACTCTGCCCACCTCCCAGTGGGGCTCTGAGTCCGCAGGCCTGGCCGTTTCCAGCGGTGGAAAAAGCCCCCGGGGCACCTGGAACTGCAGAGTTCACTCAGCCAGAGCAAAGGAAGCAGCCCTCCACTCTAGCTGAGCTGTCAGGCCCTTCCTGCTCCTGGCCTCTCCAATCCAGCCTCCACACTACTTCCGAGGAACTTCTTTGGATGCACATCAGAGCTGTCCTACCCTTGGAACCTTCCAGACCTTTCCCAAGGCTCCCAGAATGACACCCAGAGCCCGCACCCCACAGGCCTGTGCGCCTCTCCCCACTGCCCTGTCCTGTTCCGGCCTCCACTCACTGCCCACGACCACTGGGAATCCCTTCAGGGCGTGGCCCAGGCGGTTCCCACTGCTCAGGGCACTGTCCTTGTCCTCTCCCATCACAGTACAGGGCTGTGCCCGGGATCCCCAGACCACCCGAGGCTCCATAATTCGCTACAAGGACTCACGGAATGTGGCACAAAGTTGCCCTCGGGGCCAAGGGTTATTGAAGGGAACAGAGCAAAGGAGGCTGAGGGAGAAGGCGCTGGGGCTGGGGTCCTGAGAAACCAGGCACCAGCTTTCAACGTCCTGCTCCATGACGTCACACAGGACGTGATACACTCCCCCAGGGATGGGCTTGACGGCATGTGTGAAGTACTGTCTACTGGTGAAGCAAGCCAGGGACTCAGTGCCCAGGGCTGTACTACTAAGCACCCTCTACCTAGCACATGGTGAAATTTCAGATGCCCACAAGGAAAGGAGAAGGAAGGCCACACTGTTTGCACACAGTTCAGACGTCGGAAGTCACTCTTATCAGGGAGTGGTAAGAGCCCTCCTGAAACCCAAGTTCCCAGCTGCCAGCCGCGGGCCAAGCTGGCAAGCATGCCTCCGAGGGACAGCAGTCTCAGGCCAGCTCTGTTAGCCCTTTCCACTCAAGGGCAACCCCCCTGTAACCGACCCACAGTTCCTTCCTCAGAGCCTTCCCTAACATCCACACCCTTTGCTCTTCCCCACCGCAGGACCCAGCTCTCATTCCTTTGCAGCGTTTATCAAACTGTGCAAGTACTGTGTTCATCTGCTGACTTGTTCCTGTGTTGAAACATGGGCCCCATGAGGGAGGGACTGGGCCTGACACATTTGCCACTGACCCTGGGCACATGACACCATCCCCGGCAGGTTCTCATTAAGGACCTGGTGACCGATCCCAAGGATTCTCTCTCCAGTCACTGCAGACGGGCACTACCAGCATCTCTGTTCAGCCTCACTACACCCTGATGATGTGGATTGAGCAGGAATCATTAATTCCATTTTTGAGACAGAGATTTCCTGGAGGCCTTGCTGTGGGAGGTGGTGGAAGAGCCCCATCCCGAAACTACGGCCTTCTCGCATGATCACGAAGCCTGCTACCCCATCAGGTCCGCCACCCAAATGGTCCCGTATCTGTGATCATAAACGCACAGAATGTAAGATGCAGGTACAGAATGTAAGATGCACGTACAGATACCTGCTGCACAATTAGAAGAGCCCTGTCACCCAGCAGCCTGGAAGGTGCTGGCTGGACGCAAGGCGTGAGTGCAGCAGGGGTCTGACGCACAGTGTGTCACTGAGTGACGCCTCAGCCCACAGCATGGGTAAGGAAACGGAGGCTCAGAGAGGTTAACTCACTCGCCCAGTCAGTCAGCAAGAAAAGACAAAGAGAGAATCCAGTCCAAAGCTCTTTAAAGCCAAGGTCCTCTCCATTCCGTGGCTGGGCCTCAGACGCCATGGGTGAGGGTCAGAGGCTTTTGGTGGGAGGTGGTGGTGCCTTCTGCCTGGGAAGCCCCCCAGCACCTCAGCTGCCCGCTCACACTTCTGCACTCTTTCCCTGGAAAATCTCCCCCTACCGCCTGCAGTTCCTCCACACTCACGTCCCGAGGAAGGGGTGCCCTGAGGGGTCTGGGGCTGGGAACCTGCAGTTTCAAGGACCCCGGAAATCAGGTGCAAACATTTCTCACATGTGAACATGGACATCCTGCCCTTCCTGGGCCAATGTTCCTCAAACATCAAATGGCGGGAAGGAGCAGGAACAACTGCAGTTCTGAAATGGCCCAGAGAGGGGACAGGTGCTGGGGAGCCCAGGCCGGGGGGTGGGGCCCATCCACCCAGCTCCTGGCTGCTCCACTCCTGGAGAGGCCCTTGGGCCCTGGGACTGCCATGAGGACGCCAGCCTTGTTTCACTCTATAAACTTCTTCCAGACAAGGAGGGCTGATTGGAAAAGCTAATTAAAGCTTTTGAAGATTATCTCAGAACTGAAGCAAGGAAGAACACAAAATACCCTCCCACCCTGCTCCTCCACTCCCCAGACTCTGGCCTTCATTAGGCTTTGATTTCAATCAATTGCACACCCACTAAAATTAACTTATAAGGCCAATAAATTGCAACCGCATGTTTGAAGGTATTATCTGCTCCAAGCCAAGAGCCAAGGACTTCAGAGCATTGGGCGAGATGTCTGGCGCAGATGGGAGTAATCATCTTTGGAAGAAGGCAGTGCCAGCCCTTTGGTCAGAACATCTGGTCCCAGGCAGAACCCGGGGCCGACACAGGCCAGGGCCAGACTTGATGTGAAAGCTGGAGCAGGGAAGGTTTCCTATCTTCTCCAGGAACCTGAAAAATCAAAGTGTTAATCTTGGGGTTCATGGCAGCCCACTGGTCGCTCACACCAGCAAGATGTTCCTCTGACAGCTGCTGGTGCCTGACCTACAGCAAAGTCTCCACTTCTAAGTCTCTCCCAAGAAAGATCACTTAGGTCAAAAGATGAGGTTTTGTGACTGATGAGCTAGCCTAGGCTTGGACCTAAGAAAGCAGAGTCGGCTCTGCTGAGAAAGAGTGTCAAATGATCCTCCGAGCCAGCTGCCCAGGAGTCGGCCCGCTCGGCTGTCTTCCCCTCTGCCTCAGTGCTCAGTTCTCGTGACATCCCCTGGATGAGTCAGGCCCATCAATTACAGGCAGAAAACCATCTTGGGGCTTGGTAGAGAGAATAGCCTAGATGTTGGGGACCAGGTGGGTGGGCTGGCTGGGAGGGGAAGTGATGAAAATGAAGGTGACTTGCGAGCAGATAATACCCTCACCTGGCCCCAGCACACCAGCAAAATGTGCTTGTCATCTCCTAAGCATTTGCGCAAACTGGCTCTTTTCATCTAAAAACAAGGCTGTTTGGGTAGTGACAGTTACTCTCCTAGGGAAAGTACTACTATGATCTCTTTCTGCCCCTGAGGATGGCAGAGAAGGGAATCATCAGCATGGAAGGGACCTGGACGTGAGAATGCCGCAGGGACCCAGCAGAGGCAGGGCAAGCCAGGAGCTAGTGGACTTCAGAGGGAGCCGTGAGGACACACGGCTCAGCCCCCTGCACCCCTACTCGCCTTTTGCCCACCTTAAGGAGTCACGCTCCCAACTGCTAGCCCTTTCAATCCACAGGGGAGAGGGGCTGCCACATCTCCAAGGAGTTACAAGCCAGAAAGGCCTGCTGGTCAACCCGTCCCCTGGCCCAGCTCCATCATTCTGACATTGATTCCATGTGCTTATGATTAAATCCAACTCCCTACAAAGTCAGAGCCTTTACAGAGCCAGGGATCAAAGCCCAGAGCCTGAAGACAGAATCTACGTCTTTCCCTCAGGATCCAGTGAAGAAGATTTTTCTCTCCGGTGGCAGAGGGAGCCTCTGGGGAGACGGTAAGTTCTGCTATCTGAGGAGGCTGGTGTGGCCCGTGGGCTGCCTGGATCATGCTCTAGGTCTCTGGACCCTCAAGCCTATCTCTTTACCAATGTCTCCTTTCACATATTTTTTATTTTTTAGTTTTCTTTTTTTTTTTTCCAGAGACAAGGACTCACTCTGTCACCCAGGCTGAGTGTATGATGGCATGACTATAGCTCACTGTAACCTTGAACTCCTGGGCTCAAGCAATCCTCCTACCTCAGCTGAGTAGCTAGGCCTATGTGTGTGTGTGCCTCTATGCCTGACTAATGTTTATATTTTATTTTTTGGAGGTACAGGGTCTTGCTATGTCGCCCAGGCTGGTCTCGAGCTCCCGGCCTCAAGCAATCCTCCTGCCTCAGCCTCCCAAAGCACCACTAATCTTTTCAAGCAGGGCCTCAAGGAGTAAGGACAAAGCTAATGGGTTAATGGGTGGGGGGCAGGCACCTCGTTCCTGACTGTGGCACACACACGGCCAGTGCCTGTGGGTGCTACGTCAGCCGACAACAAACATGCCCACAGACAGCAAGTCCAGTCTTCTGGCATGAGCCAGCAGGGTACGGCGGGGGCAGGAACAGGGGCAAGACAGGGTATCCAAGGCCTCTTTATTCCTTTTCTTGGGTCAAATCTCTGTGTGAGCAAAGTCCAGTGTGACCTTCTCAGCATAAAGAGACTTTTTAGGCCATAAAACAAGCGGCTCCCTGGAGGCTGGCTGCAGCACAGTGTCCCCACGGGAGGATTCTGAGCTCCAACGTGGCAGGAGCCTGGCAGCTCTCAGTCATTCGATGGGGTTGGTGGTCATGAGGCTGGAGCTCAAGCCAAACATAGTCCTGATTGCGATTCATCAGGATCCAACAATTCAGAAGCACCTGGAATCGTGAATTAAAGACCCTGTCAACACAGTCTGCTCTTCCAACCCCCAACCACCAGGGGCGCAGGCCAAGCTCTAGCTTGAAGTGTGTGGTCTGAAAGTGGCAGCTGCACCTGTGCAGCCCTCCTGGGCACAAGGGCGAGCCCAGCCTGCTCTCAAGGGGTGGCTTCTCCGGCCACTCCCCTTTTCTCCTGGCAGGGTGGGTCTGGCTGAGGCTCTGGCCATCTCTCACAGGCCGGGGACACCAGCCACTTTCCTGGCCCCTCAGGCAGCAGCTCAGGGTGACCAAGCCAGCAGACGGGAGCATTGGGTGGAGGTCTCCTCTCAGAATGACCCTTGCCTGAACCCATCTGCCAACCTGAACAGAAGATAGGTGGGAGAGCTGTGGCCTTGCTCAGGGGACAACAAACAAGTCTTTCTGTGAGAAAGTGTTTGTATGGGGAAGGGCTAGATAAAAGATGAAGAGAAAGGGATGGCCTACTGCCTCTCCACCCCATGGAACAGCCTGGTCCCTAGAAAACCGAGTGTGACCCTGGCCAATGCCCCTCAGGAGACAAGGCCACCCAGCTGACTCCCCTCTGCTCCAAAGCCACGGGGAAAAGAGCTTGCATTCCAGGGCCTGCTGTGGTCACTTATGTGGCCACCAACAGCCTCGCGGGGCACTCTGGGAATGGGAACTTCTGGAGATGAGCAATGTACCACAATGTACCAAGATGTTTTTAAAAAAGAAAAAAAAGAGACTTGTTCTCATAATTTTTAGACTATAAATGGGTTGGTTCGTCACATGTGGTTCAGCTGGGAAAACGTTCCTCGCATGTGGTCCCAGGAGAGAGAGCTCTTCAGCACACTCCGATGGCACTGGGTGAGTCAAAATTCATGCCTCTGGTATCCCGGATGGCAGCTCCAACTGCTGTCCCTTTGGTGGTCTGCGGTCCCTGTCACCCAGGAAGAGCCTGGCCCCACTGCCCCTGCACATGCAAGGTAAGGAAGGGCCTCCTGCCTCTCCTGCGGGGCCACTCTCCTCCTTCCTCCCGAGGTGCTGGGAACAGAACGGCACCAGCCTGGATCCCACTACACACTGTTGCAGACCCTCGGGGTCTGGGTTATCCAGTTCGACCCCCAACTGGGGGCAGGATGCTGTCGTCACCCCTCTTTCAACTCCCCCGAGTCAGTTTACCTTCAGAGAGGAGTGTGTAGGCAAGTCAAAGGCACACAGAAATCAAAAGCCACCTTACAAATACACATTTCCCAGGGAAGGGAAAGGCTTCACCAGAGGCAGCGTGAAGAGTGAGGCCTTAGCTATGACTCCCGGCTCCTGTGGTTTTCTAGCTGTGTTAACCAGCTTGAGTACTTATCTGAGCCTCAGCTTCATCAGCTGCCAAATGGAATAACTCCCACTTGTCCTATAGTCACTGTAAGGATTCAGTGATTATTCTGAAGAGTTTTAATGATAGTAGGGAAATTCTCATGATAACAGGCCATAAAAGCCCCTGCAGAACCATACACCATGTATCATTACATATGTGAACGATGAGATGGGAAGGGAGAACAAGGGAAGCAGAAGTCCAAGATGAAACTGGGCTCTTCCCCAAGGCTGGCCCTAAATGGCGAAGTAAGGCAACACATCTGATTCACTTTATTAAGGGAGTAACAACATGAACACTTAAGTCTCATAAAGAATCAGAATCACCCCCACCTCCATATCTCAACATGCAGCCCAGTAATAAGCCAGAGTACAGCCTCCTCATAGAACAGAAGGGGTGAGGCCAGGCAACTTCCTCAGGCTTAGGGGATGACACGCATGGCACGTTAGCTCCCCAAGCTGGGGGAAAATCTAGCAAACACTTTCAAGGGGGAACTTTCCACTTCCACCTTCAAACTTAGCTGAAAGGGCAGGCTGTATTCCTGGAGTATCCTGAGATGGCTCCCAAGAAGCTTACATATAAAAGGGGCCAATTTTGCCCAAATCTCTTTCAAATTGACTTCCAATTTAAAAGAGGCTGAGGGTGTGCACTTGCTGGTTGACAGCTGTGTGTGCACATTAAGGGGCACCAGTCTCAGGGCCTTAGACAGGTGAGTTTGCCCCTGCCTCAGAGACCCTGGCACAACCAGCCCCCCTGCCTGGCTGGCTTCCTCAATGTCAGACCTCAGTCAAGTGTCTCCTCAAGAGGCCTCATGGGCCACTCTACATAACAAGTCAGCTGCTCCCTGTTATCACTAGCAGCAATGACTTGTTCACTGGTCCACTGTTTGTTTTTCCACAATGGAGTGTGGTGAGGGCAGGGGCCTCATCTACCACGTACGAGGTGCATCCCTGGTACTCAGCAAGCACCCGGCTCATGGGAGGCACTCAAATGTCTGCTGAGTAAATAAATCGATGTTGGACTCTGGAGCTGGGTAAGGATGGTTTGATATCCCAGTTCCACCACTTACTAGCTCTGTGAACCTGGGTAAGTTATATCACCTTTCTGATCTGTCAGCTCGTTTGTAAGAGGGGGATAACCCTCTCTCATGGGTTCTTGTGAAGACCGAATGAGACAGAGAATACCTGGAGGCCCACTTGCATGGCCACTGGTAACTGTTATCATCACCATCGTTATTTTATTACCAGTATTATCACTTTAATATTAAACCAATTCTACTTGGGCATTCTTGTTTAATAGCTGGATTGGCTTCTTACCAAATGGGCAGGTAAAAGAAGATAGTAAAAAACAATTACAAGTAAACTACCATAGAGCAATGAGTCAGCTTTTCAGTATCACTGGGGAAGGAACTATTCTACAATAGGACAAAGTTCTAGATGTAAGAACCTTTAAAAGACTGAAGCCTATTTTAACTGTGAAAATCAACAATTTGTGGGAATTTCAGATAAATATGGGTTCAAATTCTAGCTTTTCACCTCCATGTCCTGTGGTCTTGTGTGAGTCATTTAACCTCTTGGAACCTTGGTCTCATTTGTAAAAGGAGGAACAAAACCATCTTCCCCAGAGGTTCTTGTTAAGGAGTAAAGATAATGTATATAAAATATTCGTATATAATAGAACTACAGACTGGGGGCCAAGCCCCACCCACCTCAAAGCTCAAGAGGTGAATTTTACATTTTAAAGGTTCAACAGAAAACAAACCAAGAAGCAGCAACAGAGACCTTATGTGGCCTGCAAAGCCTAAAACGTTTAGGATCTGGTTCTTGACAGAAAAAAGTCTGCCAACTTGAATTAGTATTGCCTATTTTACAGTTTTGCTGTATTTTCAGTATAGAGCTTAATTATAAATGAGATTCTGTTGATTATGGCTAACTTTCTCTGGAGCCCTTCCTTGTAAGCCTGAACAATTAAGTGACATGTTGGTGCTGTGGTGCTGGGAGGCAGGATTAGACGGAGCAGGAAGAAATCTCAACAGATCTAGCAAAACGCTTTTTAAGGAAGGTGCCGAGGCCACAAACAACTCAGGATTCAGGAAGATGTTTGCTGCTCTGCTCCTGCTCTGTAAGGACTGCACTTATCTTGGCCTGAGAGCAGCTGGAGGCAGAGGCCCCTGAGCTCCAGGTCAGAAGTGAGCGTGTGGTATGGCAAAAAAATCCATACGGGCCTTTGGAGATAAACAGGTCTGACTTTAATTCCTGGCTCTACCCCTTGCTGTGGACAAATACTTTAATCTGTGTCTTAATTTCTTAATCTGAGAAACGAGGACTAAACTAGCTATGTTTGTGAGGATTTGAGATGCTATGTAGAAATACCTGGCACTGTTTCTTATACACAGTAGGCACTGTACCAGTGGCACCTGCTGTTATTATGAATCACGATGCAGGGGAACAGCACATAGTGAAGTCTGGTAGCATTCTATGACCGAGTCATCTCATAACCAACCCAACCACCAAACGAGTGCCCTGCATCCTGCTATGGGAGGCTCCCAATTTTAGTTAGGTGAGCCAGGTAACAGATTCAAGGGAGAATGCTTGGCCGGGTAACAGATTCAAGGGAGAATGCTTGGCCAGGTAACAGATTCCAGATAGAACACTGCCACTTAGGATTTACCTCTCAAAACTCACAAGCGCTAAAGTGCAACAGGAGAAAATGACTCACAGGTCTCGATACTGGTCAAAGGCATTGTTGGCTTCCACCTCCAGCTTTCTCAGCCGAGCTGACGGCATGGCCCCATCCTCCAAGGGAGGGTCATACTTGTTACTCCATGGTGACCTGGAGGGAAGGAAGGAAAAGTATATACCATGAATCGTTCCATGAAGACACGGCCAGCGAGCAGGGAGCCTGAGCCCTGGCTATCTGAAATCTCGGAGGCAAAGCCGCTAACTCCAGCAAAGATTTTTCTGGGTCCTGGCAACAAACAGGGCTTTCTGGAGGTTTGGAGAACAAGGGCTCTGATGCGGGCAGACTGGGGCACACGCCCGTGCTCCACCTCTCACTGGCTGTGAATGCTCAGCAAGTGTCCCAACTCCCTGAGCCTCACTTTTCTCCTGCGTAAAATGCGGCTGCTACTTGCTCCGCACACAGGGTCGTCATGAGAAATGAGACAAGCAGATCAAGCGCCCAGCCCAGAGCTTGCCAGACTGTCAGTGTTCAACAAATGCTAGTTCTTTCTTACCCGCTTTCTCAGTTTTGTGTTCACCACCTATTTTTTTTTCTTTCTTTTTTTTTTTTTTTTAAGACAGAGTCTAGCTCTGTCGCCCAGGCTGGAGTGCAGTGGCGTGATCTTGGCTCACCACAACCTCCGCCTCCTGGGTTCAGGCGATTCTCGTGCCTCAGCCTCCTGAGTAGCTGGAATTGCAGGTGCAAGCCACCAGGCCCAGCTAATTTTTGTATTTTTAGTAGAGGCGGAGTTTGGCCGTGTCGGCCAGGCTGGTCTCAAACTCCTGGCCTCAAGTAATCTCCCTGCCTCAGCCTCCCAAAGTGCTGGGATTATAGGTGTGAGCCACCGCGCCTGGCCATGTGTTCACCACCTTATAGTTCAACAGATGCCCCTCTCTCCTCCCTGATTTGCTGGAGGCTCTACATAAACTTTAAGACCTTCTTACATAGTAAGCGTTAAGAAGAGAGCTGTCAGTTACAGAGGCGGGCAAGAGATACAGCTCCACAGGGAAATGCTGATTACATTAGAAAACCTGAGCAATCAGGTTCTCCACGTGAACACAGGATAGCTTTTCCAACATCCAAGAGCTATGCACACATATGAAGACTGCTAAGTAATGAGAACCAGTCTTTTTGCAGCCCAAAAGACTTGCTGTATTTCTTGAAATGTATTTTGCCACATCAGGAAAGCATTTAATCACACTGAGAACTGGAAAGGGGGTTATAAGGGAAAGATCTACTCATTAATTCCTGCAGGTGGGGTTCAGAGGGCCGAGTGTTCAGAGAAAGTAGCAGAATTAAAAAGGTGAGAGAGGAATGAAAAGACAGAGAAGACAACATGGAATTCAGAAAAAGTCCTTCACACTCTTGGTCTAAACGCCTCGCTGTTTCCACTGTCAGAGACCCACAATGCCTTTTCCGCATCCCCTCCTGACCACATCATTGTGATGTGGAATGCATGTTAAGGAAAAAAAAAGTATGCTCATCATCTTCCAAACCCCAGTTTTAAAGAATTCTGCACGCAGACATCTTTCTTCTTGGTAAGTGATGCTCCACCAGGCACCTACGTCAGTAGATCATGGAGTATGGAACCAGAATAAGCTGGGCGGCCTCTTCCACCAGCCACCCGCAGGCAGCTTTCTCAGAGGCTGGTTCACAAACGGTATGTAGGGGAAGAGTTGCTGTGCTTGGTGTCCCCAAAGAGTCTCCAGGCAGGAATTACACTCCTGATCACCTCAAAGCAGAAGGAGCCTTGGAAATCCTTGTTTCCAAGCTGACCACTTTCTGCTGCTCACCGCAGTTTTGGTAGAGACTTTGCAAGAATGGGGTGAGACACCCCCTGCTGCCCCATGAGCAGCAGCCAGCTTTCATGGTCACACTGGGCCATCGCACACCATGGGAAGCAAACTGTCAACAAGCTGGGACCCCAGATGGCTGGGAAGACAGGCGTGCCGCCCACAATCGATGCCTCAGTTCTCCTGAGAAGCCAAGCGCGGGCTGACCTGTCAGTTCTTGTAGCCTGTCGCTCCTCCCTCTGAAACGGGGCTGCCCAACAGAACTTCCTGAGACGATGGAGATGTTCTAAATCTGTGCTGTCCAAAACAAGTCACTAGCCATGTGTAGCTACTTGCATACTTACAATGTGACCGGTATGACCAAGAGACTCAATTCTTAATTTTATTTAATGGGAATCAATTTGAATGCAGATAGCTCACTCTAGAACCTCAGCTAGGAGGCGGCAAGAGCCTTTTCTGTCATCTTCTCTTCGGGTTGCTCAGCACCTAGAACAGTGCCTGGCACTCAACTACACGCTCATTAAAAAAAAAAATGTTTTTAAGAATGAATTTGGCCAGGCGCGGTAGCTCACACCTGCAATCCCAGCACCTTGGGAGGCCGAGGCGGGAGGATCACAAGGTCAGGAGTTTGAGACAAGCCTGGCCAACATGGTGAAACCCCATCTCTACTAAACATACAAAAAATTAGCTGGGTGTGGTGGCATGCACCTGTAATCCCAGCTACTCAGGAGGCTGAGGCAGGAGAATCACTTGAACCCAGAAGGCGGAGGCTGCAGTGAGCTGAGATCGCGCCACTGCACTCCAGCCTGGGTGACAGAGCAAGACTCCATCTCGGGGAAACAAACAAAAAAAAATGAATGAATTCTTCTTGTCCAATCACAGTTGTAAATAAATAAAATAAAAAAGCATGAATTCTTGCACCCCCGCCCCCCCACCACAACAGAACCAACCACTCCCTCCTCCCTCTCACACAGATGTTGATCCTCATGCCTGTCATATCCTTGCCCTTCTTCCCTCACCCTCGACTGCAAGAGGTCTTTGACAGCAGAGAGCCTGTGCTGCCTGCCCTTGTCCCCAGTACCCAGCCCTGAGTTAGTGCCAAGCAGATGCTGCTGGTGGACCGAAGCCTCACAGCCCGGGAGAGGAAGAAAGGGGAATTCTGCTGGTGTTCCACTTCTCCAAACCAAGAGATGGAGCAGCTTTCTGGCTTTTTCATGCTGGTCACGGGCATGGCGCCCAGGTGCTGTCCTTCTTGGGAGCATCTTGCTCTGTCGCCCAGGCTGGAGTGCAGTGATGTGAACATGGTCCACTGTACAGGACCATAGGCATGTACCACCATGCCCAGCTAATTTTTTTTTTTTTTTTTTTTTTTTTTGAGACAGAGTCTCACTCTGTTGCCCAGGTTGGAGTGCAGTGGCATGATCTCAGCTCACTGCAACCTGTGTCTCCTGGGTTCAAGCAGATTCTCCTGCCTCAGCCTCACCTAAGCACTAAAAAACAAAAACACCAAATCAACAAAAGCCTCTCATCAGATCTCAGAGACAAAGATCCAGGTGAAAAGATGCTGTCGCCATGATTTATCTATAAACAAGGCTTGGTTCTTCTGCTGGCCGGGGGAGTGGATAAGAATCTGAGGGTGTGGAGCTGAATTCCCTCCTTCCCCTGGGTGGCCCTTTGAGACTCTGCAGCACACTCATACGCAGGACCGTTCCCACAGTTCGATGACAGCCATCGCCTTCCTGTAGGCTGGGAAGACCCGACCCAAGTGGCGTTCATTTCAAGGCACCCTGATTAGACACAAGAGCCCATCTTTCGGGCAGACTGGGGGCCTGCAATTTGCAAGAAGCCTGTAACTCACATTTCTACTGGCTCACAGACGATAGCATTTCAAGCTGTTAGTCCTGAAGCCAGGGTAATTGTAGCTGAGGGAAATATCATAACATTAACCAGAATATTCTTAGTGGAAGGGGCACTCAGAACACACTTAAGAGCTTAAATGGAGGCCATTTGAAAAAAGACAGATGGACAGGAATGCCTAGATTTCAAAAGTCAGGACTTTCATTTCCCTCCGAGAAGGCTTTTTGTTTCAGCTAACAGGTTTCAAACGGTGCTGCTGGCAACGGTCACACCATAAGGATCTTATTTAAGCAAACCATCAAACACAGTCAGGATGGAAATCTGTGGACAGAATCAGAAGACCTTGAAGTTTCATATCGAGAAGAGGAGAAAGAAAGACATACTTTCTGCCTCCACACCCCAGGCTCCTCTCTAAAGGCCTGAGATCCCCCAGAGCTGGTGGTAGGGCCTCAGGAATGCAGGTGGGGGACAAAGGGGTGACCTGGAAGGGCTGCAGGTACCAAGTCTCCCGCAGAGCCTGGCCTAGCCACGGACCTAGACATGATCCCGTCCTTCCACCAGCTCCTGCAGAACAGCTGCCTTACACAGTCAACTGGAGTTTTTAGGTGGAAATAATAAATATAATAATGATGTTGATTAAGCAAGACCAGTTCAAGGAACACCTCCTCCAGGAAGCGTTCCCTGAACTGCATGCCGGGCGAGAATACTTCTCCCTGCCTGCTCCCTGGTCTGTCAGACCACTCACCATCTTCACTGGACTTCTCTCTCTAAGGGCTGGTCCACCCACTTCATCAGTGGCTCCCTGGCTGGGCAATGTGGCTCACACCTGTAATCCTAGCAATTTGGGAAGCTGAAGTGGGAGGACTGCTTGAACCTAGGAGTTCGAGGCCAGCCTGGGCAACAAAATGAGGCCCCCATCTCTACAAAAAAAAAAAAAAAAGGAGAGAGAAAAAGTCAAAAAAATTAGCTGGGGCTGGGCGCAGTGGCTCATGCCTATAATCCTGACATTTTGGGAAGCCAAGGCAGGAGGATCATTTGAGGTCAGGAGTTCAAGACCAGCCTGGCCAACGTGGTGAAACCCTGTCTGCACTGAAAATACAAAGACTAGCTGGGAGCGATGGCGTACACCCGTAATCCCAGCTACTTGGGAGGCTGAGGCAGGAGAATCTGCTTGAACCCAGGAGACAGAGGTTGCAGTGAGCTGAGATCGTGCCACTGCACTCCAACCTGGACAACAGAGTGAGACTCTGTCTCAAAAAAAAAAAAAAAAAAAATTAGCTGGGCATGGTGATACATGCCTATGGTCTTGTGCAGGGGGCCATGTTCGCATCACTGCACTACAGCCTGGGCGACAGAGCAAGATGCTCCCAAGGACAGCACCTGGACGCCATGCTGTGACCAGCAGTTCCAGGCACAGAATGAGCCCTTCAAGGATGAATTTGATCGGCCTCAGGGCTGTATCACCATCTATATGCTGGGACATCTGCAGCCACATCCCCAGCCTAAACCTCTCTCCTGGAACTCCACATGGTACATCCACAGCCTACCTGGTATCTCCACTTTGATCTAATGGGCCTCTCAAGCTTAAAGTGTCCCTATGCCTGCTCCTCCCCGAGTCCTCCTCACCTCAATCAACAGTGGCTCAGGTCCGAAGCCTTGTAATCACCCTTCACACCCCACCTCCTCTTCTTCCATCCCCACCTACCTGCAGAGGCCGCTGGCTCTACTTTTAAAAGTGACCTCAAATCTCACCACTTCTCACCATTTCAACTCTAGTCTGTGGTCTGAAGGAGGGCAAAATATAATCTCTACCTAATTTCCATTTAAAGCCAGGAAAGGGACATGATTATAAAACTGTTGTCTAGTCTCTTATAAGTCAGTATTAAACTTTTTAAGTATATGACAATGTCTGTGCCATTCAACATTTCACGTGTGTTACTTCTTTTATCCCCCCAATAAATAACCCTGTGCTAACTTTTATTACCCTCAGCCTGGCCTTCAAGACCCTGCCAGACCTGCCCTGGCCATGCCTCCTCCCTCATCTCCGCCCCCACTGCCCTCCCCTCACTGCCTTCTCCACCTCTGGCCTTCTGCCAGCTCCATCCTGGTGAGCTCATCACCCAGGGCCTCAGCACCCAGCAGGCTCTTCCCCAGACCTGGACCTTTTCATCCTCCAGTTCCCACTTGTGGGAGAGCCTTCCCTGCCTGCCCGTCCTCTCCCTCCCTCCCACTGTCCTCTTTATTTTCTTCAGGAAGCATTCTGTTGAGTAAAGAAACACTACTATTTCCGTTTTACAGATGACAAAACTAAAAGACCAGCGACAATAAGTGATTTGTCAAAGTCCCATTGACACAGGGAGCTGTGCTGGTTTGAAGCCCACACTGGCTGACTCCTGATCATTTTTCCTGCTTTGACTTCCCAGAAGCCTTGCCCCATCTCCAAAGAGAGCATCAGGGTGAAGCTTCAAGACAACCCTGGTTCTGTGGTCTCCAAATAAACCTAAAGCAGGCTGTGTTCCTCTACCATTCTCCAAGGCAGTGACTACTGCAATTCATCATGGAAACACTGGGCCAGTTTAAGGATTCCCACTCTTAAAAAATAGAGGTATAACTCCTACATGCCCTTAAAACCCAGCTCAGACATCACCTCCTTCAGGAAGTCCTCCTGGAGTTGACCATGGCCTCTTCTGTGCTACCGTCCCACCCTGAACAGACTTTGCACTGGCTGTATGAATCACATCATACAGTTACCAGTTACCCAATGTGTCTCCTATGCTAGACCTGGTGATCAGACACCCAGGGCAGGGACTAATGTCAACTTAGTTATTTACAGCCTTGGGCGAGGTGACGGAAAGAGAGAGGAGAGTTGTGTATCTGACAGAGCTGCGTTCGTAGATCCCTTACCACAGAGACCCTCCCAGCCCTCAGGATCCCCATCATATGCGCACCCTGTACACTGCCCTCCGCAGGACTGAATGCAATTATAATAGAACAGTTGTTTTTGAACAACATCCCTCTCCCGTTAGACTGGAAGATCCATGAAGGCAGGGGGCCTTTGGTCCGCTGCTCTATCTCTCATGCTTGTGGGTGGCACTCTTCAAACGTCTGCTGCATGATTGGAATAACAGATGGAACGATGAGAAGAATGGGGAGGACAAGAGAAGAAAGGAGAGGAGGGCAGGGAACAAACGGAAGGAAAGCTGAATGGGCTGCCAGCTGCCCAAGTCCAAGGTCCCCGTGCTCTGCAGCAGGTACCTACGGCAGCCCGCGTGTGCCTGCTGTGCCTGCTGCATCCCCGGGGCATGAGCTCACCTATAGGAGTCCCCATCTCTGTTGTAGTCACACAAAAGGTAATCCTTTCCCACCACCTTGTCTCTGGCAATTTTCAGTGGCTGGTCAACAGAAGACAGGAGATCCTCACATAGACTGGGGACCTGGCAGAGAGAAAGGACAAGGTCGAAACAGAGGTTAAAACAGCACACCAAACTCAGGTGGCTAACAATACTGCAGCCATATTGTGGTCAGTACCTTTAACATCTGGCCCTGGGCACTGAGACAAAATTATGGGCCTGTTCTTTTCTTTTCCACATGTGTCTGACACCAACTGTGTCCCTCTATAAAGAAACCCATTCTTGAATTACAGTGGAGCGTGATTTCTAATACAGTCTTCCTTCCAAAAACTGTGTGCAGCTTTAATTACCTGGTCACCAGGGTGGCCTAGTAAATTTAAGTGTGTATGTGCTTGGTATTGGTCTCTGGTGGGCAAAGTACAAGCTGAAGTCCCGAGAAGAAGGTAAACATTTCAAATACACAGGAATCTAAAGAACTCGGAGTAGAAAAACTCGTCCGTGCCGGGAACTCCCACAGGCTCCTATGCTGGGTGGAGTCTCCAGTACTTTCCAGGCCCCTAGCCAAGTGTTACCAGTTGGCTTGTAGAGTCAACTCTATCTGCTGCAAAGAGAGCTTCACCCCGGCTCCCCCACAGCACAGAGCCCCAGTGGGCTCACCTCCGGCTGGCCTGCCAGGGGGCCGCCTCACCAAGAAAGATGACCCCGCGGTCGGGGGCTGGCAGGACTCAAACTCTGGGCCAATGTTGCGACTCTGACACAAGGCTCTGCAAGTAACCAGGCCACTGGCCTCCTCCTCCCAACTCAAACATCAATTTCTACCAAAATATCCCAGAAAGGGATGGCAGCACTTTCAGAAATGGATTCCTTCAGGCCTGAGTCACTTCCACGCTATATTTTCAATGTGCTGACTTATTTGTTTCATGGGCCTGGGTTTATGGGGGCTCCACCATATCGTTTACCAGGAAAGTGCCTGCCAGTTGCACCAATAACCCTTCCCAGTGGAAAAATTCCATCGTATGGCAAAGACACCAGCAGAGCAGCTCAGCAGACGGGCTGACAGCGACAGTGGTTCCTGTGTTCTTCCAGAAGGCCCTTGCCACCATCCAAGAGACAGGCAGGGACAGGGAGTCCCACCACCACAGGGACCACCCAGCCTCCACGGGCTCCTCTGCTGCCCCTCCAGGGTGCTTTAGAACTCAGCTTGGAAAGCAACGCCCAGCACAACTAAAGGACTGTAACCCTGCCTCATAACTCACAGAAATTCTGGCCTTGGTGAGATGATCTGTTTCTTATACAGGGGACAGTACCCAAAGAGATAGACATACACCACCAACCCCTGTGTACAATGTGCTGGGCTTACAGGTGTGAGCCCCCAGGCCTGGCCTGTACCTGTGCTTGTTTTCAGAATTCTTTCTCCATGTGTATCTGCCCTTTCCTAACAAACATAATAAAAATGGGGGCTACTTTCAAAGTTGGTTTTGGTGATAATATCATGCACCTTACCATTTCCATGTGCCTGCCATGCACCACGCACTATGGTAGAGCATATTGTTGACTTGAAAGCTCACACGCATTCTGCAAAGTGGGTATGCAAAGCCCCATTTTACAGATTAGAGTTGAGGCCGGGAGCCATAAAGTTACCCAAGGGCCACACAAGAAGCAAGCAGTGGAGACAGAAAACAAAACCAGGGCCAGATGAGTCCAAAGTCCCTACTCCTCCTACTCTAACTTTGGTTTAATGTCCAGCTAAGGGGAAGGACAGTGCATGCTAAAGGCACCCTCTGGTGGCAAACAGCCCTCTCCTAGCCCCAGCCCTGCTTAGCTGTGGCCACAGAGCCCTTCAACTGGAAGGAAGTCCTGGCTGAGGAAGGAAGGTCTAACAGCTTCCACCCGAGGCCATCTGGGACCTGAAAGAGGCCTTGCTGTGCTGCCACAGCCAATGAAGCCACCTCACCTAACACATCATGCCTGTCCCTAAGCATCTCTGTTTATAATGCTGGGATGCTGCCTTGGCTTATCTGTTGGGCCTCAACTTTTGCCTGGAACCCATTCTCTCTGGTTGGAGTCCTGACACCATCAGCTCAATTTTTCCTCAATTACAGTAGAGACTGAGCAAACAGGGTCTGAAGTTAGACCTCCTGACTCCGCTGCGTACAAGTAGCCTTATGGCCTGGGTAAGTCATTTTACTTCTCTACTAAGACTTGGTTTCCGTACCTGTAAAATGGGGATAATAAAACCAACCCATCTGGGTGCCCATGCCCATGTGATTTTGAGGACCCACATGACACAATGCATTCCGTGTTCAGGGCAGAGCCTGGCACAGGGAAATGCACGTATGTTACTGCCTGACACGTTCAGGTTCCTTTCCCTTCCTTTAGACAATATCATCTGTCACCTGTTACTCTCAGATGGCAACAATAGCCTGGATCATACCTGAATTCACTGTGCTGCTTCAGACACAGGGTACAAACGTACCTGTGAGGATCCGGTGCTTCACCCCAGTTCCACCTGGAGCCAGCTGTTTCCCTTCTCCTGCCAGGCACACTGCTTGCAGCTAAGTCCCCTCAACGTAGGAAAGCTCACAAGAAAATAGGGTTTGGTATAAAAGAGGCTTGACTCTACTCCTATCCAAGAGATTCATCTATGAATCGAAAGCATCTGAGTAATCTCTTCCTAGCACTTAACACCAGGTGGAGTATTTTTTCATTGATCAGTTATCTGTATCCCTCACTAGAATGTAAGTTTTACTGGGGCAAGGACTTCGATCTTACTCACTGCAGGATTCTCAGTGCCTGTGGCTGTGCCTGACACACAGCAAATGCTTAATATATTTGGGAGGAAGGAAAGAAAGGAGGGAAAGAGGGAGGAAAGGAGGAGTTTTACAACACGGAGCCTCCCAAACTCCAATCAACTTTACTTTAAAATTAATAAATTGGCAGGTAATAGGAATCTTTAGCAAAAGCACTTGTCCAGAACTAAATCTGAATGGATGCTGATGACAAGTTTCCTGTGTGGTTCCAACCCAGCACTCTCAGATATGAACCATGGTATGGTGGGAAAGCACTGAACAAAGAGAACCGGAGCTGTCATGAAAGCCCTGGCATTTTTTATTAACATATGACCTCAAGGAGCCACAGCATTGGTGGAAAGAGTGAGAACTAAGAGACCTGGGTTCTAGCCTCTGCTCTGCTGTGAGCTGGCCACGGAACCTTAGGCAAAGCCCAAGACTGTTCATTTGTCAAACACAGTAGATGAGCTGCACGGAGACAGACCACCCTTGAAGATCTGTGATGGGACTTCTGAAAGCCAGTATGCCAGGTACTAACCAACCCCAGAAAAACATACATTTAAACTGGAACTCAAAAACTGGCACTGCTTGTCCTACAGTGAAAAGCCTCTGGGACTTGATATGGCCAACGGACTCCACCCAAGCAGGCACCATTTTTGCCTTTTGGATCAACTCTTAAGCTGGGCCATAGTTTTGGCCATATTTCCATCAGCGCTGTTTCTTTTGATCAAAGATAATCTGCTCTGGAATAATAACATTTTCGTTGTCATGGGGAATGAGAAATGTGGAATAATACATGGTGTGCCCACAGACTTGGACCACAGCAGCTGCCCAAAGGTGCATTAGTCACGACCTGGCACCATCACTGATCCCGTCTCATACCCACGCCGTCCCTCCACCTCTGCCCGAAACTCCTCAAACAACCACACGGTCCCATTCACCACTCCCTGAACATGCACGTGCATTCCCCCACTTAAACATCTTCCCCATTGAGGGTTGCTGGATAAAACAGAGGGAGGCCAGTTCAGTCTGAATTTCAGATACACAATGAATAACATTTTAGTATGACTACTTCCTAAAGGTTACATGGGTCGTGTGTTTTTTTTTTCTCAATGAGATGGAGTCCAGCTCTGTCACCCAGGCTGGAGTGCAGTGGCGCGATCTCGGCTCACTGCAAGCTCCGCCTCCCAGGTTCATGCCATTCTCCTGCCTCAGCCTCCCGAGTAGCTGGGATTACAGGTGTGTGCCACCACGCCCAGCTAATTTTTCTATTTTTAGTAAAGATGGGGTTTCACCACGTTAGCCAGGATGGTCTCTATCTCCTAACCTCATGATCCACCCACCTCGGCCACCCAAAGTGCTAGGATTACAGGTGTGAGCCACTGCGCCTGGCCAGGCCATGTATTTTTATTTGCTAAATCTGACAGCCAATCCCCACTGCTCTCTTAAATCTTACTGATCCTTCAGGGCCTGGCCCAAACTCCAACTTCTTTATCAAGATGTCAAATTCTTCAGAATTCCTGCAGTAACACTAATATCAACTGAATCCTAAATGCTTTGGGGATGGCTGTTCTAATACTGCCAATGACTTTCACCTTACTCCTTCCTCACCACTTAGCATTTTTCATTGTGAATTGACTCCACACCTACAGAGGCCAAGACAGGCCCTCCAGCCTCAGCGCAGCATCACGCCCGCTGCAGCAGGGATCAGTCAATGCATGCTGATTCCATGTAAGTGGATATTAATCCTGTGGTCTGAGGCCATATTACAGAACCAGAATGAAGGCAGTGTATCTCTGTAATCTAACCAGTCCCTACACTCATCTGAACCCCGGCCCCCGCCCCCTACTCATGTCGAGTGCTTAGAGCAGTGGAAGAAATCACATTAAGTGTCACAGACCATGGGTTTGTACAGTGATTTAAATGAAACGACAGGTCCAAACAAAGCCGAGAGTTCACTTTGGGGTGCATGTGGCACTGGCTCTGTCGCCTCCAAAGCCAGGGAGGGCCTCTGAGGAGGAGGAGCGGTGCTGACACGCGGCAGCCGGATGGTTTCTGTCTAAACCACCCATCTGAACTGCCTAACGGCCTTGGAGGGAAGGTTCAGATAACACCAAAGGTGTCAGACCAATCCAGGCTGTTGGGGGGATTTAAACATAATTCCCAGTGACTTGGAATAATAAACACTACACTGGTCAGGACAGTGCCTGCCGTCTTTCTGGTGGGAGTTCAGGGCTCCACCAGTTCCTCTGCTGCCACAGGAGTGTGCCCACCCCAGGGAGCAGGAGCCACAAGTCCTTCACCACCGATACTTTTGCCGGGCTCGGTGGTACCCAGGAGGCCACTGGAAAGACGGGTGGGGAGTGGGTAAAGTGAACTAGGGCAGGGAAAAGAAAAAACCCCAGAAGGTAGAAGGTAAGGGAGAGACTAGGATGCCATTGGCAACGGCCTCAGGTGACACCTGAATAATAATCCGTGGAAGGACCAGGTGATCGTAATAGCCCTGCCCTGCGTGGCAGGCACTATGCTAGCAGCTCTCCCTGCCCTTCCCTATGATCCTGACAATGGCTCTTCACACAGACACGCACTCCAGTCCTTGTTTTAAAGAAGGGGAAACAGGGCCTTAGAGAAATAACTTGACCGGAGCCACGCAGCTACGGGCCAATGTCTGAGGAAGGACATGCAGTTATATACAGCACAGCTAGGTTCAAAAAGAAACTGCTTTTCCCAAACTGAACACTTTTTTTTTTTCTTAAATCATCCAACCCAACAGCTGATCACACGAAGAGATACAAATCAGAAGTTTCCGGCCACAAGTGAGGTTCGTGTTTGTGCCGCCATATGGTTCTACTTTGCCTCTTCCTCTTCTCCATTAGTTATTAATGTTGAAAAAAATTGTTCAACCAGAAAAAGAAACTTGAGATGAACCCTTAAAAAAAGCACAAAAGCCAGAGCAGCTCAGACCCACGGAGTCTAACCCACGGCGCCCTTGTCTTTAAGAAGTGCACCCTTGTACCTCGGTTTTTTAAAAAATGGCCAAATGAACACATTCCATCTTTTGATCTGCCTGTTGGCCGAGAGCCCACCACCAGCAAGATAGGAATCAAAAACAGATTCTGCGTACTTGGGTGCACTCAGAGGAAACTGCCACGCCAGAATGCTGCAGCTGCCGACGTCCAGCAGAGGGCTCTGTGACAATTTGTTCCTTTTATTTTTCCAGAAGGCCCAAAACTTTCTTAAAAAGATAAAAGAGCATTTCAAGTGGCACATACACTCGTGTCAGAAACAAAATATACAGTGTGGCATTCTGTAAAAACACCAACCTCGAAACCGAACAGGTTCAAATCCTCGGTCAGTCACTTGCTGGCTGAGTGTAACCTTCCTAAGTCTCTGGAACTGGGGGTTACAACATCCATGTCAAGGAGAAATTCACACTGTTCCATAAACCCCGAATGCCCGCTCCAGGCCCGTGTCAGGTGCAAGGGCTCAGCACGGGAAGAGATGGACATGGGCGGCCCTGCTCTGACAGCAAAGTCCAGCCACAGAGGCATCTCCAAGAGGCAAGGGTAGGCCAGGCATGGTGGCTCACGCCTGTAACCAGCACTTTGGGAGGCTGAGGAGGGTGGATCACTTGAGTTCAGGAGTTCAAGACCAGCCTGGCCAATGTGGCAAAACCCCATCTCTACTAAAAATATACAAAAATTAGCCAGGTGTGGTGGTGCATGCCTATAATCCCAGCTACTCAGGAGGCCGAAGCAGGAGAATCACTTGAATCTGGGAGATAGAGGTTGCCGTGAGCCAAGACTGTGTCACTGCACTGTAGCCTGTGCGACACAGAGAGACTCTGTCTCAAGGTAAAAAAAAAAAAAAAAAAAGAGGCAGGAAGCGAACCTGCAGGAGACGACAGAAGGGGGTTGCTGTGGGGGCAAGTCAGCAGTCTAGGAGGTGGCACAGAGATGACATGTGAATAATGACCAAGGAGCCGGCCCTCCAAGACTGCAGGGAAAAATAACAGGGGCATCCCAAGAAGAGGGAAGAGCTGGCATGAGGCTCTGCTGCAGAGGCCACTGAGGCAAGTGCAAGAACAGAGAGGAGCAAAGCGCGGCTGGAGTGAGACCCAGTGAGGCAGCACGCAGCACCTCCTGGGTCACTCCAAGTGTGAGGGCAGGCCCTGGCACACTGCTTTTCTTAAGAATTAAAAAAAAAAAAAAAAAAAGGCCAGCTGCGGTGGCTCGCTTGAGATCAAGAGTTCGAGACCAGCCTGGGCAACAGGGCAAGACTCCGTCCCTACTAAAATAATAATAATAAAAATAGCCAGGCATGGTGGCATGTTCCTGTAGTCCCAGCTACTCAGGAGGCTAGGGTGGGAGGATTGTTTGAACCCGGGAAGTCGAGGCTGCAGTGAGCCGTGTTTGCACCACAGTACTCCAGCCTGGGTGACAGAGTAAGAACCTGACTCAAGAAAAAAAGTGTTTACTTATGTATAATAGGTAATACATTCACATAGGTCAGAATTCAAAAAGGTACAAGAGCACATGCTGGGAAAGGCCTCCCAGTGAGGGCCTGCAAGCTGGCTGTCCTCGCCTAGGGAGATGGCCTCCAGGTCAGGATCCCTTCAGTGGGGCTCCCTTCACCGGTCTGTCCAGATGGACACATGGCCTCCACCAGCCTATGAGAGATGCAGGAATCCCCACCCCACCACCACTACTTAGTGTAGAGAAAACACAAGCCTGCTCCCCAACTCCCCAAGGGCAGCTTCGTTACAGGGACCCCAGTTTGTCATTAGGAACACTGAGCCACGGAAGCACAGCTTCATGTAGCCGAGGCTGGAGCTTCCGACCCATTTTGCCTAATGGCTCTCTGAGCATGGCCACCTCTGCAATGAGAAGGCACCTGCACAGGCGGCAGCTTCGCGCCGGGCCTGAAAGTCACACCCGGGTGGCCAAGCTTGTTTTTGGACGGGAAGCAGCTGTGCTCCCAGAGACTCAGGCAAGTGGTACCCCTGAGTAACCAGAGGGGGACCCCAGGGGCTCCCGCTCACCCCAGGAAGCATCAAAACATATCTCCTTAGGATAATAGCCACG
Organism: Homo sapiens; assembly: GCF_000001405.40. Lineage (NCBI taxonomy): Eukaryota > Metazoa > Chordata > Mammalia > Primates > Hominidae > Homo > Homo sapiens. The sequence goes on from NC_000001.11 coordinate 19,393,416, forward strand.
TGAGCTAGGGTATGGCGCACCTATTCGGAGGCAGGATTGAGGGCACCCCCCAACCTGTGGATGAGAAAACCCAGGCACGGGGAAGCTGCTGGCCCCGGCTGTCCCAGCCAACACGAGGTGGAGAGGAATGAGAATCTCAATTTGAGACTGACCCAGCTCTTCCAAAGACCAGGCCCCACCGGGTCAACAAGGCGAGCTGCCCCCATCCCCAGTCAGGCTCAGGGGACAGGGGAGGAAAAAAGAATAGAATTGGGGGAATTATGGGACTGTGAGGACCAAAGCTTTTTCCCCCAAGTGCCCGGTCACGGCAGACCCAAGGTGCCTGGGGTCGCCTGGGAAGGGCTGCAGGGCTGGGCTCTCCTGCCCCTCACCACAGCCCACAGCCCACAGCAGATCCGACATGTGACCTTTCCACTCTGGGCCTCGGGGACTCCTGGCGTGTGGGCAGGGGCTCAGTGCCTACTGCCCAGCAGAGCCTAGTGAGAAACTGGCCCCCCGCCTGCCAGGGCCACACACAAGAGGACACTTCCAGGTCCAGCCTCTCTCCTCTTTAAGAAGTCACTTGGCGCTGAGGGCCATATTTTTTTGTTTTGTTTTGTTTTTGAGACGAAGTCTCGCTCTGTTGCCCAGGCTGGAGTGCAGTGGCGCGATCTCGGCTCACTGCAACCTCTGCCTCCCAGGTTCAAGTGATTCTCCTGCCTCAGCCTCATGAGTAGCTGGGATTATAAGTGTGCACCACCATGCCCAGCTAATTTTTATATGTTTATAGAGATGGGGTTTCACCATGTTGGCCAGGTTGGTCTCAGGTGATCCGTCCTCCTTGCCCTCTCAAAGTGCTGGGATTACAGGCATGAGCCACCGCGCCTGGCCAAGGGCCATATTCTTTAAGTGCAAGCACAGCCTGCTTTCTTCCTGTGAAGGCTGTAAGTTGTAAGATGCACCAGTAATTATAACATCGCTAAGTGTACACATTAAGTGTAAGAAGCAATTTCCCAATTTTGGCAACATTAAAACGCAAGCGATGGCTGGGCACAGTGGCTCACGCCTGTAATCCCAGCACTCTGGGAGGCTGAGGTGGGCGGATCACCTGAGGTCAGGAGTTTGAGACCAACCTGGCCAACATAGTGAAACGCTGTTTCTACTAAAAATACAAAAATTAGCCGGGCGTGGTGGCGCAGGCCTGTAATCAGCTACTTGGGAGGCTGAGGCAGAATTGCTTGAATCCAGGAGGCGGAGGTTGCAGTGAGCAGAGATCGCGCCACAGCACTTCAGCCTGGGTGACAGAGCAAGACTCTGTCTCAAAATACAAAACAAAACAAAACAAACAAACAAAAAAAGTGAGCAAGCCACGCAACATAGATTTGAGATAATGGTACATACAGCACATCTGGCGGAGTAACACAGATGTTTCTGACTTAAGATTTTTTTGATTCTGCGATAGTATTCAGTAGAAGCTGTAGTTTGAATTTTGATCTTTTCCTGGGCTAGCGATGCACGGTCTGATCCTCCCTCATGACGCAGGGAGACAGCAGCTCCCACAGCTCCCCACAAGCCCTGTGATCAAAAAGGTGAGCGATGACACTCTACAGCCACCGCGCGCCAGGTGCTTTCACCAAACTGTAGGTGTGTTCTGAGCACATTTAGGGTCAGCCAGCCTAAGCCACGACGCTTGGCAGGTTAGGGGGATTAAAAGCATTTTCTACTTCCAGTGGATTTTTCGTCACGTAACCCCTTCGAGGGTGCAGCAGCATCTGTACCTGCTCATATGAGGCACATGACTCAAGGCGGGGGTTGTGGTTGGTTACCTAGGGTTTAATACAACTGAGGCTGGCCGAGAGGGCCAACATTAGGAAGCCATTTTTGACCAACAAATGATTTATTCTACTTAGAAATGAGTCTTCCACATGCCATTAACAACAAAGAGCTTTTTCAGGAAACGGTAAGTCCCCTCCATCTCTTTCTTTTCTCAGACAGGTGCCCTGACCATCCAGAGATAAATAATAAACAAAAGCAGGCCTCCTGGGCTCGCTTTCAGCCATTCATACTCCAAACCCCAAAGCTTTGCCCTCTGGAATCTCACAGCCTGGAAGGGGCCACAACGGTTTCCTAAAGAAAGGGTCAGGAAGGGGCAGAACAAAGAAGACAAATGGAAAGGAGAAATGAAAATCACTACATTTGGGTCAACCACAGGCACACACAAGGCTCCTGTTGTCCACATGTAACCTTAAGCTTCCCTGAAGGGGATGAACCAGGCCCTCGGAGCCTAATTAAATGAACCATTTCCTGGCCAGGCACACAACCCATCACCTGTGTGCAGAGAAGCCAGGGTCTCTCTAAGCTCCCGGCTGCTTTTAATTAAGGACTCGTCCCTGAGAGATGAAGCACAACATACAAAACCACCTTCGAGTCACCAGAATGGAAGTCATCTTGGACTTAGTGCTGAGAACTGCCTGCAGCCGGCCAGCCAGCCGGCAGGAGAAGCTGCCGCCTACAGCCAGGCGATGGCCTCAGGCTAAGGAGCACAGGGAGGCTCCCCTGACTCAGGCTTGCCCCACACCCAGCATCCTGCATGTCTATCCAGACCACCTTTCTTCCCCGTGTTCCACCTAAGTCATCCTTCAGGGTCTGATTCGGCCACGCCTGCCTCTTCCACTGCAACCTCCCAAAGCCGCGACGGCAGAGGCCGTTGCCCCGCCTCTACTCCTGCACCCTGTGCAGGATGCGGTCTTGAGCCTCACAGGTTTGTGACATGCATGTGTCTCCCCAGGGCAGTGATGAGCTGTCTGGACGGCCTCATGCCCGGCTTGATGCTGGCAGGACTTCTGAAGCGTTGGTGGGATGGTGTGGGATGGTGGAAAACTAGGGCCACTTGGGTCAGGTTCTGATCTTTTGAAGCCCAAGCCTGCCTTGGTGGGAAGCAAGTTCTCAGCACTCTTCAGCACCTCCCTTAAAGGAGGGACTATTCTTCGGTGAGTGGGAGACAGACCGAAACTTGACGTGGATGGCATTTCATCTTCCTGACTGCCAGCCCTGAGTTGGATGAAGGTGTGCACCCACTGGGCGTGGGCTGCCGCCTGCTGTGGAGCTGCCGCTGCCCCTCGTACCCTACACAGGCTCCTCCTAAAGCCAGACCCGCAGCCTTCCCAGCATGAAGGCAAGCACGGGGTAGCTGCTGTTCTCTTCCCGGACGGTCCTCAGTCCTCGGTCCAGCTTTCTCAGTCCACATTTTTATTAAGGATTATTGGCCAGACGCAGTGGCTCATGCCTGTAATCCCAGCACTTTGGGAGGCCGAGGCAGGAGGATCACTTGAGGCCAGGAGTTCGAGACCAGCCTGACCAACACGGTGAAACCCCACCTCTAATAAAAATACAAAAAAAAAAAAAAAAAGAAATTAGGCACTGTGGCGAGCACCTGTAATCCCAGCTACTCAGGAGACTAAGGGAGGAGAATCGCTTGAACCTGGGAGGCGGAGGGTGCAGTGAGCCGAGATGGCGCCACTACACTCCAGCCTGGGTGACAGAGAGGACTCTGTCTCAAAAAATTAAAAAAAAAAAGATTATCGTATTGGCTTGTATTCTTCTGTCACCTGAAATCTTTTTGGGAAAAGACCAGGTAAAAATACACAAACATAACTCATATATAAGTTGATTTTTCTCCAAAGACACTGTAATTTCACAGAGGATCTCTGTCCTCTCGTTTAAGTGAAAAGATACATAGTGAAACCAAATTTTTGTTCTCGTCAACATTTTAATGAAACATTATTCAAGGGCCTGCTGTAGGTCATAATTCCCAAGAACCTATGGACAACATTAAGTGAGGACTTACTGAACTATCAAAGTTATGATTGGAATAACAGCAAAGATGTTTAGGTCTTACCATTTAAAAGGCATGTAACACACATCCTCATTTTATCATCACAGCAACCCTGCAGAAGGCAGGGGTGTTATTATCCCACATTACTGTTTACAGGTGAAAAAAAGAGGCACAGGTAGGTTAAGCAACTTGGCTATGGTCACACAGCAGGTAATTCAATGAAAGCCATGCGATCCCACCCTAAGGCCGTGCGGACTCTAGAATGACACCTGGTGAGTAACCTAGCAGGCAAAATAATTCAGCTGAAAGAGTCACCAGCTGGATGGTGGCAGAGAGAAGTACTTGGCAAGATTGGTTTTTCACACAAGGTCAACGCGAACGGAACCTCTCATACCAGCCACCTACTAGGGTACAGCATCAAGACCTAATTTCAGGGAGGGAAATGGGAAATGCATCCATTTCATCATCACTGGATACTAAGGGTTAGGCCTGGCCTCAGGCTTTATAAACCACATGTGTGCCAAATGTCCACGTCTAAACCTAGAGTTTAGGGTGAAAACTATGAATGGGCTACCATGGAAGTTACAAAATAAGAATGCAGGGGGAAGCCTGAGGGCGCGCGCCACCCGAATGCGGGAGGAGCCAGATGGGGCAGCATAGGAAGGGCTGTTCTTTACCACTGATCTGGGGGGCTCATGATCGCCCAGAGGGACAGACCAACAGCATCGGGGTCTGTGGGTTGATATTCATCTGCACGTCGACACTGGTGGGGATGCCAGGGAAATCTCACATGTTCTGTTTAGCAGAAACGAGACACCTGAGGCAGAAAGTGACAATAAGGAGTCACACGGCCAGGCAACCATGGGCAATGGCAACGCAGGGGATACTTTAGAATCTGAAAGCCTGTGAAACACCCTCAAGTCCGAGAGGATCTGCTCCATGATGAGGAACTCCGTGACCTCCAGGGCCCACACACGGAGGTGAGCCACAGTCATCCTGCCACACCTGCTCAGTCTCCCGATGAGCCAGGCGAGGTGCTGAGCCCTGTACTCCTCGCCCCAGGGGTCCTGATAGCCCCTTGGGAGGCGAATGACCTTTGAAGCCACAGCAGAGGCTGACCAGCTCAGAGCACGGAGCCACTGAGTCAGAGGGCGGAGGTCTGGCTTCCTCCAACAGATTCTCCAAAAATCCTCACGATCACAAGCTTCTAAACCTCCATGACCTACCATGATTCCAGTAATACTTCTGTTTCCCTTCAAGTGGGAGTGTTTGTGCCATGTTTACGTGTCTGAGTGGGGGAGCGGGTGCTAAGGCAGACTCAACAAGTCGGGTTGCTTCGCTGTTCTCAGCACAAAAGTCACCCAGGCTGTCTGGCCACAATGTTTCACACTGGATTCCTTCCACTGGAGGGATGTCTCATCAGGTTTTGCTGTAATTTCACTGAGTCACCCATAGAAACGACCAAGCAGGGGAGACTGGAGGGGACATCTCCAGGGGGCCACATCTGAGCTGAGTTACAGAAAGTGAGGCAGGGCTGGCAGTTAGGGCAGGTCGCAAAGCAGCCCAAGGACTAAGGTGCAGACAGAGAGCATCTCTGTCTGTCAAAGGCAGACAGCGTGGGATGCCGAATGCTGATAGCTGCACAACTCTTTTTTTTTTTTTTTGTCACCCAGGCTGCAGTGCAATGGAGCGATCTCGAGTACCGCAACCTCCGCCTCCCAGGTTCAAGCAAGTCTCCTGCCTCAGCCTCCCGAGTAGCTGGGACTACAGGTGCTTGCCACCATGCTTGGCTAATTTTTTTATTTTTTAGTAGAGACAGGGTTTCACCATGTTGGTCAGGCTGGTCTTGAACTCCTGGACTCAAGTGATCCGCCTGTCTTGCCCTCCCGAAGTGCTGGGATTACAGGCATGAGCCACCATGCCCAGCTAGCTGCACAACTCTTGCGTGTGCTAAAAACCATTGGACCGTACACTTTAAAAGTGTAAATGTTATGTTATGTGAATTATATCTCCAGAAAGCTGTTGTTAAGAAGGTGAATCAAGAGAGGATATTTTAGGCAGAGAGAACCACATGGATCCAAGACATCACAGGTAGACATCCAGGAAACCAACAGTTTCAGAATACGAGTACGTCATGTGACCCAGAGTTAGGTTGGTAAAAAGTGACCCTGGGTGTCAGGAACCATGGGCAGTGTTGTCTTTCTCCTCACTCTCAGTCGTAGCTGTTTGACTCTTCACTCTTACTACCCAGAGCTTTTCCTACATCAAAATAAACCAAGGTACTGCAGGGACTTGCCACTGGCCTGGAAGTCAGAGCTGGTTCTGCCATGAAACGGTGCTACATGGGGCATGGGCCACAGCTCCCTGGTCTCTGCAATGGATGGTTCTCTGAGAGAGGAGCACTTTGAGGGCTGTGAGTACAGAGGGAGGAGCTCAGGGTGTCAAGAGTGGGAGAGGAAGTCTGGGCCTACCACCTTCTACCTGGTTTATTCAAGTTCTAAGATTTTGCTTAAAAAAAGGGCTGTACCAATTTTCCAAATGTTTGAAAACCACTAGATGAGATAATCGGTAAGGTTCATTTTAGTGTTGACATCCTACGAAGTTTCATAGTTCAAGACTTGAGAGTTACTCAAAAGTTTGTGTCATCCCTCCTAAAACAAACCTTTACTAAGCAAGGTACTCTGAGGCTCAAACCAACTGTGGACTGCCCAGCTCTTCGGTTCACAGCCTTAGGACACAGATGCAAGCAGCTGAGTGAGTTATTCACAAGAAGGGGAAGAAGGAAAAGGCTTGGAACCCATAATCTTCTCCCCTGAATGCCATGTTCAAATTTAAACTCTTAGGGAATTTCTATATTTGTATACAGAATCCAAATTCCCTTCTCTTTTCTCTTCCAGGAGAGATTCCGAGCCCACCCCTTGCCTGCCTCCGAGACCTCAACACCATCCTGCTTACTAAAGGGAGCCCAGTTTTTCCCGCTACCCATGGCACAGGTCTTCGTCAATTTCAGTGTGCCCTTCATGAATCTGGCATGTGGTCACTGGCAGTTAAAGGGGGTGATGATGGAGAGGAGAAACCCCAGGCTCCAACTACAAAACCCTGCGGGACACGCAGGCTCCTCTGGGCTTCCCGGCCCACATTCCTGGCCTATTTCAAACATCAGGGAAGCAGACTGAGCGTGCCATGCCCTCCTCAAGTATTTTTAACCTGTTTCCAAAACCAGACATGTTCTAAGGGGGGCGACCCAGGAATTCCTCATCCAGGGCCAGTGCCTGCCAACCGCGAGATGTTGGCTTTCTAACAGCTCTGAGGAGGGAGTTGTTGTCTGCCTTTTCTGGCACGTGGGGAAGTGGGATCTCTCTCCAATTCACTTTTACGTCTCACATTTCTCATCAACCAGAGGGCAGGATCTAACTTAAAGTGAGAGTCTTCAGACCATCCTCAATGGAAGCTCTCCAAACACTGTTCTCCGGCTTCCAACAACAACAGGAGTCCATAAGGTTCCCCAAATGAAGGACCTGGATAGATCTTGTAGGAAAAAAAATCCTATGAGGACAAGGCCAAGGAACGGGCCTATATGCACTTCACTTGAATTATGCCTCCTGGCTCTAGGTGACAAGAGCCATCTTTTTCACCACTGGAGAGCTCAGCCTCCTACCACCTTGCCCCGATCCTGACCTGGTTCAGATTCCTCGCTAACATACTTCTCTCACCTTGTAGCACTGTTGCACATTGAACAGGAGGGAAAAGCTCTTTTGTTCATTTTCCTTAGAATGGAACCAAAATGATACTCCAGTAGCTCCATCTAAAAGCTCAAGTGGCAGCTAACAGCACGGACACCAGGGGCATCCCTTGCCAGCTTCCAATGCCATGGTGAGAGACACTCATCATGGTTTAAAAAAAGACCAGAGAGCATTTTCACAAGCAATTCCTAAGAGACTTAAATTTCCTACACATAGGCAGAATAAAAACCAAAAAGGAAAAAAAAAAAACTTCCCCCAAACAAAAGTGAGGGCTTTCAAGGAGACTTGCTGAGTGGGCAAACATTTTGGAAAGATGGAATTTTAAACACAAACACAAAAGGGCAAAGATTTGCAGCAGAAGAGCTATGCACACAGCCGGGAGGACTTTAATTAGGGAAAGCTTTGCAAAGCCCAGGGAGCATCAGCATCGGCAAATCTCCCCTTGGTCTCCGGAATGGAAAGAATGTGGAAACCAATGGGTGATCAAGGAGTTCGAATTTTGCCTGACACTCTTGCTGGGAATGAAGCATGCAGTCCTGTCTTTTGCCACCTTTTCAGCAGCCTCAGGTGAGCCTTTTAAAAAGGTGAAAAACGAAGGACCACCTAGCCTGGGAGAAGCCAGGGTGGATCCTCTCCTTCCTAGGGTGCTTCCTGCAGATGGCACACAGCCAAAGCTCTTCTGGTGTTTTAAGGCAGAAACAGAATTCAGGGGAGGACTAAACAACCCCTTTAGAGCTACGTGCTGTGTTTTTTGTTTGCATTTTTCCAAGTCCAGGCATTTTTCCAGGTATTTCCAATGAGACTGAAATGGCCTACACATAGGCTGACGACCTATAATAACATAAGAAAGTGATGTTGGCCCCCTGCTCCACCCAGAGGGGACATCTGCTTATTTGGCTTCCAGGTGGTGGGAGCAGTGGTTTTCCCCAAACAGCTAATACCCTTCAATTCTTTGCTTTCTGTATCATGAAGTTCACTGGAGTTTGGAGCACAGACTCTTTAAACCAGTAATTTAACTCTACTTTTGAGGATACCCTATGCCCCCAGCAGTTATGAGAAGGGTTGCCAAATCTTAACTCATAAGGGTGACAGGATCAGGAACAAAGGCCTGGACTCTCCACCCTTCTCCTCTGCCAAAATCTACGAGTTCAGGAAAATGGCAAGCCAGGAGTTTACTTTAGGTTCCCTCAAGAGCAGCAGCTGTTCCCACCAGGGCTGCGAAGGAATCAACAGGAACTGAGAGAACACCTGAATGGTCTGATTCAGAAAGTCCCAGCTCCCTGTGAGGTCAATAAAGAACTTTGTCTCAACAGAGGCAACAAGGCCACTGCCTCCTAGGAAAGGACTGATGTGGGCTTTTCTAGAGGCAGGCAGGCTCTTGGATCAACAGGCTTACAAGGGCACATTTCTCAGTTACGATCTTAAAATTGCAGGGAACCTGCTGATCTCTGTCCCTTACCCATCTAGAAAGTCTGAGTGGGAGCTAACAGCTGATCCTCAGCAAAACCAGAGTGTGCGCCCATCACCTGCTTTCTGGTAAGGGACCCATGTGGCCTGAATCAAAACTCAAAGCTCACTAGACACCAATTCACACGCTCTATCTAATCAGGCAGAAACCCAGCTGCTCCTGCTCAGTCCCTGCCCAGCTAGTACCTTCCCACCACCCACCAGCTGTATCTCAGGCTCTGCCCACTCTAAGCTTTCCCTGGGATTTGCCTGCCAAGGGTGGGCCACGGTGTCCTCTGTGGTGCTCTGCAGTGCCCATGTTCCTCACATCAGAAGCCTTGCATTCTGGCTGGGAGCGGTGGCTCACCTCTGTAATCCCAGCACTTTGGAAGGCCGAGGCGGGTAGATCACCTGAGGTCAGGAGTTCGAGACCAGCATGGCCAACATGGTGAAACTCCATCTCTACTAAAAATACAAAAAATTAGCTGGGGGTGGTGGCAGGCACCTGTAATCCCAGCTACTTGGGAGGCTGAGGCAGGAGAATTGCTTGAACCAGGGAGGCAGAGGTTGCAGTGAGCCAAGATTGTGCCATCACACTCCAGCCTGGGCAACAAGAACAAAACTCCATCTCTAAAACAAAACAAAAAAAAAGAAGCCTTGCATTCTATCCATCCTGGGTTATCTGGCTCCCACCGTGGCTATGAGCTCTTTAAAGACACAACTATTCTGTTGTCACTCTGACCCTGGTGCTTCAGCTTAGGCAGGGCCTTGCATTCATGGGGGCTCAAGTAGGCATGCACTCACTGAATGTCCGCTTCAGGCTTGACAGTGGGGATACAAAGGTGAACAAAAGAAAAGATCCCTGCCCTCCAAGAGCCAAAGCTCCTAGGATGGAGCAAGTCCAAGAGACAGGAGAAGCAAGGGGCATGCTGGGGGGCAGGGTGAGGGAAGTGAGGCTCCAGCGGAGATGGGAAGATGAGCAGTTAGAGGGAGCAGAGTTGGTGTGGACATGTGTCCCAGTCAAGGAAACGGCATGTACAAAGATGCAACAAGACAGGGCACAGGCCTGGGAGTGTGCAAGACAAGGAGACAGGAGGAAGGGGCAGGGCCAGATCAAGAGCTCTTCCACCTAGATGTGTTCTCCGGGCTTGATCCCGACAATGTGGAGTCATTAAGGGACATTATCCGAAGTGCATTTTGGCAAGACTACTCTGTATGCAGAGCAGGCAGGGGATGACAGGCAGGAAGGCCTGTCTACAGGCTATTATAACACTCCAGTAATGCAGGGAGGAGCAGTAGCAATAAACATTCATTGAACTGCTCTAAAATGAGGATTGGGACATACCTTCACCCAACAGGCTGGATAAGGTGGATGGCACTCTGTAAAAAAGTGACCCCGCTTTGGGCAGGTGGAACTACATCTCCACTGGCCTTCAGCAGCCTGAGCTGCACCCAGTGCCCCTTCTGCCTGCCTCCCTCCTGGACTCCAGCCGCAGTTCCTCCCTGTCACATGCCCTACTTAACGCCTGCAGCATCAAGACTCAAGAGGTTGAAGTACAAGAGGTAACAGTAGTAGGCCGGGCACGGTGGCATCACTTGAGGTCGGGAGTTTGAGACTAGCCTGGCCAACATGGTGAAATCTCGTCTCTACTAAATATACAAAAATTAGCTGGCTATAGTGGTACACACCTGTAGTCCCAGCTACTCGGGAGGCTGAAGCAGGAGAATCGCTTGAATTGGGCAGGCAGAAGTTGCAGTGAGCCAAGATCGTACAACTGCACTCCAGCCTGGGAGACAGACTGAGACTCCATCTCAAAAAAAAAAAAAAAAAAAAAAAAAATATGGCTGGGCGCAGTGGCTCATGCCTGTAATCTCAGCACTTTGGGAGGCCGAGGCAGGCAGATCACTTGAGGTCAGGAGTTTGAAACCAGCCTGGCCAAATTGGTAAAACCGCATCTCTACTAAAAATACAAAACTTAGCCAGGCACGGTGGTACAGGCCAGTAGTTCCAGCTATTCCAGACGCTGAGGCTGGAGAATCACTTGAACTCGGGAGGTGGAGGCTGCAGTGAGACGAGATCACGCCACTGTACTCCAGCCTGGGTGACAGAGCAAAACTCCATGTTAAAAAAAAAAAAAAAAAAAAAGAGGTAATGGGAAAAATGCTCGCTTGTCATTGCAAGATCTGAGCTCACCTCACAGTCCCTCTCCCACCTGGAAGAAGGCAGGACATTTCAGAGCCCGATCAAGCAGCATTCACCCACCTATCTGGCCAAACAGGGAAACGCAGGCTGCTTTTGACAAGGGGCACGCACCCTCCTCCTTAAAAGGACAGCTCAGCAATCATGGGAAAGCAGTGGATTCCAGCCGCTCCTGTCAGGGATTCCACCACCTTCTTTGGATGATTTGCACCAAGTATTTTCCCTACATGACTTCCTTTAATATTCACAATTGTCCTCTTTTAGAGTGAGGCAAATCCAGAATTCTCTCCATTACACAGATGAGGAAACTGAGGCCTGGAGTCTGGTAGCTTACCGAGGGTCACCTAGATATTCAGGATGCATGCTCCCAGCCCCAGCTAACTCATGACTCCGTGACCTTAAAGACTCTGTCCATATACTGCCACCTGCCGGGACCACCAGCCCTTGAGTCCCAGGGGCTGAGGTCTCCTGAGTCATAGCTCAGCTCCAAGAGGCATCCGTCCCTTCTCATCTCTGGGTCTCAGATCACACAGCCTAGAATGTCTAATGTGGACTCCCCTCAGAATTTGGGGATAGCAGGGTTTTTGGTTCATTATCTCATATTTATTTGTGGCCATATCGACATGTGGCCAGGCACTGTGTTAGGGTCTGGGGATAGAGGTGAGCATCATGGCATCCCGCAGGTGCTCGGAAGCCAGAGGGCCCTCCAGTGCTAAGAGTACAGTTACAGCACACAGCAGTGCTTTCAGTGCGTTAGATAAAACGTGGAGATTTGGCTGCCCCTACAGGCAGCGTTTGGGACTAGGAAGGTCAATGAGACAGGAAAACAATGCGGGCGAAGAAGTATTAAGCCTCTTTAAAACACCTGATGTACATATCTCCTCTACTCCCAACTGATGTTCAACACATAGCTAGAAAGAGGCAAAAAAAAAAAAAAAAAAAAAAAATCCCCTTGTATGAAGGATAATCCTTTCAGCCTGGGGCAAATCTCCTGAAGAGTTTTGTTCTGAACTAGGAGTGTTGTTTTAGCTTCCAGTCAATAGTAATTAAGAGTCCCAATATATTCCAGAAAGAGGGAGAGGGAGATTAACGATCATTAAATCTCTTCTGCATTTGGCTCCAAATCTCTTTTCGGAGGGGCCGGCTGTCAGATGATCCCTCCAAAGCGTCCATCTGACAGCACTCCCGCCGCCACCATCTGGAACATCAATTCGAGAGCTCGCCTGAAGGTTTCAATTACATAAAAGGCAATGGGCCCATTAGGACCCGAGAGTCTGGAGCTTCACAAGCGCTGCTCACACCCCCTCTCCTGTACACAAAGCCTCTAGAATTTGGTTGGCAGTCATTTGCAAAGGGACTCATTTTGGTGGGGGCATGGGGCTGGCCAGCCCCTTGGCAAGGCCTCTCTCAGGCAGGCTCTGTGCGTGCTATGACTGACAGGGTCTCTAATGAACCTTAATTGTGAGCTCGACAGGCCCAGGAAGGCAGCCACAGATGTGGCAAAGGGCAACCGCAAACCGTCTGATTAGTGAATAAGAAGTGTCCGGCCCAGTGAGGGCCAATGACCCAAAAAAGGAGGAGGGCGGGACTATTCCTCCCCCACGCATCCCTTCTAAAGCTCTGAAGCTTCTTTATGTAAGCAATGCAAAGCCTCTGGGTGCACTGGAACCCAACGCACCCCTCCCCCCGGCACTACTGCTTGGCAGCTGGCAGCTGGGATGTTGGGGTCTTGTGCTTGTTACCACGGATGCTTCCGTCTCCATCAGCAGTGCACCTTTAACCACAGGAGGCCAGAACAGAACGCCCTTTCAACGTGGGAAGGGGGAAGCTACCCACTACGGAGACTGAGTAACTTCTTGCCGGTGCTAAGAATTGTGAAGACAGCTGCATTCAGAGTCAGCCATCCTCTGGTGACCTGCAGTGACAAGGAGAAAGCTACTCCTGGGGCAGCTTTGGGCACAAACAGCGTGACGGAGAAGACAGGCTTTGCAGACGGGTAGATCCCAACTCTGCTCCTTACTAATTAGCTGTGAGGCTTGGACCAACTCATGAAACCTCACTTGGTTTCCTCATCTGTAAAATGGGCATAAAAGATCAACCTTGTGGTGTGCAGTTTAAATAAGCAAAGGGTCTGGAACAGTACCTGGCACACGATAGTCATCTCTTAAAACCCGGGAGAACAGCAGAGTATTTTGCGCAAGTTTGACATGACCTCAGAACTCCATGCAGACAGCTACTACAAGCCAGGTACTATGCTAGAAGCTTTACACCCCCCATCTCTCATTCTTGAAGTTAGTGTCATGCCCATCTCACAGATGAGGAAACTGAGGCTCAGTGGTCACACAGCTAAGACGTGGTAAAGACAAGAGCTGAACAGGATTGTGCCTTTCGATTTCAAGGCACTCCACTATCAACTTCAATGCTCCTAACCAAGCATTTCAGGCATCCTCAGACTAACAGCCTAGAAACACCTAACCAAGAATTTTGTAGAATTTGAATTCCCAAATACACCAAAACAGGCTTCTCTGGCCTGGCATATAAAGGTGTGGTAGGGGGCACTAAATGGCCAATCTGTTTCCAAGGAAGTCTGCAAAACAAATGAGGACTCCACTTCCAGCCTTGGTCTGCTTCTTGGCTAGTGGCACCTCACAAGCATTTTCTGCATCAGGGTCATGAATAGGTAGCAGCAGGTGAGCTGCTAAAATAGCCTCCCCACCAGAAAGCAGTCCCAGGAGAGGCCCAGAGATACAGAACAGAGGCCCATCACTGGGAGGTTGTGTAGGACCCTCACACATAGACTGGGGGGCTCTCAAGCTGGGGAAAAGGGTACCTGGGGGGAGACTAGAGATGTAGGTTCAAGAAGGGGACAAGAGATTCAGAGGAAAGAGGAGCAAGAGGTGAGCAGTGCTGATAAGGAAGAGGGTAAATGGCAAGGAAGCTGGGAAACCGACAGAAAGGATCCTGAGGACCCAGGTTTCACAGGTGACCTGGCACCTCTGGAAGGCTGAGGATTGAGGGGTCTGATGACCTGGGAGGCTGCAAGGCTGGCTTGTCCTTGGACACTGAGATCAACCTAAGACTCCTTCCTGCCGCCTTAGACCATCCAGCCACGCTCTTGTCTAGCTTTCTCTCCCAGGGCTTCCGAAGACTTTCCCAATGATAACCGGGGTCAGCTCCTCATTCAGGGAGCAGAAGCAGGAAGAAAAGTGCCTAGCAAGCAATCAGGAAGAGGAGGGGGAGAGACCCTCACCAGGGCGGACTGTGCAGCTGGTGTCAGATGACCCTTATCTCTGCAGAATGGAAACCAGCCAGCCAAAGTCTGGAGGCTCACCTTCTGACCTCCATGACTCGCCTTTGGGTGGGGGGCCGTGGCATTTTCAGCTTCCCATTCAGGGATCCTTACCTTGACAAGTTCTCATGACTATCTACAAGGCCTCAATGGAGGGCCTCTTAATCTCCTTCCTCAGTTAAATAAGCCAAGTCCTTGCAAACGTGCACTGGGTTATAAAATGCCCCACTGTGGGAGCCAAGGCTGGGACTTGGTTCACCTGTGAAAACTCAGCCCAAAAGGCTGCCCAGGGCATCAGGGCACAGCCTCTAGGCTGGTGGAACCCAGGAGTGAGCCAATCGGCCCTAGGAAGCCAACAAAGGCAGTAAAGGCAACAGCCAGCATCAATTAAGTGCCTGTCTTCCACTCACATCTGCAGTTTACACGCACCCCAAATCCTCACAACCGTCTCATGAATTCGGCTTTCGGAAACTGTGGGAGATGAAGTGCCTTGTCCAAGGTCTCAAAGCTGGAAGGTGACCAGGCCAGGATTCAAGTCCTAGTGAGCCTTCTCTTCTGGCTCTAGTGAGCCACCCAGGGACAAAGACTGTGGGCTGGAGTATCTGCTGGAGGCCCCTGCCGGCTCTGTTCTCTCCACCTATTTACCAGATGGGGCAGCTCATAGGCCTGAGAGAAACTGAGGTCTCTTCTGCCAGCAAAAGGGGAGCCTGAAAGTGGTGACATCAACAGAAGGGTATCCATGGTGATGTTCTTTTAGTTCTAGGCAACAGACCTCCAGTTCTGAGAGACTGAGAGACCATCAGGCCTGCACTTCGCAGAGTGGGGGCCCGAGACCCAAAGACCTGCAATTCCCAAAGCAAATTAGTGGCAGACTCAAAGCCACAGCCCAGGTCTCCTGACTTCCAGTAAGATTTGCCAAGGCACCTTCTTAATGGACATAGTGCTTCCTTTTCATCTACCTTTGTCCCTCCTATTGAAGCAGCAGGAAGTTTCCTGAAGCAGTTCTCTATTTGCACAAATAGATAAATAATTCCAAAAAAGCTATGTTTCCTTCTACCCCATTTTACCAAACACTTATGAAAATAAAAGGTTTGGCTAATATCACACTTAGGGCCATTGTCAAAAAAGGGTGTAGAATCCAGGCCACTTAGTGTGTAGGTTATGATCCTTCCCAGGAAAACAATGTTTCCCAAAGCACATTCCTTGAACGTGAGTTGGGATAACAGGTTCAGTTCTTTTTTTATTAACTGTGGGACTTCTCAGAGCCTTTAATATGCCAACATGGGTGATGATGCTCTTAATGGATAATGGAGTCTGATTATCCAGACTCTGGATTTCTCCCAGTCAATCGCTGCCCTTTATCCCTCAAGAGACTCAATGCCAAGGTGAGGGGATCCACTTCATTAGAAAGTCACGAAATGTGCAGGTCACAGTCCAACAAGAAACGAATCCACCCACCAAGCAGAAGGAACAGTCATCCATGAAGGAGGCTTTTCCAGCCATCCCATCTCGGTTTATTTTGCACTTCTAACTACTAGTGAGGACCAAAGTTTCACATATTAGGCGTTTGTGTTTCTTCCTCTGTGAATTGCCTATGTAGCCAGCTCTTTCTTCTAACAAAGTATTCCTACTTCTCCTATTGATGGAGGCAATGCCATGTGGTAGTTAAGAGCCCCGGAGTCAGGTTGTCTGGGTTCAAAGCTTAGCTCCACCATCATACTTGGTGACCCTGGATAAACTGCTGGAGGCCCTGCTTCTTCATCTGTCCAATGGGGACAACTCTAATAGCCTCAGCAGGTGTTCTCAGATTTAAAGAGAGAAGCGTTTTGCCAAAAGGTACAAATGCTTTTCAGAGTGTGTTCCTTGCTTTTTAATTTTGTGTAAACTTCTAAGTTAAATTTGCATGCAGTCAAAGCTATCATTTCGGCACTGGCTTATGCACCTTCTAAAGGCCTCTTCCATCTCAAGATCAAATACTGATGTTTGCTCTCTGGGTCTTTCATGTTCGTTTAATAGTTAATTCTTCAGTCCATGAGAAATACGCAATATGACTACATGCTGTTGCAATAGAGTTTTAGTGTGTTTTCCTTCAAAAGTATTAGCTGTTTCAACACATTTATTGAACAATTATTTTTCTCCCAAATAGGAATACCACTTGTGATTGTTCTAAGTTCTTCCATTACTGAGTCTGTTTCTGAGAATTCTGACTGATTTGCTTCCGCCACTCAGCCTGGAGCTCTGCAGCTGTCTTCACGCACTGCCTGCTTGCCTCTTAGGTGACTGCCTTTAAATTAAATGTACCAAAATCAGCCTGTGCTCCAGCATAAATCAGTTAGAACAGATAGGATGCCAGGGGAGATGGAGGGACAAGAGCCCATTTGTAACAGCAAAAGGAGATGCCACCTAGAAATAAGCTCCCTTACTGAACCATCCCGTTGGTTCTTGCAGTGCACTGCTTTTTCCAAAATTTTTACATTTGTTTTAACTGAAAGTATAGTGATATACTACTTGTGTCTGGGCAGGATGCTTTCAAAATAGCACTTTCCCCCCAAACACACACAATGCAAAGTGTGTATGGGTGGGGGGTGGTGGGGGGCTGCAATAGGAAGCTTTGCCTCTGCCCCACTGTTCCAACTGAGCCCGGGTTCCCCACAGCCCAGCCGGTTGAAGGGAGCGGCGGCTCCTCTGCTGGTCAAGCTCTGGAGGAACATCGCCTGCCCAGAGCTCCACACCAGCAGTGGCAGGAAGAGAAGTTCAAGTCCTTTTCCCTTAGGTACTTCCATGGTGACCATTCTTCCCAGGCCCTCATTATAAATTTCCTTTACATTTTCACTTTTAAAAGATTATTTAGCTTTGGCAGGACATTTAAGAAATGGCATACTATAATATTTTCATTTGTAAGGCTGTAATTCAGTGGAAAATACTGACTGGAATCAAGAGGTGGGCTTGACACCTCTTCCCCGCAACCCCACAGCACGCATCACCTATCAGGTCAGAGACTCACTGCCCTCCTCCATTCCTCAGTTTCCTCCCACTCACTTCACAGAATGGCTATGAAGACAGATAAGGTCCTGGATGAAGCGTATTAATAATGAGACCCATCTGTCAGTACTTGCTGACATCTGATGGAGATCCATTAAAAGTTACTTATTTTGGCCAGGCACAGTGGCTCACACCTATAATCCCAGAACTTTGGGAGGCCAAGGTGGAAGGACTGCTTGAGTGTGGAAGGACTGCTTGAGTTCAGAAGTTTGAGACCAACCTGGGCAACATGGTGAGACCCCCATCTCTATTTTCTATGTTTAATTTAAAAAGATGAAAAAAATTTTTTTCCATGTAATTGAAAAGTATTTTATAGGGAATGAAAGAGGGAAGAGTCAAATTGTTAATCTGAGACCAAACAAAAAATACTTTCTGTTTTGAAATTTGTATTCTCTGAAAAATAACCAAAGCTTACTGCGTGGCTATCTTAAAGATGATGGGAGAGCATCAATTTTCAAAATAGTTGGCTTTGGAGAAATTCAAGCCCCTTCCCCTAATGGAAAATCAACCATTACTGTTCTAGGACAGCTCAGGACTGGTGGATACATCGTTGCAGTCTCCTGGAATCAGTCTTTGCTCCCCAAGGAACACACACACAAAATAAAGCCAATGGCCCTACTAATCTCTTTGGTTCATTTCCTTTCTCTTGCACTCCTCTCTTTCATTCATTCCACCGTAATTGTCTGGATTGCCTTTACAGAAGGCAATTAATCGCATTCTTAATTGGATAAAATGAGGAACCATTACGCTGCATGTAACAGAACTCATCAGAATCTGAAATCACTTCTGGCCAAATCTATGAGGGAGCTGGTCAGGTAAGAGCACCCCAGGAAGCCCCACTTCCTCTTTCTAAGCAAATCATGCCATTTCTTCCTGGTGAAGGGCTGCCTGGCTGCCACCTGGACACAAATCAGAGGCTGCACTACTAGGTGGCAGGTCCTCAGGTTGATAACAGGCCGGGGTCATGAAGGGCCGCCATCCTCCGGAGAGGCCAGGATGGGCAGGAAACGCCAGCTTGGCACCCACCGTCCAGAGCATGCCTCCTGCTCTCCCTGCCTCAGTCCCCACAGCTGCCGCCCATTCACAGAGCAAAAGGCTCACGTGAAAAGACTCACCACAATTTTCCAAGGAATGGAGTTTATTAAAATACTGCTGGAGGCTTTTGGCTGGAATGTTTTTTCTCCTTGTAAAACGGGAACTATAGCAGTGTTGTCTATAGGAAAGCTCAGAATACGCTCAGAAACATCAGTCACAACAGAGACTATGTAGGGGCTGGTGCATATTACCAGTGATTCCATCCATTCCGCGGCTCCTGCTCCAGAGATAACATTCGGCTCAGAGGAGAAAACTTCCAGGCAGACCCTAGGATGGGTAGGAGAGAGGAAGCCAAGTTTCCCCACCCTTAACATAAACCCACGGGGAACTCTGGTGGAAAAAGCATTTTTTTAATGTTAAAATGTCTTGCATGTGGGCATGTTATGGATTGGAATACAATTTATTTTTTAATTTTTTTCTTACGAGATGGGGTCTAGTTATGTTGCCCAGGCTGGTCTTAAACTCTGGGTTCAAGCGATCCTTCCACCTCAGCCTCCCAAGTAGTTGTAACTTCAGATGAATGCCACATTTCCAGAGAGAAAACAATTTTTAAATAAGACAAAACATACAATGCTCTCCTTGAGGCAGGCACCTGTGGATTTTCCCCTAAAACCCCAGAAATGTGTATTTGCTCTTCTTTCTTCCTCTATTGACATGAGTACTTTGGGGAAAGAATGAGAAGCGCCAAGGCACAAGTCACTGAGAAACCGGTTAAAAGGTGGCGAGCAATGGCTTGCAGAAGTGGACAAACATTTACTGATAGCTGGGCACGACCATTAAAGAGCCTCTAACACCTTTATGAGTAAGTAAAAACAAATAAGCACAGCTGCCAGTTATCCTGTTCAACAGATGTACAGCGTGCAAAGCTGACCACAGCCAGGTCCTCCTTCCAGAAATTAATTCCCCATAAAATGTCAGCTCCATAGAGCGAGGCTTTTCATCTGGTTCTCCACGAAAACCCCGGCACCTAGAATAGTGTCTGGTGCATGGATGGTGCATTTAATAAATGTTTGCAGAAAGAATAACTCAGTTCTGCAGCTCTTGCTACTCATCCTCAGAGCTTATTCACTGGTCAATGACCAATGGCCTGAGAGAATCCAACTAGGGTCATTCTTTTCGGGGATCAAGCTGAAGAATCCTTGCATTTTGACCCGTGGAGGAGAAGGCAAGGAATAAAGGCTGCACTTCTTCCCAGAATTAAACACAGTGCCTGACTTCCAGGAGGTGCTCAATAAATGTCGACTGAATCCATTACCTTTTCACTTACTTCAGCTGAGACCCTTTTAGAAAGGCAAAAACTTAAAAACAAAACAGGGTCTCATTCTCTCACCCAAACTGGAGTGTAGTGGGGTGATCATAGCTCACTGCAGCTTTGACCTCCTGGGCTCAAGTGATCCTCCCACCCCAGCTTCCTGGGTAACTGGGACCACAGGCGCATGCCACCATGCCCAAAACATTTTTTAATTTTTAGTAGAGATGGAGTCTCCCTATGTTGCCCAGGCTGGTCTCAAACTCCTGAGCTCAAGCAATTCTCCCACCTTGGCCTCCCAAAGTGCTGGGATTATAAGTGTGAGCCACCAGGCCCAGCTTAAGTGAAGACATTTTAAATGTTGTCTTTGAAATAAAGGACGAAAAATGCTGGTCTGAGATTGTTTGAATGACAAGGCTAAAGGGGAAGCTAGGGAAGAAGAAAATGTAAGCCTGCTTACTCTATTAACACAGATAAAGCAGATCCTATCTGGCCTTCAAGATCCCCAAAGGCAGGGGTAGTCGTCTTGGGTCCCAGGCCCAGTGCAGCTTCATCACCTGGGGGACAAAACTGAGTTTTGCTTCACTCCACACAGCTGTCCCTGGAAAAATGATTTCCAGATTTCATTGCTTTGACTATTAAAGACTGAAAACTGAGCAGCACTGCTTAGCAGACATCAGATATTCTGCTAATCAATCGTATTAATGAACTATTGACTAATAGTATCATCCTTAACGTCACCAGTCAATTACAAATGTGTGTGAGCTGGCTCCATGGGCTGCTTCACGGAGAGCAGGTTTTTGGAAACGTAAGCAGCGGGTGTCCACTCACTCGTTCACTAAGGCTCGAATGTGGACACGTCCCCCAAGCACTCAGCCTTCTCATCTGTCAAATCACACTCCCTGCAGACATCATGCTGCCCCGATGGGGGTGGCGATGCGGGGGTGACAGGGATAATTTCAAAGCATGGCTACCGCTGAGGCTGGCAGTGTGAATACCTGTGCCCAGCTGGCTCTATTTCTAGAGGGCTGCTCTGGCTACTTAAAAAGAAGAATATGCTGAAAACAGTTAACCTATGAAGTTATCAACTCCCCGGTAAAAAATCAGGATGTCTCTTCCACCTTTACCTCACTGGCCTGGATACTTTCCCAGCCCTGATGTCTTCCCCTTGATAGAGTAAAGTCTGGGGACACCCAAGAGCTGAGCCTTAGGACAACTGTAAGAAAGAAAGAAGTGAAGGAACTAAAAACATGAAGTGACCAATGTTTGCAAGCAGAGACTTTCTTGCCTAGTTAAACAGATTCACGGCTATTTTTGGTTTGCTCTTAAAAAGGCAAAGGATGGAAGGCCTGCTGGGTGCCAATATGCAGAAACAAACTCCTTCCTCAGCTCAGGGCTCAAAATACACCCCAGCTGAGACATTTCTGCTCTTGCTGCCAGTGTGCAGAGTAAGGCCATAGAAGGGCCAAGTTTATGAAGCCAAGGGAACATCTTCACATCATATGATTCTTGGCCCTCATGGATGTGTGGGTATTTTTGAAACAGCTTAACAACGGATTTCAGCTGGATTCACTCTAGCACAATGGGATTAATATGTAATAAAATGATGTTTTGGCCATCTGCAAAGGAAGGTCATTTCCCACCAATCAGAGCAGGCCTCATAATCCCAAGGCAGCAAAAACTCTCTGATGCTGGGAAGAAAAAAGAAAGCTGACCTGGCATGATAAATTGGGCTGCCTTGGCCTGGCTGCCAAGCATCCCTCACATTTCTCTTCAATACCACTCTGTAATCAGACCATGGTGGACTGGATCCATTCCCCCACAGTTCCCTGGCCCTGACATCTTAAGCGAGGCCATTCCCTTCATGGGGAATGCTGGCAAATCCTAACATTCTCGTCCATCTTAAAACTGGAGACTTTTCTTGAAAACAACAATCTCCCCCCCTTCATTATCTTGGGCAGGTGAGCAGGGAGGAATGACTGCTGTTTGCATGGAGCAGCAGTGCATTAGCTACTTTCAAAACATCTGACTGATCCCAGATTACACGAGACAAAGGCCTGGATCCTTTGCCTTTAGACAGGTGCATAATAGTGTGAATTTTCTGAAACTACCGCTTTGGGAAGAAACTAAAACTGCATGTGAACTTCAATGCTACAACAGTATACTCAGCACAGACCAATCCTTACAGAATAAAAGCATTTCGTAAGTTCAGTTAAACAGGAAAAAAGAAAAACTGTCATTCCCAGAGAACACTGGCAGTGATGAAAATAAAACATTCAAAGAAGAAACCTCCAGGATCAGTCACAGGATCCAGTACAAAGCCAGCGCACTGCCCCTTATATGAGCATCGCACGTAGCGAGGAGTTCAAAGCCAGGCCATCAATCAGAAAGTGGCTTCTGAAGCATGTCAATATAGTTTTTTTTCAGTAGAGATGGGTTTTCGCCATGTTGGCCAGGCTGGTCTCGAACTCCTGGCCTCAAGTTATCCACCTGCCTTGGCCTCCCAAAGTGCTGGGATTACAGGCATGGGCCGCCGCGCCTGGCCAATGCATGTCAATATAGTTTTAATGAGGCATGCATTACCAGATCCTAATTTGTTGAAAAGTCATGCTCCATTTCCATTTTGACATTCCTCATACTTCAATTAAAAAATTAATGAGAACACCGTTTCCCCAACCCACTCTGGACGATGGGAATCCACTCTGGCCTCTTGTTCAGCCTCTGAGGTAGACAAGGCCCCAGGTGGCCTCCACACAGCCGGTGAAGGGAGCTGGTGCCTCTCAGGCCGTCCCGAGGCAGTGGAGGAAAGAGAACCACTAATCATAAATGGCCTGGTTCCGAGAAGGGTTTTTTTGCCCCGTGTCTAGTTCTTGCTTTTAAATTATGTGAATTTAACATTATTCTCCATAATATACCTATGTGTTAACATTTTAGATTACTAATGAATTTAATTAACAGTTTCTCTCCCAACAGGCAAAACTGACACAGCACATAGACACACCACATTTACTCTGTTGCTTTCAGTGTGACTAACCCAAAGGAACCTGGCAAGCAGGAGAAACCAGACCTCCCGGCGCTCCCAAGCCACATCCCTATCCTGGCTTCTTCCCCATAGAGTCTAAATCATCTAAAGGAGGTGAGGTGGCCATATGTACCTTACAGGGGTGTTGTATGACTTTGAAGAAACAATAAACAACACAAACAGAAGTCCCCAGCTTAGTCCTGGGCACACGGCAGGTATTCAACACGTCAGCTGTCCACCTCAACCTCAGCCCACCTCCACCAGCTCTAGCATACATTCTACAGAAGACAAAGTTAAAAACAGAAAAGTAGGATTGCCTGAGGTCAGCAGTTCGAGACCAGCCTGGGCAACATAGGGAGAACCAGTCTCTATGCAAAATAAAACATTTTAAAAAATTGGCCAGATGTGGTGGTGGGCGCCTGTTGTCTTAGCTACTTGCAAGGCTGAGGCAGAAGATCATTTGAGCCCAGGAGTTTAGGAGGCTGCATTGAGCTTTGATTGCACCACTACACTCTAGCCTGGGTGACAGAGCAAGACCCTGTCTCAAAAAAAAAAAAAAAAAAAAAAAAAAAAGTATGCTCTGACAGTAATCTATAGAATGTCACACAGTACACCATATATCAGTGGTAGATACGGCCTGGCACTTCAACCTGTGTCCAAGTACCATCCTGCAACTAAGCCTCAGAGGTGATCTCTCTCATTATCTGGCTATGGCGAAAGACAGCTCTTGATACTCTCCTTCATTCACCATCAATGCTGCAATTTCCCTGTTGAGCCCAGGGAAAACCCGCACGGGCAGCAAGGGAGCCAGTTGACCAGGTTTTCATAAAAGCAGCTACATGCACATCCCTGAAAGAGAGAGTGATGAGGGAGTCCCGGAGAAAAGACACAGCTGTAGTAAAACACTTCAGTTGCCATAAGAACAAAATAGCCTATTAAACACCAGGAAGGGTCCAATGAGAAAAATTTGCTCATCATTTCCTACTTCTATGTTTGGCTTATTTCTAAAATACAGTAATAACTAAATTGGCAAACTAAATTTAAACTCAGCCAAGCATGCTTTCATGCTGAGTTTAGAGGAAAAACAAGCCCCTGCAGCTGACCAAATTAAAGGCAGATCACACCTTCAACTTTTGCCCACCTCTTCCACGTAGGATCAATCATAGATTTCTGACCAAGAAAAATGCAAAGCCATTAAAGCACTTCCCAGACCACATTCTGTAGTCCTACCTCATAGGACTGATGAGAGTTTAAATATGGCTGCGCATGAGGCACTGCATACAAGTTCAGCCGTCAGTGGGCTGATGGTGACCATTCTCACCACATCAAGTCCAAGGTCTCCTCACTTTCAAGGATACCTCCTACCTATCCAACTTTATACTTCAGTATTTCTCAACAAAGGACATCTCCTCTAACCCCTCCAGCCCACACTGCCCGACCGCCCCCAGCTCACATTTCACATGCTCAGGCCCAGGTTCTACACAAAACTGGACCCGGCCAATCTAACGTGCAGCCCAATGTTTAAAAATCAGGATATTCTGCTGGGCACTGTGGCTCACGCCTGTAATCCCAGCACTTTGGGAGGCCGAGACAGGCAGATCACTTGAGGTCAAGAGTTTGAGACAAGCTTGACCAACATGGTGAAATCCCATCTCTAATGAAAACACAAAATTAGCTGGGCACGGTCGTGGGCGCCTGTAATCCCAGCTACTGGGGAGGCTGAGGCAGGAGGATTGCTTGAACCGGGGAGGCGGAGATTGCAGAGAACCAAGATCACCCCACTGCACTACAGCCCGGGTGACAGAATGAGACTCTGTCACCAAAAAAAAAAAAAAAAAAAAAAAAAAAAACCACCACACACAAACAAACCAGGAAATTTTACATAAAACCCCAAATATATGGCTCCTCTAGAAAAATGTGAAAATGAGCAACAGAGGCTTCCAACAGGGCAACAAGCACCAGGAGTAACGAGGGCAGCTGCTCTTCCCACAGGGGCCTGTGCCTCCAGATCCCACCATGCCCACTTCAATGATCTTCCTCACTCGCTGGCTCCTGGCCGGGGACCCCTGATCCTGAGCACACAGTGGGTTCATTTGCATCACAACTATGTTACTACCCCCCTGAAATGTCGACTGTCTGGCAGGACCCTCTCTTTTTGATACCTGCCTTCTCTCCGCTTACATCACAAGCATGTGCAGTTGTCTCTCTGAGCAGCCAGTGACCTCAAGAAACCTCTTTCTTCCCACTTCCTGAATTACTATGAATGAGATACAGCAGGTTCCCAACTCCCTCCACAGGCTCCGCTCTGTGTCACACACTTGCCTCTCAGCTGGGAGTTTGCATCCCTATAAATATACAAATAGTCGCACTACAGACCTTTCGGGCTGCTGTATAAAGTTTTCTGTGAATGACATCCGTGCCTCTCCTAGCAGTCATATATTTTTCCTAGTAAAAATGTTCTGAATGCATACAATGGAATTAAATAAATCACTACAGCATATGAACAAGTTCCCAACCCACTCTAAAAAGATACCTCACTGATGAGCCATGCTTGGCAATGGATAATTACATCCAAGAAGACACAGGACACAGTGGAAAAAACAGAGGACCAGACTCAGGGACTCACGTTCCAAACCCAGCACCAGAACTCACTGCCAAGTGATCAGGGTGATTCGGCTGGCCTCTTAGGACCTGATTTTATTTCTTTCCAATATTTCCTATGGCTTTATAGATGTTTTTGAATATTTTGAGCACTCTTCAAATAATATGGTGCTAGTGAATTTGAGGCAACATCTTGAGACCAATCATTCTGAGCATAAAAATCTATGAAAATGAATAGAATATTTAAAAACTAGATGTGACGGGCCCTTTAACAAGCCAACTTTTGCTTGTTATACCTTTTCAAACTAGAAATGAAGCCACGGAAGCATCTTACAGGTAGACGCTTGTACTGTGTTGGCTGGAGAAACTCACACCATAGCAGAGACTGACAGCGTCTGGCCTGCGTGCACTGCTGAATGCCTGCGGGATGGGTATGGCCTCTTCCTCACCACGTCTAAATGCAAGCTTCTAGAAACTGAAGACAAGGCAGCTGGGGAGGGAGCAGACTGTCATTAACTTTAGAACTCCTAACTTGGGCTTCAACAACACAGATGGTTCTGAATGACAGACCACCATATGAAATCCATCTTCTCTCTGCCTGGAGGAATCTCATAGTCCAGTGGCATGGTCTGCCAGGGAGAGAAAAGGTTTCCTGTGTTGTGAATTCTGCATGGAAAAAGCTACACAAAAGCAACTAACTCTTAGCCGCAGTCTCAAATGGAACCATATGAAGGAGGCACGTACCAGGTCGATCAGGTCGCTGAGGTTTTTCTCGATTTGCTGGGGAGGCAGGCGCCTCATTAGGTCCAAGGCACAGTCCAGCTGCTGATCACTCTGTGGAGGGAGAAATACAAGTGCGTCAGTCATTTTTGCCAGAAGGAATATCAAAAACTCCTTTTAAAAAGCATGCTTGCCCAAGGCATTCTAAAACCCAAAGAGCCACGCAGTGGGCCCTCCGCCAGGTCTCTGTGTGCCAGCAGCCTGGAGCGGGGGGCGACTGTGCAGGCTGTTTGCTCCCCTTTGACAGCAGTCTCTGTCTCAAGTGGGGGCATCCAAAAGACCCTGAAAGAAGTGGAAGCAGGCTGGAGACGTCAGAAAGCTCCCTCACCGGCTCCCCTGCTCCTGCTCAACAGGCCCTGGTGGCTGCAGATGTCGTGCCCCCCAGTTGGTTCCATGGTGAACACACTCCAGTAGCGGATTACTTTTGCCCTTTGTTGTAACCTGGGTGTAAACATCAGGTAACATCCCCAGGCCAGGTTCCTTGAGAAGCTCCAAGGGAGGGAGAAAAGCCAGGCAAAGAACAAGTGGCAAGATGCACACGGGGTTAAAAGTGCTTCATTCATTCAATAGAAACTTAGGACACTAAGACCTGAACCACACTACAGTCAAGAGCTCACTCCACCCAGCAAACTGGACTGCAAATGCAGTAAACTATGTCACTGCAGAGGCAAGGACTGGAAAGACAACCATTACTCTTGTTTATCAAGCACTCTTTTAAAAAATGTTTTTCATTTTTTAAAGATAGGGTCTTGCTGTGTCACCCAGGCTGGAGTGTAGTGGCATGATCTTGGCTCCCTACAACCCCCACTTTCCAGGCTCAAGTGATCCTCCCACCTCAGCCTCCAAAGTAGCTGGGACCACAGGTGCATGCCACCACACCTGGCTAATTTTGTAGTTTTTTTTGGGGGGGAGGGGGGGAACATGGGGTTTTGCCATATTGCCCAGGGTGGTCTTGAACTCCTGGGCTCAAGCAGTCGAACTGCCTTGGCCTCCCAAAGTGCCGGGATTACAAGCATGAGCCATCGTGCCCAGCCCAAGCACCTTTTTAAAGCTATGCATCCTGTGCTTCACCATACTCTCCTCACAGTACATATGCTGCAAATATTTACTCAGAGCCACCATGTGCCAGTCACCATAAACATATAAAAAATAAATAAATAAAGGGAGGGGGAGAGGAAGGGAACAGAGCGGAGGCAAGGCTGGTAAAATGCAAAGTAAATTCAATGCACAGTGGGTTCTAACACAGAAGGCTAGACCTCAGGAGATGAGACAAGAAATAAAGTGAGAAAGGTGGGCCAGGTACAAGGGTGAAGACCTGTGTATGCAACTCTTAGAAGTACAGGTGACTCCAAGTAAGGCAGATGGAGTCCCCAACACTACCCAAGCAGCCACTATCTGATTTGTATCTGGAATCTGCTCTGCTCAGACCAATTTCAGGATTTTTGGAAGGCCTAAATCAACAAGCTACAGTCTCATAAAATACACAAAGTAATCCTCAAAATGCCACATTTGGCCTTAACGAAATATAACTTTTGAATATTACCGTTTACACTCCAGGTCTGTTAACCACAAGTAGGCCGTGGGGCAAGGACCCACTTCATAGTCACCAGAGACATAACACATTATTAAGGAGAGTCAATTTCATTTTTTTAAAAAAAGATATTGACATGGCATATACAGCCAGCTGTTTTAAAAAAGAATGAAAGAAAAGAAAAAGCCTGTCCCTTGCTCAAGATGGCTATCAGTGACAGTTCATCCTGGAACACACAACGAACTGGCTCCCCTGCAAAGAGAAAAGAAAAACACCACACCAGAAATTCTACCACTTGTTTTGCTGAATGCCAGCAACCATGAATTCCCTACTTGTGCCACGCATTTCTATGCCAACATGTGTCAGCCAAGGCCACAGTGATGGGTTTGGCCCACTGGCATGAGAGGAAATTTTAACACCACGTCTTGGGCAGAACACACAGATAAGCTGATTCGACTCTAGAGAGACATATTCAATTCCCAATACTGCCATTCATTAACTTATGGCCTTGGGTGGGTTTCTTAATCTCTAGAAGTCTCTATTTATTTATCCATAAAATGGGAACACAGTATCTTCCTTAGAGAGTGACAATAATTTAGTAATGCATGTGGAACATTTAATACACAGTAGTATGTGTTTAATGATTGGGGATATTGAGTGCATACAAATAAACATACAGCTTTTAAATCTTTTTAAAAATTTTAAATGATTCCCCTGCCCAACCTCCCCGCCCCTCAACCCAGCCCTGGATCTCTCTCTCTCTCTCTTGCTCCCCTTAAACTAGAGCTAATGTTCAAACTCAATACAAAGCTACGTATTCTCTTGGCCAAGCAAGAATAGAAAACCCTAAATGATTCAAGTCAAACTCGTTAAAAGGTATAAACTAGTATTTCTCAACTAGGGATGATTTTGCACACGTGCACACACATACACACACACCTCCAACAACCCTGCCAGGAGACATCTGGCAATGTATGGAGACATTTTTGTCACAACTGGGAGAGAAGAAACTACTGACATCTAATGGGTAGGGGCCAGGGATGCTTCTAAACATCCCAAAACGCGATACACAGCCTCCCCACAACAAAGAATCACCCGGCCCAAACGTTAATAGAGTTAAGGCTGAGAAGCCCTGGGCGAAAAATAATTGGTTTGGGGGCTGCAGATTCCCAGAATCTGATTGACAATAAAGTCCCCCTCAGGAAGACTGCACATGCAGGCAAACGTTTTATATATAATTCTAATTTAAAGACCACACATACACTTTGGGAGGCCAAGGCGGGCGGATCATGAGGTCAGGAGATTGAGACCATCCTGGCTAACGTGGTGAATCCCCGTCTCTACTAAAAATACAAAAAAATTAGCCGGGCGTGGTGGCGGGCGCCTGTAGTTCCAGCAACTCGGGAGGCTGAGGCAGGAGAATGGCATGAACCCGGGAGGCAGAGCTTGCAGTGAGCCCAGATCACTCCAGCCTGGGCGACAGAGCGAGACTCCATCTCAAAAACAACAACAACAACAACAACAACAACAACAAACCCACACATAACCCCTAAAAATTTCTGGTCTTCAGAAAGTATCTCAACTAGATATTAGCAATCCTCCTTATAAATGAAAAGCAAATTAAGATATAAGTAAGCCTGTCTAATTTGAAACGGTGATCCAGACAGAACACAGAAGGGATTAACTAGAAAACTGAGCAGTGTTATCTAGGAAAAGACCTAAGTTGACCAGAGAAGCTCAAGGTGAAAGACACTGTTTTAACCCTTCTTCGGTGCCTGTTCACAAGCCCAGTTCCAATATGCTGATCACATCCCCACCCCGCAAGGGGCCGGACAGTCCTCTGTAGACCTGTATCTAGTTGACAGCACTAGAATACTACTACAAAAGGATCTGACTCATATTTTGCATTAATCCCAATTAATCTTAATTGGAAATGTTTCACTACAAATTTCTAAGGTTAAGGATGTTTAACTATCATTCAATGAGGAAATGACTAAATGCTTCCCATAAGTGAAGCAACATGGGAAAGCTTAATGACAGCTTTTAAGACGTTAAAATTAGAGTTAACTGGAGCCATTTGCTTGGGAGTCATCCCAAACCCTAAGGGGTCCAAACAGGAAACGGTACCGGAGAATGAAGCAGATGTGGATGACCTTCAGCTACAAGCAACAACGTAAGTGACCCAGGAAATGGAACGATGGGGACAGAGGGAGGGGGCTAGTCCCAGGGGCCTCCCTAGGATGCTGTCACTTTTATATAAAGCTCAATAACAAGCAATAGTGAACATTCTTTTTTTTTTTTTTTTTTTTTTTTTAAAGATAGGCTCTCACTCTGTCGCCCAGGCTGGACTGTAGTGGCACAAGCTCAGCTCACTGCAACCTCTGTCTCCTGGGCTCAAGCTATCCTCCCATCTCAGCCTCCTAAGTAGCTTGGATTACAGGCACACACCACCATGCCTGGTTAATTTTTGTTTTTCTTGAGACAGGGTCTCACTTTGTTACCCAGGCTGGAGTATAGTAGCACAATGTCGGCTCACTGTAGCCTCCACCTCCCAGGCTCAAGCCATCCTCCCACCTCAGCCCTCCAAGTAGCTGGGGGGCCACCATGCCTGGCTAATTTTTTGTAGTTTGGTAGAGATGGGGTTTCACCATGCTGCCCAGGATGGTCTCAAACGCTTGACCTCAAGCGATCCGCCCACCTCGGCCTCCCAAAGTGCTGGGATTACAGGCATGAGCCACCATGCCCAGCCAATTTTTCTATTTTTTGTAGAGATGGGGTTTTGCTATGTTGCCCAGGCTGGTCTCAAAGTCCTGAGCTCAAGCGATCCATCTGCCTCAGCCTCCCAAAGTGCTGGGTTTGCAGGCGTGAGCCACTGCACCTGGCCATGAACACTCTTATTATTTAGACACGTGTTTTAGACTAATATAACAAGGCTTTTTTTTTTCTTTAAGCCAAGACAAAGGTATGATAAATACAACATTTAAGAAGAGTAGAAGAGCAGTTCTAGGGAAGCCATGAGGGGAAGATGAAAGCTATACTGTCTAGGTCTCACATGGAATGGCAGGTTCAAGGGTATTCATCATCAACGTGATGCTTAAGTTATGATTATCAGATATCTAAACTTTTTTTAAAGGTAATAGAAAAAACTACAAGTATGCAGGGAGTGGTGGTGCGTGCCTGTAGTTCCGGCTACTCGGGAAGCTGAGGCAGGAGGATCGTTCAAGCCCAGGAGTTCTGGGTTGTAGTGTGCTATGCCCATCAGGTGTCCGCACTAAGTTTGGCATCAATATGGTGACTTCCTGGGAGCAGGGAACCACCAGGTTGCCTAAGGAGGGGTGAACCGGCCCAGGACAGAAACGGAGCAGGTCAAAAAATACAAGGAAGAGCAAGTAAAGAGAGGGCTTAGGACTCAGGAGTCCAGGGTCCAAGGTATGCCCTGTCACTAGACGTCTGTGTGCTTTGGACTGCTCACTTAACCTCGTGGCCTGGGATTTGGCCCAGATGAACTCTAAGACTCCTTCTAGATGGAGTGCCCTCTATCCTACTGCGAGAGCAGACATGCCTAACCGCCACACCCTTCAAAACAAGACCATCATCCTGGATTTGGCCGCTTGCAGGCCAGCAACTGGGCTACAGTTCAACAACTGTGCACTGAGTGCCAACCCTGGGCCAGGCCCTGAATCCGGCCCAACAAATGAGACCCAGTCCCAAGCCTCAAGGAACCAATTGTCCATAAAACAGCAAATAACCACAAGGTCGTGTGGTGTGTACAATGATGAGACAGAGAAGGTACAAAGAGACAAGGCACAGTTCACAATACACTGATTTGTACTTCTTTGTGTCAATTATTTTCCTAGGACTTCCCTCCCTCACATGGCTACAAAATAAACAGAAGGCCAGTCAGGGGAAGTAAACTGTCACCTGGTGGCTAAGAGCTCTCCACAGGCCAGCTCCTTCAAAACTCTGACTGGTCCAGGCACCTCCTTCATACAATGAGCTTCACCAGTTCCACCACCCAATGGTGTGTTCCAGGTGGAAAGGTAAATAGTAAAAGAAGGACCATTTCTCCTTATCCTCTGGAATTCTCTGTCCATTCAATTAATCATCTGATCATTATGTGAGTGTTTCCTAGGTAACAAGCACTGTTTCTGATGCTGAGTGGTGAACATAAAAGTCTCTGCTCCTCATGGAGCTTATGGTGCAGTCAAAATCAGTGTGGAAAAAAAAAATCAAGGAAGAGTCCTTGTTAGGATGTCAAATAATAAGGAGGGGAGTTACCCCATTTTAAGCTGGCAAGGCTCCAAGGGGTAGGTTTAGGGGGTTTTTTGTGTTATTTTCTTATTTTGGTATATAAACTGAGATAAGAAATATTTCACCTCCTGTTTTCACATGATTTAAAGAAAAAGCATAAAATTGCTTAAATCACCCTGCAATAAATAAAACCACCATTAATACGGACTAAAACAATTTTTCAGAATAAGAAATCAGTCAAATAAAACCCCACCATCTAAATATCTGCTACAGTGTTCAGACATCCGACGGTATTATGAAATCATCTGCATACAGGAAAACTTGGCCTACTAGGCAAACTCCAGGGCAAAGTCTGATTTGGAAACCATCAAGTGAGATGTAACCAGTACCTACACTCCAAGTTTGGTAGAGTAAACACACCATCTACAACAATGTCAATGTCAGAGTACAGGTGCCCACTAAGTAGGGCAGGGAGCCCCAGAAGATGTCTCAGAATGGGGCCACAGGAGCAGGTTAGCCCTGGATAAGCAGGTGTGCCTTTCCAGGCAGCAGGTGCAGCAGGCTAAGGAGAGGTGAGCCAGGTGCGTGGAGGAGGAGGTGGGGAACCATGGGGCATGGCCTGGGGAGGTGACTGGGGCCTTGTCACAAGAGCCAGATCACACCCAAACTACTCAGGGGGCAGCTATGCTGGCCCGAGGAGCTAGGCTCAGAATCTCACTTCTCCCCGCAGTTTTTTGCTCCTGTCCAGTTTATAGGTAAGGCATCTGTGCCACATTCTTTAAAATCCACTTTTCTGTGAAGGTTTTGGAGCCCCTAGAGATTTTTCCACAGGGGAATGACGACTGCTGTTGTGACTTAGAAGGCGAAGCAGATTATATTTTCCAAAAATGACCATAACAAGCAGTCCCATCCCACATGCTCCTCTTGCAGCGTGACTGTGACACTCCTCCCACTTGTGGTGGGGCGGGGGGGGGCTGTGTCCCCTCCGCCTTGGAACCGGAGGAGCTTTTGTAACTTTTTATCATCAGAGCCCAGCACAAATGATGCCCTATGACTTGTGAGCCCACAAGAGACAACGCGGCTTCTCCCTGCCTGCTAAACACACAGGCCTGGAGCCCACTCAACTGCCCCGAGGCCACCCTGTGCAGAAGACTTCCTGAGACTCCATGGACAGAGGGAGGCCCACTGAGCCCCCAGGTGCTCCAGGCTCCCACTGTTCCAGCTTCAGCTATCTGACTGCAATAGTATGAGACCCCAAGCCAGAACCACCCAGCCAAGGCCCTCCTGAACTCCTGACCCACAGAAACCATCAGAGACAATGAAATGAATTGTTCCTTTAAGTCACTAGGTTTCGGGATGGTTTTGTTAGACAGCAACAGTAAATGACACAGAAGGATTTGTCTGGTGACCTTGGGGAGACAGCCTGACCAGAGACGAAACTGGGGACAGAAGAGCTAGCAGAGGAGCCTCTACAGCAACCAGGTCTCTGGCTGGATGGCCAGAGAGGAGGAGAGCCAAAGACTTTAAGGTCACAACAGATAGGACGAGGTCAGTTACTGGAAATGGGAAGAAGCCCAAGGAGCCTGAGATGACTACGTTTCCTAGCTGGGGCCAACTGCTAGAGGATGGTGCCACAGCCTCACCGGAGTGTGTACGTTTTGTGTGTGCTTTTAAAACCCACTGTTTTTAATTTCAAAGACAGGCACAGGCAGTAACTCAAATTGCTAATGCTTGCAAGCAGAGGTCCTGCTTGGCCTGCTGTAGTGGCTGGTTAAGGCAGATTTGTGCTTAACAGCATCTGTCTGTACATAAACAACCAACCAAAGCTTCAAGGCCTTCAGAGTTTGTTCTTAAGTTCATCAAGACCTTCACTCGTTTACATTCCCGAGAGGCTTAGCAAATAACTTCATAGACAGCACAAAGGTAAACTCTGCTGGCGCCCAGAATGACTTACCACAAATTTATGGAGTCTCACTTAACCATGGTTTGTCTTGTATAATCCGTGACCCAATAAGCAACTTTGTTTAAACGTCGAATCTGTTTTCTGCCATGTGGCCCGGGAACAGTTTGTGCTGGGGGCGATTTGGAGAAGGAATCCTGGGCCGGCCCAGCCGACCACTCATCTTTAGGTCACTCTGGAAAACTGCACATTTTGGATTAATAAAAAGAAAAGTGCTTCCTCCACTGCCTGAGTGTCCTCTGGGATGTGACAATAGCTGTGCAGGAGGGAGATGCCTCAACCACAAACACACGAATACTCCTTGGATGACTTTCTGTTCCCATGGGAAAATCCAATACCCTCGCTGTCAAGGGAATCACAGCCACGACAGAAGTCCACTTGGCGGACCAAGCCTTCTTCAACCTTTTGGGGTCTGCTGTCTACCATCATAGCCAAGTCAATGTCATCTTTTTAAATTGAGGTTTTTTTGTTTGTTTTGTTTTTTAAAAACCATGCAACATAAAAGTAACCATTCTAGTCCTACTCTGACCATAGAGACAAACACAAAACCCTGGGAGATGGCAGGGCAACATGAAGGAAGAGGCTGGCTCTGTGGATGACCCACCAGCCAGAATGGGTGACCTGTTGTTATATGAGAAATAAACTCCTATCTCATCTGAGGAATAAAATGTAACCATTTTAGGGCTGGACATAGTGGCTCACGCCTGTAATCCCAGCACTTTGGGAGGTGGAGGCGGGTGGATCACTTGAGGTCAGGAGTTCAAGACCAGCATGGCCAACATGGTGAAACCCCACCTCTACTAAAAATACAAAAATTAGCAGGGCGTGGTGGCAGATGCCTGTAATCCCAGCTACACGGGAGGCTGAGGCAGGAGAATCACTTGAAACTGGAAGGCGAAGGTTGCAGTGAGCTGAGATCATGCCACTGCACTCCAGCCTGGGTGACAGAGTGAGACTGTCCCACACCCTCCCCCCACCTGCCAAAAAAAAAAAGAAAAAGAAAAATAAGCCATTTTAAAGTGAACAATTCAGTGGCTATGTTAAGGTCATTTGGATTACCGTGAAAACATAACTGCTTTATGTGTCTCTCTCTTTTTTCTTTTATAAACAAGTCTCTCCTTTAAAAAAATTCTGTTGGGATCACAGAAATTAGATCTGGACTGACATCTCAATTTCATCTGAGTCCTGCTCCTTCATTTGACGATGCATAATGAGGTCCAGCGCAAGTTTTGCCAGGTTGCACAGATAGAGGCAAAATCCGCACCTAAACCTGGATCTTCTTCGTGTTTTGAGGCCTGGCTCTGCCCCGAGCCCTTCTCCCCCGTGAGTCTTTCATCCAGGGACTGTGTAAGTGACTGGCAGACACAACCGAACAGTGAGATGAGATTCTCACCCTCAAGGAGCTGTGACCTAAGGTAGAGGACAGCCAGAAAAAAAAAGCAGGAAAGAACTACACCATCCTCCTACATTCAACGCCCAGCATCCCAGCTACCCCATTATTTTCGAGGACTGGTCCTCCCAGTGATTTGTCCAGGTCATCAAGGTATCAACTTTTTAAAAAAATTCTAGAAGACAGCAATCTCTCTAAAATGTATTACCTGCTCTACATTTTTACACAATGCAAATGATCACAGGACAATGCAATGAACACAGCTAAACCATTTCTCATTAGCCTAAGGACAGTGTATGAGTAGCCACTCTTGGAACAGCACCCTGTGTCTGCTTTTTACATTTATCTGCTTCTTCTGCCAGGCTGTCAGCTACACTTCCTCAACTAATATGTTGCTTCTAATCTGCTATGAGGTTGAGAACCCAGAAAATTAGAAATCTGCTCTCATTTCAAACAAAAAAAAAAAAGAAACTCTGAGAGAAGGAATAAATCAGGTTGATAACTTGGGGTCCAGAGTCACAGCCCACAAATAGTTTGTAAGTACCTTGACACTATATGAAGATTACTTCTTCCTTTTCTTGAAGAAGTTCAAGACTCTAAAGGCAGAGATACGATATACTAATAATTCCTACTTTCCCATACAACCTGCATAAGCAAGTCACCACCTCATCCCTTGGAACCTCAGTCTTCTTTAAAACCTGGGTCCGACGGTACTGTCTACCTCACGGGCCACTGGGAATGAGGTACCACGTCTGGGCCATAAGGGCACCGCCCACAGAGCATCCTCCATAAAGGGTAGGAACTCTCCCAGAGAGTAAAGCACATGGCTTATCTGCCAGGACTTTTACATAACATTTTTTAGGTGCTAGAGGGTCCTTTCTGCCTGGATTTTTCCCTCACTTGACACAGGTTTTCCATTCAGGCTGCCAGGAGTCTCTAGAAAGGTAGGCGGAGTGTTATGTCAGTTTCCAAGTCATTAAGCACCCACAAAGGAGGGCAGGCTTGCACAGCACTCACTCCACACAACCGCCCCTGCCCTGAGTACGACGGAGCACATGGCTTCCCTAAAGCCACAAGGAGAAGAGAGGCAGGGACAGTGAGAGCTGAAGGAATTCCACATGTGTCCATGGAAGATCACCTTCCCTTTGTTTTCCTGCACTCTAGTAACTCCCTCATGCAGCTTGCTTTCTGAAGCCCTCTGCTCCATTTCCCCAGCCCAGGACAGCATCAAGAAATATTTCCACCATCTCATCTATTTGAACCTTCTCCCTATTTACTGGTGCTCCCAACCCCATCTGAGGCCATCGAAACCAGACAACTGTGGCAGCACTAGCAGAGTCCCCAAACTACCCTGACACCCTCCCTGGCAAGGAAAATTTCCACGCGCCTCTCCCTGGCATATTTATTCCAGAGGAAAACTTAGCAACCTACACACTACACACAGGCTCTGTGTCAAACTCTACAACAGCCATCAGTTGATCTTTCCCTTACACATCCCTCCAGGAAGTGAAATATCCGAAATGAGTCATACTCAGGAGTCGGAGCTATACTTCCACTGTAGTTTTTTTGGATAACCAATTCACTGTTTACACTCCAAAACCTCTAATTGCTGAACACAGAACAGTTCCTTTGCAGAGATCAAAGCTTACCTGGTGAACCTGGCGAAATGACAAAAATTCTCCAAAAGGAGTTAGCCATCCAGAGTGCCAGAGGAGGGTGGCTGTACAAGCACATTTTAATTGGCAAAGCAGAGTCGCTGCCCAGCAAGGAAGAGTATGCAGGGGTTTATTCTGCTGCTCTTCTATTTCCCCTTTAAGGCATATATCTCTTACCCCTGCACCCACCAACTTTAGTCACTCCTAGCACACAGCTGGCGGCCGCCCACCCGCACCCGCACCTGCACCCGCACCTCAGAGAGCTTGCTGATCCCTGAGCCGTGCACTGAAGCTTCCAAGCAGCTCTACCTAAAGGCAAGCACTGCCTGCTTTTTACAACATATACAATGGGCTAACCTGATGCACAGAAAAACCCTGGGTCACATGACAACCAACAAACTCATTGCTCAGGATGGCTCTCCGCCACGTTTCTCAGGCACTGTGCTTGGCTCTGCTGGCCAACTGAGTGAGCTGGAGCATTTTCTCTTGGGTGTGCATACCCCTCCACCTGTCCAACTTTAAAACACAGAATCAACAGGGATGTTACACTAAAGGGGACCCTAGAAACCATATAAACGGTGGAAAATTGAGGCCTGGACTGACCCATAACAAATGAGACATCACATAATGGCAAATGAACCATGACCAGAAAACAAATCTCTTTAGTACACAGTTTAGCGCTTCTGCTTATACAGGTTGAACAGCCCTAACCCAAAAATCCAAATCCCAAACTTTTTGAGCGAAGACATGAGGCTCCAACGAGCATATCAGACTTTCGGATTAGGAATGGTCAACCAGTAAGTTCTGCAAATATTCAAAATCTGAAAAGAATCCAAAGAAGTCTCAAATCCAAAATGCTTCTGGTCCCAAGCATTTCGGATAAGAAACCTGTAGTTTAATCATCAGTCAAAATTTAAGAATAGAGTTGATTTTGGGCCGGGCACGGTGGCTCATGCCTGTAATCCCAGCACTTTGGGAGGCCAAGGTGGGTGGAGATCAGGAGATCAAGACCATCTGGCCGAGGTCAGCAGATCAAGACCATCCTGGCTAACACGGTGAAACCCCGTCTCTACTAAAAATACAAAAAATCAGCTGGGCGTGGTGGCGGGCGCCTGTAGTCCCAGCTACTTGGGAGGCTGAGGCAGGAGAATGGCGTGAACCCAGGAGGCGGAGCTTGCAGTGAGCCGAGATTGCACCACTGCACACCAGCCTGGGTGACAGAGTGAGACTCCGTCTCAAAAAATAAAAAATAAAAAATAAAAAATAAAAAAAAAGAATACAGTTGATTTTATCCAAGAAAATACTACTTCGGGCTGCAAGCAATGGCTTACACCTGTAATCCTAGCACTTTGGGAGGCAGAGGTAGGCAGATCACTTGACCCCAGTAGTTCAAGACCAGCCTGGGAAACACAGCGAGACCCCGTCTCTACAAAAAACTTTTTAAATTAGCCAGGTGTGGTGGTGCATGCCTGTAGTCCCAGCTACTCGGGAGGCTGGGGCGGAAAGATCACCTGAGGTTGAGGCTGCCCAGTCTGCATAACAGAATGAGATCCTGTCTCAAAAAAAAAAAAAAAAAAAAAAAGAAAAAAAAAGAAAATACGCTTTGACTCTTTTGAATAAAATTCTACATTATTAGCATTAACAATGGCAGTATTAAGAATATTTATATATTGTCCAGACTGGGCACACTGGCTCACATTTGTAATCCCAGCACTTTGGGAGGTCGAGGTAGGCAGATCATTGAGGCCAGGAGTTCAAGACTAGCCTGGAGAACATGGCAAAACCCCATCTCCATCCAAAATACAAAAATTAGCCAGGCGTGGTGGTGTATGCCTGTAGTCCTAGCTACCCAGGAGGCTGAGGTATGAGAATCACTTGAACCTAGGTGGCCGAGTTTGCAGTGAGCTGAGATAGCACCACCGCACTCCAGCCTGGGTGATAAGGTGAGACCCTCTCTCAAAAAAAATTTGAAAAAAAGAATACTTATATATTGTCCAGATAATTTTATTTTTATTTTTAAGTGAATTGATCTTTATTAAGAATACTAGGTATCCAAAAGGCAAACCAATTTCAAACGCAAAAGGGAAGGAAACTAACAACTGCTAAGGGTGGCCCGGCATGGGCCAGGCGCTGCACCCTGTGGGTTTCAGGAGAGCCTCACAACAGCTGCAGGAGGTGGCTCTTGGGTACCCCAGTTTCACAGATAAGTAAAATGAGGCCCTGAAGGGTTAGGTGACTTGCCCCAGAGCACTGAATGACACAGAAGGACATAACACAGGTCCCCTCCCATGCCCAAACATTCTCCAAAGAATGTTAAACACTCCCAATGAAATAAAATTAATTTCTAACGACTTGTAGGGAACAACTTGCAAGCTCACAAAATCAGATAGGGGCAATGAGTCTCTTCTCCCGGGATGAACAAATTATGGACAATGTCATCTACTACCAAATTCTGAAATCTGTCACCGTGGATTACAGACGGTATTCTCACAAACACTATCCCTGGCAGGTGGATTTGTCGAAAACAAGAAAGCCTCTCCCACACAGTTTCTCTGGTTGACGGTTTCCTGGACCCCTTGAGAAGATCTGCAAGGCGCCATCACCTTGTGTCTGATCATTAATGTTTCACAGATGTCTACAGCTGCTGCCTCCACATGATCCTGGCTGGTTTCATGTAACAAGCGACTAATCCCTGCACTTTGTCAACTGGCAGTTAGACACATAATTATGGGCAATCCTGAGACGTCTTCAAGGGATGCCGTACATGTTGTCCATTTCCCACTCAATGGCACGAGAAATTCAAGAAGCCTTTCACAAAAGTGGAAGCTGAGTAAAGCAGGGTGCTCCTGTCTTCCAAATAACAGTTAAAAGAAAAAACAATTCAGAAAAATGTCGACCACGTGTTCACTGACGAAGGCTAAGAAAAGTAAACTCCTTTTTTCATAGCAGAAGCAGCCAATTCACATAAACCAAACAGATTTATAAGATGGCCTAGATGAAATCTATAATATTTGGACACAGGTTTACTCCAACAAAACCCTGCACATGGCTTCCAAAGACATCGGGGAGAAGCTTCAGTCCAACCTGCAAACAGCACAAACGGGCATGTCTGGATGGGAAAGCAAAAAGGTTTAAAGGATCTGGAAAAAACGAAGGCTCCATCAATCCAAATATTTTATCTAGAAGGGGGTGGTGCTGCTTTTTTGACTTATGTCCAAAAGGAAGCTTGAGGAAAAGAACACAGTGCTTATTGATCCAACAAACCACTTGGGCTATTTCTTCCCTGGGCTCTTGGGCTCCAATTTCAGATGCCTGTGTGTGACTCAATATGGAAGACTCTATCAAATCTCTATTTGTCCCTGTCGGCCTTCCCCATCCAGCTCAAGGGTAACTCTATTACAGCACCACGCTCTACACTGACACCATGGGCCCAGCACTGCAGAGCACAACAGAATTCTGCAACAACTGGCCCTCTGGCTCCCCTAAATAGATCACCAAAGTTTTAAACATATTTTAGTGACAGAAATGTACAATGCAACACTCTACCCACCCATGATACCTTTGCAAACTTAACCCAAGACCTGTCATAACGTTGCCCTCTTCCAATTAATGTCAGGACCCACTGGGTAGGGAGATGCCTGAAACATGACATCCTTTGGGCTTCGATTTTCCAGACCAAAGACAGAGTCCTTGAAGGTCTGCAGCTGGCAGAAAGACCTTGGAAGTAAGACAGACAAGAGTTCAAAGCCCATACTCGCCATTTCCTAGCAATTAAGGTCTGAATAATTCCTTCACCTCTCTGAGCCTCGATTCCTTCATCTGTTTAGCGGCAATAATAATCAAACCTATCTTACAGGGTTATTTTGAGAACAATATCACAAAATATGTGTAAAGAAAGTAGCATAGTTCCTAAAACAACAAATATTCAATTAAATAAAAAAAAAACAAAAACAGGCATTGGCTGGGCATGGTGGCTCACATCTATAATCCTAGCACTTTGGGAAGCTGAGGCAAGAGGACAGCTTGAGGCCAGGAGTTTGAGACCAACCTGACCAACAGAGTAAGCCTTTTTTTTTTTTAAGGGTTAAAAAAATACAAAACAGGTATTATCACCATCTTCTTATACAGAACTTCATTTCAGAAAACATAAGATTATAATGTTTCTAGCCAACGCAGTGGCTCATGCCTGGAACCCCAGCACTTTGGGAGGCCGAAATGGGAGGATCACTTGAGCCTAGGAGTTCAAACCAGCTTGGGCAACACGGTAAAACCCCGTCTCTACAAAAAATACAAAAATTAACTGGGCATGCCTGTAGTCCCAGCTATTTGGGAGGCTGAGGTGGGAGGACAGATTGAGCCTGGGAGGTCGTGGCTGCAGTGAGCCACGATTGTGCCACTGCACTCCAGCCTGGGGGACAAAACACCCAAAAGGCAGGAGAGTGGGTAGCCACAGAACAAGGGGCCTGATAATCAAGTCAGTCAAAAAGTTTTTTTTTTCCTTTCTGTCTCAAAGGAAAAAAAAAAACACACTCATTATAATATGGAATTAAACATATACACGCACACTCTCACTTATGTAAGTTAACATTCCCTAAAGGCATGAGAGTGGGTAGCCCCGGAACATGGGGCCTGAAAATCAAATCAGTCAAGGCCGCTCCTTTTTGGTTCTTTTGGGTAAGCCAAAATGATCTTTACTAGTGGAAACATTATTCCTCCATCAACAGACAAGTTTCCTGAGAGCTGGTGAACATCTTGCCAACAAGACATATTTCGCAAGCTCAAAACCTTTCTTTCCATCCCCAATCAAACGCTGAGTGTTATGTCTCAAGAAGAAAGCTGGCTGAGGAAGGAGCTTAACATCCTTCCATGAGCAAAAAGAATTAAAGAAAGGGAAGCAACAAGTTCCAGTTCCAAAATAGCTTTTTGATAACTAGGAACTAAGCCCAGCCCTGGACAGTATTACTGACTCTCACCACCACCTAAAGCAGGCTCTGCCAAACACAGCACAACAACCAACTGCTACTAACAACTTTCACTAAGCAGGTAGTGCACGGCAGGCGCTGACTTAGGGCTTAAAACACAGCTATAATAGTAATAGCTAAAACTTATTAAGCCATTCTTCTAAGTGCTTTATATGCCAATATCTCATGTAATCTTAAAAATGAACCAAGGAGTTAAGTGCCAGTATCAGTCTCAGATGCAGAAACTGAGGTACGGAGAGAGTGGTGAGCTTACACATTTAAATGGATGGCAGAGCTGGGGTTCAAAGGCAGGTGCATCTGACCCCAGAACCTGTGTGCCTACTCAATACTCCACAGAGCCCAGCAGCTGGGCCACCTGTGCTAAGAACCACTGCCATCTCTTTGTTTTAAAGTCTCCAAAAGAAGAGGAGCGGGTTATTTAGCACCTACTTTTGCACAGTTGAGTCACAAGTGAGGAAGGCAGCACCGCTCTCTAGTTAAGGATACAGGTTGGAAAGCAAGATTGTCTGCATTCAAATCCTGACTCCACCGGGTCCCAGCTGTGTGACCTTGGACAAGTCACTAAACTCTTCTGAGCCTCGAGTTCCCCCATCTATAAATGAGGGTAGTAACACAGTAGTCACCCCTTATCTGCAGTTTTGTTTTTTGGCAGTTTCAGTTACCTGTGGTCAACCATGGTCTGAAAATACTAAGTGGAAAATTCCACAAACAATTTGGAAGTTTTAAATTTCACGCCGTTCTGCGTGATGAAATCTCATGCCTTCCCACTCCATCCTGCCTGGGACATGAATCATCTTTTTGTCCCGCGTATCCACACTGTACAAGCTATGTACCCGTTAGTCACTCAGGAGCCAGCTCGGTTCTCAGATCCACTGTCATGGTGTCACAGTGCTTGCGTTCAAGTTACCCTTATTTTGCTTCATAATGGCCCTAAAACACAAGAGTAGTGATGCCAGCAATTCAGATATGCCGAAGTGAAGACAAAAGGGCTTCTTTAAGTGCAATTTCTCAATTTAATAAAGGAAGGGAAAAACTATATGCGGAGACTAAGATCTATGGTAAGAATGAGTCTTCTATCTAAAATTTTGAAGGAAAAGAAATTTGTGCTAGTTTTGCTGTCACACCTCAATGCAAAGCATATAGGGTTCGATATTATCTGTGGTTTCAGGCATCCAATGGGGGTCTTGGAGTATATCCCCCATAGCTAAGGAGGGACAACTGCTATACATACATTATACTGTTATTTTAAGGATTATGTGGGGGTAATCCTCATTCAGCATCTGGCACATACCTGGGACATAGTCACTGCTCCATAAATTCTACATGTTAAGTCAACAGAAAAGAGGAAGAAACAAGAAAGTAAAAGCATATAATCTAACAATTTCACAACAAAGGCCTCGCTGGCCTTCTGCCAACCTCCAGAAAACAGTGCTGGACTCTGTGTACCCGCAGTGTGGCTGGGACTGCAGACACCAGG
The DNA here is from genome assembly GCF_000001405.40 of Homo sapiens. Classification (NCBI taxonomy): domain Eukaryota; kingdom Metazoa; phylum Chordata; class Mammalia; order Primates; family Hominidae; genus Homo; species Homo sapiens. Next base: position 19,436,943 of record NC_000001.11, read on the forward strand.
AAGACCTTGGGACCTGTGGAGCCTGGATGGTTCAGTTGTCTGAGCCAAGGAGGGCTGGATTAGGCTCAGTGATCGAAGCTGAGCAAGTTTCAGCACATACCTCTACAAAGTGGACGCCCAGGGATGGCTGATATGATGATTCTTTAGGAAGCCAAATGCTCAGTTTCTCAGAAAGGTGTTTTCCTGTTTCATGACAGATAAAAAGGTTTCTCATCCAGACAAATAAATCTGCTGACTGAGAGCTTTCATTAAAAGCAAACAGTCTTGCAATAAGGAACCGTAAGCTAGGAAGGCCTTCCATGAATATATGAAATGTCACAAGTCCTCAGCCTGTGTCTGAGAGTGAGAGAGGGAGAAATTTGAGAAGGTGCTGACCAGCTCAAAGACTGGGATATCATAACCCTAACAACATCCAGTCAGTACATTCCTCACCTACAAACGAAAATCACAGGCAAGGCCACGCACCGCTGAGTCCCAGGAGACACACCTTCCCAAATAAGTGTTTGGGTGGGTTGCTGTTAACTTCCAATAAAGCAGATAAATGTCATCAATTGCTTCCTGTCTTCAGGTCTTGTCAATACAGAATGCTAAGTCCGCTAGCCTCGAAAGCCTGTGTACCTTCCACAGTCTTAAAGACTTGATGGGAAACTGGAAAAGCAATCAGGAACAGAACACCATGGGCACGAGACTCATTCCAGGTACTGTCACAGCAAGATACCCTTCTAGTATTCCAAAGCTAGGAACACACCTCCCCTTGCTCCCGCCAGCCCAGGGAAACCGAATAAGCTGTTTACCAGGGACCCCAGCAAAGCGAGCCTCAAAACTCACCAGTGGGAGAACTTCATGACACAAAGAGAAAACATTGTTGCTTTCATTTGCCAATTTTTAAATACTTAGCTCATAAGTTCTGTGACCAAAACTAATAGAAGGCTCGGGAGGAGAGCTCGGAAAAGCAGAGGGGGTTGTTTTCCTAGGCTCCTTCCTCTAACACGAAGGTGGAAATCAATTCGCTTTCCCCTTCTAACCCTTGAATCCCTGGAGAACGATCGTATTTGGATGGCCTACGAATGCTCAGCTTTCCAGTAGTGCCCCAGACGAGGAATCCATCCATCCAAGTATTGTTCTTACCTCCCACTACCTCCTACGTCAGGGGAGGGGACCGGGCACATGGTTCCGAGGTCATGCTCCTCACTTAGAGGATCGTGGGAATGCTTACGGAAACACTTGTCACGGCGCTGCCAGCTGGAATCGCTGCTTAAGAAGAGGCTGGAAAACTAGGGAGTGCGCGATCAGAGACGGGAGGCTGGGGAGAGCAGGGAGGCAGATGTTGTGTGTTATCACTGAAACAAACACAAGCCATCCAGTTGTGCACTTCAGCTACGTGCGGCTTAGCGTACTTCGATAATGCCTCCAGAAAGTCAGGGAAAGGAAATACAGAGGAAGCTGGGCCTCTCTTCTACCACCTCGAAACTGTCCTGCTGCCAAACAGATCTGGGAAAGCAGGTTTTAATGAGAAAATTCAATTAAGAAATAAACTTAAGTAACCCCATAGCATGCTGAGTGAAGAGAGGAGCCTTTCTCAAGTGTCTTAGTGCCGAGGAGTGGACCAAGGGGCTCTGAAAAATGACCAATGAGGCTTCCCGCCACTCAGAGGAAGCCAAGCTCAGAAAGGCCACGAAGACCATCCTCGCTTAAGCGCGGGGCCAGATTCCAAGGCCAGGTCTGCTCCGCCTCATCCATTTCTTGTGCTGCTTCCCAGTGAGACTCAGCAGAGGACACACGAGGCCACATGAGGTACTCACATCAGGATCTCAGCTCTCTAACACAGGGAGGGGTGCAACGAAGGCAAGGACACAGGTGCTGTGCGTGACTCCCCACCGGGGCCGGCGGGCACTGGGTGGCTCAGAGATCATTAGGAACGGTCGCTCCCTCCCTTTCTCCTGGTTTCCCTTCTGTCCTCTGATAGAGGAAAGTGGCTTAGATCATTCTCACAGGAAGATTAAATCCAGAGCAAGGGAAAGGGATAGGAATCCGTTTCCAATCAATGATGGAAACCAGATTCCCTCATCAGTTGGGATTCATTCTTACATGTTGTAAACATCACAGAGCTCCACCCATGGCTACAAGCGTTCAGGAGGTATGAAGCATGGTGGCACATCCTGGGTGAGAGCTGCCTGTGGCCAAGAAGCCTCCCGGCTTGGGCTGGCCCATCTGAGGGACAGGAAGCAACACGTCTCTTGGAAGTTATCCCCAAAACTCCCATCTCAGAAAGGTGAGATAAAGCACAAGACTGTCCCACTCTTGTAAATGTTCTATATTTACAGGAATAAAGTTTTAAAACCATCTTAGACAACTATAACCTCCTTCCTGTAGAACATACCCATGTACATTTGTACTCATATGGGAAAATATGGTATCAATTATTAATAGTAAAGTATTTGAATTAAAGGTCTTTTGTTCTTGAAGAACCACGGGATCTCAGTTTCAGTGGCCTTGGAGTCCCACTTCCCCCGTATGAAATCCCTAAAGCACTAGGTGTTTTGACCCCTGCTTGATCTTGACTATGGGGAAAATGCACCATGTCCCCAGTCAGCCTGTGTCACGCGGTGCTGGCTGTTTGGCAGCTCTGCCTTACACTGCAGCCTCCAGCACAGAGAGTCCTCTGTCCAGAACCACCTCAAGGATGTGCAAGTTCTCTGCCACATGGCATCCCTCAGACACCTGAAGTGAGCCATCTCAGCCTCCCTCCAAGCAGCTTCCCTCCCGGCTGACACTCCCAGCTCTGCTGTGTCCTGCACATGGCACGCTTCCGAGACCACTCGCCCTCGGCTGTCCCCTGGGGTTCATGCCACTGGATCACTGGGTGCTTAATAGGCGCCAACCATTTCAGAAACCACCTCTTATTCCCGTGAGAGCAACCCCTGCAAGTATTCTGTTTTGGTTTTGTTTGTGCTTTTTCTTTTTGCAGGAATCAAGGCCCTAACATCCAGAACCTCAGCAGTCTCTCTGGCTGCCATCCACATCATCTGCCCAGACACAAAGAGAGCGGGACAGGACCACAGCGTGGCCAGGTGGGGGTGCTACCGGTTTTCCCTACAGCTGACGTAAAATACATATATTACTGCAAATCTAATAACCTGCTTAGAAAGCACTTCAAGGCAGAACCATTCAGGAAATACCTTAATACAAAATACCTTTGTTTTTCTTTTCTTTTTGTTTTTCTGAAGCAGGGTCTTGCTTGCATACCACCATGTCTGGTTAATTTTTGTACTTTTTGGAGAGACGGGGTTTCACCATGTTACCCGGGCTGGTCTTAAACTCCTGGGCTCAAGCGATCCACCTGTCTCAGCCTTCCAAAGTGCTGGGATTACAGGTGTGAGCCATGCACCCGGCCCATAAAATACACCTTTGTAATGAATATGTGAGAAATAGATACTGGAAGAGATGATGTAAAAACAATTTTTTATTTTTATTTAATCTCTCTTATGCAGATTAAGCATTTCCCCTGAAATCCAACCCTCACAGCTCAGTCCAAACTTTTCCTCACCGTGAAAAGGTGAACTCCAGACCAGCCTAAGGCCAACCGTTCTGAATGGCAACCACTAGATTCAAAGCAAGGTGCTGTGATGTTGCTAGGTGTTTGGTTTGTGCTCCTATGACCAGTGTGGGGGGAAGGGACTTGGGCAGACATCCAAGCTGAGGTCCCCTGGGCAGAGTGACTCAGAATTAGTGTCTGGATAGGCATCCGTGCACCCAACGCTACTGACTTACTCCAGTTCATCCTGAAGACAGACTATTACAGTAAAAGCCATGTTTTAAAAAAGTTATAGCTGCTAGGCCGGGCGCGGTGGCTCACGCCTGTAATCCCAGCACTTTGGGAGGCCGAGGAGGGCAGATCACAAAGTCAGGAGATCGAGACCACCTTGGCTAACATGGTGAAACCCCGTCTCTACTAAAAATACAAACAATTAGCCAGGTGTGGTGGCGGGTGCCTGTGGTCCCAGCTACTCGGGAGACTGAGGCAGGAGAATGGCGTGAACCCGGGAGGCGGAGCTTGCAGTGAGCTGAGATCGTGCCACTGCACTCCAGCCTGGGCGACAGAGTGAGACTCCATCTCAAAACAAAAAACAAAAAACAAAAAACAAAACAGTTATAGCTGCTAAAACCTTATGCAGAAAGTCCACGAAATTTGAAAATATACATCATATAAACGTAAGCAAGGCTGAAAACACGTGAATCCCAGTTAGCTCACCCTGCATTCCTGCCCATGCAGCTCGTGACCCAGCTACAGCCTTGGGTCTGTACTCTCCCTGCAGTCAGAGGATGGGGACAGGTGGCACACTGCTGGCCTGAGCACAACAGGAGTCCGTTTGCTTGGGGACATTTCTTGGAAATAAAGTAAGTATAAGGGTGTACTCAGGAACACTGCATTTTATCTGGGACTCGGCTTTGTTGCCCAGCCCAGCACAGGGAAAGAGGAGTTTTAAAGTGTTTCAGAGGAAGAAAGAGAAAACCTTGTTGGCCTCAGGGGAGTGAGGTATAGCACACTCATTCAGCTTCATTTACTGAGTACCTACCTAGTATACACAGCAGGGCATGTTCACCCCTTTTTTTGCATAACAACATACACCCAGGGTGGCTCCAGTATACTCAGAACTACGGAACTGAAGAAGCATCACATCACATCTTTCCCAAGTGATGCTGGGTGGGGTCCCCAGTGTAGAAGGCAGACAGAGAAAAAAAAAAAAAACAGCAGCACCAAGCGGCTCAAAAGCTCAGGAGAGGCCGGGCACAGTGGCTCATGCCTATAATCCCAGCACTTTGGGAGGCCGAGGCGGGCAGATCACCTAAGGTCAGGAGTTCGAGACCAGCCTGGCAAACATGGCAAAACCCCATCTCTACCAAAAGTACAAAAATTAGCTGGGCGTGGTGGTGGATGCCTTGTAATCCCAGCTACTTGGGAGGCTGAAGCAGGAGAATTGCTTGAACCGGGGAGGCGGAGGTTGCAGTGCGCTGAGATTGTGCCACTGCACTCCAGCCTGGGCGACAGAGCAAGACTCTGTCTCCAAAAAAAAAAAAAAAAAAAGCACAGGAGAGGTATCCACAGCCCTTAAAAAGCATCAGTGATAGCTCCAAATGCTGAAAGATGAAGGGCTCTGTCATCTTTAAACCCTGTTTGTGATTTCCAGTTTCAATGAGCCTGTTACATTATTACTGTAATCCTAAAAAAAAGGCTCACAAATTTTTTAACTGACAATTTTCAAAAAACAAAAGTCAGTGCTTAGTCCTGTTGTTTACATCGGGTACACTATTAGAATCTGGCTTTCAGAATGGAGAGACCCAGACTGCTCATGACAATTACACCAGAGGATCTGATTCAAACTGATTCGAGCTGGGGAGTGGGGGGGCGTGGAGTGAGCAGGAGCAGCTGAAACAACGCTGGGCACGGAGGATAACTGCTGAAGTTGAGTGACAGATAATTGGGGGCTCATTATATCACGTGCTTGAAATTCTCTGTAACAAAAAGTTCTCTGAATTTAAATCAGGCAACACTAACTTAAAGTTCCCTTACGGTAAGGCCTGGTTGCCACCTACTCCTAGGCTCTTGCAAGCTTTAAGGCCAGTATGAGTCGAATGTTTACTGGACATTAGGCAGTTTTCTCACACTCACACTCGCACTCGGTCCAGGAAAGCCCTCCCGGGGCAGGGGGCCAAACGAAACCCTAAATGCAGCTTTGTAGCAGCCCAGCTGCTCTGAAGGACTGAAAAACACAGGGTCCTCAAAAATCACCAAAAAACCCTTTGGCTTGGACAGCTTTTCCTTCCCTGGCTTCCTGTAAAGATGCCGCAGGCTCCCTAGAATCTCCAACTCCGGTTTGTTTTTAGGAAAGTTCCGTTGCTCCTGCCTTCAGCTTGGCTGCCTACTCCACGTTACACAAATACACCTCCTCTGTGCGGCGCAAACAACCTCTACGCCAGTGGTGCTGAAGGAGGCCTTCGCTACTTGCATCCATCCTATCAGCGTCCAGAGGAGTGAACACGTAGATGTCTATCACTGACTTCATACCCTTCCCCCAACAAAAAAACCTTAAAATCATAATTACATCCTTCTCTACAATGACCTTTCTTACTTTTATAACAGGATTTTAAAAATCCATTCCTGGCCAGGAGTGGTAGTTCACGCCTGTAATCACAGCACTTTGTGAGGCCAAGCTGGGAGGATGGCTTGAGCCCAGGACTTCCGAGACCAGCCTGGGCAACATACTGAGATCCCATCTCTACAAAAAAAAAAAATACAAAAAAATTAGCCAGGCATGGTAGCGCGTGCCTGTAGTCCCAGCTACTCGGGAGGCTGAGGCAGAAGGATCACCTGAGCCTGGGAGGTCAAAGCTTCAGTGAGCTATGATCACACCACTGTACTCTAGCCTGGGCAACAGAGAAAGACCCTATCTCAAAAAAATAAAAATAAAAGATAAAAATCCATTCCTTTTTTTAAAATAAGACACTGTATAATATTAATATAGCCACGGCAGCACCACTGGACTTACGGCCTGGCTTTAGGGAGACCTCAGACTGTTGACGTCAGTTTCTGGTCCACAGCTGCCTTGGAAACCTCCCTGAGCCAAAATTAAAACAACAGCTTTCTCTCAGGGTATGCTTAAGTTATTGTTGTTGTTGTTGTTGTTTTAAAAAGAAAAAAAGACAACAGGTTTGATGTGACACTCAGTGTCTCCGGTGTGCCAGGCACTGTGTCAGGTACTTTACAAACAAGGAAAGCAAGGCACAGAGAGGCCAGGTCACCTGGGCAAGGCCGCCTGGCAGATGCTGTGTGTGGCCGCAGAGTGAGGCATGTCCCAGACTCAGCCTTCCTCACCAAGAGGGACTCAAAGCCTTCTGGGGCACTCTGTGATGAAAGCTATGGGCTCTCTCCCCAGGGAGTGCACACACACAAAAGTCTGAATGAAATATCTGGTGGGTTCATAGTGCCCCTCTGTTCCCCAAACGTCCCCTCTGGTTAAAAAAACTCTATTCAGGTGAAACCCTGTCTCTACTAAAAATACAAAAATTAGCCGGGCGTGGCGGAGCACGCCTGTAATCCCAGCTACTCAGGGGGCTGAGGCAGGAGAATTGCTTGAACCTGGGAGGCAGAGGTTGCAGGGAGCAGAGATAATGCCACTGCACTCCAGCCGGGGCAACAGAGCCAGACTCCGTCTCAAGGAAAAAAAAAAATTCTATTCAGATTTTCATCAATGAAGAGCTTCAGCAGGAGTGTCTCCCATAGAAAGAGGCAGGTGTGTCTCTGGCCTCAATCCCTCTCTCTCCTGAGGTGTACATGGCCCCAGGGCTTGCCCCTCCATCAGTCTGCAACACCCCCCAGCCCTGAGGTCTCAGACACCCAGCTGCCACCTCCCCACCCTGTGACAACTTGGGCTTGTATCTTATTAAAACACTCTAGGGTCCAACCCTCTTAAAACAATGAAAACATTTTCTCACTCATATAAACAAACAAACCTTTACTGAAAACTAATGACGAACACAAAGGGACTATTTACAGAAAACAGCGTGCCTAGCCCCATCTAGATTATAAACATAACTGCACACTGGCTCTAAGGACCCTGCCATCTTCCCAGGCCCTGGCCTGGCTGTTCTGCCACTCCCCACCTCATGCCTGAAACTGACACAAAGGAACCAATCCTCCAGCCAAAGTAAGCAATTACAACGTGTAGCTGAAATTCAGAGAGGTGATCTAAAAAGCAATTTTGTAAGATAGCTCCAAATTGGGAAGAAAACAAATTTTTGTATTTTATTTTTATTTTTGAGATGGAATCTCACTCTGTTGCCCAGGCTGGAGTGAAGTGGCGCAATCCTGGCTCACTGCAACCTCCACCTCCCAGGTTCAAGCGATTCTCTTGCCTCAGCCTCCCAAGCAGCTGGGACTACAGGCGCCTGCCACTACACCCAGCTAATTTTTGTATTTTTAGTAGAGACGGGATCTCACCACGTTGGCCAGGCTGGTATTGAACTCCTAATCTCCAGTGATCTGCCCGCCTCGGCCTCCCAAAGTGCTGGGTTTATAGGTGTAAGCCACCACGCCTGGCCTTTTTAAAATTTTTTTGACCCACGAGATCTTTGACACAAAGATATCCATTTCAGCATTATTTATGATAGCAAAAAGTGAAAACAGCCTTCATGTCCAACATGAGTAAATTAAGGTACAACTGTAAGATGAAGCACTGTACGATCACTAACAGGAAGTTTGCAAAGGTGTTTTAAGCAAGTGGGAATAAGACTTATGTGACCCAATAGGAAAAAGCAGGATGCAAATTTCAGAGCCATATTTTAAAAATGTGCTCAGAAGACTCGAACAAAAACCCACCAAAAAAGCAAAAGTTGTTTCATCCATGAGGGGGAATTTTGAGTGACTTTTTTTTTTTTAATTCTCTTTATACATTTTGGCATTTTCCAAGAGTAAAACATGCACTTTCCCCGCTTTGCCCTTTCCTTCTGATTATAAATGGAACATAGGCTCTCTGTAGGAAATTCAAAGCATTACAGAAAGTGAAACATCCCCCTGTGATCTCACCACCTAGAGACTCCCCAAAGGTAACTGCCAATAATAACTTGGTTCCCATTCTTCCAGATGTTTTCCAACAGGGATTACTTTTAGAATCAAATAATTTCTCTAAAAAATAATCCGCATGATTCCATACATATGAAATGGCCAGACAGAAAGTGAATGGTGAGCTGGGGCAGGAGTGGGCATGAAGAATAACTGCAAATGGATGCAGGAGGTGTTCTGGGGGTGATGGAAATGTTCCAAAATTGGATTGTGGTTATGGATGCACAACTCTGTAAATTTCCTAAAAATGTACAAAACCGCACTGTACACTTAAAGCTGGGGAATCTTATATGTAAATCAGATCTCAATAAAGCAGCTGAAAAAAGAACAAAACAACCACTAGAGGCAGGGAGTGCTGGGCTGTGCAGGAGGGCAGTCCATGGCTTTATGCTCTGCCCTCAAGAGCACATGGTAAGACCCTGTAGCAGGAACAGAGGAAGCTGGAGGCCTCTCGGCATCACCTGGACAAACAGCCCTCGGCAGAGAGGCTCAACAGATAACCTGAGAGCGGCAGGGTCAGCGAGGTCAGTTCCAGTCTACACGGGAGGCAGGAAGAGCGCCAGCCCTGAAAATGCATTCCTGAGGCTCAGGCTGCACTGCCAGGCTCGCTTTAAAGCCAGGCCAAAGGAAAACAGCACTGGCCGGGGTGTCCAAATACTTTACCAAGTTCAGGATGCACTGCGTGCAGGAAAACTGAGACCATTTTTCTCTGTTTCAACAGAAACTTGAAAACCACCCCTGACAACATGTTAGTCCCTGGAAGTACTCAATTACGGTGAAAAGCCATCGGCAAAAGTTAAAGTGAGTAATATGACAGTGAGCCATGTAAGAAGTAAAGGTGAGTGGAAGATTATGAACTACATAAAAGGCACAATGATCTGAGTCTAGAAAGGCAATCTGGAAGCCTGAAAAGGTACAAATGGGTGCAATTCTCTTAGAAAGTAATGGGCAAGTAAATGTCAAAAGCGTTTAAAATATTCATAACCTCCTAGGAATCTACCCTAATGAAACCACTCAAGCTGATGAACAAAGATGCCCACTGCTCTACCCACTGCTCCACGGCAAAAAAAACTGGAAATAATCTCCCCCAACAACAGGGAAGTGATCATCTACTGTGTAACCCTTACAATTGCACAGTGTTAAAAACGTGGGAAAATGTTTTATGTTTAATTAGCGAAACTGAATATAAAAATTTACTATCAAGTGAGTAAAAAAATGCCCAAATCCTGGAAATGATATATAAAAACGTTAACAGTGTTTTTCTTTAGGTGGAAAGATTGATTTTTTCCCCTCCTTTCATATGTATTTAGTGAACTCCAAGTTTTTTCCATCACATGATTTCAGTCTCTAAAAATCCGTGATCCATCACGCCAACTGGATTTTGTCAATTTTACCCTCTATGGTTTGTACTGTGCAAAACTAGGCTTCACTTTATTTTCCAAACAAAAAATACTATTACTGAGTATGTTTTCTCAAATTACCACCCCACTGCCCAAAAAATGACACCTGCCACACTCAAGATTATGGTGGCCCCCAGGAGGTGTGCCCATCCCAGCCCTCACTGGGTGCAAGCTCTCTCTTTCTTCTATCATCCTTCTGCAGAGAAGGATTTTGTAATTGTTGTTGCTTTGTTTTAAAGTGGGAAAGAAAAATATTGACGAACTTAAAACTCGACATAGACAGAGACATTGGGCAGCACCAGACCTAATCTTTTTTTTTTTTTTTTTTTTTTTTGAGATGGAGTCTCACTCTATTCAAGCAATTCTCCTGTCTCAGCCTCCTGAGCAGCTGGGATTACAGGCACGCTCCACCACATCCAGCTAATTTTTTTTTTTTTTTTTTTTGGATTTTTAGTAGAGATGGGGTTTCACCATGTTGGCCAGGCTGGTCTCAAACTCCTGACCTCGGGTGATCTGCCCACCTCGGCCTCCTAAAGTGCTGGGATTATAGGCGAGAGCCACTGCACCTGGCCCAGACCTAATCTTTGAGGGAACTCAGCATCATCATAGAAGGCTGAAACCACAAGATCTATTTTTTGTGCCTTCCTAAGAGTGTTGTGTGCATGCAGCAATCCAGCGAAATGGTGAGTTGCACAGATACACCTGGGGGATGCCAGCCTAAGATCAGGGCCAGGGTGGCACAGCAGCACCCTGGGAGCTGGTGGAGGAGGGCACGGCTCACTGACGCCATCCGACCCAGCCCCAGCAGCTCGCAGGCCACACTGCTCCTCTCCGCCTCGGTGGCCTTGCCAGAATGCTGGGCCTCTCTGATGCACTGGTACTATCTAAGCAATCGGCAACTAACAGTAGTGAAAGCGTAGTTCATTTTAGGTTTAAGAATTAGAACAGGCTCAATGTTGCTCTCTAATCACACCCTCACTCCCCTGCACTCTAATAAGCTTCCGTCAGTGTGAAGAAAAGAGGGCGGAGGGAGGGCTTACTCGAGGGAACTGTGAAACACACTCCCCCAGGAGTGGGTGGAGCTCAGGACACCTCTCAGGCCTGGCACAGGTGGGCTTTTCTTTCGGAGGAAAATTAAGTAGTAGCCAGTCAACCTATCAGCCAACTGCGCATCAAGGGGCCACAGTCTATAGGATGGGAAGCCAAAATATCTCCAAGCAAGAAGGGTGGTGCGCCGCTGCGCACATCCCAAATACCCGCTTCTCTCCAGGCACTGCCCACCCATGAGGGACTTTCCCTTTTCCAAGTGGCAGAGCTCCACTCCTGGCTGTCAACCACTGTGAATGGGACATCTCCTCTCCTCCTCCCTTCCACCCTTTCGGGAGAGCATTTGATTAATATTTTTCTACTTTTGTTGCCCCAAGTTGAGGAGTGTTTAGAGATGGAAAATAATACATTACTTCCCTCTCTGACAACCGCCTTAATCCACAAAGCCCAGAGGTAAAAACTCACAAGCTGTTTCTTCTCTGAACCGCAGAAACAAACCTGGTTGCAGTTGGGGCACTGTGGACCAGAGAAAGATGCAGTGTTTCATCATTACCTACCCATGATAAATGCTGTAGGGGTTTTTTCTTATTCAACTGCAGATGATTCACATTAGAAGCTGCCTGGTGACCAGACTAACTTTCCTCCCTACTTGGGCAAAAAGTTGTCACCTAGCCAACACATTTCCTGGGGGTAGACTGTGCCTTGTGGATTCCATCAGCTTTGCTATTTACTTCTCCCTTCACCCTGGCAGTTAACATTTCAACCCTGATGGCCACGGCCACCTGTTGCTCCTCCTCCCCCCTCAGATCTAAAGTGCGTGTCACCTTTCTAGGTTCTGGGTCACATCTTCTGGGCTGGCCAAGGCCTGGGCGAGAGAACCCTGTATCCTGGAACTGCCTGGGCATTGGAGGAGGTGATGGGTTAATAACAATCGTTTTGCAGGCAGGGGAGGCGAGGGGGCAAGAGGAAGTGGAAACATGACGTGACTAGGGACGCTGCCCCAGGCTGCTCGCTGCCCGCTCCTGACTTCTCCCATCTGGTTTCCATCTGACCCAAGCAGCTGGCCAGATGGTTTTCATTTGCAGATGAAACCCCAGCAGTTCCATTGCCACAAAAACTCCTGACCGTAGAGTCTCTGTAAGGCTGATAACGCACAAAGTGCACTGCGGTGTCTCTGAGCAGGCCTGAAAGGTCATGCTTCCCAAAGCCGGAACCAGGACAACAGGAACAAAGTGGGGTCTTGACACTTGAAAATTCCGATGACAGCCAGAAGAGGAAATGCACTGGCCTGGCGAGATGCGAGTCACGGTCAGGCATGGAGCTGAGGAACGGGGAAGATTTTGCCAGTGAATCAGACCTTGTCTCTATGCCATCCACTAGCATCCTTAAGGTGAGGAAAGAACCAGCAGGTCTCAGGGTGAACCATGGTATGTCCACTCAGTGGAACAGTACGAAACAGCTAAACCCAGGTTCGTAAAGAAAATGTAGGCTGGACTGGCTGGGGGCTGTGGCCCACACCTGTAATCTCGGCACTTTGGGAAGCTGAGACGGGCAGATCACTTGAGATCAGGAGTTCGAGACCAGCCTGGCTGACACGGCAAAACTCTGTCTCTACTAAAAACACAAAAATTAGCTGGGCGTGGTGCGTGCCTACAGTCCCATCTACTTGAGAGGCTGAGGCATGAGAAACCTTGAACCTAAGAGGCAGAGGTTGCAGTGAGCCAAGATCATGCCACTGCACTCTAGCCTGGTTGACAGAGCAAGAGTCTGTCTCAAAAAAAAAAAAAAAAAGAGAGAGACAGAGAGAAAGAAAGAAAGAGAGCGAGAGAAAGAGAAAGAAAAAAATATAGGCTGGGCACAGTAGCTCACGCCTGTTATCCCAGCACTTTGAGGGGCTGAGTCAGGAGAATCGATTTGAGCCCAGGAGTTTGAGATCAGCCTGGGCAACATAAGGAGACTCTGTCTCTACAAATAATTAAAAAATTAGCCAGGCATGATGTTGCGCACCCGTAGTCCCACTTACTCACAGGAGGCTGAGGTGGGAGGACTGCTTGAGCCCAGGAGGTGGGGGCTGCAGTGAGCAGGAATTGTACCATTGCACTCCAACCTGGGCAACAGAGCAAGACCCTGTCTCCAAAAAAAAAAAAAAAAAAAAAAAAAGAAAAGAAAAGAAAAGAAGAAAAAATGTAGTAATACAATACATGGAAATAGTGATAATGCAGGCTGAGTATTAGTTTTCCTTATCTGAAATGCTGGGGACCTGAAGTGTTTTGGATTTTGAATTTTTTCCAATTTTGAAATACTTGCATTATACTTACTGGTTGAGAATCCCAAATCAGAAAATCCAAAATCCATGTCCCAAAGAACATTTCCTTTGAGCCTCATGTCAGTGCTCACAAAGTTTTGGGTTTTGGAGCATTCTGGGTTTTAAATTTTCACATTAGGGATACTCAGCCTGTAAGAGTGTGTCAGGCACTGTTTTAGGCATGTAAAATGTGTCAACTCAATCTTCATAGCATGCCTGTAAGACAGCTTATGTTATTAATCCTACTTCATAGATGAGGGGACTGAGGTAGGGAGAGGTTAAGGAGCTTACCAAATATCACACAGGTAATAAGTGGCAGAGCTGGAAGCCTGGTTCCAGAGACCCAGGTGAATCCCAAAAAAGAGAAGCTGGGCACAAGGCCCCAGGGAAGCAAAAACCTGAAAAACTATCCTTTCACACTTGTGCAGGGTCAGTTGATGTTAGGCTTGTATTGCAAAATTTATACTTCTGAAGAAGGATAAAGCAGCAAGAGGGAAAAAGTATCTAAAATGCAGACACATATACCACATTTGTTTTGGAAAAGACAAGTCAGGAGCCCACAAAAGGTTATGAAAAACCCCAGTGACACCACCACCAATGTTTGTCTTTGGAATAATGGAAAGAGATGTGTATTACTTGTAAGAATGATCTCTGCTATTACATGACTCATTCCTGCATGCAAGGACTGCTCTCATCTGGTGCCAAGGAAAGACTGCTGAATTATGGAATTGCAAACATTATCACTGACTGTTACTCACAACACTGCAGGGCAAACTGATATGCGCCAAATCAGCCATGTTAAGGGGTTGTTATTGCACCTCTCCTCAGGACCAGCTGTTGCTATTTCGCATTAAGACTTTAACCATATCTTAGTCCAAGAACTCATCAACCTCAGCAGTTGAGTTGCTTGGAAATGCCCAGGGTCCACACAAGTTCCCCAGGGGAACCCACCATGGGTCTGGGGACTGGAGTCATGGGACAAAAAGGGGAATGGTAGAGGCAGAGAACAGAAACAGGGAACGGAAACAACAGATAAAAGGAAATCACTGACACAGATGGCATGCAAAAGGCCTTTCAGAGTGGAAATGGACAATCCCGAAATTGGCAACATATGATGTGCTCTTTATTCCTGCTCCCCACCGGCATGTGGTAGAAGGATGCAGAGGAAAGGACGGTAATGGGTAAGATAATATGAATACCACCCTACAGGCACGTGTCATCTAGGAGCCTACCGAGTGTCCCACCTTAGTGATCTGACCCTCAGACAAAACTGAGAGGGAGACGCCACCATCCCCACCCTGCAGATGGGAGACAGAGGCTCTGGGGAGTGGTCCCCAGAAACATGTGGCTACTCAGAGACAAGGCTAGGACCAGGGGGTGATCACTTTCCACATGGACAGTGTGGAAATATCAGCCAATAATGTGTCCTCTAATCTATTTATTATGGCCTCCACCTCTCTGATGACTTTAAAGTGCCTCACCCTCAACATAGCTGAAACCGAACTAGGTTTGCCCCACCGAAACCTAGCAGTTATCATGCAGATAACAGCTAACATTTACTGAGCATTTATTATGTGCCAATAATAATGCTATGAAGCAATTTTACTGTTTATTATTGTAATTTACTGTTTATTATTGTAATTATTATTTTATTATTTCTCTCCACCCAAGTACCAACCCTCCCCCACTTTGTCCAAGAGACCACAGTGATTGCCCTACACCTGCCCCAACCCATCCTCTCTGCACATCTGGGTCAGGGCAAGCTTTCCAAGACTTACCTGGCCAGTCCTCACTGCCCACCCCCTGCAGTCCTCTTACCTGATCATCCCTCCATCCCTCTCCATCCCATGTCCCAGCCTGCTCCTGCCCCCGACTCAGCTCCTTCCTGCCAGGCTTCTGCATGTACTATTCCTTCTGCCTGGACTGCCACCCCCTCAGCTCAAGCCTGCTCCCCCGCAACGGCTCTAGGGCAGCATCTCCCTCCAGATGCCATGACCCCGTAGTTGTTGATCATTGCCCCCACTGGGACATAGGCTCCAGGGGAGCAAAGGAAGAGGCTGTTCTTGGTCGCCTCTGTACTGCCCGAGTCCGGCACAGTGGTCGGCTCATAGCCAATGAATAAACATTCCCGGAACAATTCTATGACTCTCAAATTAGCCTGAGCACCAAAAAGAGGAGCAGGGTCTGAGTTGTGGGCTGAGCTATCCTGGTGCCAAGGCAGGCCTTCCACTGCCACGTACACACCCTGAAGGCAGAGTCAGCACGCCCAAATCCTGTGGGGCCTGATGGTGACCACTCAAGCTCGGACAAACCCCAAGTGTGATCTCACTGGAATCCATGTCAACGCCCAAGTCCTCAACTCCAGCAGAAACTCCCCATCTGTTCCTCTGCTCTCCTCTCCACCACACTGCCCTCCTGCCACTGGACCCTCACCACTCCCCTCCAAGCCCCACCTTCGGCAGTCAGAATAATTTCTTTCTTTTTTTTTTTTTTTTTTGTCTTTTTTTGAGATGGAGTCTCACTCTGTCGCCCAGGCTAGAATGCAGTGGAGCGCTCTTGGCTCACTGCAACCTCTGCCTCCTGAGTTCAAGCGATTCACCTGCCTCAGTCTCCCAAATGGCTGGGATTATAGGCACCTGTCACCATGCCCAACTAATTTTTTTTATTTTTAGTAGACATACAGTTTCACCATGCTGGCCAGGCTGGTCTCGAACTCCTGACCTCAGGTGATCCACCTGCCTCAGCCTCCCAAAGCACTGGGATTAGAGGCGTGAGCCACCGTGCCTGGCTGGCAGTCAGAATAATTTATTTTAACATAAATAAAGTCATCGCCCAGATTGACACCTTCCAGCTTCTTGTGACTGTTAGACTTACAACCTGGCATACAGGCCCGGTGTCACCGGGCCCCTGTGCTACTGATAACTAACAGCACGTCTTTTATTCTATTTTTTTGTTTTGTTTTTTTGAGTTGGGGTCTCACTTTGTCGCCTAGGCTGGAGTGCAGTGGCACAATCTCGGCTCACTGCAGCCTCCACCTCCCAGGTTCAAGCAGTTCTCCCACCTCAGCCTCCTGAGTACCTGGGATTACAGGGGCGCACCACCACGCCAGCTAATTTTTGTATTTTTAGTAGAGACGGCGTTTCACCATGTTGGCCAGGCTGGACTCGAACTCCTGACCTCAGGTGATCTACCTGCCTCGGCCTCCCAAAGTGCTGTGACTACAGGCGTGAGCCACTGCCCCTGGCCACCAGCGCCTCTTTCTATGTCTCAACCTGGGAAGCCTTGTACCCGTGGCCCCTTCCTTGTCTTCTCCTCCCACCTGGAAGGCCTCTCTCTCCTTCTAGGTCTTCCCTGTCACCTGACTTCACAACACATCTCACAACTCAAAATGACTGTGTTTGTATCACAATCACAATCTGTCCCGCCCAGAATAGCAGGGGCTTTGTCTTGTTCACCATCCCTGTGAATATTTGCTGAATCCACCCCTTTTACTATGTGAATAGTGAACAATTACTGAGCCCTTGCTGGGGGCTAGGCAGTGAAATGCACATTAGATGCATTAACTCATCCCCTGGTAGACATCCCTACTGCCATTTTACAGATGAAAATGAGGAACAAAGAAGCTAAGGACTGGGGCCACTTGGGACTCACGCCCAGGCAGCCAGCTGCAGCGTCTGCAATTTCAACCCTCCCCTAAGTGCGCTGCCTCCTGGAGTTGTAGAAGGCTACAGACTCATCCCCCAGAGTGGCCAGGGCTCCTGGAGGGCAGGCATCACATCTTAGGTTTCTCCAGGCTCAGGCCCTCCAACAGGAGGTCCTGAATAAAAGCTCAGGAATAACTGCAGTTCAAGGAAGCCTTGGCTAGAAAACCCTACAATAAAAGGCAGGCAAGACTGGCCATGAGTAGCGCCATCCCTGCAGTGCTGATAATTCACACCTGCACTCACAGGTAGGCTAAGGCAGTCCCTCAGGTGGGCTGAAGAATGAAATGCTGGCCACGTAAGATGTAAACCCCAAAGAGCAAGTTTGTCCCATCAGGTCCCCTATGTTACCCCATAATATCTGCATCCTGATCTTTAAAACTCTTTTCCAGAGAAAGTCAAGCAAATGATATTTGGAGGGCTTTCCTGCTGCTTTTATTTTGGAAAGTTATATAAGAGTCCTAAGAGTCACTCCTGAGCGCTTAGAGTAGTGGCACATTTATGCACATTCCTCACTTGGTCCTTACAACAACCCTCTGAGTCACACACGATCATCCCAAATGACAATTGTGGAAACCGAGGCTCAGTGACCTGAGGGACTTGCCTAGGGCCACAGAGCTGCCAAGCAGGAAATCTAGGCTGCCTGAGTGCAAGCTCGCAGTCTGTACTGTAATGCCAAAGGCTTCACTAACTCATTTCAGAAAGCAATTGTCACGATCTTCTCTAAACTATTAATACTTACAAATACTCATTCAAGGAGTAGAGCTTAGAGGCTGTGAGGCAAAGGCAGAACCATTTCTGGGTGACACATCAGAAAATTACTGTTCCGTTCATCTAAATGATGTTTAAAATGCCCACTGCAGCATGAAAGTGCCTCTGCTGAGAAACTGCAGACATCAGCAGGAGCCATAAAGGAAAGATAAACTCTTGGTAAAGGGAAGGAAGAGGGGCTGAGTGGGTGAGTTACAGCTGAATTCACAGGACACCGGTCCCGCAAAGAGGAAGCCAAATTGCAGTCCAAGCAGCCAGGATGCGGAGGGCCCGGAGGGCTTGGAACCCTGCAGGCAGCCTGGCTGTGGAGACAGAGCAGGACAAGCTCTGAGACACCCCCAGGAGTGGCAGACAGAGACAATTCATGCCTCCCGTCCCGGGAGCAGGCAAGGGTTCCTGGGTTAAGGGGAAACAAAGGGGTCCATCTAAAAAATATGAAAGGCCTGGCTGTGCTGAGTGTGGGTGAATAAGGTGGAGTATGGTTAACAAAACGATTCCACATCAGCAAATGCTAACACAGGGCTCCTGGGATCCCATAGAGAGAGAGTCTATTTCCATTTTTATTTCTTAACTCAAAAAATAAAATTAAACTTTACTTTCTAGAAGAGGACGATGAGAGAAGATCGCTGGGTGGCCACGTGATGGATAAGACATGCAGGCCTCCCTTGCTGGTCCCCACTGGCCTCATTAAGGCTGGGACTATTATTTCTCAACACACATGGTCTGTCCTGTCACACGCTAGTGGTTTCCAACAAGCGGGATGCCCACAGCAAGTGCCCTCCAATCCGTCACAGTCCCTGCCGCATCTTGGGTCTCTTGACCTGGCCTATTTACTCTTATCTACCAGCCACTGTGGGCCTTTGGATTTGCATCCTGCTTGATAAAAATCACTGAGGAGCTACAAAGAGATGAGATTGGCCCTGACGCCAATTGTCACTCATCTCAGGTCCTTCCAAAAGAGCTGGCAGACTCAGAGGTCCATGGACACTGCCACATCCAGTACCACAGGCTACAACACATACACTTCCTTTCTAAGCCATGAATAGGTCACAATCTCAAGCAAGTTATATACACAGGAAAAACAAGGGCCAGTTTCCTACATTTTATAAGATTCTTATATGCAAGGCTCTTGTTTATTTGTTTTTCAGACCAAGTCTCACTCTGTTGCCCAGGGTGGAGTGCAGTGGCACGATCTCAGCTCTGCAACCTCTGCCTCCTGGGTTCAAGCGGTTCTCCTGCCTCAGCCTCCCAAGTAGCTGGGACTACAGGCGCGCACCATCATGTCTGGCTAATTTTTGCATTTTTGGTAGAGATGGAGTTTTGCCATGTTGGCCAGGCTGGCCTTGAACTCCTGGCCTCAAGTGATGTGCCTGCCTTGGCCTCCCAAAGTGCTGAAATTACAGGTGTGAACCACCAGGCCCGGTCCACAAGGCTCATAATTTTAAGGGCAACCAACAATCTGCTGCTATAGTAAACAGAACACATTGAAGAGAGAAGCAAGAGCTTTGAGAAGTAAACAAAAGAAATTTTAAAATAATCTGAATACTAATGACACCTCTAAGAAGAGGGTCAGGTGCAAATCCAAGCCAGGATCAGGTATTCCATTGGAAACTAGTTTTTTAAAAAAATAAATCCCACAAGATAATCTCTGGTTTCACACAGAGACTGGTATACAACAGGACCATCTTTCCAGCGTTAGCCTCAATATCCCAGTCTTGGGTTCCCTTCAACGTAGGTGTTCTTGGTTCATCGACTGCCTCACATGGAATGCAGAACTATCCCCCTACCCATGCACGATTCCCCCGTACAGAAAAAAATTCAGAGCAAGAATACTCCAGCCCACAGACCCAGCCTGTCTTTAAGGATCAGACCATCCCACAACGTGACATCCTCGAACAGACTATTTCACTGGGGCTGCCCATGGAGTCTATTTGGGAAAGGCAAACAGAGCGGCCGATGGCAGGGGCTGCTCAGATCACAGGAATCCCAAACCTAACAAAAACCCAATAATGTTATAAAGGGAGAAGGGAAGATGATGCTTAAATCTCAAACACAACTTCAGCAAAAGGTATTGTTGCATGGGTCATCTGTATTCCTCCAGGACAGAAGATGGTAAGAGCACTAATAAAGGTCATTATACTCATTTGAGCAGGGCACTCTTGAAGATTTTCATCCAGGAAATGGACCAGCATTCCAAACTATTACTTAGAGATTAGCTCTGTGTGTGTTGGAGGGTAGCCTAAAGGGTTAGGGTTAACCCCAGAAAGGCAGGAAGTTCCAGAAAAAAGGCAGTCATTCTACCCAAGTCTTGTTGGAACTAAAGCACAGCGGGAAAAGCGAGCAAACCAAAGGGGAATTAGAGACACTCACAAAGGGAGGGGCCTTGGGATTAATGGACTCTCTAATTTTTGAATTTCCTGAGGTTTACGGCTGATTAGGCCCCTTAGCCATACTGTAATGTGATCAAATTTCAACTGGGTTCACAGCACAGTTGAAGGTAGAAGATGACACAGACATCACCAGTGGGCCCCAGAGACTACAGACAAGGTCCGCAGTGCTCGCTTCCGGGCTTGATCGCACTAATTAGGCACCTTTAATTCCCCAAACAATGGCGCACAGGCTGGCTCAGAGGGCACTGTGTGATCCACCGCATGCTTGAGGAGCTCTTACAATACTATGTACTGATAATTCTCTAATTTGGTACAAGCATATTTAAGCACATGGCTCAAAGGTGGAGAGAAATGACATTGCAACCCGCAAACACATATGCACAAAAATATTCAACTTTGCCAAGTGAAGACATACAAGTGAAAAATGAGGGACGATGTACTGCTGACTAAATTAGAAATTAAGGGAGAAAAGCGCCCAGTGTTAACAAAGAAGCAATAACCTGATGCTCACACTGCGGACGGTGTTATGAATCGGCCTGACACTTTGGAAAGCAACTTGGCAGAATTTGTCAAGAGCTGTAAAAGTGTTCATACTGTGGCACGGTAACGTTACTCCTGGGAATCCAAACACAGAAACCACTTCAGAAGGACCAGTCACTGTGACATCGCTTATAAGGAAAAAAAAGAAAAACAACAACAACTGGAAAAAACCTAAAGGGCAACATCAGGGAAGTTACCCCCCTGCCATCTGATGTTTAAGGAGTAAACAGCCAGTAAGCAATGATGGTTGTAAGGACTTCCTGATAATGTGGGAAAAGTCTTAGGTCATAATAATTTTTAAAAAGGAAGATGAATAATTATATGTAGCCTATGACCACAACTAATCAAAAACCTCATGTATATAAGAAATAAAAGGAGTTGCCAAAAAAAAAAAAAAAAACACTAAACTGGTGCAAGTGACTTTTTTCCTTCTGTGATCTGAGCTTTCCACAATGATGCTTTATTAAGTTGAACTACATGAAATTGCCAACACACAGCCATTTCTGACCTACACAAGTGGCACTTTCACATGGGTCAACATAATATTTTTTGAAAGTTTTAATACTTTTATGAAAGTATTTTTATGAAAGCTTTAATACTTTTATGAAAGTATTTATCCAAGTTTTGTTTTGTTTTGTTTGTTTGCTTAATTTTGAGACGGAGTTTCACTCCTGTTGCCCAGGCTGGAGTGCAGTGGTGCGATCTCAGCTCACTGCAACCCTCCACCTCCCGGGTTCAAGTGATTCTCCTGCCTCAGCCTCCCAAGTAGCTGGGATTACAGGTGCCTGCCACCAAGCCTGGCTAATTTTTTGTACTTTTAGTAGAGACGGGGTTTCGCCATGTTGGGCAGGCTGGTCTTTAACTCCTGACCTCAGGTGATCCGCTCGCCTCAGCCTCCCAAAGTGCTGGGATTACAGGCGTGAGCCACCATGCCCAGCCTTATGCAAGGTTTAATAACTTTAGATGTTCACAGTATCTGCCCCTGCTCTGCGCTACCACCCCTCTTCAATGTCTAAGGACAGATCTGTAAACACATGTGACACACAAATAGAGTGGTCTAAAAGCAGTCCTCAGAATTCTGTAATCCAAAAAGGAGAGAAATCCTTCTAAGGTGTGAAGCAACGGACAGAAACAAAATGACCAAAGTCAGTTTCACCACATTTAAGCCCAATTCTGAAAAATGCAGGCAGGCTTCTCCTTTTTAACTACTAGGTGGAGAGGGCACCTCCATGTGGAACATTCGAAGGGCAGAAACAGCTCACCAGGTCAGGAAAGCCAGCAGGCAAAGTCTGTTGGCAGGAGACCGTTGGCAGGAAGGTGTGGTAGGGAAAGTGCCACCCCACGGGCCTGACCCTCCCGCCTGCCTGCCCTTCCAAAGGCCTCCTCCACCTTCAACCAGGTCCCATTTTTCCAGGCCAGAGTCTTAAAGGATGTTTGCTTCCCTTTGCTGGCCTGAGGACAAGGCTAATTTTACTCAACAAAGTAAAAAGGATGGAAAGAACACACTGAAAAGAACAGGCTGAACAACCACCTGTATGGGTAGAGCCATTTAAAAATCATTCAAACACAGGCACAGAAAACACCTCAACAAATGTCTATCAAAGTCTTAGCAGTATCTCAGGGGTAGAATGAAAAGTCGTTAAAGTTGTTAAAGTTCTGTGTTATTTAAATAAAATAAGCATTACTTTTGCAGGCAGAAAGACAATTCGGAGATTAAAATATTTTTAAAGAGAGAAAATAGGAGACCTGCTTTGATTGATTTTTTTAAAACCTTCTACCACGCCTTGCTCAGCCTCTCAGCCCCCACACCTGGGGTAGAATTTCTTCATCCAAAAAACGGGATAGGGGCTGGGAGAAAGAAATGCCAGTACCCGGACAGCCACTGTGGGCCGGGCACTGTGCTGGGAGCTTTAGCCACATCGTCCACCCTTCCACTTGGTTGAAGAAGAGTAAAACAGTCCCCCTTACCTGCAGTTTCACTTTCTGCAGTTTCAATTACCCACAGTCAACAGTGGTCTGAAAATATTAAGTGAAAAACTCTAGAAATGAACAATTCAGAAGTTCAAAATTTCCCACGGCTCTGAGTAGCATGATGACATCCTGCTGTACCGCCCCAGACGTAAATCATCCCTTTATCCAGTGAATCCACTGTCTACACCGCCCACCCCATAGTCACGTAGTTGCCTTCTTAGTGATCACACAGTTGCAGTCCTTGTGTTCAAGTCACCCTTATCTGACTTAATAATGGCCCCAAAGCGCAAGAGTAGTGATGCTGTCAATTCCATTATCCCAAAGAGAAGTTGCCAAATGCTTCCTTTAAGTGAAAAGGTGAAAGTTCTTGATCTAATAAGGAACGAAAAAAAACTGTATGCTGAGGTTACTAAGATCTACAGTAAGAACAAACCTTCTATCTGTAAAATTGTGAAGGAAAAATAAATGCTAGTTTTACTGTCACACCTCAAACTGCAAAAGTTACAGCCACAGTGTGTAGTAAGTGCTTAGTTAAGATGGAAAAGGCATTAAATTTGTGAGTGGAAGACATGAACAGTATTGGTTTTTTGTTTGTTTGTTTTTTTATGAGACGGAGTCTCGCTCTGTCGCCCAGGCTACAGCACTGTGGCGCGATCTCAGCTCACTGCAAGCTCTGCCTCCCGGGTTCACACCATTCTCCTGCCTCAGCCTCCCGAGTAGCTGGGACTACAGGTGCCCGCCACCGCGCCCGGCTAATTTTTTGTATTTTTAGTAGAGACAGGTTTCACCGTGTTAGCCAGGATGGTCTCGATCTCTTGACCTCGTGATCCACCTGCCTCGGCCTCCCAAAGTGCTAGGATTACAGGCGTGAGCCACTGTGCCCAGGCTTTTTTTTTTTTTTTTTTTTTTTGTATTTTTGGTGGAGATGTTGCCCCGGCTGGTCTCAAGCTCCTGAGCTCAAGCGATCCACCCACCTCAGCATCACAGAGTGCAGGGATTACAGGCATGAGCCACCAAGTTCTGATCAACGGTACTAACCGCAGTTTCAGGCATCCACTCGGGGTCTTGGCACACATTCCCCACGGATAGGGGAGGATGGCTGTATCACTCCTTAAGAGCAACAGGCAGCCAGGGACCCCAGCTCAACACCCACCGACACATGATGTCTACTGTGTTCTGAACATGCATAAGCATATAATTTGAACTGCATTGTTAGCCTTCAGGAAAGGGGCACCAGGAGCTGTGCTGGCCAGGTACCTAGATCATTTACTGTTCAAAACCAACCCAGGAGCTGAGCTACTGAGCTCAGCCTCCCTCTCTCAAGGCTGGGAAAGGAAAGTTCATCTTCACTCAGATGCAAGCTTCAAGTAGGCAGAGCAGCTGTCTCTTATTCACCCCTGGGCGGGGGCGGGGGGGGGAGGGGCGGGTTCCAGCACAGCACGTGGCTCATGGGCTGAGCCTCCAGAAGTATTGTTAGTGGATGGGAGAATGGATCTTCATATGGGCTTAGAGAGGTGAAGGGACTTGCACAAGGTCACCCAGCTAGTAAGCAGGGGGTGGAGCCCACTTTCAGGTCCAAACTGGCAAGCCTCAGCATAGGTCACTGTTGCTTTGCAAACTGGCAACCCTCAGCATAGGTCACACAGAGGGACAACTGAACGTTGTAGGACCAGGCTCTGCCTCCTTCTCTCTCCCCCGACCCACCTGCCACTCCTTGGAGCTCCTGGCTGAGGCGGAGCTTCACCCAGCCTGAGCTGAGCATGGGCATCCAGAGGCACTCCAGTCGGGGTCTGTTTCACAGAAGCAGGCCCTTCGTGAATATGCATGAGGGGCATGAGCTGGCTTCCACGCATGCTTCCTGCTCACCTCATCCTAAATCCTAAACCCGCAGGGCCATTGCCCCCTTGACTTGAGCACTAGGGTAAAATCTATTTTTGTAAAAACCTGATGGAACTTTTACTTAAAATAAGAGTTTTAAGTGTTTATGGAAACGAAATCTATCTTTTAGAAGCCACTGCATAAATACTTAACTGAAGAAGAGTTTGGAATGGGGCAAGCCTGAGTAGGAATCCGAATGCTATGGATCACCAGAAACATCATAACAGGCGAATTACCTACCCTCACTGAGCCTCAGTTTTCTTGTCTCTAAAACTAGGATAATAACACCTAGCTCACTGGGGTGAATGAAGATTAAGTCATTACATTTAAGTGAGATGATGCATTGACTTAATGTCTTGAATACTGTCTCTGGCACACAGCAATGAATAAATATGTGCTATTACTACTGATTCTATTAATGATACAATCATAAAAATGACTGCACAAGAAGGGACCTGCAGTCTCGGCTACTCAGGAGGCTGAGGAAGGAGGATCACCTGAGCCCAGGGCTTTGAGGCTGCAGTGAGCTGTGATCACACCTGTGAATGAGCCACTGCACTCCAGCCTGGGCAAGATACCCCATCTCTTTAAAAAAAAAAAATTAAGGCCAGGCGCGGTGGCTCATGCCTGTAATACTAGCACTTTGGGAGGCCGAGGCAGGTGGATCACGAGGTCAGGAGATTGAGACCATCCTGGCTAACACGGTGAAACCCCGTCTCTACTAAAAATACAAAAAAAAAAAATTAGCCAGGCGTGGTGGCGGGCGCCTGTAGTCCCAGCTACTCAGGAGGCTGAGGCAGGAGAATGGCGTGAACCTGGGAGGCGGAGCTTGCAGTGAGCTGAGATCGTGCCACTGCACTCTAGCCTGGGCGACAGAGTGAGACTCCGTCTCAAAAAAAAAAAAAATTAAAATTAAAAAAAGTCATCTGGTCCAAACCCTCAATACAGGTGGGGAAACTGAGGCCCAAGGAGGGTAAGCATGTTAGATAACTCCTGATAGTCCAACAGCATTTACTGCAGTGTTTAAAAAATAGTAGGCACGAAGTAAGCGCATTGAATAAATAATAACCACATATGAAACAACATATTCACCTATTCACCTAATGTGCTTCAAAACAGTTAAAAACAGGTCCAGTTGAATGGCATTCCCTCTGGCTCCTATCCAGAAGAATTCTTTAAAGAAAAGTTCTCAATGGGAGTCAACATTCATCAGCACCCGCACTGTTCGCTAAGGCAGCCACTAGCCTTCGATAATTTCAATTTATCAAATTGAATTCACTGATACTGAAATTTCAGTCCACTAAAATGAAATAAAACCAAATATTCAGTTCCTCAATCACACTAGCCACATTTCAAGTGCTCAAGAGCTGTATGTGGATAGTGATTATGGAACAGCCCAGATATAGAACATTTCCATCATCACAGAAAGTTCCAGTGGACAGCACAGCTGCAAAGAGAAGATATCATTAATGTGTAATTTCTGTTCTCATCCAGCAGATTTAGTTTCCTAAATCCTATTGCAAGGCAGCAGGAAGGGAAAGACCTCGTTAGCCTTGCTTTATTATGCAAATCTGCATATTCCTGTCAAGTCCAATCTCCCTCAGAAAGTTCAAATAGAGTATTATTAGGTGGCTGCGCGGGTCTACAGGGCAATGTCTGGGGTCTGAGGGCAGGTGAGAGTACACAGGATTTTATGAAAATGTGTTCTGTGCAAACACCTCACTTGTGCCGCTCTTCTCCACACCAGCAAACTGAGCATTCTTTAACACAGTTCGGCAACCGCTGGCCAAGCCTCACTTACATAAGAGTGCCATAAAAGACTGGGTCGGCTGCTTCTGCAAAACACCTGTGGTTTTGCAAAAGGATGTGATTTCTTAGAAGTCAGTAAACAGGCTCATTTCCTTTACAGTTAAATTTTGGCATCAGAATACCAAAATACTCTATGACCCCACCTAAGCTCACATAACCTTACTCCCCACCTTAAATGGTTGGGAGAGCAAAAGGCCCTGTGAGCTGGAACTGCCCAGGGTGCCAGCCTTGCTGCTGGGCCAGTGGCCACCATGCCCACCTCCACCACTTTCCTTTGAGGCCCCAGGAGGCTGGTACACACTCCAGGAGCCAGGAAGACCACTTGGCACCCTTAGCTCCTGGGACACTAGAACACATGGCCAAGTTATAAAGACTTCATATGCATCTTCTCATCTGGAGGTGAGGCCCTTTCAAAGCACACAGGGTGGAGAAACGTGGATAATATTTCACCCTCTATGTTAAAAAGAGGAGAAATGAAATATATTTGTATTTGCTTGTTATGCCTAAAGAAATGAGGACAGCAGGCCAGGCACGGTGGCTTATGCCTGTAATCCCAACATTTTGGAAGGTCAAGGTGGGCAGATCACTTGAGACCAGGAGTTTGAGCCGGGCCAACATGGTGAACCCCTATCTCTACTAAAAATACAAAAAAAAAAAAAAAAATTAGCTGGATGTGGTGGTGCACACCTGTAATCTCAGCTACTCAGGAGGCTGAGGCAGGAGAATTGCTTTAACCTGGGAGACAGAGGTTGTAGTGAGCCAAGATCATGCCACTGCACTCCAGCCTGGGCAACAGAGCAAGACTCTGTCGAAAAAGGGAAGAAAGAAAAGAGAAAAGAAAGAGAGGAGCAAAGGAGGAAAGGAAGAAAGAAAACCGAAAAAGAAAAAGTCCACATAAAAGCTTATCTCTGAAGATTTTTTTTTTTTTTTTTTTTGAGATGGAGTCTCGCTCTGTCGCCCAGGCTGGAGTGCAGTGGTGCAATCTCGGCTCACTGCAAGCTCCACCTCCCGGGTTCACGCCATTCTCCTGCCTCAGCCTCCCGAGTAGCTGGGACTACAGGTGCCCGCCACCATGCCCGGCTAATTTTTTGTATTTCTAGTAGAGACGGGGTTTCACCGTTGTTAGCCAGGATGGTCTCGATCTCTTGACCTCGTGATCCACCCGCCTCGGCCTCCCAAAATGCTGGGATTACAGGTGTAAGCCACCGCACCCGGCCCTATCTGTGAAGATTTATAACAGATTTACTCTCAACATCCAAAAACTGGAGGCAACCCAAATGTTCATCAACTGCTGAATGGTACGTCCATACCATGGAATACTATGGAATGCTCTACAGCAAGAAAAGGAAATATTAATACATGCAACATGAATGAATCAAATAAATCATGTTACACGAAAGAGGTCAAACACAAAAGACTCCATACTATCTGCTTCCATTTATTTACAATTATAGAAAAGGCAAAACCGCGGTGACAAAGCAGATCAGTGGTTGTCTAGGGATGGGGAACAAGGCTGTCTAGGAGGGGGAAAAGGGCCAAAGGGGCATGAAGGGACTTTTTAGGGTGAGGAAACTGTTCTATAACTCGATTGTGGTGGTGGCAACATGATTAGTACCAAAACTCAAACTGTACACTTAAAGCTGGTTAATTTTATTACTTGCAAATAATACCCTGATTAAAAACAAAAAAAAGAAGACCCTAGAAATCTTAGCTGTGGTTGGCAGGGGAGAGTGGAAGACACTGGGCATGTGAGAAGAGAAGGCAGTGTTTTATGTGTGTTGTGGTCTGAATGCTGGTACCCCCTCAAAATTCATATGCTGAAACATAATCCCCAATGCCAGAGTTAAGAGGTGAGGCCTTTAAGAGGTGATTAGATCATGAGGGCCCCACCTTCATGAATGACATTAATGCCCCTATAAGAGGCCCAGGGGAGCTGGCCAGCCCCTTCCACCATGTGAGGCGCTGTCTATGATGCAGAGAACAAGCCTTTGCCAAACACTGAGTCTGCCAAGACCTTGCTTACGGACTTCCCAGCCTTCAGAACTGTGAGTAATCAATTTCTGTTGTGTACAAATTATTCAGTTTAAGGTATTTGTTCCAGGAGCCCAAACAGACTAAGACAATGTATATATTTTTATTTTTGAAACCTGTGACTGAATTGCCTATTCCAAACTTGAGCTCTAATTCTTTCAAAGCCAACTGCAGAGGTGACTCTGTGCAATGGCTCAGGTAGAAGTGGTGTGGTCCATTGCTGGGTTCCTGTTGGTCAGGGATATAGGCACCAAAAGCTTAGAGGGTGGGGAGAATGAAAACCTCTGGATCTAACCAGAGCTGAATGTAGAAAACCATCTATCTCCTCTCCTCCCAGAAGCCAGTGCCTCCTGTCCTGGGCCTCTGGGCTCATGTGATAAAGACAAGAGCTACCATTTATTGGGCACTTACTATGTCCCAGGTGCTACGACTCATTTGACGTGCATTAACTCATTAACAGTGATAAGACCAACAACATGTACGGAGCCCTATATGTGCTAGGTATGACAGGCCTTCTTACCTGCTTGACCTCATTTAATTAGCCTCAAATCGATCCTATGACAAGGAACCAGTCCCAGAGAGTTAAGTGAAGCCCAAGGCTACACAGCTAAAAGTGTAAGGGAACAAAGATTTAAACCCAGGCAGTCTGGCCCCAGGAGCCCAGCTACCATCCATGACCAAGGACAACCCTTTTATTGGGACAGAGGCGACACTAATCACTGCACGCACTTAGGCTGAGGTGTGGTGGGTGGAGGATCAGACTCAGAGGTGAATCTGTGCTCCTGGCCTACTCCACCAGCTCCACAGCTCCGCCAGGAGGGTCTTTCACTCCCACACTGGGGAGGCAGAGCCAGATGCATGGAGCTATTCAAGGTCCTGCCTAGCTCCAAAGCCCTTACTCTTTGCACTAGACCAGGCTGCTTCCTTGGCTAATAAACAGTGAGAGCTGAAACCCAAACAAAAACAAGCAGCACACGTGAAGACAAAATGTTCCTGAGCTGCAACGTTTTTCAATCTTTTGAGCTCATAGATCACATGTCTAGGTCAGAGTCCTGAGCTTCCTCACGGCGCAGGTGATGTGAGAGGGGCTGAGTAACCTCGAGGTACCACTGAATGGCATCCTGCAGTCACTCAAAACGTGTGAGCCTGGAGGGACCCTGGTGCTCACATGGTCTGATATGCAAAGAAGAAAAAGAGGCATGGGGGATCGGGAATAGTTCAACATCACCCAGCACATCAGAGGCCAGGATGCAGTCCCAAGTCACGCTCCAGACTCCTGGTACAGTGCTCTTTTCACGCCTGCAGCATTTCCCATGGCATGCTGTGCAGGCCAATGGGGTTTAAGGGAGGTTTTAGAGAGCATATGGATGAATGCAGTTTAATAATTACCTATATTTAATATTCATAGGAAAAATATAACTAGCACATCAAACATGATTTTGTAGATGTTTCTGCTTACGAAGAGGCTAGATAGCGGTGTTAGGCTCAGGCCAAAGTTTTTTGTTTTTGTTTTTGAGAGAGGGTGTTGTTCTGTCACCCAGGCTGGAATGCAGGAGTTATTCATAGGAAAAATCCTAACACACAAGCTCCAGGGATCCTCCCGCCTCAGCCTCCCAAGTAGCTGGGACTCCAGATGCACCATCACACCCAGCTTTTATTTATTTATTTATTTATTTTGTAGAGATTGGGTCTCACTATGTTGCCTAGGCTGGTCCCAAGTGATCCTCCCACCTTGGCCTCCCGAAGTGCTGAGATCCACCATGCCTGGCAACTACGGGCACTGTGCCCAGCCCTCAAGCCAATTTTAAGGAAAGCCTCAAATAAATAATAATAAAAGTAGCATACAAATCCAGCAAACATTGTGCTGGTAGACAGCCACACTGGGCTCATTCCTGCAGTGCAGCAGGCTAAAGCAAGAAGGAATAAAAGGAAAGATAAAGCAAACAGAAGGGAGAAGGGAGGCAAAGAGAGGAACAGTCCCCTCCAGCGGCTCAGCTCTTGCGCTGAGGAGTGAGGCCCCCACAGCAGAGGACACGGATGTGCCACACTCATTCTCCCTACAAACTTATCTAGCCTAAGTCACCGCTCTTCTCACCCCAAACGTGCTAAGGTCCAAAGGTCCAAACACTGTGTATCAGCCCAATCACAGGGAGCAAATGGCCCTTTAACACCCGCCCTGAGACTACTATCAGAATGGCCTCCCTCTATCCCAGTATGTGGGACAGGTATCAGCTCAGATATTTAATCCATTTTCTTGCCTGAGTGATTCAGGTGTCCCCATTAAATTCTCTTCCATCTGCTGCATGCTTCCCAGTGCAGAGAGGCCAGAGGGCCCCCGAAAGCCTCCCCATTCACAAAAGCCCAAATGACCAGGGCTGTTTTGGTTTAAAGCACAATTTGGGTTCACATAACACCTCATTATGCTTCCCCGACATCGTTTCCACACCAGCATCAGATGCTGGGAACTAGAGCTTGAAAACACTGCAGGGCCGCAGAGCTCTCAAGAGCTGTGCCCATTCCACCCCTGCAGGGCCTAAGAATGCAGCCCTCAGCCAGGCGCAGTGGCTCACGCCTGTAATCCCAACACTTTGAGAGGCTGAGGCAGGAGGATCCCTTGAGCTCAGGAGTCCAAGGCTGCTGTGAGCTATGATTGAGCCACTGCACTCCAGCCTGGGTGACAGAGTGAGACCCCGCCTCCTAAAAAAGGGGGCTAGGCACTGACAATATGAACTCCAAACTATGCATATAGACTAAGACGCTGAAACAATATATTGAAAGGTTAACAGTGCTGCTGGCAAGCTAAGATTATGAATTATTTTTGTTTCTTCCCTCTTTTCTATATTTTCAAACTTTTCCATAATAAACATACTGCTTTTATAACAAAACAAAAAAACACAATAAACTTTTATTTAATGATACTATCAGGTTACAAAGGGCTCCCTCCTGATGGGGAGAGGGGTCCCTTGCCACTGGTGCTCACACTCAACCAAGCGCCATCCACTCCCCTCCACTAGCCTGTGGGCCTTTCACTAGCTCGGGGTCCCCAAGGCCTGGAACATAGGAGGCGCTCAGGGAATGATGATACACAGGGGTTGGGGGTGGAGTCGTGAAAAGGAAGTCAATGATAAACTCTGAGGTATCAGCTGTGCGGCAGGGTGGGGCGGAGCAGGGCAGGGCAGAGCAGGGCAGGGCAGGAGAGTGTACTGAAATAGAAGAGGGTAAATCAGAGCCTCCTTCCACCCAGGACTTCCTTCTCAGCATGGCCCTGCCTCCCACCCAGCTGCTTTGAAAGCTCTCCCACCCCTCACTCTTCTGGCTCCTCTGAGTTTAAATTAGTCATTTCCCCAGCACCCGCCATGCCCTCCTGGGCCACTGAGTCGGCACACGCCGTCTCTCTGCCTGCCATGTCTCTGGGCCCACCTCTCCTCCTCCTGGCAAATGAGCCCTCTCACCTCCACTTCAACAAAATCGGTCCCCTGGGACCCGTGCCTTGAATCTCTCAGCGAGACGCCTCCTTCAATGTACGGCTGCACTCAGACACAGCCCCTGACAGCAATTATCTTCCATTCTACAAGTCTGTCCGTCTGTCTGACTGGCTCCCACCAATGGTCTCCATATAGCGACGGCAAGTACCTTTTCATGCCCACCCCCAAGCTGGGCACACAATATTAATCAATGTCTCTTTGAATGAATGGACAGGGAGACGGGTACGAAGGCCAGCAGTAGTCAAAGGAAGCTTGGCGGTGAAGACGGGATAGGGCCAAGCCCTGAAAGGTAAGACAGAAAGACACAGGCAGGAGGGAACAGGCAGGGAAGGGGGAGCCACAAGCTGGTGGTGGCCAGAGGATTGTGGGTGCTCTACAGATGAACATCTTTTACGGCAGTAGATGACTATATGTTTATTTCAGTGTGTACTTTCTATATACAGCAATTGATATTGTTTTCCATTCATGGTAAGGACAAAGTTTCCTTCCTAAATAATTTAAGTTAAAAAGTGAGGAAACTTAAAGAAAAAATTAATAAATAACAGTTCTGGCATAGAGATTAATACAGCAAAAACCATGAGCTAACCTTAGAACACATTTTTGCAGGAAGGGAGTCCTCTCAACTTGGCCAGAACAGGGAGATTGAGGAAGTGAAGTGAAGCCTGCTAGGCAGGGAGGATGAGTCAGCTCAGAGGGCTCTGGGGACAGGCAGTGAGGCGGCGGCCACGGAGAGAGCATTTGTCAGAGCAAAGTGACCGGTTCAAGAAGGTGCAGAGAGAAAAAATACTCTACACTCTCCCTCCTGGGGACTTATCTCAAGGAAGGAAGATACTCAAAAGGAGGAAAAGAATACACACACACACACACACACACACACACACACACACACACACACGCCCGCCCACTGCAAGCAACAGAGAGCACAGTAAAGGGCTTGCAAATTGTTCACTTCTGTAATGCCCACAAGCACCCAGGTCGGGGGGTATTCCACAGAACCACAAGCCCAGGACAGACGGACTACTGTGCTTCACTCAACACTAGCACATCTTCCAAACTACAACACCGTCTTCACATGTCACATGTTAATGGCTGCATTCCATTCCATTGTGGCTTGAGCACAAGAGTTTGAGACCAGACTGGGCAACACGGTGAAACCCCGTCTCTACAAAAAATACAAAAATTGCTGGGTGCGGTAGAGCAAATCTGCAGTCCCAGCTACTCGGGAGGCTGAGGCAAGAGGACTGCTTGAGCCCGGGAGGTGGAGGCTGCAGTGTGCTGTCACCACGCCACTGCACTGTAGCCTGAGCAAAAGCATGAGACGCTGTCGCCAAAAAATAAAAAATAAAAAATAGTCCATTGCATAGATGTGCCACCATTTTTACCTACTGTTGGACAACCACTTTCTCCAGTGTCTTGTTACGATGATTCCTGTCCCTATGTACCCCATAAACATGAGCTACAGATCAAAGGGACCTGGGCTTGAATCTGGACCTTTCCTTAGATTTCTTCTTGAACTCAGGCCATTGGCATTCTGACTGTTCGACCCAATTGCCACGAAGCTCTCTCACAATGTCCTATTTGGAAAATGTGGTCTTTCCATGCATCACTGAAAAAGGATGTTCAAAGATGAGCTTTGAAACAGGCCTAAGTTTATGTGGCAGAAAAGACTCACACAAGAGTGTAGAATCTAGATTCTAGAGTGTTAGACATAGGACCTGATCCCAGTGCTCCAGTGGTTTACTGTGGGACCTTGGTCAAGCCCCAAACCCCTGTGAGCAGTAAAATTCCATGACACAGCAGAGGCTGAGGGCAAAGGCTTTTAAATTCAGAGCAGCTGGGTTCAAGACCTGACTCTGCCACTTATTGGCAATTTATATAAAGTCTAAATCTGTATCATTCTGAATTTACATAAAGGCCTAAATTCATAGGATCCCATGCTTAGAAGGATTCTGGGAAGGAAACGGAACGGTGCATGCAGAGGACCAGGTGAAGTGCACAAGAACCAATGCCACCACCTGGCCTGCCTTCCTAGCTCTGAGGCCTGCTGAATGCTAAGGCTGAGGTGTGAGCTGCTTGTACAGTGGCCCCCCTTTATCCTCGGGGGATACCTTCCAAGACCCCCAGTGGATGCCTGAAACCTTGGATAGTACCAAACCCTATATATACTGTTTTTTCCTACACATGCATACCTATGATGTTTAATTCATAAACCAGGCACAGTTATTATCAATAACTGATAACATCGAACAATTCTAACAACATACCATAATAAAAGCTACGTGCATGTGGTATTCTCTTCAAAATACTGGACTGGGGTTGATGGCGGGTGACTGAAATTGCAGAAATCGAAACTATGGAAAAAGGGGGGATGATTATACTTGTTCCAAAACGAGGCCCATCACCTAAGGCTTGGAAATCACTCTTTCCCCATTTGTTTCCCTTTAGATTCTGACATGTAATGAAATTCAAGTGGGAATTTTATCAGTTAACCCAATGCCTCAAACTGACACTGGAGTAAGTAGTCAAGCCTCTTGAAGCACTCGGAGCACAGACCCCAAGGGTGCAGGGCTGAGGATCCCACACTCACAGTATTTACATGTCTATGTTCTGACAATCAGTCACGTGATGGGAGGGCCCTTCGTTGGAACCATGGCAACCAGTTCTTGTCTGTTACGTCGAGAAATGCTTCCTCGGCTGGGCGCTGTGGCTCACACCTGTAATCCCAGCACTTTGGGAGGTCAAGGTGGGCAGATCACAAGGTCAGGAGATCAAGACCATCCTGGCTAACACGGTGAAACCCCGTCTCTACTAAAAATACCAAAAAAAATTAGCCAGGCGTGGTGGCGGGCGCCTGTAGTCCCAGCTACTCGGGAGGCTGAGACAGGAGAATGGCGTGAACCAGGAGGCAGAGCTTGCAGTGAGCCGAAATCGCTCCACTGCACTCCAGCCTGGGAGACAAAGCGAGACTCCGTCTCAAAAAAAAAAAAAAAAAAAAAAAAAAAAAAAAAAAAAAAAAAAGAAATGCTTCCTCAACAACCAATATGCATCTCACAGATAGTATGTAACCAAGATAAAAGTAGGATCCTTGAGGATATTCCCAGGATTCTCCTACGTGCTCTCCATCTGGAATACAGAAAGCTCAGAAACCATGGGCCATCAGCACACAGGGAAAACCAGTTCTGTGGCAGGCAAAAGGACAAGGGTATTCTAGTTAGAAGGTTGATAAACGCCTCCAGATAAAGTTATTAGAGGAAGGACAGATGAAATCAGTGTTTAAGAAAATGCGAGGCCTGTTTCCCAGGAATATTACCTAGTGCAAAGTAGGATGAAAAAGTAAGAGAGGTTGTCATGAACTGAGGACATGGAGACCCTACTCATCTCGAAGGCAGATGTTGCCATCTACAGCCTAGAGCTCTAAACCCTCTGAGGTTAGGGATCTCTTTCAACATCTCTGGGTGGCTCAAACCCTTGGGGCATGAACTAATAACCTGTCGGTTATGTAGGCAGGCAGCAGACTGTGGCCTCTGCTCGTCCCTGGCCGCAGGTGTAACACAGCCAGGGCAAGGAACCAGCTGGTCCTGAGTGTGAACACCAGCTTAGCCAATGACAGCTTTATCCTCATACTATGCTCTATTATTCCAGAGTCTGCCTGGATGTGTGCAGAGAAGAGGAGGAGAAAGGGAAGTGAGGGGCAGGACTATGCAGTACCCAAGGACTCAAAGGTGATTCCAGACCCTGACTACCGATTAGTAGTTACTATGTAGAGAATGAGGTTCCATTTTAGATGAAGAGCTGCAACTACTGCGCTTTCATTCTTCATTTTTTTTTTTTTTTTTTTTTTTTTTGAGCTGGAGTCTTGCTCTGTCACCCAGGCTGGAGTGCAGTGGCACGATCTCGGCTCACTGCAAGCTCCGCCTCCTGGGTTCACGCCATTCTCCTGCCTCAGCCTCCTGAGTAGCTAGGACTACAGGCGCCCGCCATCACACCCGGCTAATTTTTTGTACTTTTAGTAGAGACGGGATTTCATCATGTTAGCCAGGATGGTCTGGATCTCCTGACCTCATGATCCGCCCGCCTCGGCCTCCCAAAGTGCTGGGATTACAGGTGTGAGCCACAGTGCCCGGCCCATTCTTCCTGCATTTTAAGATGGGTTCCAAGTCATTAAAGCAAAACTGAGGGAGTCACCTAAGAAATACTCCACTTTCAGCTGCAGAAGTTTAAAAAACTCTAAAGAACATCTGTTGCAATCACTAACATAAAGCACTTTCCCCTGTACATGAAAATGACATCCTTGGATCAGACTCCAGGGTGCCTGCGAGGGACAAGTTTTAGAATCTGAAAGGAATGGCTTGAAAGGCCATCTCTGCCCCTTCCTAGCTGTGTGATGTTTTACAAGTATTTTTTAACTTTTCAAGGCCTCCATATCCACATCTGCAAAATGGGGGCATGCCAAGGCTATGGTAGTAATTGCATAAAATAATAACTACAAGGTTAAGCACAGAGGCCAGCCTAATCCAAGTCCCCTTGCATGATAAACCCCATAAGCAGAAGTGCAAAGGCCTGATCAGCTTAAAGGAGTGGCCCAAGAGCAAGCACCCTAGAGCCTGAAAGTCAGGATCTGTCCTTAGTGTGATCACTATTGCTTGCATTTTAGATGTACAGTATCCTTCAGCACAGTGATTTTTAGATCTGGCTGGGCATGGTGGCTCACACCTGTAATCCCAGCACTTTGGGAGGCCGAGGCAGGTGGATCACCTGAGGTCAGGAGTTCGAGACCAGCCTGCCCAACATGGCAAAACCCCATCTCTACTAAAAATACAAAAATCAGCCGGGCATAGTGGCACGTGCCTGTAATCCCAGCTACTTGGGAGGCTGAGGCAGGAGAATCACTTGAACCCAGAAGGCGGAAGTTGCAGTGAGCTGAGACCACGCCATTGCACTCCAGCCTAGGCAAAGAGAATGAAATTCTGTCTTAAAAAAAAGAGAGAGATTTTTAGACCCAATCCAATGGTGTTAATAGCATGACAAATGATGGAATTCCTATGGACAATCACAAGCCTGTATTAAATGTCCACATGGGAGAACTAAGCTATAGCATTTTATGTACATTCTTTTTTTTTTTTGAGACAGGGTCTCACTCCATCACCCAGACTGGAAGGCAGTGATGTGATCTCGGCTCACTGCAACTTCTACCTCCCAGGCTCAAATGATCCTCCCACCTCAGCCTCCCAAGCAGCTAGGACTACACGTGTGTGCCACCACATTTGGCTAATTTTTGTATTTTTTGTAGAGACAGGATTTCACCCTGTTGGCCAGGCTGGTCTCGAACTCCTGGCTCAAGCAATCCACCTGCCTCAGCCTCCCAAAGTGCTGGGATTACAGGTGTGAACTACCTCACCGGGCCCTATTTACAGTATTCTTACTTAATCCTCTGGACTACCCTGGAAGAGGACAATAGTATTTCCATTTTGCTGCTCAGGAAGTTGAGGCTGAGACATGAAGTGACTAGGTTCAAGCCCGCACAGTTCATAAGCAGCCACAGTGGGGTGTGGATCTGGGAGGCTCCTTTCGCTATACTACCCCAGGCTGCCTTCCAACAAGCCCTATTTTTCTTCCTGCATTCCTTTATCTTGCCCCCTTCTTAAACCTAAACCCTGACACTTCACATGCCTTAGAATCAAACACCTGCCCTTAAAATGAAATATCAAACCCTGAAGCAGGGCAGCTTGTAAGTACGGGGCAGTTTACCAATGCAAACGGGTTAGTAGAAGCTGAGAGTGCCTAGGAAGACCTGCCACCTTCACAAGAGGAGAAAATGGACCAGAAAATAAACACAGTACCTGTTGAGGGGGTCGTGCGGGTGACGAGGAGCATCTAAAGGCACCATACTTTGGCTGCCTCAAAGGCTCTGGGTACCAAATGTAACTGGCATGCCTGGGTGGGCCACTTACACCCAGAGAAACAAAAAAATTAAGTCTTCCAGAAGAGTGACTTGTATTATCACCTGAAACAAAAGCACCATTTCAAACAACTTGTTCATGGAGAGGCAGGTGCATGGTCTGCGAGGCCCAGAACTGACAAGGACCTGCAGGGAGCTATGGAGGAGGCGGGAGATCAGGTGTCCACACTAAGTCCAAGCTCCCAACACAAAGCAAAGGGAGTGTCCACATGCGAAGACCCTTCCGGCTCTAATAACACACTACGAGTCCATGTCACTGATAATAACATCGTGTTGTGGTTAATGTTAATAATTATGGTTAACACTTGCCTGGCTTTACACATATTAACTCATTTAATCCTCATAAAATCCATCAGAAATATCTACTTTTATGCTCACCATTTCTTAGACAAGGAGATGGAGGCACAGAGTGAAGGGAACTGCCCTGGTCTATACATCTTGGACCTGAAGCCAGGCTCTCTGGCTCCAGAGTCTGCCCTTCACTGCCCCTGGACTAGGAATCATGACTGCCTGGGATCACATAGAAACTCCAAGAAAGCCACCAGTGTGACTTCAGGCCAAGCGCTCAGCGCCCACCATGTGCACAGCGTTCAGTAAATGTCAGCTGCTGTTAGGATCACGGCTCCCACCACGGCCAAACCCTGACAAGGCCAGCACCACTGGGGCAGTCCTGAGCAGCAGAACCGCTCAAGAGAGCACTGCCCCATCTCGGGGGCAGACCCCGCTCGGCTCCTCTGTTCTCGACTGAGAGCCTGACACTGACAACTGGGTAGGCCCTAGGAGAAGCCAGGCTTGGCCGAGAGCTCAGGCCCAGAGATCTGGACATGGCTAGTCTCACAGTGGAATTGCCTGGCCCCAGTGTTTAGTCTGTATTAGGTTGAACCACATGAAAGGCTGGTTAATTCAACCCTTTTTTACCTAGGAAAATGGCAACTTCATATGGTTCAACCTAATGGAGGGAGGGATTCTTACATTTATTAAGGACCTACTGGACATTCAGTCATTCATCTAACACCTGTAGAGCAATGGCTGTGTCAGGGCCAGTGTGTAACACTGCTTCAGCACCCCAAGACTGAGAGCCAGGATTTTTCATCTTCCCTCCTAAGGATAAGAAACAAACTTACCAGGCAGAACAAGGGTAACCAACTCGATCTGCCTGAGCTCAGGTAACTACTAAAACAGGCCAATTTTGGCCAGGCATGGTGGCTTCACGCCCATAATCTCAGCATTTTAGAAGGTCAAGGCGGGAGGATCCCTTGAGCCCACAAGTTCGAGACCAGCCTGGGCAACAAAGTAAGACTCTGTCTCTAAAAAATAAGTAGATAGATAGATAGATAGATAGATAGATAGATAGATAGATAGATAGATAGATAGATAGGCAGGCAGGCAGGCACTGTGGCACATGCCTGTTATCCCAGCTGGCAGGCACTGTGGCACATGCCTGTTATCCCAGCTGCATGAGAGGCTGAAGGGGGAGGACTGCTTGAGCCGAGGAGGCTGAGGCTACAGTGAGCCAAGATGGAACCATGCACTCCAGCCTGGGCAACAGAATGAGACCCTGTCTCAATCAATCAATCAAACAGGCCAATTTTGTCTTTCCTCTCAGAATCCCTGCATCTTACACTGTATATGGTGACCAGGGCTGGGATGGGGCTTCATAGGAAAAAGCCAAAGGATCCTGCAAGGCTTTGTCACCCAATAGTCCCCATGGAGGGCTGTCGCAATGATTAAGATGTGCTGCTGCCACTCACGTCACAGGCAGGAAGAGCCAGGGACACTGACACTACTGCACAAAGAACCGTCCTGTCCAGTAGGCCAAGCCACACAGTGGCCGACGCTAGGCTAAGACTATCTCGCCCTTTCAGCTGAGTGGCTATCTTTTGGAAAACAGATTGCAGTTCACAAAGTTCCATCTCCTTGCATTTCAACAAGTGGAACCAAAAAAACCTCCTAAACAAAACCCAGACCTCTTCAGCCACTGTGGCTAGACGTACAGGGGAACCTCTCGGCCCCAGTTTCCTCATCTATAAAATAAACATCCCCATGGGCTGGTGCCAGAGAGGCAGGAGAGGGGAATTCCATCAGCATGCGCTGAGTGCGGTGGACCTGGACCTCCATGGCAACTGCCATTAACTAGCTGGGGGCCCTTCAGCAAGTTACTACACCTCTCTGAGCTCCGGTTTCCTTATCTGCAAAATGAGGAAACAGACCTCACAGGGTTGGTGTTGAGAGAATTACAGACAATGACTGTGGGCATCCGGTAAATACTGGCAGAAGGAAGGGGCCACTCTGTGAGTGAACACTCAATACCAGCCTACAGACTGAAGGTATCCTTCATTTCATGGCATCCCCTGATGCCTGTGCCATGAGTGCACTCCTCAAGACCAAGAATGGACTCTGCTTAACCACACCCCAGCCCATCCTCTCTGCCTGAACAAGGTCTCAAATCTCAGGACAACCAGGGGTCCACACCACCCTGTGCCCAAAAGAGATTTCAGGATAGAAGGTGTCTGGAGGGTATACACTGAGGACATGACAACAGCTCACATTGGAAATTCTCAGCAGAGGAACTAACAGCCAAGCCTGGCCGCTGCTCTTTTGGAGTCTGAGTTCCTCAGTGTCTCAAGACTTTTCACACCAGAAGGATGTGGTGGATTAAGGCTCCTCCTTCCAGTTTCTGAGCACAAAACTGCAACGCAGGGAGCCCACTCATGTGAAACCAACGACAGCCCATCAGGGTCAAAGCCTCACGACGGAGAAGCCTTCAGCAGCAACACTCTACCTGCCAATCACTGCTGCAACTGAGAAGGGAAAAGGGCACCGGTACCACCGGAAAATGCCACTGGCTCAATTCTAATTGGAAGCTCCAGCAGATAGGGTGCAATGCAAAAGCATCTTTTCATAACTTTTTTTGAAAGAAAGATGGGGTCTTACTATGTTGCCCAGGTTGGCCTTGAACTCCTGGGCCCAAGCGATCCTCCCACCTCAGCCTCCTGAGTAGCTGGGACCACTGACACACACCACAGCACCTGGTTTAACTTTCTATTTTAAGTTAAAGTACTTCACTTGGTAAATACGATGCCTGAATCCACTTACTAGGGCTCTGAGACAGCAAGCCCAAACACTGTTAAATAAGATACCGAGCCTAACTCAGGAGCATCATGCTGAGTTCAGCACTAGAAGAGGAAGCTGCACAGAGCAATTGAAGCAGAGGGTGGAGAAGTGCGGGGTCTGAGCCAGTGGTAACAACTGCTTCCAAGCTGCAATGTGGTAAGAGCTCTTGAGACCAGAAACCCTGGGCTGCTGTTTTCAGCAGTCTGGTGTTTAAACAGAATGAGCCCCTTAAGACCACTCTCCTTGGGCAAGGGACTCTACATCTTGGAGTCTCAGAAGAAGGAACTAGCACCTGCCTTCCAGGCTGGTTGGGAAGTTAAATGAAACACCACCTATCATCCATCCATGTTAACAGAATAACCACAATAATAAGAGATAACACTCCTACTGCACTTACAACGTGCCAGGCATCGTCTACACTTTCCACACATAAACTCAGTCCTCACAATCATCACTACGTGCCAGGTGAATGGCAACCACCAGGGTTGTTGCCTTACAAGACACGTGACGACACAACTGAAAACCTAACACTAGAAAGTTGTAGGCAAAGGCTCCTGTTCACAAGCATCCAGAGATGTCAGAAACATGTGGGGTGACCATAGGAGGAAGCACGGAAAAACGCAGGCAAGCAGCCTCCCTGCCTGTCTGACGCTGTGGACTTCCCCAGGCTGGTTCTGCACTCACTCCTGAGTCTTTCAGAACTTTGGACATACTTGCTTCCACCCGCTTCCTCCATTTAACCTTAAGACTCAGATGGCATATTCTATTAGGTCTACCTGACTGCTCAGTAGACATCCACGGAATGAATGACCCGATGGAAAAAAATCACTAAAGGGAGCATAGCGCAGTGCCAGGACTGCCAGGTGGGCCTCGGTTTCCTCACCTGCATAATGAGGGTGACATGAGAATCTGCCTCGTAGGGCTGGCTGGAATATTAAAAAGTCATCAGTCAAAACTAGCTCCTGGCCAAGTACAGTGGCTCATGCCTGTAATCCCCAGCACTTTGGGAGGCTGAGGCAGGCAGATCATGAGGCCAGGCGTTCAAGACCAGCCTGGCCAACATGGTGAAACCCTGTCTCTACTAAAAATACAAAAAATTAGCTAGGCATGGTGGTACGCACCTGTAGTCCCAGCTACTTGGGAGGCTGAGGCAAGAGAATTCCCTGAGTCTAGGAGACGGAGGTTGCAGGGAGTCGAGATCGTGCCACTGTACTCCAGCCTAGGTGGCAGAGCGAGACTCTGTCTCAAACAAACAAACAAAAAAAAACTAGCTTCTGTTATTCCTACAGCTGCCATGCAGAGCCCGCCACCCCACCATCTCCCTCAGCAGACTGGTGTCTTAGGCACCAGAACCTAATGCTGTGTGCATCAGGCTGAACTTGGTGCCACCTGCAGTCACAGAGTCACTGGCTGGATGGATCACTGGGCTACCCAGACTGAAATCCCCATTCAGTTGTTAACAGGCTCTCAAGGCTTTGCAGACACCACTATCTAGGATTTAGACTGACCTGAAATAGCTGTGTGTCAATGATAAACTGTCCAATCAGAACACCTACATGGGACAGCTCTGGGGCAGACCCCCTCAGCTCCAGAGGTGGTAAATCATTCCGTGTCACTCTGCCTTTATCTCCTTCCACCATCCCTTCCTTTCCACACCCACAGCTGCACAGTGGCCAGGACCCTCATAAGCTCACAAGCTGATGCTTGTGGAGGCCTCTCTCCCATCTCTTTCACCTCCCAGGCCTCCTGCATGCACAGCCAGAGGGCTCTTCCTAAAATACCACCGCTCTGCCAGCCTCCTCGAATTTCTACCTGCCCTGTCAAAAATTTCACTGGCTCCACACTGTCCCAGATCTAATGCAAACTCCTTAGCTTAGCAACTCAGGCACTCCA
The DNA here is from genome assembly GCF_000001405.40 of Homo sapiens. Taxonomy (NCBI): domain Eukaryota; kingdom Metazoa; phylum Chordata; class Mammalia; order Primates; family Hominidae; genus Homo; species Homo sapiens. The sequence goes on from NC_000001.11 coordinate 19,479,857, forward strand.
CAACTCACTCCTGAGACTGAGGCACCCCATGGGCTCGCATCTACTGCTTGTGTGACCACACCCCCTGACCTCTGCTTTTGTGCCAGTCCCCTTGACCATACCCCACCCTGTCCTCTCTGCCTGAGCACACTCTTCCCAGGCTTCATGCCCAGCCCCCAAGCCGACTGCAGGCTGGAGTGGTCTGCAGGGCTGCGTGGAGGAGGGGGAAATGCAAGCCAGGCCTGCAGGGATGGGCAGACCACAGCACCCATGGGTCCCTGGCTAAGTCTTTTCTAGTACTACTTCATTCCTGCTGCACTTGGCTTTTTGGACGCATCTTGCCTCCCCCTCCCAGATTAGAGGACAGGGATGATGGCTTCTATTTGTGTCCCTTATTCTGTGGTATGCAGAATAAGACATGCAACAACCACAGCTACTGTGTGCCAAGCACTGGAGTAAGTACATTACAAATTTCACCCCTACTCCCCATCTCTATAAAATGTTATCCTCATGCGACGGAACAGGAAAACTGAGACCAAGGGAATTAGCCGCCTCACTGACAGTCACATGCTGAGTGGCAGACAGGACTCAAATCCAGATGTGCCCAACTGCAGAGACCATGTTCTGTGGAGCAGGCAGCCGCCTCTCAGCTCTCACTCAGTGTTTATGTAGCTGGCGCTAAGTGCCAGGCGGCCAGTGCAAGGTGTGGGGTACTCAGAGGGAACCAAACAGACAAGGTCCCTGCTCTCACAGAGCTCATATGCTCTGTCCCCAGCCCTGTCTCTCTTCTTCCAAGCCTGGAAGAGGGCAGGAACCCTCCAGTCACAGGGGGTTCCACTGGCACAAACAAGGAATTCGGGCCTGACATATAGCATGAGGCTCTGGCAACACATGGTGCCCAGCTCACAGTGAGCTTGTCTTTAATGGAGAAAAGAGCCCCAGGCTCTATTAGGTAAGTTGTGCGTTCAAGGCACAACCCAGAGCCAGACAAACTCCAAAGCAGCCATCGGCAGGCAGTACGGAGTGGAGAAAAACGGTTTGCTCTGGAGTCAGAAAACCCAATTCCTCCACTTAGTAGCTAGACAGGGACTAACCATACACCCCTTTGCACACTTTTGGAAAATGGTGATAATAACAATAGTTAATGTTTACATCACTATGTGCCAGATGCTACTGGATGCACTTGACAGATATTACTTAACCCTCATTACGACCTTATGCAGAGGTACTGTTATCCTAAAGCAGTCTGGCTCCTAACTCTATTTTCTTGTACTATGCTGCCTCCAGCCTAAAGTTGAACCTACCTTGTCAGGCTGTGGTGAGGACCGTTCTAACAGAGTGCATAGCATGTGGCTGGTGCTCCATAACCATTAAACCTCCCTTTCCTTCCACTGAAACATGAATCTGTGAAAGCCTAGGTCTGGAAATAGCATATGGCTCTAGCTGGTCCCAATATGGGTGATCTTGCAGTTGCATCCCCTGGAATTCCACACCGCACCCTCACTGGTGGATCTGCTGCAAGGGGAAATGGGACAAGATCCTGTATTTACGGGGCCCTCTGCTCACTGTGTTCTGGAAAACACAGTGAGTGGGGTCCAGCACATGACTTGGGCTGACAGGGATCCGAATCCCAGGCCTGCTGTTCACACCGGTCACTCAAGCTCTCAAGCTTCAGGTTCCTTGTGAGTAAAATGGGGGCTGGGCTATAACCTAAGTCATGTTTCTGGGTCACAGCAGATCCTCGGGTACCCGGGTTGGACAGGCTGGACAAAGCTACCCAGGCTGGACTTCCAAGGTACTGTAAGGTTTCATTTCGGGGCCCCAGAAAGCCTTGGCTGTGCAGAGGAGCGGACTGCGTGCACGTGCAATCCAATTCCACCCAATGGCAGACACAAGAGAAGACACACCCCAAAAGGCCTGGGAGTGGAGCCTGGCACAAGCCCCCAGCTTTCTCTTCAGTTTCCTGCCATAGCTCATGCAGATGTGCCTGCAGGTACACTGAACAAGGCTCTTTCCCCCTTAAGCTTTAGGTAACGATGACATCCCCACCCCTCAACAATGTGAGCCATGAGGGCAGAGATCCTTGTCTTGCATCCTCAGCACATAAGCACCACAGAGTAGGCACTTAATACACAAAAAGCTGAATTAACATTATCCTGTAGCTGCAGGTACCCCACAACATGCCTCAGTATTTGCCTAACAATAAGCATTTCCCAGCCTGGAGGGAGGGCAGGCTTCTAACGGGCGAGGCACCTGCCCTGCCACCATTTCCCTGTGGTCAGTCATGTCCTGTTCCCCACCTCATGGAATGTAAAAGTATAGGATGTCTGAGTTATAAATAGGAGCATCTGCTTTCAAAGACACGGCTTATCATTTCCTTAATCTCAAGCCACTGATCACTGCCTACTTTTTATAAGCATGCCACCAAAAAGAGGCCAGGTGGGCTTAAATGAACAGGGCTGTATAGACAGACAAGAGGGATGTGAGTTGAACAATGTGTCTTATCCACATCAAGAGACATTAATGTCAACTATGTTGTTTCACCTTGTAACAATACCAAGTTCCCATCAGCTCCTGCCAGGCAAAACCATCTGTGAGCTGGAGCAGCAATTCCTGAGGGGGCCTCCCTAGTCCCCGTTCCTGCTAAAGCCTCACCATCATCATAACTAAGAATAATTCCCAAGTCAGAAACTGAAGCTGTGTAAGGAACGGTGCTCTGAAATTGTACAGCACTCAGACAGTGGTAAGATTATTACCTGCTAAGGGAATGCAAATAAATTCCATTTGCCTATGCATTTTAACTGGGAAGGAGAAACTCATGCCAACAAAAATCATGGAATTCATTCCAAAGTCAAATGCATTTTAGATTCTCAAGTCACTATTTCCCTCAATGGATAACAGAGATCTAGCTGTATTCTCTACCATCAAATCTACTGAAAATGAAAAACATGGTGATCTGAATTCATTTACCTACAATGCAACCTCACACCACCACTTCTGTCCTACGCCAACCATCTACACCGGCTTAATGGTCAGAGTATTCAAATAGGGGATAAACGTAACAATAAGCAGTCAGAAATTACAAGGCTAAGGGATACTAAGAACAAGTGACTGAGAGAATGAATATGAAATCCAAGCAGGTAAGTTCATGGACACAGACACATGCCAAAGAGAACATTCCAAGTGGTTTCTTCCAACGCCAGGTGCTGTTCTAGGCCCCACGGATACAGCTGCGGAAAACACAAGACACAAATCTCTGCCCTCCAAGAGCTCATTCTGGCCCATGCTAAATATGCCTGTATCACCATACAGCTATTTCACTATAAACATGATTTCCTATACAAAGGATCTAAAATACAATACATGGGCAATAAATACTGCTCCTCCCCCCTTGCCATGTTTGAATATCCCATTTTATGTTTTTCAAACGGTATCATTAAACCTTCTGACATACAAGCAGCTTGGTACAATGGGAAGAACAGTTTAGAGCCTGCCAGATGGGCTTCCACTGACCAACAGTGGTTCCTCCACTGGCTGAGCAACACCCTGAATAAGTCACTCCACCTCCTGAGCCTCAGCTGCCTCATCTATAAAATGGGGACAGCCCCAGAAGGGCTTCCTGTGGATGAAAACAGCTTGTACAGGTGAAGCACACCACAGTGACTGGCAGACAGTTCCTCCACCCTTTCCAGCCTTTTCAGATGAGAGCTGAGTACAAGACTCCTGAGAAGCTTCAGGTGTCATGTGCTCCTCCTGGGGGACTGAGGCACTTTCCCATCACCTGGCGAGAATCGCTGCTTCCTGCCTTATACTTTGTCCTGAGTGCACACTCAGGAAACTTCAGCCCACTTTCAAAGTCCTCACCCACCACTGCCCTGGAGAAGTCGTTCTCCATCAAGGCCTGGGGCCAGGCCCACCTCCCCAAACAAGGAGTTTTCAGCCAAAGTTACTGGACAAATCCGAAGGCCTTAAAAGTGGCATTGCCCATGTTTTTAATCAGCATACAGGAAGGCATCAAAAGAAAGCTTAACCCATCTCAACTACTCACCCTCGTTCAGCAGCAACATCCCTTGACTAAACAAGGAACCATGGTCCTCAAAACACTTTGAGGCCCAAAGTCCACATACAAACATGCTCCAAAAATCCCTTGATCCTGTCAGGAAGAAGTTCTCTGGCCCTTCCAACCTAAGTGCTGGGCCTGTCCTGCAGAAGGGTCAAGTGGCAGGAGGGCAGGTCTATCTGTGGGGGCCTATGTGAAACCCCAGGTTCCTCAAAAGTCTGGATAGCATCTGCCTTCTTTACCAAAACAAACACCACGAGCGGAGCCAGCACTCTCCCTAGGCGTTCTGCTCACCTGATCCGAGGGACTTCCATAATCAGCAGTTCCAACCCTTGCAAGCTGACAGTTCAGAGGGAAGGGGAGGCTGCGCCTGCTTGGGTGCATCGTGTCCAGGCCATATGCTGGATCCAGGGCCTGGTGGCCCCCCAAGGCCACGGCCTCACAAGGGCGATTGTGCGTTCATCCTTGTCCTGTGGGCCACCCATCCTCGCCCCTCGGCTCCCACTCAGGCCCGGGCGCCGTGGACCCCGGCCTGCCCTGCAGAATGCTTCGCACGCACAGCACCCACGGCGGCAGCCTCGAGAAGGGCCCGCAGAGCAGCGCGCTGCCTTCTGGGCACACCGATGCCCGCCCTTCCCTCGCTGGCTCCTAGGCGGCCTCCCTAGAAGCGGCAACTGAGAAGGCACAGCACCGGGACCACCCCATCCCTGATGGAGAGCTCCCCTCGCTCCCCAAAGGCTGCAAAGAAGGCGCGCCCCAGGTACAGGGAAGGGGACCCTGGGTCGTGCACCAGGCAGGGGGCAGGACCCTGATGAGAGGCTCAGGGCGGGGACCGAGCGGGGCTGACGCAGGTTACGCTAGGAGTGGCGAAAAGTCCAGGGAAGGGGATCATGGTGGGGAGGGGGCAGTGAGGTCCAGACGGGGGCCATGGGCGGAGAAGAGGAGGTCCAGATTTAAGTTCACAGAGAGAAGAGGAGATTCAGGCTGAGGCCACGGAGAAGAGGGGAAGCAAACCTAGGCCGCTGCAGAAGGGGCTGACCGGGGTCCAGCCTGAGGCCATGGAGAAGGCAAAGGGGGAGGGACAGAGGGAGGCAGCGGCCTAGCCTGGGCCATGGCAGGGAGAAACGACGGCCTAGCCTGGGCCGGAGAGACGGGGGAAAGCAGACCTAGCCCTAGACCGGGGGAGGAAGGGGGCCCACGCCAGGGTCACCGAGGGGGTGCCTGGCTGGGGACACGGTTCGGGAGGGAGGGTCTAGCCTGGGCTATGGGAGAGACCAGCCTGAACACAGAGGTAGTGAGTGGGACTCCAGCTTGCGCCAAGGGCGGGGGCTGGGAGCGGGGGCAGGGTCACTGCCACCCAAGTCGTCCGCGCCGGCGGCACCCTCCTGGGCGGGGAGGGACCGGGTCCACCCAGGGTCCGGGACCCCGCCCCTCCCCCACCCCGGGAAGCCACCCGTCCCAGGCCAGGGATGGGCAGGGGGAGGGGGACGCGAGCTCCGGAGGGGCCCCCGGGCCGGGGAGGGGGCCGTGCGGCCTTTACCATGGTGGCGGCGGCGGCGGCGGTCCCGGTCCCGGCGTCAGTGGCTCTCCCCCCCGCAGCAGGGCCCGGCGCTTCCACTTCCCCGGGTGCCCAGGAGTGAACATCCGGGTCAGCACCCCCCTCCCCCCGCGCCGGGCCGCCGCCACCTTCCTTCCCCGCCCCGGCCCGGCCCGGGCCCGCCCCCCACGCCGCCAGCTCGCGGCCAATGAGCGCGCGGGGCTGCGGCGATCGCCAAGTATGGAGAGCGGCGCGAGAGGCGGGCGCCGACGGGGTGCGGGGGCGGGGCCTGCGAGGCGGGGCGGGGCGCGGCGCTGCGCGGCGCGGCTGCCGGGAGTCCCCGGCACGGGTTGCGGGCCGGGGCGGAAAGGTCTCCTGGCTGTCTGAGGTCCAGTCCCCGACTCTGGGCCTGCAGCAGCGAGTGGCGGCGAGGGAACCGCACCCCACAGTCCCCGCGGGCGGGGATGCGGAAGGCACCGCGGCTGGGAGGGGACCGGCCCTCCGCGCCCCACCCCGTGCACGCGCTCACTCCTGCGGCGCACCCGGAACTGCCGCCGAGCGCGGACCGGCCCGGCCCAGCCCAACCCAGCCCAACCCAGCACTGGGGGAGCGCGCCGGGAGCGGGGCAGGAGCCCAGCGCTGCCGCTCGCTACGGCAGGATCTGGAGCGCCGCGCTGCACCTGAGCCCGGGCACGAATTGAGGAGCCTCGGGCTGACGCCATTTATTCAGCACCTACTATGTGCCAGGCCTTGTTTAGGCACCGGAAGATAACAGATAAGACATAAAGATCCCTGCCGGTATAGCTGCAGACAGAATATCTGTGAGGATGACACAGGTAGAGATTAGAAAATTAAGTTCAACAGGTCGGCCGCGGTGGCTCACGCCTGTAATCCCAGCACTTTGGAAGGCCGAGGCGGGCCAAGGTCAAGAGATCGAGACCATCCTGGCCAACATGGTGAAACCCCGTTTCTACTAAAAATACAAAAATTAGCTGGGCGTGGTGGTTCGCTCCTATAGTCCCAGCTACTCGGGAGGCTGAGGCAGGAGAATCGTTTGAACCCGGGGGCAGAGGTTGCAGTGAGCCAAGATCGCGCCACTGCACCCCAGCCTGGCGACAGAGCAAGACTCTGTCTCAAAAGAAAAAAAATTAAGTTCAACAAATGCTAGCTGTTATGAGTACTGTTGAATGTGCTACAGAGAACCATTCCATTAGCCCAGAAGGGCTTCCTCGCTCCACAAAGTGACTCAAGTTTCTCTCTCCCAATCTCTCTCTCTCTCTCTCAATCAAATATTTGTTAAGCTTAGTCTAGGTAGCAGGAGAGATCTGGATTGCTAACAATATCTGCCTCCGTGGCCTGTTTGCTTTGGTTAAATCAAATTAGGCGATCTGTGAGGGGATGGTAAACTGCACAGATGACAGGAATTGTTTCCCTGAGCCAGGCCCTGTCCTCAGGGAGCTCATAGACAAGTCGAAGCTTTCACAGGTAGCCACTGGCAGAAAAAGCATACGGGTAAGTCTCGCAAGAATGGTATTGGATGAGTATTACAGAAATTCAAGGAAGAGAATGGCACACGCAGTAGATACTTATTGAGCATCTGCTATGTGCCAAGCACTGTGCTAGGCTCTGGAAATAGAGCAATGAGCAAAATAACCCACATGGTTGTGGAGCTTGAGTGTTGTCAGGGAGACAGTCGGCCACCAGGCAAATACAGTGTCCAAGGCCAGGCACAGTGGCTCACGCCTGTAATCTCAGCACTTTGGGAGGCCGAGGTGGGCAATCGCTTGAAGTCAGGAGTTCCAGATCAGCCTGGCTAACATGGCGAAACCCCGTCTACTAAAAATACACAAAGTTAGCCGAGGCCGGGCGCAGTGGCTCACGCCTGTAATCCTAGCACTTTGGGAGGCCGAGGTGGGCGGATCACGGGGTCAGGAGATCGAGACCATCTTGGCTAACACGGTGAAACTCCGTCTCTACTAAAAATAAAAAAATTAGCTGGGCGGGATGACGGGCGCCTGTAGTCCCAGCTACTCGGGAGGCTGAGGCAGGAGAATGGCGTGAACCCGGGAGGCGGAGCTTGCAGTGAGCCGAGATCGCGCCACTGCACTCCAGCCTGGGCGACAGAGAGAGACTTCGTCTCAAAAATAAAATAGTAATAATAATAATACAGTGTCGGGTAGTGATTAGAGATAATGAGAAAAATTCAAGCAAACAGGTAGGCAGGCAAGGCCTAACTTAGCAATATTTGATCATATAGCTGAAGGGAAGGAGGGAGCAAGCCGTGTGGATAGCAGAGGCACAAGGAGCAGCAAGGGTAAAAACCCTGAAGGTGACAGTGCTGCATCAGCACTGGTGTGTTTTCAAGGGCCAGACAGGAGGCCAGTGTGGCTAGCCTAGGTCGAGCAGGAGCTGAAGGACAGGGCAATGACAAGATTTGACCTAGGCTTTAAAAGGATCATGAGGCTGCTGTGTTCTGAATGGACTGTAGGGGGACTAGGGCCTTAGAAAGCCATTTCTATATTGAGGACATTTATTTATTTAAAAAGCACTGATATGGCACATCCTATGTGATGAACACTGTTAAGCACCTTACAGATAATAAGCCATTTAATCCTCATGACAGAAGCCTGAAAAGGTAAGGAGCTTGCCCAAGGTCACACAGCAGAGAGATGAAGCTGGCTTAGACCAGGGTAGTAGCATTGGAGATGGCAAGAAGTAGATAGTATTCTAGGTATTTCCTGATGTATTGGTGGTAGGCATGAGAAGAAAGGAATCAAGGATGATGCTAAGATTTTTTTTTTCATATTTAAAGACTTTGTCTTCTGTTGTTTTTTGTTTTGAGACAGTGTCTCAGTTCTGTTGCCCAGACTGGAGTGCAGTGGCGCAATCATAGCTCACTGCAGCCTCAACACCCCCGGACTCAAGTGATCCTCCCACCTCAGCCCCTCCCCACCCCCGCCCTGAGTAGCTGGGACTACAGGCGTGCATCACCGTGCCAGGCTAATTTTTTTGTAGAGACTGAGTCGCACTGTATTACCCAGGCTGGTCTCGAACTCCTGGGCTTAAGCAATCCTCCCACCTCAGCCTCCTAAAGTGCTGGGATTACAGGCATGAGCCACTGCACCCGGCCAAGACTTTGTTTTTTAGAGCAGTTTTAGTTTCACAAGAAAATTGAGAGGAAGGTACAGAGACAATCCATATATACCCCCCTGCCCCACATATGCAGAGCCTCCCTGAATTGTCCCCATTCCCCACTAGTGTGGTACATCTGTTGCAAATAACCTGCATTCATACATCGTGATCACCCAATAGTTTACATTAGGGTTCACTTATACAATCTATGGGCTTGGAGAAGTGGATAATTACATCTAGCCACCGTTAGAACCATCATACGGAATATTTTCACTGCCCTAAAAATCCCCCGTGTTCCACCTCTTCATCCCCTTTCCCCCAGCTCCTGGCAACCACTGATCTTTTTACTCCATAGTTTTGCCTGATGCTAAGGTTTTTGGCTTAACACTGGAAGGATTTACCATTTATTGATCTGGGGAAGACTGTAGGAGGAGCAGGGTTTTTCTGAGGAGAGGGTTGTGGATAAGAGGGAGCAAGTTATGTTTGAGATGCCTATTGGAGATTTTTTTGTTTTTGTTTTTGAGATGGAGTCTCACTCTGTCGCCCAGGCTGGAGTGCAGTGGTGCGATCTCGGCTCACTGCAGCCTCCGTCTCCTGGATTCAAGCAATTCTCCCACCTCAGCCTCCCAAGGAGCTGGGACTGCAGGCGTGCGCCACCACGCCTGGCTGATTTTTGAATTTTTAGCAGAGACAGGATTTCACCATGTTGGCCAGGCTGGTCTTGAACTCCTGACCTCAAATGATCTGCCCGCCTTGGCCTCCCAAAGTTCTAGGATTACAGATGTGAGCCACCATGCCTGGCCTCCTACTGGAGATTTTTTATTTTATTTTATTTTTTTTGAGACGGAGTCTGGCTGTGTCGCCCAGGCTGGAGTGCAGTGGCACAATCTCGGCTCACTGCAAGCTCCGCCTCCCGGGTTCACGCCATTCTCCTGCCTCAGCCTCCCGAGTAGCTGGGACTACAGGTGCCCGCCACTACACCTGGCTAATTTTTTTTTGTATTTTTAGTAGAGATGGGGTTTCACCATGTTAGCCAAGATGGTCTTGATCTCCTGACCTCATGATCCGCCCACCTCGGCCTCCCAAAGTGCTGGGATTACAGGCGTGAGCCACCGCGCCAGGCCCCTCCTACTGGAGATTTAAATGGAGATGTCAGGTGGGCGTGGTGGCTCACACCTGTAATTCTAGCACTTTGGGGAGACAAGTGGATCACCTGAGGTCAGGAGTTCAAAACCAGCCTGGCCAACATGGTGAAACCCTGTCTCTACTAAAAATACCAAAATTAGGTGGGCATGGTGGCACATGCCTGTAATCCCAGCTACTCAGGAGGCTGAGCCAGGAGAATCACTTGAACCCAGAGGTGGAGGATGCAGTGAGCAGAGATTGCACCACTGCACTCCAGGCTGGGTAACAGAGTGATACTCCATCTCAAAAAATAAAAATAAAAATAAATAAATGGAGATATCAAATAAGTAATTAGATATGGAAGTTTGGAGTTGGGGGAAGAAGTTAGAGCTGTGATAAACTTATGAGAACTGTCAGCTAGTAAATGGCATGTAAAGATACTTGAAAGCACAGACATCTTGGTGAACTCACTTTGTGGGTGAATGTAGAGAGAAGAGGTCATGAAGATAAAGAGGAACCAGCAGAAAGACTGAGAAGGAATGACCCGCGAGGCAGGAACAGGACCAAGAAAAGGTGGTGTCCTTCTTGGATACCAAGGGATGGAGGCCAAGCCTGAAGGAAAGTTCATTCACTGGACAGGTCACTCCACAGATTGGCTGCCCACTGCTCAGATCCTGCCCCTAGATCCATCAGCTATTGCTATGAGCATGGAGACACATGGCATTAAACATGGTCATCTACAAGGGGTTGTGAATTGGTATGCAGGCACTATAAATTTTGTTTATTTTAAAATTTTTTGGCCAAGCATGGTAGCTCACGCCTGTAATCCCAGCACTTTGGAAGCCTAGGTGGGAGTATTGCTTAAACCCAGGAGTTCGAGACCTCACTGACAAAGTGAGACCCCGTCTCTATAAAAAAGTCAAATAATTAGGCATGGTGGCACATGCCACTGGTCCCAGCTACACAGGAGGCTGAGGCAGGAAGATTCCTTCAGCCCAGGAGATTAAGGCTGCAGTGAGCCATGATTGCACCACTGCATTCCAACCTGCACAACAGAGTGAGACCCTCGTATCCAAATAAATAAATAAATAAATAAATAAATAAATAAATAAATAATAACTTTATAATTTAAATAGGGACGGGATCTCACCATGTTGGTCAGACTGATCTTGAACTCCTGGGCCCAAGTGATTCTCCTGCCTTGGCCTCCCAAAGTGTTGGGATATCAGGTGTGAGCCACAACATCCAGGCCATAAATATCTTTAGCAATGTTTCTCGTCTCATCCTCTTTTAAAGACCCTAACCCCCTTGAAGTTCATACTGTGATATTTTTCCACCTGCCACACCCTTTTTTTTTTTTTTTTAGCTTTCATGAACTTACCTCCATCTCCCCTTCTACACTTTCTTTAGGACTTCAGCATCCATAAGCATAATCCACCAGAAATCTTACTGACTTCTCCCTGATTTCTTCCCTACCAATCAGTTTCCTTTGCCTCTCTCCAGGTCCCACTCCTGTGGTCTTACCCTGGCCTGTTCTCGCCTTTAACTGCACTATCTCAGAAATCACAATCACACTGGCCAGGCATGGTGGCTCATACCTATAATCCTAACACTTTGGGAGGCTAAGCCCAGGATTTTGAGACCAGCATGGGCAACATGGCAAGACCCCATTTCTATAAAGATTTTTTTTTTTAATTAGCCAGGCATGGTGTCATGTACCTGTGGTCCCAGCTACTTGGAAGGCTGAGGTGGGAGAACCTCTTGAGCCCAGGAGGTTGAGGCTGCAGTAAGCTGTGTTTGTGCCACTGCACTCCAGCCTGGGCAACAGAGTGAGACCCAGTCTCCAAAAAAGAAAAGAAATCACAGTCACAAAGATCTCAAATCTGAGTCTAACCCGCTTACCATAGTATCACCACAAAAGCATTTCCTCAACCTCATTATTTCTTCAACCTCATCAAGACCTGCAAACCTTTGTCCCTGCCAGATTTTCACAATTACCTTCCCCTTCATGCTCACATCCCACCTGACCCAGCTTAGTAATGAGTATGATACTAACTCCCTTACAAAAGCCCAGAACCCTTTTACCTCCACCTTTTTTCATCAGAACATCTGAACATTGGCTGGGCAAGGTGGCTCATGTCTGTAATCCCAGCGCTTTGGGAGGCTGAGATGGGCAGATCACTTGAGGCCAAGAGTTTGAGACCAGCCTGGCCAATATGGGGAAACACTATCTTTACTAAACATACAAAATCATCCAGGCATGGTGGTGGGCGCCTGTAATCTCAGCTACTCAGGAAGCTGAGACAGGAGAATCGCTTGAACCCGGGAGGCAGAGGTTGCAGTGAGCCAATATCACGCCACTGCACTCCAGCCGGGGTGACATAGTGAAACTCCGTCTCAAAAAACAAAACAACAACAACAACAAAACCATCTGAACATTGCTGGAAAGTTGAAAGTGATTGCTCTTCCTTTAAGGTGAGGTCCACAAATTTCAAACGAGCCCTCAAGCCTGCCTAGCAATTCTACTGTATTACTCCACTGTAGCCCCCTGCTCACACTCTTAAATGGTGATTTTTCATCCTTCTTCCTCCTCAAGCTTCCTTTGTCCCCTTTGCATCCTTCTCTCTAAGCAGATGGCCTTGCCTCACACTTCACAGAAATAATGGAACCAGACAGGAGCTTATCATCTACCAACATCTCTGCACCTTCCCCGCAATCTTTGACTCCCCAGATTTTACAATAAATGAAGCGTTTTTGTTCCTATCAGAGTCACCCCTCCACTTGTTCTCTGGATCCTTCCTTCCTTAGTCACCAGTTTCTCCCTTGGTACTGGATCATTCCTATCTGCTTCAGAAAACATGCTCTAATAGCTCCTATCATAAAAAAAAAAAAGTTTTAAGAACCACCACTCAAAACTCCTGGATCCTGCGTCTCCCTGTAGCCACTTCCCCCATTTTTCTGCTCTCATTCACACCAAAACCTTGTAAATTCTTTGCAGTTGTTGATTCCACACCTGCTCCATTTTCTCCTCCAGTCAGTCTGATCAGGCCTCTGCCCCCACCTGCCCAGGAAGAGACATTGCTCTCCTCAAGCTGACCTGGGAACTCGATGTTGCAGAAGCCAGTGCTCACTTTGGGGACTCATCTTACTCCTGGCTTCTCCTCCTTCATGTACCTCTCTTGGCTTGCCTGAGATCAGTAAGGCTACCACATCCCAGCACATAGCATGGCAGTTACACATAGTAGGGGCCCATAAGCATTTCCTGATTGGAGGCAAGGTGGAAAGGAAGCCTTCTCCTGGTGCTCAAGTTTCCCCTGAGTTTCCTTTGATGGTTCTTCCTTTCCTGAAGGCTTAGTTCTGGGACCCTTGTTCTTCTGCATCTGAGTCCTCTTTTGGTCATTATGGACCTAGGTGTTCACCTAGAACATAATCAGTGCTCAATGAAGGTATGTGAATGAAGATAATAGTATCAACAGGATAAGATTATTGTGTGAATAAACAAAGAATGAATAATACAGCTACTTTTTCATGAGTACTTGCTATGTGCTAAGCACTTTTTGTGTATTATAGACTCCTCCCAACCATCCTTTGAGTTAGGAACTTTTTTTTTTTTTTTTTTTTTTTTTGGAGACAGGGTCTCAGGTTGGAATGCAATGGCACAATCTCGACTTACTGCAACCTCCGCCTCCCAGGCTCAAGCAATCCTCCCAACTCAGCCACCTATGTAGCTGGTACCACAGGTGTGAGCCACCACTGCTGGCTAATTTTTATATTTTTTGTAGAGACAGATTTTTGCCATGTTGCCCAGGCTGCTCTCAAACTCCTGGGCTCAAGCGATCCCCCCACCTCAGCCTCCCAAAGTGCTGGGATTATAGGTGTGAGCCACCATGCCTGGCCAGAACTTTTATTATTACCAATTTATAGAAGAAGTTGGGTCTTAGATGAAATGACTTGCCTAAAGTCACACATAATACGTGGATGGATTTATTCTCACTTTGGTCTTCCTGACTCAAAATCTGTTCTCAGAATCACCAGATTGAGATCATAGGTAGGAAAGGGCTTTGTAAGCTGCAAAAGGCAGTGCTACCACATCCCGGCACATAGAATGGCAATTACACATAGTAGGTGCCCATAAGCATTTTCTGAATTGAGGCAAGGTGGAAGGGAAGCCCCAAGCCATATAATACCATCACCTGAGGAAGGAAGCAGCAACCTTGAGGTCCTTGAAAGACAGCCTTCTACCCTATGCCAAATCAGCTCATACAGGACCCATTAAAGCAGACATTGCCCAGAAGTTGCCCAACATCTGTCTTTCCTTCTTCAATTACATCTATTAATTGGGTTAATAAATGCACAGTTATCCCAGGAGCTGGGGATTGCCTAGCTCCTAAATTACCTCCCGTCTAACAGGTCTGGGCCTGTTTCCTAAGTTGGGCATCTTCTCAAGTTACTAACACGGTTTTAGGTGTTTTACCGTGTCTTTAGAAATGCCTGAGAACCCTTAGAATAAGCCAGATTTTAACCCCTCAATACACTGAATTCTACAGCTAGCCGTATTGCCTGAACATCCTAACTCCATATACTGAAGTTTCAATGGGATTCAATTTAAGAATCTTTGTTACCGGCCGGGCATGGTGGCTCATGCCTATAATCCCAGAACTTTGGAAGGCTGAGGTGGGCGGATCACCTGAGGTCATGAGTTCGAGACCAGCCTGGCCAACATGGTGAAACCCCATCTCTACTAAAATACTTAAACTAGCTGAGCGTAGTGGTGTGCACCTGTAATCTCAGCTACTCAGGAGGTCGAGGCATGAGAATTGCTTGAACCTGTGAGGCAGAGGTTTCAGTGAGCTGAGATCACGCCACTGCACTCCAGCCTGGGTGACCACAGAGACTCTGTCTCAAAAAAAAAAAAAAGAATCTTTGTTACCAAGAGTTCCAAGAGGGAGGGAACACCACATGGCAAGGCCATCTGCACCATCATTCAGTTGGCTTCGAGGTCACTGCTGGGGTACCTCCCAGGTATGAATACCGTCTCTTTCCTACAACTTAACCCTGTCTCATTTTCAGACATTTAGTTTGGGTGGGGTTCAGCCCACCCCCAGCTCTAGAAGAGAGGATTCTGATTGACCAAAGTCAAAGTATAGCCTTGGCCATGCTAATTGGTTTGCAGATCAGCCCCTGACCTAATTTGGGCCAGGGTGCTTTCTGCGGAACAGTAATCAAAATGAACTCGGCCTGAAGAGGGGCAGTTCACCAAGTAAGTTTGGGAAATCCTGTAAACAATATTCCCTCTTGGGGATTTTATTTTCTCAAGAACCTTACACTTCAATTATCCTGTCTCTCCCCAGATTGTTCAACTAATGATTACTGTGGTTTTAAACATGCCTAAGTGTTCTGATTTTTTTTTTTTTAAAGAAAGAAACCTACGTGAATTCCTCATCTTCTCCAGCTTACCGCCACCTCCTCCCTTTCCCAGCTGGAGAATTGTCTGTGTTTCCTCCTTCCACTTCCTAACCTCCCATTCGCTTACGTAACTCCTCCACTGAAATAGCTCTGAGGTCACCCATAACCTTCATGTTGAAGGTCACATGCACAACTTTCTTTTAAATTTTTTTTTTTTTTTTTTTTTGAGACAGGGTCTCGTTTTGTTGCCCGGGCTGGTCTCAAACTCCTGGGCTGAAGCACGAAGCACTCCTCCCTTCCCAGCCTCCCATAGTGCTGGGATCACAGGCATGAGCCACCTTGCCGGGCCACATGCACAGTTTTCAAACTTCACCTCCTGTAACTTCCCAGTAGCCTCTGGTGCTTTGGCCACGTCCTCCCTCCTTGAAGCACTCTTTCCCATTGGCTTCCATGACATCATGTGACTCTCCTAGTCTTAATCCTACCTCTACGCTCCTTCTCTGGGTTCTCTGGAGACTCCTTCTCCTCCACACACCTACTAAACGATGGAGTTCCTTGAGATTTGGTAGCAGGTTCTTTCCTTCTCTAACTTTGCCCTTTTTCCTTAGGCAATTTCAGCCATGTTCATTTCTTCAGTTACCAGTGGCCTCAGCCCTGGAGCTGGCAGATGGGGACCTGATGATCAGGGAGGGAAACTGTTTCCCTGATGATGGGGGAAATCAGGATACTGTTACCAAAAGAAGGAGAAGGGCTGCTGAAAAGTAGAGAGAAGGAAAGAAAGAAACAGATGGGCATTACGGGCATCCTGAGTAAGCTCTGGCAAGTGAATGAAACAGACTTATTTGTGGTCTCAGAAATTTCTAGTCATTGAAACCTTAAGCAGGACTGAGTACAGGCCAAAAAAAAAAAATGCTGATTTCCTTTGAAGACAGAAAATTGTGTGGTTTGTAGAGGAGGCAGCCTCAGCTAGACAGCTTAGATCAACTTTTTCCAGCCTTCAGCATCTTGAAAGTACATGTAGCAGGGAGCAGGGAGGTGGACAGACCACTAGCAATCCACTTCTTTTTAATGCATCCCCAAAGTCTTCAGTGCCAAGAGGATACTTTACTCTGAGGTTAGACACAATCATCTCAGGGTTTTTGCTTTTGCTTTTCTAATAGGTACCTGGGAGAACTCACAGCTGCCTTCTGCTGGACCAGAAGTATTTGTATCCTGACCATCTACGGGGTCTTGGTCAGAGTTATGGAAGGGCCTCTCACATGCAGGCCAGCTGTTGGAGTTTTTATATGCATATTTGGGAAACTTCACGTTTAGTGTATTAAGCTGGCCAGCCAGTCACCCACCAGGGTTGGGCTGGACTCTACAATGTGTCTAATGCTGACTCTTCCTTTAGATTCAGCATAATCACCCTCTTATCCTGGTAATATCTCTGACAGTCCCCTCAAAAGCTGGGTTTGGGACCCCCTGTTCTGTGTTGCCATGGAAACTTCTACTTTGTGTACCTTATCAGATCACTTTTCACTTGGTCCCTACTGCGCTATGGCTCCTTGAGGCAGGGACTGTGAGTCATATCACTAACAATTAGCATGGAACCTGGGATATGGCACAATATGAATGAAGCCTGTCAAATTGTGAGCCAGAGAACCTCCAGTCATCCAGGATGCAAACCTCAGCCATCCTCTACTTCTCCAAAATCCTCATCTCTCATTCCAGTCAGACACTGCAGTGTTCCAAATGAAGCTAAACTACATGCAGAACTGACATAGGACCTGATAAAGTGGTAGGACTTGAGAAAAATCTAGTGAAAGGCTGGAATAAAAGATCAGAGCAATGAACAATTGTAAAATAAATTTAAATATCTTTATAATAATATCAAAAAATATAAAATACTCAGGAGATATAGATATATATATATTTTTTTTTTTTGAGATGGAGTTTCACTCTTGTTGCCCAGGCTGGAGTGCAATGGCATGATCTCGGCTCACCGCAACCTCCGCCTCCCAGGTTCAAATGATTTCTCCTGCCTCAGCCTCCCTAGTAGCTGGGATTATAGGCATGTGCCACCATGCCCGGCTAATTTTGTATTTTTAGTAGAGACGGGGTTTCTCCATGTTGGTCAGGCTGGTCTTGAACTCCCGACCTCAGTTGATCCGCCCACCTCGGCCTCCCAAAGTGCTGGGATTACAGGCGTGAACCACCGTGCCCGGCCACTCAGGATATATTTAATGAAAGATGTACAAGGCCTGAAAACAAGAAAACATTGCCAAGATAAATTAAAAATCTAGATCAATAAGATGTACCCTATTTATGGATTGGAAGATTCAATATCATCAAGATGTTCATTCTCCTGAAAATGTACCATAAATTCAATGCAATTAAAATCACAATCCCGGCAAGTTTTTGTATATAAACTCACAAACTGATTCTTTTTTTTTTTTTTTTTTTTGAGTCAGTGTCTCACTCTGTCACCCAGGCTGGAGAGCAGTGGTGCAATCATTGCTCACTACAGCCTTGACCTCCCAGGCTCAAGCAATCGTCTCACCTCAGCCTCCCAAACAGCTGGGACTACAGGCACATGGCACCACACGTGGCTAATTTTTACAATTATTTTTAGTAAAGATGAGGTCTCACTATGTTACCCAGGCTGGTCTTGAACTCTTGGGCTCAAGCAATCCTCAGCCTCCCAGAGTGCTGGGATTACAGGTATGAGCCACTGTGCCTGGCCTGATTCTAAAATGTATACGGAAATCCCATGATAGTAGAACAATCTTTTTTTTTTTTTTTTTTTTGGGATGGAGTCTCGCTCTGTTGCCCAGTCTGGAGTGCAGTGGTGCAATCTTGGCTCATTGCAACCTCCACCTCCTGGGTTCAAGCAATTCTCTGCCTCAGCCTCCCGAGTAGCTGGGATTACAGGCACCTGCCACCACGCCTGGCTAATTTTTGTATTTTTAGTAGACACGGGGTTTCATCATCTTGGCCAGGCTGGTCTTGAACTCCTGACCTCGTGATCTACCTGCCTCGGCCTCCCAAAGTGCTGGGATTACAGGCGTGAGCCACCGTGCCGAGACAACAATCTTTTTTTAAAAAAGAGCAATCTTTAAAAAAGAACAATCTTTTAAAAAGGTATATGGAAATCCCAGAATATTTAGAACAATCTTTAAAAAGAGGGAAAAAGTTAGAGGGCCTACACTACCTGACTTCAAGACGTAGCTATAAAGCTATCAACCCAATGTGGCATTGACAGAAGGATAGACACATACATGAATGGAACATAATAGTCCAAAAATAGACCCACATGTATATACAGTAAAATAATTTTTGACAAAGGCACCAATGTAACAATGTGGTGAAGAACAGTGTTTAACAAAAATTCTGGGACAACTGGAGATTGTTTGTTTGTTTATTTACTTGTTTAGAGACAGGGTCTTGCTCTGTCACCCAGACTGGAGTGCAGTGGTATGAGCTCAGCTCGCTGCAGCCTTGACCTCAACTGGGCTCAAGCAATCCTCCCACCTCAGTCTCCCAAGTTGCTGAAACTACAGGAGTGCTCCACCATGCCTGGCTATTTTTGTTTGTTTGTTTGTTTTTGGGACAGGATCTCACTTTGTCACCCAGGCTGGAGTTCAGTGGTGTGATCTTGGCTCACTGCAGCCTCGACCTCCTGGGCACAAGCGGACCTCCCACCTCAGCCCCTGAGTAGCACTGGGACTACAGGTGCATGCCACCACTCCTGGCTGATTTTTGTATTTTTTGTAGAGACAGGGTTTCACCATATTGCCCAGGCTGGTCTCAAACTCCTGGACTCAAGCAATCTGTCCGCCTCGGCCTCCCAATGTGCTGGGATTACAAGCATGAGCCACCACAGTGCCTATTGTTTTTTTTTTTTTTTTTTTTGCATTTTTTATAGAGACGAGGTCTCACTATGTTGCCCGTGCTGGTTTTGAACCCCTGGGCTCAAGGGATCCTTCTGTCTTCTCCTCCCAAGATCCATTTAGAAAAAAATGAATCTTGACCCTTACCTCACACCATAGATAAACATTAACTCAATGGATCATAGACATAAACATGAAGAGCTAAAACTTCTAAAAGAAAACAGATGAGAAATCTTCAGAACATTGAGTTGGCAAAGATTTCTTAAGATACAAAGAGCACTAACTAAAAAAGAAAAAAATGATAAATTGGATTTGATGAAAACAAGAAAATTCTGCCCTTCCAAAGATACCATTTAAGAAAAAGATTTCAGAGCTATGTAAAGCATTATTTAAACATACACAGGACATTAAATTTTTTATAAGAAAAGGCATTCTGTCTATAAGTTTCAATCCTTCCAAGTAAATAAACATACATATCAGCTTAATATTTTTGTTTAAGTGAAAAAATGGAGTGTATAGCATAAAAGGACCTTTGTTGAGATTCTTAACTCCCAAGACCAGACTAGACCTGATGACCTATTTATCTGAAGCAATCAGTAAGGCAATCAATGGCATTATAGTCAGAAAGACTCCAGATTATGGTCTGAAAGAAAAACAGAGGTCAGAGAAACGATGTTGAGTATCTGGTCCAGCTGTGTAAAGTGAGACTATAAGTGGGGAAAATGAATCACCAAGCCTGAGGCTTGGCAGATTGGGAACAAAATGTAAAGGGGGAAACTGAGGGGCACAGAGAGTTAGGATGATTGAGCAGAGAGTCCCAGAGCAATGTCAATGGTGATAGGGCCTATTTCATAGCTGCTGCCTCTTTGCAGCTTAAAACTGCCACACTGGATCAGACATATGTGACCTAAGATCCTATAAGATCTGGCTCAGCTTAAAATCTGTATCTGTCAAGAAAAACTGACTGCCAGTGATTTCTGTCTGTCACACACCATTGCTTGGACAACTGCCATTGCAGTTCTCTTGGGCTTTAATCTTTTCTATTTTTTTTTTTTTGAGACAGGGTCTTGCTCTGTTGCCCAGGCTGGAGTACAGTGGCATGAACATAGCTCACTGCAGCCTTGACCTCCTGACTGAAGCAATCCTTCTGCCTCAGCCTCCAGAGTAGCTGGGACGACAGGCATGCACCACCACACCCTACTAATCTTTTAATTTTTTGTAGAGACAGGATCTCCCTATGTTGCCCAAGCTGGTCTCAAACTCCTGGACTCAAGCAAGCCTCCTACCTCGGCCTCCTGAAGTGTTGGGATTACAGGCATGAGCCACGGTGCACAGCAAGAGCTTTAACCTTAATGACCATTCATTCTCTACCCCACATTACCTACAACTGATACAGGTATGCTAGCATTAATAAGCTGCATGATTACCTTTTCCATTTCGTCTTTCTGGGCACAAACATAGTCATATGGTCATGTGACTGTGTTTTAACTAATGGAATGTGGGCGGAAGTGACATGTGCCATCTCCAGGCATGGCGATAAAATGGCCCTTGTGTCCTGTCGCACACTCTTTCTTTGTTCATCAATAAACTGAATGCAGAGGACCTAAGGGAGGACTCCAAGATGGAAGAAGCCTGTATCTGTTTCCATGGTAGTCGCTGAAAACACCCAACCAGACTGTGCCTTTGGGGGCAAGTAAACCTTTATCATAGCAGTAAGCCACTCAAAGTTGGGAGTTCTTTGTTCCATCAGCTAGCATTACCCCCAACGACTTCAGGTCTGAAGAGCTCCTATGATAGCTTTCAATATAGCAGGAAGTGTTTGGGATGATAAATCGAAGCAGGATTTCCAGCCAGGTGCGGTGGCTCACGCCTCTAATCCCAGCACTTTGGGAGGCCGAAGTGGGCGGATCATGAGGTCAGGAGATCGAGACCATCCTGGCTAACACTGTGAAACCCCGTTTCTACTTAAAAAAAAAAAAAAAAAATTAGCTGGGCCTGGTGGCGGGCGCCTGTAGTCCCAGCTAGGCGGGAGAATGACGTGAACCCGGAAGGCAGAGCTTGCAGTGAGCCGAGATCATGTCATTGCACTCCAGCCTGGGTGACAGAGCGAGACTCCGTCTCAAAAAAAAAAAAAAAAAAAATCGAAGCAGGATTTCCATAAAAGTGTGAAGGTGCCACAGGGATCTCAAGGCCAAGCTGGTGAAGTGGGACAAAGATCACATAGCTATTAATACGTGGATGGTAAGGCAGGATTTCAGTGGAGGTCTGTCTGGTCCCACAGCCTATGCACTTTCACTCCTCTACCTTACCCCAAACAAGGAGGTGTTTATATGTTTTGAGTGATGATCACAACGATAATAGACTCTGGGCTTCTGTGTAATTTACTCTCTGGTGCATCGGCGCTATATATTCCTACAGAACTTCCACCATTTCCCACTAGCCAGTGAGGTTGAATATAATGACACTCTGTAATCCTCATTTTTATGTCAACATCATCCCCAAGCGCTCAAAGCAGGGTAGTTAAAATTATTATTTTCTCCAGCTTGCAACCTGAATGTTTACCAGTCTAGGTAAAAGGCTTTTGTAGGTCTTCGTTCTCCATCCACTTGTACCTTCCTATCTTAACTATTTAGTCTCAGAAGCTCTATCCCTCTCTTACCTGAATAACTGCATCTACCTCCTCCCTGAAATGTTGAAGGAGCGGGAGACTAAAACCTCCTTCTATACCTACTTTTCCCTTCTATAAATGGAGAGCATGATACCTATCTCATACAATTGCTGTGAGGTTTTTGTGTTTTGTGTGTGTGTGTGTGTGTGTGTGTGTGTGTGTGTGTGTTTTGAGATGGAGTCTTGCCGTTGTTGGCCAGGGCTGGAGTGCAATGGCACAATATCGGCTCACTGCAACCTCTGCCTCCCAAGTGCCAGTAATTCTTCTGCCTCAGTCTCCTGAGTAGCTGAGATTACAGGCACCCGCCACCATGCCTGGCTAATTTTTGGATTTTTTAGTAGAGACAGGGCTTCACCATGTTGGTCAGGCTGGCCTCGAACACCTGACCTCAGGTGATCCACCTGCCTCAGCCTCCCAAAGTGCTGGGATTACAGGCATGAGCCATCACGCTGGGCCTTTTTTTTTTTTTTTTTTGAGACAGAGTCTCACTGTTGTTGGCCTGGGCTGGAATGCAAAGGTGCGATCTCAGCTCCCTGCAACCTCTACCTCCCGGGTTCAAGTGATTCTCATGCCTCAGCCTCCTGAGTACCTAGGACTACAGGCTTGTGCCACCATGCCTGGCTGATTTTTGTATTTTTAGTACAGACAAGGTTTCGCCATGTTGGCCAGGTTGGTCTCAAACTCCTGACCTCAAATGATCCGCCCATCTTGGCCTCCCAAAGTGCTGGGATTACTGGTATGAGCCACTGCTCCCGGCCAAGATTATTTTAAAAGGCATGACACACTGTCTCTCGTGCTCCACCATGGTAAGACGTGCTTGCTTCCCCTTCACCTTCCGCTATGATTGTAAGTTTCCTGAGGCCTCCTAGTCATGCTTCCTGTTAAGCCTGTGGAACTGATGCAATTGAAGACACTGGTTATTTTATCAAGGTTTTGACTAGAATGGCATGCTTTCAGATACAAACAGACTGTTCTAAGAAACCAAAGTTGACTTATAGGGCCAATAAAACTCCTCAGGAAAGCTGGCCTTATACCTTGTCTACCCAGTCCCTGTATAGGGTTCCTGATCTGTGGGGTTTTGCATGTCTGACCCCCATGGCTCCACCTGGACCTCCCAACCCCACTCCTGTGGCCCCACCCAGAAGGAATTCAGCTCACAGGAGGGCAGTTTAGACTCCCTATGATTTCATCCGCCCCAATCAATCAGCAGCAAGCCCCAGTTACCTGACCTCCCCCCTCTTTCCCCAAACTGCCTTTGAAAAACTCCTAACCTAGGAACTTTGGAGGAGATGATTTGAGTGCTAACTCCATCTCCCACATGGCGTGGTCAGCCTTGTGTCTGTTAAGCTCTTTCTTTATGGGGGAAAAAAAAAAGCTTGGCAGCTTATTATTTTTCTGAAAAAATAGCGTTTTAAACATCTGACTACAGAAATACATGCTCATTGTAGTGGCCAGGTGTGGTGGCTTATGCCTGTAATCCCAGCACTTTGGGAGGCCAAAGTAGTGGATTACTTGAGGCCAGGAGTTCGAGACCAGCCTTGTCAACATGGTGAAACTCCATCTCTACTAAAAATACAAAAATTAGCCAGGCATGGTGGCACATGCCTGTAGTCCCAACTACTCAGGAGGCAGAGGCAGAGAATTGCTTGAAGCCAGGAGGCAGAGGTTGTAGTGAGCTGAGATCATGCCCTGTGCTCCAGCCTGGGCAACAGAGGGAAACTCGTTCTCAAAAAAAAAAAAAAAAAAAAAAAAAAAAAAAAAACAATGCCGGGCACGGTGGCTCATGCCTGTAATCTCAGTACTTTGGGAGGCTGGGGCAGGCAGGTGATCACCTGAGGTCAGGAGATCAAGACCAGCTTGGCCAACATGGGGAAACCCTATCTCTACTAAAAATACAAAAATTAGCCAGGTGTGGTGGCGTGCACCTGTAATCCCAGCTACTCAGGAGGCTGAGATGGGAAAATCGCTTGAACCCAGGAGGCAGAGGTTGCAGTGAGCCAAGATCTCACCACTGCACTCCAGCCTAGGTGATAGAGCAAGATTCCGTTTCAAAAAAAAAAAAGAAAAGAAATGCATGCCCATTGTAGAAAAATTATAAACAAAAGCACCAGAAAAGAAAATTCCCAAGAAATACTTTCATCTTTTTGAATTTATCCTTCTAATCTTTTTTATTGTCACCAGGTTGGAGTGCAGTGGTGCCATCTCGGCTCACTGCAACCTCCACCTCCCAGGTCCAAGCAATTATCCTGCCTCAGCCTCCCAAGTAGCTAGGACTACAGGCGCCCATCACCATGCCGGGCTAATTTTTGTATTTTTAGTAGAGACGGGGTTTCACCATATTGGCCAGGCTGGTCTCGAACTCCTGACCTTGCGATCTGCCCACCTCGGCCTCCCAAAGTGCTGGGATTGCAGGCATGAGCCACCGCGCCTGGTCTTTTTTTTTCTTGAGATGGAGTCTCGCTTTATCACCCAGGCTGGAGTGCAGTGGTGTGATTTCGGCTCATTGCAACCTCTACCTCCTGGGTTCAAGCGATTCCCCTGCCGCAGCCCCCCAAGTAGCTGGGATTACAGATGCCCACCCCTGTACCTGGCTAATTTTTGTATTTTTAGTAGAGACAGAGTTTCACCATGTTGGCCAGGCTAGTCTCGAACTCCTGATCTCAAGTGATCTGCCAGCCTTGGCCTCCAAAAGTGCTGGGATTACAGGCATGAGCCACCGCGCCCAACCGGCATAATTTTTAATAGTGGCTCAGTATCCATTGCATGGAGTGGGGGTCATGATTTTTTTTGTTGTTTTACTTTTTAAAAATTGTTTGTAGAGACAGCGTCCCACTGTGTTGCCTAAGCTGGTCTCAAACTGCTAGGTTCAAGTGCTCCTCCCACCTCAGCCTCCCAAAGTGCTGGGATTATAGGCATGAGCCACTGCGCCAGTCCTGTATTTTGATTTTTTTTAAGTAACCCCCTAATGTTGTACAGTTTGGTTGTTTCCAGTTTTTCACCATCAATAGCAATAAACATCTTTGTATGTATCCTTCTGCTCATATCCCTAATTATTTTTTTAGCACTCACAAGTAGAATTTTGCATCTAAGGAAGAGCTACATTGTCAAGACTTTTGCTATTCATTGCCAAATTTCATTAAAAAGTTGTACAAATACACACCACTGGCAGCAGTGTATGAGAATGCTATAATAAAGGCTTTGGGCCAAGTTGACAATTATGAGCAAAAAAAAAAAAAAAAAAAAACAAAATCAAGAAGATAAGTGTTTGCTAAAGGCTCACCCTACGCCAGCTGTGTTTATTTGTTGAACTCTATCACCATGTTCCTTGGCCCAAACACTGAAGGTCCTTTAGATTCTTAGTTTATTTAGTGCCTCTTTCAACACTCTAGTACTTTGACCCCAGTCTTATCTGAAGGAAAGAGGATTTCTGGTAAATAGTTTCCAATTTGGAAACTCAACCCAAGCACTTCCATCCCTCATCCCAGTGTGGACCACCTCTGTGGTTTTAACTGCTGGGGATGAGTCAGAAAGTGATGCTGGCTGAGTTGGAACTGAGAACTGTAATGCTTATAAGAAATAATAGAGAAGGTTTGAGGTGAAAAAGTCATGTTCCGAGGTACAAAGGAAAAACCAATAACAACCCAGAGTTTGGAGTTTCATTCTGCCCTGCTCTGATAATATCACTATGGTGATGTTCTCCATAAACAATTGCAAAATAGCAAGATGAAAAGGAACAAGCAAGTTCCACCCAGGCGATCTGGAGTTATTTTAGGGATCAAGGCAGTGTCATCTGGGGTAAATATGGAATGCAAAATCTGTTCTTGTAATAATCATCCCCTTCTTTTGTGAGGCTGAACAAAGACCTGGCAAATCAGTCGTTTTGTGCTCAAAGAAGCACTGACCCAGTGTTCTCAGGGCCAAAGAGAAAGTGAAGCCAAAACAATGGAAATGATGGTTAATAACAGATGCTGGAATTATTCTTCTCACACCCATGGACTCTGAGACTCCACTGAGCCTGGTGTGGAGTCCAAGCGGGTGGAACAACGGTGATGTTCTTGGGTAGGGTTGGCCCAGTTGAGAGGCTGGGATCGGGACCCCAGGTTGCTGAGCTCGGTTGCCTGCCCTTGACCTTGATTCTTGGGCCAGAGTCGGTGGAGGGAAGCATCTTCAAGGCCACGGTCTGTCTCTGGGGCATCACCATCTGCTGCAGATGACATTTACTGCTCCTATCCTCATGCTATTCTCTTTGAACCCCTGACTCAGCGAGCCCCAGTCCAAAAAGCAGAACTAGCTATTTTTTGCATCAAGAAAAAGATGTCAGGCAATACACTTGCCGAATTCTTTGCTGACCCTGAAACGCTTCCTCTTTGCACTTAACTCCTGTTCTTCCTTTATTCTCTTTGCTGCCTTCTCTTCTAGACCACTAAATTGCAAGCGCCGCTATCTTCTCCAATGAAGATGCTCAAGGGAAGGGCTGTACTCAGCCATGGAGGCTGGCACAGTGCCTGGGGCACGCAAGTTTCTCCATAAATGTCAGCTCATAGGAGGTGAATTCAAAATCCCATGCCTACCCTAAAATGGACATTTCTCCGGCAGATCTGAGACTGAGGCTATTTGTTCATTCATTCAACAAATATTTATTGAGCACCTACTAGAAACCAGAATTTGTGCTAGGGACTGGAGCTGTAAGGGAAACAAGATTCCAGGGCCCTGTCCTTATGGAGATTACATTCTTGTACACTGTAATGCAAGTGGTGAGCACAGCTTCCATCTTGTCACAGTGGTGAGCACAACCTACTTCTCTGACCATTGGACAAAAAATTGCACTCCCCACTTACCTTGTCTTATTTTATATTTCTTTGTTGCTGATCTTTCAGTCTTTGCATGCAAAAATGTATCCTCTTTGAGGGTGCTTTATGATGTTCATTGCTGAATCCCAAGCACCTAGAACCACTTCTAGCATCCAGCAGGTGTGTTGGTCTATTTGGGCTGTTATAACAAACTACCATGGACTGAGCATTTTATAAACAGCAGAAATTTACTTCTCACCGTTCTGGAGGCTGGCAAGTCCAAGATCATGGCGCCAGCAGATTTGGTGTCTGGTGAACGCCCTATTCCTGGTTCACAGGTGGTGCCTTCTCACTGTGTCCCCACATGGTGGAAGGGGCTGGCTAGTGCCCTATGGTCTCTTTCATAAGCACACTGATCCCAATCCTGAGGTCACCACTCTCATGCCCTGATCACTTCCCCAAATGCCCACCTCCTAATACCTTGGAAGTGAAGATTTTACATATGAATATTAGGGACACAAAAACATTCAGACCATAGCAAAGTGTTCAACAAATACCTGTCAAATCAATTTATTTAATAAACTCTGCAATCTTCTAGAACTTTCTAGCACAAATCTCCAGGGAATGAGCTGAGAACTCCAGAAATTCATAACTACAAATTACAACTACCCAGGACTTTCCAGATTACAAAGGAGGGAGGTGCATGGGAAGGAGCCTTCGCCTCTCTTGAGTCCTGGGTTCCTTCTTGTAAAATAGAAACAATAACACCTACCTTTGGGGCCTGTTGTGAGGATCGGATGAAGTAATGGGTGGGAATTACTCAGCCCAGAACCTGGCAAGCAGTATTTGCTCCATGCCTGGGGACAGTGCTATTGTTTATTATTTGAGCGTCCCAATTCTGTGTGGACTTTATTATTAGCTTGGCCATTTAACTGACACAGAAAACAGGACTAACGGGGGTATACTAATTTGCCGAGGGTAGCTCAGGAGGGACTAGAACCCCAGCTACATACACCCATGGGGCTGAATTCCAAACACAATGCCTTATCTACCACCCCAGGGGTGCCACCTCTGGAGGGAAAACACAAGGGTGCCTCCTGATTCTTCCAACCCCCGACTCCACCACCCCATCCTCTCCCACCATTGTGTTGTTCTCCATTCTCAGTCTACCCCACCCATCACCAAGGGCACAAAAGAGCTCAGAGGAGAAGCAAGCTTGAGGGGAAGACTGTGCATTTGGTTAGTAGGAGCAGGACGAATCCCCCTCCCGCCCACCTGCAGCTTCCTGTGATGCTTCCTCCAAGTTCCCCACAGCCCCCTCTTCTCTCATGCCTTGGGGACCCTCAGCCTGCCAGCCTCTAAGCTGTCGGGGATTCTGATCCAATCAGAAGAGATGGGCTATGAGACCTGTTAGCATAAACAGATCGGGAAATCTTCTTGAAACAGAGAGGTCCTTGAAATTGAACTTCCTAAAAATGATTATGGTTTTTTTTTTTTTTTTTTTTTTTTTTTGGAGACAGAGTCTCGCTCTGTCACCCAGGCTGGAGTGCAGTGGCCAATCTCGGCTCACTGCAAGCTCCGCCTCCCGGGTTCACGCCATTCTCCTGCCTCAGCCTCCCGAGTAGCTGGGACTACCGGTGCCCGCCACCATGCCCGGCTAATTTTTTTGTATTTTTTTTAGTAGAGATGGGTTTCACCGTGTTACCCAGGATGATCTTGATCTCCTGACCTCATGATCTGCCCGCCTCAGCCTCCCAAAGTGCTAGGATTACAGGCATGAGCCACTGCGCCTGGCCAAAAATGATTATGATTTTTTTAAAAAGTAGGCCAGGTGCGGTGGCTCACACGTATAATCCCAACACTTTGGGAGGCTGAGGCAGGAGGATCACTTGAGGCCAGTGTTACTGGAAAGGGGTCCCAATCCAGACCCCAAGAGAGGGTTCTTGGATCTTGTGCAATAAAGAATTCAGGGCAAGTCCATAGAGTGAAGTGAAAGCAACTTTATTAAGAAAGTAAAAGAATAAAAGAATGGTTGGCCGGGCGCGGTGGCTCACGCCTGTAATCCCAGCACTTTGGGAGGCCGAGGCGGGTGGATCATGAGGTCAGGAGATCGAGACCATCCTGGCTAACAAGGTGAAACCCCGTCTCTACTAAAAATACAAAAAATTAGCCGGGCGCGGTGGCGGGCGCCTGTAGTCCCAGCTACTCGGGAGGCTGAGGCAGGAGAATGGCGTGAACCCGGGAAGCGGAGCTTGCAGTGAGCCGAGATTGCGCCACTGCAGTCCGCAGTCCGGCCTGGGCGACAGAGCGAGACTCTGTCTCAAAAAAAAAAAAAAAAAAAAAAAAAAAAAAAGAATGGCTACTCCATAGGCAGAGCAATGGTATGTGCTGCCCACCTGAATGTACTTATAGTTATTTCTTGACTATACGCTAAACAAGGGGTGGATTATTCATGAGTTTTCTGGGAAAGGGATGGGGATTTCCAGGAATTGAGCGTTCCTTCCCGTTTTAGACCATAAAGGATAACTTCAGAACATTGCCACGGCATTTGTAAACTGTCATGGAGCTGGTGGGAGTGTCTTTTAGCATGCTAATGCATTCTAATTAGCATATCATGAGCAGTGAGGTCAACAAGAGGTCACTTTCATCATCATTTTGGTTTTGGTGGGTTTTGGCCGGCTTCTTTACCACATCCTGTTTTATCAGCAAGGTCTTTGTGACCTGTATCTTGTGCCGGCCTCCTATCTCATCCTGTGACTAAGAATGCCTAACCTGGGAACGCAGCCCAGGAGGTCTCAGTTATTTTACCCAGCCCCTATTCAAGATTGAGTTGCTCTGGTTCAAATGCCTCTGACACTAGGAGTTCAAGACCAACCTGGGCAACATAGTGAGACACCATCCATACAAAATAAAAATTTTAAAATTAGCTGGGCATGGTGGCATGCCTACAGTCCCAGCCATTGGGGAGGTTGAGGCAGGAGGATTGCTTGAGTCCAGGAGTTTGAGGCTGCACTTAGCAGTGATGGCACTACTGCACTCCAGCCTGGGTGACAGCATGTCTAAAGAAAACAAACAAAACGAAAACTATAATAGCGTTAGCTGTAATTCATTAAATATTTCCATGGTGCTGGGTAGTGTGAGAGGCAATTTATAAATGTCCAGCTCTGATAACAACCAGGAAAGGCAGGTAGTATTATTCCTATTTTATAGATGAAAAAGTTGAGGCTCTGGAAAATGAATGATCTTGTGGGCCGGGCATGGTGGCTTATGCCTGTAATCCCAGCACTTTGGGAGGCTGAAGCGGGTGGATCACTTGAGGTCAGGAGTTCCACACAAGCCTGCCAACATAGTGAAACCCCATCTCTACTAAAAATACAAAAATCAGTTGGGCATGGTGGCACGTGCCTGTAGTCCCAATTACTCAGGAGGCTGAGGCAGGAGAATCGCTTGAACCTGGGAAGTGAAGATTGCAGTGAGCCGAGATCGTATCACTGGACTCCAGCCTGGGCGACAGTACGAGAGAAAAAAGAAAGAAAGAAAGAGAGAAAGAGAGGGAGGGAGGGAGGGAAAGAAAATGAATGATCTTGTCAGAGGTCATGTGGCTACTAAGTAATGAATGCTGAGATTTAAACCCGGTCTATCTGCCCTCAAAACTCATGCTCCTTCTGCCTTACAAAAATGGTGGGGGGTGCAGGGGAAGTTATGTGGCACCCATCCTAGCGTCACTCTGAAAAAAATTGGAAACATCCTAAAAAATACAAAAATTGAGGATGGTTATGTGATTTATAGTGAGTGTAGTCAGTAGACTATTGCAATGACTAAAAACGATGCAAGGGGCCGGGCATGGTGGCTCATGCCTATAATCCTAGCACTTTGAGACGCTGAGGTGGGTGGATCACCTGAGGTCAAGAGTTCAAGACCAGCCTGGCCAACATGGTGAAGCCTCATCTCTACCAAAAATACAAAAAAATTAGCCAGGCATGGTAGTGGGCACCTGTAATCCCAGCTATTCGGGAGGCTGAAGCAGGAGAATTGCTTGAACCCAGGAGGTGGAGGTTGCAGTGAGCCAAGATCGCACCACTGCACTCCAGCCTGGGCGACAGAGCAAGACTCTGTCTCAAAACAAAACAAAATAAAACAAAACAAAAACAAACAGAAAAGCTAAGAAGTTTTGTGCTGTGGCAGTATCATAGCCGATGAAGTTTATCCAAGGCACAATTATTGCTAATTGAAAACTTTACCCAATACCCCACCATGACAACTTGCAACATATTCAGCATTGGCAATTTTTTTTTTTTTTGAGACAGAGTTTCACTCTTGTTGCCCAGGCTGGAGTGCAATGGTGCAATCCCGGCTCACTGCAACCTCCACCTCCCGGTTCAAGCGATTCTCCTGCCTCAGCCTCCTGAGCAGCTGGGATTATAGGCACGTGCCACCATGCCTGGCTAATTTTTGTATTTTTGCAGAAATGGGGTTTCACTGTGTTGACCAAGCTGGTCTCAAACTCCTGACCTCAAATAATCGGCCTGCCTTGACCTCCCAAAGTGTTGGGATTACAGGCATGAGCCACTGCGCCTGTCCAGATGACTTTTCTTTAGTACCTCTCTAAACCTGGAGACTCACCTGCTTCTAAGCCGTAGTAACTTTTCCTGCCCAAGTAAGCACTGGCTATTATTCTCATCTACTTCTGTGCCTGTCTGCTAATGCCATGCTCCAATCTGGAGCTGCTCTATTCAATATGGTAGCCATTGCCCCATGTGGATATGTAAATTTAAATTAATTTAAATCAATAAATAATTCAGTACCTCAGTTCCACTAGTCCTCTTCCAAGTGCTCAGTAGTCACATGTAGCTTGTGGTTACTCTGGTAGACAGCACAGATATAAATATTTCCATCAGAGAAGGAAGTTCTGTGAGGCAGCAATGATCTAGCATCTAGGCTGAAGACCATTTTTAGAACTCTAGCTGAATGAAAGATTCCCCAGTTCCTTGTACTCAGTGGATGGACTGGACAATGACCTTTCCATTCTGAGATTTTACTCTCTCATCCTTTCTCTACTCTCTGGAAAGCTCAAGGGTCATGGAAAATTAAGTATGGCCCTCCCCACTAAAAGGTAGGTCTCCCAATTATAGCTTTTTAGAAGAGCTTTACAGAGCAAAGGTTGATCAAGCAGGGTGGAACAGTGAGGAAGGTTAATTAGAGTAGTGTTTTTTATTATAAAGGTTATCAACAGAAGCCACTTACTGATATCTACTCTGTGCCAGGTACTCCATTTTGTCTCAGTTAATCCTTAAAGAAGTAAACAAACTTGCCCAACTCCATGAGCCAGAATCCATAGCTCCAGTTACCAAAGCTCATGCTTTCTCTATTATACTAACTTGCCTCCTGAGAGATTCCAAATCTCATAGAAGGATTCTGATTGGCCCTTCTTGAGTAACAAGCCTATCCCTAGGACCAGCCATATTGGATGAAAAGTTTGGCTACTATGATTGGTCTGTCCCAGGTCACTGTCCACCACTGTACTGGTAGACAGTGACTCAGGAAACTTACAATCTTGAAGAACAATGGAGGTACAAGTGTGAACATCAACAATAGCATAAAAAGCACACACAGCTGGGCTTGGTGGCTGATGCCTATAATTCTTTGAGAGGTCAAGGCAGGTGGATTGTTGGAGTCCAGGAGACCAACATGAGATTTGGATGGGGATGGACTCCAGCGATCCACCTGCCTCGGCCTCCTAAAGTGCTAGGATTATGGGTGTGAGCTGCCAAGCCCAGCCTCATGTGCTTTTTATGTGCACTATTGGTTGATGTTCTCACTTGTACCTCCATTGTTCTTCAAGATTGTAAATTTCAGTCCCCTTAGAACCACCTAAGATCAGGCCAGGCATGGTGGCTCACGCCTGTAATCCCAGCACTTTGGGAGGCCAAGGTGGGCAGATCACGAGGTCAGGAATTCGAGACCAGCCTAGCCAACATAGTGAAACCCCGTCTCTACTAAAATTACAAAAATTACCTGGGCATGGTGGCAGGCTCCTGTAATCCCAGCTACTTGGGAGGCTGAGGCAGGAGAATTGCTTGAACCGAGGAGGCGGAGGTTGCAGTGAGTCGAGATCGCGCCATTGCACTCCAGCCTGGGTGACAGAGCAAGGCTCTGTCTCAAAAACAAAACAAAACAAAACAAAACAAAACAAAAAACCACCTAAGATCAGAGAAAGGCAATCACCAAGTAAAAGGATAGGACAGACAGAAACTACTATTAACTGCTTTAATTCTGTCAGTATAATTCCCACTGGGCCTACCCACATGCCAATTTCATTAGTTGATATGATTTGGCTCTGTGTCCTCCCCCACATCTCATGTCGAATTGTAATCCCCACGTGTCAGGGGAGGGACCTGGTGGGAGGTGATTGGATCATGGGGGTGGAATTCCCCCTTGCTGTTCTTGTGATAGTGGGTGAATTCTTATGAGATCTGATTTTTAAAAGTGTGTGGCCTTTTCCCCTTTGTTCTCTCTCTTCTGCCAGCATGCGAAGAGGGTCTTTGCTTACCCTTCACCTTCCACCATGATTGTAAGTTTCCTGAGGCCTCCAAGCCATGATTCCTGTTAAGCCTGCAGAACTGTGAGTCAATTAAACCCCTTTTCTTCAAAAATTACCCAGTCTCAAGTGGTTCTTCACAGCAGTGTGAAAATGGACTAATACATTAATTTTCCAAGTTATCTCAACGAGAACAATAATAACGATTACTACTACATTTTATTCAGAGCCTAGGTACTGTGGCATGTGCTTTTTTTTTTTTTTTTTTTCTTGTGAAATAGGGTCTTGCTCTGTCACCCAGGCTGGAGTGAAGTGGTGCAATTATGGCTCACTACAGCCTTGACCTACGAGGCACAAACAATCTTCCCTCCTGAGTAGCTGGCACTACAGGATCACGCCACCACACCCGGCTAATTTTTGTATTTTTTATAGAGATGCAGTTTCACCTTGTTGCTCAGGCTGGTCTTCAACTCCTGAACTCCAGTGATCCACCTGCCTCGGCCTCCTAAAGTGCTGGGATTACAGGTGTGAGCCACCGCGCCCAGCCGTAAGTGCTTTTTATGTGCACAATTGTTGATATTCACACTTGGACCTCCACTGTTCTTCAATAACATAGGGCTTGTTTTCTTGCTTTGGGTAGAAATAGCAGATCGTGTTTCCTGAACACTCAGACTTCACCTTCCTAGGTTCTCTGTGGCCAGTTTCCCACAGCGGGCCCATGTCCTGAATTATGCTCTAGACTAATTCAAGTCACCCACATATTAAACATCAAATCCTTTGCCCTGAAGCCAAAGCTCTCTCTTTGGGAGTTAAATAAATGAGATGTTCACGCACACAATTACTCAAAAGGTTGGGCGCGAAGGGGCCAATTCTTCTTGTTGTCGTTGTTGTTGTTGTTGAGACAGAGTCTCGCTCTGTAGCCCAGGCTGGAGTGCAGTGGCGCAATCTCGGCTCACTGCAAGCTCCGCCTCCCGGGTTCACACTATTCTCCTGCCTCAGCCTCCCAAGTAGCTGGGACTCCCGGCTAATTTTTTGTATTTTTAGTAGAGACGGGGTTTCACCATGTTAGCCAGGATGGTGATCTCCTGACCTTGTGATCCGCCCGCCTCGGCCTCCCAAAGTGCTGGGATTACAGGCGTGAGCCACCGTGCTCAGTGTTTTTTTGTTTTGTTTTGTTTTTTGTTTTTTGAGACTGAGTCTCGCTCTGTCGCCCAGACTGGAGTGCAGTGACACGATTTTGGCTCACTGCAACCTCTGTCTCCTGGGTTCAAGCAATTCTCTGCCTCAGTCTCCTGAGGAGCTGGTATTACAGGCGCCCACCCCCACGCCCGGCTAATTTTTGTATTTTTGGTAGAGACTGGGTTTCATCATCTTGGCCAGGCTGGTCTTGAACTCCGGACCTCATGATTCATCCGCCTTGGCCTTCCAAAGTGCTGGGATTACAGGTGTGAGCCACTGTGCCCAGCCTGGGAATTCTAAAAAAGGACTTAGTCTCCGTTGTCTAGGCTGGGCACTGGACAGTTGACCAGAGGCTCAACCGGATGCCTTCGAGAGGGCCCTGGAGAACTGAGAGGTCTGCGGTTCAATGGTCAGGGGAGAAGGAGGAATGTTCCCGGGCCTTGGTTTCTCCTTGGATTGAATTCAGTCTACACAAGGGCCTCTTGGGGCCCGAGTTGTCTAAGTAAACACTGATTCCTTGACAAGTTTCCAAAAGTGGGAACAGAGCAACTGTTTGGTTTGAACAAGCTGTGCTCTGTAAACCACCACTTGCATATGACCAGGGCCCCGTGTAAATATTTTAGCTACAGATGGAAAGAACATAACTTTTTTTGAAATCCCATCACTTCACTGCTAGACTTATAATGAATTATGTGTTGTCTCTATTTGCTGTTAGACTTAAAATGAATTATGTGTTATTTCTATTTGTTGGGAGGTCCAGTTCTCTAATTTAATTGTAGGCTGCTTAGATGTGCCTCTACTGAGACTGCTAGGGTTTGGGGAAAGCACAGTAAAGAACATGCCACTTTTGGCCGGGCGCAGTGGCTCACGCCTGTAATCCCAGCACTTTGGGAGGCCAAGGCGGGCAGATCACCTGAGGTCAGGAGTTCGAGACCAGCCTGGCCAACATGGTGAAACCCTGTCTCTATTAAAAAATACAAAAATTAGCTGGGCGTGGTGGCAGGCGCCTTAATCCCAGCTACTTGGGAGGCAGAGGCAGGAGAATTGTTTGAACCTGGGAGGCGGAGGTTGCAGTGAGCTGAGATCGAGCCATTGCACTCAAGCCTGGGGGATAAGAGCGAGACTTGTCTCAAAAAAAAAAGGAACATGCCACTTTTTCCTGCTTGAATTTGGCACAAAATGAAAGGAAGACACAAGAACCAAGTAGGTGGGGATGATAATATCACTTGATTTCCAGTGAACTGATTTTGGAGATATTTGATTTGTTTTAGGTGTGTGGTAAAGAGCTGCTGCTGCTGCTTCTTCCTCTTCTTTTTTTTTTTTTTTTGAGACAGAGTCTGGCTCTGTTGCCCAAGCTGGAGTGCAGTGGTGTGATAATGGCTCACTGCCGCCTTGACCTCCCAGGCTCAAGCAATCCTCCCATCTCAGCCTCCCAAGTAGCTTGGACCACAAGCACATGCCACCATGCCCAGCTAATTTTAAAAATTATTCTTGGTAGAGATGGCATATTAGTTTGTTCTTGCACTGCTATAAAGAACTACTGGGCTGGGTGCGGTGGCTCACGCATGTAATTCAAGTTTTGGGAGGCTGAGGTGGGCAGATCACCTGAGGTCAGGAATTCGAGACCAGACTGACCAATATGGTGAAACCCCATCTCTACTAAAAATACAAAAATTAGCCAGGTGGGTGCCTGTAGTCCCAGCTACTTTGGAGGCTGAGACAGGAGAATCACTTGAACTCAGGAGGCAGAGGTTGCAGTGAGCTGAGATCATGCCACTGCACTCCAGCCTGGGTGACAGAGCGACACTCCATCTCCAAAAAAAAAAAAAAAAAAAAAAAAAAAAAACAAAAAACTACCTGAGACTGCGTAATTTATTTTTTAACAAGTTTTATTTTATTTTATTTTATTTTATTTTTTGAGAGGAGTCGCGTTCTGTCACCCAGGCTGAAGTGCAATGGCGTGATCTCGGCTCACTGCAACCCTAGCTTCCCAGGTTCAAGAGATTCTCCTGCCTCAGCCTCCTGAGTAGCTGGGACTACAGGTGCGCACTGCCACACCTGGCTAATCTTTGTATTTTTAGTACAGATGGGGTTTTACCATGTTGGCCAGGCTGGTCTCAAACTCCTGGCCTCAAGTGATCCACCTGCCTCGGCTTCCCAAAGTGTTGAGAATGCAGATATGAGCCACTGTGCCCAGCCTTAAGAAAAGAGGTTTAATTGGTTCATGGTTCCACAGGCTGACCAGGAACCATGGCTGGGGAGGCCTCAGGAAGGTGAGGGAAAGCAGGCAAGTCTTACATGGCTGGAGTAGGAGGAAGAGGGCAAAGCAGGAAGTGCTACACACCTTTTAAACAACCAAATCTCATAAGAACTCGCTCACTATCACAAGAACAACAAGGGGGAACTTCGCCCCCAGGATCCACTCACCCTCCCACCAGGCCCCTCCTCCAACACTGGGGATTACAATTCCACATGAGATTTGGGTGGGGACACAAATCCAAACCATATCAGGTGGGCTCTCACTATGTTGCCCAGGCTGGTCTTGAACTCTTGGGCTCAAACAATCCTCTCACCTCAGCCTCCCAACATGCTGGGATTACAGCCACTGCATCCAGTCAACTAAGGAGCTTCTAATTCCTCACCCTAGAGTTAAGCAGACTTAGCCACCCTGTTTGAGTGCTTGGTGCTTTACTACCCAGCACTGAAGTGAGCAGACCTATGCTTCAGAGGTAGAGCCTGGCCCTGTAGGACTTAAGGCATGGAGGAACAGAAGAGAAGGTGTGTTGGCAAAAAGAACAGAAAGAAGGAACTCAGTGGAGCATGCCCAGTTCCTTCTCCCACACCCACCAGAGTGTTATTCTTCCTCCCATGGGAAACAGTAAGGGAGGGGACCAAGAGCAGCTAATATGTTACTCTGATGGACCTCCTGCCACATGGAAACTTGAAGCCAGAGCAAAGGAAGTTTGCCACCAATAGACACCTTGATGAAGAATGAAGCAAAGGAGAGGCCTGGCCAAGGAACCCAGACACAGCTTCTTGGCAAAGAAGATGACAACTGCTTGAATCAGAAAGCAGAACTAGGCTGGGTGTGGTGGCTCACATCTGTAATCCCAACATGTTGGGAGGCCAAGGGATTGCTTGAGGCCAATAATTAAACATCAGCCTGGGCAGCATAGCAAGACCTCATCTCTACAAAAAATAAAAATATAGCTAGGTGTGGTAGTGCACAGCTGTAGTCCTATCTACTTGGGAGGCTGAGGTGGGAGGAGTGCTTGAGCCCAGGAGGTCAAGGCTGTAGAGTGAGCTATCATTATACCACTACACTCTACCCAAGAAGAACTTGACCTTGAAAAGGAAGTTTGCCTTCAGGAATAGTTCCAATACTGGTAATACTTAGACCCTGTATTAGTCAGTTCTCACACTGCTAATAAAGACATACCCAAGGCTGGGTAATTTATAAAGGAAAGAGGTTTAATTGACTCACAGTTCCACATGGCTGAGGAGGCCTCACAATCATAGCAGAAGAGCA
Organism: Homo sapiens; assembly: GCF_000001405.40. Classification (NCBI taxonomy): domain Eukaryota; kingdom Metazoa; phylum Chordata; class Mammalia; order Primates; family Hominidae; genus Homo; species Homo sapiens. Next base: position 19,517,672 of record NC_000001.11, read on the forward strand.
AGGGACGTCTTACATGGTGGTAGGCAAGAGAGAGAACTTGTGCAGGGAAACTTCCCTTTATAAAACTATCAGATCTCGTGAGACTTATTCACTATCATGAGAACAGCACAGGAAAGACCTGTCCCATCATTCAATTACCTCCCACCACGTCCTTCCCAAGACACATGGAAATTGTGGGAGCTACAATTCAAGATGACGTTTGGGTGGGGACACAGCCAAACCATATCAGACCCCTTTATAGGTAGGAAGACAGACTCTGAGAGTATTGCCTCCAGATCCAATCACCACAATTGACATCATCTCCCTTTGCCAAGAACACTCCACTCCCTGTCCAACCATGCCTCCCTTCGTGACTGGGGCAGACCAGGCTGTGCCCTAGTCAGGTGGAAATTAGCATCATGAATTTCAAACCTGATTCTTTATATGTTTCCCCTCTGGTTATGTGGCAGATTGGGTTTTTCTGGTACCTCTACCTGGAAGGAGATGAGAGGGCAGATCTTTCAACATAATAATTCCCCAAAGATCTACAAGAACCTATTCATATTATTAAGATGTAAGTATATCTCTTTAGCCTCAATCACAAAGGCTGAGATTGTGGTTGGATGGAGCCAGAGACTCTGGAGGAGGGTCGAGGGGTAGAAAATGAAAGAGGGGCTGGGCAAGGTGGCTCATGCCTGTAATCCCAGCACTTTGGCAGGCCGAGGCGGGCAGATCACTTGAGCGTAGGAGTTTGAGACCAGCCTGAGCAACATGGCAAAACCCCATCTCTATAAAAAAATTAAGAAATTAGCCGGGAGGCCGGGCATGGTGGCTGACACCTGTAATCCCAGCACTTTGGGAGGCCGAAGCTGGTGGATAAGCTGAGGTCAGGAGTTTGAGACCAGCCTGCCCAACCTGGTGAAACCCCGTCTCTACTAAAAATACAAAAATTGATTACACTTGTAATCCCAGCACTTTGGGAGGCCAAGGTGGGAGGATTGGGCACCTGTAATCCCAGCTACTTGGGAGGCTGAGGCATGAGAATGACTTGAACCCGAGACGCAGAGGTTGCAGTGAACCGAGATTGCGCCATTGCTGTAATAAGATGGGAACCTTCCTGGGAGTGGAGGCTGCCTGTTTGCCTTTCTGGAGGTTGCTGGGAGTAAGGGCAGGGTTTTTCTTGAAGAGCCTAACCATCCTCAGTCACTGTTGACCTCTCTACTGCGTTCCTCTCTCCTCGTTGATTTCTGCCTTTGTCTATTTGGGCTGCTATAACAGAATACCATAGACTGGGTGGCTTATAATAGAAAGTGTTTCTCACAGTTCTGAATGCTGGGAAGTTGAAGATCAAAGTACCAACAGATTCAGAAACATCGCTCTGGTAGGAACTGAACAGTAGGAGGGCAATCAAGGCAGGAAGTCTAGGTAAGAAGTTTTTCCAACAGTTCAATTAAGAGTTGATGAGGCTGGGTCCAGTGGCTCATGCCTTTAATGCCAGCACTTTGGGAGGCCGAGATGGGAGGATTGCTTTAGTGCAGGAGTTTGAGACCAGCCTGGGCAACATAGTGGGACCCATCTCAAAAAAAAAAAAAAAGAGTTGATGAGCAGGAGGATTGAAAATAGAAACGAGGAAGCAGATGAGAGAAAGATCTTGGCAGAGAAAGAATGCACAAGGCTGGTCATTGCTATATCTGAATGTTTATGTCATCCCAAAATGTCTGGTGAGCACCCACTTTCTGGTTCATAGAAGGCACCTTCTCACTGTGTCTTTACATGGTTGAAGGGGTGAGGGGTTTCTCTGGGGCCTCTTTTATAAGCGTACCATTCCCATTCATGAGCGCCCCCACCCTAATTATCTTATCACCTCCCAAAGGCTCTACCTCCTAATACCATCACCTTGGAGATGAGGATTTCAATCTATTAATTTGGGGATGACACAAACATTCAGACGATTGCAATGACCGGCCTTGTGCATTCTTTCTCAGCAAGGTCTTTCTCTCATCTGCTTCCTCGTTTTTATTTTCAATGCTCCTGCTTATCAACTCTTTTTGTTTTCTTTTCTTTCTTTTCGAGATGGGGTCCTGCTATGTTGCCCAGGCTGGTCTCGAACTCCTGGGATCAAGCAATCCTCCCAACCTGGCCTCCCAAAGTGCTGGGATTACAAGTATGAGCCACTGTGCCCTGCCTCATCAACTCTTGATTGAACTGTTGGAAAAACTTTTTACCTAGACTTCCTGCCTTTATTGCCCTCCATCTGCACTTACTGTTCAGTTCCTACCACAGTGATGTTTCTGATAAAACTGATCTAATCTACTTAAGGCCCTCTGCTACTCAAGTCTTTGCTCATTCTCCATTGTCTATAAAACAAAATCCAAGATTCAAGAGTCTTAGGCAAGCTTGCAATTTATCTTCTGCTATGATTGTTCATACATCCTATACACTAAGACAAGCGCAGCCAAGCAAGTATGGAATGTTGGGTTAGAAGGAAAGAGGTTGGGGGTAAACTGAATAAATGGGCCAGTTTTGCAGGAAATTGGCGGAAAAGAGAAATAATTTGGTATTTCTAATATTTATTATGTCTTCCTAAAGGGAATGGTCAAGTGATTTATGGAACCACTACTTATGATATGTTATAGACCCTTTAAAAAATTGCATTCACACTTCAAAAATAGGGTTATATGTGTACTAATAGAATCCATGGTATATTAATATAATACTTTATTATTAAGACTTCTAAAAATCAAATTGGAAAAATATGGGAGTATAAAATGCTCAACATATTAATATAATGTTACAGTGAAAAAAGTAGAATAAATTTATTCTTATACTATCATTTTTTTTTTTTTTTTGAGACAGAATCTCCCTCTGCCACCCAGGCTGGAGTGCAGTGGCACAATCTTGGCTCACTGCAACCTCTGCCTCCCAAGTTCAAGCAATTCTCGTGACTCAGCCTCCCAAGTAGCTGGGGCTACAGGCACGCGCCACTGCACCCGGCTAAATTTTTTGTATTTTTTAGTAGAGATGGGGTTTCACCATGTTATCCAGGTTGGTCTCGAACTCCTGACCTCAGGTCATCCGCCTGCTTTGGCCTGCCAAAGTGCTGGGATTACAGGCGTGAGCCACTACGCCCAGCCGATTTTTGTTTTTAATTTTTTTAATTTTTTTTATTTTTTTGAGAAAGATCTTGCTCTGTTACCCAGGCTGAAGTACGGTGGCATGATCTTAGCTCACTGCAGCCTCAGCCTCCTGGACTCAAGCAATCCGCCCACCTCAGTCTCCTGAGGTGCTGAGGTTACAAGCATGACCCACCATGCCCAGCTATACTATAATATAATTTCCACAAAGAGAACACAGACTACAATGTATTACAAAAACATATTAATATATGATGGGATTATAGAAGAGTTTTTATTCATTCTTAAATTTTTAAACATTTTTCTTCCTTTTTCTTTTCTTTATTTTTTTTTAAATTGAGATAGGGTCTTACTGTGCTGCCCAGGCTGGTCTCAAACTCCCGGGCTCAAGTGATCCTCCCACCTTGGCCTCCTAAAGTGCTGGGATTACCGGCATGAGCCACTGCATCCAGCCAATTTTTTGTATTTGTCAAATGTCCTACAATAATCCTACTTTTATGATTAGAAAAGAGGAATAATGGTTACAAGGTTTATAATATGAGGAAATGCAATTTGTTATAATATTAAATTTAAAAGGCAGAAGACAAAATTATGTAAAGTGATCTCAACGGTGTTAAATTTTTTTAAAGTGGGAAGGAAACATACCCAAATGTTAACAGAGAGAAAAAGAGAGGGTGAGAGAGAAATTCATTATAAGAAATTGGCTCATACAATTATGGAGGCTGGCAAGTCCCAAATCTGCAATGTGGGCTGGCAGGCTGTAGACCTAGGAGAACTGGTGGTATAGTTTCAGTACAAAGGCAGTCTTCTGGAAAATTCCTCCTTGCTCACAGAGGCCAGAGTTTTTGTTCTATTCAGGCCTTCATCTAATTGGATGAGGCCCACTCACATTATGGAAGGCCGCCTGCTTACTCAAAGATTTAAATGTTGATCTCATCCAAACACGCCCTCCAAGTTGACAGATAAAATTAACCATTACAGACAGCACCACCAGTAAAGTATTCCTGCCAAAAATATAAATCTAGCTGAATCTCATTAATCTTGTCAATGTAATTATCAGATAATGTGATGAACAACAGGGGATAGAGGAGCATGTTAAAAGACACCATGAGAGGCCAGGTGCAGTGGCTCACACCTGTAATCCCAGCACTTTGGGAGGCCAAGGCGGGCGGATCACCTAAGGTCAGGAGTTCAAGACCAGCCTAGCCACCATGGTGAAACCCCATCTCTACAAAAATACAAAAGTTAGCTGGGTGTGGTGGCGGGTGCCTGTAGTCCCAGCTACTTGGGAGGCTGAGGCAGGAGAATGGCGTGAACCTGGGAGGCGGAGCTTGCAGTGAGCTGAGATCACGCCACTGCACTCCAGCCCAGGCGACAGAGCGAGACTCTGTCTCAAAAAAAAAAAAAAAGACACCATGAGGAGGAGATTAGTCAATCCTCTACATGATAAATGAATGGCATTAAAAAATAGAGGAATCATGATAGATGAAAAGTGATTCTTTGTTTGTATCCTGATTTGAACAAAACAACCCTACAGAGACATTTATAAGAATATCAGAGAAATCTGAACACTAACTAGACATTAGTGGATATTAAGAATTTTTTCATATGTTAATGGTATCATAGTTTTATTTTTTATTTTTTAAAACAAAGGATCTTGTTTCTTTTTTTTTTCTTTTCTTTTTTTTTGAGAGGAGTCTTGCTCTGACTCACAGGCTGGAGTGCAGTTGTGCAGTCTCACTGACTGCAACCTCTGCTTCCTGGGTTCCAGCGATTCTCCTGCCTGAGCCTCCAGAGTAGCTGGGATTACAGGTGTGCACCACCACTCCTGGCTAATTTTTGTATTTTTGGTAGAGACAGGGTTTCACCATGTGGACCAGGCTGATCTCGAACTTCTGACCTCAGGTGATCCACCCAACTTGGCCTCCCGGAGTGCTGGAATTACAGGCATGAGCCACCATGCCTGGCTGATCTTGTTTCTTAAAAATGCATGGTGAGAGGGCAGGCACAGCGTCTCACACTTACAACCACAATACTTTGGGAGGCTGAGGGAGGCAGATAGCTTGAGCCCAGGAATTCAAGACCAGCTTGGGCAACATGGCAAAATCCCATCTCTATGAAAAATACAAAAATTAGCCAGGAGTGGTGGTTCCAGCTACTCGGGAGGCTGAGGTGGGAGGATTGTTTGAGCCTGGGAGGTCAAGGCTGCAGTGAGCTATGATCGTGCCACTGCACTCCAGACTGGGCGACACAGTGAGACCCTGTCTCACATACACACAAAAATACATTGTGACACATTTGCAAATGGGAAGATTTGATGTCTGAGCTTTGCTTTAGTATAACCAAGCACATTGGTTTCAGGGCATGGAAATTCTGTGTTCTCAAAGTCACACTTACCTGTAAAAGAGCAAATCAGTGGGATTCTCCTGGCTTGCATAACTACAAATCTGGAATGAAAGCAGCATATGTAATTTAAAATTTTCTAGGTCACATTAATGAAAGTAAAAGAAACAGCCTGGGCGAGGTGGCTTATGCCTGTAATCCCAGCATTTGGGAGACCAGGGTTGGAGGATTGCTTGAGCCCAGAAGTTTGAGACCAGCCTAGGCAACATGGTAAGAACCCATCTCTACAAAATTTTAAAAATTAGCCAGGTGTAGTGGTGTGCGCCTGTGGTCTCATCTACTCAGGAGGCTGAGGCAGAAGGATCGCTTGACCCAGGAGGTCAAGGCTGCAGTGAGCCATGTTCTCCCCACTGCACTCCAGCTAGGGCAACAGAGTGAGACCCTGTCTCAAAAATAAATAAATAAAATAAAATAAAAAGAAGAAGAAGAAGAAAAGAAATGAAACAAGTAAAATTAGTAATCAGTATTAATTATTATTATTATTTTGAGACAGAGTTTCACTGTGATGCCCAGGCTGGAGTGCAATGGCATGATATCGGCTCACTGCAACCTCCACCTCCTGGGTTCAAGCGCTTCTCCTGCCTCAGCCTCCCCAGTGGCTGGGATTACAGGCGCCTGCCACGGCACCCAGCTAATTTTTGTATTTTTGGTAGAGACGGGGTTTCACCATATTGGCCAGGCTGGTCTTGAACTCCTGACTCAAGTGATCCACCCGCCTCAGTCTCCCGAAGTGCTGGGATTACAGGCGTGAGCCACCACGCCCAGCCTAATACAAATTCTTCTAACCCAATATATTCAAAAGATTATTTCAATATGTAATCAACATAAAAAAGTATTGAAATATTTTGGCTTTTTTCATCCTAAGTTTTTGAAATCTGTTGTGTATTATACACTTACAGCATATCTCAATTTGGCCTCACCATATATTTTGAGTGCTCAGTAGCCACATGTGGCCACCGTATTGAACAGCACAGGGCTACAGTTGGTTGATAAGGACTCTGGAAACACTATTTTGGGGGATTTTCTCTTTTTATTTTTTAATTTTTTTTAGAGACAGGGTCTTGCTCTGTTGTCCAGGCTAGAGTGCAGTGACACAATTATAGCTCATTACAGCCTCAAACTCCTGGACTCCAAGCAACCTTCCTGCCTTAGCCTCCTGAGTAACTAGGACTACAGGCACACACCATCACTCCTAGCTAATTTTTTGTTTTTATTTTTATTTTTAGAGATAGGGGTATCACTCTGTTGGCCTAGGTTGGTCTCGAACACCTAGCCCCAAAGGATCCTCCTCCCTCGGTCTCTCAAAGCTCTGGGATTGTAGGTGTCAGTCACCGCACCAGGCCAGATATTCTCTTTCTTACTTCAAATATTGTCTAGTTCTCAGGATGTCTTTTTCATGACTGCAGAAGGACTTCCCATAGAAACTAGAACAATGTGTTTCTAGTTTACATTCAAAAAGACTGAGAACTTAGCAAAATTTTCCAGTATCTCTTTGGCCCACATTGGCCTCGACCTGCCATCCCTGAACCAAACATTAGCAAAAAAAAAAAAAAGAAAAAAAAGGTGGGTGATTGATTAGACTAATCAGAGGCCTAGAGGTGGCATCAATTCCTTGAGCCTCTCAGCCATTATTCTGCGGAGGAGAGATGGAGAGGATGTTGAGTGCCGAGCCCAAAGTCATCTACTTTAGGGAAGGTTCTAGCACCCAGAAATACCATCCAGCAGGCTCAAAATCTTCTCCACCAGCTGGGTGCAGTGGCTCATGCCTGTAATCCCAGCACCTTAGGAGGTTGAAACGGGAGGATCACTGGAGCCCAGGAGTTTGAGACCAGCCTGGGCAGCACAGCAAGACCCCACCTCTACAAAAAAAATTTTTAAAAATCAGCCAGGTGTGGTGGTGCGCCCCTGTACTCCCAGCTATTCAGGATGCTGTGGTGGGAGGATGGCTTGACCTGAGCCCATGAGGTTGAGGCTGCAGTGAGCCGTAGTCATGCCATTGCACTCCAGCCTGAGTGACAGAGCGAGGCCTTGTCTCAAAAGAACAACAAAACTTCTCCACCATTCATGGGACAAGAAAGCGCAACTCCTCCAGGGACCACCTTCAATGACCTTTGCCATGAAGAAGCAAAGAGCTCTTTTTTTTTTCCTTCTTTTTTTTTTTTTTCGAGAGGTTCTCCCTCTGTCACCCAAGCTGGAACACAGTGGTGTGATCACAGCTCACTGCAGCCTCGACCTCCTGGGATCAAGCAATTCTTCCACCTCAGCCTCCTGAGTAGCTGTAACTACAGGCGCACATCATCACGCCTGGCTAATTTTTGTATTTTTTTTGTGTAGAGATGGGGTTTCACCATGTTGCCCAGGCTGATCTCAAACTCCTGGACTCAAGGGATCTGCCTGCCTCAATCTCCCAAAATGCTGGGATTATAGATGTGAGCCACTGCACCCAGCCAAAAAGCTCATTTATACCATCTTTTTTCAAGCTGGCATGGAGCTGAGCTGTTACCAGTGATGTATGAGACTTCCCTAGGAAAACAAGACCCCAAAATTCCAGTCTTTCAGCACAGTATAGACAGCGCAGTGTAGTGAAGCAGCCCTTCCCTGGTTTCTGCACCTGTTCTACCCACCTCTCAGTTGTGGGACCTCAGGCAGAGCACATAGCTGTCCTGGTTGTGTTTCCCATTTGTAAAGTACAGGCTTACATTACAACACGAGTGAGTGTTCACCCATTGTTCTTCCTTTTAATGACATTTTACAAGGAAGCCCAACATAAAAGCAGATAAAAGCAAAGCTTCTCTGCTTGTAGTGAGAACAGGGACCTGGCCTTTCCCTCAGTAGAGCCACTGAGTCATTCTTTAACAAACACTTAAATTGTATTTACTTTAAGCTCAGCTCTAAGTGTATTACATGCATTAATTTAATATTTTACTTAAATCTTCTTAGTAACCCTGTGAAGTGGGCATTATAATGATCCACAATTTCCATGAGGGAGTTGAAGCCCAATGGAGTTGAGCAACTTGCTGAAGGTCACACAGCTCGTAAGTCACAGAGCCAAGATTCAAACCCAGACACTCAACTCCAGGATCCACGTCTCTATCTTTTTAAAGCCCAGTGACTCCACAAACCAGCTCAAAGCCACTCCGCTGGATGATGCCTAAGATACCCTTCAGTCTTCAAGTGTGTCAGCCTATGAGTAATAGTCTGGTGTGTTGCTTGTTTATTTCAGCATAGTAGACATCCTCAATCGAAATCCCACTGTCCAGCCTCCAGCACTCCATGCATGGGTGCAAGTGAGAGTGGTGGTAGGAAGAGCGATGGAGAGGGCATGTCTTCTGCAGATCCTCGATAAGTCTAAGTCCAGGCAGCTCACTCCAGTCCACTTCAACTAAAACCCATGGACTCTTATTTCAGGCTTTTGACTCTACTCCTACACCATAATCTCAGGAGGAGTATATTTTTCTAACCTCAACTCACATATTCACGGGGAATATGGGAGAGAATTGTAGTAGTAAAGGTTATCCTGGATATGGAGTGTCCCCAGAATCCTGATCACCCAACCTATAGCCCTGTGCTGTCCAATATGGTGGCCACATGTGGCTACTGAGCACTCAAAATATATGGTGAGGCCAAACTGAGATATGCTGTAAGTGTAAAATACACAACAGATTTTGATGACTTAGGATGAAACTTATATGATGTACTTGGATCAGTCAAACTCATAGAGACAAACTAGAAGAGCAGTTACTAGGGGCTGAAGGGAGGATGGAATGAGGAATTATTTTTTAATGGGTACAGAGTTTCAGTTTTGAAAGATAAAAAAGTTCTGGAGATAAATAGTGCAAGCAATGTGAATCTACTTAATACCACTGAATTATACACTAAAAAATGGTTGAAATAGTAAATTTTATGTTATAGATTATATAAATATAGATTTATAAATAATTTTGGTATTATAGCATACATATATTAATATATACATATTAAAATATTCATGATATATAAATATTTTACGCATATATGTAAATACATATACACATATGTAGATATACACATATTATAATATATACATATTATGTATTTATGCAATGTATATACATATTAGTATACATATTAATATGTACATATCATAAATTAATACATATTATTCAATAATAAATATAAATTATATTACATGAATATTATATAATTGATATGTATATAATGTATATATAATATGTATATATACAGACTATGTATTATGCATTATATATTATATATACACATAATGTGTATATACACATATTATATATGTATACATATTATATATAACATGTATATATTTATACATATTATATTATTATATTTTTATCACTAGGTATATGTATGTTTATATATAAATATATAGTGGTAAAATATATACTTATATATATTAAAAGGTGGCTGTATATATAGTCATAAAATAAATATAACAAAATTTAAATAAATAATGTCTACTTCATGGGGAGATATATGTGTGTGTATGTGGTGTATATATACAATGGTAAAATATATACAGTGGGCCGGGAGCAGTGGTTCATGCCTGTAATCCCAGTACTTTGGGAGGCTGAGGTGGATGGATCACCTGAGATCAGGAGTTTGAGACCAGTCTGGCCAACATAGTGAAACCTCGTCTCTACTAAAAAAAAAAAAAAAAAAAAAATACAAAAAATTAGCCAGGTTTGGTGGTGTGCACCTATAATCCCAGCTACTCGGGAGGCTGAGGGAGGAGAATCGCATGAACCCAGGAGGTGGAGGTTGCAGTGAGCTGAGATTGTGCCACTGCACTCCAGCCTGGGTGACAGTGCAAGACTTTGTCACAAAAAATAAAATAAAAAATATGAAAAAATATATATAGTGGGTATATATATATATATAAAATAGTGGTCATATATATAGTGGTAAAATATATGTTACATAAAATTTAAATAAATAATGTCTACTTCATAGGGAGAGATATGTGTGTGTATGTGCATATGTGTATGCATATATATATATATATATATATATATATATATATATATATATATGAAGACCCTACTGGAAAATTTACAATGTGTTGACTGTATTTTAGTTGGGGAACAGATTCACTGTAGCGCAATTCTCAGCTCTGTTCTGCCACTTATTCTGTCACCGCTTTGAGGAGGTTAGATCAGAGATTTGATAGTCAGTTAAACCTAGGGTACACTCTTAGCTCTACCACTTGCTAGCTGTGGGACCAATACAAGTTACTAAAAAACAAAAAATATCAACTAATATTTATTAATTGATTGAGCATTTTCATTTATGGCAGGCACTGTACTGAGCATTTTACATACATTGTTCATTTCATCCTCATAATCACCCCATACCATATAGTCTACCATTTATTCCCACATTACATAAAGTGAGGCACAGAGAGGTGAAGTTGGCTAAGGTCACACAGTCAGCACGTGGGAGAAGCAGGACTCATCCCACAAAGCCAACTTCCCCATCAGACACCGCAAGCACAGGGCCCATGAGGCTTTATTTTATTCTAATAACATTGTTTTATTTTAATTTGTTTTAAACTTGGAAGAAAAACATAAATATAATAATAATGAGCATATAATAATGAATTCAGCAAGGCACAGTGGCTCACACCCATAATCCCAGCACTTTGGGAAACCAAAGCAGAAGGATCACTTGAGTCCAGGAGGTTGAGACCAGCCTGGGCAACATAGTGAAACCTCATCTCTATTATTACATTTTTTAAAATTAAAAAATAAAAAAATACATTTTAAAAATAGTGACTTCAGTCTGGATTAGATTTAACTTCATTCCAACATAGTCGTGAAATATAAAGTTAAATTTTTTTATGGAGGGAAGGGGCCCACAGAGGCAAGATTGCCTAGGGTCCATGAAATCAGGCCCCCTCACTGCAGGCCCCGGGCTTAAACTGTTACAGTTTACCAGCTCTCCGCACCCCAGCAAACCTGCTTGAAGACCATATATCTATGCGCACCCAGACAAGTCGTCCGTTTTGTATTTTCTCTCTCTTTTTTTTTTTTTTTTTTTTGAGACAGAGACCAGGCTGGAGTGCAGTGACGCGATCTCGACTCACTGCAACCTCTGCCTCCCAGGTGCAAGTGATTCTCCTGTCTCAGCCTCCCAAGTAGCTGGGATTGTAGGCATGCGCCACCATGCCTGGCTAATATTTGTATTTTTGGTAGAGATGGGGTTTCACCATGTTGGCCAGGCTGTTCTCGAACACCTGATCTCAAGTGATCCACCCACCTCGGACTTCCAAAGTGCTGGGATTACAGGCGTGAGCCACTGCGCCTGGCCCAAGTTGTCCTTTTTGTGTCTCAGTTTCCCCCTCTGTAAGATGGGAATAATAAAGAGTATTGACTTGTGTATGGCCATGAAGACACTGAGTAAATGTGCACACCTAAACCCCGTGCCTGACGCTCAGCAAAGGCTCCATAACATTTAGCTACATCTGACCTCATTCCTTGGGGCAGCAACAGGGTCTGGAGGTTTTCTCAGAGAGCCAGCTGTCTGACAGCCTCGGCGCAGCAACACCTCATCAGACACACCAGGAATTCCACAGCATCTTCACAGCAGACTCTGGAGAGATTCTGATCTAGTCTTCAACCAACCAGGGGAAATCCACGCTTGTGAAAACTTCCAGGCACCAGCAATAATTTCCCCCCTTCCCACGCTCCTCCCCAGTCTCCTGGGCCCTTTTCCATCTAGCTCTGTTTCTGCAGGAAGCAGGACAAAAAGGATTCCATTTTAAGCAAGTGTAGAAGAAAGAGCACAGACTCGGCACTCTTGGGACCTGGCTTTGCAGCTCGGCTCTGCCAAAAACAACGTTGGACAATTCACTCATGCTCTCTGAGCCTCAGAGTTGTCAGCTAGGTAACAGGAATCCATCATTAAAACAGTAATAATAACTGTCACTGTTATTACTAGAACACTCTATGGTGTAAGCATACAGACTTTCAGGTCAGAGTCCTTTGGTTCTGCCATGGCCTGGATGTCTGTGATCTGCACCCCTCCCAAATTCATACATTGAAATCCTAACCCCCAAAGTGATGGTATTAGGAGGTGGGGCCTTTTGGAGGTGACAGGTCATAAGGGTGAGCCCTCATGAATGTGATTAGTACCTTTGTAAAAGAGGCTCTAGAGAGACCCCTCACCCCTTCTACTACGTGAGGACACAGTGAGGAGATGCTATCTGTGAACCAGAAAGTAGGCCCTTATCAGATACTGAATTTGCTGATGTCACAGCCACTGGAACTGTGAGAAGTAAGTGGTTGTTGATTATAAGCCATGCAGTTGATGGTGTTTTTTTGTTATAGCAGCCCAAACAGACTAAGATTCACATCACGGGTTCTACCCCTTGAAAGTACATGACCTTCCCTTTCTAAGGTTTCTCATTTGTAAATGGGGAATAATAACAGCCCCCACCTCAAAGGGTTATTGGGATAATTAAATGAGATAATTAAATCCAAAGATCTTTGTAGTACTGGGCACACAGTAAGTGCTAGATAAAGGCCAGCAATTGTTGTTGTTATTATTATTATTATTATTATTGAGACAGGATCTCACTTTGTCACCCAGGCTGGAGTGCAGTGATGCAATCTTGGCTCACTGAAGCCTCTGCCTCCGAGGCTCATGGTCCTCCCACCTCAGTCTCCCTAGTAGCTGGGACTACAGGCACACACCACTACATCTGGGTAATTTTTTTATTTTTTGTAGAGATAGGATTTCACCATGTTGCCCAGGCTGGTCGCAAACTCCTGAGCTCAAGCGATCCTTCCGCCTTGGCCTCCCAGTGCTGGGATTACAGACATGAACCACTGTGCCCAGCTAGCAATGGTTATTTTAATTATAATGGTGTTTGTTCTTGAGCCCTGTAGCATATAATAGAGTTTTCCAACTGCACACAGTAATGGTCAATTAATAGCTGTTGAATGAGTGGATGAATGAATGGATGGATGAATTAGTGAATGAATCTTGCTATCACTGTCAATCTAGGACTCTTTTCTTCATACTAAATTCCCATTGTCCTAATGGCAGCAGGAGTTTTAGCAGCCTCAAGACTTTCAGGTTTCTTGTTTCTTTTTGATTTGATGAGGTGGTTTAAGATATGTCCACAATTTGACACTTCCTTCAAAAGGTGGACCCTATTTCCCTTCCTCTTGACTGTGAACTGAATTTAGTAACTCATTTGTAACAAACAGAATAAAGTGGAAGTGACAGTGTACAACTTCCAAGACCAAGGTCACAAAAGACCTTGAGGCTTCTGTCTTGGTCTCTCTCTCTCTCTCTCAGATTGCCTGCTCCTGCAGAGGGCTGCTGCCATGTCATGAGCACTCTCAAGCAGCTCTAGCGAGGGGTCATGTCATGAGGAACTGAGACCTTCTGCCAATAGCTGTGTGAATGAGCCATCATGGAGGCAGGTCCTCCAGCCCCAGTCAAGCCTTCAGATGATGGCAGCCCCAGCTGATGATTTGACTGCAAACTCTCATGCAACCAGGAATAAGAACCACTCAGCAGAACCACTCCCAATTTCCTGACCCACAGAAACTGTGAGATAAATAAATATTGCTTTAAGCTGCTGTGCTTAGGGATAATTTGTTACACAGCAATAGATAAGTTATACATTTTGTATGACTTTTTTTTTTCTTTTTGAGACAGGGTCTCACTCTGCCACCCAGGTTGGAGTGCAGTGGCATGATCACAGCTCACTGCAGCCTCAACCTCCCAGGTTCAAGCGATACTCTTGCCTCAGCCACCTGAGTAGCTGGGACCACAGTTGTGCACCACTACCCGTGGCTAATTTTTTATATTTTTTGGTAGAGACAGGGTCTCCTTATGTTGCCCAGACTGGTCTTGAACTCCTGAACTCAAGCAATCTGCCCACCTTGGCCTCCCAAAGTGCTGGGATTACAGGTGTGAGCCACCATGCCTGGCCCATATATGACTTTTTTTTTTTTTTCAGGTTAGACGGGTAATGTGACAATGTTGTAACAAGGTTCAGAGAGTGGCAGATCTCACACATACACATAAACACCCAATCATCATGCTCATGAACTGCAAAAGGATCTTATATGACTATTCTTGATAAAAGGTTGTTGAACGAATTCTTTTCTATCAATCCTTCCTCATGGAGACTTCGGACTGTTCATTCTCCATATTATGTTAGCACTATTCAGAAACCCTGAATCCCACACATTATTGGTGATGTTACTGTTACTAAACCATGCCTGCTAACTAATGAAGGACCCCCTACCCCTTAAGGTCTCAGGTGGGCTGCATCCTGACCTCCGATGAACACCAGACCTCAGCGGGATTGGCATCACCAGATCCCTGGCTGGGGAGGAAGATTCAGGCTCCATAACAAGCAGGCTTCTTTCCAGTCAGTAGCTCATATTTGGAAGGCTCGTGTTGTATATTTCAGCAGGGCCCATCTCAGAGAGAATATTTCCTTACTCACAGCTCTCACACTGTTTTAACAACAGCTAATCCTTTCACCTTATTTGGATGCGATGTCAGAATCCCTTCTGTGGCTGGCGAAGTCTCAGCACTAACTGGAGAGAAGACTTATAGGCCTTTGCATCTGAAGACAAACTCTGCCTGAGGTGGAAAAGAGAGGCTGGGAAGAGCGTTGAGGTTGACATTTGACAGCCTCATCAGCTCAGGGCTGAAAAAGACAAGCTGGCCAGGTGCAGTGGCTCATGCCTGTAATCCCAGCACTTTGGGAGGCCAAGACAGGCGGATCACTTGAGGCCAGGAGTTTGAGACCAGCTTGACCAACATGGTGAAACCCCATCTGTAATAAAAATAAAATAAATAAATAAATAAGATGGGCTGGCTAGCTCTCTCTGTTTCACCACGAGGACCTTAGCCAGGCTGTCCTAAGGGTATGGCGGTGTGGCTAAGGCCAGCCAGTTCAACAGTCTTTAACCAAGCATGTGCTATGCACCAGTCACTGTAGACAAGGCCAGCACACAAAGATGAGTAGCCAAGGTCCTTGCCCTTGGGGAGTTCATGGTCCAGTTGGGGAAGACAAGCAAACCAATTAGTAACAACAGTTCAGAGCAGTAGCTGCTGCATTCACTTGGCCAGGTGCAGCGGCTCTTGCCTGTAATCCCAGCACTTTGGGAGGCTGATGCGGGCAGATTGCTTGAGCCCAGGAGTTTGAGACCAGCCTGGGCAACATGGCAAGACCCTGTCTCAAAAAAAAAAAATACAGAAATTAGTTGGGCATGGTGGCACACGCCTGTAGTCCCAGCTACTTGGGAGGCTGAGGAGGATCGCTTGAGCCCGGGAGGTCAAGGCTGAGGTGAGCTGAGATTGCACCACTGCACTCCAGCCAGGGCGACCAGAATGAGAACCTGTCTCAAAAAAATAAAAAACAAAAAAACCCCAGAGCAGCAGCAGAGGTGTACTGCCACGCCAGGTGAACTGGGGGCACAAGACAGGGGAGGCCAAGGGAGGGTTCCTGGACTCTTGGAGGCAGTGTTTCCTGAGCTAATTGTGAGGCGAGAGAAGTAACCACACAACAGAGGCTGGGAACAGTTACCTAGGCAGAGGGAAGAGACTAAGCCAGGCCTCACCAGCAAGGCAGGAAGTGGAAGGAGGAGCACCAAGTGCTGGGTGAGGCTGGGGGTCAAGTGGGAGTGAAGTGGGAGGGGCAGGAAGCGTAGCTGGAGGAGAAGGAAGTGTCCAGCGGAGGAGAGTCTTGCATCCCACGATACAGAGCTAGCGTTTCATCTTGGACGTGATGGGCAGTCACTGAAAGGTTTTGAGCAGAAAAGGGACTCCATTAGGTTTGGGTTTTAGGATGTTCATTCAGTCAACCCTGGGGAGGGTGGATTTGAAGACTGGAAGCAGAGAGGCCAGTGAAGAGGGACGCTGCCATCACTTGTGCAGCCAAGTGTGATGAGGGTCTGGAAGTGGCCTTGGAGATGGAGAGGATGGGATAGATCCAGGGAATAACAAGGCTTATCAGCCAGGAGCCAAGTACAGGGAAGGGTATTTCCTGGCTGGAGGACTTTGAAGGCTGGGGCAGGGATTCCTCTGCATTCTTGGTCATAGCTTCTGAGACCTGGCTGGCAGGATCTAATTTAGCCTCCTCCGATCCCTTGTAGAGTCTAGCTGGAACACTAACTGCCAAACTGGATTTGATATTAGAAGAGGTATCACTAAAAGAGGTCTATAAACCCACACCCAGTGTGTGGCGAGGATCCCGCGACAGGATGAAGTGCAGATTTCTTGTGGAGTCTGCATTCTGGCTGCTTCTCTCCATCTGCTCTTGCCCTCACCTGGATCTCAGCCAACATCTTTTCTTGCCTAGACTACTGCAGTAGCTTCCTAACTGGGTGGCTCTTTTCTTTTAATTTCTCTTTCTTTTTTTATTTTATTTTATCTTACAGAGACAAGGTCTTACTATGTTGCCCAGGCTGGTATTGAACTCCTGGGCTCAAATGATCCTCCTTCTTTGGCCGAAGTAATCCTCCCTTCTTGGCCTCCCAAAGTGCTAGGATTACAGGTGTGAGCCATTGTGCCTGCCCTTTTCCTTTCCTTTCTTTTTTTTTTTTTTTTTTGAGACAGGGTCTTACTCTGGCACCCAGGCTGGAGTACAGTGGTGCAATCATGGCTCACTGCAGCCTTGAGCTCCTAGACTCAAGCGATTCTCCCACTTCAACCTCTTGAGTAGTTGGGACTACAAGTGCATGCCACCACCATGCCTGGCTAATATTTTAATTATTATTTTTTTTTTTAGAAACAAGGTGTCACTGTGTTGCCTAGGCTGTTCTCAAACTCTCAGCCTCAAACGATCCTCCCACCTTGGTCTCCTGAGTAGCTGGGATTACAGGTGTGAGCCACCATGCCTGGCTGGTTGATTCTTTTCTACCCCTTACTTACTACTCTGGACCCCTACATTCGGGCCTAACAAGGCAGCCATTGTGACCCTTTAAAAATACAAATTAGATAATGTCACTCTGCTACTTAAAACCCCTGCAAGGTCTTCTATTATTGTTTAAATCCACCCTCATTTCCATGGCCTAGCAGCCTGTGTGTCTGCCCCCTGACCACCCCTCCAAGCTCCCCTCCTGCCCCACTGACTTGCTCCCTTGTCCCATCCACTGGCCTTCTACTGTTGCACAAATATACCAAACTATTTCCCACACAGAGCTACCTATTCACTCAGCAAGTGCTTATGAAACACCTACTATGTGCCACACACCGTACTTGGTGCTGAAGAGACAGGAATGAAAGGCATGCAAATCCCTGCCACTGGGAAACTTACATGCTAATGAAGAAAGACAGACCGTAAACATGACAAGTAAACAAATATAGTATGTCAGGCCAGATGTGGTGGCTTACGCCTGTAATCCCAGCACTTTGGGAGGCCAAGGCTTGAGAATCACTTGAGTCCAGGAGTTCAAGACCAGCCTGGGCAACATAGTGAGACCCCATCTTTACAAAAAAAAAATGAACAAAATTAGCCAGGCCTGTGGGGTGCACACCTGTAGTCCAAGCTACACAGGAGGCTGAGATGGGAGAATCACTTGAGCCCAGGAGATCAAAGCTGTAGTGAGCCATGATTGTGCCACTGCACTCCAGCCTGGGCAACAAGAATGAAACTCTATCGCAAAAAAAAGAAAAAAAAGTAGCAAAATTTCTTTGCTGTAATATAAGCTCCACTGAGGTTAGGAGCCCTGTGTTTTTGACCCATTATAAACCCAGACTTAGAAGACAGTTCAGCCAATTGTCCAGCAATTGTCCAGTACATGCTCAATAAATCACTGGCTGAATGAAAGAAGCAGGGACATTCTATAATTATGATTCCTTAAACCTTACGGAGTATGGAGAACTGTGTTTTGATGTGGGAGGAATAGCCCCAGGAAACTTGTGGCCATTGGGCTAGAGGTAGGAGAGGTAGAGAAGAACCTAACAAGATTTCAGAGAGAGAGAGGAGGAAACCTAAAAGAATGCCACATCTAAAGACTTGGGGTATGGCTAGGTGCGCTGACTTATGCCTATAATCCTGGCACTTTGGGCCGTGGTAGGTGGATCGCTTGAGCCTAGGACTTCAAACATCAGACCGGGCAACATGGGGAAACCCCATCTCTACAAAAACAAAAACAAAAATTAGCCAAGCATGGTAGCTCACACCTGTGGTCACAACTACTGGGGAGGCTGAGATGGGAGGATCACTTGAGCCTGGGAGGTGGAGGATGCAGTTGAGCTGTGATTGCACCACTGCACTCCAGCCTGGGTAACACAGTGAGATCCTGTCTCAAAAAAAAAAAAAAAAAAAAAAAAAGACTTGGGGTGTATTAATTATACATCAATAAAATTGTTTTTTAAAAAATATGTGAATTAGAATGGCCTTGAACTTCTAAATAATAACATTAGAAACTAGAAGGCAAAAAACAACAACAAATGGTATCTTCAAAATACTCAAAAGTCAGCTCTAGTTGACTTAATTAGAAAGGGAATTTATTAAGAGTGAAAAATATCATTAACATAGAATTTTATTCCCAGCCAAGCTATCAATTGGATGTGAGGCAGAAGGAACATAATTTCTTTTTTTCTTTCTTTCTTTTTATTTTTTGAGACAGTCTCACTCTATCGCCTAGGCTGGAGTGCAGTGGTGCGATCTCGGCTCACAGCAACCTCCGCCTCCTGGGTTCAAGCGATTCTCTTGCCTCAGCCTCCCGAATTGCTGGTATTACAGGCACGCACCACCACTCTCAGCTAATTTTATATATAATATGTGTGTGTATATATATATATATATATTTTTTTTTTTTTTTGAGACGGAGTCTTGCTCTTGTTGCCCAGGCTGGAGTGCAGTGGCGTGATCTCTGCTCACTGCAACCTCTGCCTCCTGGGTTCAAGATATTCTCCTGCCTCAGCCTCCCGAGTAGCTGAGATTACAGGTGTGTACCATCACGCTCGGCTAATTTTGTATTTTTAGTAGAGATGGGGTTTCTCCATGTTGGTCAGGCTGGTCTCGAACTTCCGAACTCAGGTGATCCGCCCCTCCCCACCCCGGCCTTGGCCTCCCAAAGTGCTGGAATTACAGGCGTGAGCCACCGCACCCAGCGGGACAAGGTCTTGCTCTGTCACCCAGACAGGAGTGCAGTGGTGAGATCTCAGCTCACTGCAACCTCCGCCTCCTGGGCTCAAGCCATTCTCCCACCTCGACCTCCCAAGTAGCTGGGGCTATAGGTGCACACCACCATATCTGGCTAGTTTTTGTATTTTTTGTAGAGACAGTGTTTTGCCATGTTACCCAGGCTGGTCTCGAACTTCTGACTTCAGGTGATCCGCCCACCTTGGCCTCCCAAAGCTCTGGGATTACAGGCATGAGCCACTGCGCCCGGCCAGTAGCTCATTTATTTTTATCACTGAATTAATAT
Source organism: Homo sapiens (assembly GCF_000001405.40). Lineage (NCBI taxonomy): Eukaryota > Metazoa > Chordata > Mammalia > Primates > Hominidae > Homo > Homo sapiens. The sequence continues at coordinate 19,537,608 of NC_000001.11, forward strand.
TCCATTGTGTGGATGTGCCAGTTTGTTCATCTCTTTACCTGTCAAAGGACATCTTGGTTGCTTCCGAGTTTTGGCGATTATGAATAAAGCTGCTATTCATGTGCAGGTTTTTGTGTGGACATGTTTTCACCATATTTGAGTAAATACCTAGCAGTGTGATTGCTGTATCATATGGTAAGACTATGTTTAGCTTTGTAAGAAACTGCCAAGTTGTCCTCCAAATTGTCTGTACCATTTGTATACCCAACAGCAATGAATGAAAATTTTTGAGGTCAGGTGCAATGGCTCATGCCTGTCATCCCAGCACTTTGGGAGGCCAAGGCGGGTGGATCATGAGGTCAGGAGTTCGAGACCAGCCTGACCAACATGGTGAAACCCCATCTCTACTAAAAATACAAAAATTAGTCAGGCATGGTGGTGCACGCCTGTAATCCCAGCTACTCAGGAGGCTGAGGCAGGAGAATCGCTTGAACCCAGGAAGCAGAGGTTGCAGTGAGCCCAGATGGTGCCACTGCATTCCAGCCTGGGCGACAGAGCGAGACTCCATCTCAAAAAAAAAGTTTTTGTTGCTCTGCGTCCTCACTTGCATTATCAGTGCTTCGGATTTTAGCTGTTTTCACAGATATGTAGTGATATCTCATTGTTGTTTTGATTTGCAATTCCCTGATGACATACAATGATGAACATCTTTTCATTTGCTTATTTGCTATTGTCTTTCTTCTTCTCCCTTTTTTTAAAAATTTTTTTTATTTGAGACAAGGTTTCACTCCCATCACCTAGGCTGGAGTGCAGTTGTGGGATCTCAGCGCACTGCAACCTCCACCTCCCGGACTCAAGCAATTCTCCAGCCTCAGCCTCCTGAGTAGCTGGGACTGTAGGCGCACGTCACTATGCCTGGCTAATTTTTGTATTTCTATTGAAGTTTTAGTAAAGATAGGTTTTCGCTGTGTTGCCCAAGCTGGTCTCGAACTCCTGAGCTCAAGCGACCCTCCTGCCTCGGCCTCCCAAAGTGGTGGGATTACAGATGTGAGCCACCTTGCCTGGCCTCTTCTTTTTTCTTTTCTTTTCTTTTTTTTTTTTTTTTGAGACAGAGTCTTGCTCTGTTGCCCAGGCCAGAGTACAGTGGCATGATCACAGCCCACTGCAGCGTCAACTTCCTGGGCTCAGCAAGTGATCCTCCCACCTCAGCCTCCTGAGTAGCTGGGACTACTGGCATGCACCATCACGCCTGACTAATTTTTTGTATTTTGTAGAGATGAGGTTTCACCATGTTGCCCAGGCTGGTCTGAAACTCCTGGGCTCAAGTGATCTACATGCCTCGGCCTCCCAAAGTGCTGAGAGCCACCATACCCAGCCATCCATCTGTATATCTTCTTTGGTGAGGTGTCTCTTCAGATTTTTTGCCCACTTTTTGCTTTGGTTGTTTATTTTCTTATTCAGTTTCAAGAGTTCTTTGTATACGGCCAGGTGCAGTGGTTCACGCCTGTAATCCCAGCACTTTGGGAGACTGAGGCAGGAGGATCATTTGAGGCCAGGAGTTCAAGGCCAGCCTGGGCCACATAGCGAAACCCTATCTCTAGACTCCATCTCTACCAAAAAAAAAAAAAAAAAATCAAAAAATAAGCTGGGCATATGGGATTATGTGCCTGTGGTCCCAGCTACTCTGGAGACTGAGGCGGGAGGATAGCTTCAGCCCAGGAGGTCCAGGATATAGTGAGCCAAGACCATGCCACTGCACTCCAGCCTAGGCAATAGAGTAAGACCCTGTCTCTGAAAAATAAAGAAAAAAAGTTCTGGCCAGGTGCAGTGGCTCACGCCTGTAATCCCAACACTTTGGGAGGACAAGGTGGGTGGATCACCTGAGGTCAGGAGTTCGAGACCATCCTGGCCAACATGGTGAAACCCCATCTCTACTAAAAATACAAGAATTAGCTGGGTGTGGTGAGCCACACCTGTAGTCCTAGGTACTCAGGAGGCTGAGGCAGGAGAATTGATTGAACCTGGGAGATGGGGGTTGAGATGAGCCGAGATTGCACCATTGCATTCCAGCCTGGGCAGCAAGAGCAAAACTCTGTCTCAAACAACAACAAAAACAAAAAATTCTTCTTTCTCCATTGAATTTTCTTTGTTCCTCTTTCAAAGATCAGTTGATTATATTTATGTAGGTCTATTTCTAGGCTTTCTCTTGTATTTCTTTTCTTTTTTTTTTTGAGACAGAGTTTCACTCTTGTTGCCCAGGCTGGAGTGCAATGGCACAATCCCAGCTCACTGCAACCTCCGCCTCCCAGGTTCAAGCAAGTCTCCTGCCTCAGCCTCTCGAGTAGCTGGGATTACAGGCATGCACCACCACACCTGGCTAATTTTGTATTTTTAGTAGAGACGGGGTTTCTCCATGTTGAGGCTGGTCTGGAACTCCTGACCTCAGGTGATCCACCCACCTTGGCCTCCCAAAGTGCTGGGATTACAGGCATGAGCCACTGCACCTGGCTAGGTTTCTCTTGTATTTCATTGATCTAATTGTCTATTCTTTGTTTCTTTTTTTTAAAGTATCTATTCTTTTACCAGTGTCACATGTCTTGATTATTGCAGTGTATAGTAAAGATGAGTAATGTTAGTCTTCTGTCTTTGTTCTTTTTTACTAATATTGTCTTGGCTATTTTGAATCTTTTGCCTCTCCACAAAAACTTTAGAATTAGTTTGTCAGTATCCACAAAATAACTTGCTGGAATTTTGATTGGGATTGTATTGAATCCATAGATCAAGTTGGGATGACTGGCATCTTGATAATATTGAGTCTTCCTATCAATGAACATGGAATGTCTATTTATTTATTTATTTATTTTGAGACAGAGTCTTGCTCTGTCGCCCAGGCTGGAGTGCAGTGGTATGATCTCAGCTCACTGCAACCTCTGCCTCCCAGGTTCAAGTGATTCTCCTGCCTCAGCCTCCTGAGTAGCTGGGATTACAGGCACCCACCACCATGCCCAGCTAGTTTTTGCAGTTTTAGTAGAGACAGGGTTTCGCCATGTTGGCCAGGCTGGTCTCAAACTCCTGACCTCAGGTGATCTGCCGGCCTTGGCCTTCCAAAGTGCTGGGATTACAGGCATGAGCCGCTGTGCCTAGCCAATTTATTTAGACCTTCTTTGATTTCTTTCTTCAGAGTTTTATAGTTTTCCTCCTGTAGATCTTGTACATATTTTTTTAGATTATACCTAAATGTGTTTTTTGGTGGTAATATAAATGTTAAATTATAAAATTAAAATTATTCAAATTATTATTATTTAATTTTTATTTTTTTGAGACAGGGTCTCACTCTGTCACAAGGCTGGAATGAAGTGACATGATCATAGCTCACTGCAGCCTCGACTTCCCCCAGCTCAGGTGATCCTCCTGCCTCGGCCCCCCAAGTAGCTGGTAGTACAGACATGTGCCACCATGCTTGGCTAAATTTTTTTTTTTTTTTTGTAGAGACGGGATTTCCCCATGTTGCCCAGGTTGGTCTTGAACTCCTGGATTCAAGTGATCCACCTGCCTCAGCCTCCCAAAGTGCTGGGTCTATAGGCATGAGCCTTTTATTTTTTATTTTCTAATATATATATATATATATATATATATATATAGAGAGAGAGAGAGAGAGAGAGAGAGAGAGAGAGAGAGAGAGAGTGAGTCAGTCTTTCTTTGTCACTTAGGCTGGAGTGCAATAGCTTGATCATAGCTCACTGCAGCCTCAACTCCTGGGCTCAAGCAATCCTCCCACCTCAGTCTCCCAAGTAGCTGCGACTATAGGCACACATCACAATGCCTGGTTAATTTTTTAATTATTTTGTAGAGATGGGGTTGTCACAATTATTTTGTAGAGATGTCACTATTGTTGGGAACATGCCCCAAATCTGGCCATAAACTGGCCCCAAAACTGGCCATTAACAAAATCTCTGCGGCACTGTGACATATTCGTGATGGCCACGACACCACGCTGAAGGTTGTGGGTTTACTGGAATGAGGGCAAGGAACACCTGGCCCACCCAGGGTAGAAAACCGCTTAAAGGCATTCCTAAACCACAAACAATAGCATGAGCGATCTGTGCCTTAAGGACATGTTCCTGCTGCAGATAACTAGCCAGAGCCCATCCCTTTGTTTCAGCCCATCCCTTTGTTTCCTGTAAGGAATACTTTTAGTTAATCTATAATCTATAGAAACAATGCTTATCACTGGCTTGCTGTCAATAAATATGTGGGTAAAACTCTGTTTGGGGCTCTCAGCTCTGAAGGCTGTCAGCCCCCTGATTTCCCACTGCACACTCCATATTTCTGTGTGTGGGTCTTTAAGTCCTCAAGCACCACTGGGTTAGGGTCTCCACGACTGAGCTGGCCTCGGCAAGTAGCGCCCATATGTGGGGATTGAACCTGGGTCGAAGGGTTGCTGGAGCGATGGTTGGAGAACGTGGAACTAAGCTGTGGGATCTGGTTCATTCCACCTTGGAACCTTTTCACACTAACGATGAGGAGGAAGGAAAGTATGACGAAGTAACAGAAGAGGTGACAGAGCAGGTTTGTTTGCCAGCTAAAGCTAAAGCGGCAAAGAAGGAAGAGGTTAATGCCTACTCTTCTGCACCCCCTCCTTATTTTGAAGAGAGTGGCCTGACCCTCCAGATCTTTCTTTTTTGGAGGACACTAGGTGAAAAGTAGTTGCCCCAGTGACTGTTTGAGGAGTGCCTTAAGCGATCACTCTCAGATCTATTCAGGCAGGAATCCAGCAAGCTAGATGAGAGGGTGACTTAGAGGCTTGGCAGTTCCCTGTTAGGATACACCCCCCAGATCAACAGGGAAATATTATAGCTACATTTGAGCCTTTTCCTTTTAAATTACTCGAATTTAAACAAGCTATCAATCAGTGTGAGCCTAGAATATGTCCAAAATGCAAAAAAAGGAAAACATTAGGCTAATCAGCATCACTCTAAGTTTGATAAAGATGGGAACCTGATTTCAAGAAACGCCATCAGGGGCCTGACCTGGGACCTGTTCCAAACCAGGGCATTTCTGGCTCAGGCCACTCCTTCACTCCTGTACAAAGTCTGTCCCACACCACAGCCAGTAGTGCCACAGATTTATGCTACACAAAAGCTGTGAGTCTTCTGCCTGGGGAACCCCCACAAAAGGTCCCAACAGGAGTCTGTGGACCCTTGCCAGCAGGGACAACAGGATTACTTCTAGGTAGATCTAGTTTAAATTTAAAAGGAGTACAAGTACATATAGGAGTCATTGATTCAGATTACAATGGGAAAATTCAAATTGTTATATCTACTTCTGTTCCCTGGAAAGCAGAGCCAGGAGAGCATATAGCACAGCTCCTGATGGTACTGTATGTGGAAATGGGGAAAAGTGAAATTAAATGAACAGGAGGATTTGGAAGCACAAATAAACAAGGCAAAGCAGCTTACTGGGTGAATCAAATTACTGATAAACGTCCTACCTGTGAAATAACTATTCAGGGACAGAAATTTAAAGGTTTGGTAGATACAGGAGCAGACATTTCAATCATTTCTCTACAGCACTGGCCATCCGCGTGGCCAATTCAACCCACTCAATTTAACATAGTTGGAGTTGGTAAAGCCCCTGAAGTATATCAAAGTAGTTATATTTTGCATTGTGAAGGGCCTGATGGACAACCTGGGACTATTCCACCAATTATAACTTCTGTATCTGTAAATTTATGATGGAGAGATTTATTACAACAATGGGGAGCACAAGTTCTAATTCCAGAGCAATTATATAGCCCTCAAAGTCAACATATGATGCATGAAATGGGGTATGTCCCTGGTAGGGCACTAGGAAAAAATTTGCAAGTTTCAAAGGAACCGCTTCAAGTGGGAAGACAAAGTTCCCGCCAAGGTTTAGGATATCATTTTTCATGGTGGCCATTGTTAAGCCTCCAGAACCTATACCTTTAAAATGGTTAACAGATAAGCCAATTTGGATAGAACAATGGCCACTAAGTAAAGAGAAACTGGAGGCTTTAGAGGACTTAGTTACTGAACAATTAGAAAAAGGACACATAGCTCCAACATTTTCCCCTGGAATTCTCGAGTTTTTGTAATGAAGAAAAAATCAGGTAAATGGAGAATGTTAACTGACTTAAGGGCCATGAATTCAGTTATACAACCTATGGAGACATTACAGCCAGGATTGCCTTCTCCTGCTATGATTCCAAAAAATTGGCCTTTAATAGTCATAGATTTAAAAGACTGTTACTTTACTGTCCCCTTAGCTGAACAAGACTGTGAACAGTTTGCATTTACAATTCCTGCAATAAACAACCTGCAGCCTGCTAAGTGTTTTCATTGGAAAGTGTTGCCACAAGGCATGTTAAATAGTCCACCAATTTGCCAGACTTATGTAGGGCAAGCAATTGAACCTACTTGTAAAAAATTTTCACAGTGTTACATTATTCATTATATGGATGATATTCTTTGTGCTGCCTCAACTCGGGAAATATTACTCCAATGTTATGATCGCTTGGAAAATTCAATTTCTCATGCTGGTTTAATTATAGCTCCTGACAAAATTCAGACTAACACTCCTTACTCCTACTTAGGGACCTTAGTAAATGACACTATCATTGTACCACAGAAAGTAACCATATGTAGGGATCAATTGTAAACATTAAATGACTTTCAAAAATTACTAGGGGACATTAATTGGATACGACCTGCTCTAGGCATTCCTACCTATGCCATGAGTAATCTATTTTTTATCCTTAGAGGAGCTCCTAGTCTCACTAGCCCTCGACAGTTAACAAAGGGGGCTGAGGCAGAGTTACAGCTAATAGAGAAGCAAGTCCATAAGGCTCAAATAAATAGAATAAATCCAGAGAAGACTCTAGATTTGCTAATTTTTTCAACTCAGCATTCACCTACTGGTGTTACTGTTCAAGAGCAAGATCTTGTAGAATGACTTTTTCTTCCACATACTAATTCACAGACTCTAACTCCTTATTTGGATCAAATCACTACTATGATAGGAAATGGGAGAACTCGGATAGTTAAACTGCATGAATATGATCCTGGAAAAATCATTGTCCCTCTCACGAAGGCACAAATACAGCAAGTTTTTATAAATAGTCTTACTTGGCAAACCCATTTAGCTGACTTTGTGGGTATTCTCGATAACCATTTTCCTAAAATGAAACTGTTTCAATTTTTGAAATTACCTAATTGGATTCTCCCTAAAATAACTAAATTTAAACCAATTGAAGGTGCTGAAAATGTCTTCACAGATGGGTCTAGTAACGGTAAAGCTTCTTACTCTGGCTCAAAAGGTAAAGTTTTTCAGACGCCCTATACTTCAGCTCAAAAAGCAGAACTTGTAGCTGTAATTAAGGTATTGACTGCTTTTGATATGCCTATTAATGTAATTTCTGATTCTTTATATGTGGTTCATCCTACACAGTTAGTTGAAAATGCTCAGCTGTGATTCTATACAGATGAACAACTTATGACTTTATTTACTCAATTACAGACAGCAGTTAGGGGTAGAATACACCCATTTTTCATCACTCACATTAGGGCTCATACACCTCTTCCAGGACCTTTGACTGCAGGGAATCAATGATCGCCTAGTTGCTACTGCAATGTCTAATGCCAGACCCTTTCACAATTTAACCCATGTTGATGCCTCTGGTCTCAAATGCAGATACAACATTACCTGGAAAGAAGCTAAAGCTGTTATCCAGCGATGCCCAACTTGCCAAATGGTACATTCCTCATCTTTTACAGGAGGAGTAAATCCTCAAGGATTAGAACCTAATTCTCTTTGACAAATGGACGTCACACATGTTCCCGCATTTGGGGGACTAGCTTATGTACATGTATGTGTGGTCACCTTTTCTCACTTTGTCTGGGCTACATGCCAATCAGGAGAGTCTTCTGCCTGTGTTAAACGTCACCTTTTGCAGTGTTTTGCCGTGATGGGCATTCCAGCTTCTATGAAAACAGATAATGCCCCAGGCTATACTAGCCAAGCTCTAGCTACATTTTTCTCTATATGGAATATTAAACACATTACTGGTATCTCATATAATTCTCAAGGACAAGCCATAGTGGAAAGAATGAATCTCTCCCTAAAACAAAAATTGCAAAAGCAGAGGTCGGGGGGGAGGGCAGGGAACAGGGACTACAGGACACCCCATATGCAATTGAATCTAGCATTATTGACTTTAAATTTTTTGAGCCTGCCTAAAGGCCAGATGCTATCAGCAGCTGAACAGCATCTACAGAAACCAGCTGCAAAGACATAAGCAGAACAACTGGTTTGGTGGAGAGATCCGATAACAAAAAGTTGAGAAATAGGTAAAATAATAACTTGGGGTAGAGGTTATGCTTGTGTTTCTCAGGCCAAAACCAGCAGCCAATTTGGGTACCAGCAAGATACCTGAAACCTTGTCATGAGCCAGATGCTGAGGAAGAGATTCCAGGAGGATCCCAAGGACCCCCTAGTTGCAGCCATGTCGAGACTGACGCTGAGGAGGACCCCAACTGTCATGAGCAACATCCGTGGAACACAGCCACCCACCTGGAGACAGATCAAGAAGCTGTTGCAGATGGCAGAAGAAAACCTGAGAAAAGTGGGACAACCAGTAGCAATGAGTAATTTAATGATAGCTGTGATAGCGGTGATCACCATTGCCATGAGTATCCCTTTAGCAAGCGCACACACAAAGAACAATTATACTTATTGGGCATATTTATCAATCTTGGCTGGCAATAATGCCTGGATGCAATCACTCTATGACACAGTTACACATGCTTCCCGATCTCAGTATTTACCATAATGAATCTGCTCCTATAGTTGAGGCATACTGCCCTCAAGAACCTATTTGTAAACAGAATTGGACCTGGCCAGACATAGTGAACGTACTTGTTTGGGAAGATTACATTGCAGAACAGGCAGAGGTGCTGCACAATGATTCCTATGGAATCATTATTGATTGGTCCCCCTAAGGGGATGTTTAGCTTGAATTGCACCTCTCAGTCTGCATGCCATGGCCACACTGTGTTCAGCTGGTCTGAACAAAACGGTCAGATAGTAGAAATGGTAAAAAAAAAAAAAATACTGCAAGAGTTCCTATTGTCTGGAAACATGGAGGTATAGTGGCACCTCAACCTCAAATGATATGGCCCACTTTAGGAGCTAAACATAAGGATTTGTGGAAACTATTAATGGCTCTTAATAAGACCAAAATTTGGGAAAGAATGAAAAAGCATCCAGAAGGACACTGTACAAACTTGTCTTTGGATATTGCAAAATTAAAAGAACAAATATGTAAAGCATCCCAGGCACACCTGACCTTAATGCCAGGAACTGGAGTGCTTGAAGGAGCTGCAGACAGATTAGCAGCTAGTAACCCATCAAAATGGATACAAACACTTGGAAGGTCTGTGATTTCAATGATGATTGTGCTTTTAATCTGTGTTGTTTATCTTTATATAGTTTGCAGATGGGGATCCCGATTCCTGTGAGAAGTAGCTCACTGTGATAAAGCCACCTTTGCTTTTACTGTCTTACAAAAACAAAAAGGGGGAACATGTTGGGAACAGGCCCCCAAATCTGGACATAAACTGGCCCCAAAACTGGCCATTAACAAAATCTCTGCAGCACTGTGACATATTCATGATGGCCATGACACAATGCTGAAGGTTGTGGGTTTACCAGAATGAGGGCAAGGAACACCTGGCCCACCCAGGGTGGAAAACCACTTAAAGGCGTTCCTAAACCACAAACAATAGCATAAGCGATCTGTGCCGTGAGGACATGTTCCTGCTACAGATCACTAGCCAGAGCCCATCCCTTTGTTTCAGCCCATCCCTTTGTTTCCTGTGAGGAATACTTTTAGTTCATCTATAATCTGTAGAAACAATGCTTATCACTGGCTTGCTGTCCATAAATACGTGGATAAAACTCTGTTTGGGGCTCTCGGCTCTGAAGGCTGTCAGCCTCCTGATTTCCCACTGCACACTCTATACTTCTGTGTGTGGGTCTTTAAGTCCTCTAGTGCCTATGGGTTAGGGTCTCCATGACTGAGCTGGCCTTGGTCCACTATGTTGCCCAGGTAGGTCTTGAACTCCTGGGCTCAAGTGATCCTCCCACCTCAGCCTCCCAAAGTGCTGGGATTACAAGCATGAGCCACTGAACCTGGCTGGGTTTTCTTAAGGTAATCAAATGTATAGCATTTCTTGAGATTCAAAAAGTTGCCATTTTCTGAGCCCAGACAAAATACAACTATTCACCTAGCATTTATCATGTGAAAAAAAAAAAAAGAATTAGAAACAGCCATGTTGTCGGAGCAATTAGTTTGTTTTCAATCTTAATGACACTGTGACTCACACATCAAAAGTGTTTTCCTGTTTGCTTTGCAAACCAGGAAGCTCAGAACAAGATTTGAGTACATCTCTAATATTTACATGGTGCTTAAGGCAAGAGATGTTTCAACAACTGTTTTAATTTGTCTCTTAATTCATCTCATCTTTTTTCTTTCCCCAATTTTTGATTAGTTCCAACTTCATTTTTTTTTTTCAAGACAGAGTCTTGCTCTGTTACCCAGGCTGGAGTGCAGGGGCAGTGGTGTGATCTCGGCTCACTGCAACCTCCGCCTCCTGGGTTCAAGTGATTCTTCTCCTTCAGCCTCCTGAGTAGCTGGGATTTTGCCCAGCTAAAATATTCATCTTTAAATATATATATATATTGCAGGCTGGGTATGGTGGCTCACATCTGTAATCCTAGCACTTTGGGAGGCCCAGATGGGTGGATTGCTTGAGCTCAGGCGTTTGAAACCAGCCTGGATAACATGGCAAAACCTCATCTCTACAAAAGAATACAAAAATTAGCCCAGTGTGGTGGCACGTGTCTGTAGTCTCAGCTATTTGGGAGGCTGAGGTAGGAAGATGGCTTGAGCCCAGGAGGTTGAGGCTGCAGTGAGCTGAGATCATACCACTGCACTCCAGCCTGGGCAACATAGTGAGATCCTGTCTCAAAAAAATAAAAAATAAAAATAAAAATAAACTATGCAGTGAGGAAACTTTTAAAGACATGGTTGTATTGTGAGTCAAGTTGACACTAATGAGTTATGTGAGTTGTAATCTGCCTTGAGCTGTTTCTCCAGCAGTGGGAAAGAGGGACTTTGAGCCATCCCTACTCTCCCTTCTAACTTTCTTTCCTAAGAGCCACAGAGAATTAAATGAGATTGAGTAAGTGCTGCATCAATCAGGGTTCTTGGTTGCAGGCCACAGAAACTGACTCTACTTTAAGCAAAACCAAAATTTATTAGAAGAATGTAGGGGCTCATATAATCAAGAGGAAGCTGTGGGGCCAGGCGTGGAAAATCAGGAGGAACAAACAGAGCTCTGGAGGCCTGGCAGCTATGTTTGCACCACTCTAGGGGCTACTCTCAAAGTCCAGGGATTAGCAAACTATGGCCCACTGGCCAATTCCAGCCCACTACATGTTTTTATAAATAAAGTTTTAGGTCAGGCGTGGTGGCTCACACCTGTAATCCCAGCACTTTGGGAGGCCGAGGCAGGTGAATCACCTGAGGTCATGAGTTTGAGACCAACCTGGCCAATATGGCAAAACCCTGTCTCTACTAAAAATACAAAAATTAGCCAGGTGTGGTGGTGGGCACCTGTAATCCCAGCTACTTGGAAGGCTGAGGCTGGAGAACTGCTTGAACCCAGGAGGCAGATGTTGCAGTGAGGCGAGATCATGCCATTGCACTCTAGCCTGGGTGACAGTGTGAGCATCAGTCTCAAGAAAAAAATTAATTTAAAAAAAAAAAAAAAATAAATAAATATAAAGTTTTGTTGGAACTACTTCTTTCTGATAACATAGCTGATTTCTTCAATCCAGTCTGCAATGAACAATAACTGTCCACCAGAATGTTCATCAGTTGCTGCCTATGGCTTCCTTCACACTTGACAGAGACCATGTGGCCTGCAAAGCCTAAAATATTTACAGAAAATGTTTCCTGACCCCTGTCATTGCTTAACATAGAATAGAATGGAAATGGCACTCCTCCTGGAGTTGTGCAGTATACAGCTGGCCTTGTCTGGAGGGAGGCTGAGCAGGCAAAACTGCATGCTGCAGGACAGGTGAGGTTTATGTGCTTTCTCAGTGATGAAGCTGGGGTTTCCAATCTCTTTTCCTGTTCTCTGTCTTTAGAGAGTCCATGGGTTGAGCTTAAGTCCAATGTCCAGCCCTGGCTATTCTATGGGACAGAAGGTGAAAAGATCTGGTCCACTTGGTTTCCTTTACAAGGGTGGTAAAGGGTGCCAGAACTGCCCTCACATCAAGACTCCAAGTGTGTTCCTGTAGAGGTGGACTGGGGTATTAACAGGAAGAAAGAAGGCGATGGATGCTGACTGGCCAAAAGTCTATAGATGCCTTCACAAATGCTTACAAATATCACCACTGCTGTTATATGACCCTTCCAGGTAGATCTAGGTGGCTCCTTCATTCATGTCCTATTGGGGGAACCAGCCCCCAATATTTCAGTGTAGGTTCTTTCTATTTTCCCTAAGTGTCGGCCAGTCTGAGAAATAAAGAGAAAGAATACAAAGAGAGAAATTTTACAGCTGGGCCTCCAGGGGTGTCATCACATATTGGTAGGACCGTGATGGCAACCCTGAGCCGCAAAACCAGCAAGTTTTTATGAGGGATTTTAAAAGGGGAGGGGATGTATGAACAGGGAGTGGGTCACAAGGATCACATGCTTCAAAGGGCTATAAAGATCACAAGGCAAAGGCAAAATTAGAATTACTGATGAGGGTCTATGTCCCACTGTGCATGCATTGTCTTGATAAACATCTTAACAGGAAACAGGGTTCAAGAGCAGACAACCGGTCTGACTAGAATTTACCAGGCTGGAATTTCCCAATCCTGGTAAGCCTGAGGGTACTGCAGGAGACCAAGATCTATTTCAGTCCTTATCTCAACCGCATAAGACAGACACTCCCAGAGCGGCCGTCTATAGACCTACCCCCAGGAATGCATTCCTTCCCCAGGGTTATTCCTTGCGGGAAAAGAGTTCAGCAATATTTCTCCTACTTGCTTTCTGCAAGAAGAAAAATATGGCTCTATTCTGCCCTACCCCACAGGCAGTCAGACCTTATGGTTATCTTCCCTTGTTCCCTGAAAATCGCTGTTATTCTGTTCTTTTTCAGGGTGCGCTGATTTCATTATTGTTCAAGCACACATGTTTTACAATCCATTTGTACAATAGTGGTCCTGAGGTGATGTACATTCTCAGCTTATGAAGGTAACAGGATTAAGAGATAAAGACAGGCATAAGAAAGTATAAGAGTATTATTAGGGAAGTGATAAATGTCCATGAAATCTTCACAATTTATGTTCAGAGATTGCAGTAAAGACAGGAGTAAGAAATTATAAAACTATTAATTTTGGGAACTGATAAATGTCCATGAAATCTTCACAATTTATGTTCTTCTACCTTGGCTCCAGAAGGTCCCTCCATTCGGGGTCCCTGACTTCCCACAACAGTGTCTTTCCTCCAGCATCTGGCCACTTCTCACCACCTGCACTGCTGCACCCTAGTCCTGCACCTGCACCCTAGTCCCAGCCAACTCCATCTCTCACCGGTATTATTGCAGCAGATGCCTAATACCCATCTCCATGCTTCCACCTTTGCTTACTGCAGTCTGTTCTTCACACAGCTGCCAAAGTACTTCTTCTGTTGTCTGTGTGTTGGTTTTTTGGTTTGTGGGGTGTATTAGTCTGTTCTCACATTGCTATAAAGAAACACCTGAGACTGAGTAATTTATAAGAAAAGAGGTATGGGCACAGTGGCTCATGTCTGTAATCCTAGCACTTTGGGAGGCCGAGGCAGGTGGATTGCCTGAGTTCAGGGGTTCAAGACCAGCCTGGGAAACATGGTGAAACCCTGTCTCCACTAAAATACAAAAAATAGCTGAGTATGGTGGTGTGCACCTGTAATCCCAGCTACTCAAGAGGCTGAGACAGGAGAATCACTTGAATCTGGGAGGTGGAGGTTGCAGTGAGCCCAGATTGCACCACTGCACTCCAGCCTGGGTGACAGAGGAAGACTACATCTCAAAAAAAAAAAAAAAAAAGAAAAAAAAGAGGTTTAATTGGTTCATGGTTCTTCAGGCTATATAGGAAGCATGGCAGCATCTGCTTCTTGGAAGGCCTCAAGGATCTTTTACTCATGGTGGAAGGCAAAGCTGGAGCAGGCATCTTCACATGGCTGGAGTAGGAGGAAGAGAGCAAGGTGGGAAGTGCCACACAACTTTAAACAACCAGATCTCATGAGAACTCACTATCGTGATGACAGCACCAAGTGGGATGGTGTTAAACCATGAGAAAAAACCCCCATGATCCGATCCCCTCCCACCAGGCCCCACCTCCAACATTGAGGATTACAGCTGAACATGAGGCCAGGCGCGCTGGCTCATGCCTATAATCCCAGCACTTTGGGAGGCCGAGATAGGCGGATCACATGAGGTCAGGAGTTCAAGACAAGCCTGGCCAACATGGTGAAACCCTGTCTGTGCTAAAAATACAAAAATTAGCTGGGCATGGTGCCAGGTGCCTGTAATCCCAGCCTGAGGCAGGAGAATTGCTTGAACCCAAGGCGGAGGTTGCAGTGATCTGAGATCGTGCCACTGCACTCCAGCCTGGCAACAGAGCAAGACTCCGTCTCCAAAACTATATCATTGTGTGATTCCTTAACACCCAAAGTCAGATAATGCTCACCATGCCCACTGTCTTCCTGTCTCACTCAGAGTAAAGCCAACATTGTTACCAAGGTGACCTCCTTTTATCTCTCTGACCTCACCTCCTACCATTCTCCCTTTCACTCACTCTGTTCCAGCCACACCAGCCTTCTGGCTGCTCCTCCAATGAGGCAGGCATCTCTTGCCACAAGGCCTTTGATCTTGCATTTCTCTCTGCCTGGAATTCTACTCCCCAGACAATTGCACGGCTTCACCCATCACACCCTTCAGTCTTTGTTCAAACGTCTTCTCAACAGAGAGGACTTCCTCGGCCACCTGGTGACCCTCTACCCCTCAGCCTGTTTCATCATTCCTCGCTGCATCTCTCACCACTGGACATGCCACACATGCCTGTTTCATTGGTCATTCTGTGCCCTGTCTTAGAGAGTAAACTCCATGAGGACAGGAACTCTCGCTTGCTGCTGTATCACTGTGAACTCTGCATGAAGCAGAGAAGGCACTTAATGATTAACTGCTAAGTGAAAGACTCCTGACCCAGGAAGAGGTGTGGCTTCACTCAAACACAAGGGAAGATCAAGACCCTGAAACCCCTGCAGCTTGTAATTGAACATCTTTTCCCACCCTCAGAAAGTTGTTAATGAATTCCTTCACTTCACCTCAAAGAATCTCCAGAGTGCAAAGCTAAAAGCTGAAGGCATTGACCTTTCAAGCTCCAAAAATGCTGCAAGAGCAGCTTCAAAAGAGGTATTAGTTTCAGAGCAGTGAAGATTTTCTCTCTTTTTTTTGTCCCCATTATCCTGCTTAATTTTTTTTTTTTTTTTTTGAGGCAGGGTCTCACTTTGTTGCCCAGACTGGAGTGCAGTGGTGCCATCACATCTCACTGCAGCCTAGACCTCCAGGCTCAAGCTCTCCTCCCACCTCAGCCTCCTGAGTAGCAGGGGATGACAGGCATGCACCACCATGCCTGGCTAATTTTTGTACCTTTTTGTTGTTGTTGTTGTTGTTGTTGAGACCAAGTCTCCCTCTGTCACCAGGCTGGAGTACAGTGGTGTGATCTTGGCTCGCTGCAACCTCCGCCTCCCGGGTTCAAGTGATTTTCCTGCCTCAGCCTCCCAAGTAGCTGGGACTACAGGCTCGTGCCACCATGCCCAGCTAATTTTTGTATTTTTAGTAGAGATGGGGTTTCACCATGTTGGCCAGGATGGTCTCGATCTCTTGACCTCATGATCTGCCCGCCTCAGCCTCCCAAAGTGCTGGGGTTACAGGTGTGAGCCACTGTGCCCGGCCTAATTTTTGGATCTTTTTGTAGAGATGGAGTCTCACCATGTTGCCCAGACTGGTCTCAAACTCCTGGGCTCAGGTGTTCCTCCCACCCCGGCCTCCCAAAGTGCTGAGATTACAGGTGTGAGCCATAGTGCCTGGCCCTGCTTTATTTTTCTTTGTAGATTTGTCACTATTTGAAATGGAGCTGAAGCCTCATCCAGCCACTTGGCTGTCCCTTTATTTTATGTCTTTTCTTTCTCAAATCTCCTTCTTCTGATTTTTCTTTAGGGATACTACCCCTTCTCCACTCTCAGTCCATGTGACTTGGTTGGAATAACTTACCATGCTCCAGGAATGGGCATGCAGATCAGGTCTACACTAGTCAATCTATTTTACCCCTGGCCACAGTGACTGCTTTGAATATGGCCATGTGACCCCATTCAAACAGAAGAGAGTCAGGACCAATGTAGGCCAATGAGCTCCAGGGGCATTAGGGCATCTTCCTGCTGGTTTTAAGAGAAGATAAGGTGTAAGCCTGGAGTTGTTGGTGCCAGTGCCAGAGCTTTCAATAAGCCTTCCTATATAACATTCCACAATAAAAAGACAAAGAGAGATAGGTCCTGATAACCTTGAGTCCCTGGATCCAGCCATACCTGAAGCCAATGGGATTTTCAGAGACATATTGCCTAAGATGGTTTGAGTTTCATTTCTGTTACTTGCCACCAAGGGATCTTTACTTATTCATCTACTCTTTCCTCCCAACTCACTGTTCATTCATTTGTTCCCTCTAACTCCTCTTCTGCTAGTGAGAGTGTGTCTTTAGGTCAGACATCAAACCCTGAAATAGGACACAAAAACACTTCCTGCTCAAAGTCAAAATAACTGGCTCAAGAAGGGAAAAGATCAGGCTGGCACGGTGGCTCACACCTATAATCCCAGCACTTTGGGAGGCTGAGGTGGGTGGATTACCTGAGATCAGGAATTCAAGACCAGCCTGGCCAACATGGCAAAACCCCATCTCTACTAAAAAATACAAAAAACTGGCTGGGCCTGGTGGCGGGTGCCTGTAATCCCAGCTACTCAGGAAACTAAGGCAGGAGAATTGCTTGAACCCAGGAGGCGGAGGTTGCAGCGAGCCAGGATTGCTCTATTGCACTCCAGCCTGGGCAACAGGTGAGAAACTCCGTTTCCAAAAACAAACAAAACAAAACAAAAAATCTTTGAACTAAGGGCATACACAGCGGCTCACACCTGGAATCCCAGCACTTTGAGAGGCAGAGGCGGGAGGATCACTTGAGCTCAGGAGTTTGAAACCAGCCTGGCCAACAAAGTATGACCTTGTCCTTACAAAAAAAAATGTTTTTAATTAGCTAGGCACTGTGGCATGTGCCTGCAGTAGTCCTAGCTACTCTAGACGCTGAGATGGGAGGATCGCTTGAGTCGGGAGTTTGAGGCTGGGGTGAGCCATGATTGCACCACGGCACTCCAGCCTGGGAGACAGAACAAAACTCTGTCTCTACAAAACCTGAACTGATACTAAAATGAGTTATTTAATGAATAATCATTGATACCTAAATGATTGCTAACTAAAGATAGAAACAATGCTTACTAAACATAATTTAAAGTTTATATACTTCTGCTCATATGCTATATAAAATATTTATAAAATAGTATATGTACTATTTAAAATATTTGGGGTTATGTTAATGGACATTTTTTAAAGGTGTAAAAAAGGATGTGTGGCTGTATAAAGTTGTACTGTTATCTTTGTTAGTCAGCTCCCATGCTGGATAAAGCAGACCGGCCTTAATTACTTACCCTCTCTCCACCCCCTAGCTTGACCTGCAAAATAGAAGTCCATTACTTTGGTAAAAAGTAAAACTTTGGTATCAAATAAAAATTAATATGAGTGGTTGAGATTACACTAGAAGCAACAGTGACCAAGAGATCCATCTTTATGTAAGCAGAGTTTCTCAGGTTTTTGTTTTGTTTTTTTTTGTTTTGGTCTCTTGAATCCTTTCCACTCTTGGGACTTCATGAAGATCCACAACAGTTTTTGTTTATGTGAATTATAGCTATCAATATTTAATCAATATTTAATTAAAAAGAATTATTTTTTTTCAAGACAGGGTCTTGCACTATCACCCAGGTTGGAGTGCAGTGGCATGATCACAGCTCACTGTAACCTCGAACTCCTGGGCTCAAGTGATCCTCCCACCTCAGCTTCCCAAATAGCTAGTACTACAGGTGCTTGCCACCATGCTTGGCTATTTTTTTTTTTTTTTTTTTGAGACAGGGTCTCACTCTGTTGCCCAGGCTGGAGGGCAGTGGCACGATCTTGGCTCACTGCAAGCTCTGCCTCCCGGGTTCACGCCATTCTCCTGCCTCAGCCTCCTGAGTAGCTGGGACTACAGGCGCCCGCCACCACCCCCAGCTAATTTTTTGTGTTTTTAGTAGAGATGGGGCTTCACCGTGTTAGCCAGGGGGGTCACCGTCTCCTGACCTCGTGATCCACCCGCCTCGGCCTCCCAAAGTGCTGGGATTACAGGCGTGAGCCACTGCACCCAACCCATGCCTGGCTACTTTTTTTAAAAACTTTTTATTTATGCTGCCCAGGCTGGTCTTGAACTCCTGGCCACAAGTGATCCTCAGCCTCCCGAAGTGCTAGGATTACAAGTGTGAGCCACCATGATTGGCCTAAAATACTTAATGAGTGACTCATTTAAAGCTAAGAATTATGAACACATTGTATGCTAATATAAATAACATTTTACTATTAATATGAAAATTGTTTTGACCTCATAGACCCACTGAAAGAGAAACATTGTACTCAAGTAAAGCATTAATGTGGCCCAGAATATAAAAGAGCATTAAAAAAGACAAAACTCAAAAGTGAATTTCACTTCTCTTGGTTTGTCCATATCTGAGTCTGAAAAGGAGCTATGAAATACATTGAAATTGTATCAAAGTTTGCTCAATCTTGATGGGCTTGATTTACCGCAATATAAAAGGTTATTCTTTACTATATAATTACACAGAGAACAAAGACTCCAGGTCTTAATAAATTCTTTTTTCCCCCTAAATAATCAATTTACTTCAGGAATTCTCACTTATGAAGAAGCTAATGTTCTTTACCATTTTTGTTACCTTCTATGCTTATTTTTAAGTGCTTCTTGTCACAATTACAGGCACCCAAGATCCTATCTTAATCAAATGTCCAAATCTCCTTGACAACTGTTTTGATTTTTGCCTTCCTAAATTGAATCCTTAAATAGAAAAAAATAAAATAAAACTTTCAAAATATGTTCTTCACCTAAAATGATCTTTGAGATTTCCCAAGTAACCCTGGAAAATCACAAAGATTTGTTCTTTCACTTTAGATGAAAAATGCAAGAAATAATTAGGTTTAATTAAAAAGTTGGACGGGAAGAGTTGTCAATTCAGAAGAGATGCTCAGGTTAAATTTGTGTAATTAAAATATTATTCACATAAATATTTTAAAATTGCATGCTTTATGGGAAGCCCCTGAGACAATGGCCTTGTCCCTTATATTTTTGTTTTGTTTTTTTGGGGGGTTTGGGGTGGTCCTGGCTGGAGTGCAGTGGCGCGATCTCGGCTCACAGCAGCCTCAACCTCCCAGGTTCAGGTGATTCTTCCACCTCAGCCTCCCAAGTAGCTGGAACTATAGGCGCACGCCACCATGCCCAGCTAATTTCTTTATTTTTAAAGTAGAGACAGGGTTTTCACCATGTTGCCTAGGCTGGTCTCAAACTCCTGGACTCAAGGAATCCACTGCCTCAGCCTCCCAAAGTGCTGGGATTACAGGCGTGAACTCCTGCTCCCGGCTGTCCCTTGTATGTTTTTATCCTTAAGGAGAACGCTCCCATGAGCTAGTTCTCTTATGAACTAGAACTCCTGAAACAGATCTGTCGAGTTTTCCGACTTTTATCAAAGTCCTGGTCATGCTTTGCCTGATGATATTGGCAACAACAGTACAGTGTTATCAGCTATGAGTTCAGTTTTCTTTCTTCCTTCCTTTCCTTTCCCTTCCCTTCCCTTCTCTTCCCTTCCCTTCCCTTCCCTTCCCTTCTCTTCCCTTCCCTTCACTTCCCTTCCCTTCCCCTTCCCCTTCCCCTTCAATTCCCTTTCCCCTTTGCCTTCCCTTCCCCTTCCCCTTCTGTTCCCCTTCCCTTCCTCTTCCCCTTCCCTACCTCTTCCCATTCCCTTCCCCTTCCCCTTCCCCTTTCACTTTCCTTTCCTTTCCTTTCTTTTTTTTATTTTGTTGAGACAGGGTATCTGTCACCCAGGCTGGAGTGCAGTGATGCAATCATGGCTCACTGCAGGCTCAACCTCCCCGGGCTCAGATGATCCTCCCACCTCAGCCTTCCTTAGTAGCTGGGACCACAAGCAGGCACCACCATGCCTGGCAATTTTGTATTTTTCTAGAGATGGGATTTCTACATATTGCCCAGGCTAGTCTTGAACTCCTGGGCTCAAGAGATCTGCCTGTCTTGGCCTCCCAAAGAGCTGGGATTATAGGCGTGAGCTACCACACCCGGCCAAGTTCAGTTATTTAAAATGTTTACTTGCCACAACCTTCCTTCTTTAATTTGAATCTATCATGGTCAAAGCCAGTGTGTCTTGGTTAGGATGCACATCAGACTCGTCATGGAACAGAGAGCTGTAAACATTTGTAAGGTGTCTAGGCTCTACTCTACTGTTACTGAATCTTTCTTCTTTTTTTTAAACAGTTTTGCTTTGTTGCCCAGGCTGGAGTGCAGTGGCGCAATCTCGGCTCACTGCAACCTCCACCTCCTGGGTTTGAGCAATTCTGCTGCCTCAGCCTCTGAGTAGCTGGGATTACAGGTGCATGCCATCACGCCCAGCTGATTTTTGGTATTTTAGTAGAGACGGAGTTTCACCATGTCAGCCAGGCTGGTCTCAAACTCCTGAGCTCAGGTAATCCATCTGTCTCAGCCTCCCAAAGTGCTAGGATTATAGGCATGAAGCCGCCACTCCTGGCCTGAATCTCTTTAGTTGATATTCTTGGTACCAAACTCCTGGGCTCATAAAAACAAAAATTATGTCCAGGAGCAGTGGCTCATGTCTGTAATCCCAACATTTTGGGAGGTTGAGGTGAGAGGATTGCTTGAGCCCAGGAGTTTGAGACCAGCTTGGGCAATATAGTGGGATCCCATCTCTATAAAAAATAAAAATAAAATTAGCTAGGCATGGTGGTGCATGCCTGTAGTCCAAGCTACTTGGGAGACTGAGGCAGGAGGATCACTTGAGCTCAAGAAGTTGAGGCGGTGGTGAGCCATGATCATGCCACTGCGCTCCAGCCTGGGCGACGGAGTCAGAACCTGTCTCAAAAAAAAAAAAAATGTTTCTGTATTATCATATGTTCAATCTCAAGATTTTCTTTCCTCTGTACAAATTATGTTCATACATTTCTATGAATCAGATGTAATATTTACTGATTTCTGTGCAGATAGATGTAATCAATTATCTTTAGAGGTATTTTGTCAAAATTTTGGATGTGGTTTTATTATCTCTGTTTTGCATGCCACAGAAACAACCACATTTCCTTGTTTCCTGGCTCCTGTTATGAACCTTCATCAGATCTTTCTTATTTTATTTTATTTTATATTGTATTGTATTGTATTGTATTTTAAGATGGACTCTCGCTCTGTTGCCCAGGCTGGAGTGCAGTGGCACAATCTCGGCTCACTACAACCTCTGCTTCCTGGGTTCAAGCGATTCCCCTGCCTCAGCCTCCTGAGTAACTGTATTACAGGCGTGTGCCACCATGCCCAGCTAATTTTTTGTATTTTTAATAGAGACAGGGTGTCATCATGTTGGCCAGGCTGGTCTCGAACTCCTGACCTCAGGTGAGCTGCCCCCCTCGGCCTCCCAAAGTGCTGGGATTACAGGTGTGAGCCACCGAGCCCGGCCAGACCTTTCACATTTTAAGATGATCTATAATAAATTAACCAAAGCCATATTAACTCTCTGTCATCTGCAATGCCTCAGAGGTTTACTGCTATAAGCTACAGGCTGGATTTGGTGTTTCGAACCAAGGACAGTCTCAGAGCTGTATGGGAAAGGACTGTACCAGGTACTTCAAACTGAGCTGAGCTGACATTACTTAGAAAATTCTTAGACTATTATCAATGGAATGAGTCAGGATTTCCAGGGCTGTTGAGGGTTAGAAGCAAATAGTTTCATGTTTAACTCAGAAGACAGCAGAATAAGAATTAATTACATAGGACTGAGTGAACTGATGAGGGAAATTTTATTGTATTTTTCTAAACAAATATGTTTAGAAAACTGCTGGTGTTGTTTCAACGTTCTATTGTCCTTATTTATTAAAGAAGAAATGTCCTTTCTCTCTCTTCTTAATCCATCTGTAACCATAACAATTTTGTCATCTCTGCTTTTATAAACGGAAAGAAACCATTTAAAAATGATATCTGATTCTCCCTGGCCTTCTAGAATTCAGAAACTCTTATAAAGTCTTTTTACTTTTTGGCCAGCCGTGGTGGCTCATGCCTGTAATCCCAGCACTTTGGGAGGCCGAGGCGGGCAGATCATCTGAGGTCAGGAGTTCGAGACCAGCCTGACCAACATGGAGAAACCTCGTCTCTACTAAAAATACAAAACTAGCCGGGCTTGGTGGTGGGCACCTGTAATTCTAGCTACTCGGGAGGCTGAGGCAGGAGACTCTCTTGAACCCGGGAGGTGGAGGTTGCGGTGAGCCGAGATTGCGCGATTGCACTCCAGCCTGGGCAACAAGAGCGAAACTCCACCTAAAAAAAAAAAAAAAGTCTTTTTACTTTTCATGGTAATAGTTATTTGCACATGTTCAGCAGGACTATGTCCTCCTTCTTACCAGGACAAATGGATTAATTGTAGCCAAGGCCTCACTTGGAGCATCATATCTGAGAATGGTGCTCACTAAATCAGGTGTGACAGGGCATTTTAAGGGATAAAATTTGTGTTAATACTTACGGAACACACGCCTACAAAGGTCTCCATGAAAACTGGCTTGGGGCCAGGTGCGGTGGCTCACACCTGTAATCCCACCACTTTGGGAGGCCAAGGCAGGCAGATCACCTGAGGTCAGGAGTTTGAGAACAGTATGGCCAACATGGTGAAACCTCATTTCTACTAAAAATATAAAAATTAGCCAGCTGTGGTGGCGGTAATCTGTAGTCCCAGCTACTGGGCAGGCTGAGGCAGGAGAATAGCCTGAACCGGGGAGGCGAAAGTTGCAGGAGCTGAGGTCGCACCACTGCACTCCAGCCTGTATGATAGAACCAGACTCTGTCTTAAAAAAAAAAAAAAAAAAGGGCCGGGCGCGGTGGCTCACGCCTGTAATCCCAGCAGTTTGGAAGGCTGAGGCGGATGAATCACCTGAGGTCAGGAGTTCGAGACCAGCCTGACCAACATGGAGAAACACCATCTCTACTAAAAATACAAAAAAAAAAATTAGCCGGGCATGGTGGCGCATGCCTGTAATCTCAGCTACTCTGGAGGCCGAGGCAGGATAACTGCTTGAATCTGGGAGGCGGAGGTTGTGGTGAGCCAAGATCGTGCCATTGCACTCCAGCCCGGGCAACAACAGCGAAACTCAGTCTCAAAAAAAAAAAAAAAAAAAAAAAAAGAACAAACAAAAAAAACAAAAGTGACTTGGTACCTGATTTACAGATATTAAAGACAGTCACTTCCTGGAAGGCCAGGAACTTTATGATATTCAGAGAACAAAAAAAGAGAAGAATTCACTCAGATATACAGGTTTGACAGGTGAAAGAAATTTTGTGGGAAGCGTCTTGAGCTGGGTGTCTTAACTTTGAAATAACAAATAATAGAGCCTTTTACGATTCCAGCTGGGAAAAGAATAAAGATTCCAATTGGAGATTCCTTATGAAAACTTCTAGACAAAAGCTAATTTTGTAATTGTTTGAAACGACATGGCTGTAAATTTTGTGAAGCACATTTAGGAGGCCTATACGACAAATTAATATTTTTTTTTCTTTGAGACAATGTGTCATTCTGTCGCCCAGGCTGGAGTGCAGTGGCGCAATCATGGCTCACTGCAGCCTCAACCTCCTAGGCTCAGGTAATCCTCCCACCTTAGCCTCCTTAGTAGCTGAGACTACAGGTGTGTGCCACCATGCCCAGCTAATTTTTTGTATTTTTTGTAGAGAAGGGGTTTCACGATGTTGCCCAAGCTAGTCTGGACCTCCTGGGCTCAAGTGATCCATCCACCTCGGCCTCCCAAAAGTGCTGAGGTTACAGGCATGAGCCACCATGTCTAGCTGACAAATTAACTCTCTTGCTGTACCTACATAAACAATCAGACCACATCTAATGAGAACAGTCAATTTTTAAATCAAGAGTCATTTTTCTTTAAGATTATAATGATCCTAAGGGGTTGGGGAGATCATAGGGACAAATTAGAAAAACCTCGACATTCAGTGGGTGTCCTGACTAGCTCAACCCATAGGATTATTTTTGGCCCTTCATTGTCTTTGAGCTACTTTATAGCTCTGTATCTTGTAGAAAGCTGTCAGTAAAACAAATTGTTCTTTTTTTTTTTTTTTTTTTTTTTTGAGATGGGAGTTTCACTCTTGTTGCCCAGGCTGGAGTGTAATGGTGCGATCTTGGCTCACCGCAACCTCCACCACCCGGGTTCAAGCGATTCTGCTGCCTCAACCTCCCGAGTAGCTGGGATTACAGGCATGCACCACCACACCCAGCTAATTTTTGTGTTTTTAGTAGAGACAGGGTTTCATCATGTTGGTCAGGCTAGTCTCGAACTCCTGACCTCAAGTGATCTGCTGCCTCGGCCTCCCATAGTGCTGGGATTACAGGCATGAGTCACTGTGCCCGGCCTGGTTCTTGTCCATAGAAATGCAACTTGTGTCCGGTAGAATGAAATTAATTATTGCCTTGTGGATATCAACCAACTTTGCCAGTTTCGTACCTAATCTGTAAGTTCACTTCCCTGTTCCTTACGCGACTATAACTGTGAGATATTTTGAACTAGTCGTAACATCTTATCAATTCCCTCATTACTTAATGTGTTCCACAAAATCTTTGATATGGGTTCATTTAATATCTGTATGAAAGTCATAATTTTATTGTTTTTGAAAATTACCCCTGGACTTAATATATATAAGGTGCTTAGAATAGGGTCTGGCACCAAGTATGGACTCAGTAAATGTTAGCTTTTGTAAGTAACGGATTAATAACATCCCTTGTTTTATAGATGAACAGAATGAAGTGCAGAGGAGACAAGCACATTTGCTTAAATGGCACTGCTTGCTGGAGATGGAGCAGGAGCTAGAAGCCAAGTCTCTGCTATCAAGCCCCTGCTTTCTTGCTGCCACCCCCGCCCCACCCCTCTCCTACCCACAGTCCTCTCTGGCTGTGCTTTGCTGACCCTACACATTCTTTGGGTTTCATTCTGGATCCTTCTAGGCTAGGTTAGCAGCCCCAACCCCAACCTTTGTGTCTTCCCCTGTGAAGCTGGTATTGTAAATATATTGCAACTATCAATTTCTTCATCTAGGCCAGGTGAACTACTGGCTCATGCCTGTAATCCCAGCACTTTGGGAGGCCGAGGTAGGAGGATGGTTTGAGGCCAGGAGTTTGAGACCAGTCTGGGCAGGATAGTGAGACCCCACCTCTAAAAAATAAAAAAAGAAAATCATCTTCATCTAAGCCATGAGCCACACACAACCAAGGACCGAAACTGTCTTGATTGCCACCCAGCCTGGCACACAGCAAGTAGAAACACCAGAAGTGAGGCCTCATATAGGTGTGGTGTTCTCTCCCCTGGGGATGGGGAGCAGGGCTGCTTTCCAGAACTGACTGGAAACCCTCTGCTCCTCCATCCTCTGACGGCCCAAAACTCCCCCAGGCTCCTGGCAGCTCTAGGCAATATCAAGCCTCCTAGAGAGGATGCCTGGAGCCACTAGCCTCTCAAGACTTGAGTTTCTGTTTTGTTTTTTTCCAAATAAAATTCCAGAAATCCAGGTTTAAAAATAACCAAGCAATGCAATCTTCTCCACCAAGCTGCTTGGCAAAAACAAACCCTCAACAAAGACTAGTGTGCAGTCTCACTTCACACTTACTCATTTTCGGCCGCCAACTCAGCTCTGTTTTGGGTGGGGAGGAAAAGCGGGAGGCAGGACTCCCAGGGGCAGAAGCGCAAGGGCACAGGCGCTGGGCAGAAGCTGGGCTGGACCGTAGGGCCGCCCCGGCTTTGCAGGCACACACCCGTTTGGGAAGACAGCTGCTAGAGACTGCTGCGAAGTCCGGTTTTCCTTGGAGTCCCAACTTGCTGGTCTCCAGCCCTGGATCTGGCAAGAGATCAAAGCAGCCCTGGAAAATGGTCTCCATTCGTAATCCAGAATTCATTCTCCTTCCCCGGGGAGACATCAGCTTCTGCCTGAGCCTGCCTTTCCCCATTATTACTTAGGGAACTGGCCGGTCATAATGGGGAGCAGCATTTATGCTCTTGCGGAACAACAACCTCAAGACTCCCCACTTTTTTTGACATGGTCTATTTTCTAACCTGTCATCCTTTTTTTAAGGCCCATTTTGTGGGTGAGAAAAACGTGTGATGGAAGAGAGGAAATTCAGGACCAGAGGCCTGGAAAACTGTCAGATTTCATATTTCCTCCTCCTTTGAATCAGCATTAATGCCCCTCAATGGGGTTTTCCTGCAAATGCTTGTATAACTCCCTTTTAAAACAATTTTTGCTGTTTTTTCCTTTCCCTGCCCCTGGGTAAGTTATTCCAACTGACTACTTTCCACCTCAAAAGAAAGTAGTGGACAGGAAAAAAGTGGTCGTGTGGTCTGTTGGCTACAGCTCCAAGTGGAGCCAGGAGATTTGGGTTCTATTCTGAGCCTTTCTGAGAACATGACGAGGGGGAGGGACACAAACTTGGCTCTTTTACTGGAGTCCAGGGACTCCATGCCAACAGGAGGAAGTTACTTATTCCGGATCAGAAGGGGACCAGGAACTGGCATTTATTAAACACCTGCAAAGCGCCACGCCCTTGACCAACTAGCTCTTTTTTTCTTTTTTCTTTTTTTTTTTTGAAATGGGATCTTGCTCTGTCACCCAGGCTGAAGTGCAGTAGCGCAATCACAGCTCACTGCAGTCTCTGCCTCCCAGGCTCAAGCAATCCTCCCACCTCAGCCTCCCGTGTAGCTGAGACTACAGGCATGTGCCACTGTGCCTGGCTAATTTTTTTGTATTTTTTGTAGAGATGGGGTTTCATCATATTGCCGAGGCTGGTCTCCAATTCCTGAGCTCAAGTGATTTGCCCACTCACCTCGGCCTCCCAAAGTGCTGGAATTACAGGCATGAGCCACCATGCCTGGCCCCAAGTAACTGTCTCTCTTTTTTTTTTTTTCGAGATGGAGTCTTGCTCTGTCGCCCAGGCTGGAGTGCAGTGGCGCAATCTCAGCTCACTGCAAACTCTGCCTCCTGGATTCAAGCGATTCTCCTGCCTCAGCCTCCTGAGTACCTGGGATTACAGGCATGCGCCACCACACCTGGCTAATTTTTGTATTTTTAGTAGAGATGGGGTTTCACCATGTTGGTCAGGCTGGTCTCGAACTCCTGACCTCATGATCTGCCCACCTCGGCCTCCCAAAGTGCTGGGATTACAGGCATGAGCCACCTCACCTGGCCTCTAACTAGCTCTCTTAATCCTCACAACTTTGCGGGTTAGCTTCTGTAACTTCCTTGTTACAGACTGGGACCCGGAAGCTCAGAGAGATGCAGTGAGTTCCTCAGGGTAGCACAGCTTGTTGGTGCTAGAGCTGGGAACAGAGTCCAGCTCTGGTTCTGGGGTCTGAGTTGTTTCACTACAACATGTAACCCACCAGCTATGCTTTCGTCCTTGACTTACTCCATGTACCGAGTACCTATTACGTACTATAAAGATAACAGTAAGCAAAACAAAGATTCTTTTTCATATGGAGTTTATTTTCTAGTTGGAGGTGGGTGGAAAAAGGAGGAAGACAGAAAATAAATAGGTAAATTATATAACATGCTGTAAGATCTTAAGCGCCAAAAACGAAAGAAAGATTAGAACAGGGTAAGGGGATTGGGAGGGCTGAAGATAGATGTTTCACATTTAAAGAGGGGAATGAGGGGCCAGGCACAGTGGCTCACGTCTGTAATCCCAGCACTTTGGGAGGCCTAGGTGGGAGGATCACTTGAGGTCAGGAGTTCGAGACCAGCCTGGCCAACATAGTGAAACGCTGTCTCCACTAAAAATACAAAAGTTAGCCAGGTATGGTGGCATGCATCTGTAGTCCCAGCTACTTGGGAGGCTGAGGTAGGAGGATCACTTGAGCCTGGGAGGCAGAGGTTGCAGTGAGCTGAGATCACGCTGCTGCATTCCAGCTTTATTTATTTATTCTCAAATACATAAGGTAATCAGGGTAGGCCTCATAGAAGAGATGACATTTGCATGAAGAGTTCAAAGAGATGTGAGAATTAGAAATGCTGCTGTTGGAGGGAAGATTACTGCTGTCAAAGGGAACAGTCAAGTCAGTGCAAAGGCCCTAAGGTAGGAGTGTGCCTATCATGTTTGAGGAGCAGCAAGGAGACCAAAGTGCCTGTAGCAAAGTGAGCAAGGAGCCGGCACATAAAGGGTCACTCTGCCTGCTGTGTTAAAAATAAACAGCAGGGATGGCCGGGTGCAGTGGCTCACACCTGTAATCCTGGCACTTTGGGAGGCCAAGGTGGGTAGATTGCTTGAGGCCAAGAGTTCAAGACCATCCTGGGCAACATGGTGAAACCCCATCTCTACAAAAAACACAAAAATTAGCCGGGCGTGGTGGCGTGCACCCATAGTCCCACCTACGTGGGAGGCTGAGGCGGAAGGATGGCTTGAGCCTGGGAGGTGGAGGTTGCAGTGAGCTGAGATTGTGCAGCCTGGGTGACAGAGCCAGACACCGTCTCAAAAAAAAAAAAAAAAAAATGAACTGCAGGGATGGCCAGGCATGGTGGCTCATGCCTGTAATCCTAGCACTTTGGGAGGCTGAGACGGGAGGATCACTTGAGCTCAGGAGTTCAAGACCAGCCTGGACACCATAGTGAGACTATGTCTCTACTTAATTTAAAAATAAAAATAAAAATAAATGAACTTCAGGGGGACAAGGAGGAAGCTGGGGGAGTAGATGGGGCCATTGCAGTAACCAGGTGAGAAGTCACTGTGGCTCAGACAAGGTTGGGAGCAGTGGAGGCAGGCAGCGGTGGGCAGAGTCAGGAAGGCAGAGCCAGTAGGATTTTCCAATGGATTCAATGTGGGGTGCTTCAAGGCAACGCCAGGGTTTTTGTTGGGCAATTGGAAGAAGAGAGCCATCCATGGAGCTGAAGAAGGCTTCGGGTGTGGCAGGTCTGGGGGTGGAGGGAAGATCAGCAGTTATGCTTTGAGAATTGTGAATCTGACGTGTATCACTGCTCTCCATACAGGGCCAAATCAATAACATCCAAAAAGATGACTGAAGAGGCCCATATACGAAGCGCTTCCAAACAAACTGGCTAGTTCCAGAGTTTCCTCTCCACTGCCTTCCTCTACACCAGCTGTTCTTAACCCAGGGGTCTGTGAACTTGGATGGAAAAAAAATTACACCTTTTTTTCTTTTCCCTTCACTGACCTCATGCTGGAATTTAGCATTTTCTTCCATTGTGATTGTAGGCAACAAACCCCTGCAGACTTAGCAGGACTGGCTCCTGTCACTGATAGAAACCATTGCTATTTTCATCTCACACAACGGGTGCTCTGGATTATCCCCAAATATCTTTCACCCTCATCACTTCTTTGAATTTTTGGTCTTTTTGGATCTGCCATTAAGTCTTATTACTTAACGCATTAACAAGCTCATAAATTATTATATCATAAATTTAAATTTGAAACATTTTTGATAATGGTATTTCACTATATTTGACCTCCCTTGTAGTCCTATGCATTTTATTGTTTGTATGTAAAATCATTATTCTGAGGCTGGGTGCGGTGCCTCACCCCTGTAATCTCAGCATGTTGGGAGACCAAGGTGAGTGGAGTGCTTGAGCCCAGGAGTTACCACCCTGGGCCACATGGTGAAACCCCGTCTCTACAAAAAAAAAAAAAAATACAAAAAGTAGCTGGGTGTGGTGGCGCTCGCCTGTAGTCCCAGCTACTTGGGAGGCTGAGGTGGGAGGATCACCTGACTCAGGAGAGGTTGAGGCTGCAGTGAACCGTGATGGCACTACCATGCTCCACCCTGGGCAACAGAGTGAGTCCCTGTCTCAAAAACAACAATAATAATAATAATAAAAATAAAATAAATATTCTGAGAAAGGCCTCATCAGCTTCCCCAGACTGCTAAAGGGGGTCTGTGGCGCAAAAGAGTTAAGACCCCTGATCTAAGCTAAATATCTTCAGCAAGATGGGAGGGAAAAAAAAGTCATTAAAATGTCTTGATCATGCCAGGAACTCTGCCAGGAACTTTATATTCATGACCTCATTACTCCTCACAATTGCAAAGTGGATATGAATTTTTTTTTTTTGAGACGGAGTTTTGTTCTTTTTGCCCAGGTGGAGTGCAGTGGTGCGATCTTGGCTCACTGCAACCTGCGCCTCCTGGGTTCAAGCAATTCCCTGCCTCAGCCTCCCAAATAACTGGGATTTACAGGCGTGTGCCACCACACCCAGCTAATTTTTGTATTTTTAGTAGAGACGGGGTTTCACCATGTTGGCTGGGCTGGTCTCAAACTCCTGACCTCAGATGATCCACCCACCTAGGCCTCCCAAAGTGCTGGGATTACCGGCCTGAGCCACCACGCCCGGCCTGGATATGGTTTTTCTTTGCATTTTACAATTGGGGAAAGTCACCCAGCAAGTCACTGGAAAATCAGATGTTCAAACTCAGGGCTATCTATTCCTAAAGTCTGTGTTTATTTCACCAAATCAAACTGGATCATATGTTGCAACCTAAATGCCGATAATCAGCCTTGCCCCTCACTTAGCCAAGCAGCAGGGTAGTATTTATTAGTTATGAGCTTGGAAGCTGGGGCTAGACTGTCCGATCTCAAATCTAGCCTTTCTGCTTATTTATATGTGGCTTTAAGTAAATCACTTAACCTCTCCATGTCTTTGTTTCCTGGTCTATAACACAGGCATGATGGTGACAATAATATTGCCAGCATAGATGTGTTGTAGGGTAGCAAGTGTGTGACGCTTAGACCAGTACCTGGGCCTGGCAGGGTGGCTCACACCTGTAATCCCAGGACTTTGAGAGGCCAAGGCAGGAGGATCACTTGAGCCCAGGAATTCAAGACCAGCCTGGGCAACATAGCAAGACCTTGCCTCCACAAAAAATACAAAAATTAGCCAGGTGTGTTGGCAGATGACGGTAGTCCCAGTTACTAGGGAGGCTGAGAGAGGAGGCCAAGGCTGCAGTGAGCCAAGATTTCACCACTGCACTCCACCTGGGCATCAGAGTGAGGCCCTGTCTCAAAAAAAAAAAAGAATAGTACCTGGATTATAGAAGGTGCTTACATTTTTGTTTTTTTGTTTGTTTGTTTGTTTGAGACAGAGTCTTGCTCTGTCACCAGGCTGGAGTGCAGTGGCGCCATCTCGGCTCACTGCAAGCTCCGCCTCCCGGGTTCACGCCATTCTCCTGCCTCAGCCTCCCGATGGGACTACAGGCGCCCGCCACCACACCCGGCTAAGTTTTTTTTGTATTTTTAGTAGAGACGGGGTTTCACCGAGTTAGCCAGGATGGTCTTGATCTCCTGACCTCGCGATCCGCCCGCCTCGGCCTCCCAGTGTGCTGGGATTACAGGCGTGAGCCACCGCGCCCAGCCGCTTGCATTTATTTTTGTTGAGAGCTCTGGCTCCAGAGAAAAACAGATTGGGTTTGAAGGTCAGCATAACTTTTTACTGTGTGATCTTGGGCAACTCATTTAACCTCTCTTTGCTTCAGTGTCCTCATCTGTAAGTGGAGACCATAATACCTACTTCCTAGGGTGGTGGAAAGGATCAAATGAGATAATCAATACAAGAGCCTCAGATACTTACTGACTAGTATAAGCAATCCCTAAAGAGATACATGCTCAATGTGTTAGCATTAATTATTATTATCTGTTGCTCTCTTATTTAAGCCCCATCCATTTCTCTAGTTCTTGTCTTTCTTTCTGTTAAGGCTTTCTTAGCCCTATTTCCTTACTCTTGGGGATTTCATGGAATGTCTAATCAAATTATTAAGGTTATATTCAGACATTTATTACCCAAATATTTACTTAGCTCTTACCATATGCCAGACACTGTTCTGGACATCTGGAAGTATCAGTGAACAAAAGCCACAAATCTCTGCCCACAAGACTCTGATATTCTTTTTTTCTTTTCTTTACTTTTTTTTTGAGATGGAGTTTCACTGTTGTCACCCAGGCTGGAATGCAATGGCGCAATCTCTGCTTACTGCAACCTCCGCCTCCTGGGTTCAAGCGATTCTCCTACCTCCACCTTCAGAGTAACTGGGATTACAGGTGCGCACCACCACACCCAGCTAATTTTTGTATTTTTTAGTAGAGATGGGGTTTTGCCAAGTTGGCCAGGCTGGTCTCAAACTTCTGACCTCAAGTGATCCGCCCACCTCGGCATCCCAAGGTGCTGAGATTACCGCGCCCCGCCTTCTTTTTTTTTCTTTTTTTTTTTTTGAGACAGGATTTCATTCTGTCATCGAGGCTGGAGTGCAGTGGTACAATCAGAGCTCACTCCAGCCTCAACCTCCCAAGTTCAGGTGATCCTCCCACCTCAGCCTGCCTAGCAAGAAGCTGATATCCTAAACACTAGATATTCTGCTTCACTTCAGTCCCTTTTGCTGATCTGGAGAGAATCAAATTAATATTTGACAATAAGGACTTCATATCAACATACTGATTTTTCCAGGAATCACACTGAGGAATTCACCTTCTGTTGGTGATTATTCACCCTCAGCCTTACATTGTTCTCCATTGCACTGATAGCCTCCAACAATTGTCATCTGCTATGGTTTGAATGTGTCCTTCCAAAATTCATGTTGAAAATTAATTCCCAATGCAATAGTATTAAGAGGTGGGGCCAGGTGTGGTGGCTCACACCCACAATCCCAGCACTTTGGGAGGCCGAAGCAGGCAAATCACTGGAGCCCAGGAGTTCAAGAGCAGCCTGGGCAACATGGTAAGACCCCATCTCTATGAAAAATACAAAAATTAACTGGGCACGGTAGCATGCACCTGTAGTCCCAGCTACTTGGGAGGCTGAGGTGGGAGGATCACTTGAGCCCAGGAGGTGGAGGTTGTAATGAGCTGAGATTGTGCCACTGCACTCTAGCCTGGGTGATGAGGTGAGACCCTGTCTCAAAAAAAAAAAAAAAGAAAAAGAGGTAGAGTCTTTAGGAGGTGCTAAGGTCATGAGAACTCCACCCTTGTGAATGAGATTAGTGCCCTTATGAAACGGCTTGAAGAAACCTATTTTGCCCTTCCATCCCTTCCACTATGTGAGGACATGGTATGTGTTCCTTCCACCATGTGAGGATACAGCAAGAAGCTGCCACCTTGGAAACAGACAGGAACCCTTCACTAGACACTGAATCTGCTGGTGCCTTGATTTTGGACTTCCCAGCCTCCAGAACTGTGAGAAATAATTTTTTATTATTTATAAATTAGCAAGTCTAAGGTATTTTGATATAGCAGCCTAAAGGAAGCAAGACACTATCCAATTCCAAAGTCTTTAAAACTCTCAAACACCTGGTAGATTGCACTCATCAGTTTATTTCTCTCATATCCCACTCTAGTCCACCATCAGTGAAAATCTTAACAATTCTCACACAATTGCGTGCCAGAGGCTATTGGTACTCCACAAATGACCAGTGACAGGGTCTTTGTTGCCAGCTAAATGGCAGGTGATCCAGCTCTGAGATCTCATTTTAGTTTGCTTCCTAAGACTACTTTGAGTGTCAGCTGACCTAGGTTGAGTTCTCTGCTGCTATGATGTGAATGTTTGTGTCACCCACCTCAATTCATATGTTGAAACTTAATCTCCAGTGTGGTAGGGCTAAGAGGTGGCACCTTTGGGAAGTAATTAGGTCTGGGATTAGTGCTTTTCTAAAAGGAGCCGAAGGGAGCTTGTTCGCCCTTCTACCATAAGAAGACACAGGAAGAGGGTGCCAGGTATGGGGAGTAGACCCTCGCCAGACACCAATTCTGCTGGCACCTTCATCCTGTACTTGCAAGCCTTCAGAACTATGAGCCATTGATTTCTGTTGTTTGTTGATTCCCCAGCCTAAGATATTTTGTTATAGCAGCCTGGATGGACTAAGACATCTGTGAAACAGATTCTGAGTCTGAAATCTGCAGGCAAGCAGTTTAATGGGGAGGTAGTATGCCAGGGACTGACGCCTGTGAACAAGTGAGTGAGAGAAGCAGAATTGGACAGACGGAGAAGCTGAACTGTGATGAAGTTGCTCTGAAGGCTTCAGACAGAAACATGGGGTGCTCTGGAGCTGGGATAGATTTTTTTTTTGTTTTTTGTTGTTGTTGTTTTTGTTTGTTTGTTTTGAGACAGAATCTTGCTGTGTCACCCAGGCTAGAGTGCAGTGGCATTGCCTCGGCTCACTGCAACCTCTGCCTCCCGGGTTCAAGCGATTTGCCTGCCTCAGCCTCCCAAGTAGCTGGGATTACAGGCACACACCACCATGCTGGACTAATTTTTGTATTTTTAGTAGAGATGGGGTTTCACCATGTTGGCCAGGCTGATCTCGAACTTCTGTCACCACCCACCTTGGCCCCTCAAAGTACTAGGATTACAGGTGTGAGCCACTGTGCCCAGCCTGAGATGGATTTTTTGGAGTTGTCTTGTGATATGGTTTGGCTGTGTTCCCACCCAAATCTCATCTTGAATTCCCACATGTTGTGGGAGAGACCTGGTAGCAGGTAATTGAATCAAAGAAGCATGTCTTTCCTGTGCTGTTCTCGTTATAGTGAATACATCTCATGAGATCTGATGGTTCTATAAGGGGGAGTTGCCCTGCACAAGCTCTCTCTTCTCTTGTCTGCCACCATGTGAGACGTGCCTTTCACCTTCCACCATGATTGTGAGGCCTCCCCAGCCACACGGAGCTGTTAGTCCAATAAACCCCTTTCTTTTGTAAATTGCCCAATCTCGGGTGTGTCTTTATCAGCAGGGTGAAAATGGACTAATACATCTTGCCTCTAGGCTAGCAAGCGAGGCATTTATACTCCCTCTTGGACCAGTCATTGGATGTAGGATGCCTTTGGGAAGGGCACTCGATCTTGGACAAAGCAACACTCTTTGGCTGAGCTGGGGTAGTGAGTGCCTCAGCCGCTGACAAGGGATCTGCGAGACTATCACAGCATCCTCCACAGAGTCTGTCTTTTTCGTAGTGATGTGCAGGCATTCCCTATACATTTTATTTATTTATTTATTTATTTATTTTTTTGAGATGGAGTTTCGCTCTTATTCCCAAGGCTAGAGTGCAATGGCGTAATCTCGGCTCACTGCAACCTCTGCCTCCCGGGTTCAAGCAATTCTTCTGCCTCGGCCTCCTGAGGAGCTGGGATTACAGGCGCCCGCCACCATGCCCAGCTAATTTTTTGTATTTTTAGTAGGGATGGGATTTCTCTATGATGGCCAGGCTGGTCTTGAACTCCTGACTTCAGACGATCTGCCTGCCTTGGCCTCCCAAAGTGCTGGGATTACAGGTGTGAGCCACCGTGCCCAGACCCCTATGCATTTTAAATATTAGCTTCTTGTCAGTTTTAGACATTGTGAATATCCTCCTTCAATCTATCATCAGCCTGTTAGCTTTCTCTTAGTGTTATTTCTTGGAACAGAATTCCTTAATTTTGATGTAGCCAAGTTAATAAATTTTCCTCCTTAAGGATTTATGCTTTGAGAGGTTTGTTTAAAAGATCCATCTCCGGCCAGGTGTGGTGGCTCACGCCTGTAATCCCAACATGCGGGAGGCCGAGGTGGGTGGATCATTTGAGGTCAGGAGTTTGAGACCAGCCTGACCAACATGGTGAAACCCTGTCTCTACTAAAATACAAAAATTAGCCAGACATGGTGGTTGGTGTTTGTAATCTTAGCTACTCTGGAGGCTAAGGCAGGAGAATCCCTTGAACCCAGGAGGTGGAGGTTGCAGTGAGCTGAGATCAAGCCTCTGCACTCCAGCCTGGGTGACAGAGGGAGACTCTGTTTCCAAAAAAAAAAAAAAAAATCCATCTCCATTCTTTAGGCCACAAATATATCCTCCTACATTATGTCCTTGCTTTGAACACATTTTTACCTTTCACATTTAGGTCTTTAATCCTTCTGGAGCCCACTTTGAATGTGGGTGTTAGCCAATTTTCTTCTCTTTTCCTGTGTTATGAACCAGTTTTCTGTACTTGTCTTGAACCCTCTGCTCTCTGGTTTCTGCTTCACCACTGTCTTAAGATACTACATCTGCAGAGAATTGCACCCTCTTAATATTCTTATTCCATGGCTTTAAAAGAATTCTCCTTCATCTCTCCCTGTCTGCAGTATGGGGCACATTCGACCATCTCCCTTTCTTGCAACTCTGTGTGCAGTGCCCTTTCTGAACTTATTACCCTTGTTTGCTTTTTCTTCTTTTATCTCTTCCTCCTCTTTCACCCCTAGGGCTTTCCTGGCTTAACTTTCTCTTGCAGCTCCTAACAATCGGTGAAATTTAAGACTATGCTTGTCTTTCTTTTTATCCCTCAAAACTCCATCGTCTCTGAGAAATTCTCAAAATTTCAGTCCCTCTAGGTGGGTGATTTCCCTATTAGTAAATCCATCCCTGACCTCTCCTGTGAATGCTAGTGACCATTTTAAAAAAAAATACTTTAGTTTTTACTTTATCATTTTATTATTATTATTATTTTGAGACGGAGTCTCACTCTGTCATTCAAGCTGGAGTGTGATGGCATGGTCTCAGCTCACTGCAACCTCTGCCTCCCGGGTTCAAGCAGTTCTCCCACCTCAGCCTCCTGAGTAGCTGGGACTACAGGTGTGTGCCACCACACTTGGCTAATTTTTGTATTTTTAGTAGAGACGGAGTTTCACTATGTTGGCCAGGCTGGTCTCGATCTCCTGACCTCGTGATCCACCTGTCTCGGCCTCCCAAAGTGCTGGGATTACTAGCGTAAGCCAGGCGCCTGGCCTAAAATATTTTTAAAGAGCAGTTTGGGGTTCACAGGAAAATTAAGCAGAAGATGGCCAGGCACAGTGGCTCATGCCTGCAATCCCAGCACTTCGGGAGGCTGAGACGGGAGGCTTGCTTGAGCCCAGAAGTTCGAGACCAGCCTGGACAACAAAGTGAGACCCAGTCTCTACAAAAAATCAAAAAGTTATCCAGCTGTGGTGGCACATGCCTGTAGTCCCAGCTACACGGGAGACTGAGGCAGGAGGATCACTTGAACCCAGGATCCTGGTTGAGGCTGCAGTGAGCCAAGATCCCAAGATTGTGCCATTGAACTACAGCCTGGGCTACAGAGTGAGACCCTGTCTCAAAATTTTAAAAAATAATTTTAAAAAACAAACCAAAAAAAACAGAAGAAACTGAGATTTCCCATATACCCCCTTCCCCAACTCATACACAGTGCTCCCCATTATCAATATCCGCCACCAGAGCAGTACATATGCTACAATTGATGAATCCACGTTGACACATCATTATCACCCAAAGTCCATAGGTCACATTTGGATTAACTCTAGATGTTGTACATTCTGTGGGTTTGGACAACTGTATAATGACGGCCAGATGCAGTGGCTCACACCTGTAATCCCAGCAGTTTGGGAGGCCAAGGTCGGTGGATCACTTGAGCCCAGGAGTTCGAGACCAGCCTGGGCAACATGGCAAAATCCATCTCTACTAAAAACTACAAAAATTAGCCGGGTGTGGTGGTGCGTGCCTGTAATCCCAGCTGCTTGGGAGGCTAAGGCAGGAGAATCACTCAAACCCAGGAGACAGAGGTTGCAGTGAGCCGAGATGGCACCACTGCACTCCAGCCTCGGCAACAGAGTGAGACTCTGTCTAAAAAAAAAAAAAAAAGTATAATGAAATGTATCCACCATAAAAGTATCATACAGACCATTTTCACTGTCCTAAAATCCTCTGTGCTCTGCCGATTCTTCCCTCCCTCCCCGCAACATCTGGACACCACTGATATTTTTACTGCCTCTGTCGTTTTTTTGTTTTTGTTTTTGTTTTGTTTTTGAGACAGAGTCTCACTCTGTTGCCCAGGCTGGAGTACAGTGGCACGATCTCGGCTCACTGCAATCTCCACCTCCAGTGTTCAAGCAATTCTTCCTGCCTCAGTCTCCTGAGTCACTGGGATTACAGGCGCCTGCCACCATGCCTGGCTAAATGTTGTATTTTTTAGTAGAGATGGGATTTCGCCATGTTGGCCAGGCTGGTCTTGGACTCCTGATCTCAGGTGATCCACCCACTTCAGCCTCCCAAAGTGCTGGAATTATAGGCATGAGCCACTGTGCCCAGCCTGCCTCTGTAGTTTTTTTGCCTTTTCCAGGATATCATATAGTTGAAATCATATACTATGCAACTTTTGCAGATTGGCTTCTTTCATTTAGTAATAAGCATTTAAGCTTCTTGCATTCAGCTTTAAGCTAAAGACAGATGTGTCTGAACCTCAGGATAAACAGTCCCTTTTAGGAGCATCCTGCACAGCCAAGGGGGAAAGTCAGGCTGAAGGTCTCATTAATCCACACAGCATCCCTATGCAGCTGTAAAATAGGTGGAGAGAATTGAAGTTGTCTTCTCTTTACAGATAAAGAATTTGAAGTACCAAGCACCATCGCAAGAACATCAAATGAGTACTTCCTATAGCTTTACAGTTTACAAAGGCTCTGAACTCAGGCTTTCCTGAAGGGGGCTTACTCCTCACTTTAGAAATGGCCAGTGGAGGATATAGCATCAGGCCGTTCGACCACCACAATCCCCTGAAATGACCTGAGCAGCATATTCAAGTCAGCGCAGGGGTGAGATTTAAAGTTGCCACAAGAGACCCAGAACTGTGGCTCATGCCTGTAATCCCAGCACTTTGGGAGGCCGAGTCAGGAGGATCACCTGAGGCCAGGAGTTCAAGACCAGCCTGGTCAACATGGCAAAACCCCATCTCTACTAAAAATACAAAAAATAAAAAAAAATAGTCGGGCGTGGTAGCGCGCGCATGTAGCCCCAGCTACTCGGGAAACTGAGGCAGGAGAATTGCTTGAACCCGGGAGGCAGAGATTGCAGTGAGCCGAGATTGCACCACTGCACTCCAGTCTGGGTGACAGAGTGAGATTTCATTTCAAAAAAATAAAAAAATAAAGTTGCCACAACATCCCCAGTTTGTCTCTGGAATCCTCCCAGACTACCTCGTTTTTCCACTCTGCTACTCCTTGTTCATAAATTTCTTGGTTCTCAGCTGACTTTGTTTTGGCTTTACATTACGGTTTCTATCCTCCACCCATGTCTTTGCTGGATGATCTGCTGGGCTTGACTCATTCTTCTGGCTCTCAACAACCATATGGATCCACGCCACTGCCTTTGGTCTTTGTTCTTCAATCCCCCACATTGCTCCCAAAGGGAAGAAGCAGTTCATCTGTGGGATCCACTTGATGTGTCTCACCTTTCACCAGGACCACGAGGGGCGTGGGGGCCTGCCAGCTTCAAGATGGCACAATAAAGGCATTTCTGCTACCATCTTTTAAAATCACTCCAAAATAAGCAGTACAATAAATTTAAAAATATGTATATTATTTAGGAAACCAGGAGACAACAGCAGCCCCTAATCATACTAATTGAACCAGAGAGGGAAAGGGCAACACACACCAGGTGGTTCTGATAATGGTGGGTGTTAGGGTATTTAGACTAGACCTTGAAGATAGAGAGTTCTTCAGTGTTTCTTTATTCCCAGAGCTTAGCATAGAACCTGGCCAAATCAAGTCCTCATCAAATACTTGTTGAGTGAATTACATCATTATATATATTTATATCCTATAACAGTTATCAGCACATGAAAACATTTTACTATAAGGAGAACTGTTAGAAATGTTTGCTACATTGCTAAGCGGGGCTTCCGTTCTTTCTCTTGGAGAGAGGACCCTTCTACATCCATAGGCTGAGGAAGAGAACTCTGACTAATACCTTTGCCCTGATGATTAGCATTTCATTGCTTCAATTTTTAAAACATTCACAAAATCTGCTCTTTCATTGGCTCTGTTTCAGTCGTTCATTATTTTAATGTGAACTTGGCTCTTATGGAGGTCAGGACTTGATAATTGCATTCAGCCCTTTGCAATTATTGGTAAGAAACCAGGTAAGAAACCACTGACATTTAATATTTAATTGTTTTTGATCAGCATTAATTAGTCACAGATGCACACCAGATTCCCATTTAATTAAATACTCTTGGGAACATATTTTGGGCTCAGGGATTCTAACCACATCAAAAAATAAGTGTTCAACTTTAAAAGTTGGGCCCCAGAGACCCAGGCATCCATGGAGAGGAAATTCCAGATGTCTAGCATTCTCCCTTTTCTTAGAAATAAACCTTCTACTTCTAGCCCTCTGGAATAGAAAGTCTCGGCATTTCTTTTCTCTTTTATTTTATTTATTTATTTTTTGAGATGGAGTCTCACTCTGTCGCCCAGGCTGGAGTGCAGTGGCACGATCTCGGCTCACTGCAACCTCCACCTCCCAGGTTCAAGCCATTCTCCTTCCTCAGCCTCCCAAGTAGCTGGGACTACAAGCATGCACCACCATGCCCGGCTAATTTTTGTATTTTTAGTAGAGATGGGGTTTCACCATGTTGGCCAGGCTGGTCTCAAACTCTTGACCTCATGATCCACCCACCTTGGCCTCCCAAAGTGCTGGGATTACAGGCGTGAGCCACCAGGCCCGGCCTCTTTTATCCTTTTTTTGTTTGTTTGTTTGTTTTTTTGAGACAGAGTCTTCCTCTATCGCCCAGGCTGGAGTGCAGTGGTGCGATCTCAGCTCACTGCAGCCTCTGCCTTCTGGGTTCAAGTGATTCTCCTGCCTCAGCCTCCCAAGTAGCTGGGATTACAGGCACTTGCCACCACGCTCAGCTCATTTTTGTATTATTAGTAGAGACGGGGTGTCACCATGTTGGCCAGGCTGGTCTCGAACTCCTGACCTCAAGTGATCCACCCACCTCGGCCTCCCAAGGTGCTGGGATTACAGGCATGAGCCACAGTGCCTGGCCCTCCTCTCTCTTCTTGCATCATCAGTTTTACCCTCTTTACTGAATCATTCCCATCCACATACAAACATGAGCAAGTTCTCCCATTCTAAAAAAACCCACTGTCAAACCCACCCCTTCTCAAACTATTGCCCTTTTTCGTCCCTCTTTGGAAATAAACTTCTAGAAAAGATTGTGTGCACTTGCTGCCTCCAGCCCCTCTCCTCCTAGTCTCTCTCAAACACACTGCATTTGGACTTTGGCTCCAACTACTCCAT
Source organism: Homo sapiens (assembly GCF_000001405.40). NCBI lineage: Eukaryota > Metazoa > Chordata > Mammalia > Primates > Hominidae > Homo > Homo sapiens. The sequence continues at coordinate 19,579,200 of NC_000001.11, forward strand.
GGAGACCGTCCTTGTCAATGTCTCTAAAATTACCTTTCTGATGTTAAGACCAATGGCCACTTCTCCACCCTCTTTCATTTGGCCCAGTTAATCATGTTGTCTTTCTTGAAACACTTCATTTGGCTTCCAGGAGACCATTTTTTCTTGGTTTTCCTCCCGTCCATGTTCCTTCCTTCTCATTTTTCTTTGCTGATTTACCCTGATCTCCCTAGCCTCTAAATGTTAGGTGGTTTTAGCAATGCTTTTAACTTCCATTTGACCTCCCTATTTACTCTGCATTTCCACCTGAATGTTGGCTTAGCCTGGGTTCCTTAGACATCAGAGCCTGAGGCAAAGCTTACACACTCTTGCTCTATTGGAGAAGAAGGAGAGAAAAGGAAAGAAGGCAGGGAGTGAGGGAAAGTAAGGTGCATTGTTGAGCGAGCCAAACATTCACAAGAAAACACAGCTAGTCACTTCGTCACACAGGAACATCTCTAGAGAGGCGAGTGGAACCATAACACCTCCATGCTGCTGCATCTTGGGAAGGAGAAAGTTGGTTTCTGGCCTGCAGAAGAAAATGGAATTCATCTGTTGACTCCTCCTCTCCTGTCTTTCAATGTTAGAAGTTTATCTCTGCACTTCTAAGTTGTGTTCTCTGGCCTCTTTGGGCTGCACTGGGGATAACAGCTCCCTCAGCCCTGGCTGAGAATTTAATCTGGGCTCAGAAACAGTGGGAAGACCTGTAGCCTTTGCAATCTAATCCCCGGAGCGTTATGCACTTCCTGTTGCAGCTTATGATGGGGTCAAGCTGGGTCTGGCGCCCACCCTGGGAAAGACTGAGGCAGCCTTCCATCTCAGCAGAGGAGGCACTTGACTGTGGTGGCCACAGCTCTTCTTCTTCTTCTTCTTCCGTTTTTTTTTTTTTTTTTGAGACAGAGTTTTGCTCTTGTTTCTCAGGCTGGAGTGCAATGGCGCAATCTTGTCTCACCGCAATCTCTGCCTCCTGGGTTCCAGCGATTCTCCTGTCTCAGCCTCCCGAGTAGCTGGAATTACAGGGATGTGCCACCACACCTGTCTAATTTTTGTATTTTTAGTAGAGATGGGGTTTCACCATATTGGCCAGGCTGGTCTTGAACTCCTGACCTCAGGTGATCCATTTGCCTCAGCTTCCCAATGTGCTGGAATTACAGGCGTGAGCCACCATGCCCGGCCTCAGGGCTCTTCTTTGAGTAAACAGTCAAGGGAGAGTCCAGGCTTGGGGCAGCAGAGAGGATTGAGGGAAGATGGGGTAGCATATAAACTGGGTCTAACAGGCATCTCCAAACTTAACCTACCTAAAATTGAACTGATTCCAACCCCTCCCATCCAAACTTTTTTCTCCTAGTTTTTCCCATCTCAGTGTCAACTCCATCTTTCCATTGTCTCACACCAAAAACCTTAAAATCATCCTTAACTCCTCTTTCTTTATTCTTAAACCTCACATCCAATGTATCAGCAAATCCCATCAGCTCTACCTTCAAAGTATATCCAGAAGCCAGCCTCTCCTCACCATCTCCTTTCCCATCATTCTTGGATCATTATAAGGGTCTTCTATTTGGCTCTCTTGCCTTTGCCCCCAACATTCTATTCTCAATGCCATGGTCAGAGCGGTTCTTGTAAAAAAAAAAAATAAGAGAGATGGTGTTACTCCCCCTCCTGAAACACTCTAGGGCCTTCCCCTCTCACTCAGAGTTAAACCAAAGTCTTTGGCATGGCCTACAAGGCCCTACACTATCTGAGTCCATCACACCTCTAACTTTATCTCCTGCTGGCGCACTCTGTCCATCCACTGTGCCTCTAAAGGGCCAAACAGCCTCCCACCCAAGGGCCATTGCACTTGTTCCTCTCTGTGCCTGCAAGACTGTCTCTCCAGTTAGCTACAAGGCTTGCTTCCTTAATCCTTCTGAGCGCTTAACCTCTATGCTTCAATGCTTTTTTTTTTTTTTTTGAGACAGAGTCTTGCTCTGTTGCCCAGGCTGGAATGCAATGGTGCAATCTCGGCTCAATGCAACCTCTGCCTCCCGGGCTCAAGCGATTCTCCTGCCTTAGTCTCCAGAGTAGCTGGGGCTACAGGTGCACGCCATCATGCCTGGCTGCTTTTTTGTATTTTTAGTAGAGACGGGGCTTCATCATGTTAGCCAGGCTGGTCTCAATCTCCTGACCTCAAGTGATCTGCCCACCTTCATCTCCCAAAGTGCTGGGATTACAGGCATGAGCCATCATAACCAGCCCTCCACTGCTTCTTTTCAGTCAGAAAAGGCTCAATGGCGGAAGAAGAAACTGAAGGATGGGAAAGAGAATGAAAACAGGAAGGAAGGAGTAACCTCTTCAAGAGCTTTTTGGAAAGCCCAAAGCTTTCCAGAAACAGTTTCGCCAAGATGGAGACTTTATGAGTGGGAGAGTAACAAAAGAGATAAGAAGAAAGTGAAACCATTCTTAAAAGTGCCGGGCGCGGTGGCTCATGCCTGTAATCCCAGTGCTTTGGGAGGCTGAGGCAGGTGGATCACCTGGGGTCAGGAGTTCGAGATCAGCCTGACCAACATGGAGAAACTCCGTCTCTACTAAAAATACAAAATTAGTTGGGCACAGTGGCACATGTCTGTAATCCCAGCTACTCGGGAGGCTGAGGCAAGAGAATTGCTTGAACCAGGGAGGCAGAGGTTGCGGTGAGCCGAGATCGTGCCACTGCACTCCAGCCTGGGCAACAAGAGCAAAACTCCACCTCAAAAGAAAAAAAATGTTGAAGAGCTAGGGTGTTTATTCTATGGGTATGGGTTATCCAACTGAGAATCAAAGTTAGTTCACTCAAATTTCCACTGAAAAAATGTCTTCCAACCAGGACCTCTGGATCAATGGTAGTCCTGGTGGTCTAAACATGTTCTTGAAAGAAGCAAGAGAAATCAAGATTGACGAAGGAGCAACAAAGCTTGGAAAGATATTTGTCTCTGGGAAGAATCTTCCAGGCCCTTTCAGGAAGTTGAAGGGAGAAGGTGGTCTTTCTCAGAGCCACTGCTTGAGCGCTTATGCATCCCATGGTGTGGTAACTGGGGTTGAAAATGGGATCTCAAAACCAACCCAACAGGAAGGGCAGGGGAAGGTCTGAGTTGTCTTTTGGTGCCCTTGGGTCAGGTCTACCTGGCTCAACCTCTCCAAGCTCTTGATAACCAGTATTACAAGGTCAAGGAGGTCGGTGAATGTGGGCGCCACTGCCCTCTGCTGGAGGGACTGGCATCCTCCCAAGACCTGTATTTGGCTCCTGGTCAATGTGTCTTTACCTTTGTACCTGCGTCCCTTTGAGAAGCTGAAGAAAGCTATGGAGTCAAAGCAAAAACAATATGCGCTCATGTATAAGATTTGTGTGGAGTTTCAGGGATTCACAGACAGACCCTCTGAAACCCATCCATCCACCTCCCAGGTAAAGGTGTGGCTTTAGAAGCAGATAGACCTAAGTGCCACTTCAGAACTGAGATACCTACCCTTCCTCTGTAAGACAGAAAAAAATCAAGAAGAGGCTACCCAACCTATTTCTTGCCAAGAATGCCCTTCCTCCTACTTGAACCCCATGTTTAGAAATATTTTCTATACCTGTAGCCTCAGCAGTTTGGGAGGCTGAGGTGGGATGATCACTAGGGCTTAGGAATTCGAGACCAGCCTGGGCAACAAAGCGAAACCCTGTCCCTATAAAAAAAAATACAAAAATTAGCCACATATGGGGTGTGCACCTGTAGTCCCCGCTACTCAGGAGCCTGAGGTGGGAGGATCCCTTAAGCCCAGGAAGTTGAGGCTACAGTGAGCTGAGAATGTGCTACTGCACTCCAGCCTGGGAGACAGAGTGAGACTCTGTCCCAAATATACATATATATATTTTATGGAGTGCAGTGGTGCAATCTTGGCTCACTGCAACCTCTGCCTCCTAGATTCAAGTGATTCTCCGGCCTCAGCCACCCAAGTTAGCTGGGATTGCAGGCACGTGCCACCACACCTGGCTAATTTTTGTATTTTTAATAGAGATGGGGTTTCACCACCTTGGCCAGGCTGGTCTCAAACTCCTGACCTCAAGTGACCCGCCTGCCTTGGCCTCCCAAAGTGCTGGGATTACAGGTGTGAGCCACTGTGCCTGGCCGCTCTAATTTTTGTTTATTTATTTTATGTATTTATGTATGTATTTATTTATTTTTAGAGACGGAATCTTGCTGTGTTGCTGAGGCTGGAGCGCAGTAGTTATTCACAGATGGGATCGAAGTTCCCTACAGCCTAAAACTCCTGGGCTCAAGCAATCCTCCTGTCTCTCAGTTTCCTGAGTAGCTAGGACTACAGACACATGCCACTGTGCTGGCTTTCTAATTTGTTGTTGTTGTTGTTGAGACAGTGTCTTGGTCTATCACCCAGGCTGAAGTGCAGTGGTGCCATCATAGCTCACTGCAGCTTCCACCTCCTAGGCTCAAGCAATCCTCCCACCTCAGCCTCCTGCATAACTGGGACCACAGGCACGTGCCACCACTCCCAGCTAATACTTTTTATTTTTTGTAGGGACAGGGTTTCTCATGTTGCCCAGGCTGGTCTTGGATTCCTGGGCTCAAGCAATCTGCCCACCTTAGCCTGTCAAAGTGCTGGGATTACAGGCATGAGCCACCGAGCCCAACCTCTAATTTTTTTTTTTTTTTTTAATGCGAGTCTTGTACTTTTAGCCAGGCTGGAGTGCAGTGGCACGATCTCAGCTCACTGCAACCTCCGCCTCCCAAGTTCAAGCAGTTCTCCTGCCTCAGCCTCCCAAGTAGCTGGTATTACAGGCATGCACGACCATGCCCGGCTAATATTTTTATTTTTAGTAGAGATGAGGTTTCACCATGTTGGCCAGGCTGGTCTGGAACTCCCGACCTCAAGTGATCCACCCACCTTGGCTTCCCAAAGTGCTGGGATACAAGCGTGAGTCACCAAGCAGAGCCTCTAATTTTTAATTAACCAAACAGAACCAGGCAAGCAATAGCCAGTTACTCCATCAAGGCTGAGTTCATATAATCCAGGTAAAAATCAAAGCTAACTTGACTGCAGTGGCTCATGCCTGTAATCTCAGCACTTTGGGAGGCTGAGGTGGGAGGATCCCTTGAGCCCAGGAGTTTGACACCAGCCTGGGCAACATGGAGAAACCCTGTCTCTACAAAAAATACAAAAATTAGCCAGGTATGATGGCACGTACCTGTAGTTCCAGCTACTTGAGGGGTTGAGGCAGGAGGATCATCTGAGCCTGGGAGGTCAGGGCTGCGGTGAGCTGTGATTGTGCCACTGCACTCCAGCCTGGGCAACACAGTGAGACCATCTTTAAAAAAAAAAAAAAGCCTAGGATTGCTCTGTTGTAGACACATATACAGGGTTTGGGCTGGACTTTGAAGTATTCATACTCAAGCTTTAATGTTGTTTGTTTGTTTGTTTGTGCAGTGGCACCATTTCAGCTCACTTCAACCTCTGCCTCCTGGGCTGAAGCGATCCTCCCACAGCCTCCCAAGTAGTTGAGAGTACAGGTGCACACCACCATGCCTGGCTAATTTTTGTGCTTTTTTGTAGAGATGGGGTTTTGTCATCTTGCTCAGGCTGATCTGGAACTCGTGAACTCAAGCAATCCTCCTGCCTCGGCCTCCCAAAGTGCTGGGATTACAGGCGTGAGCCACTGCACCTGGCCTCAAGGTATAATGTTTAAACTTTCACTGACTCACTCTAAAGCTCACATACTTAAATCTAAACTAATTCAGTGATGCTATTTGCGTCAAACTCATGCTGTCTCACAAATCTATTTATGTGCACCTTTAAATGTGGGAAATGAGAAATTCCACCTTCAAACACACCTTTCCAAGCATTTCCTCAGCTCAAACTCTCTCTAAGGTTAATTTAAACACATACTGTACATGAGGCCACATTTAAACCCACTTTGGTTCTAACTCAAGCTTGTGTCCTACACTGAGACCTTCTGGCCTCAAGGGTAGGGCCATGTGAGAACATAGAACATCAGTTGAAGCTGGGCACAATGGCTCATGCCTGTAATCCCAGCACTTTGGGAGGCCGAGATGGGTGGATCTCTTGAGGTCAGGAGTTTAAGACCAGCCTGACCAACATGGAGAAACCCCATCTCTACTAAAAATACAAAAATTAGCCGGCTGTGGTGGTGTGCACCTGTAATCCCAGCGACTTGGGAGGCTGAGGCAGGAGAACTGCTTGAACCCAGGAAGCGGAGGTTGCAGTGAGCTGAGATCACACCACTACACTCCAGCCTGGGTGACAAAGCAAGACTGTCTAAACAAACAAACAAACAAACCAAAAAACCACATCAGTTATGCACCACTGAATACTTGCCATGGCTAATACTAAAGATGTAAAAAATATAGAATTCCTGCTCCCAATTCATTCATTCAAGAAATATTGATTAAATGCCTACAATGTACCAGACACTGCAAGGAACTAGGAATATAATGATAACAGAACTGATGAAGTCCCTGCCTTCATGGAGCTTACAGTCTAGTGGGAGAAACAGCGGGTGTGGGAGGAATAACAAATAGAGGAGATAATTGGAAATTGTGGTATGTAACATGAAGGAAACAGAGGGGAGTGGGGCTAGGGAGGGAATGGGGCAGGGCAAGGACCTCTCATAGATGTAGCAGTCAGGGTCCTGGCAGGAAACAGGTGGCACATTCAAACTGGGAAGTATTCATCCCTGAAGGGCATGGGAGAAGAAACATAAATACATACATTAATAAATATTTAAAAACACAAAGGAAATGGAGGAGAGGCAGGGCACAGTGGCTCACACTTGTAATCCTGGCACTTTGGGAGGCCAAGGCAGGAGGATCACTTGAGTCCAGGAATTCGAGACCAGTCTGGGCAACATAGGGAGACCCAGCCTCTACAAAAAAATAAAAATAAAAAAATTAGCCTGGGGTGGTGGCTTGCACCTGTGGTCCCAGCTACTCAGAAGGCTGAAGTGGGAGGATCATTGAGCCAGGGAGGTTGAGGCTGCAGTGAGCCAAGATTGCACCACTGCACTCCAATCTGGGTAGATAGAGTGAGACCCTGTCTCAATAGATATAGATATAGATAGATAGATAGATAGATAGATAGATAGATAGGCCGGGTACGGTGGCTCACACCTGTAATTCCAGCACTTTGGGAGGCCAAGGCGGGCAGATCAACTGAGGTCAGGAGTTTAAGACAAGCCTGGCCAACATGGTGAAACCCTGTCTTTACTAAAAATTCAAAAAAAATTAGCCAGGCATGGTGGCGTGCACCTGCAGTCCCAGCTACTCGGGAGGCTGAGGCAGGAGAATCGTTTGAACTTGGGAGGTGGAGGTTGCAGTGGCCAAGATGGTGCCACTGGTGCCACTGCACTTCAGCCTGGGTGATGAAGTAAGACTCCATCTCAAAAAAAAAAAAAAAGATAAATAAAGGTGAAAAATGGATGAGAGTTTAATAAAAGGGCTATTTACAAGCAGCGAGGAATGGTGCAGTACCCTAGAGTTAGTAACAGTGGGAGCCCTTCCCAGCCTTAGGCCCGAAGGTCCAAGGGGAGGCAGCAAGCACATTCATGAGTCACTTAAACACAGGGATATATGCTGAGAAACACGCTGTTAGGCGACCTTGTCGTCATGCAAACATCATGGAGTGTACTTCATGCTCCAGCCTACTACACACCCAGACTATGGCAGAGCCTATTGCTCCTAGGCTGCAAACCGGTACAACGTGTTACTGTACTGAATACTGCAGGCAATAGTAGCACAATAGAAAGTGTGTACCTAAACATATCTAAACATAGAAAAAGTACAGTAAAAATACAGTTTTGTTTGTTTTTTTGTTTGTTTTGAGACAGAGTCTCACTCTGTCGCCCAGGCTGGAGTACAGTGGCACCATCTCTACTCACTGCAACCTCCACCTCCTGGGTTCAAGTGATTCTCCTGCCTCAGCCTCCCGAGTAGCTGGGATTATAGGCATGCACCACCACGACTGGCTAATTTTTGTATTTTTAGTAAAGACGGGTTTTCACCATGTTGACCAGGCTGGTCTTGAATTCCTGACCTCAGGTGATCCACCCGCCATGGCCTCCCAAAGTGCTGGGATTACAGGCGTGAGCCACCACGCTTGGCCATAAACATATATAAACACAGAAAAAGTACAGTACAAATACAGTATTATAATCTTATGGGACCACCATTAGATTGCAGATGACAGAAACGGCATTATGCGGTACATGACTTACTATACAGGAATCTGAAGAGGCTGGGCTTGGTGGCTCATGCCTATAATCCCAGCACTTTGGAAGGCTGAGGCAGGGGATCACTTGAGCCCAGCCTGGGCAACATGACAAAATACGGTCTCCACACACACACAAAAAAATCAGGTGTGATGGTGGCTTATGCCTGTAATCCCAGCTACTCAGGAGGCTGAGGTGGGAGAATTGCTTGAGCTTGGAAAGCGGAGGTTGCAGAGAGCCAAGATCATGCCACTGCACTCCAGCCTGAGCAACAGAGTGAGACTCTGACTTAAAAAAAAAAAAAGAAAGAACGAATCTAAAGAGGTGAGTCCACAGAAAGGCCCACCTGGTAAGACAGGCATGACTACATGTGCAGAACCAGCAGTTAACGGCAGAGTGGAGACTGGGGTGCAGCTCTCATGATCTTCAATCCAGTGTGCTCCCTGCTGTGTTAGTTCTCTCACGATGTCATAACAAAGGACCACAAACTGGTGGCTTTGAAACAACAGAATTATAGTGTTTCTCAGTTCCAAAGACTGGAAGGCCAAAGTCAAGGCGTCAGCAGGACTGATTCCTTTCAGGGGACTCAGAGAGAGCATCCGTTCCATGCCTTTCTTCTGGCGCCTGGTGCTTGCTGGCGATCCGTGGTCTTCCTTGGCTTATATCCACATAAGCCAAATTATCTGCCTGTGTTGTCACAGGGTCATCTTCTCTGTTTTTGTGTTTCTTCTTCTTTTCTTATGGGGACACCAGTCTTTTTGGTTTAGTGTGCATCTCACTCCAGTATGAGCTAATCTTTTTTTTTTTTTTTTTTTTTTTGAGACAGGGTCTCACTATCGCCAGGCTGGAGTGCAGTAGTAGTGGTGTGATCTTAGCTCACTGCAGCCCTTGCCTCCTGGGCTCCAGTGATCCTCCCACCTCAGCTTCCCAAGAAGCTGGGACTATAGGCATGCACCACCACGCCTGGCTAATTTTTAACATTTTTTGTACAAACAAGGTCTCACTATATTGCCCAGGCTGGTCTCAAACTCCTGGACTCAAGTGATCCTCCCACTTCGGCCTTCCAAAGTGCTGGGATTATAGGTGTGAGCCACAGCACCTGGCCTAATTTTAACTAATTACTTTTTTTTTTTTGACACAGAGTTTTGCTTTTGTCATCCAGGATGGAGTGCAGTGGTGCAATTTCGGCTCACTACAACCTCTGCCTCCTGGGTTCATGTGATTCTTCTGTCTCAGCCTCCCTAGTAGCTGGGATTACAGGCGCCTGCCACCATGCCAAGCTAAGCCACCATGCCAAGCTAATTTTTCTATTTTTAGTAGAGAGGAGTTTCATCATGTTGGCCAGGCTGGTCTCGAACTCCTGACCTCAGGTGATCTGCCCGCCTCGGCCTCTCAAAGTGCTGGGATTACAGGCATGAGCCATCGCACCCAGCCAACTAATTACATTTTCAACAACCCTATTTCCAAATGAGGCCACACTGTGAGGTTCTAGGAAGGACATCAATTTGGGGGGACACTATTGAACCCAGCACACCTTCTTCAAGTTGGCAAGGCATCACTTTAGCAAAATGTCTCTGTCAATTTCCCTTCTCTTTCAGGGCCTCTTTGATTTGATTGGAATCCCCCAGTCCTGCTACATTATATATTCAGAGTACATGACTAGTAGCTCACTCACAGGAAAGAGCAAGCACTACCCCAATGAGATACTAGCAGACACCTACCAGACTGGCAACAATACTAAAGTATCATTACAGCCTAACTGTTGGTGAGGACATGGAGTAACAGGAATGGTCATATGCTGCTGGGGACAATGTAAATTGGTACAATCACTTTGGGATAAAGTTTGGCAGTATCAAGTGAAGCTGAAGGTATACATACCCTATCGCCCTCCTGACTTACATATTCTATAAAAATATATGCCCATTGAGCCGGGCGTGGTGGCTCACACCTGTAATCCCAGCATTTTGGGAGGCTGAGAATGGTGGATCCCTTGAGCCCAGGAATTCGAGACCAGCCTGGGCAACATAGCAAAACCATGTCTCCACACAAAAAAAATATAAAAATTAGCCAGGGATGGTGGCATGCACCACCTGTGGTTCCAGCTACTTGGGAGGCTGAGGCAGGAGGATTGCCTGAGCCTGAGGGGTTGAAGCTGCAGTAAGCCTACTATGCCACTGCACTGCAGCATGGGTAACAGAATGAGATCCTGCCTATATGTATATAAATGCCAGTGTATATCAGGATATTCATAGAAGAATGAGAAGACTTGTTGGCAACAGTCTCAAGCTGAGACCAGGCACAGTGGCTCATGTCTGTAATTCCAGCACTTTGGGAGGCCGAGGCGGGCAGATCACTTGAGGTCAGGAGTTTGAGACCAGCCTGGCCAACATAGCTGAACGGTGTCTCTACTAAAAATACAAAAATTAGCTGGGTGTGGTGGTGGGCACCTGTAGTCCCAGCTATTCAGGAGGCTGAGGCAGGAGAATCACTTGAACCTGGGAGGCGGAGGTTGTAGTGAGCCGAGGTCACGCCACTGCACTCCAGCCTGGGCAACAGAAGGAGACTCAGTCTCAAAAAAAAAAAAAAAAAAAAGAAGCCTCAAGCTGGAAACAACCCAAATATCCATGGACAATAGACTAAATACATTGTGGACAGCATATAATGGAATATGATATAGCAACGAAAAAGAACGAACTATAGTTACATACAGAAGCATGGATACTAATGAGGAAAAGAAGCTGAATACCATAACATACAGACTGTATGATTCCAGTTAAGCAAAGTTCAAAATTAGGCAAAATTAAACTATATTGTTTAAGGATATATAACCAGGTAGCAACACTTAAAGAAAAACAAGGAAATGAATAACATAGAAGTCAAGATATACCAGGTGCTGTGGATTACTTCTATAATCCCAGCACTTTGGGAGGTTGAAATGGGAGGATCACTTGAGCCCGGGAATTCATGACCAGCCTGGGCAATACAGCAAGTCCCTGTCTCTACAAAAAGTAAAAAGCAAAAAATTAGCCAGGCATGCTGGCACGTGCCTGTAGCCCCAGCTACTTGGGAGTTGGAGGCAGGAGGCTTCGAGGCTGCAGTGAGCCTTGATTGCACCACTGCATTCCAACCTGGGCAACAGAGTGATACTCTGTCTGGGGAAAAAAAAAAAGTCGAGATAGTGGTTATGCTATCCTGCCTTGGCAAGGAGGGAGCAGTTTGGATCTGCTGAAGGAAATGCAGAGAAGGGTCTTCTGGGGTGCTAGTCATGTTCATTTTACAACAATTTGTTAAGCTGTATTTATGTTTTCTTTTGAGATGGGGTCAAGCTCTGTTGCTCAGGCTGAAGTGCAGTGGCGTGATCATAACTCATTGCAACCTTGAACTCTTTTACTCAAGCAATCCTCTGGACTCAGCCTCCCAAGTAGCTGAGACTACAGCAACTCGTCACCACACCTGACTAATTTTTAATTAATTAATGTATTTATTATTATTATTTTTTGAGGCAGGGTCTCATTCTGTCACCCAGGCAGGAGTGCTGTGATGTGATGTGATCACGGCTTATTGCAGCCTCAACCTCCGGTTCAAGCTATCCTCCCTTCTCCAAGCTATCCTCCCGCCTCTTTTTTTGATTTTTTTGTAGAGACAAGGTCTCACTATGTTGCTCAGGCTGGTCTCAAACTCCTGGACTCAAGAGATCTTCCAACTTTGGCCTCCCAAAGTGTTGGGATTACAGGCGTGAGCCACCGCACCTGGCCATGTTCTTAGCACTTTTCCGAATGCTTGGAATATTTCATACATACACATACATTAAAAAGGGGAGGGGGTCCCTGGGCTTTGGAACCAAACAAAGCAGCTATGTAGTAGATTTTGACTCTGAACACATTCCTGAAGGGACAAAATGATATAGGACCCCTCTTGGAAAAAGAAGATATGAAATACAACAAAAAAATGTGACTCTTCTTTAAGAAAGGAATTAGAGGTTTTTTTTTCCTTTTCTTTTCTCTTTTTTTTTTTTTTTTTTTGACAGGGTCTTGCTCTGTCACCCAGGCTGGAATGCTGTGGCATGATCACAGCTCACTACAACCCAGACCTCCTGGGCTCAAGTGATCCTCCTGCCTCAGCCTCCCAACTAGCTGGGACTCTAGGTGTGCACTACCACACTCAGCTATATGTTTTTATTATTTGTAGAGACAGAGTCTCCCTATGTTGCCCAGGTCGGTGTTGAACTCCTGGGCTCAACCGATCCTCCCACCTTGGCCTCCCAAAGCGCTCAGATTACAGGTGTGAGCCACTGCACCCAGCCTAAGACATTAGTTTTTAATTGAAGAGAAACCATGAAGAAAATCACTGGCATCTAAAAGACCTTTATTTATGCAGGTGCTGTGGTGTAGAACATTCTAATCTGCGACGTTAAGGAAGCTGAATTTACAACCTAGTAAACCAAACAAAGAGTTTATGTTTAGTTGATTAACCAGTTGAGGCTAAAGTCTAGCCTATTCAAGTGACAGACTTTGGTTTTTTATTTTTCTTCAATACAGTGTAAAAAGATGTTGGCTCTCTTCCTCTTACAGGAGTCTGTCTTTATTCATTTGAAATGTAAACTTCTATCTTTGTGAAACCTGTTCCAGACAATTAAGAGCAGTGCTATAATAATAATGAATTACAGAATTCCAATTAGGAGCCAAGCACTATTTTAGGCAGTTTGTAGTTACTAAATCAGTTTGGGCTGGGCGCAGTGGCTCACACCTATAACCTCAGCAGTTTGGAAGGCCAAGGTGAGAAGACTGCTTGAGCTCAGGAGTTCGAGACCAGCCTGGGCAATATGGTGAAACCCCATCTCTACAAAACATACAAAAATCAGCCAGATGTGATGGTGTGCACCTGTAGTCCCAGCTACTTGGGAGGCTGAGCTAGGAGGATCACTTGAGCCTGGGAGGTAGAACTTGCAGTGAGCGAGATTACGTCACTGCATTCCAGCCTGGGTGACAGAGACAGACTCTGTCTCAAATAATAATAATAATAATGATAATGATAAAATAAAATAGCAGGCCAGGTGGTATGTGCTTGTTGTCCTAACTACTTGGGAGGCTGAGGTGGGAGGATTGCTTGAGCCCAGGAGTTCGAGGCTGCAGTGATCTATGATAGTGTCACTGCACTCCAGTCTGAGCAACAGAATGATATTTTGTCTCTAAATAACATAAGTAAATAAAATACTTCGACATGTCACTATCATCCTCTGAGTACTTTCTTATCTTTATTATATTAAACACTATGAGGTCATACTGACACCTTCAATTCCAATCCAACAGCATAGAGTTCTTTGCAGCTTTCCTCCTTTCCATGTTTGTAACCCCAGCAATGAGAAACCTATTTTTAATCATTTTGAATGTAACTAAGTTTATAATGAGTGTATTGCTGAGTTTTTAAAAAAATATTTTTCCCCACTTGTATTAATCTTTGTTCTTCAAGAAGTACAAAAACTCCAGAGTTTTCATTCATCTTATTCATTCAACCAACAAATATTTATCAAGCAGACACTATGTGTGAGATAATCTTATAGGGCTAGGGATATAGCAGTGAACAAAACATTGTATTGGGGAAGGAATGGTGGGAAAACAGAACAATAGAAAGAAGGCTAGGAAATGGGAAAGCTGGGATCTGCACCCAGAGAGCCTGGCTCCAGATTCATGCTATCACATCTGCCTCTGATTGCTTTTGTAATTTGCTCTCTACCTTTTGCAAGAGTTTACAACTCTCTTGAATCCAATAAAAATGCCTTTGTCAATTTTAAATCTACACAACGTGGAGCTTTGTGCATCTTCTGTGTTGCTTAACTTCTCGGAGACTCAGTTTCCAAATCTGAAAACGAAGATGCTAATCTTGACCTGCTGTGAGAATAAATGAAATTATGCGAAGTGCCTGCAGCTATTTATGACACACCATAGGTATTATTTATTTAGAGACAGGGTCTCGCTCTGTCACCCAGGCTGGAGTGCAGTGGCACCATCACGGTCACTACAGCCTTGACCTCCTGGGCTCAAGTGATCCTCTTGCCTCGGCCTCCCAAAGTGGATTACAGGAATGAGCCACTGCACCCAGCCATGTGATAGGTATTTTAGTGAAGTTTATTTTCTTTCTTTTTCAACAGAAATGTTACACTACACAGTTTCCCCAGAACAGGGACTTTTTCTCTTTCTGATTAATTAAATCATTTGTTCATATATTTATTCTTTTTTTTTTTTTTTTTTGAGACAGATCCTTGCCCTGTCGCCCAGGCCAGAGTGCAGTGGCGCCATCTTGGCTCACTGCCAGCTCTGCCTCCCTGGTTCACGCCATTCTCCTTCCTCAGCCTCCCGAGTAGCTGGGACTACAGGCGCCCGCCACCATGCCCAGCTAATTTTTTGTATTTTTAGTAGAGACAAGATTTCACCGTGTTAGCCAGGATGGTCTCGATCTCCTGACCTTGTGAGCCACCCGCCTCGGCCTCCCAAAGTGCTGGGTTACAGGCGTGAGCCACCGTGCCCGGCCTTATTTATTAATTTTTATGTCCATTCGACAAGCATTTATTGAGAATCCGATATATACCAAGCTCTCTGCTAAGCATTAGGGATACAGAAATGGCACGGCCTCCATTCTCAATTTGCTCACAGTCAAAATCCAAAAGACACACAAATAATTGTTAAAATTACAAACAATTATTAAAAACACAAATCATCTGATAAGTAGCTGTGATGAGAATTAGAAGGGGCTGGGCATGGTGGTTCAGGCCTATAATCCTAGTACTTTGGGAGGACAAAGTGGGAGGATGGCTTGAGCCCAGGAGTTCGAGACCAGCCTGGGCAGCATAGCAAAACCTCACCTCTATAAAAAAGGAAAAGCAAAGAAAAATTTAAAGAATAGGAAAAATAGGGCTGGGCATGATGGCTCAAGCCTGTAATCCCAGCACTTTGGGAGGCTGAGGTGGGTGGTTCACCTGAGGTCAGGAGTTCAAGACCAGCTTGGCCAACATGGTGAAACCCCATCTCTACTAAAAATACAAAAATTAGCTGGGGGTGGTGGCACGTGCTTGTAATCCCAACTACTCAGGTGGCTGAGACAGGAGAATCTCTTGAACCTGGGAGGCAGAGGTTGCAGTGAGCCAAGATCATGCCACTGCACTCCAGCCTGGGTGACAGAGCAAGACTCTGTCTCAAAAAAAAAAAAAAAAAGAAAGAATAATTTAAAAAAATAGAGAACTAGGAGAAGGGAAGGGTGGTCATAGAAGTTATCTTGAAGGAAGAGGCTGTCGTAGCAAGATCTGATACAACAGAGTTTTGCTGTCATAGTTGCAAATAAATAGTTGAACGATGCCTGTAATCCCAGCACTTTGGGAGGCCAAGGTGGGTGGATCACTTGAGGCCAGGAGTCAAGACCAGCCTGGCCAATATGGCGAAACCCCATCTCTACTAAAAAAATACAAAAAGTTAGCCAGGCGTGGTGGTGGGCGCCTGTAATCCCAGCTATTTTGGAGGCTGAGGCAGAAGAATTGCTCAAACCCAGTAGGCAGAGGTTGCAGTGAGCCGAGATCGTGCCACTGCACTCCAGCCTGGGCAACAGAGCGCGACTCTCTCTCAATAAATAAATAAACAAATAAATAGGTGAATAAATTCAATTCAGTTCAACAAATATTTCATAGAAGACCCTACTATCCAAGGCATTGTGCTCTGACTGGAAGTATGAAGACGAAGGGGCAACTTCTAGTTCTACTAGCAGATAATATCTACAACCAGATGTTTCAGTACTAGATAGAGAAATCAATGCGGGTAGGCAGGGTAGTGGGACAATGAGAAGGGGAAGGCAGCTCTAAGCTCTATCTGACTAGGCTTCCTAGAATCAGTGCAGTGTTGAAGCTTGGATAGATCCAGTGTATGAATGGGAGTCATTGACAGCTTTTTTTTTTTTTCTTTTGTGATAGGGTATCACTCTGATGCCCAGGCTGGAGTGCAGTGGCATGAACATGGCTCAGTGTAGCCTCCACTTCCCAGGCTCAAGTGATCCTCCTACCTCAGCCTCCTAAGTAGCTGGGACTAAAGGCACACATCACATTAGCCTGGCTAATTTTTTAAATTTTTTGTAGAGACAGGAGTCTCACTATGCTGCCTAGGCTGGTCTTGAACTACTGGCCTCAAACAATCCTCCCGCCTCAGCCTCCCAGAGTGTTGGGATTACAGGTGTGAGCCACTGCTCTCGGCCTTCATTGACAGCTTCTAATCAGAGGCATAACGTGGTCAGATTTCTATTTGTTGGTAGGATGGAAGACTAAAATCAATGACACTAGCCAGTAGGCTGGATATACAATCTCTCTTGATAGCTGTGGGCATTTGGTTTCAGGATCTCGCAGTTACCAAAATGCAGGATGCTCAAGTCCCATATATAAAATGGCGTGGTATTTGCATACAACCTACACACATGCTTACATATCCTTTTTTAAAATTACTTATTTTTTTTTAAAGAGATGAAGTCGAACTCCTAGTCTCAAGCAATCCTCCCATCTCAGCCTCCCAAGTAGCTGGGACTACGGTCGCATGCCACTGCGCTGGCTCCCATATACTTTAAATCATCTCTAGGTTACTTATAATACCTAATACAATGTAAATCCTAGGTAAATAGTTGTACTGTATTTTAAATTTTGCATTATTTTTTATTTGATTCAAAAATGTTTCTGGTCCATGGTTGGTTAAATCCATGGATGCAAAACCCACAGATACAGAGGGCACCCTGTGTATGTATGTGTATGTGTGTGTGTGTGTGGGTGGGTGTGTAAATATATACATGGATAGGAGGCCTGAGGTAGACGTTTTACCTGGAGATATAATTTGGCAGTGTTTGCAATTACTCAGGGAGAGTCTGTACAGTGAAAAGAGAATTGATGGAAGCTTGCGAACCAACAGTCCTTAAACAGCTGGCAGAGAAAAGGCAGCCCTGGAGGAAACCAACAGACAACAGCAGATGGGGAGAAGAGGAAAGAGTGGCGTTACCGGGAGTGAAACGAATAGAGGAGCCAGGGAGGATCAGAGGGAGGGAAAATTGTGTGGAATGCGGTACAGAGGTCAGAAAAGAGTCCATTTGATTTGGCGGTAGGTAATCTTTCCCAGAGCAGTTTCGGTGTTAGTGGTTCAGGCGGGAATTCCAATGCAAGAAACCAGTGAACGAATGAGAGAGTGAGTAGGGAAAGTGAAGGTGAGTACGTTAATGAATGAATAAATCAAGTCTGTACCCTCTCTTGCCCGGGGGATTTCCAGGGCCAATGTCGCACTTTGGTGAGGAGGAAAGGCCTGGTCACGGCTTGGGGTGACGCCTAGGAAACTGTCAGCCTCGCAAACCCATAGGCGCAGCCCCAAGGTCAGGGTCACCTCGAGCCTCCAGACAACTCGTCACCTTGACGACCAACTGAAAAAACCGGAAGGGATGGAAGCAGCGGATCATCTCGCGATATCTGGAGCGTCTGCGCCTGCCTTCCTGACCTGGGACTTGTTTCCAGCTCTCGCGAGACTTTCAGGGGTCGGAGCGCGGGGGCCGGCCGAGAGGAAAGCTGGAGGCGCGGGTGGGGAACATGTCTGAGTCGGAGCTCGGCAGGAAGTGGGACCGGTGTCTGGCGGATGCGGTCGTGAAGATAGGTAAGGGGCTTTTCGCCCCAGCAGGCCCGGCCGGTGCAGAGCTGCTGGCTCCAGGCTGCGCTGCCCAGGAGGAAGGAAGGGAAGCCCCACGGGAGGTCAGGCCTCTCGGCCTTTTCCGGCCCCTCCGGCCAGGGCGAGCCGCCCGGGCCCCGGCGGGAGGTCACTCGGGCGGCGGGCACAGACCCGAGGAGCCGGAGCAGCAGCCCGGGTGCGGGGTGGAGTTGCAGCCCGGAGGAGGTGGTCGGGGTTGGCAGGTGGCAGGAGAGTCGCAGAGCTCTTGAGTGGAAGACAGTGTCGGGGCACACCCTCGTGCCGGAGCCGCGGGGTTCTCCTCCCGGGTGGTGCATTCCCCGGCACGCGGCGGGGAACCGGCTCAGGAGGCCACGCTGCTCCCCGGCGGAAACCAAAGTGCCTTCTGGAGAAGGTCACCTGGAGCATTTCATAGACACCGCCAGGCCCTGATGCGAGTTGCTGTCATTCCCGACTTGCCACCTGATTTATTTGAATCAGAGTAGTCTGGGGCCTGAACTTAGAGGGGTGATGATCTGGAATGAGAATTGCGCTGGAAAGTAAGAAGTTGTTCACGTTAAGTTTTTCTGCGTAGTCCTTTAACACGTGCTCAGTGACGGCACAAATTATGAAGTCACTGTATGGTGGGGAGGAGAAAGGAAACTCGTTTATTGAGCGTATATTGTCTTCATTGTGCGAAATAATCTTTTTACAGGCCGTGAAATGGAGAGTCAGGTGAAGGAATTTGCCCACGGTCACAGCTAACAAATGGCAAAATTAGGGATTTTACCCAGCTTTTCTGGGGTCAAGTCCCATGTTCCTTCTTCGATGCTAATTTTTGTTACCCAAATGTGATATTTTTGTGTGGTAATCTTAGGGTATTTAAGAGGATTTAGGATTGTGTCTTTGAATGAAAACATTGAGGAATAAGATTGTAAGCTCCATGAGAGCAGGGATGTTTTCTGGTTTAGTCACTGCCCCATCCCCAGCCCCTAAAAGAGTGCTTAATAAAAATTGTTGAGAGTGAGTCAATAAATGAAACAGTTTATAAGTTACCATTTCACCTCTGAATTCAGCACTTACAGTCAAGTGATTTGGGGCAAGTTATTTAACTTTTCTGTGCCTGATTCCTATTTGGAAATCGGCAGTAATAATTATTACTATCTCATGGAGTCGTTGGGAGGATTAAATGAGTTAGTTTGTTTAAAGGCTTGAATATGGATCACTTAGGAATGGGTTATTTTGGAAGCGACTAAACAGTCACTTTTGTTTTGTTACTGTTAACAGCTTGCAGTTCAGAGAGAAGACTTAACACCTAGCTATGAAATGACCAAAGTAGTTACTAGGCAATGTCATATAGTTAAGAAAGGGCTTTGAGCTGGGCGAAGTGGCTCAGGCCTGTAATCCCAGCACTTTGGGAGGCCGAGGCGGGAGGATCGCCTGAGATCAGGAGTTGGAGACCAGCCTGGGAAACAAAGTGAGACCCTTCCCTTAAAAAAAAAAAAAAGGAGAAGAAGAAGAAGGGGCTTTGGAGGTAGACAGAGCTGAGTTCGAATCATCCACTCTCACTCTTCTCGCCCATCCTTACTAATTTTGTAGCTTTGGGTAAAGTCTCTTTCTCAACTACGAAATGGTGATCAAAAGAGATTTACCTGAAAGTATTAAAAAAAGTAAAGGACAGAAAAATACATAAGCTACTTAGCACAGTGCCTGGTGCTTTATGTATACAGTAATGGTAGTCATAATAACTGGCTTTTAAAATTTTTTAATGTATTTTATTTATATTTATTTTTAATTAACTTATTTTTTTTATACAGGCAGGGTCTCCCTATGTTGCCCAGGTTGGTCTTTTAACTCCTGGGCTCAAGCGATCCTCCTGCCTCAGCCTCCCAAAATGCCAGGATTACAGGCATGAGCCAATGCGCCACACTCATAGTAGTTGTTTTTTATTTTTTGAAATAGGGTCTCGCTCTGTCACCCAGGCTGGAGTGTAGTGGTGGGATCTCGGCTCACTGCAACTTCTGTCTCCTTGGGCTCAAGTGATCCTCCCACCTCAGCCTCCTGAGTAGCTGGGACTATAGGTGTGTGCCACCATGCTCAACTATTTTTGTATTTTTTGGTAGAGACGGTGTTTTGCCATATTCCTCAGGCCGGTCTCAAACTTCTGGGCTTAAGTGATCCATCATCCTCAGCCTCCCAAAGTGCTGGCATTACAAGCTTGAGCCACTGCACCCAGCCAATAGTTGTTGATATTAATATTATTGTGCTACTGAAGACCACGTGAGGCAGTGAATAGTGTCACTCTGTCTCTCATGCGTAGAACGTTGATAGGGGTGCAGCATATACATGTGGAGTAATTAAATGAGGCAAGGTGATGTACGATCTCAGGTATAAGTTAAAATGAGTGATTCAGACTCTTTTGCTGTAGGGTTGTATATTAAGTGACTGAAGGGATGGGCTGAGGTCATTCAATAAGAGTGTGGAAGGGCCTTCAACTGACCTTTGTAGAATGGCTTGGGATTGAATAGTCAGGTAGGATGGAAGAAGAACTTAAGCAAAGGTCAAGTTGGATTTTTATGAGGAGTAAATCGAAGCGCAGAGAGGTTAAATATCCAGAAGTGGAGGAGCTGGGATTAGAACCCAGGCATCCTAATTTCAGTGCAGAGAGGCTGGTTTAGGTGGAGTCAGAACTGTGAAATGTCTTAGAGAGATTCCATTTTATCTTGGAGGTGTTTGAGTTGCCTGTTGACTTTTTCACATGCTTTCTGCGTATTCAGCACCTCTGCCTTAAAAATCTATTGCTTCCAGGGCTCACTAGGCATAGGCTGGTGGGTAATCATGGGATGGTTTCAAGCAACAAATATTTATTGAGCTGTGGGTCAGTCAGCGGGCAAATAGAGAAGCATAAGACATTTCACTGCCCTCAACAGGGAATTGACGTAATATATTAGGTTGCCATTAAAAAAAAAATTGGCAAAGACCACAGTTACTTTTGCACCAACCTAGTAAATGAAATTTTAGTATGATTGTTCTGGCAGAATGAATTTGGAGCAGAGGAAACTAGCAGTACTGTGATTGTGAGGTGATAAAAGTCTGACCTGTTAGACTGGAATAAATGGGCATATTTGAGAAATTTCAAACTTTTTCCCATCTGTGAAATAAGGGAGTTGTCCTGTTGGTGATGGGCTGAGAGAGAGGGCGGAAGAGAGAAGAAGTAAGGGAGGCTTTAGTCTGAGTCGTCTTTGAAACCATGAAGGTGTACGCTCTTCTATAGTGAGCGTGTTGCTTCCTGTTTTCTCTGGGTAGTGAGGTTCTGGAACTCTTTAAACCTCATTGGCTGCTTGCTTTTCTGGTATTTCAAAATGGAGATGGAGACTCAGGGAATGGCAGCCTGTCATAAGATAGGTAAGAGGTTTGGTGGAAGACATAGACAGGAAGAAAAGGCCAATGCAGGCTTTCAGCTCCATCTTGATAATTTCACTGTGGGTTTTTGTTGTTTTTAAGACAAGGTCTCACTCTGTCACCCAGTCTGGAGTGCAGTGGTGCAATCACAGCTCACCACAGCCTTGACCTCCAGAGCTCAGGTGATCCTCCCACCTCAGCCTCCTGAGTAGCTGGGACTGTGGGTACGCACCACCATACCCATCTAACTTTTGTATTTTTTGTAGAGATGGGGTTTCACCATGTTGCCCAGGCTGGTCTTGAACTCAGGGTCCAAACGATCCACCTACCTTGGCCTCCCAACGTGCCAGGATTACAGGCATGAGCCACCACACCTGGTCCATCTTGATAATTTCATACTCTGGCTTGGCAAAGACTGAAGGGAAGCCATGGTGAATGCACAGCAACTTCTGTGAGTCCTTCTCTGTTTGGTTGTCTTATACCTAAAGTGTTTTGCTTCCAGGGTTCACCAGGGTTATTTTCCCACCTGTTTGCTGTACGATGACTATTATAATCACTCGTGTTTAGCATAGGTGTTGTATAGCTGAGTTAAATAGCTTTCTTAAGCCTGTACTTTAGGCAGTGGTCCTTTAAAAAAGTAATCTTCAAGGATCTTTTCACCCTGAGGCTTGAATAATATCTTAATAGAAAATTATCATATGATTTTGTCCTGTAGGAAGAGGCATTTATTTATAAATACCCTTGCCCCCATTACTATCTTAAGAAAAGCAGTTCTAGGCCAGGCACAGTGGCTCATGCCTATAATCCCAGCACTTTGGGAGTCTAAGGTGGGAGGATCACTTGAGCCCAAGAGGTCGAGACCAGCCTGGGCAACATAGTTAGACCCATTGCAGCAAAAAATATATATATTAGCTGGGTGTGGTGGCATACGCCTATGGTACCAGCTACTTGGGAGGCTGAGGTGGGAGGATCTCTTGAGCCTAGAGGTTGAGGCTGCAGTGTGCTGTGATCGCACCACTGCACTCCAGCCCAGACGACAGAGCAAGACCCTTTCTCAAAAAAAAAAAAAAAGAAAAGAAAAAGGAAAAAAAAGAAAAGCAGTTATATTTTACCTGCTTATTCGGGTTTTAAAACCTCTATTTATTTTGTATCAAATAGTGTGGAAGAATAGGTGATTTCTAGTATGGTTTGAACTGATAAATTAAGCCCATGGATCTAAAAACAATAGCAAAAATTAAAACCCATCTTTCTCTTGGAAGGGAGCTCTGAGTGATGGGCACAGTGGGCCCTTACTTGTTACACATCCACTTCTCTTTTTTCCACTTTTTTAGCCCTTGTTGCTTTCTTTTTCTTTATTCCTGTCACATTTTTACACTTCTTTTTGACCTCTATTCTTATTCCTGCCACTGCCACTACATACATTGCCTAGTTCATCTATAAAGTTTGACATTGATAGGTCTTTTTTCCTTAGTAACCCTGTTAGCATTTAAGAAGTTCCTAGGTATTCTATTTATTCTTTATCACATCATTTTTCTTAATAGCATGTTTCACCATTTGAAATTTGTAATTGGTTTCTTTACTTGATTGTTTCTTCTCCCTGGAATGTAAACTTCATAAGAACCAGAGGCTGTTGTGTTCACTGTTGATCCCCTAACGCCTGGTTTAGAGGAGGCGTACAATAATTATTGTTAAATGAATGACATGTATTGCTGAGAATTTTGTAGACCGTTCTCTGCCCATATTTGCTTCTCAGAGTGTGTTTATTAACTGAATGAATTAGTATTTAACTGAAAAACTCCAAGTAAAGTAGATTTCTGCCCGTTCACATGTTTGATCATGTATCCTTGTGTTCTTGGGACTTATACCAACTTTTAATTTCATCTGGGAATGTAAATTAACTGTCAGTAGATCTTAATAATAAAGTAGTATTAAAAATGTTTGGGAATAGTCAACTGAGAAACATAAACCAGAGAGCACTTTTGTATTTAAACAAGTAGAGGGATGATGTTGGTTTAAGTGGTAGTGCCAAAGCCTTATTGCAGGAAATTAAAAAGGAGTGAAGAATATTACATTTTATGAATGGCATGTTCCGTTAGTTTTATGTGAATGCGTCATTAATGGGTTTTGCTTATTTTATGGATTTATTTTTAAGTTTTATCAGATTTATTAAATGCTCTGGCTTTCTTTATCCACTCAGTTCAAGGGCTGTGGTGTTTATTTTCCTTGTATGTATGGGTAATCTGTCTTAGTACCCATGAGCATGAATAAGTCACACATTTCTTATTAGTGAGGCTAGAAGGCATAGTGTCTTATCAACCTAGGAGACTTTAAATCGTTCTGGTCTCCACAGAGCCGATGTCCTCAGCTTGGGCTTGTCACCCTGGACTGGATGAGAGGTTATGTCTGTTTTCAATTTCCCAAGGAAAATAAGATTTTAGGAGATGAGAAAAGTCATAGACTTCCAGGGGCTGCTTCCCTGTGGTTTGAGAATTTATGAGCCCTACAGGTGTGGGTCACAGAAGCACTAGGCCGGGCTCGCTGGCTCACACCTGTAATCCCAGCACTTTGGGAGGCCGAGTTAGGCAGATCCCCTGAGGTCAGGAGTTCGAGACCAGCCTGGACAACATGGCGAAACCCCATCTCTACTAAAAATACAAAAAATTAGCCGGGCATGGTGGTGCATGCCTGTAATCTCAGCTACTGGGAGGCTGAGGCAGGAGAATAGCTTGAACCCGGGAGGTAGAGGTTGCAGTGAGCCAATATCCTGCCATTGCACCCCAGCTTGGGCAACAAGATTGAAACTCCATCTCAAAACAAACAAACAAACAAACAGAAGCAGAAACACTGTCATTGCCTCAGAATTCTGTTACAACTTACTCTTCTTGAATGCCGAAGGCTTGCACCAGCAGGCTGTGGACCTTTTGACCAAGTTGATGTTGCTTGTGTGACAGTGGCCTGTCCTCAGACTATGGATTTGCCAGAGGACGCTTTGAGGAAAATCTGATTCTGGCACTTCCTGGATTCATACGGAGGTCCTGGGAATCCCTAGTGTGACTTGGATAGCTTTAAAATTGGCTGTGTCCCTTTTCTCTTTGTTTTGCTCCAATGTGAGACCAGAGTAAGGAATATCTAGTCTTACTAATCCATGTATTGGTTTAGAATTCTAGTTTATTCTAATAGAAGTCAGGTTGTATGGCAACTCTGTATTTTAGCATTTGAAGAAATTCATTGAATGGTTAGCTGAAGAGTGACATGGTTGAATTTTTGATTTCAGAAAAATCATTGATGAGAATGAATCAGAGGGCTGGCTGGGATGAAGGCAGGGAGGAGATGTCATGGTGGAGGGAGAGGTCCCAAAGCTGGAGAGTTTCCTGGAAAAGACTGTCCTGGCAAGCCAGGTGTGTCAAGCACAACAGTGATTTCCGTTAGTAGCAAGAAAAAAGGCAAGCCATGGACATTTACAAGGAGCCCCTAGAATGTATTCAATTCAGTGAACTGTAGTGGCATACACAGTCATTTTGTTTTTCTTTTCCTCATTTTTTTCATTCAAAATAAATGTACCAGTAAATACCTCCCAGCCTCAGTTTTCTTATCTATAAAATGATAGTACTTGCCCCAGAGGGTAGTTGCAAGTGAGGATAAAATGAGATAATCTCTAGAGCAGTTAGGACGTTGCCTGTACTTACTAAATATTATTAACTGGAGGCTGAGTGTGGTGGCTCATGCCTATAGTCCCAACACTTTGGGAGGCTGAGGTGGGTGGATCGCTTGAGGCCAGGAGTTTGAGACCAGCCTGGCCAACAATGGTGAAACCCAGTCTCTACTAGACATACAAAAAATTAGCCAGGTGTGGTGGTACGCACCTGTAGTCCCAGCTACTCGAGAAGCTGAGGCATGAGAATCGCTGGAACCCGGGAGTAGCAAGTTGCAGTGAGCTAAGATGCAGCCACTGCACTCCAGCCTGGGCAACAGAGTGAGACTTGGTCTCAAATAAATAAATAAAAACTGGAGGCTGTCGCTGAAGAGTAGAGGTAAAAGAGTTAAAATGATTAACACATTTACCCTGATCTTGGCTATTGTGGGTCGTAGGTGGGTCTTATTGTGGGTCGTGGCTATTGTAGGTCTGATAATCAATATTCATGTTTATATATGTAATAGTAATCATTAATGTGTACTTCTTGAAACAATTTAGTACCAGGTATTGTGGTAAGCCTTGGCAGGGGGTGGCACACAGGTGAATAGGCACTGGCCCTACCCTCGAGGGGCTTACTGCCTTGAGGAATGTGAAAAGGATGAGGGACATTTGACCCCCATTTTGGAAAATATGCAGATATTTAATAGGTGGACCAGGTGGGGGAGTGTGTTTCACTCCTTGAAGGTGTCCCAAAGGAGAGGGATACTTTGGTTCCTTCTGGGAATGATGAGAATGACCATCACTTATTGAGCACTTAACCGCATGCCAGGCACGGTGCTGAGCATGTTATATTTTACATCATTATCTCATATCCTTGTAAGATATTTCTCCATTTTTACAATGGAAGCTCATGGTGGCAGAATCCCTCCTTTAGGATCACAGGCTACAGCTGCAAGGGTAGGAAGGTGAACCCCATTCTTGTAGCTATCACATGTTAATGCAGGAGATTTTATCCTTTGGGGTTAAAGGATTTATGTGGGGAGGGACAAAAGATGAGGCAGGAAAGGTGGAAGGGTGTAGGAAGTTGTGGAGATTTTTTAAACTACTTTGTTGAGATATATTTCATGGCATACATTTTCCTATTTAAAGTGTACAATTTTAGTTTTTTCACCAAATTGTGCAATTATCACAATCTAATTTTAGAATATTTTTAGCTTCCCCCAAAAGAAACACTGGATGCAGCTGCTCCTATTCCCAAACTCTCACCCCAACCTTAGCCCCAGGCAACCACCAATTTACTTTTTGTCTCTGTGGAGTCTCCTATGCTGGACATTTTACATAAAGAGTTATATAATATGTAGTCTTTTGTATCGGCTTCTTTGACTTAGGTAGTGTTTTCAGTATTCATCCATGCTGTTGCATTTATCTGTTCATCATTCTTTTTTGTTACCAAATAATGTTGTGTGGTGTATTTGTACTACATCTTGTTTATCCATTTGTCAGTTGGTGGACATTTAGTTTGTTTACGCTTTTAAATTTTATGAATAATGCTGCTGTGATCAAGTGTACACATTTTTGTTTTGTTTTGAGATGGGGTCTGTTTTGCCCAGGCTGGTCTCAAATTCCTGGGCTCAAGTGATCCTCCTGCCTCAGCCTCCTGAGTAGCTTGGATTACAGGTGCATGCCATGGTGCTCAGCCCCCCAGTTTTTATGTGGACATGTTTTCATCTCTCTTGGATATATACCTAGGAGTGGAATTGCTTGGTTGTGTGGCAATTCTATGTTTAGCATTCGAAGAAATTCATTGAATGGTAAGCTGAAAAGTGACGTGGTTGAATTTCTGATTTCAGAAAGATCACTGATGTGATGAGAATGAATAACTCTCTGGAGTGCTAGGATGTGGGGGCAGGGAGCTAGCTTAGTATATTATTGCAAAATCTTGCCAAAGATGAGCTGATCAAATGAGAGGAAGCATGAACTAAGAGGGGAGCAGCAGGAGTGGAAAAGAGAGATATAATGATGCTAGTACAGAGTTTATATTTACAGAACTTGAAATGCAGGCTCAGGAGTGGGAGGAGTCAGGTGGTGCCAAGCCTACATAAATGAGCATGGTGTTGCTTTTGACAAATAGGAGAGGCAGAGAGGGGAATAACATTTTGTAGTTTCTTAATTTCTAGTATGTCTTGAGATAGGTCTCTAATTATATGCAGCTCAGTTAACAGATGAAAGTTATTGGTTTATCATGCATTCATCTTTATGAAAAGAAAGGATTCGGCCTTGCTTCTTCCTTGTTACGAAAGTATGGCCAGGGCTGGGCACGGTGGCTCACACCTGTAATCCCAGCGCTTTGGGAGGCTGAGGAGGGTGGGTCACCTGAGGTCAGGAGTTTGAGACCAGCCTGGCCAATATGGTGAAACCCCATCTCTACTAAAAATATAAAAATTGGCTGAGTGTGGTGGCGCATGCCTGTAATCCCAGCTACTCAGGAGGCTGAGGCAGGAGAATCACTTGAACCTGGGAAGGTGAGGTTGCAGTGAGCCAAGATCAGGCCATTGCACTCCAACCTGGGCGACAGAACAAGAAGGCTCTGTCTCCAAAAAAAAAAAGAAAGAAAAAAAGTAGGACAGTAAAAGACTTAGAAGCTGACTTGCCTTAGAATTAAAGTTAACCAGCAGATTTTGTGTATTCATTCAATAATCAAGTCTAGTTAAATTGTTTGAAGCCATTTTAATGTTTAAAAAAATACTAAAAGAGGCCATTGAATAGTCATGGAAAAAGAAAGCAAATTATTGTTTTTCTTTAAGTATCAGTTCATCTGATAGATGTGGGTTACCACAAAGCATTGGTGGCTCACCAAAAATTGCCTGTTGGTAGCCTGTGTTTGCAAACTGATACCTCTCTATTTCATGGAGTGATATCAATTAGGTTATACTTAAATACTTCAAATGCTTTTGGTTGTCTATTGGTTTGGGTTTTAAATTAGTACACGTTAATTGTTGAATTGGGTAGCCACATTTTGTTTGTTTTATGTATATTTAAACAATGTGACCAAAAATACTTTTTCCATTTGCGGCAGCAATGTGAATAATGGAACATTGTGACCTTCTAGATTCTGTTAGTATTACAGAATAATGTAATTAGGCGCTATGTGGAACTTGAAAACATACTTAAATTTTTGTTCTGGCTGTGGTTTTATGCTTTCCTAAAATGTGGCCTGTAACAGTTTATTAGTAAATATGCTGAATTGCTTTCTTTGGCAAGTGCATTTCAGTATTGAATCCAAGTAAAAACACAAATATTTACTTATAAAAGTCATTTGGTGTAGTAATATTTTTACTATGGCCACTGACCCACTAGTGAAATGTTAGGGCATTGCTAGATTGGATCCTGTTTATTTAAGGGCCGAGAGAAAGAGAAAGCTAACATTAATTGAATGCCTATTAATGTGCCATCATATTTGGTACACTATTATCTCTTTTTTGCTTTCCCAGCAACTCGGGAAGTTTATATTATCTCTGTTTTTCCAGCAAGAAAAGTAGCTCTCAAAGAAATTTATAGAAATTGAGAAGTTGATTTTTAAACTCTGAAAATGTAAACAATCCAAAATAGTCAAACCAATTTTTAAAAAGAACAAAGTTGAGATTCTTGTATTAGCTGATTTTAAGGCTTGCAGTAAAGCTACAAGACAGTGTGGTGTTGGAGAAGAGCTGGACATATAAATCAGTAGAGTAGGATAAAGTCCAGAAATAGACCCATACATACATGGTCAATTCGTTTTTGACAAGGCAATTTAATGGAGAAAGGAAAATCTTTTCAACAAACCATGCTAAAACGACTAGGTTTCCATATAGAGAAAAAAATGAGCCTCGCTTAAAAGGGTCGTAGACCTAAATATAAAAGCTAAAACTATAAAACCTATAAGAGCTTTCCCGTGTGGAGTCTGGAGACGACGTGCAGAAATGGCACCTGGAAAGGGGAAGGAAAAGAAGGAAGAACAGGTCATCAACCTCGGACCTCAGGTGGCTGAAGGGGAGAATGTATTTGGTGTCTGCCATATCTTTGCATCCTTCAATGACACTTTTGTCCATGTCACGGATCTTTCTGGCAAACAAACCATCTGCCGTGTGACTGGTGGGATGAAGGTGAAGGCAGACCGAGATGAATCCTCGCCATATGCTGCTATGTTGACCACCCAGGATGTGGCCCAGAGGTGCAAGGAGCTGGGTATCATTGCCCTACACATCCAACTCCGGGCCACAGGAGGAAATAGGACCAAGACCCTTGGACCTGGGGCCCAGTCGGCCCTCAGAGCCCTTGCCTGCTCGGGTATGAAGATCGGGAGGATTGAGGACGTCACCCCCATCCCCTCTGACAGCACTCTCAGGAAGGGGGTCACCGTGGTCGCCGTCTGTGAACAAGATTCCTCAAAATATTTTCTGTTAATAAATTGCCTTCATGTAAAAAATAAATAAAAAAAGTGAAACCTGTAAGAGAAAATCCTTTGTGACCTTGGAGTCAGAAAAGATTTTGGGGAATACAAAAAGCAAGTTTCAAAGAAAACTGATATACTGGATTTGATAAAAATTAAAAACTTTTGCTCTTTGAATGGCACCATTAAGAAAACAAAAAGGCAAGCCGCAGAATGGGAGGAAATATTTGTAATACACATATCTGATAAAGGGCTTAGAATACATAAAGATCTCTTAATTTTAAGGTTCCCCCCCACCCATAGACTCAGGGTCTCACATGTTGCTCAGGCTACTACTTCTGGCCTCAAGCAATCCTCCTGCCCCAGTGTCCGAAAATTCTGCAATTTAAGATGTGAGCCACTTTTCCCAGCTTTTTTTTTTTTTTTTTTTTTTTTTTTTTGAGATGGGATCTCACTCTGTCGCTCTGGCTGGAGTGCAGTGGCACAGTCACGGGAGCCTCAGCCTCCTGGACTCATGATCCTCCCACATCAGCCTCCTAAGTAGCTAGGACTACAGGTGCGTGCTACCGCATCAGGCTAATTAAAAAAAAATTTTTTTTTTAATCATAGGAAGACAACACATGGGTAAAATTATACCAGTGGCAGATAGGCACATGAAAAGATACTTAACATCAGTGGCTGTTAGGGAAAAGCGAATTAAAATCATGAGATATACCTACACACCCATTAAAATAGCTAAAATTTTTAAAAACTGCCAATACTAAGTGTTAATTAAGCTGTGGAACAACTGGGACTCTTATACACCGTTCATTGGAATGGGAAATGGTAGAACCACTTTGGAACACTGTTTGGCCATTTATTATAAAGTTAAACATATGATATAGCCATTCTACTCCTAGATATTTACCAAAGAGAAATGAAAACGTGTCCACACAAAGACTTACACATGCGTGTTCATAGCAGCTTTATTTGTAAGAGTTAAAAAACTGGAAACAACTGAGATATCCATCAGTTGGTTAATGGAAAAACAAAATGTGGACTGTCCTTAAAGTGGAGTATCTGTAATAAAAGGAAACCAACTATTGTTATATAAAACAACATGAATACATTTCAGAATCATTTTGTTGAGTGATAGAAGCTGTACACAAAAGAATACATACTTTATGATCCTATTTACATATTTACATACGAATTTCTAGGAAATACAAACCAATCTAATGAAGTTGAAGGAAAGGGGGGAAAAACAGAATAATTAAAATGACTAAAGAAAGCATAGCCTGGCTGGGCACGGTGGCTCATGCCTGTAATCCCAGCACTTTGGGTAGCCGAGGTGGGCAGATCACGAGGTCAAGAGATGAGACCATCCTGGCCAACATGGGGAAACCCCGTCTCTACTAAAAATAAAAATATTAGCTGGGTGTGGTGGTGCTCACCTGTAATCCCAGCTACTCGGGAGGGTGAGGCAGGAGAATCTCTTGAACTCGGGAGGCAGAGGTTGCAGTTAGCTGAGATCGCTCCACTGCACTCCAGCCTGGGGACAGAGTGAGACTCCATTTCAAAAAGAAGAAAAAAAGCATAGCCCATAATTCTTAGGTCTTGTAAACTTGTCATTTTTAAAAATAGAAGGCAGAGATTGTTTTAAAATGCTCTTTAGATAGACAGTATGAAAGGGAAAGAAAGGATAAATGAGTACAAATCAGAAAAAATGTTGGAGGCTCTAGATAAATGAGGAGGTGGTCTAAGAAGACAGCAAATCAAAGTCACCCCACCCCCCACCCCCCGGCTTTTTTTTTTTTTTTTTTTTTTTTTTTTTTGGAGACAAGGCCTTACTCTTGCCCAGGCTGGAGTACAGTGACACAATCGTGGCTCACTGCATCTTCTGCCTCCTGGGCTCAAGCGATCTTGCTGCCTCAGCCTCCTGAGCAGCTGGGATTACAGGCTCGTACCACCATGCCCACTAACAGATTGATCTTAACGGATACTGAGAGACAAGGTATATTTGGGAGGAGTCGAAATCTAGTGCATTTACTTCAATTTTCTTTATCCAATCTAAGCCATTAGGATGCTTAGGATAATTTA
Source organism: Homo sapiens (assembly GCF_000001405.40). NCBI lineage: Eukaryota > Metazoa > Chordata > Mammalia > Primates > Hominidae > Homo > Homo sapiens. The sequence continues at coordinate 19,610,663 of NC_000001.11, forward strand.
TAGTTATTGTAACACTCTGACATAATTGTCGACAGATTTGTAGACTTACCTTACTTTGATAAATGTTTACAAGTTAGAACAAACGTTTCTGATTGTCAGAACCTGCACATATAAACCACTCAGAATTCCTGTTTGATAGATTTTAAATGATTAACTAAAGCAACTGATTTAAGCAACATAATTCACTTTTTACTAGGAAGGTAGTCTTAAGAAAGCTGCTAGTTTCTTGGCATCATTTCAGATGACTAAATTGAAATTCATTTGCTGTAGGAATTTTTTATTTATTTCTCTTTTTTTTTTTGAGACAGGGTCTCACTGTCGCCCAGGCTGGAAGGCTGGAGTGCAGTGGCACGATCTTGGCTCACTGCCACCTCCACCTCCCGGGTTCAAGCAATTCTCCTTCCTCAGCCTCCCAAGTAGCTGGGATTACAGGCGCCCACCACCACACCTGGCCACTTTTTGTATTTTTAGTAGAGACAGGGTTTCACCATATTGGCCAGGCTGGTCTCAAACTCCTGACCTCAAGTGATCCCCCAACTTCAGCTTCCCAAAGCGCTGGGATTACAGGTGCAAGCCACTGCGCCTGGTCAAAATTTTTAATTTCTTTACCATTTCAGCATAGTCCTGTATGTGAGAAACCATGAGCTTGTTAGCTTATAAATATCCTATTCTGATTAGATGCAAAAACATATTACTGTTTCAATCACATATTTTGTCTTGACACTAAAATAAATGCTACTAATTCTATGTATTCCCAGAAAAGATTATGAAGAACTTATCTTTCTCTTTATTCCAGTTGCAACTTGATTTTTTTTTTTTTTTTTTTTTTGAGACAGGGTCTTCCTTTGTCACCCAGGCTGGGGTACCGTGGCACAATCACATCTCACTGCAGCCTTGACCTCCTGGACTCCAGTGACGTCCTGCCTGGGCCTCTCAAAGTGCTGGAATTACAGGTGTGAGCCACCATACCTGGTCTCAACTTGAAATTTATTTTAGCTCATAACTTCTACTTTAGAAGATGTTTTAAGGCCAGGCGCGATGGCTCACACCTATAATCCCAGCACTTTGGGAGGCTGAGGCAGGCGGATCACTTGAGGTCAGGAGTTCAAGACCAGCCTGGCCAACATGGTGAAACCCTGTCTCTACTAAAAATACAAAAATTAGCTGGGCGTGGTGGCATGCGCCTGTAGTCCCAGCTATTTGGGAGGCTGAGGCAGGAGAATCGCTTGAACCTGGAAGGTAGAGGTTGCAGTGAGCCAAGATCGCGCCAGTGTATTGTAGTCTGGTGACAGAGTGAGGCTCCATCTCAAAAAAAAAAAAAAAGATTTTTTTTTCTTCACTCATTTTATGAAAGCTAAATTCTTAGGTTTTTTAATTTTATTATTCATTTATTTATTTGAGACGGAGTCTCACTCTGTCACCCAGGATGGAGTGCAGTGGCGCGATCTCCACTCACTGCAAGCTCTGCCTTCTGGGTTCACGCCATTCTCCTGCCTCAGCCTCCCAAGTAATTGGGACTACAGGCGCCCACCACCATGCCTGGCTAATTTTTTTTTTAATTTTTTTTTAATTTTTAGTAGAGACGGGGTTTCACCATGTTAGCCAGGATGGTCTCCATCTCCTGACCTCGTGATCCGCCTGCCTCAGCCTCCCAAAGTGCTGTAGGTGTGAGCCACGTGCCAAGCCAATTCTTAGTTTTATAATGTATGCAAGTCCAGGGATTTGGAGAGGTTTTTTATGGGGCTTGGTAGAGTAGTGCAGCCTTTAAGAAAGACTCTAGCCAGGCGTGGTGGATCATGTCTGTAATCCCAGCACTTTGGGAGGCTGAGGCAGGTGGATCACCTGAGGTCAGGAATTCGAGACCAGCCTGGCCAACGTGGTGGAACCCCACCTCCATTAAAAATACAAAAATTAACTGGGTGTGGGGGTATGTGCCTGTAATCCCAGCTACTTGGGAGGCTGAGGCACGAGAATGACTTGAACCCAGGAAACAGATGTTGCAGTGAGCCAAGGTAGCTCCACTGCACTCCAGCCTGGGCCACACAGTGCCGCTGTACTATCATGTCAGCTGGGTGGTGCTTCCTGGCCTTACTGTCCTTGCCAGATTTTAGCAGGCTCTCAGAAGGCCTGAAACTCAGGCACATTCTTTCAACACCTTTTCAGATGCTGACTTCGGATATCATCATTTGTATCAACACATCCTAAATGCAGAAACATGGGTGTACTTAAAAATATTTGACTGCCTTTTCTGTTTATCTTTGTCCGTGAGGCTTTTTAATATACTCTTTCCTACGGATCCCTGACCTATGAATTGTCGTTAAGTGTGGTCACTTCCCCCTTCTCAGAAGTTCCTAGTCCTGGTCAAACCCTTGCCTTTGCCTGTACTGGTTGTCTTCCATACCATCTCTTTCATTTCTGCCTATCATGGAATACAGGAAAGGTGGAGGGAGGGCTGTTGAGAGATCACAGGATGCAAGGTGGTAACATTACCAGTCAGTTGAGCCGAGAAGGGTCTGAAGTCTGGACCTTAGCTCCCACTTGCAGTTGCTTTGGGGCTGCAGAAGCCAACTGGTATTTTCACCTCTGATGGCGGCTTCTTCAGATCTGTCCTCATTGCTGCCAGAGTGAACTACATAAAGTACACATCTGATATATAGCTTCTCTACTTAATTCCGTCTGTTGCTTCCTTATTGCTTACAGGGTAGAGGCCACGATCCTTAGCATGGATGGCATAAAAGGTTGTCGTTCTTTATCTCCTACCTTACACTTGATAATTTGGCAGCAAGGAGCTTGCTGTAGCTCCTATCTCTTGCCACCTTACCTCCCACTTCCTTCTCTAACCCTCCTGGACAGTTTGGGTATCCTCAGTGCTCCTAGTACATCCTGTTTCTGTCATTGTACCCTGTACTTTGTGGGTCTGATTATCAGTTGGCTCCAACACTGGAACAGTGAACATAGTGCGGGAACTTATCATTCCCCAGGGCGTGGCATAGTACCTGGCACACAGTGGGTACACGGTTTGTATAACTAAGGAAATGCCCACACATAATGTTGGCCAGAAAGAAGTTTGGAAGATGTTTAGTTTTCCTGTGGTGGGTTTAAAATGTATTATAATAGCTTCCTACGTCTGTGAGGAGGCTGCACTGGGAGCAGTATAGTGTGGGGATGAAGCACCACGCCTCTGGAGTCAGGCTCCATGGCTCACATCTCACATGTCTGACCTGAGGCAAGTGACTTCACCTTTCTGTGCCTCAGTATCTCTATAAAATGGAGCTCATAAAATAAGTTTATTGTGAAGATTAGATGAGAAAATTTAATCCTTGAGCATAAGTGCTTAGTGAATGCTATTCCCTTTATTTACTATTCCAGAAAACAATGTAGATGTTTTTATAAATCAAGTTAAATTATATTTTATTTATTTATTTATTTTTGAGACAGAGTCCTGCTCTGTCACTCAGGCTGGAGTGTGGTGGCGTGATGTCAGCTCACTGCAACCTCCGCCTCCCGGGTTCAAGAATCAAGTTATATTTTAGATTGATTAAGGGAATTTAGTGTTAAAAGATTATCTGATGCCTGTTATAAGTAGCATCATTGTTTTATAATTATCCAGGTAGAAGTTCTCAGCTTTTTCTTTGGCAGCCTTCCCCCATTCACCTCCCTTATAAAAAAAAAAAAGCCCAGATACACACACACCTGCACACATACACACCCACTCTCTCTTTCACACACACACACTCTCACACACACACTTTCACACACACACATTCACTCTCCTCTCTCTCTTAGACACACACACCACTCACTCACTTTAATTTTTTTTTATTTTTTTTATTTTTAGTAGAGACGGGGTTTCACCGTGTTAGCCAGGATGGTCTCGATCTCCTGACCTCGTGATCCGCCCGCCTCGGCCTCCCAAAGTGCTGGGATTACAGGTGTGAGCTACCGCGCCCAGCCACCACTCACTCTCTTAATCAATTGTTAAGTCCTGTGAATTCTGCCAGCAAAATGCTCTTCCTTTCCAAGCAATCCTACACACCTTAGAAGAGTCTTCCTAGAGCAGAGCTTCAGTCATGTTATTCCTTCTAAAACATTCTTCAGGGAAGCCAACTGCTGACTGAGTGAAGTGCTGCAGACCCAGCTTCTGGTGCCTTCTGCAGAATGGCCCAAGATTCCTTTGTAGCCTCCTCTCCTGCTGTCCTCCTGGATGTGCCTTATGCTTCAGCTGGATTGGGCCACTCCTCAGTTCCCTGCACAGCCCTGCTTTTCTGCCACTGAGTGGAGTGCGTTCCCGTCTCCACAAACTCTGGCTGTTAAATGTCTGCCTTTCTGAGACAACTCAGGTGCCACCTTCTTGAAAACTTAAAAAAAATCTTCCTAGCCAAATGTATTCCCATCCTCCTTCTCTGGACCCACAGAACACTGTCCTTTCATGGCACTGAGGTTCTGCTTTTGGACAGTTTTCTGGGTAAAATGGACTTCTTTCTGACTTCTTACCCTTCTTGATCACAAGCTCCCCAGGGAAGAGACTGTCTTATTTCTCTCTGACCCTTGCTGAAGCCAGTACTCTTGCCCTTTAGTGCTCAGTAAATATTTGGACTTTCGATTTGTTCTTGAAATGTTTTTTTGTGGAGGAAGAAGGTGAACCACAGTTACTATGTGCACTGTACTAGTCTTCCAAGTGTTTTACACATCTCATGGGTTTCATCCTCACTATTCCCCAGTTGCAGAAAGGCACTGTTAGTATTCTTCTTTGCCATATGCAGAAACTGAAACATAGAGAAGTTATATAGTTTGCCCAAGGACTGAGACACACAGCTAGTAAATAATCTAATAGTATTCACAATCGTTTTAACCTGTCTTACCCCAAATCCACATAACCTCAAAACTGAAGAATAATCATTGTACAACACTTTCCTTTTTTTCCCCCCAAGACAGAGTCTCGCTTTGTTGCCCAGGCTGGAGTGCAGTGGCACAATCAGGGGTCACTGCAGCCTTGACCTCCCAGGCTCAAGCGATCCTCCCACCTCAGCCCCCCACCGCCCCCGAGTAGAGCTGGGACTACAGGCATATGCCACCACACCCTGCTGAACTTTCCATTTTTCAAAGAATAAACACTCTATACTGGACTGAGATTCTCCAAGGATAAAGGAAATCTTCCCCGGTGCCTTTTACTTAATAAATGTTAATAAATGTTGATCAAGTCAGTGTGTGTAAGGGAAATACATTAATGATACTGTTTCTCCATTGAATTTTTTTTTTTAATTTTTATTTTTTAGACGGAGTCTTGCTCTGTCGCCCAGGCTGGAGTGCAGTTGGCGTGATCTTCGTTTACTGCAATCTTCGCCTCCCAGGTTCAAGTGATTCTCCTGCCTCAGCCTCCCGAGTAGCTGGGACTACAGGCGCGTGCCACCGCCCAGCTAATTTTTGTATTTTTAGTGGAGATGGGGTTCACCACGTTGGCCAGGCTGGTCTCGAACTCCTGACCTCAGGTGATCCGCCTGCCTCGGCCTCCCAAAGTGCTGGGATTATAGGTGTGAGCTGCTGCACCCGGCCACTTTCCATTGAATTTTTTATTTGAATCATAGGAATAGGCAGCAACACAATAGCTATAATGATGTATAAATAGGATATAATGAATCCCCGATTCTTATATTTAATTTCACAAGGATGAGAATCCAGTTACTGTTGGTACAGATGAGGAAGAGCTGGAGATATTGGAGATGTTAGGGAAAAGGAGTCCATAGAAATACCCTTTTCAGCAGTTTATAGGCCTCAGCGCATTTGGATTCATTGTATCTCCAGCCAGTGCACAGAGGGAAGGAAAGTATTTTCTGGCTTGATTTGTTGACAATTTCTCATTGATTCTAAGTAATTCAGGTTTTTGTTACCACTCCTGTAAGTCAAACATCTATGGTTTCTGTTTCCTTGAGGGGCTGCAGAGTAACATAGTCATAAATTAACCATGGATAGTGTTAAAATCCAGAAAAACACGTTGTTGTATGTAACAAGAGACAGTCACCTTGCTGCTCTGCTGACCTCTCCATGAGGTCTATCCCTTTGTGTAGGAAAGAGCCATGACTCAGAGTCAGACAGCCTGGGTTTGAATTCTACTTTTTATAGGTTTTCATAAGGTTTCATCATAATATGAGGTTTTCATAATAAACTTTATAATGTGGTACACTGCCTAACGCTTTGTAGATGTTAGTACCTCCAAAGCACACCCCCCATAAATGTGATCTGTCTTTAATGTGTTTATATAAACTTGGCAATTTTGTATCTTTTTTTCTCAGCTTCCCTTTAATAATTAATCTTCAGAGCTGCTTCTCATTTTCCTACATACTGTATCCACATGTGCATTAACTAATTATATTTTGGTAAAATGTCTCCAGCTATGTTTCTTGTTTTATGCATTCTTGGGAGCTGTATGGCTGTCAGCATTCTGGAAGTTGAACTAAGTGCTGTACACACTCATTTAAAAGGACCCCTTTTTGAGTTTGGCTTTTCTTGAAGCAGAGCACACCAGTAATGACTCCACATTTACCTTTCATACCTTTGTTTCTTTCCATTGCCTGGTTTGTTTGCTTGTTCTAATCAGAATCCTGGTAATTGATGTCCACCCGAGAAATCCCTGCAGATGTTCCAGCCTCTGTCTAGTCCAGATAGCCACAGGAAGGGTAAGGTCTTGTAAAATAGCCACCTTCTTAGTATGTTTCCTAAATGCTCTTTGTCAGTGTTGACTTTTGAGAAGCTGATTAATACAGACTAAATTCACCATCTCTGGGTCCTTGGTCTGGCACTTTCCTGGTTAATTCACATGAATGGCATTTACATGTGGACACCTGGGACAATCTGTCTTGTCCTCAAAGGATTAAGTAACACAGTTTGAAGCTGACTTTAAACTATTTTTTCCGTCATTAATGGGGCCCTGAGCATCTTTCATAAATCAGGAATGTGTCTTGGAAATGTAATTCTCACTAAACTCAGTTCCAAGGGTATTTTCTATAAAAGCACATTCTTGTTTGTTCTGTCATAACACATGCATTTGATGATTGTAATAGCATTGACAGAAACACGATTGAACAGGAAGCACGGCCATTATAAATAGGTCAGTTTGATATAAATTCATGTTCAAAGCACAAATACAGCTTTATTAGACACAAGACAACTCTAGGAAAATATTGATTACATTTTAAAGCAAAATGGTCTAGTTAAGCAGCAAGTCTGAAAGGATCCTCTATTAAAAAATATATATATATGTATATATATACACATACACACACAGCAAAGCCCGATGTGTCATATAAACAATTACTGATGTCAATGAAATACAGTCAACTGTGCAAAGGGTAGGAAAAAACTGGTTCTGATTTTCAGCTGTGGCTTATCCACAGTGTGATCCTACGTAGCCAGTGAGTTGTATTTTAATAAAGGATTAGCTATTATACTACACTTTTTTTTTTTTTTGGCAAGGTCTCACTCTGTTGTCCAGGCTGCAATACAGTGGTATGATCATGGCTCACTGCAGCCTCAACTCCCAGGCTAAAGTGATCCTCCCACCCAAGCCTCCTGAGTAGCTGGGAGCACAGGCATGCACCATCATGCCTGGCTGATTTTTATTTATTTATTATTATTATTATTATTTTGTTTTGTTTTTGTTTTTGTAGAGATGCAGTCTGACTGTGTTGCCCAGGCTGGTTTCAAACTCCTAGGCTCAAGCGATCCTCCCATCTTGGCCTCCTAACGTGCTGGGATTACAGGCATGAGCTGCTGCACGCAGCCTGTATTACACCTCTGAAATCTTTTATCAGGGAGGTGGCAGAACTTACTACCACTTAGTGTATTCCATGTCAGACACTATTAGAGACTTTCCATTTTTCTAATGTAGCAACCCTGTAAGGTTGTTTTCACTCTACAGATGAGCAGGTTGAGGCTGGGTAGGGTTGACTAATTGGCCTGGGGTCAGAGAGCTGACTTGTAGGGACTGGAGCAGCGGTTTGGGCCCGGCCTGTCTTGCTGCAGCATCAGTGCTCTAACCACTCACTCAGCAGGAGAGTACATCCAGCATTTATTTAGAAATTGGATCCTTTCTTTCAGACATGTAAGAATGAAGAAGTTGTCTGGCACAAGGCTTCTAGGATCTTAAAGACTGGTAATTCCTGTAGCTTCTCATATTTGTGAACTGCCAGTTGAATATGGTACTTAAGTTTTTGCTCATGCATCTTGATGTAAGTTATACAAAATAAAATGGAGTTACTTTGCTATTTTAACTAATCTTTTAGATGTAGATAAAATGTAGCACTGACAACTATACCTTAGGCTTATGAATATAGGAGCCTTGTTGAAAATGTTACATGTAAGCTGGAGTGAGGTCTTAATAATTGCCATAAGTTATTGATAGATGAAATGGGTCTATAGTCTTTTTTCCCCTATGATCTATTATAGAAATATTTCAAAGTGAATTTCTGTTTCTGTTCCTCTTCAGTGAGTTGTTCTTCCTTCATTGAAAGTCCATAGGCAATTGGAACTTTTGTGAAGTTGGTCGTACAGGAGCATATATGACTACAGCTCATTCTGTTAGGGGCTAACATCCAAAATACATTGCTGCCCAAAGACTGCAATCAGATTATATAGCCTACTTGTTAATTCCTGCTGATTATGTTTGCTTCTAATTATTTGCAGTGAGGTAAAGCTTTATGATCTGTGGCATGGTGAGAACAAAGATTTTTTTAAAAGTAAAATACAGTTGCATTGAGCAACTAGAAATTGTCCATAACTGTAATGGACAACAACATACATTTTCCCCCTTTTATTACCAAAAGGTGGCTTAAGGTGTACATTGCTGCACCTCCATTGGTTGTTCTCCTTTTAAATTTGTTGTAAAATCCTCTTAGGCATAAGATAAGGCCTATTATTTTATGTATCTGATCAGTATTGTATTTATAGTTCATGGGCGCAGAGTTTTCTGTTCTTTTTACTGTTAAAATATCATCCGATGAAATGTTAAGGAATTGCTCCTTCTTAGAAATGTGTGTTTATCTACTAGCCGGTTTTATGATGTTCTGTTGGGCACTAGGCATGCATTAAATTGCATGGTTAGATTGATTCAGAGTAATTTCATTTTAGAGGAGTATGTGCCAATTCTTTTTCCTCTCCAAAAGGCATGGTTTCAGAGCATGGCCCTGTGCCTAATGTTAATTCCATAAGGCTCCTTTGTTATGCTCCCCACCCCCTACCACACACCCGCAACTGGCCTTTGCCATGAGGAAGATGTGTACCTATAATCAGGCATTTCTTTACTTTAGGGTTATTTGTCATGTCAGACAGCATGGACTTTTGAGAACAGGCTTAAGCTAGGGAAGGCAAAGTTATATAAACTGTATTCATTGTTAAATATTTGCTTCCAGGGAAGGTGAAAAATGCTTTGTACTTTTTCCTTTGGCTTTTTTCCCTCAAAAGAGCTTGTCATGCAACAGCAACAAAAAGTGGCCAAAGGCAGAGAAAACTCTTCTCTTTTCCATGTTGGTTTGTTTTTATTGTAAGACAAACCTTTCATGTTTTATTGTTATGAAGTTTAAACCTGGCCTAGAGGTGCCAATCTTTAGTGGAAACAGCTGCAGAGTTGGTGTCCCCCGATCAGGTGGGACTTCTTTGAAGCAACATGTTGCCTTTTAAAAGAGAATTGTGCATGTGAGAACTTGAATCTGTAAAACTCATCAGCAGTTCCACCATTGTTTATCTTTTAAGTAACTGAGATAGCTAACTTTAAGTAAAACATTGCAATTAAAAATCGTTTTCTGAATTATTTTTTTTCCAAAGAGAATAGCCTTATTACTTTTTGTCTTAAAAATACAGAAATGAGGGAAAAATCACCTTTAAGAATTGAAGATACAGCAGCCCAGTTGAACTAAGACCATAGAGCACATTCTTTGATAACTCCTTTTTGCTGGTCTGAACTGTTGATTCTTACTTCATATTTATACTTGCAGATAAATGCCTATAATAGGAGCAAAACTGGGTGGTTGGGCATATATCTGAATTCTAGAGATTAAGATTTTCTACTTGATATTGATGGATGTGGAAGCATTGCTCATCTTTTTGATTGAGTGGTACGGTTAGCAATGGAGTCGGCATCATTCTTGGTCTACTGCTAGGAAAAGTTGAGCATCAGAGAGCTTTTTCTCCTTGGGGGAAAATAGAAGAGACAGGCATGGAGTCAGAGGGACAAGAAAAATGCTGAAATATTTTCCTTTGGGGCTTTTGATTTCTTTGCCAAAAAATTGCCTCCAGATGGAGAAGAGCAAAAGCTCTGATTGTAAGCCATTATGTTTTTACTGGCTTATCTCCCCATTCCGTTGCCTGGTTTGGAATCTGTAAGCTAGTCCAAATCCTTTACCTCATTTTCTAGTACCAATTTACTGTCTTACTCATCTTCCAGCTGCAAGGAGTGAGGCAAGTCGCCTTAAAATTGAACCCTGTACCATTTTATAAACCAAGCAACAGCAGAGTCTTGCCAAGGAATATCAGTATCAATGGCTTCCATGTCCCTGAGGTTCTTGAATCACACCTACCAGGTCAACTTCTTGTGTCTGTGACTTGTGCGGTAGGATTGGTCTGGGAATGAATCTAACAGGCCCTTTTGGCTTTGTGAAGACTTGTTACTACCCAGGTTGTCTAGCATTCTGAGCTGTATGGGGAGCACAGTCATATTTTGGCTGTATTTCACTGGCAGTAGAAATCTTGACATTCCAATTTCCCTTGAGGGGTAGTAATTGTTTAGGGGTTGAAACTGGAGAGGAATCCAACATCTGGACATGGCAGGTACAGTAGCATTGGAGTCTGGCAGACTTGAGCCCAGATGACTGTTCCGCAACTAACTAAACAATATCCTTGGGCAAGTCATTTTCTTCATCTGGGGCTCTGGAGGGCCGTCTTTTTCCTCTGCCTAGATATTCTGGCTTGTGTGATAGCTCAGCCTTTAGGAATTGTTCTGGATTACTGCTTTTTATCTTCCTCAAAAAGTAGCCATCACTCCAAGTGCTGAGGTGACAAGGGGAGCGTCCTGTTGGCACTATCTCATGTTTTGGCTGTGGTATCCCTCTTTGAGGTGGGTAGGAGAGCCCAGGATGCTGGAGGCTCCTTGCCAGCAGTGTAGAGAGGGTCCACTCTAGAACAGTCTCCTGGCTTGTTCCCCTGCCCCACACCCCGCAACTTGTCTAGAGAGAACAGGGAGTCAAGTTTTTATTTCATGTTGGGCAGGAGAACCAAAGGCATCTGTAAAACCTCTGACAAATAAAGACGGTTAGAAATTAGAAAATTAATTCTCTACCAAATTATGAAAAAAAATCTGTTTAATGATGTTCACATTTAAGAAATGTTAATGTTATCTTTGTGAAGTTACTGCTATGAGATTTAGCATGTTTTTTCTCCCTCTTTGTAGGTACTGGTTTTGGATTAGGAATTGTTTTCTCACTTACCTTCTTTAAAAGTAAGTGTCACTCTGTCTTTTCAACATAATGTCATAGTGTATACATATACGTAGCAGGGACACTTCCAGAGGACACATTGGAACCCATCAATTTGTGGGTTGCCAACCCATCCATTTATGGGGTTAGGTAGCCCATTATAAAATGAATTAGATAAAGAATGTGGACTTGAAAGAGGTCAAAATGGGTTGGGCATCTCCAGCATTCCCCTGGGCACTGAGGCAGGGTGCCTGTTATCCTAAATATGATATCATTGCAAAAGCCTGTACTTGATGCCAGTGAGTCATTTGGCCAAGTCTACACGCTCAGATATTTCTAATTAATTGTGATTTTTTCTAGAGGAATTGAAAATGAGAATCCTGCTGGTAATAGAAACAAGTAGACCAGAAATACACATACTTCTTGGTCAAAAATTATCCTAAGCAAAGGGCAGGCAATATTCTTTTCATTCTGTGGAAGAACTTCTGAAGTTTGGATACCGAATAGATGCCAGAGGGATCCTTTTGACCTCTTTCCGTGAAGAACCAGTGGGAAATACTTGACTAGAGAATCATAATTAACACATAGTGCTGATATGAAAGAATCACTTACAGAGTGGCTTAAATAAACCCCATGACTTACTACTACAATCAAAGCATGTAAATATCGGTAAAATGCTTACATCTTTTTAGAATTCATGCATCTTACTGGCTAAGATATTAGTTAAACTGAGCAGATGATTAGAACTGATATAGAGAAGTTAAAAGGTTTATCTAGTGTTTTCATATTTTACTACTTTTTTTTTTTTTTTTTTTTGAAACGGAGTCTTGCTCTGTCGCCAGGCTGGAGTGCAGTGGTGCGATCTCAGCTCACTGCAACCTCCGCCTCCCTGGTTCAAGCGATTCCCCTGCCTCAGCCTCCCAAGTAGCTGGGATTACAGGCACACGCCACCATGCCTGGCTAATTTTTTTGTATTTTAGTAGAGACAGGGTTTCACCATGTTGGCTAAGATGGTCTCGATCTCCTGACCTCGTGATCCGCCCGCCTACGCCTCCCAGAGTGCGGGGATTACAGTTGTGAGCCACCGCGCCTGGCCTTTACTACTTATTTTCCTCAAACTTATCAGCATAGGCACTTAACAAGTATTTGCTAAATTAATAACTTCACTAATTTACACCTCTTTTTTGGGGCCATTGTGAAACATTGATAAAAATGTATGGTTATTATAGTCATTAGTATGATGCACGTTGAATATTTATTGAACCCTAAGTAAATGTATTTAAGAGGATGGGGAGCTTTATCTTCTCTTAATAATTCCCTATTGGGATTTTCCCTTTTTTGCTCACTAGGAAGAATGTGGCCATTAGCCTTCGGTTCTGGCATGGGATTAGGAATGGCTTATTCCAACTGTCAGCATGATTTCCAGGCTCCATATCTTCTACATGGAAAATATGTCAAAGTATGTACAGAATATATATTTCTCTTTCCTTCAGAAGAAAAAGATTTCTCCTGAGCCCTGAAGAATTCTTTAGACTGTTTGTAATGAGTAAACCATGTGTGTCATTGTGGCACCACTCTCAGATACTAATTGCTCTTTGGCCTTCAGTGATGTCATCACTGCTTTGGTGCTAAAGTCTCCCCTGTGCCTTCAGATGCGTATGTACGTTCAGATATATACTCATGTGCTAGCCGATTGGAATTAAGGAGCCTGCTTGAATGTTTATCATCAATGGTAAGGTAGATTGTGTTAACTATCTGTAAGTAGCACTTTTCATTTAAGAGCTCAGAGTGCCCTGTAAACATCTCACATATACTTAAGCTAAACCCAAAGACTTCCGGGACTCAGCCATGATTCTGCTTTTTATTAATTTGTTTCATTTTTTTGAGACGGAGTCTTGCTTTGTCGCCCAGGCAGGAGTGCAGTGGTGCCATCTTGGCTCACTGCAACCGGGTTCAAGTGATTCTCCTGCCTCAGCTTCCTGAGTAGCTGGGATTACAGGCACCTGCCACCACGCCTGGCTGATTTTTGTATTTTAGTAGAGACGGAGCTTCACCATGTTGGCCAGGCCGTGGTTCTGCTTTTTAATTGAAGAAGGCAGTCTGGACTGTAAGTCTCACATTCTACTGAAGTCCTGTCTTCAGGTGGATTTTTATTTTTATTTTATTTTATTTATTTTGTGGGGATGGAGTATCACTCTGCCACCAAGGTGGGAGTGCAGTGGCACAATCTTGGCTCACTGCGACCTCTGCCTCCCGGGTTCAAGCGATTCTTCTGCCTCAGCCTCCCGAGTAGCTGGGATTACAGGCACGAGCCACTCACGCCCGGCTAATTTTCGTATTTTTAGTAGAGGTGGGGTTTCACCATGTTGGCCAGGCTGGTCTTGAACTCCTGACCTCAGGTGATCCACCCGTCTCGGCCTCCCAAAGTGCTGGGATTATAGGTGTGAGCCACTGTGCCTGGCCTTCAGGTGGATTTTTAATGCTGCACACAAGCTGGAAACTTCTTACCCACACCTCCAAAGGGAAGAGGGCAGCAGGCTTCCTCAGGGCTTCGTGTGTAGCAGTATTTTCCTTACTTGATGATTAGTTACTGTGGGGTTTAAGTGACAGGAACATTGGAGGCTGGGTGCCCAAGGACAGAGGTGGCACTTATTTTGTATTCCCAGGGCCTGAAACAAAATAGCACTCAAATAAATGTAAAATGAATGAATGAGGTAAATTATTCTATTAGAGGTAAGTGCCGATGGCCTCAGGCTTACTAAGGCATAACCTTTGTAGCAGCACAATTTTCAGTGAACAACTTCACATTCCCTGCATGCACAGAAGCCTCAGCTTTCCAGGTTACTCTTGGGCTAGAATCACTGTGAACGGGGCTGCAGTGGGGCTAGTGGAAAGGGCACAGAAGCCAGGAGACCTAGGTGCAAGCCTGTCACTTGCTTCCTGTGTGATCTTAAGTTGTTTCACTTCTGAGCTTCCATTTTCCTCCATAAAATGAGGGTAATAATTTCTACCTATAGTGTTGTTGTGAGATTTAGACACAAAATGTTTTTAAGCTGTGAAGTACGAAATATATAAAAACATTGGTTATTATAGATGAGGCCAGCCCAAAAAGGGTGATTGACTTGTCCATTGTTCCACTGTAACAACAAGTAGAGTGGAAAATGTGGTACAAATGCATGTCCTAATTCTAGTCAGGAGCTGTGGCCACAAGGGCCACCAAATCCAAAGTAGCAGTATCCTGCCACGGCCCTGCACCTGCCATTTTAGAACCTGCTGAAACCGTCAGCTGCCTGCAGCCAGCCCATGTCTGCTGGAGAGATGGGAGTAGGGGAGCCATCTCTGCACCAAAGCAAGAGTGAGGTCATCACAGGGACCATGCAAGAAGAGGCGCAGCTGTGTGGCACTGAAGCCGGCAGCCGGCCTTTTCCACCACTCCCTGGCTCCTCGCTTTCCTGGCATCAGAGCTGATTGTGGGGAGAACCGAAAGGAGCAGACAGAGAAGCTTCAGGTCTTTTGCTTAAAACATTTCCATTGTTCCAAACTGAGTTGTCAGGGATAATGGCTCAGGGGTGATTATATGCATATTATGTATTTAATGGCTGGGAGTTCCTGTGGAAAATATTGTTCCATTTTTTACATTTGTGTGTCCTGCTCCAAAATGGCCTTGTAACTTTATCTGGACTTGAGTCTGTGCCTCGATGTTGTCATCCTCCATTCCCTGAAAAATGGAGCAAAATCCCAACCTGGGCTTATTCAGTGTAGTCCTATTGTAATAACTGCCTCCTGAGTGCCCAATCTGCCCCCAGGACCATCCTGGGTGCTTTATCTTTAATAATCTTTCCCTCTAGACCTGCCAGTTGATTTGTGAGAGATGTTACTATCCTCATTCAGCTGATGAGAAAGCAGACTCTTACCGGGGTTGAGAAACTTGGCAAGGCCATGTAGTTCGTAGGCTGATGAGAACCATGCTCTCCCCACTCCCCTGGGACGCCTTCGACAGGTTTTAGGAATTGTTATCCAGGTCATGATGGTTTGGCCCTGTTCCACTCGTTTCCCACTCTTCTCCCTGGAAGATTGGGGCTGGATGGCACTCTTAGGAACCTAGGTAGGGTGTACATAGTCCTGTTGTGAGACAGTTTTAACGTAAACAGTGTGATAAGGTTTTGGCTTCTGGCCCTTTGGGTCTGACCTGATACAGCAATTAGAGAGGGTTGTCAGAATGCCGTCTGCACAGTTTTAAGCTGAATGTCCTTGCTTTACAGGAGCAGGAGCAGTGACTTCACCTGAGAACATCCCAGCGGGAGGACAAGAGAAATCATGTTTATTCCTCAGGAATACTGAAGTGCCCTGGAGTAAGCTGCCATTCTTCTGTAACAATGTTATCAGTAATGCTTTAAACTCCAGCACCTGGTTATGCATTTGAAACCAAGTCTGTTTCTTGTTTTGTATTTTCTCTCTGGAAGTTGTAAGGAGGTGGTCTTAAATAAATTAAACAAAAAGAGGAAGTCCATTGCATGGCCTTTGTTTCTTCACCTTTGGTCTCTGAGCATGAGGAGGACTGTGTGTGAACTGCCAGCAGCTGTAGCCACCTGCTCACAGCCTCTCTGAGAACCCCCTGAAACCAGTTGTTGGGTATCCTTCCCATTTGCCCCCTCAGGCGTAGTTTTCAGAACTGCTTCCACCTCGTAATCAGAAGTTGAAGATTGCTGCTGCGTGGCCTGATGGAGATGACTGATGTCTTAAGGCGCCTTTCCTTCTGTGGCACCTCTTCGTGTGTTCTCACCTGGGGACCTGGCAGGGCACATCTCCGCTGTGCCTACTGCAAGGCGGTCCCACTGCTGCTGTATTAGCAGGGGAAGAATCCTGGCTGTGTGGATGGCCCACTCCATTGAAGTCAAGTCCTGCAGCTTCATAGAGCTTGAGACAGTCCAAGCTTCAGCTCTGGAGGGCGGAGGAAAGCTCATGGCATACCCACCTGGCCGGAGGAGCCCGATTGGGGTTAATTTTATCTTCACGTAGCAGCTGAAGTTTGAGGACAAAAGGGCCACTTCTGATGCCCCTCTGAGTTTGTTCCTGTGGTTTCACTTGAACCAGGGATGCTAGATGCAAAAGTCATATTTTAGCAATTTCTTCAGACGATATACAGAACCCCAGCGCTCAGCCGTTCTTATTTCTTTTTCCTTATCGTAGAATTAAGATAGGGAGAGCCCGATCCCACTTGCCCCTGTATCCTGTAAATGTTGATTTATCATCTACTGTAAGCGAGGCACTGTTGTAAGCAGCAGAGATAAATGGATAAATAGACACAGGCTTCTGCCTTCAAGGAGCTTAGAGTCTGATGGAAAGACAGACGTGCAAACACAACTCTGAAAGAAGTGTTTTAATGGAGAAGAGAGGTGTAGGCAAAGTACACTGAGAACAAAGGAGAAGGAGCAACTATGTCTCCCTAGGATGGCCCCACAGGCGACGGAATGCCTGCGCTGGGACCCGAAGTTGACTGGGAATCCCAGACAGAAGGAGGGTAGCCTCTGTGTTTGCTCAGGATCATGTAATGCATATTATAGCTGGGAAATCGCAAGTAGTTCAGCATAGCCAGGGTGTGTAGGGGCAGGGGAAAGGCATGGAGGGGGAGGCTGGGCAATAGGGTACAACTCATGTCTGACTCCAGTTCTGGAACATTGATTAGACCTTAGTTCTTGCAAGTGCTATAGTGAGTACATTCAGGGTAGCAAATACCCTCCCTCAGCCTCCCCACTCCCTTTTCCAGAAAGGTCTGCTAGGCTCTGCCCTGCAAACTGTCCAGGCTCCTCTGCCCTCTGGGCTTGTTTTCCTCTTTATTGCTACTTGGCTGTTTTTCACTTGGTCCTCTTCATTCTATGATTAAGGCAACCCATATAATTGAAAGAAAAATAATGTGCAGCCTGTTTCATCCCTTCCACTTGTTTTCTTACTATTTATTTATTTATTTCTGAGATGGAATTTTGCTCTTGTTGCCCAGGCTGGAGTGCAATGGTGGCGATCTCGGCCTGCTGCAACCTCCGCTTCCTGGGTTCAAGCGCTTCTCCTGCCTCAGCCTCCCGAGTAGCTGGGATTACAGGCATGCGCCATCACACCTGGCTAATTTTGTATTTTTAGTAGAGACGGTGTTTCTCCTTGGTCATGCTGGTCTCCAACTCCCGACCTCAGGTGATCCTCCCGCCTCGGCCTCCCAAAGTGCTGGGATTACAGGCGTGAGCCACCGCACCCAGCCTCCTATTTGCTTTAAAAGTAATTTCCTGGCCGGATGCGGTGGCTCACACCTGTAATCCCAGCACTTTGGGAGGCCAAGGCAGGTGGATCATGAGGTCAAGAGATCAAGACCATCCTGGCCAACATTGTAAAACCCTGTCTCTACTAAAAATATAAAAATCAGCTGGGCATGGTGGCGCACACCTGTAGTCCCAGCTACTCAGGAGGTTGAGGCAGGAGAATCATTTGAACCCGGGAGGCAGAGGTTGCGGTGAGCTGAGATCGCGCCACTGCACTCCAGCCCGGCGACAGAGCGAGAATCTGTCTCAAAAAAAAAAAAAAAAAAAAAGCATTTTCCTTCCCCAATTTTTCTGTCATTTTCCCATCCTCATTCAGGCAGAGAGAAGAATAACATGCCCCCTTCCAAAAAAGACAAAACACAAGGTAGCCACAAATTCCCTAGACACATTAGAAAAATAGGGAGTGGAGAGGGGCATTGGAATGAAAGTTCTCTATCTCATTAGCTGTTAGGCTTTAGGCATTTATTTGGATGGATCCCTTTGGCACCTTGGAAGCACCACTGAAGTGCTCTGAGAAAGGGGTCAGCTGTCTGAGGGAATAGTTCTGGATAGAGGCCACAGGAAGCACTGGCCAGTTGCTTTAGTTCTAGATAGCTTTGTATTCCCGCCTTGTTGCCCTTAGCGGAGGCTGGCCCAAAGCACACTTGATCTTGTCCCCACTCCCTGCCCCCATCTCAGATCAACCTTCAGAAAGTCCCGGCTTGTTGGCAAAGGCACACATTCTGTGTTACTCTTAAGTTTCATTAGAAATTCAAGTCCTCTGGGGCCCTGTTCCCTTGTGGGCTTGTGCAACTGACTTTGTTTCTTGTCTGCCTTTCTGGAACCAAATCCAAGGAAATTCATGGGTTTGGGGAGACAGCGATGGGAACCCAGCAGGGCACAGGATGCTAGGATAAAGCTGTGGCGCCCCAAAAGTGGCCTGCTCTGCCAACATACATAAATACATACAGTCTGAGCTTGACACTGTATAATTTGGCCCAGAACAATATGTATTTTGAGCTCATTTAGGTGAATGACTTTGGCATTCCATGTACCCACTAGGGGAAGCTTTATCAGGCTGCATTTGCCTTATGCAGAAGTATGCCTTTGTTCTGAGAAATGGCCTCAGAACACACTGTTGAGCTGTCTCCTTTAGTGAGTGTCATCCTCTCATCCATTTCAAAAGATTGCAGATGCCGTCTTGAAGTCCTGCTTGTAAGAAATGCAGGGGTTGGGAATGGAGGAGATGACGATGTAGTTTTGCTTTTAGTTTTCCCAAACCTGTTTACATTTTTTAAAAATGTAACCAACCCATAATTGCATTTTACTTGTCGTGGTTCGATCTGATTGTATTGTCGAAGGACTATTTTTGAACCTGTCCAAATAAACTCTGCAAAGTATTTCCACAAGGATGTGACTCCATGGCGCTTGGACAGCCTTTATCCTGAATGGTACTGAGACACAAATGTTTTCCTGTTGCGTGCTTTCTAATTACCTAAATGCAAACGGGGTGGAAGGGAGAAAGTGGAAATTCTAAGTACCAAAAGGAATGTTAAATTTAGAATAATAAGCTCATCTGGAAGCTATCACCACTTTTTTCTTAAAGTGCGCTGCAAGCATCGCTTCCCCTTGGACACCAAATCATGGTATTGGGGTAAAGACAGACTTGGGCAGGAGCAGGGGAGAAGCCCCATGTCTAATGAGCGGCCTCTGTGTGGATCAAGAGTGACAACTGTTCTGCTGTCAAGTGCCCTGACAAAGAAGAACCAAGGGAGAGGCAGGGCTGTAAATGATTTGGAGTCAGGGGACTGGATCTAAGTTCCCACTCTACCACTTATTTGCCAGGTGACCACGGGGAGTTGCCTTAACCTAAGGGGTTGTTGCAGGCTGGGCACAGTGGATCACACCTGTAACCCCAGCACTTTGGGAGGCTGAGGCAGGTGGATTGCTTGAGCCCAGGAGTTCCAGACCAGCCTGGGCAACATAGCAGGACCCCATCTCTACAAAAAACACAAAAATTAGCCAGGGATGGTGGCATGCACCTGTTGTCCCAGCTACTTGGGAGGCTGAGGAGGGAAGATCACTTGAGCTCAGGAGGTTGAGGCTGCAGTGAGCCATGATCATGACACTACACTTCAGCCTGGGTGACAGAGTGAGACCCTGTCTTAAAAAAAATTAAAAACCACACACACACACACACACACACACACACACACACTTATTTACGGAGCACATGGTCTTTGAGCTAGGCTAGGAGGGGAGAAGGGGAAAAGACACTGAAGAAAGAGAACTCTAGGAGCTTCCGCCCAGGTAGGAACATAGAACTATTACTGGGCATTTGCATTCAGGATAATTGGCTTCAATTGTTTGACCCTCACTTAAGGAGTTCAGAGCCAGAAAGTGGAGGTGGAGGAAGATGTCAAGAATTCTTGAAGGAGGAGTGGGCAGGTGATGAATCTTTACGGGGAAGAAACTGGGGCTAGAAAAAAAGAGCTCATTATCAACTGTCAATCAAGTCATCTTTATTCCCGGTCCATCCAGTTTGAGCTAGGCAGAACATATATCACGAGGCTTACTTTTTACAAGCTTATGATAAAAGTACTATTATCCTCATTTTATGGATGAAGAAACAGTTTTTGGAAGGGCAAATTAACTTGCCCAAGGACAAGTAGGTGAAAACAATGCAGGTGGAATCTGAACCTGATTCCGGAGGCCAGACTCTTACCTACTTTCTATGCTGGTCGAAAGCTGTTTAAAGTGGGGAGGGTCATTTCAAAGGAAAGCAGTTTGATCCAGTTTAAACCTGATTTGAGATACTTAAACTAGTTGAAATGGATCAGAGCCAGTTTCACTGAGTTTAAATTAGTAAGAATAAGTTGATCCAATTTGAAGTCAGCTGTATTTGTTTAAAAAAGTAATTCCTATGTCTATTTTCTATTAATCAGAAACATAATTATCAATCAGAGCTTTGGGTCAGCGTTGCTGATAAGTTTGGCTAAGTCCTTGCAAATGTAATAAAGCATCATGACATTTTATTGCAGTAGGCATCTTAAAATCTATACACTTTTCAATTAGATAATTAGATTTCTTTTTCTTTTTGTCTTTTTTTTTTTTTTTTGAGACAGGGTCTTACTCTGTTGCCCATGTTAGAGTGCAGTGGTGTACAATTTTGGCTCACTGCAGCCTTGATATCCAGGACTCAGGTGTTTCTCCCACCTCAGCCTCCTGAGTAGCTGGGACTACAGCTGCATGCCACCATGCCTGGCTAATTTTTGTATTTTTTGTAGAGATGGGGTTTCACTATGTTGCCCAGGCTGGTCTTGAACTCCTGGGCTCAAGCAATCCACCTGCCTCAGCCTCCCAAAGTGCTGGGATTACAGGCATGAACAACTGCATCTGGTCCTAAATTTATTATTTCTTATTATGTGGCATAATAATTTCTTATTACGTGGAACTTTCCCTTCTCCCTCATTTATTTAGTCATTTATCTATATCAGTATGGACTCATGGATTCTCATTTTATTCAACTGATTACAATCCATTATTATTAATATTTAACTCAAATTGTCTAGATTTGTCCAGTAGGGTCTCTTTCAAATGGTATCTGTATCCCTTTGACATATCCATTCCATTCTTTGAACACGAGCTATTGCAGACTCTTCTTGTATTTGCCCCACCCAGCCCTGGAATCAGCAATTTCTCCAAGGAGCCCTGGTTCCATTGAGTGGGGAGTGGTAGTTAGAAACCAAGCTCTCTAGGTGTGCTTGCTGCTGTTGGTGTGCCATTGCTTAGACACACCAAAAGCTTTGTCCACCTCTTAGCCAACATACTAGAAAATACGTGTGTGTGTGTGTGTGTGTGTGTGTGTGTGTATGTGACCTTGAGTTCATGCCTTCCTTCCATCCATATTTGTAACTCCCTTATCTAATAGTGAGAAATGTGGCTCTAGGGATTTGATTTTGAAGGAGCAGTATCTATAAATTAGGTCTACTTGGCTTCTGTGTGTGTGTATATGAGTATAAATGTGCTGTGATTCCCTCTCCAGTCTCTCCGTCTTTGTCTATCTGCACATGTATATGTCTTCCAGATTCCATCACTCTTTGCCCTCTAGTTTTTCTGCTGTCTGTATCTCTGATTGTGATCAAGACCTAGAGTACTTTTTTTTGTTTGTTTGTTTGCCTGGTGTTTTTTATTATTTTTTATTATTATTATACTTTAAGTTTTAGGGTACATGTGCACAATGTGCAGGTTAGTTACATATGTATACATGTGCCATGCTGGTGCGCTGCACCCACTAACTTTTTTTTTTTTTTTTTTTGAGACAGAGTCTCGCCACGTCACTTAGGCTGGAGGGCAGTGGCGTGATCCCAGCTCACTGCAAACTCCGCCTCTCGGGTTCAAGCGATTCCCCTGCCTCAGCCTCCCAAGTAGCTGGAATTACAGGCGCCTGCCACCACACCTGGCTAATTTTTGTATTTTTAGTAGAAACGGGGTTTTGCCATGTTGGCCAGGCTGATCTTGAACTCCCAGCCTCAGGTAATCCACCCGCCTCGGCCTCCTGAAGTGCTGGGATTACAGGCATGAGCCACCTCACCCAGCCTAGAGTACATTTTTATTATAATAGTTATGGAATAGTTTTATTCTTACTATTTTTCAGTTAGGTAGTTGAGTTTAATGTTTTCTATATTTTTATTTTTTATTAGTTATTATAAGTAATGTTTGCTATATTTTTAAAGCCCTTAAATTAACTTGCTTTTTAAGTGGGTGCCTCTGACTGACTGATCCTTCCATGGGTCAGTGACTTTCAATCAGAAGAAAGGCTTCCCCAAATTCTTACTATAGAGCATCCACTGTTCTCATCGGAGCATCCCTGGGTCACTGTGTAATCATGAGAAAGTCACTTGATCTCTCTGGGCCTCATTGTAAGATGGTTTTAATGATCCTTTTCCCTTCCTGCCACATGGTCCAGATGTGAGGTCAGGCACACTGTTATTGAGGAGAGAAGGAAAACCAGCTAAAGAGTTCATTTTTTAACATAATCAATTATATAATAAATTATGATGGAAAGAATCATCTCCCGTCTACATGGGAGTATATCCATTATAATACCACATGATAGACTCTTCATACCACAGAAATTAAAGACTCGCCACTGTTCCAGACATGACTTCCTCTTCTCCCCATGGAAGCAGACTTCATGGATAAAACCCAAATCCTACTCGGTTTATAGGAGAAGTCTTCCTGTCAAGGAATAGAAAGATGATTATAGATCTTCTCTTCATCAATTTGGATACCTCTCTTGAAGATTAGGAGATAAAGTCACAGAAGATAACACTAGAATTTGTCAGTCAGGAGCCACATCTATTAGGGTTTCCTGAATCCTCTCCCTGGGTCCCCAAAACCAACCATAAAACTTCTTTCTGGTCTGGACCTGTTATCTGTAAAGCCTCAGTTTGATTGAGGATGGGGAACCTTGGGGAATTTCTTTGACCTTGCCAGAATCTCTGCAAGTCTTCCAAATGGACTCCCGGCTTTCCATCTCTCCCTCTCCAACCAGTCTTAACAATATTTTATGCATGTTGTTTTCTGCTCAGAAATCTTCAGTAGCTCCCCAATAAGCACATAATATAGGTCCCAATTTCTTAGCCTAGCCTTCAAAGCCGCTTAACTCCTATCTCCACCCATCCCATGTGGAGCAGGATAGGGGCTAAGAGCAGGGGGCTCTGGAATAGATCTGCAGGGTTTGAATTCCAATTCTTCCACTTATTATCTGTGGGGCCTTGGAAGTTGTTTACTCTGTCCATGCCTCAGTTTCCTCATCCACAAATGGGAACAATGTTAATAATACCTACCTCAAAAGGTTATTACCTACATGATAATTAATTAATATATAAAAAGGCCCCTTCATCAGTACTTGACATATAGTAATGTTAGACCATTGCTCCCCGATACTCCCTTTTTAATCTAGTCTCCACACGGCAGCCAGTGTTAAACATAAATTGGATTATATAATTTCTCTGCTCAGAATTCCCCAATGGCTTCTCATCCCATTTGGAGAAAAAGTCAAAGTCGATACAGTGGACTGTAGGACTCTACAAGACCTGGCCTTCTTGGTACGTCTCTGACCTCGTCTCCCACCCACCCCTCCCTTGCTCCTCCGCTCCCGTCCTCCTGTCATTGCTGTTCCTGCACACACGGGCCCATTCCCACCCCCGGGCCTCCTTTGTACTTGCTTTTCTTTCTTTATTTCTTTCTTTTCTTTTCTTTTCTTTTTATTTTGAGACAGAGTCTCACTCTGTCACCAGGCTGGAGTGCAGTGGTTAAATCTCGACTCACTGTAACCTCCAACTCCCTGGTTCAAACAATTCTCTTGCCTCAGCCTCCTGAGTAGCTGGGACTACAGGCGCCTGCCACCATGCCTGGCTAATTTTTTGTATTTTTAGTAGAGATGGGGTTTCACTGTGTTAGCCAGGATGGTCTCTATCTCCTGACTTCGTGATCTGCCTGCCTTGGCCTCCCAAAGTGCTAGGATTACAGGCGTGAGCCACTGTGCCCGGCCAACTCTATTTCAATCAAACTACTTATTGATTTATGAAACATCCCTTTCCTAGGGGTGACAAATGCATTCAAACAAGGAAGTTCCTTTTTTTTTTTTTTTTTGCTTTTGAGACAGAGTCTCACTCTGTTGGCCAGGCTAGAGTGCAGTGGTACCATCTCGGCCCACTGCAACTTCCATCTCCCGGGCTCAAGCAATTCTCCTGCCTCAGCCTCCCAAGTAGCTGGTATTATAGGCATGTGCCACCACGCCCGGCTAATTTTCGTATTTTTAGTAGAGACAGGGTTTCACCATATTGGCCAGGCTGGTCTCAAACTCCTGACCTCAGGTGATCTGCCCGCTTCGGCCTCCCAGAGTGCTGGGATTACAGGCATGAGCCACCATACCTGTGGAAGTTCCATTTCTTAGCGTGGGCTGCTTTCTTGACGTGCCAAGTCTTGCTCATATCTCAAGCCCCTGCTCACATAACACCTCCTCCAGCAAGCTTTTTCTTTTCTTTTCTTTTCTTTTTTTGAGACAGAGTCTTGCTCTGTCACCCAGGCTGGAGTGCAGTGGTACAATTTTGGCTCACTGCAACCTCCCTGTCCCTGGTTCAAGTGATTCTCCTGCCTCAGCCTCTCAAGTAGCTGAGACTACAGGCATGCACCACCACGCCCGGTTAATTTTTATTTATTTATTTATTATTATTATTATTATTATTATTATTTGTATTTTTGTATTTTTAGTAGAATTGGCCAGGCTGGTCTTGAACTCCTGACTTCAAGTGATCTGCCCGCCTTGGACTCCCAAAGTGCTGGGATTACAGATGTGAGCCACCGTGCCCGGCCCAGCAAGCCTTCTCTAGCCATGCCAGCCCCCTGGGAGTTCTTCCTTCTCTGAGCCCGCATGGCCCTCATGCCTGGGCACCCTCCTTGGCAATAAGCCTTCCCTTTGCTGAGTCATATGCTGGTCCTTTTCCCTTAAAGGGCAGCTCATATGCCTTATCCTATCTGTAATAGCTTGCACTGTGCTGGACACTTAGCAAGTAGTCTAAAAATCACTGTTGCTTTAGTCAAAATGTTTTAGGAGGCAAGTAACACACTCCTTCAAGTCAGCTTGAGATGGTGAGATCCTGGAGAAGCTCATAGAATCCAAGGTAAAGCAGAACATTGAGGATACACTGGCAAGAACCAAGCCCTTGTCAGCTCCTTCAGCAGCCAGAGTTCTCGAAAATTCTGCCTTTATGGGTTGCAGTCCTCCCACATGGGCGCTATGCCCCTTAGTTCAGAAAGACAGTTTGATAGGCTCAGCCTGGGTCAGGCGTCCTCTCTGTTCCAATCCCCTTTGTCCAGGAGGGCAGGTTCTTGGAGAACAAGCATGGCTGCTGGATGCCCTGTGTGTATCTGTGTGTATCTGTGCATGTGGTTGGAGACTGGCTCTCTAGTAGAACGGCTGGGCAGATACAGAGATTCTTTTGTGCCTTCTTTTTCTCCAACTCCCATGTTCCTAAAAACGTGATTTTTTTCAACGAATGTATCTGGAGCACAAAAATCTCAAGAAAAATATTGCTATAGAAGAGGATAAACCTATCAATTCTGCTACTGAATAGAAAAACCTATTACAATTTTCATATCTGTGCCATATTAAATATTCACAGAAGGGCCCACTCTTGGCCAGGCGCAGTGGCTCATGCCTGTAATTCCAGCACTTTGGGAGGCCTAGGCGGGAGGATCACCTAAGGTCAGGAGTTCCAGACCAGCCTGGCCAACATGGTGAAACCCCGTCTCTACTAAAAATACAAAAATTAGCCAGGCATGGTGGCGAGTGCCTGTAATCTCAGTTACTCAGGAGGCTGAGGCATGAGAATGGCTTGAACCCGGGAGGCGGAGGTTGCAGTGAGCTGAGATCGCACCACTGCATTCCAGCCTAGGTGAAAGAGTGCAACTCTGTCAAAAACAAAAAGCTGGGGAGGGCTGCTCTTGAAGAGGGAGAAAAATTCTTCTCCCACTCACTGTGGATATGTGTGGGCCACGGGGAGCTGAGAAATGGAAGGAACAATATAGGGGAAAAAAAAACCTGGAACCATGACATTGTAATATAATTGATTTGCCAAGGCCGGGCACGGTGGCTCACGCCTGTGATCCCAGCACTTTGGGAGGCCGAGGTGGGTGGATCATGAGGTCAGGAGTTCGAGACCAGCCTGGCCAACATGGTGAAACCCTGTCTCTACTAAAAATACAAAAATTAGCCGGGTGTGGTGGCGCGCACCTGTAATTCCAGCTACTCAGGAGGCTGAGGCAGGAGAATCGCTTGAACCTGGAAGGCGGAGGTTGCAGCAAGCTGAGATCACATCATTGCTCTCCAGCCTGGGCAACAAGAGCAAAACTCCATCTTAAAAAAAAAAAAAAAAAAAAAAAAAAAAGGCCGGGCGTGGTGGTTTATGCCTGTAATCCCAGCACTTCGGGAGGCCGAGGCGGGTGGATCATGAGGTCAGGAGATCGAGACCATCCTGGCTAACAAGGTGAAACCCTGTCTCTACTAAAAATACAAAAAATTAGCCGGGCGCGGTGGCGGGCGCCTGTAGTCCCAGCTACTCGGGAGGCTGAGGCAGGAGAATGGTGTGAACCCGGGAGGTAGAGCTTGCAGTGAGCCGAGATCGCGCCACTGCACTCCACCCTGGGCAACAGAGCGAGACTCCGTCTCAAGAAAAAAAAGAAAAAGAAAAAGAATTGATTTGCCTAACCTCTAGCCCTATGTATCAATTAAGAAGAGAACCCAGGGCTGCCCATCACCATGGCAGCCTTGTTCACCATATTTACCATGGGGGCCAGGGTGCTGGCAACAGCTTTGTGGAGGACCTGCAGGCGCCAGGCCCTTTCCTGAGAGCCCCGTCCCGGTGCTGTCACACGGAGGCTGTGTCTGTTACCGTGGGGTCAGACAACCACAGCTGAAGGAAACAGTGAATTCAGCTCGGCAGCATGTGGGGCGTCACAGGAAAGAAGAAAACAAGTGAGGAGTGAAGTGCCTTGATTTCCCTTCTTGATTCTTGGTGTCTCACCCTACCTACAAATAGTATTTTATTATTTTATTTTATTTTGTTTGTTTATTTATTTATTTATTGAGATAGGTTCTTTCTCTGTCACCCAGGCTGGAGTGCAGTGGTAAAATCATAGCTCACTGCAGCCTCTAACTCCTGGGCTCAAGAGATCCTCCAACCTCAGCCTCCCACGTAGCTGGGACTACAGGCACATGCCGCCACACCTGGCTAATTTTTAGTTTTTTTCTTTTTTTTCTTAGAGACAGGGTCTTGCTATGTTGTCCAGGCTGGTCTCGAACTCTTGGATTCAAGTGATCCTCCTGCCTCGACCTCCCAAAGTGCTGGGATTATAGGCATGAGCCACTGTATCTGACCCTACAAAGAACATTTGACATTTTTCCATGGGGCCAAGGACCCATGGAGTCCTTGGGGCCTCATTCCTGCTCTCCCGTCCAGGCCAAGACCCTCTGCAATCCTTGACAGCACAGGCTCCGTACTGTGGAACTCACAGTGCATGGCCACCTTCTCCTTCTGAGTCTTCTGAGTCCAAAATGGGGCCCAAGGTTTCCTGAGCCCACCAGCAGGGAGGAAGAGGCTAGAGGACACAGCCCAGGTGGATGGGCTCAAAGTCAGAACACCTGTTTCTGGTCCTGGATGTTCTGCTGACTTGCTGAGTGGATCTGGGCAAATCCTTTTTTCCTCTATGAAAAAGGATAATATAGCTGAGCTCAGTGGCTCATGACTATAATCCCAGCACTTTGGGTGGCCGAGGTGGGCAGATTGCCTGAGGTCAGGAGTTTGAGACCAGCCTGGCCAACATGGTAAAACCCCATCTCTACTAAAAATACAAAAATTAGCCGAGCGTAGTGGCACATGCCTGTAGTCCCAGCTATTCAGGAGGCTGAGGTGGGAGGATCTCATGAGCCTGGGAGGTGGAGGTTGCAGTGGGCGGAGATCGCGCCACTGCACTCCAACCTGGGTGACAGAGCGAGAGTCCACCTCAGACAAACAAACAACCCACCATAGTAACTACCACTTCCTGAGAGCCAAGCGTGTGCCGGCTCTGTGCCTCACATTCACGTCTCTCAGTGAATTCTGGGTGATCCTGGGGATGGGTCCTATTACAATTCCTGTTTTCCAGATGAGGAAACTGAGGCTCAAGAGATGCATTACTGGAGTAAGGTGAGAAAGCTTTGTGCTGAATCCTGGATTTGATCCAGGGCATCTGACTCCAGCACCTTTCCTGAGCTATATATATGAAACCTCCCTGAAATAGCTTTCATTTTATGGAGCACGTGCTATTTTCCAGGAACTGTGCCGAGAGCTTTGCATCCATTTATCTCCTTGAATCCTTGCTCCATCTCATTATAATCTCACCTTAAGTGTCACCTCTTTGCGACGTTTTCTGAGGCTTCTCAGTGAGTTCATACCTCCCCCATCACATCGCCCCCTCTGGCTTAGTTCGTTCATAATACTTTTTCTCCTTTTTTTCTTTTTTTTTTTCTGGAGACAGAGTCTCGCTCTGTCACCCAGGCTGGAGTGCAATGGTGCGATCTCAGCTCGCTGCAACCTCTGCCTCCCAGGTAGCTGGGATTACAGGCACGCACCACCACACCCAGCTAATTTTGTATTTTTGGTAGAGATGGGGTTTCACCGTGTTGGCCAGGCTGGTCTTGAACTCCTGACCTCAGGTGATCCACCTGCCTCAGCCTCCCAAAGTGCTGAGATTACAGGCATGAGCCACCACGCCTGGCCTCTCCTTTTTTTCTTTTAAATAAATATTATTATGATGATTATTTTTCGAGACAGAATCTCACTCCATCACCCAGGCTGGAGTGCTCTGGCATGATCTCGGTTCACTGCAACCTCCGCCTCCCAGGTTCAAGCAATTATCCTGCCTTAGCCTCCCAAATAGCTGGGATTACAGGCACGTACCACCACACCGGGCTAATTTTTGTCTTTTTATTAGAGACGGGGTTTCACCATGTTGGCCAGGCTGGTCTTGAACTCCTGACCTCAAATGATCCACCCAACTCGGCCTCCTAAAGTGCTGGGATTGCAGGCGTGAGCCATCACGCCTGGCTCTTTTAAATAAATATTAAACAACTGAACCTGGAACCTTCAGAACACATTGGTTATGTGAGATCCACTCATCTGTTTATCTGTTGCACAATCTGCCTGGGTGTGGCAGAACATAAGCTCCTTGGAGGCTGGGACCTTATTGGTCTAGTCTGTTGTTGTGTCCTCAACACCTCTGTGCATGTCTGGCACATAACAGGCACAATAAGTATTTGTTGGATAAATGAATGACTCCAGACAACAAATCTATGGAGTACATAGCACTACTAACTGCATTTTACAGATAAGGAAACCAAGGCCCAGGTGTGAAACAACTAGCACAGAGTCAGAGGGCGATGCAGGAACAATGTAAACCCTGAGCCTCCCCTGATGAGTCCGAATGGCTCCTCCCAGCTCCATACCTGGAGGTGTGAACGCTCTCATCTTTATCATAAAAAGAGAGGGACTGTGTACCAACCCTCTGTTCAGTGGGCTGGACTGGGAAGACAGGCCTTTTGCTTGTTTTCATTCTATTTCTCCAGCGAGAGTGCAGAGGTTTGGACCCCCGTTGAGGCCAGACTGACAGGATTAGAGGAAACAGCTGGGCTGAGTCCGTGCCCTGCAGGAGGGAGCTCACATTCCCGGACTCTGGGAGAGAGCAGCTCCCCACAGCTCAGTCACATTCCAGGTCGGTCATTTTCCTGAGCCCAGATGTTTGCTAATGAGCTGGGGAGAGGGGCTTTTAGCCCTGAGCCCCAGCTCTGGGCCCCACATTACCTCGGCCCCAAGAGGCTGGCCCAGGGCCAGGAGGCTCTGGCCTCAGGCCCATGCCCTGTGCCAGCCAGGCCTGTAGGGGCAGCTGGAACACCACTGCCAACCAGGTGCATCTGCTCGAGCTGGGACACTCTGACGTGACAGGTTCTGCCTTTCCCGCTGGGGCCCCTGGGGTCCATCTTCAGTGCAGCATCCCTGCTGCAGCCTGATGGGGAGGAGCACTGAGGCAGCCGAGAGGGTGGAGAGGGTGTGGTGGGCAAGGAAGCATGGACTTTGGTGTTGACAGGTCTGGGCTCAAGTCCAGGCTTTGTTAATCACTAGCAATGTGGTCTTGAGCAGGTAATGACACATTTTGGTGCCTCGATTTTTCTTACCTGTAAAATGGGAACAATGATGGGACTGTGGTAAGGATTAGAGGAGATGAAGCAGACAGAGTGACCAGCATAATGCCTGGCACAAAATGGGTAGATATTACTACCAAGTTACTTCCCAGGCCCCCTGCCCACACTGTAGCTTTCCCGTCACCAGACAGATGGTGACTCAACTCCAAACCCTTTGTCCCTGATTAGGGGGTTGGTGTTGTTCTTGAACCTCCCGGTGTTTGAGAGATGGTGGGCTGCCCTGTCAAGGGCACTGGCTGGAAGTTGTGGCTTCTACTCCTGGCTCTATGTGTGATCTGACCAGCTCATCAGGCTCCACAATTAGCTTTCTGCAATGTGGGAGTGGATTCTTACAAAATGTAGAACTCTACTTTCTACCCTGCTCGGGGTCTGCATGAAAGATGGCGGGGGTAAGCTTTGGCTGCAAAATGGTAAATATTTCCTGAGTGTCTACTGTGTACAGTGCAGTGAGGCTGGTTTCTGCCGTACATGGTATATAGTTATCCAACAGACACTAGCTGGCATGGGCTCTTACTGTGTGACTTTAGGCGAGTTACTTAACCTTTCTCTTGACGTTCCTTTTTTCACTTTTTTTTTTTTTTTTTGAGACAAGGCCTTGCTGGAGTGACAAGCTCATTAGGTTCCACAATTAGCCTTCTGCAATGTTGTCCAGGCTGGAGTACAGTGGCACAATCATAGCTCACTGCAGCCTCAAACTCCTGGGATCAAGTGATCCTCCAGCCTCGGGATTTTTTTCACTTTTATTATTTTATTTGTTTGTTTGTTTATTTATTTATTTATTTGAGATGGAGTCTCACTCTGCCTCCCAGGCTGGAGTGCAGTGGTGCGATCTCGGCTCACTGCAACCTCCGCCTCTCAGGTTCAAGTGATTCTCCTGCCTCAGCCTCCCGAGTAGCTGGGACTACAGGCACACGCCACCACACCTGGCTGATTTTTGTATTTTTAGTAGAGAGAGGGTTTCGCCATATTGGCCAGGCTGGTCTCGAACTCCTGACCTCAAGTGATCCTCCTGCCTTGGCCTCCCAAAGTGCTGGGATTACAAGCATGAGCCACTGCGCCTGGCACTTTTAAAACAGAGACAATACTTACCTCATAGGTTTATTGTGAGAGTGGCAACAGCTTGCAATGGGATGAGGCACATGGTAAGGTGCTCAATATGTGTGAACTATTATAACGGTCATAGTTACCATTAAGGGAAGACCTATCTGTGCTACATTAATGGGGGATAATAATTACTTTATTCGCTGGGCGTGGTGGTTCATGCCTATAATCCCAACACTTTGGGAGGCTGAGGCGGGAGGATCACTTGAGGCCAGGAGTTGGAGACCAGCCTGGGCAACATGGCAAAACCCCATCTCTACTAAAAATACAAAAACTAGCTGGGCGTGGTGGTGGGCGTCTGTAATCCCAGCTACTCGGGAGGCTGAGAATTGCTGGAACCTGGGAGGCAGAGGTTGCAGTGAGCCGAGATCACGCCATTGCATTTCAGCCAGGGCAACAAGAGCAAAATTCTGTCTCTAATAATAATAATAATAACAACAACAACAACAACAACAACAACTTCATTCAACCAAATACATTGTACATCTCACCTGGCCTGCCCATAAGCAATGGAGACACTGAAATAAACACGATTCCTGCCCTCAAGGTCTAATGGAGGAAAGAGATGTACACAGCTATTCTAGAGGGAAATTGACATGAACAGAAGTTCTCATCCTGTGCTCCAGGATCACACTGGAGGAGGGAGATGCTCCCAGAGGGTCTTGGGAAGGCTTTCCAATCTGGAGCTGGAAGAATGTTTGCCCAAGAGATGTACACAGTTATTCTAGAGGGAAATTGACATGAACAGAAGTTCTCATCCTGTGCTCCAGGATCACACTGGAGGAGGGAGATGCTCCCAAAGGGTCTTGGGAAGGCTTTCCAATCTGGAGCTGGAAGAATGTTTGCCAGAGATGAAAGGAGGGGAAGGGAATTCCGGGCAGAGGGAAGGGCGCAGGCAACAGCTAGGAGGCGCAGATGCAGGCTGGGTGTGGAGGGTGCGAGTAGGCTGGAGTACACCAGGGAGTTCCCAGCAGGCCACTAGGAGCCACCCAGGATGCCCGGCAACCTCATGAGTCAGACAAGCAGGGCTGTGTCTATCTGGAAGTTTCCAGCCAAGCTAGGTAAAACACATGGACACAGGTAACTATGCTGTAAAGCAAAATCCCCAAGTCCTACAATCGTGTCCCAGTGGTGTCCCTGGGCCACCACTTTCCAGAAGCAAAGTTATTTTCTCACCCCGTTGTTAAGCACACAGAATAGAGAAGGTACGGCCGCAATCCACCCAAGTGCCCACTGATTAGATAGGAACCCCCGAGGTGAGGCTGGAAGCTGGGGCCAGGAGCTCCACTCTTCCCAGGAGTCAGAGAAGTGAGTTCATTTGCTGGCTTTTTAGTTCCTAATAAGTCCCTGGGGCTTTTCGGGATGCTTAAGCCAAGGGCGTGGGGCCGAGAGCGACACTAGGATAACACTAGGCAAGGCTGAGCAACCCAGGCTACCAACAGCACGGACTTGAACCGGGTCGCATGCCGGAGCGGACGGGATGAGGTGCACCGCAGAACTGGGGACTCCTGGTGCCGGGACGCGGCGGGCTGGGGCGCCCCACTCTCGGGGCAAGTCTGCAATGCCCGGTGCCCACAAAAAGGACACATCCATCTTTGTCACCCCGAGGCCTGGCACGGCCTGACGGCCCAGGCTCGGTAAAAGTCGGGCGGAGAGAGTGGAAGCGCAGAGAAACCCGGGGAGGGCGCTTAAGAACGGGCCAGGGCGCCCGGCTGGGCTGCCCTGCCTCTCGGGCGCCGGCCAGGCGTCCCGGCCGCCCCACCACGCCGTCGGAGCGCGCCGAAGCTCAGCCCGGGGCGGGCGGGCCAGGAGAGGGCCCGGGGCCCCTGCCGCCGCGGCGCCCCCTCCTGCGCACCCGGAGGGAGAGGCCGCGCGCGCCCGCCCGCTCTTTCTGCGCGCGGCCCTCCCCGCTGCCCCCGCCCTCGCGCCCTGTTTGGAGGGAGCCACCCTGACGTCGGAGCCGCTCCCCCGCGCCGCGCGCCCGCCCGGGGCCGCAGACAGCGCGCAGCGCAGCCCAGCCGAGCGTCGCGGGGCCGCCCCCCGCCCTGCCGGCCGCCTCGCCGAGCCTCCTGGGGCGCCCGGGCCCGCGACCCCCGCACCCAGCTCCGCAGGACCGGCGGGCGCGCGCGGTAAGTCCCGCCCGGGTCGGCACGCGGGCGCCCGGCTTCCAGAGGCTTCGGCCGCGGGGGCAGTGCCGCGCCCCCAGCCCGGAGCTGCGTCCCCCGGCGCGTCCGGCGGCCGCGGGCACCGGGTGGAGGCGCCGCCGCCGAGCTCAGGAGCCCTGGGGGACCTGGCGGGCGCCTCCGGACGCCGGCGCTGGGGACGTGGGCGCGGCACGGGGTGGCCGGGGGGCACCGCCGCGTCCGGAGCCCGTCCCCAGACTCGCCCCAGGGTTCCGTTTCTGGATCGGAGTTTCCGCGGCCGGGGGAGAGAGGGAGCGAGGGAGGGAGATGCGTGGCCGGGCGGGCCGGGCTCGCATGTCCCCCGGCCGTGCCCGGGCCTCGCCGCGCCGCGCCTCTCGGCTCTGGACGTTTCCGCCTCCCGCGGCCCCCTCTGCTTCGGTCCCCACGTCCGTGTGTCTGTCTCTCCGTCGCTCCGTTTCCGCCGCTCACTTTCCCCTGGTCTGCCCGTCTCTTTCCGTTCCCCGCCTGCCTCCGTGTTCGGCTGCCCGCGTTTGTGTCTCTGCCTCTGGCTTTTCTCTCCCTCTCTCTGTCTCTGCGCTGCCCTCTGTGGGGGTCTCGCCCTGTGTCTGCGCCTCTCCCTGATCCCCCGCCCTCCGATCCAGACAATCCCCCAGTGTCGGAGGCTCGCCTTCCCCCAGCGGGGTTCACGAATAGTTTCCTAGACCGGGTGCGGCAAACCCTCCCCCTGCCTCCCGCCGGCCCCGAGGCCTGGCCCGGGTCATCTCCCTGGAATTGAGTCTGGGGCAGGGAGAGCCAGCCTTTCCGGGGGCTCAGTTTTCTTAAGAATTCCACCCCCGCGAGGCCGGCTGGACGACAGGCCCTGCTGCGGGCCACCTGCCCGGCCCGCTCCCAGGGCGGGGCGATTCTGATCGTTTACAAGCGGCGGCAAAGGGGGCAGCCGCCTGCCTTGGCGTGGCCGGAGGTTGGCGGGCATCAAGGGAGAAAGCCACACTTCCAGGCTTTCGGAGGCCCTCGCTCCCCAAGCTGGACGCCACCAGCCTGTAACTAGGGGCACCCCAGGAAAACAGAGGTCAGGGCTGGAGGCCAAAGACCGGGCGCTGGCGGGGAAGCAATTTGTCAACAAGGAGCCCCTCACCCTTTGTTACTGCGGAATGGGGCCTCCCTAGACTCCCCCAGATGCTGGGGCTGCTTGGGCGTGGTTTGCCTTGAGTTGGGGCCAAAGAAAAGGCGAGGCTGCAGCGTTTCCTCGGTGACCCCTACCCCTCTCCACCCACCCCTGCAAGCTGGACCTCTCTCCCGGGCCTGTGTTTTGGAGGGGTGGACAGGGGAGTAGGTGTTCTGCATCGGCCAGGGATATCGCCTCATTATTTTAAAGTGAAATTTCAGGCTGAGTTTAGCTGCTTCCCCCCACCCACAACCTCAAGGGTCGGAGGCTGCCGGAGCGGGCAGGGTTGTTGGTGAGGTCTGCAGTGGAACTTCTGCTGAGCAGATGTGCAGCCTGGCCCTGCAGCAGCTCATTAGCATGGATTTGTTTTGGAGACTGTTTTTCGTTTGCGGGCAGGAGGGTCTGCGGTAAGGAGGGCCGTGGCCTGGGTTTGGGGGCTGGCACAGAGGTGGTCAGGGCTGGAAGATGCAGGCAGGCCTGGGTGGCACGGGGTCGGCCCTGTGTGTCCGCCCTCTGGACAGTTGACTCATGCTCTCCCCAGTGCTGAAGGAAGGAAGGAAAAGCCACCCTGCCGTGAGACTGGGGTCGTGGAATCACAGCGGCCTTAAGCAGTATGCTGGAGCCAGGCTCCTCCCTGGGGGATCTGCTGAAATGGACGTTCCCAGGCCAGGCTGCCCATTTTACAGATGCAAACGTGAAGCTGAGGGGGGAAGCAAATGGTCAGTGGCTCGAGCTATAACCATTAGACTCTCCTGACTCCAGGCACACAGAAAGCCAATGTATGAGCTTTGGCCAGAACTCATCCTCAAACCCCAGAGTGAGCCCAGGAAACCCGGTTGGGCTGACCAGAGCCGGGGCCTGACCTGGGTGAGCAGGGAGCCCCAAGCCTGACACTGCCTTGCCCCTTCACAGAGCAACAATTTCAGTTGCACCATTCAAGGAAGTCCCTGTGCTCATTTCAAGACCTGGAGCGATCGCCCCGCCCTTGCCAAGCCCCAAGCCTAGGGCTGCAGCCCAGCCACCCTCCACACCCTCTGCACCCAGCAGCATGCTCAGCCTGGCAGTGGGGCACAGCCTGTTTTCTTGAAGTTGGATTCTGGAGGAGGCTGGTGTCTCCACGACCCTGTCTTAGAGTCTGAGTGGGATCTTCCTCTCAGTTCCCACCTTAGATAGGGAATCATGTTGGGTGGCCCTTGACAATTTCTAAAATCCATTCCCAGCTGTCATCCCACTTGCTGGAGTTTCACCTCAAGGTTTTCCCTAAATCCAGTTTCACTGGGGCAGATGCAGCTCAGACTGAAATAGCCTCAGGACCTGCCGAGGATCCTGTGGGAGCGAGGGGCAGAAGGGAGCAGGCAGAGGCCAGGGAGGATAAGAGGCCCAAGCTAGCACTTAAAGTGACATGGACTGAGGAATTAACTATGATGGGCGATCTCTCCAGAGATTTCCATGTATTCTTCAGTTTAATTGTCACAGCTGTCCTGTGAGCTGGATATTAGCACTGTCCCCACTTTGCAGATGAGGAAACTGAGGTACAGAAAGGTTAGAATGGGGCCAAGTGATCCTAGTGCTTTGGGAGGCTGAAGTGGGAGTTCAAGACCAGCCTGGTCAACAAAGGGAGACCTTGTCTCTTCAAAAAATACAAAAAAATTAGCTGGGCATGGTGGTGTATGCCTGTACCACCAGCTATTCTGGAGGCTGAGGTGGGAGGATCACTTGAGCCCCAGAGTTTGAGGCTGATGTGAGCTATGATTGTGCCACCGCGCTCCAGCCTGGGTAACAGAGTGAGATCCTGTTACAAATAAAAACATAAAGATAAAAAGAGAAAGATTAGAATGGCTGAGCTAAGATTTGAACCCCAGTCTGTCATAATTGTGGAGAATGGAGGAGGAGAGCCAGACCCTGCCCTTAGTGAGTGTGGGGGGAGAGGAAAGGTGGGAGAGGCAGGGGAGGGGGAGCATCTGGTTTGAAAGCCACCAGCCACAAACGCTGCGTGCTCGTTGTGCATGCGGACTGTGGTGTCACCTGAATGCTGAGCCCACAGGTAGAATCGTCCGTCTCCATCAGCTGGGGCCAAGTGTGGGGAGGTTCCCCGAGGAGGTTCTGGAAGCAGGAGGTGAAGATGGGGAGGGAGAGCCCTGCCCTTTCCACCGAGGATTTGTCAGCCCTGCCCTCCACGGCTCTGCACCGAGTGGTTGCTGGAACCGGTAACAGGAAAGGCCTGGTGTGTGTGTGTGTGCGTGTGTGTGTGTGTGTGCGTGTGCGCGCGTGTGTGTGCGTGCTTGTGCGGATGTACATTTTCTTGTGCATATATAGGCATGCTTATATATGCGTCTGTGTGTTCTGCGTTCATAGGGGGCACAGGTGGTTTGGGGTATGCCTGCTTTTGTGTGTGTGTGGGTCTGGGGTGAGTGGATACACTCTACCTTGAAAATCCTGGTATATCTGGCCTTGAGTGACCTTGAATATTCAGACTTAACCCAGAAGAGGAATTGGGGAGGATGGTTCACTTGTTATACCAAAGCTAATCCACTCTACAAAGGGTTTCACGGTGGGCGGGAGTCAGGAAGAAGTAAGTGTTCCTTGAAATCTAGGCCACTCCTGTGTATTTAGGGTGCATTTAGGATGCCTTTCCAGGTACCGGAATCCAGGCAGTGGGCTGGGGGGCCTCAGTGGCAGCGTTGTTAATCGAAGCCCCTTTCCTGGGGGCTGGGAGGCCGTTGCTCCTGGCCTGGCTGGGCCTCAGAGTCCCGTGGGGAGCACATTCAGGTGCCCAGGCCGTGCCTCATACCTGGCGGGGTCACACGAGGAGGGCCGGGCCCCGGCGTCTCAGTTTTGGCAGGCATCTCAGGAAAGAGGTGTCACAGGCCTGACCCCGGAGCTGGCCTTCCTGGGGGACCCTCTGGACCAAGACTTTCAGGAAAGCAACCAGGGCAGGGCTGCTGTGTTTGTTCCCTGCCCTCTTCCCCGGAGTGGGAGCTACGGGTGGGTCACTTCCTTGACCTGTGCCTCAGTTTCCACGGTGCCAAAATGGGTCTGCTGTTGTCACCTCCTGGGGAATTTCCTTTCTGTGTGGGCGGCAGCTCAGAATGTACCAGGCATTGGCAGAGGGCCGCTGAGGAAGTGGAGGGCTTGGATTTGGGAGTGGCGGGTGGGTGGGGTTGGGAAGACACTCACCTGTGCCAAGGACACCTCCTTTAAAGCCTCACGGCGCCCCCATGAGGGAGGATCGTGTCACACATACCTTTACCAGGGCTCCAAGAGCCAGGGTCAGCCATGGCCACAAGACGGTTGGCTAGGGAGTCAGGAATGGGATTTGAACTCTGGTCTGTGGAGCCCCCAAGCTTCCAGTCCAGGCAGTGGCTGAACGCTAGGGTGTTAACAGGAATGAGAGGCGCAGTCGGCTGGGGCAGTGGTGGGAGCTCCAGGCCTCATCCTGACTCCAGATTCCATCGTTTCTTGCTTCTTTCTCTTCGGTGAACCTTTTGACCTGCAAGGGTAGCTGGGGGTTAACCTGCTACCCTCCAGGTTCAAATCCCGGTTCTCCTGTTTACTAACAGTGTAAGCCCAAGCAGATTTCTTGGCCTCTCTGTGCCTCAGTTTCTTCATCTAAAAATGGGGGAAAGAATAGGATCAGGCAGTTATCATAGGACAGAATAAATTAATATCCAGTCACACACCACACAATGATGAACCACGTACACAATGGTGCTGCCATAAAATTATTATTATTATTATTATTATTATTTTGAGATGAAGTCTCGCTCTGTCCCCCAGGCTGGAGTGCAGTGGTGCAATCTTGGCTCACTGCAACCTCTGCCTCCCGGGTTCAAGTGATTCTCCTGCCTCAGCCTCCTGAGTAGCTGGGACTACAGGCATGTGCCACCACACCCGGCTAGTTTTTGTATTTTTAGTAGAGACGGGGTTTCGCCATGTTGGCCAGGCTGGTCTCGAACTCCTGACCTCAAGTGATCTGCCACCTCGATCTCCCAAAATGCTGGGATTACAGGCGTGAGCCACTGCGCCTGGCCTCCCATAGAATTATAATACTGTATTTTTACTACACCTTTTCTTTCTTTCATGATTGTGTAGTGGCATGATCCTGGCTCACTGCAGCCTCAACCTCCCAGGACCGAGTGATCCTCTCACCTCAGCCTCCCAAGTAGCTGGGACCACAGGCATGCACCACCACACCTGGCTAGTTTTTAAATTTTTGTAGAGATGGGATCGTCTTATGTTGCCCAGGCTGGTCTTGAATTCCTGAGCTCAAGCAATTCTCTCACCTTGGCCTCCCAAAGTGCTGGGATTACAGGTGTGAGCCACCATGCTTAGCCTACTTTACGTTTTCTTTTCTTTTCTTTTCTTTGAGACAGAGTCTCGCTTTGTCGCCCAGGCTGGAGTGCAGTGGCGTGATCTCGGCTCACTGCAAGCTCCGCCTCCCGGGTTCACGCCATTCTCCTGCCTCAGCCTCCGTGTGTGTTACAGTGACCTACAGTATTTAGTACAGTCACATGTGGTCCAGATTTGTAGCCTAGGAGCAATGGGCTATGCCATATAGCCTAGGTTTGTAATAGCCTAGACTATTCAGGTTTGAGTTCACTCTATCACCTAATGGCACATTTCTCAGAGTGCATCCCCATGGCTAACTGACGCATGACTATAGTTGCGCTCTTATATTTAGTTCAGAATTCAGAACCTCTGCTTCCCTCCTGAGAGCCATCTCTGACTGTGCCAACTCAAAACAACTGCCCCCTATTTACCCACATCCCTGGACCTCCCCTCAGGGGAGTGTCTGAGTGGGCATAGGGTCTGTGCCCCCAGCTCCCTGCCCTCACCCTTGCCTTTCTCCCCACCCTCCTAGAAGTGAGTGAGTGTGGAACTGCAGGGCCCTGAACGGCCCAGGGCAGGGCATTGCTTTGCCTGACTTGCTGGGGGCCTTGGGACAGCCCCTTGCAGAGCAGGGAGACTTGGCTGGGAGATCTCCAACTTTCCTTCCCGCCCTCGCTTTTGGGGAGTCCCATGACTTGCTGTGTGACCTTCAGGGCGGGAGGAAGGGTTGAGAATCTGGGTGAGGCTCTCAAGGCTCAGGAAGGAAAGTACGATCGCTGCTTAAAAAAAAAAAATAGATTAGTTGCTGCTTGAAAAAACAAAAAAGCGTAAACCAACAAAAAAGCATAAACCAACAAAAAAAGAAAACCTGCTAGCCAAGAGCCCACCCCACCGGTGGGGGCAGCCTGGGCTCTTCGGGGCTGGGCAGGAGGGTGGGCGGAGGCAGGTGTGTCTGGATGACAGCCGTGTGTGGGAGAGACTTCATCTGGCATCCTCGCTGCCTCCTGTTCCAGCCCAGCCTTGGCTCTGATGCTGGCCCAGCCTTTCCCATGATCCCCTGGGGGGAAGAGAGCTGACCTTAGTGGGTGCCTCCTAGGTGCTGAGTACCTTCATTTACTCCTCCCAATTCTTCTCCAGGGAAGGTGCAATGCTTCCCATGTTAGGGTTGAGAAAGGCAGTTTCTGAGGAGTGAACTTATTTCTGGAGTCACACAGCTCCTAAGGGGAGGGGCTGCAGTTCAAACACTGGGGACTCCAGGGTCCACGCTTCCAGGGGGAGCCCGGGGAAAATGCTGGAGCTCCACGCTGCTGGCCCGGGGAGGCCGAGGCCCCAGCGCCCTGCGGAGAGCCTGCTAGGGCCTGGTGGGTTGGGTTATAGCACCCCTCTGTGGACACAGCTGGCCCTGTGATAACCTCAGCTGTGCACTGGAAAGGGTGGAAGGTAAGGAGGGGGCCTTCTGCCTCAGTTCGTCTCATTTCTCCTAACCTCTGTCCCAGCCTGACGCTGATAACCAGTTCCTGATCTCTGGGCCTGCAACCTCTTCCAAAAAGTCACCATTACCCCATTTCCCAGTAAGCCTCCATTAGCCTCAACCCCAGTCTCAACACTCGGCTTCAGCCTAGTTGTGACCCACAGCCTCGGTTGTGACCTCTCCTAATTCCAACTCCAAGTGCTCACCCCAGCCTCCCTCCCTCCCTCTGTCCCTCCCTCCCTGCCTCCCTCCCTCTTTTCTTTCCTGTCCTTTTTTTCCCTTTCCTTTTTGACAGGTTCTTGCTCTGTCACCCAGTCTGGAGTGCAGGGACGCAATCATGGCTCACTGCAGCCCCAAGCCTGGTCTCAAGCCATCCTCCCGCCTCAGCTTCCCACATAGCTGGACTACAGGTGCACATCACAATGCATAATGTGATAATAAAAAATGTGTTATCACAGTGTGATAATAAAAAAATATTTTATTTTATTTTATTTTATTTTGAGACCAAGTCTCACTTTGCTTCCC
Organism: Homo sapiens; assembly: GCF_000001405.40. Lineage (NCBI taxonomy): Eukaryota > Metazoa > Chordata > Mammalia > Primates > Hominidae > Homo > Homo sapiens. The sequence goes on from NC_000001.11 coordinate 19,651,952, forward strand.
AGGCTAGTCTTGGACTCCTGAGTTCAAGTGGTCCTCCCGCTTTGGCCTCCCAAAGTGCTAGAATTACAGGTGTGAGCCACCATGCCTGGCCCAGGCTACTTGCATTACAACCCCAGTCTCAATTCCAAATCCACATCACTTTCTGCCCCAGTCACCTCCCTGGCCCCCTGTGACCTGTTGTTCCTGAGGAAGCAAGATGGGGTCAGATATAGGAGGACAAGAGTCCCTGGACCTCTCCTAAGGGTCTAGGGGGCCAGTCCAGCCCAGGGAGCCCTGGCCTTAAATGGACCTCCAGGACCCTTCAGGTGTGCTGTGGGCAGACCTGACTCAGGAGTGAGGAAGCCGCCTGCATGCCAGGCTTGTTGAAAAATTCACTGGGTTGCCAGTTAGGGAGGAATCCATTCTATTTTGTTAGGATGTGGTTGTACTGGAAACATGGGCTTTGTCAGCAAGACCGGAAATGCGTGGGTGAGGGCCTGGATCGTGACAGGAACTCATTTGGGAGGCGGCGGGGGGGCAGCCTGTCCGACCTCACTTCCAGCTGCCCTTCCTCCCCAGTGGGCTGGGAGTGGGGCTTATCCCGGCATTGGGGTCCCCTGAGATGGAGACCTGCAGGAGAGGGGCAGGAGCTGGGGGAACTTGCTGGATGGGGAGCGGAGTGCTTGGAGGGGTTCACAGCCCTGCAGGAGCCCCACTCAGCCAGCCCACCTCTAGACCCGTGCTCCCCAGACACTTTATAAAGTACTTGGCTCTGGGCTGGGTGCAGTGGCTCACACCTGTAATCCCAGCACCTTGGGAGGCCGAGGTGGGCAGATCACTTGAGGTCAGGAGTTTGAGACCAGCCTGGCCAACCTGGTGAAACCCCATCTCTACTAAAAATACAAAAATCAGCCAGGTGTGGTGGCGAATGCCTGTAATTCCAGCTATTCTGGAGGCTGAGGCAGGAGAATCACTTGAACCCGGGAGGCGGAGGTTGCAGTGAGCCAAGATCATGCCATGACACTCCAGCCTGGGCGACAGAGTGAGACTCTGTCTCAAAAAAATAGATAAGTAAGGCCGGGCGCAGTGGCTCACACCTGTAATCCCAGCACTTTGGGAGGCTGAGGCGGGCGGATCACGAGGTCAGGAGATCGAGACCATCCTGGCTAACACGGTGAAACCCCGTCTCTACTGAAAATACAAAAAATTAGTGGGGCATGGTGGTGGGCGCCTGCAGTCCCAGCTACACGGGAGGCTGAGGCAGGAGAAGGCGTGAACCCAGGAGGCGGAGCTTGCAGTGAGCAGAGATCGTGCCACTGCACTCCAGCCTGGGCAACAGAGCGAGACTCCGTCTCAAAAAAAAAAAAAAAAAAAAAGTACCTGGCTTTGCCATCTCCATGGCCCATGGTAGGATTGTCCTAAATGGGATGCCCAGTCCCAAGCCACCTGACTCCTGGTGCTGGGCTTCTGTGGGGCCACTGGGACCAGGACTTGTCCCCTCTTCCTCCTGATTTAGCCTCATCCAGGCCCCTCTAGGGACTGTCCCAAGGTAAAGAATCCCTGACTGAGCGCATAGCTGCCTAGGAAGCCTGATCAAAACGCAGACTCCTACCCACCCTAGAACTTTTACTCCACAAGTTCCTAGGGAATTCTGATCAAATTTCAGGTTTGGGAACCACTGGCCTGGCTCACTGCACTCATTTTACAGGTGGTGGGGAAACAGGTCTGAGTGTCCCGGTCACCCAGCACACGTGGACCCATGCCCTTTCTCGGCTGTGCCGTCCTCCGAGGGTTTGGGGGCCTCCTTGAAGAAGGCACTGCCCTCATCTCTGAAGCCTCCCTCTCCCGTGCTTTTTGCACTGGGGGGCATGGGTGAAACTTACCTGGGGCGAGTCTCCTGAAAGCGGAATCCTTTGACACAGACTGCCCTGCAGCGCCACCTTTTGGCAGATCCTGGTATTGTTTTAGTATCTCACTCCATCCTATAGCAGGGGAATTTGCAAATGGCCAAGTGCTTAGCTTTGATTGGCTCCCGCTTGACTCACGTGTTAGAATGGGGCTGGGGACAGTGATCTGTGTAGAGCCCTTGTGGATTCGAGTTTCTGGTGAGGCATCTTAGAGAACAATACTGTCTGGTTCAGGGTCAGTTTTTTTGCCTGAGGTCTGGCCAGCCAAGGTGGCCCAGGAATTCACTGCAGGCCAGGTGCGGTGGCTCACGCCTGTAATCCCAGCACTTTGGAATGCTGAAGCAGGAAGATCGCTTGAGCCCCAGGAGTTTGAGACCAGCCTGGGCAACACGGCGAAACCTGGTCTTTACAGAAATTAGCCAGGTGTGGTGGCGGACGCCTGTAGTCCCAGCAACTCGGGAGGCTGAGGTGGGAGGATCACCTGAGCCCAGGGAAGTCGAGGCTTCAGTGAGCCGTGATCATGCCACTGCACTCCAGCGTGGGTGACCGAGTGAGATCTTTTCTCAAAAAACAAAACCAAAAAGAAATCACAGCAACGTGAAGGTTAAGGCTAACTTTTCAAACATCAGAATCCTGACAATGGTTGCAGTAGCTTTCAAGGAGACATGGTGTGTGGCCAGCCCCTCCAGGGCTGTGTGGACAGCTTTTTGTGTATTTTCCTGGGTGACTCACAGCATCAAAGGGAGAAAGGAGGTAGTAATTGTTCAGCACTTGACATGTGCTTGAACACTTCGTAATCGCAATCCTGTGCCAGGCAGTGGCACCATCTCCCCTTTTTAGATGAAGAAACCGAGGCACCGAGATAAAAAGTAACTTGCTCAAGGCAATTTAGGAAGTTGTAAAACCAACCAACACATATGGAATGTGTATTATCTGCTAGGCTCATTTAATATCTCATCTGACCTTCCAGATACCCATCTGATGTAGGTACCACTCCCAGCTCCAATTGTGAGATTCAGAGGGGAGAAATAACTTGTCCAAAGTTGCACTTGGTTAGTAAGTGGGAGAGCTGGGGTTGCGCCAAGGAGTCGGATGCCAGAGTCCATGCTGTAACACCACTACCCGGCCCCCTGCACCTTGCTGTGCCTCACCTGGCACCTGTGCTCCGTTCTAGGGCTCTGGAGGCCACGGGCATGATGCTTCGGGTCCTGGTGGGGGCTGTCCTCCCTGCCATGCTACTGGCTGCCCCACCACCCATCAACAAGCTGGCACTGTTCCCAGATAAGAGTGCCTGGTGCGAAGCCAAGAACATCACCCAGATCGTGGGCCACAGCGGCTGTGAGGCCAAGTCCATCCAGAACAGGTGGGACCCAAGGGGTGGGTGGGGGGATGCGGACAGGGGTCCAAGGAGGGAGGAAGAGGACCAGGGCTGCCCATCCCTGCCTCCCCAACAGTGACACAGGCATGGTGACCTCTCCTCCCACAGGGCGTGCCTAGGACAGTGCTTCAGCTACAGCGTCCCCAACACCTTCCCACAGTCCACAGAGTCCCTGGTTCACTGTGACTCCTGCATGCCAGCCCAGTCCATGTGGGAGATTGTGAGTACTGCCTGCCTGCCCCACCCAGTCTCGGCCCGGAGCCTGCCCCAGCCTTGGCCTTTCTCCCCAGGCTCCTGTATTCCAGCAGATGGCCACAGGGCCTTAGAAAGGCCCCACTGTGTGCAGGGTGAAGGGCTTGTGCTGGGGATACAAATGTGGGCCTCCCCACAGGATGGCTCAGAAGTCTGACACCAACTTGTACAGGACAGGGATGTTCCCGAAGTTCCATTCTGATGTCTCTCATGGGCTGAAGTCCTTTCAGGGGCTTCCTGTTGTTATAGGATGAGACCAAAATCTTTGCCCTGTCCCGAGAACCTGGCATGGCCTGGCTCAGTGGCCTTTCCAGCCTCCTCCTGCTTCCTGCCTTCCTTAGTAGCTTGACGCTTAACACAGCCACCTTCTTTCAGTGCCTCGCACCTGCTCCGTTCGCTTCTACCCCAGGGCCCTTGCACCTGTTCTTTTCCCTGCTTGGAACACCACCTCTGTCCCCTTTCTCTAGTTCACTTCTATTCATTCTTCTGCCCTTGGCCCAAGCAGCGTTTCCTCAGGGCCCCTTTCCAGGCCCCCTGACTGGGGCACACCCTGGTACCGTTGGCTCTCAGAGCACAGTATGCCTCCGCTTCAAGCACCTTTCACACCTGCAGTCTTCCACCTGCATCCGGGTGATTTTGACAGATCTGTTTCCCCCACTAGACTCTGATTTCCTTGAAGGAAATGTGTCTTTGTGTCCCCAGAGCTGGCACAGGGTAGGCGCTCTGTGGAAGGGAGGAAGGAAGAGAGGAAGGGAGGGAGAAGGAAAAAAGGTACTTAGATGGGTGATGATAGGGGCAGAGTAGGAGGTAGATGGGGTTCCTGCAGGGTGAGCCTCAGCTGGGCTGGGCTTTGGGGTGGGGCTCTTTTGAGGAAGTGAAGTCTGAGCTCAGACCCAAAGGCGCAGTTTAGGGCATGTGGTAGTCGGCGGGGATAGGGGGGTGGGTGGGGGGAACCTTCCAGGCAAAGGGAACAGCATGTGCGGAGTCCCTGAGGCAGAGCCCAAGCACAGGATTGGTAAGAGTGGTGCAGGGTCAGGGGTAGGGGGGCCAGCCAGCTGGTGGCACCTGAAGGTCCTGGGTGGCCTTAGTGAGGGGTCAGGGTTTGTCTCCAAGTGCAGGGGGATCGCGGCGGTGGGGGCGATTTTAGCAGGGGCAGGCCACACTGGTGGCTGCTGGTGGGGAATGGGTGGGAAGGTGGCAGGACTGGATGTGAGGAGACAGCTCTGGTGGCTTGTGCAGGGGTTCAATTTCCCCCTCCCCATGGGACCCCAGAGCTAACTGGGCATCACAGGTGGGCTCTGGGATTCTTGATCCCATGAGGAAGTATTACCCTAGGGGCTGCCTTGCCTGCCCCAGACCTTTGGGAACATGCCTCTGCTTCTCTCTTGCCCTCTGCAGGTGACGCTGGAGTGCCCGGGCCACGAGGAGGTGCCCAGGGTGGACAAGCTGGTGGAGAAGATCCTGCACTGTAGCTGCCAGGCCTGCGGCAAGGAGCCTAGTCACGAGGGGCTGAGCGTCTATGTGCAGGGCGAGGACGGGCCGGGATCCCAGCCCGGCACCCACCCTCACCCCCATCCCCACCCCCATCCTGGCGGGCAGACCCCTGAGCCCGAGGACCCCCCTGGGGCCCCCCACACAGAGGAAGAGGGGGCTGAGGACTGAGGCCCCCCCAACTCTTCCTCCCCTCTCATCCCCCTGTGGAATGTTGGGTCTCACTCTCTGGGGAAGTCAGGGGAGAAGCTGAAGCCCCCCTTTGGCACTGGATGGACTTGGCTTCAGACTCGGACTTGAATGCTGCCCGGTTGCCATGGAGATCTGAAGGGGCGGGGTTAGAGCCAAGCTGCACAATTTAATATATTCAAGAGTGGGGGGAGGAAGCAGAGGTCTTCAGGGCTCTTTTTTTGGGGGGGGTGGTCTCTTCCTGTCTGGCTTCTAGAGATGTGCCTGTGGGAGGGGGAGGAAGTTGGCTGAGCCATTGAGTGCTGGGGGAGGCCATCCAAGATGGCATGAATCGGGCTAAGGTCCCTGGGGGTGCAGATGGTACTGCTGAGGTCCCGGGCTTAGTGTGAGCATCTTGCCAGCCTCAGGCTTGAGGGAGGGCTGGGCTAGAAAGACCACTGGCAGAAACAGGAGGCTCCGGCCCACAGGTTTCCCCAAGGCCTCTCACCCCACTTCCCATCTCCAGGGAAGCGTCGCCCCAGTGGCACTGAAGTGGCCCTCCCTCAGCGGAGGGGTTTGGGAGTCAGGCCTGGGCAGGACCCTGCTGACTCGTGGCGCGGGAGCTGGGAGCCAGGCTCTCCGGGCCTTTCTCTGGCTTCCTTGGCTTGCCTGGTGGGGGAAGGGGAGGAGGGGAAGAAGGAAAGGGAAGAGTCTTCCAAGGCCAGAAGGAGGGGGACAACCCCCCAAGACCATCCCTGAAGACGAGCATCCCCCTCCTCTCCCTGTTAGAAATGTTAGTGCCCCGCACTGTGCCCCAAGTTCTAGGCCCCCCAGAAAGCTGCCAGAGCCGGCCGCCTTCTCCCCTCTCCCAGGGATGCTCTTTGTAAATATCGGATGGGTGTGGGAGTGAGGGGTTACCTCCCTCGCCCCAAGGTTCCAGAGGCCCTAGGCGGGATGGGCTCGCTGAACCTCGAGGAACTCCAGGACGAGGAGGACATGGGACTTGCGTGGACAGTCAGGGTTCACTTGGGCTCTCTCTAGCTCCCCAATTCTGCCTGCCTCCTCCCTCCCAGCTGCACTTTAACCCTAGAAGGTGGGGACCTGGGGGGAGGGACAGGGCAGGCGGGCCCATGAAGAAAGCCCCTCGTTGCCCAGCACTGTCTGCGTCTGCTCTTCTGTGCCCAGGGTGGCTGCCAGCCCACTGCCTCCTGCCTGGGGTGGCCTGGCCCTCCTGGCTGTTGCGACGCGGGCTTCTGGAGCTTGTCACCATTGGACAGTCTCCCTGATGGACCCTCAGTCTTCTCATGAATAAATTCCTTCAACGCCTGTGTTCTCCTCCTCACTGACTGGCTCTGCCGACCCAGGTTCTCCAGAAGTGCCGGCAGCGAGGCCCAGAGGCAGCAGGGCCTGGGCTCGGGCAGTGGGGTGCTGAGCAGGCCTGCCTGGCCCCCACGCGGCACCACTGTCTCTGCATCCTTGTGGCCCTCTCCCTGTCTTGCCCTGTGCACCCCTGGCTCCTGATCCTCTGTCTCCCCAGCTTTCATGTCTTTCCTTGGGTGCCAGTTTCTGGCCTCGCATACACCTTGGGTGGGCCTCCAGAACTGGGCTTCATGGATTTTGGCCCCTGGTCTTGTGGGCTTGCCTCATGCCATCTCTTCACCCACACAATGGCCCAGGATCAGCCCTTGCCTGGGCCTGGCCTGCCTGGCCCCCTGGGAGAAGGGGAAACAGACAAAAGTATTGGTTACAGATTAATATATAAGGCTGGGCCCTGTGCAGGGTCCTCGCCCAGTCCGCACCACCTCCCAGTGATGCGGATATTGTCCTCAATTTGTAGATGAGGCATCTGAAGAGCAGGTGCTAGTAAGTTTCCCAGGGTTATGCAGTGAAGAAATGTCAGCAGGACTGGAACCCAGGCATCGGCTCAGGGCCCACACCAAGTTTGGGCATGCCAGCACTCATTTGATCATTGAACAAGTCCATAGTAGGACATTTCACCTTTGTTCTACCGAGTGGGAAACTGGGGGTCTGGAAGCACAGGTGACTCGTATAAACTCGCAGTTCCCTTGACTCCTGACCTCACACCTGGACACTTAATGGCGGCACAGTCTTGGGCAGGACCTGCCTTCATCCTGTGTCTGGAACGAAGCTGGGTGTACATTCATAGATAAATAAGGGCTGGGCACAGTGGCTCACGCCTGTTATCCTAGCACTTTGGGAGGCCGAGGCAGGAGGATTGCCTGAGCAACAAAAAGTGAGACCCTGTCTCTATAAAAAATCAAAAAATTAGCCAGGTGTGGTGGTACGCGTCTGTATTCCCAGCTACATGGGAGGTTGAGGTGGGAGGACTGCTTGATCTCTGGAGGTCGAGGCTGCAGTGAGTCATGTTCGTGTCACTACACTCCAGCCTGGGCGATAGAGTGAGAACCTGTCTCAAAAAAAAAAAAAAAAAAAAAAAAAAAAAGAAAGAAAAGGGGGGAGGAAAGGAAGGGGAAGGGGAAGAAGAGAAAGGAAGGAAGAAAAAAGAAGCTTGTAAGGGTCTGCTGGAAATAAAGCAATAAAGCAAGAAGGTGAGTTGGCCTGGCTGGCGCAGCCTGGAATGCTAGCCAGAGTTCAGACTTCATTCTCATTGCGCTGAGGCGCCCTAGAGGCGTCTGCAAAGCTGAGTTTCAGGAGACTAAGCTAGGTTGGAGGAGGGAGATGCTGGGGCTATCAGCGGGGACTGCAAGGCTGCAGGCGGGAGAGGATGGGGCCAGTTGTGTCAGGCCGTGGGGTTGGAGAGGCAGGGCCGTGAGAAGCGCTGCTGATTGGATGTGGGATCCCAGAGAGGGAGTAGCCTGGCTTGAGAGACGTCAATTGAGAAGCATCCCTTGGTGTGCCACCTTCCGGGGATGGAGGGAGTTGCATCCTGCATCCTCCCCGCAGTGAGGAGGGACTTAAAAGTTTTTGTTTTTGTTTTTGTTTTTGTTTTTGTTTTTGTTTTGAGACGGAGTCTGGCTATGTCGCCAGGCTGGAGTGCAGTGGCGCGATCTCGGATCACTGCAACCTCCGCCTTGCGGGTTCAAGTGATTCTCCTGCCTCAGCCTCCTGAGTAGCTGGGACTACAGGCGTACGCCACCACGCCCAGCTAATTTTTGTATTTTTAGTAAAGACGGGGTTTCACCATGTTGGCCAGGATGGTCTCCATTTCTTGACCTCGTGATCTGCCTGCCTCGGCCTCCCAAAATGCTGGGGTTACAGGAGTGAGCCACCGCGCCTGGCCTGGGACTTAAAGTCTTTACAAGGGATTAACACTGATAGCAGCGCAGATAGCAACACAGGTCCCTCTCTTTCCACTTTGTTTGCCTGTATGGAGCCAGCTCTCAACTGGTTTTCTTCCTCTGCTCCAAGCCTCTGAGGAGATTGAGTCTGCTTGGGTTCAAATCTTAGCTGGACCACTGCCTAACTATAGTCTTGAGCAAGTCACATAAGATCTCCAAGACTCACTTTTCCTATGTGCAAAATGGGGAATAATGGTCACACCTACCTCACTCCTAGAGTGGCAGTGAGCGTTATGTGAGTCAGCGCGTGTGTAGAGCTCGGGACATGCCTGGCTTTAGTAAGACCTCAGTGGATGTCAGCTGTTATTATGATTGAGAATGAATGATTGGCCCACGCTGCAGGGTGTTGCACTGATAGTTTTGTTCATTTATTCATTCACTGAACAGATATTTATTGAGAGCCTAATATGTGCCAGAGATCCAGCGTGAACCAGACAGACAAATCCCTGCCTGCCTTCAGGGAGTTTGCCCAGTTGTTCAGTTGCCTTCTGGCACAGAGCAGCTTTGGGCAGGCTGGCAACCTCCCTGGGGCCTTGATTTCTCCACCTCTGTCATGAGGAGCTTGCCCCGGTCCCCTGTGAACTGACGGGCATGGAGGTCTGGGGCAGATGACTCCCTAAAACTCAGCTGTTCCATAGTGGCACCTGCTATCTCCTCTGGGGAGGAAGCTCTCATAGCTAGAAGTAAACAAGCAAAAGCCGAGTATTCTTGAAAGTCCCTCTTTACCCTGAAATTTTTTTTTGTTTGTTTTTTGTTTTGTTTTGTTTTTGAGACGGAGTCTTGCGCTGTCGGCCAGGCTGGAGTGCAGTGGTGCAATCTCGGCTCACTGCAAGCTCCGCCTCCCGGGTTCACGCCATTCTCCTGCCTCAGCCTCCTGAGTAGCTGGGACTACAGGCGCCCGCCACCATACCCGGCTAATTTTTTTGCATTTTTAGTAGAGATGGGGTTTCACTGTGTTAGCCAGGATGGTCTTGATCTCCTGACCTCATGATCCGCCCACCTCAGCCTCCCAAAGTCCTGGGATTACAGGCGTGAGCCACCGCGCCTGGCCAACCCTGAAATGTTAAGAGGTCTAGGACTTCGTTATTTCATGACCCAAATGACAGTTATAGGAGAGCACACATGAAGCGTCTATAAAGGTCCCAGCCAGGTGCGGGCCTCATGCCTGTAACTCTAGTGCTTTGAGAGGCTGAGGCAGGAGGATCACTTGAGGCCAGGAGTTTGAGACCAGCCTGGGCAATACAGCAAGACCTTGTCTCTACAAAAAACTTAAAAAATTTAGCTGGGTGTGGTAGCGCACACCTCTAGTCCTACCTACTTGGGAGGCTGAGGTGGGAAGGTAGCTTGAACACAGGAGTGCGAGGTTACACTGAGCTATGATAGCATCACTGCCTCCAGCCTGGGCCACAGAACGAGACTCTTGTCTCTAAAAAAGAAAAAAAAAGTCTCAAGTTCAAGATAATAACAGTATGGCCACAAGGTGGCACCATAACCCTGGCCCAATCTTAAAATAAAATTTTAAATTTTAGCACAGAGCGCATTATAACAAACATCAGCGGATCCATCACCCAGAATGAACAAATGTTAAAGTTATTGCCAGGTTTTCTTTAGTTAGTTTGTTTGTTTGAGACACTGTCACCGAGGCTGAAGTTCAGTGGCTATTCACACGTGTGATCATAGCTCACTGCAGCCTTGAACACTTGGCCTCAAGCAATCCTCTCACCTCAGTCTCACAAGTAGCTGAAACTAGAGTCGTGCACCACCACGCTCAGCTAATCTTTAGGTCTTTTTTTTAAAATAAAAGATATCAAGTATTGTGGGAAAAGTGAAAGCAGAAAGACTAATATTCTATGCACTACCTACAGATTTTTACAAAGCAACATTTATCAGGCAAAATTTTTTACTCATCTCATTCACAGCTCCACTGCCTTGGTTTCATAGCAGCAGAGAATTTAAGAGGCTTTGCACAACTTCACAGAGCAAGTGGCAGACTCTGGATGATGAACCCAGGATGCTGGGCTCCAAAATCCTTCCACACAGCACCTCTCAGGGTTGCAGCTGTTCACGTCAGAAATCCCTGGGCTCAAGGAGTTAGCACAGAGCTGAATGCATTACGATTGTGCTGATGGGAACACTAAAGCCAAGAGCTAGGTTTTTTTTTTGTTTTTTTGTTTTTTTGTTTTTTTTTTTTTTAGATGGAGTTTCGCTGTTTTTGCCCAGGCTAGAGTGCAGTGGTGTGATCTCAGCTCACTGCAACCTCTGCCTTGTGGGTTCAAGTGATTCTCCTGCCTCAGCCTCCTGAGTAGCTGGGATTATGGGCGTGCATCACTACACCTGGCTAATTTTGTATTTTTAGTAGAGACGGGGTTTCATCATATTGACCAGGCTGGTCTCGAACTCCTGACCTCAGGTGATCTGCCCGCCTTGGCCTCCCAAAGTGTTGGGATTACAGGCGTGAGCCACTGTGCCCGGCCAGCTAGTGTTAACATAGTATCAAAGACACAGATTACATCAGTGTCATTTAATCCCCTCAGCTACTCTGTGAGGTGGGTGCCATATTGTTCTGCTAACTATTACAGAAGAGAAAGCTGTGACCCAAGGAGATGGAGCCACTGGCCCTGTAATCCCAGAGCTGGGATGGAGCGGGGATCCCAAGCCATGTGTTTCTGACTCTCTGCCCAGGCTTGCTGTACTACGTTCTGTTCCTTGGGGGCATGGCAGAAATCGTCACAGTGGTGCAGTGTGGTGGCAAGGAGGAAGGACAGGCCTCCTCTATCTGCTTAAAAGATGCTTCTGTGGGCAAGGCTGGGGCTCTGAGCACCAAATAGCAGCTTAGAGTTGGCGGGTGGGTGCTGCAGGCTCTGAGGTGCCTGAGGGGAGGTTTTTGACCATCTGTAATGGGCTCTCTTTGCCATGGGCATCGAGCAGATCTGGGTTTCAGGTCCACTTCACCACTTGCTGCTGGTGATCTGGGGCAAGGCCCTTGGCCTCTCTGAACCCCAGTTTAACGTCTACCTCTCAGCATTATTGTAGGGGTCGGAATAAATAACTGGAGGAGTAGGAACCGTACAACAAAGCCCCTGGGGACAGCGCAGGAGCCTTCGATTTGGAAAGTATTATTTTTCTGTTTCTGTGGAGAAAAAATGATCCCACCCCGTTCTCTTTATACTACATTTTCTTTTTCTCTTTCTCTTCTTTCTTTCTCTTTCTTTCCTTTCTCTCTTTCTTTCTTTCCTTTTTTTTTTTTTTTTTTTTTTTTTTTTTGACAGAGTCTTGCTCTGTCACCCAGGCTGGAGTGTGCAGTGGCACAATCTTGGCTCACTGGAACCTCTGCCTCCCAGGTTCAAGCAATTCTCCTGCCTCAGCCTCCCGAATAGCTGGGATTACAGGCTCCCGCCACCACGCCCAGCTAATTTTTGTATTTTTGATAGAGACGGGGTTTTACCATGTTGGTCAGGCTGGTCTCGAACTCCTGACCTCAGGTGATCTGCCCACCTCCGCCTCCCAAAGTGCTGGGATTACAGGCGTGAGCCACCTCGCTGGGCCCACTTTCTCTGTTGATTATGCTTATTGTTTATTGTCTGTTTCTTCCACTAGAATGTAAGCTCCATGGAGGTGCGGATCTTTGTTTTGGCCACTGTAGTGTCCTGATGGGTCAGAACAGTGCCTGACATCTAGTGGATGCGCCTTAAAAGATGCATTGAAGTATCTGTTCAATGAATGAATGAATAACAGTATTAACCTGCACAGCAGTGTTAGGCAGAGACTCTTCTCAGCCAGAGGGGAGACGTACAGAGGGAGGTCACACCCAGGGGAAACCACACCCCACGCCTCTGCCTGCAGCGACTCTTAACACACCTGGCCTGGGGATTCTCAAATCTGTTCACGCTCTGTTAGACTAGGAGCGCCAACAGCTCAGGGACTTCATCCTTAGTACCTGGCCCCTTTGGGGATCGGGATGGTTTCTGCGGGAAAGGCCCTGGGGAAGGTTAGCTTCTTGCTCAAACTAACGGTGAAGAATGCCCAGAATTACTAACCCATTTTACAGATATGGCAACTGAGGCCCAGAGGGGTGTCAGGCGATTTGTCCAATATTTCCCAACTCCTGGCTCCCCTGAAAGCCCGGTGACCCCGTTGTGAGTGGGCAGGCACCCATTAGAGAGCAGCCCCTGGATAAGGGCAGGTCACAGCCCCCTGCTCCCAGTTCCGCCTGCGCCGCCGCCACGTGTGGGTTGGGAGGGGCATCTGAGGGTGTGGGGGCTGCCACAGCCCGGGAGGTGACCCCTCGCAGCTGGGGCGCTCTGATCTTCGGCCCACAGGCCCGGGGTGCCGGGACCCCGCCCTCCTGCAGGGCCAGGGCTCGGCTCTCCCCGCCCACCGCGAGGCGGGGCGCACGCTCCGCGGCGCGGGGACCGCGCGCTCCAGGCTGCACCCGGCCTCTCCTCCGCGCGTGCGGGCCCCTCGCGGCGCCTCCCGGGCTCGGGAGACCCGGTCCCGCCGCCCGCCCGGCCCGCGGCCGCCTCTTCCTCTCGCAGCCCCGCGGCGCTTGCCGCAGTCGCAGGCGGCGGAGCAGCCAGAGCGCCCCAGGTACCAGTGCGGGCGGGAGACGGAGGCGACCCTGCTGCCGGGTGGGGAGGGGGCGCCGCGCGGCCGCTGCCCTCCTCTTCCCGCGGGGCCTGGCGGCCCCGGCGAACCCCCGCGCCGCACAGGCCGTGTGCGCCGGATCCCGGTGCCTCCGCGCCAGCTGAGACCTGCCTTTCCCAGGGGCGGCTTTGCTCCGGCCCCTAGGCCCCCGCCCTGGTACCCCACACGCCCACCGGCCGCGGGGAGCCTGCTCCGGCCCGAGAGCGCCCATTCACCCCCCTCACCCACCTCCCCGCGTTCCCACTTCCCCGCACTCTGACCCGGCCGGACGCCCCTCCCCTATCTTGCCGCCCGCCCCCTCCAGGGGGCTCTGCTCCCACCCCAGGGAGCCCATCCGACCTCTGCTTGACTTCCCGCCGCTTCCTTCAGGGGCCTCGGCTCATCGGGTGCCCCTCCCCAAACTTCCAACCCGTTTGCTCCAGGAGTTCCTGCCCCATCCCCGAGGGCGCCCAAATAGCCACACTGTGTCCTCCTGTAGTCGCTGCCCCCTGACCTAGCGCGACCCAGCGCCCCCGCCCATGTCCCCCCACTCACCTCCCCCGGGGGGCGTGGTGAGTCGCGGTCTGTTCTCACGGACGGTCCCCGTCCAGCCTGCGCTTCGCCGGGGCCCTCATCTGCTTTCCCGCCACCCTATCACTCCCTTGCCGTCCACCCTCGGTCCTCATGGTCCCAGAGCCGGGCCCAACCGCCAATAGCACCCCGGCCTGGGGGGCAGGGCCGCCGTCGGCCCCGGGGGGCAGCGGCTGGGTGGCGGCCGCGCTGTGCGTGGTCATCGCGCTGACGGCGGCGGCCAACTCGCTGCTGATCGCGCTCATCTGCACTCAGCCCGCGCTGCGCAACACGTCCAACTTCTTCCTGGTGTCGCTCTTCACGTCTGACCTGATGGTGGGGCTGGTGGTGATGCCGCCGGCCATGCTGAACGCGCTGTACGGGCGCTGGGTGCTGGCGCGCGGCCTCTGCCTGCTCTGGACCGCCTTCGACGTGATGTGCTGCAGCGCCTCCATCCTCAACCTCTGCCTCATCAGCCTGGACCGCTACCTGCTCATCCTCTCGCCGCTGCGCTACAAGCTGCGCATGACGCCCCTGCGTGCCCTGGCCCTAGTCCTGGGCGCCTGGAGCCTCGCCGCTCTCGCCTCCTTCCTGCCCCTGCTGCTGGGCTGGCACGAGCTGGGCCACGCACGGCCACCCGTCCCTGGCCAGTGCCGCCTGCTGGCCAGCCTGCCTTTTGTCCTTGTGGCGTCGGGCCTCACCTTCTTCCTGCCCTCGGGTGCCATATGCTTCACCTACTGCAGGATCCTGCTAGCTGCCCGCAAGCAGGCCGTGCAGGTGGCCTCCCTCACCACCGGCATGGCCAGTCAGGCCTCGGAGACGCTGCAGGTACCTGGGGTGCGCAGGGAGACCCGGGCTGTGGGATAGAGAGGAATGAGCAGCCCCTGGGGACCCCCTGGGCATCCCCACTTAGCACACATTTGCTCATGGCCCTGCGTGGCTGTTGTGAGCGCCCACCTTTCTTCTGAACTCCAGAGCCAATGCCTGACCCACCCACCACAGGATAGCTCCGTCAGGATTTGGGGGCAGGCTTCTCCCAGGTACCATGTACAACAGGGAATTTATGGTGGCCCAACTCTCCCCATCTTTGCCTCCCTGGTCTTCCCCATCATGGCAAATGGCACCATTGCGGCATCACATGCCAGGAACTTAGGAATACTTTTCTCCCTCACCCTCATGCCATTCATTAGCGAGACCTGTTGGCGCTGCTCTAAACAGGTGCCATCTCCCCTGCCACTTCCTACCGGGGAGGCTGTGTAGACTTCTCCTGGCTCCCCTGCTTCTGCCGCAGACCCAGTACTCTCCATCTTCTGCATAGAAGCTGGAGCACTTAAAAAAGAAGTGATCATGTCACTCCCCTGCTTCAGACTCTTCAGGCTTCCCACCGTGCTCCAGATAAAGAAAACCTGTCTCAGGATCTGGCCTCAGGATCCCACACTGCCATCCTCTCCAGTGTCACCTCCCCTCTCCCTCTCTCTTACTCTGCAACAGCCTTGTGGCCTTTCTCACGGTTCTAGAAGGCACTGGGCTTACTTCTGTGCCCAGGTCTTTGCACTTGCTGTTCCCTGTGCCTGGAATGTTCTTCCCCCGGCTGCCTTCTTCCCAGGGGCCATCTTTGACCACCCTATCTGCAGGCCCATCTGCACTCTCCATCCCTGTTATTCTCCATAAGAACAAGTCATAAAAATGACTTGTTCATTTTGCCTCCCTGACTTGAATATAAGCTCCAGGAGGGTCACACATATTGAGATCAGTTTTTTTGCTTTTTTTTTTGTTTTTGTTTTTGTTTTTTTTGAGACGGAGTCTCGCTCTGTTGCCCAGGCTGGAGGGCAGTGGTGCGATCTTGGCTCACTGCAACCTCTGCCTCATGGGTTTAAGCGATTCTTCTGCCTCAGCCTCCTGAGTAGCTGGGATTACAGGCACCCACCACTATACCAGGCTAACTTTTGTATTTTTGGTAGAGATGGGGTTTCACCATATTGGCCAGGTTGGTCTTGAACTCCTGATCGAGGTCAGTTTTGATCCCCACTGTGCATAGTAGGTCCCATCTTGTTTCAGTGCCTGGGAATGGGGTAGGTGCTCTTAGCTCAAGGCCTTGCATTGTCTATAAGTGAGTGCCTGCTCTTGCCATCCAGGCCACAGTGCACCTGACTCCTATTGACCCCCTGGAGGGGTGGGTGTGTAGACCGACCAGGCCTGAGACCCAGTGACTTAGGTCGCAGGTCTTGAGGAAAGTCCCAGCTGGGCTCTTTTGGTGTAGCCCTGAGTGGTGAAAGCTCTAGGAGGGTGGGGGTTGCATTGGAGGTCACTGGGCACATGGGGACTTGGCAGAGGGGTGAAAGGCTAACACCCTCCTTGGCAGTCCCCCAGACAAGCTTGCCTGTCCCACCCAGGTGGGTGAGGCCCAAAGTTGCCCCTGCCTATCACCTGGGGTGGGGGCAGGGCCCCACATGGACTGGGAGTCCTGGCTGCCGCCCAGCTCCTTCTCCCTATCCCTGCTCCCTGTAGAACATTCTTGAGTCTTGGCAGGTGGCTGGGACTCTGACTTGCTTCTTCAGGGGTGGGATGGCTGCCTTAGGCCATATACCCTGGGTTCTTGCTTTTTGTTGTTGTTATTGTTGTTTTTTAAGAGACAGGGTCTTGCTCTGTCACCCAGGCTGGAGGGCTGGAATGTAGTGGCGTGATTATAGCTCACTGCAGCTTAGAATTGATCATAGCTCATTCCAGCCTGAAGAGCTGGTATGCACTGGCCCGATCATAACTCACTGAACTCTTGGGCTCAAGCGATCCTCCTGTCTTGGCCTCCCAAAGTGCTAGGGTTACAGGCTTCCCTGGGTTCTTGAAAAGGAGTGTTTCACAAGCTTCAGGCATTCAAGAACTGCCTGCGGATATCTTCCTTAATGCCTCTTCCACCACCACCTCCACACCTTAAGCCACTTAATTCACATGCACTTGGCATTTTATTTATTTATTTATTAGACACAGGGTCTCACTATATTGCCCAGGCTGGCCTCGAGCTCCCACTTCAGCCTCCCGAGTAGCTGGAATTGCAGGTGCATGCCCCCGTGCCTGGCATTCTTGACATTTTCTTTAAATCATCTCTTTTATATTTTTACTTCCACAAATTTGTGTAGAAAGAAAACTTCGTATCTCCTCTAGAAATGGAAAATCTGTATCCTTTGCCATAAATAGAAGGTGATCACAAACACCACTTCAGTGAAACTGAAGAAGCTCCAGCCCTATCACTGAAATGCAGCTTGGTGTGGTTGAGGTGATGAGCCTAGGGCCTGCTTTCTCTTTGTAGCGTGCTAGAAGGTATTACAAACATGGTAGCATCAACGTGGGACTTTCTCTTGACGCACCTAGAAGAGCTGGAAGACAGCTGTAATGGGCTGACGTGCTCACTCTGTGATTCACTCATTTTATGGGGTGTCCCTTTACCATCTAAAATCATCTCCATTCCCACAGTTCAGGAAGCTCTGCTCTCGTGACTAAGGATGTGAGAAGTTGGCTGGTCTGGGTGAGGTTGGGGCGGGAGAGATCAGGATTCCTAGTTGCAGCGGTGCCAGTACCACACAGATTTTCTTTCCATGAATCTCGCTGGCTGGTACTAGGATTGAACCTGAGTCTGTGGTCTTGGAACCTGGGCAGGAGTCTCCCAGGTGCTAACAGCTGCAGCCCCACAATCTGTGAGCACTCACTCTGTACCAGGCACTGAGCTAAACTTATTAATTCCCCAAACACCCAATGAGTCAAGTACTACCAGCACCCCTGTTAGACAGGTGGGGAAACTGAGGCTCAGAGCGAGAGGTGACTTGCCCAAGATTGCACAGTTGGTAAGTGAGGTTTAAGCTCGGATCTGGCTGGTGCCATCGCCCTGTGCTGGTGTGCTGCCTGTGGGCAGTGATGCTCTTGAAATGCTTTGCTCGGGGACCCCACACCTTGCCCCTTTTCTTCTCTGTGCCTTCTGGTCTTCTCTGTTGGGTCCTCCTGATCCGCCTGAGCCATGGCATCCCTAGTCCTCAGTCCTCGGAGCATCTCGTCCTTTTTCCACATTTGCCCCGTTAGTGACCTCATCTTGTCTCGTAACTGAAAATACCACCCACACGCTGATGACTTCCTACCTGGGCTGCTTACAGGCACGTGCTGCCACGCCCAGCTAATTTTTGTATTTTTAGTAGAGACAGGGTTTCACCATGTTGGCCAGGCTGGTCTCGAACTCCTGACCTTACGTGATCTGCTAGCCTCGGCCTCCCAAAGTGCTGGGATTACAGGCGTGAGCCACTGCGCCTGGCCCTGACTTCCTGATTCCGCTCTTCCTCCCTTTCAACCTTCCGCAGTGGCCCCAATGATCCCCTTTACAATGCAGTTCCTGCTGCATCATTCCTCTGCTCTGGCAGCCTTGTGTCTCACATCACCTGGCCCTCTGACCCTATCTGGCCTCCTCTCCTTCTATAATCCTGCTTGTTTCTTCTCTTTCAGCCATACTGGCCTCCTTGCTGTTCCTTGAACACACCAAGCCCATTCTGCCTCACTTGCGGTTCCTTCTGCTTGGAGTGCCCTTTCTTCAGGTCTCCACCCTGTTCTCCCACTAATTTCCATCATTTCCTTCCAGCCTCTGTTGAATTGCCTCCCCTAATCCCTCTCTCAAGAGTAGCACCTCTCACCCTCCCCAGGTCCTCTCCAGTCCTCATTTCCTAAGTTATTTCTCTCAGCAGCACCTCCTACCCCCTGACGTGTTCTATACCTACCCATTTTTATTTATTTACTGTTTATTTCCTTCTTCTAGAATTTAGGCCTATGAGGGTGGGGAACTTGTTTTTCTGCCTTTTTTTTTTTTTTTGAGACAGAGTCTCACTTTCTCGCCCAGGCTGGAGTGCAGTGGCGTGATCTTGGCCCACTGCAACCTCCGCTTCCCAGGTTCAAGCAATTCTCCTGCCTCAGCCTCCGGAGTAGCTGGGCTATAGGTGCACATCGCCACACCGGGCTAATTTTTTGTATTTTAGTAGAGATGGGGTTTCACTGTGTTGCCCAGGCTGGTCTTGAAACCCTGAGCTCAGGCAATCCACCCGCCTTGGCTTTCCAAAGTGCTAGGATTACAGGCGTGAGCTACCATGCCTGGCCTGTCTTTCTGTTTTCCCCCATGGTCCCAGGAATTAGGGGCACCTGGCACATCATGGGTGCTCAGTATGTATTGATGGAAGGAATGCAGTGTACACAGTGCTTCAGGGAGCCTGGTATTCCAGCCCTGTTTGTGCGGTTGCCTGTTTTCTCATGCCTTTCAGAGTCACTTCTTGAGTGTCATGATCCTGAACTTTTTATCGTGTGAATTCATTTGCTTGGTGACATGTATTGACACCTGCTTTGCACAGCAGCTGTTCTAGGCTGTGTATGTAGTGGTGAACGAGACCAACAGTGCCTGCCCTCTTGAAATCTGTTCTAGTTAGGAGTACAGACATTAATCATCAAACTGTACCACGATGAGGATTATGGAGCTTATAGGAGGGATGCTTCACCCAGCAAACATTCAAAATCTATTATTCACTGTGTATGTTTGAAGATGAAAGCAAAGCACTCACACCAAGCCCTAAAGTGAAAGGCTGGAGGGGTCTTCATGGGTTGGTTAGGCCAGCGCCTTACTTCTAAGGCAGAGTGACTCAGGGGCCTCTCAAGCCAGAAATGTGTCTGTTCTAATCCCCCCGCTTTCTGGAAAGCCCATTCTCTTGGTTTGAACGTGACGTGTGCAAATTCTGCCTCTGTTCCTGCTTTCAAATCCACTCGGCTCCTTAAGTAAGCCTCCTGCAGGCCGTTTTCCTGATTGCCTGGTGAACGGCCTGCACTTTGGGAAAATGCATCTGAGAAATTGCATTGGCCCTCCTGGGTCACCGCCTCTTTCTTCCCACCAGAGCTGGCCTGGAGGTGGAGGCCCCCTCAATGTTTGGACCTAAAGGAAGTGATGAGAATGAATCAGATGTGGGTGTCTTGGACCCCTTCCCTTTTCCTGTGCCCAGCCCCACTTAGCCTTGGCTTCCTGCCCCATTCCACTCTCTAGCTTCCCTGCAGAGGGAAAGGAGCTGGGCATAGGTCTCGAGGCCCCAGTTCCTCTGGGGTCAGAACATGGGAGCTGGTCAGCCTTGAGCATTTCATCCCCTCTCCATATGTCTATTTATGGAAATGGGCTTTTAAAAGGCCACTGGTTGGCTTAGTGATTTCCACTAGGTCTTCCCACCACCTCAGGGCTGGGAGGAAGGGGTCCTGCTTAGCACTGTGGCTGGGAGTGTGGGCTGGGGATGGAGGAAGAGCCGTGGGGCAGAGTGAGGAGCTACCAGGGCAGGGGAGTGTGTGTGTTGGGAGCAGGGTGGAAGGTGGGGGCCTGGATGTGGGTGGCACTGAGCCATCCTTGGGAGATTGTGGAGGGTCCAGGGTGTTAGGGGCAGTTTCAGAGATGCAGCATGGGCCACTGGCTTGAGGGAGAGCCCAGCAGGAGAGGCCCAGCCTCCTCCTCTTCCTGGCAGGATTTCTGGGTCTCTGTGGTCCATAACCTCATCCCATCTCTACACCTCACCTTCCTCCCCACTCCCATCCATCCTTCTCTCCTTCAGTTCCCATGTCTTCCTTCTGTGTGCCCCGTCTTCCCCTCCCCCTTCTCCTGTCCCATCAATTTCTCCCGCTTTTCCTCCTCCCCCTCCTTTTTTCACCCTCTCTCACCCAACTAAGCGTCATTCTGTCTTAGTGATCCATCTTCCCTTCCATCTCTGTCTTTCCTCCTCCTCAGAGGAGGAGGCTGTGATCACAGAAATATCTGTGAGGGGGAGGAGGGGGCCGAGCCAGGGAGAGGCTGGCAGAGTGACACTGCCGAGCATGGCAGGCTTGGCTGCTGCTCAGAGCCAGGCAGCCTGGTGCAGCCAGGGCTGGAGCAGGAGCTTGGGGGTCTGGCTGGTTAGGGTTCAAGCCCTGCCTCTTTTGCCTCATAGCTGGACGATCTTGGGCAAGGCATTTTACCTCCTTATGCTCCAGGGGTCATGACATCTATCACACAAGTCTGTTTGAAGAGTCAATTAGATAATATACATAAAATACCAGGCACATAGTAAGTGCTCAACAAATTTCAGCTAGGCAGTGACTCACAACTGTAATCCCAACACTTTGGGAGGCCAAGGCAGGAGGATTCTTTGAAGCTAGGAGTTCGAGACCAGCCTGGGCAACATAGCGAGCTCCTGTCTCTAAAAATATATATAAAAAATTAGCCAGGCCTGGTGGCACATACCTTTAGTTACAGCTATTCGAAGAGGCTGAGGTGAGAGGATTGCTTGAGCCCAGGCAACAGAGCAAGACCCCATCTTTAAAACAACAACAATAGTTGTTCGTGCCTCTCTTTTCCTGTTGTTGGTAAAATATGTTTCTGGGGAGCTCACCACCTTGACCCTTTCTAGGGAAAAACATCACTGCTGTCACCAGCACCATCACCATCATTATCAAACAGCTGAGCCAGAGACTAATAATAATGACAACAATAGCTAACACTTCTATGGGACTTCCTATGTGCTGGCACTGTTCTAACTTTCAGTGTATTATTTTATTTTATCCTTATTATAATCCTATGAGGTAGATGCTATTTTAGTGCCATTTTACAGAACAGAAAGTGGAAGCATAGATGAAGTAACTTGCTTAAGGTCACTCCACTAGTTTGTAACAGAGCCAGGATTTGAAACCAGGCAGTCTGGCTCCAGAGTCTGTCTTGTAACTCTCACACTATGATCAGATGATGGTAACAAAATTTAATTGTGGGCTGGGCGTGGTGGCTCACGCCTGTAATCCCAGCACTTTGGGAGGCCGAGGTGGGTGGATCACCTGAGATCGGGAGTTTGAGACTAACATGGAGAAACCCCATCTCTACTAAGGTACAAAATTAGATGGGCATGGTGGTGCACACCTGTAGTCCCAGCTACTTGGGAGGCTGAGGCAGGAGAATCGCTTGAACCCGGGAGGCAGAGGTTGTGGTGAGCCGAGATCGCGCCATTGCACTCCAGCCTGGGCAACAAGAGCGAGACTTCGTCTCAAAAAATAAATAAATAAATAAATAAAATTAATTGCACAAAGGAATACATAAATACACTTTAAAAATTCAACAATAGGGATGAAGGAAAAGACCTCCAAATTCCAGCTAATCACCTTTCACTCCCAGGGACATGCATCAATTTAGGATATGTCCTTCTAGGTCTTTTTTTTTTTTTTTTTTTCTGTTAGGACAGAGTGTCACTCTGTCACCCAGGCTGGAGTGCAGTGGTACAACCACGGCTCACTGCAGCCTTGACCTCTTCTGACTCAGGTGATCCTCCCACGTCAACCTCCGGAGTAGCTGGGGCTACAGACGCACATCACCATGCCTGGCTAATTTTTGTATTTTTTGTAGAGATGGGGTTTCACCATGCTGCCCAGGCTGGTCTTGAACTCCTGGACTCAAGCAATCCACCTGCCTCGGCCTCCCAAAGTGCTGGGATTACAGGTGTGAGCCACTGCACCTAGCCCTTCCGGGTCATTTTCTATGTGCTTATGTATTTATACAGGTACTTAAAGAAACTTGGTGCTTTGTGTTGGATATTGTTTTTTAAACAAATAGGATCATGCTGTATCTATTACTTTGCAACCTGCTATTATAATTTAATAATCATGGAGATCTTTTCATTTGATTGATTCATTCTTTTAAAACATCTGTGTAGTATTCTGTAGTGGGAATTCACCGTGGTTTATTTAAGCCACTCTTCTCTTTTTTTTTTTTTTTTTTGAGACAAACTCTCACTCTGTCACCCAGGCTGGAGTGTGGTGGTGTGATCTCGGCTCACTGCAGCCTCCACCTCCTGGGTTCAAGTGATTCTCCTGCCTCAGCCTCCTGAGTAGTGGGACTACAGGCATGCACCACCACACCTGGCTAATTTTTTTATTTTTAGCAGAGACAGGGTTTTGCCATGTTGGCCAGGCTGGTCTCGAACTACTGACCTCAAGTGATCTGCCCACCTTGGCCTCCCAAAGGGCTGAGATTATAGGCGTGAGCCACTGTGCCCAGCCTAAACCACTCTTCTTTTGATGGACATTAAGGCTGTTTCCAATTTTTTCCTATCACAAGTAGTGCTGTGGGACACATTCTTGGATATGTGAAGCGTGCAGACATGAATGTAGGTGTTGGCTGGAAGCTGTATGTGTGATTGTTGGCTGGAAGGGCCCTGGATTGTCCTTCAGGAAGCTGCCCTCTGACACTGATACAGAAGGGAGATGCAAACGACAGGACATGGCCCCAAGGGGCTGCGAGGTGCTTATGGGGGAGAGAGAATCCAGAAGGGTGATGCCAGCATCAGCCAGATGCCGGGGTGTGGACTAGTGACAGCCATTGGCTTCTGCTCCATGAGGGCCTCTTGCTGACAGTGGTGGGGTTTCTGTAACCCCACCTGACTGGGCCCATGGATGCCGTCTCCAAAGGTGGAAGCAGCTTGGTGAAGTGGGCAGAGTGGTGTTCCTGAGGCCAGAAATGATGGAATCCCTAACTCAACTCTTAACTGCTGTGTGACTTCTGGCAAGTCATTTTGCCTCTCCGAGCCTCAGTTGTCTCATCTGCAAAATGGGGATGACAATGCCTACCTCTCATAAAGACTGAATGACCTAATGACTATCAAATGCTGATGTGTAGTAAGTGCTCGAGAAATGGGGATGATAATGCTGATTTGTTCAGGGCCACTCAGGTTTTGGTTGGAGGCCTTGTACTGGAACAGTGTGACCTTGGGAAGGGTAGAGTGTCCTCTACCCTTTCTGAGCCTCAGTTTCCTTCTCTCTTTCCTCTTCCCTGTGTTCTTGAGTCAACTCTCTGGAAAGCAGAGGAGAAAGAAAAACCTGGAGTTGTTCCCAGGGAGACTAGAAAGGGAATCTCAGTTCATCTTCACCCCATTCTCTGGAGCTCCTTCCCCCAATGATTGACCTGAGATATTCCCCCTAGTGCCTCAGTTTCCCCCATGCCCTAGAGCTGTGATAAGATCAGGGCTACCTCCTCTCCCCTGCCCTCCTCAGGTCACTAAGGGTCAGAGCGATGCCTGGATGAGACAGTGTCTCATCCCTCTCCATGCCGTCTATTCCCATTGATGGCAGCAATTTGAAGGTGTGGCAGGTCTTAGGAGATTCTTTTGGGGAAGCAGGAGCCTCTTCCTCCAGGCTGACCATGGTGTGGTCACAAAAGCCATATAGAGTCCACTCTGGAGGAGAGAAAACTAGAAGAGGAGAGAGGAGAGTAAAACCCTCTTTTACTCCCTTGCTAACTTGGAATGACTTTGGAGCAGACTCGTGTATGATGGGGTGGAGTCGGAGGAGAGCATCCTCTAGTCATAGCATCTGAGCCGCAGCGTGGTGACTCAGAGCATTTGTCTTGGTGTCTGTGCTGCTTTGGGGAGGCCAGAGCTGCTGGCAGAAGGACAGGCTCCCCAACAGTGCTCAAAATCACCCCAACCTCACAACACATATCACTGAAACAGCAACATGGCTACCAGGTATTTAGCACCTACTCAACGTCAGACTCTGTGCATGCATTTATTATCCATAGCTTCACAGCGACGCCGTAAGCTGAGTATCATTTCTCCCATTTTGCAGATGTGGAAACAGAGGCTCTCTCAAGATCACAGAGCGAGTAAGTGGTAGAGGCCACTTTGATTTGAAGCCAGATCACCTGTCTTAAAAGCCCAGGTTTTGCCTCTGTACAATGCTGTCTCACCAAGACAGAAGGGAGAAACCAAGGCCTCTGTTGTGAATTTGTATAACCTTGATATTTGTACAACCAGATTTCATGTGAAGAAACACGTTGAGGGGTGGGGATTACGATGTGCTTCGTCTCCCTGCCCCAGCAACCTCCTTGCCATTTCAGAATTAGAATTCCAGCTTCTATGAAAAGACCGCGTGTAGTTGGGGTTTCAGCACCATGGACAAGACACCAACTCTGGAGGCCTAGAAAGAGCCGGGGCTGGAGGAGAGGGCATGCGCAGCAGAGTGGGGTGGGGTGTTGGCTTTGGTGCTCCCTGGAGTTGACACATCTTGGCTTTGCCTCCTCCGCCTTTCCATCTGCGGAAGGTTGCCTGGGAATCTGGCTCTGCTCCTGCCTCCTTCTGACCTCATCTCCCCATATCCAACCCACCTCTGGCCTCGAGAACTAAGCAGGGCTCTCACGCAATTTAGGAACTGGACAAATCCCAGTGCCGGGAAAATCCCTGGCTGTCAAAGCCCAGATGTATTCACAGACCGCAAACACACCCTTTGCGTAGCTCATGATGAATTGTGCACACCACTGCCCACGGGCATTAAATAGTAAATAGAGGTGGGCCTAATTTTGTGTAAATCTAATATATGAAAATCCACGTTGATTACAGAAACACATGGTTTAGAGGAGGGCTTCACATCCCAGCTTTCACGGACTCCTAGGGGTTTCTGGTGGAAACCTAGAGACTTCAAGGTCATCTCTGAACCTTCTGGAAGTGTGAAACGTTGTTTTCTTGTCTGTGTGTGTGTGTGTAAAAATTTACAAGCCTTTTATTTTCTGGGGAGAGGTTTGTGTGTGTGTGTGTGTGTGTGTGAGATTTCATTAGATTTTCAAAAGGCTCATGAAGTTTAACAAGTGAAGAGCACTGCTGAGCTAAAGAATGATCCAGCTCAGAGAGCCCTTTGGGACTGTGGGGGCCAGTTTGCAAAGTCAAATTCTAACCTCCCCGGGCCCATGCCTTCCTTTCAGTGGCTGCTGGGAAGTAGCTTCTTTCTCTTCCTCCCTCCTACCCCTTCCTCCTCTTCCTGTCCACTTTTGAGAATGGAGATGCCTGCCAGTTCGCAGTATAATTGAGCTATAAAATGCCAAGGTAACCAGCATCCTTAGGAGCCTATTAAGAGATTTAGCTGCAAACATTGGCTCTGTGCACACATTCTCAAAAAAGCCTTTCTATTTTGTGGGGCTCAAGAGTAATTGCCCAGGCAAGACTATTGCTCCCAAATGTGAAGACAATCCACATACAAAGCAATTGCCAAGCTCTGGACAGTAACAGGTCCTCTTTTTCAAGTACTGTTCAATTGCAATTGATTTTGTGTGTGTCTGTGTGTGTGACAGAGTCTCGCTCTGTCACCCAGGCTTGGAGTGCAGTGATGTGAGCTTGGCACACTGCAACCTCCACCTCCTGGGTTCAAGCAATTCTCCTGCCTCAGTCTCCTGAGTAGCTGGGATTACAGGTGCCTGCCACCACGCCTGGCTAATTTTTGTATTTTTAGTAGAGGCAAGGTTTCACCCTGTTGGCCAGGCTGGTCTCAAACTCCTGACCTCAAGTGATCTGCCTGCCTCGGCCTCCCAAAGTGCTGGGATTACAGGCGTGAGCCACTGTGCCCAGTCAATTGCAATTGATTTCTGTAGCGCTAAAGGCTTTGGAAGGTGCTGGGCTCATTGTAATGTGTGTGTTGGCCTGTGTCACGTATTGTCTTTGCAGGGATGGTTGTTCTTCTGAACCATCTGATTTGTGTTTCAGGTATTGCTCTGTCTCACTGCACTTCCTAGAGCTCCTTATGAAATTCTGGGTCAGGGTCAGGGCTCAGTGTGGGACCAGGATCAGAGCTCAGTCTAGGTCCACAGTTGAGGCTTGGTTTGAGAACTTGGTTATGTAGGGCTTTATGGTAGGTGTCAGGGTTCAGTGGGGGGCCAAGGTCAGGGCTTGGTTTATTGCTGATGTCAGGGCTTGGCCTGGAGTCAGGGTCAGGGCTCAGTCTAGGACTCTAGTTGGGACTCAGTCAAGGAACAGGGCCCAGTTTAATCCTGGCACTAGGGCTCAGTCTAGAATTAGGATTGAAGCTCAGTCTGTGGCTAGGATCAGGGTCAGACGGGGGCCCTTTCTCAACGGACTCATGTGGCCTTCCTTTCCGCAGGTGCCCAGGACCCCACGCCCAGGGGTGGAGTCTGCTGACAGCAGGCGTCTAGCCACGAAGCACAGCAGGAAGGCCCTGAAGGCCAGCCTGACGCTGGGCATCCTGCTGGGCATGTTCTTTGTGACCTGGTTGCCCTTCTTTGTGGCCAACATAGTCCAGGTAATGCCACGGCAGGGGGCAGGTGAGTCCGGCCCTTGCAGGAGAGGCCCTGGATCCCAGCCCAGGCATGGGGACAGGGGAGGGTAGGCTGCCTCTCGTGGTGCGTGTGTGTGTGTGTCTGCTCCATACATGCTGGGAAGGGTGGCCTGGGTCCCTGCCCTGGGACCAGGCATGATGCATCCCCTCCCCCCAGGCCGTGTGCGACTGCATCTCCCCAGGCCTCTTCGATGTCCTCACATGGCTGGGTTACTGTAACAGCACCATGAACCCCATCATCTACCCACTCTTCATGCGGGACTTCAAGCGGGCGCTGGGCAGGTTCCTGCCATGTCCACGCTGTCCCCGGGAGCGCCAGGCCAGCCTGGCCTCGCCATCACTGCGCACCTCTCACAGCGGCCCCCGGCCCGGCCTTAGCCTACAGCAGGTGCTGCCGCTGCCCCTGCCGCCGGACTCAGATTCGGACTCAGACGCAGGCTCAGGCGGCTCCTCGGGCCTGCGGCTCACGGCCCAGCTGCTGCTTCCTGGCGAGGCCACCCAGGACCCCCCGCTGCCCACCAGGGCCGCTGCCGCCGTCAATTTCTTCAACATCGACCCCGCGGAGCCCGAGCTGCGGCCGCATCCACTTGGCATCCCCACGAACTGACCCGGGCTTGGGGCTGGCCAATGGGGAGCTGGATTGAGCAGAACCCAGACCCTGAGTCCTTGGGCCAGCTCTTGGCTAAGACCAGGAGGCTGCAAGTCTCCTAGAAGCCCTCTGAGCTCCAGAGGGGTGCGCAGAGCTGACCCCCTGCTGCCATCTCCAGGCCCCTTACCTGCAGGGATCATAGCTGACTCAGATATCGTGTTCTGAAGGATGCTCCACTGTTGAGTGTAACTTGTGTGTGCAGAGGATGGGCTGGAGGACTCTGGATGTTGGGGAGAAGGACCTCTTGGTTCAGGTTAGGATGAAAACAATCATGACCTTTGCCCATTCTGTCAGGCTGGACGGGAGGGAATGCCCCCACCTGCAGGCATGGATTAATGCTGGGCTGAACCCCTTGCTACTCACAGTGTAGTCCATGGACAATCGGCATTGCCGTCACCTTTGGGAGTTTGTGAAAAATGCACATCTCTGCCCCTGCCCAGACCTGCTGAGTCAGAACTGCATGTTACCAAGATCCCAGGTGAATCATGTGCCCATTACAGTTTGAGATGTGCTGCCTTAGATCATCTTTAACCCTCAGAATGATTTGCTGGATGGTTTTTGGACCTGTCAGTCTCCCCTCCCTGGTATATATGTGGCAGCAGCTGCACCTGGGAGGCAGGCAGGCATGCATGTGGGCCTCTGCTCTACCACCTATGAGCTCTGGGGCCTGACACGAGTTATTTAACCTCTCCGAGCCTCGGTTATCCCATGTGTAAGGTAGAGAAATGATGCCTATCTTGCAGGTTGTCTTGAGAATTAAGACAATGTGTGCCCAGCACCCAGTACACGGTCAGTTAATTGGTACGTTCTGTTGTTACGACCCCCGGCTATCCAGCCCCCTGGCCTCTCCGGCTGTGTGTCAGGAAGGGCTCTTTGCTCCCGTTGTTCTCTTTCCATTTGCCTCCCCCTCTTCAGCCCTGGCCTAGCCTCCCAAAGCCTGACTCTGGTTCCCCAACTCCCTGTTCTGGCTCCTGGGTGGGGACCCCATCTCTCAGGGACCCTCCCAGCTCCCAAGCTGCTGCCCTGCCTTTCCTGGGGGCAAAAGGGGCAGGTGGCAGTTTCTTTTTCAGCCTCAGAACTGGTTTTCCTCAATCCTGGGGGGTCCTTGGACCTAGAAGGGAACAACTGATGGGGATAAACCCAGCCCCTTGCCCACCTGCCTCTGGCCTTCCCTGGGGTCAGTGAGAGAAATGGGAATGGTAGCTACTTGGGTCAGCAGAGTAGAGTCAAAGAGCTGTTCCTGGTGTGAGGTGGGGCCCACGAGGCAGGCAGGTGGACTCTGGCACAGGGGCCTTGGTTTCTGGGGGCAGGGGGTTGGGGAACTCTTGGTCGCCAGTTTACCTGCCATAGGTCCCTTTTCAGCCCTGCCTCCCCCAAGTTCCATCAACACAAACTCCCAGGGGGTCCTCCATGCCTGGCCTGGCCCTCTCCTTGGTGCTGATGAGACACAACTCTGGCCCCGGCGGCTGGCCTCTGAGGGGCCATGGTGCTTGCGGGGCTTCCCCTATCCCCCAGGTCTGCCCAAGGGGACTCTCAATAAACTCTAGCTGAAGGCAGTGGCTGTGGTGTGGACTGGATTCAACTGAGGGGCCACTCGGGGCTTGAGAAGCAGCTGGTGTCGTGGGGAGGCCTGGGTGTAGGTGTCCTGGGTTCTGGTCCAGATTCTGCCCCTTCAATCTGGGACCCCAGAAAAATCCTTTCCCCTTTCAGAGCCTCCATTTCCCATGTATGACATGAGCAGCTTAGTTTAAAAGCAACAAGAGTTGCATAAATACTTGTTTTTAAATTTTGTGTTTTAAGAGTTGGAGTTGGCTGGGCATGGTGGCTCATGCCTGTAATCCCAGCACTTTGGAAGGCTGAGGTGGGTGGATCATCTGAGGTCAGGAGTTGGAGACCAGTATGGCCAATATGGTGAAACCCCATCTCTACTAAAAATACAAAAAATTAGCTAGGCGTGGTGGCAAGTGCCTTAATCCCAGCTACTCAGGAGGCTGAGGCAGGAGAATCCCTTGAACCTGGCAGGTGGAGGTTGCAGTGAGCTGAGATCATGCCATTGCACTCTAGCCTGGTGACAAGACAAGACTCCGTCTCAAAAAAAAAAAAAAAAAAGAGTCAGAGTCTCACTCTGTCACCCAGGCTGGAGTGCTGCAGCACAATCATAGCTCACTGCAGCCTCGAGCTCCTGGGCTCAGGTAATCCTCCTGCCTCAGTCTCCTGAGTAGTTGGCAGTGGCTAATTTTTTTATTTTAATTTTTTGTCAAGACTGGGTCTCGCTATGTTGCCCAGGCTGATCTCCAACTCCTGGCCTCAAGCAATCCTCCCACTTTGGCCTCCCAAAGTGCTGAGATTACAGGCGTGAGCCATAAATGTGTGTCGAATGAACAAATGAATACACACGCACCTGAGCAGGGATCTGGCTCCTATGTTCTACGACTCTAATTTTTGCTGCCCTCCTCCCACCTCCCCCAGAGCTTGTCAATCCTTCCTCTGCCTGGGCCTTGATTTCTCCATCTGCACAACAAGGGTGCATTATCTCTGGCCCTGCCATTCAGGGACTGTGGGAGGAACAAAGAGGAAAGCTCTCACGGATGCAGACCCAGTGGCTTGGGACTTGGGCATTAGAGTCTGACATACAGGGGCCTGGAACTTGGCTCCATCGTTAACCAGCTGTTTGGCCTTCAGCAGGTTACCTGATCCCTCTGAGCCTCAGTTTCCCCAAATATAAAATGAAGATAATAATAGTCCCTACCTCATAGGATTGCTGTGAATTCCAACTGACACAACCCAGGCAACCACTTGGTATGTGGTACATGCTCAAGAAGTGGTAGCTTCTTCTTATTATTATTTATTGCTGTTGTTATCCCCTCTGTTCCTGCTACAGGAAATTCTTTCCATGTAAAATTCATTCTTGTCCCCAGGCCTAGTTCACAGCCATACTGAATGCAATTCAGCATGTATTCACCATGCTCTGTTAGTGGTGTCCAGATGTTGCATGACGGGGGAGCACACTCACATTGTGTCTGTGTGACTCATGTCCCTGGAGTTATGCAGCGCACAGCCTACATGGCTGTACAGGGCAGATCTGATTGGATCTCCTAAGAGCAGGAGTGAGCTGCCTTCTTTGTACCTGCGCCTGCTCTGTTGCTGCCAGTTGATGGTGCCTGTCAGCTGGTGGGCAGCCCTGGAGTGTGGATGGAAGAACAGGCATGCACCTGGTTTTATTGAGGCCAGGGGAGAGCTGGTGTGGGAGCCTCAGGCCCCAGAGAGCCCTCGGGACCTCCTGATGGACAGCCAGACTCCAAAGCTATGAGAAGTACAGAAAGCCCACAGTTGGTTTCCGGTCCTGGGACTCTAACCTGTGCTTGGTTGACTCTGCAGGTCTCTGATGAGGGGGCAGCTGCTCCCTGGTGGGGCTCCTCTGGGGACAGGCAGCTTCCCAAGGGTGGGCGTGTTCTCTCCTCCAAATTCCCCTTCCTTCCATTTCCTTTCCCTTTCAGTTCCAATTCCTTCCATTTAGGAAAGAGGCCTGTGGAAATCCTGTACCTCCAGAGCTCCTGGGAGGAACCCGAGGGTATAAGAGAGAGCTGCATATGGAGACTGGGGAAGACGGCTCAGGTCCCCTGCTGTGGTCAGTCCAGCCCCGTGCTGGGGCCCTGGGTCTTGCAGGCACAATCGGGGCAGCCCAGTGGGTTGGGGTCCATGCCATGGCTGCAGATGGGGGGCCTTTCAGGGCTGGCAGCAGCAGGAAGGGAGGCCCCTTCAGACTGGTCCAGCCCTACTGGCACCTGGGCTTGGCTGGGGTCTGTGGACATGGCCAATTTGGAGGTGTCTCCGGATATGGGACCCTGGGTTTGCCCAACCTGGTGGGGGGTCTCGCCTGATGAGGCGGCAGCTGCTGCCTGGCGAGGCTCCTCGGAGGGCAGGCAGCCTGGGGCCAGCAAGAGCCCCTTCTCGTCCCAGCCTGGCTTGGTGCGGATGCCCACGGCCTTCAGGATGGCATCCATCTGCTTGGCATAGTCCAGGTGGCCGCTGACCTGCAGGAGACAGTGAGTGAGCACCACCGTGGGTGTGCAGAGCCCAGCCCTCCCCAGGGACCTCCGGCCAAACTTCTGGGCCTCAGCCTTGCCCTGAGCATCCACAGCCAACGAATCACCAAACCCATGACTCCATCCCTCAGTGGCTCTCAAATCCAGAGTGGGTGGGAAGGCTCTATGTTCAAAGCTGTTCTAGAATTTATTAAATAAAGATGAAGGATGTTTCTCTAAAAAATCTGGATCCTTTTGGGGCAGGAAGGAATCTCCTGATAAACAGAAAGGTGGAGTAGAAGCTCTCGTTCTTTGTCTGAAGCTTTTTTTTTTTTTTTTTTTTTTTTTTTTTTGAGACAGGCTCTTGCCCAGGCTGGAGTGCCGTGGCGCAATCTTGGCTCACTGCAACCTCCACCTCCCAGGTTCAAGTGATCTTCTTGCCTCAGCCTCCTGAGTAGCTGGGATTACAGGCGTGTGCCACCATGCCAGTAATTTTTTGTATCTTTAGTAGAGAAGGGGTTTCACCATATTGGCCAGGCTGGTCTCGAACTCCTGGCCTCAAGTGATCCACTGGCCTTAGCCTCCCAAAGTGTTGGGATTACAGGCGTGAGCCACTGTGCCCGGCAGCTTTTTTTTTTTTTTTTTTTTTTTTTAAGGGATGGGCTTTTTGTTAAAATAGCATGAGAAAAAAGAAAAATGAAAACAGAGAGAGAGAGAGATGGGTTCTCTCTCTCTCGTCCAGGCTGGAGTGCAGTGGTACAACCATAGCTCACTGCAGCCTTGACCTCTTGGGCTCTAGTGATTCTCCCACCTCAGCCTCCTGAGTAGCTGGGATTACACGTGCATGCTACCATGACTGGCTAATTTTTAAATGTTGTAGAGATGGGGTCTCCTATGTTGCCCAGGTCTTGAACTCTTGGCCTCAAGAAATCCTGCTGTCTCAGCCTCCCAAAGTGCTGGGATTACAGGCCTGAGGCACTGTGCCCAGCTGATGCCTGCAGCTCTAGGCTACTCCAGAAGGGCTCTGCTGTTCACTAGTTGTGACACCTTGGTCAAGCCCCTCTACCCCTCTACCCCTCTGGCTCTCAACTTCCTCCGCTGTAAAAAGGGGAACACAAGGGTAGTTTCACCAGAGGTTGGCTGTGAGGATTTTCCCTGGAAAAGTCCTCAAATTGGAAAGAAAGCTACAGCATAGACTGCAAGGTGCTGGCTACAACTCACTCTGCCGTTTATTCTTTAGTCACAAGGACTCACATTTATAGCTGGGCACACTCCCCAGGCTTCCTTGCAGCTAGGAATAGCACTGTGACTAGTTTTGGCCCATGAGTTGAAGCGGTAGTGTGATGTGGTGTTCCTTGGAATTCTCTTTAAGAGGAGGAGTGCTCTTCTTCCCTCATGTCCTCTTTCCTGCTGGCTGGAATTCAGACGAGATGGCCAGAGCTTGAGCAGCCATCTTGGGCCATGAGTCAGCCCACTAAGGAAGGCAGAACAAGCAGCAAGAGGGAAATTTGGTCCTTGAAGACTGTGGAGTGGCACATCAGCCCTAAATGGCCTATTCTGATTTCTTTTATGTGACAGAATCAACCCTAGTGTATTTAAGACAATTAGGCCAGGCACAGTGTCTCACCTCTATAATCCCAGCACTTTGGGAGGCCAAGGTGGGAAAATCACTTGAGCCCAGGAGTTTGAGACCAGCCTGGGCAACATGGGGAAACCCTGTCTCTACAAAAAAATACAAAAATTAGCTGGGCATGGTGGCGTGTGCCTGTAATTCCAGTGACTATGTAGGCTGGGGTAGGAGGATGGCTTGAGCCTGGGAGGCTGAGGCTGCAGTGAGCCCTGATTGTGCCGCTGCACTCCAGTTTGGGCGACAGAGCAAGACCCTGTCTCCAGAAAAAACAAACAGACAAAAAACATTAGCAGGGCCTCTGTTATATGGGTCTGCATCTTAACTAAGACAAAGGCCAAGAACTCAGAAGTGGCCACCCCCTTCGTCAGAGTCATACGTTCATCCCATTTTTGTGTTGGGATATGTTGGTGAGCAACAAGTAGGGGTGTGATTGAAATGCCTGATGCCTAGATGTAATAATGGACAATGCCTGACACGTAGTAGGTCCTTAATACATTGCAGCAAATAAGCTTCTTGGATATACTCCTTTGCTAGGTGTCGGCTGCTCACTGTAGATGAAATTGAGCCACACGGAGGTAAAGTGACTTACCCAAGGTCACACAGCTAGAACTTGGCAGGGCTGGGATTTGAATCCAGGCCTGTTTCTTTTTTTTTTTTTTTTTTTTTGAGACAGAGTCTCGCTCTGTTGCCCAGGCTGGAGTGCAATGGTGCAGTCTTGGCTCACTTTAAGCTCTGCCTCCTAGGTTCATGCCATTCTCCTGTCTCAGCCTCCCGAGTAGCAGGGACTACAGGCATCTGCCACGGTGCCCGCTACCATGCCCGGCTAATTTTTTTTGTATTTTTAGTAGAGACAGGGTTTCACTGTGTTAGCCAGGATGGTCTTGATCTCCTGACCTCATGATCCACCCACCTCGGCCTCCCAAAGTGCTGGGATTACAGGCGTGAGCCACTGCGCCCGGCCATCCAGGCCTGTTTCTAAAGCCTGTTCTCTTCAGAGAAAATCAGCTGGGGAAGGAAGGAAGGTTAAAAATCATCCTCACTTTACAGAGAAGGGCAGCAAAGCCCAGAGAGGGGTGGCGGTTTGCTTAATGACACACAGCGCATGAACAGCACAGTCTGGTGCTGAGCCTGAGATGCTGCCTGCAGAAGCTGCTCAGCCTGGATCTGCCCCTGAGATGGAGTCTCACGTTATACCCAGCCAGTCGAGGGGGCCTGCTTTAGTGCCAAAGATGCGCATGAGACCGGACTTTCCTTTAAGGCTGAAGGGGAAGGCTTTCTTTTTAAAAAAAGGACAGGAAAAACACCAGGGAGGCTGTTGTTGGGAATCTCAGAAAACAGCACAAAGACACTGCTGGTAACATCTGCATTTCCATTTGAATTGCAAATCACACTGTATTAATCAAATGATTTTTCAAAAACACGAAAAGACAATTCCCTGTACAGTTTTGTTATTTTCTCACCACTAGAATCTGCCCACCTCTCGTTCCTTTCCTCACGAATGCTTTTAAACAGATTCCAGGGAAAATACACACACGTGTATTCACACATCTAAGTGGTTTTCAGGGCCCTGGGCTCAGGGTGGTTGTCAAGGCACAGCCAGTGCCCCTCTGCAGCAGGACACATATTTAGTGGCTGCAGGGCCTGAGAAGGAACCTAAGTTTGGACTCTCTGAAAAGCTGGGGTACCAGCCTTGGCTCTGTCTCTTACCAGTAACTGGGCCAGTCCTCACAATTTCCTGAACCACAGCTTCCCCATCTGTAAAATGAGAGTCATGACCTTGAATGATTGCTATAAGGAGTTCAAGGGCCTGGCACTTCATAGGAACTCAGAGAATGCTAGCTTTTGATATTATGTTCCTATATGATCCAAAACACTTTTTGTTTTTCTTAATTTTTTTTTTTTTTGAGACGGAGTCTTGCTCTGTTGCCCAGGCTGGAGTGCAATGGCATGATCTTGGATTACTGCAACCTCTGCCTTCCAGGTGCAAGCTATTTTCGTGCCTCAGCCTCCCAAGTAGCTGGGATTACAGATGTGCACCACCACACCTGGCTAATTTTTGTATTTTTAGTAGAGACAGTATTTCACCATGTTGGCCGGGCTGGTCTCGGACTCCCAACCTCAGGTGATCCGCCTTCCTTGGCCTCCCAAAGTGCTTGGGATTACAGGCGTGAGCCACTGCACCTGGCCTTTTAAATTTTAAATGTAGAGATGGGGACTTCTTATGTTCTCCAGGCTGGTCTCAAACTCCTGGGCTCAAGAGATCCTCCTGCTTCAGCGTCCTAAATTGCTGAGACTATAGGCATGAGCCACGATGCCCTGCCCCAAACACTTTTAAAGAGACATCATGCAATTTGAGTTAGTGATACCTACCTAAAGGAGTTGCTGGGAAGAAATAATACAAACCATGAAGCACAGTGCCTGGCACCCCAGGAGGTACTCTGTAAATATGAGTTCCCTTACCTTAGTTTCCTACGAGTGGGGGATGGAGAGTAGGGAGTTAGCTGGGCTGATCCATTTGGGAGCCCAAGATGGCTGCTCAAGCTCCAGCCATCACATCTGAATTCCAGCCAGCAGAAACTTCAGACCCACAGGGACAAGTGATAACTGCCTCTCTAAGGACAAACAAGAACTGCCTCCCTATACCTTTTTAATGTTGTAGATGGCTGGTGCCAGTGCTGGGTAGAAACAGGCCAGGAAGGAAGGGAGGTGTTGGTACCCACTGGCTGCAGCTGATACCAGATGGAAATTCCACTGAGAGCTGTCCTAGAACACACAGCTCTGGCCCTCCTCGACTACAAGTTGGTCTGGGTCTCAGGCAACCCTAGTCCCTGAGCCACCCCTCTGCAAAGACCCAGGGGAGCAGTTGCTGGGCAGAGCTCTGGTTTTACAGTTAGCTGGAGAGATGAGAGAAGAGGGGTGAGGCAGGTCGGGAAAGAGCCTCTTCTCAGCACCAGAAAGTTCTGGTGTAGCCGATACTGCGTGAAGATTCAGCCCCTGACCATCTCCCAGGCTGTCTTGATTGAATCTGCCAGCTGCCTGGATACACGCCGGATGTGACTGGCGTGCAGAAGCCTTCCGTGGCTTCCCGTGTTGGCAGGGGCCTCTGTGGACACCCTGTGATGGCACTCATAACCTGTCATCGTCACATGCTCATGAGGTTGCGTTCCCTGATAAACTGAGCGCAGGGGAGCAGAGACCACTTCTCACTCACCTCTGTGCCCCACAGCCAGCCCCGCACATCGTGGGGTTTCCGTGGGAACCAGATCCCTGCAGGTACAAATGGGGCCCAGCCCTTCCTGTTTCCTGCCTCAAAAGACACCCCAACTTACCCAAACAGAGGCTGCCATCACCCACCTCCATCTGCCCCAGTGACTCCTTCCAAGCCCATCAGGCCCCTTTGGGTTCTTTCACTTCTTGGACCTCAATTTCCTCATGTATAAAATGAGGCTAATAAAGAGACCTATACCACGTGGGCTGGCTGTGTGGCTTTGATAATACATGTAACAGGCTTATTGGCACAGGGTTAGAGGCCACTACCAGAAGCTACAGAGATGTGTGAATGCAGGCAGTACTGAAGCAGTGGTTAACAGCCCAGGTTCATCCGGCTCTACCACTCACATGCCGTGGCACCGCCTGCAGCCTCAGTTTTCACACCTGTACAACGGGTTACTACCACTATGCAGGACCTCTATGAGGATCAAATGACTTACCCCGTAAAACATGTGAGTTGTTGGCTACTGCGGTTATTATCAAGTATCTACTTTGTGCCAAGCCTTTTGCTAAGTTCTAGGCCACCTGGCATTTCTGCTGGGACATGGAGAATCTTGCCGTGGGTTGGATCTCTGTGCCCCAGAAGCCTCATGAGTTGGTCCCTGGGGTGGCAAATCCCCCACCCACTGTAACCTTGTCCCTGTGAGGAGAGACTGAGGGGCAGGAGGGCAGCTTCATTCACCCCAGAGATGCGCCCTGCCTGCAACAGGGCCAGCCCAGTGGGATGATCACAAAGGGCCCTGCTGCGTGGTTGGCCCAGCAGGGAGAAGACAGGTCCTGTGGGTCTCTGTTGGGAGCAGAGGGTGGCCAGCATTTCCCCAACAGCAGTAATGAAACCTCCCTTGCCAGCAACTTCTCCAGCAAAGCATTTTCAAGGAAAACAGGAGGCCAGCACAAAGGCAGTGCTAATTACCTCTAATTACCCAGAAGAGGAAAGCACTGTTTTTTGTGATGTACTCCTAATGTGATAAAGAGCTATTATTAGGCAGGAGCTGGGAAGCTGCCACGAAGACAGCCTGAGGAGGGAGCGGAGTCTCCAAAACTGCTGGTCCCAGAGGCAAACAAACTGGGGGTGGTGGCAGGGGCAGGCCGGGAGGGACTAGGATTAAAGGAGGGCCTACTATGCACCAAGCATCTTACATGCGCTGCCCTGGAAGTTAGGCGTTTCCACCATTTCCTAGATGAGGACACTGAGACACAGAGAGGTTAAGTAACTGGCCCAAGGTCACACAGCCAGTAAACCAGTGGCAGAGCCAGGATTCTAAGCCATGCCTCTCTGGTGCCAAAGGCTGTGCTCTTCCTACCATATCCCATTCCCAGTAGAAATCAG
The DNA here is from genome assembly GCF_000001405.40 of Homo sapiens. Lineage (NCBI taxonomy): Eukaryota > Metazoa > Chordata > Mammalia > Primates > Hominidae > Homo > Homo sapiens. The sequence goes on from NC_000001.11 coordinate 19,689,666, forward strand.
ATCTTGTGAGGGCTTTGCAGCATTAAAAGCTACTTTCTTCAGCAGATGCTTTTTATCTCTGATTCTTCTGGCAAAGGGAGACTCCTGGGGTGCTGAGGCACAAAGTCCCTGCTCCCTTTCACCCCATTCAGGGTGCAGGCACCTTGAATAGGACAGAGAGCCCTGGACATGGGTCAGGAGGCATCAGCTCTGAGCCCTGTTGATGGTGACAGGAGGCAGCCAAATGCCTAGGCAGACGGGGTGGGTCCCTGGTGAAACCCCACCTTCAAGCCAAAAAAACAGCCTGAAGGCTGAAAGACTGGACTGCTGGTCCCACATGAAACCTGTGACCCAGAGTGAGAACTTCTGTTCCTGTTTGCCCACACTTCCCCTATTCTGAGCCCATAAAAGCCCCAGACTCAGCCACATTGTGGGGACTTTCCTGCCTTTGGGTAGGGGAACCATCCACTCATCCCCTCTCTGCAAAAAGCTGTTTCATCACTCAATAAAACTCCTCGCCTTGCTCACTCTTCAATTATCAGCGTGTCCTCATTCTTCTTGGATGCTGGACAAGAGCTTGGGACCCACTGAGTGTGGGTACCCAGAAAGGCTGTCATACTGGCCTTTTGCCCTCATCAGTGGAGGGCAGCTGCCCCACGTGATGGGGTCAGGGGCCGACTGAGCTGTTAATACACCACCGTCTATTGGGCCGTCAATGGTGGAACTAAAACAGCTAATTAGCACACTAACGCCCCCTCTGGGGCTTCAGGGTTGTGGGTACCCCTGCCCAGGTGCTGCCACTTTCCCCTCGAGGCAACACGCCTGGTCTGGCCACAGGCCCAGCATGGAGCTTGCTCTTGTGTCGGTGTTTGGAGTGGTCAGCCAGAGCCCACACTTGCTCATTCATGTGCTTCCTCCTGCAAGGGGCTGAGTGTGGTGGACCGAGTAGATGGGGTGCCCCTGCTGCAAGTGTGGCCAAGGGGCTGAGAGAAAATTCCTGTCACTGTGGTTTGCTGGTCTTGTGACTCAGCTTACCTCATTCCCACAGAGAAGTGGGCAGCACAGCTTCCAAGCTGGGCTCAGAGTCCAGACCTACAACTCTGGCTATGACTCCATGCTCCCAAGTCTCAGTTTCCCAATCTATGATCTGGGGATGCTTAATACCTCCTCTAGGGAGTTGCGAGGTTTACAGCATGTGAGCCAAGTCTATCTGTGAAGACTCTTTTTTTTTTTTTTTTTTTTGAAACAGAGTCTTGCTCTGTCACCTAGGCTGGAGTGCAGTGGTACCCTCTCGGCTCACTGCAAGCTCCACCTCCTGGGGTCATGCCATTCTCCTGCCTCAGCCTCCCGAGTAGCTGGGACTACAGGTGCCCACCGCCACACCTGGCTAATTTTTTGTATTTTTAGTAGAGACGGAGTTTCACTGTGTTAGCCAGGATGGTCTCGATCTCCTGACCTCGTGATCTGCCCGCCTTGGCCTCCCAAAGTGCTGGGATTACAGGCGTGAGTCACTGCACCCGGCCCCTGTGAAGACTCTTTAACCAGGAGCAACCAGTTTCATAAATGGATGAGCCTAGAAATGACTCTTATTCTACCCCAGTCCCCAAAGCTCCCAGTTAGGAAGGCACAGGGTGGCTTCATTTGTGATCCTCTGGTGGGTTAGGAATTTTGTCTTAAGGCCCTGGAAGTTTAGGGGTGAAGATACAAGTGAACTGGCCCCAGCGACCTGGTGTCAGGCCAGGTGAGAGGCCCAGGTGACCTCTGGGCAGGGACATGGCTGACAGACTTTATGGACAGCAGCACCTGGTGAAGTTTTGATTTTGTTTTTTTGTGCAATAATTCCCCCATGTTATCAAATGCTCAGTCAAGTCTCAAAACACATGCAGCCCAGTGTGAGCCACACTGTGGTGGCACGGGTGGGTCTGAGGCCTAGCTTCATTGGCCATTGAGATGCAGTGGTGGAGTGATCAGAACAGGCAGCTGCTGATCCTGAATGGGGAAGCCAGAATGCCCCTCAAACCAGGGGATTTTTAGATGCCCAGAAAGGAGTCTAGTCTGTCTGCAGGAAGCAGCTGCTCAAACAACCATGAGTGGAAACTGGGTGATATGGTTTAACTGTGTCCCCACCCAAATCTCATCTTGAATTGTACTCTCATAAATCCTATGTGTTGTGGGAGGGACCCAGTGGGAGATAATTGAATCATAGGGGTGGTTTCCCCCAACCTGTTCTCATGGTAGTGAATACGTCTCCTGAGATCCAATGGTTTTATAAGGAGAAACCCCTTTCACTTGGTTCTCTTCTCTGTCTTGCCTGCTGCCATGTAAGACGTGCCTTTCACCTTCCGCCATGATTGTGAGGCCTCCCCAGCCACGTGAAATTGAGTCCATTAAACCTCTTTTTCTTTATAAATTACCCAGTCTTGGTATGTCTTTATCAGCAGCGTGAAAATGGACTAATACACTGGGTTACATGTGGGAAGCACTTGGCACTTGATAAATGGCAGCCAGCAACATAATAACTAGAAACCAAAGATTTTGTTCTCAGGGTCCCCTGATTGCTGAAGTCGGCTTGTGCTTGTAGTTACAGCTTATTCCTTATTCCTCCCCTCCCCGCCTCCCCCTATGGAGCACCTCTCCCACTGGTTCTCATATCTACCTGGGCTGGGGCTACATCTATTGGCTTCAGACCTGGGTTTGAGTCCTGCTTTGCCATGTTTCAGCGGTGTGACCCTGGAATGTCTCTAAGCCTCAGTGACCTTGTCTGTACAATGGGGACAGTAATGTCTGTAAAAGGCTTAGGGCAGGCCGGGTGTGGTGGCTCATGCCTATAATCCCAGCACTTTGGGAGGCCAAGGCAGGTGGATCACCTGAGGTCAGGAGTTTGAGAACAGCCTGACCAATATGGCGAAACCATATCTCTATTAAAAATACAAAAAAAAAAAAAAAAAAAGAATTAGATGGGCGTGGTGGCAGGCGCCTATAATCCCAGCTATTTGGGAGGCTGAGGCAGGAGAATCGCTTGAACCTGGGAGGCGGAGGTTGCAGTGAGCCGAGATCGCGCCATTGCACTCCAGACTGGGCAACAGGAGTGAAACTCCACCTCAAAAATATAAATAAACAAATAAATAAATAGGCTTAGGGCAGAGCGGGACATAGAGTGAGTGTCCACATGGGAAGCTATTAATTCCCTAGGATAGCATGTGGCAGGTGAACGAGGTTCTTTCAAGTCTAAAAAAACTGAAGTTGGTCAGGCACGGTGGCTCACGCCTGTAATCCCAGCACTCTGGGAGGCCAAGGTGGGTGGATTGCTTGAGCTCAGGGGTTCAAAACCAGCCTGGGCAACATGGTGAAATCTTGTTTCTACCAAAACTACAAAAAATTAGCTAGATGTGGTGGTGCACACCTGTGGTCCCAGCTACTCAGGAGGCTGGGGCAGGAAGATCACTAGAGCCTGGGAGGCAGAGGTTGCAGTGAGCCGAGACTGTGCCACTGCACTCCAGCCTGAGCGAGACCCCATCTCAAAAAAAAAAAAAAAAAAAAAAAAAAAAAAAAAAAAGGCCAGGCACGGTGGCTCATGCCTATAATCCCAGCACTTTGGGAGGCTGAGGCAGGCAGATCACCTGAGGTCAGGAGTTCAAGACCAGCCTGAGTAATATGGTGAAACCCCATCTCTACTAAAAATACAAAAATTAGCCGGGCATAGTGGCAGGCTCCTGTAATCCCCGCTACTCGGGACACTGAGGCAGGAGAATGGCTTGAACTGGGGAGGTGGAGGTTGCAGTGAGCTCACACCATTGCACTCCAGACTGGGCAACAGAGTGAGACCCCATCTCAAACAAAAACAAAAAGAAAAAGAAAAGAAATTCAAGTTGGGTTTGTGTGGCTGCCCAGCAGGTGCCCTCCCACTCCATTCACTGCAAGAATTCTTTCTGACCATCTGCCCCTGCACCCCAGCCTAGTTTTAGCTGCATGGGAACCCTTAGGAGTATGTTTAAAATGTGGACTCATGGCTCTGCCCCTAGAGACTGATGTAGAAGTTTTGGGCAGTGGGGCCCTGGGCTCTGCATTTTAAAGATTCCCCAGATGTCCCGCTCTGCATCCCATCTTTCCACAGCCTAGCAGGCAGGTGCTTCTGCTTTTGGTCTAGCCTAAAGCCCTCCACCTGTGTCCCCTGCTTGCTCCAGCTGCTTCTCGCAGAAACATACAGTCCTGACTAGTGAGCTGAGATGGGGCTGTTGGGGAGCCCTGGGTGGGGGGGACTCGGGAGTGGGGAACGGCAGTAATACAGGAGCAAGAGTGAGGGCTCTGGAGGTTCAAATCCAATCCTGTTCCTGTTAATTGCTAGTTGTATATCTATGTGTGTTTTTGCTTTTTAGAGACAGGGTTGTGCTCTGATGCCTAGGCTGCAATGCAATGGCACGATCACAGCTCACTGCAGCCTCCATCTCCTGGGCTCAAGTGATCCTCCCACCTCAGCCTCCCAAGAAGCTGGGACTACAGGCACGCACAACCATGCCCAGATAATTTAAAAATTTTTTATAGAGATAGGGTTTTGCCATGTCGCCCAGGCTGGTCTCAAATTCCTGGGCTCAAGGGATCTGCCCTCCTGGGCCTCCCGAAGTGCCGGGATTACAGGCATGAGCCACTGCACCTGGCTCCAAATAAATTCTTATGATCTTTCTCCTGTGGCGTGGACCAGGCTGGGGCCACTGTCTCCAGGGGACAGGGGTGGCTGGGCTGGAGCAACTAAGCAAACGCAAAGCCCCAGGAGGAACAGGCCGACACTCACCACAGAGGTCAGGTCCACGTTCTCCACCCTCCTGTCCTGCAGCAGCACGGGCTGTAGGCCGGCGACACGGAGCTGCACCGAGGATGTGCGGTACACGAAACTCAGCAGCCAGTCTCCCCTGTGGGAGGGTAGAGAAGCATGTGAACATTAGCACCAGCCTCGGACAGCCCAAGGACAGGACGGGCCAGGCTGCCTCCTGGGGAAGCCAGGTGGGAATGGAGCTTCTGGGGGAAAACAGGGCCCCTGATTGCACGGTGGGGATGGAAGATGAAGCAGCCACAGCTGATGCTTTTGGAGCCTGGCCTGGGTGCCAGGCATGGTGTGCAGGGCTATGCACAAGCACCAGGTAGCTCCATGAAGGCGGCCTGCTTTGTTCCCAGCTGGGTCTCCAGAGCTAAGAACAGTGTCTGGCATGCAATAGAGGAATATCTGCTGAATGAATGAATGAATGAGGAATCTGGATAAAGTTCTCAAAAAGTCACCATGTGGCTCAGGAGAGCTACTCCCAGCTCGGGAAAGGTGGCTTGTCCAGGGCTCCCTGGAAAAAGAAAAGCAGAGAAGGTCCACCTGTGAGGAGGGGAGGAACTCTGGGGTCTAGGCGACCTATCTGTGAGCTGAAGGGACCAGCTTGGCCTTCCCAGGACAGGCTCAGCCCAGGCTGCAGGTCTCCCTGCCCTCAGGCAGCAGAGGAGGCGAGGGTGGTTGTCCAGGCAGTCACAGCGCTGGGAACATTCCTCTACTTTCAGGGGTGCTGTGACCCCACTCCGTGAACCTGGCCCCAGCCAAACACTGCCCCTACACTATCCAGAAGAAATGACCTCGGACCCTCTGCTGCCCATTGCTTCAGGTGCAATGAGCACTGTCTACAGAGGACATGGTCTGAGGGGCCCCTTGAAGCAGCCTTCCCTCGCAAACCCTTGAACTGTCTTGGGATGCAGCTGGGCCATCCCAGAGCCATGCCCTCGGGCCTTGCCGCCCAGCAAGTCTGCGCACAGGCAAGCTTCTGTTCTCCCCTCTGCACCCCAGGCTCAGATCCAACTCAGCCCATTCTGCTGTCTTTTATGTGGACTAAATACATGGTGTTATTTTTGCACACTGGTTGATCTGAAAGAAGGGTCCTCCCTCACTGTAGAGGGATAAGAATGGCTGAGAGATAGGAGGCTGGGGTTGGAATCCTGGTGGCCCTGTCTATGTGCCCTGCTGTGTGACCACAGGCAAGTCCCCCACCTGTCTGGGACACAGGGCATGGTGGTGCTCTCTAGGCTCCTCCAAGCTCTGACCCTCTGTGGTCTCTGAGCACCTGGGTTTGTGAGTGGGTACCACTCTGAAAACCCCCAGGAGGACTGGGTCCCTGAGCTAAGGGGTCCTCTACAGACTCTCCTGCTGTGTCCCGAAGTGAGATCATCCGTCCCTAACTCCTTCCCCACTGTAATCTGCCCAGTCCTTCAAGTAGAAACCAATGTCTTGGGTGCCTCCTCCCTATGGCCAACGTATCAGAGTCCTCCCAGTTCTTCCTCCCCTCTCCCCTCCAATACCTGCCCCTTGTGGTCAAGCCCTGAGAGCAGGCAATCCTCCCTCCCCGCCCCATGGATGAATGCGACGGCCTCTGCACCGCACTCCCTGCTCCTGGCCTCACCTACCTTGAGCCACTGGAGTCTTCCTAGAACACCCATCTGACCACTGTGCTCCCTTATAAGCAGACCATAGCTCTCCATTACCTATGGGCTTTCTCATCTAGACAATTCCTTCAGTCTCTCCAGAGAGCAATGCTTTCAGGTACCGATGATTATCCTAATATTGAGGGTCCAAGAAGCACTGTCTAAGAATGGACGGTTGCAGGGCGCGGTGGCTCACGCCTGTAATCCCAGCATTTTGGGAGGCTGAGGTGGGAGGATTGCTCGGGCCCAGGCATTTGAGACCAGCCTAGGCAACACAGGGAGACCCCATCTCTACAAAACACACAAAAATTAGCTGGGCATGGTGGTGTGTGCCTGTGGTCCCAGCTACTTGGGAGGCTGAGGCAGGAGGATCATCTAAGCCCAAGGCAGTTGAGGCTGCAGTGAGCCATGGTTGTACCACTGCACTTCAGCCTGGGCAACAGAGTGAGACCTTGTCTCAAAAAACAAAAAACAAAAAACTAAAATAAAAAAAATTAAAAAAAAAAAGGATGGCTAGAGGGAGAAAAGGGAGATCAATTCAAGTTATTTTATTGAACTATTTATAAGAATCCAGTGCATCAAATACTGGATATGAGGATGGTCAGGAAATGTTTCCAATACAGCTGGGTATAAATGAGCAAAGACAGCATCATTCCTCCAAAATTATTTCTGTTGTAATTATGACAACATTTTAGTTAAAATGTGAATTACATGTATTTATACACATGTAGGGGCAGAGCAGGAACACAGATTAGAAGGTTCTGTACCCTCTCACTGTGCTGAGCAAACCATGGGCCTTCACTGGCATTCAAGACCTTCTCCACCCGGCTCTGGACCATACAGAGCCAGGTTCATTTCCTGCCTTGTCAATTATGAGCTGTGTGACCTTGGACAGGTTGCTTGACCTTTCTGAGCCTCAGTCTCCTCAGGTTATCTTAGCTTTCAGCATTGGCGGGAGCATTAACTGAGGGGGGACATGTATACACAGGTGTTCAGGGAGCCGCGGGCATGACTATTAGCGCCTGTGCTGGACGTGTGTGTGCTGTGCCGCCTCTCTCTGGTTCAGTCTGTGCTTCCGGTCTCTGATGGGTTCCTATAGCCATCCTTTCAAAATTCACCTTGGACATCCCCTCCTCCAGGGAGTGCCCTGGGCCTCTCCACCCAGTACTATATATATACGTTTTGAGACAGGGTCTTGCTCTGTTGCTCAGGCTGGAGTGCAGTGGCACGATCTTGGCTCATTGCAGCCTCTGCCTCCTGGGCTCAAGCCATTCTCCCACCTCAGCCTCCCAAGTAGCTGGGACTACAGGTGTGCATCACCATGCCTGGCTAATTTTTGTATTTTTTTGCTTTTGTTTTTGAGACATAGTCTCGCTCTGTTGCCCAGGCTGGAATGCAGTGGCACGATCTTGGCTCACTGCAGCCTCTGCCTCCTAGGGTCAAGCCATCCTCCCATCTCAGCCTCCCAAGTAGCTGGGACTACAGGCATGAGCCACCATGCCTGGTTAACTTTTGTATTTTTTTTGAGACATAGTCTCGCTCTGTTGCTCAGGCTGGAGTGCAGTTGCATGATCTTGGCTCATTGTACCCTCTGCCTCCTGGGCTCAAGCCATCCTCCCACCTCAGCTTCCCAAGTAGCTGGGACTACAGGTGTGCGCCACCATGCCTGGCTAATTTTTGTATTTTTTTTTTTTTTTTTTGTGGACACAGGTTTTGCCATGTTGTTCAGGCTGGTCTTGAACTCCTTCCTGGGCTCAAGCGATCCTCCTGCCTTGGCCTCCCAAAGTGCTGGGATTACAGGTGTGAGCCACTGCGCCTGTCCTCCATCCGAAATGATTAATCATTCACCCCTTGTGTGCCTGGTACTTCTTCCTTTTATGATGTTTGCCACACATCTCCTGTGTTTCCCCTTTTCTAGAAAAGCAGAGAGCTCCCTGAGGGCAGGTCTGTGCCTTAGTCATCCCTGTATCCTGAGCTGAACCGGGAACTCGCTGCCACTCTCTCCCAGGCCCTCCAGCCAATGCTGATGTGCAAGCCCCAGGCTGAACAACTGCCACCTGCTGAAGGCAGACATGGCTCACTCACAAGGCCTCGAGCCACCTGTGGGCAGGGGTCCTCCCTGCTCCTTCTTCTGTCATCCCTTCCTCACATGGCACCTGGGGCAGAGCCCACAGGGTGGCCTCTTGTCCTGGGTTACAAGGAGCCCGCCTGAGGACTCAGAATGTGGCCCTCTCACGGTGGGGTGAGACAGGCCTGAGCTCATATCCTGGGTCTGCCTGTGGGTCCCTGGGCAAGTCACTTGCCCCTTTTTGAGTTTCACTTCCTCAGGGATGTGACAGGCAGCAGTGCTATCACCTCAGCTAGCTTCCAGAAGGTTCGTGAATAGCCCAGGTAAGGGAGTGGATTTACAAAGAGCTTTATTCATGTAAATTACACATGAGTAAACTTGTGTAGTTGGGTAGGGTTGGCCTGAATCCCCATCCCTCTTACCCTCCATGTTTATGTTCTCAGCAGCTAAAAGGCCTTTGGAGGCCAAGAATCTGAACTCCTGGCTGATGCTTAATTTAACCAAAGAACTACAGTTGTTTTGATCTACACTCTCTCTCCCCTTCCCTCCTTCCCTTTCTTCTTCCTTCTCTTTCTCCTTTCTCTCCATAAAGAGATGGCCCAGGGTCTCACAAAATAATTGAAAACCAAGTTATGTACCTCAGGTTCTCAACAGAACAGATGGGTTTAATAAGATTTTGCTGTGTTCCCACTGCACACATGCAATTTTAATTCTTTCCCTTTGCTGTTTACAAAAAGTACCAAAAAATCATGTGCGGCGGGGTGCAGTGGCTCACGCCTGTAATCCCAGCACTTTGGGAGGCTGAGACGGGTGGATCACGAGGTCAGGAGATTGAGACCATCCTGGCTAACACGGTGAAACCCCATCTCTACTAAAAATACAATAAATTAGCCGGGCGTGGTGGCGTGTGCCTGTAGTCCCAGCTACTCGGGAGGCTGAGGCAGGAGAATGGCATGAACCTGGGGGGTGGAGCTTGCAGTGAGCTGAGATTGCAACACTGCACTCCAGCCTGGGTGACAATGTGAGACTCCGTTTCAAAAAAAAAAAAAGGCATGTGCTATGTGAGTATGCCAAGTAATAAACATTATAACTGTTATCATTTATTGGGCACCTACTAAGTGCCAGTTCTTCTGCTTCATAATGTCATTTAATCTTCCCAGAACCTCTGTACAGGAGGGACTATTATTCCTATTTTATAGGTGGGGACACTGAATTCAGGGAAGTTGTTTGTCTAAACCCATTCAAAAGGTAAATGGCAGAGGCAAGATTTTAACCTAGGACTGTCTTGCATCAAAGTCTTTGTCCATTCCTTATCTTTTTCATATACATATATATATATATATATATATATATATTGAGATGGAGTCTTGCTCGCTGCCACTCTCTCCCAGGCCCTCCAGCCAATGCTGATGTGCAAGCCCCAGGCTGAACAACTGCCACCTGGAGTACAGTGGTGCGATCTTAGCTCACTGCAACCTCCGCCTCCCAGGTTCAAGTGATTGTCCTGCCTCAGCCTCCCACCATGCTGCCTGGCCTACGTTTGGTGCTCACTGAATTTGCTGAATGAATATCCCAAGTGATTGACAATGATGAATGAAAAAAATGGTGACATCACCTGTCATTCACAAAGCATGTATGTACCATGCACACACATACACACATGTACACATGGACAATCATGTGCACGAGCATGTACATACATGCAAACACACACACGTTCAGCTCTGTAAATCCTTCAAGCATCATCACAACTCTGAGGGCAGTTGCTACCAGTATCCCTCTTTTACTGATGGAGAAACGAAGGTGGGCCTCAGAACCCAGGCCTGTGTGCTTCCAAATCAAGAGCCTTAAACACTGTTGCTCTGAAAACACGTTTGCTTCATCCAGAGGCTGGATGGATGGGGCTTCTACTCAGGCCAATCTTAGAGGGCTCAGTTTTGGGTTTAATCTTCCCTCCTGCCCCAAAGTCTGAGTCACAGCTTTGGCTGAAACCCCGCAGGTCCTCCTTCTCAAACCCCAAAGGGTTGCTTCCTTTCTAGCCCTGCAGCCGCCAGCCTTCACGGGCCCCCTCCTCTGGCTGGAGGGTCTGTCACCCTGTTTGGGTATAGGCTCCTGCACGCTGGCGGCCTCCTGTTCTAGCACCCTGCCCTGTCTCCAAGGCAGCACTCAGAAAGCTCAGCCTAGGCCCCTCCAGCCCCTCCCTCCACCACCAAAGACTAACACAGAAGCCTCTCAGACCTTGTTCAAACACCTCCCTGTGGCCCAATCTTTGTTTTTCAGTCTGTGTTCCACTCGCCCATGTCCCTTCCCCCAGCTCCAACCAGGCCAAGCCGCCCCAGCCTCTCCTGTCATCCTGCTGCTCTCAGGCCTGACACAGAAACATCTTCTCAGAATCCACCCTTCTGTCCATCATGCTACTGGAGGGCCGCTTCCCAGATCAGATCACCAGGCCTGGGCCTGCTCCTAACAGGGCCGGTGCCCGGCCGGTTCCTGGGATCTTCCAGGACAGGGATTAGGTCTCAAATATGTGTCCCCAACACAGAGCCTGGGCATACTAAGTGCTCCGTAAGCATTGTCACTTCCCCGCTGGCACGAGGTTTGGACAGACCTGCAGTAGCCGTTGATGATCCTCCCGGACACCACCTTCCGGAAAGGCTCCCAATGCTTGGCTTCTCCCTCCACAGGCGCACCCAGCAGGATGACGTCCTCGATGATTCCTTGGCAATCTGGCAAAAGACCCCAGAAAAGGCCGTCAGTGTCCCTGGCCACATTGGGTGCTGGGAGGGACTCCAACAGCAGTGGAGGAGATGAATGTCACACACATACACATGCACACACGTGAACGTGGACAATCATGTGCAAATGTGCATGTACACACATGCAAACACGCAAACATGCATGGATAGGCATGGAGGCTTCTACCTACTGAGTTCCAGAACCTGAATCAAGCCTCTTATATGTCTAATCTATTCCTTCAAAGGATCATTACACCATTTTATCTATTTTATTTTATTAATTATTTATTTTTTGAGGTGGAGTCTCACTCTGTTGCCCCGGCTGGAGTGCAGTGGCATGATCTCAGCTCACTGCAACCTCCGCCTCCTGGGTTCAAGCGATTCTCCTGTCTCAGTCTCCCAAGTAGCTGGGATTACAGACACGTGCCACCATGCCCGGCTAATTTTTTGTATTTTTAGTAGAGATGGGGTTTTACCATGTTGGCCAGTCTGGTCTCCAACTCCTGACCTCAGGTGATCCACCCGCCTTGGCCTCCCAAAGTACTGGGATTACAAGCGTGAGCCACCGCAGCCAGTCTCATTTTCCCCATTTTAGAGTTAAGGAAAACCAAAGATATCTGCAAGATCACATGGCTAATAAGTTCCAACACAGCCTGGGTTGGAACCCAGGTCTCTCTCCACCACCCACAAAGCTCACACCAGCCGTGGACTATGGATGGATGTCTTCCTTTAGAAGAGACTAACGGGCCCCGCATCATCTTGCATGCCAGGTGGGAGACACCAATATCTTCCTCTGCAAAAGGTTCCCTGGGACCTGTGCAGACTGGTGGGAAGTGGGGGGTGAAGAGGAGAGGGGGCGAGTAGGTCCTGGGGTCAGGGAGTGCACTCGTCCGCTGCATCGATCTAATGATTTAGGAAATATTTCAGGTCAGGGCTATTCAAAGTGCAGTCTGGGCTGGGGGCGGTGGTTCACCTAGTGTTGGTAATCTCAGCATTTTGGGAAGCCGAGGCATAAGGATCGCTTCAGCCCAGGAGTTCAAGACCAGCTTGGGCAACATAGTGAGACCCTTGTCTTTTATTTATTTATTTCTTTGAGACAGAGTCTCGCTCTGTAGCCCAGGCTGGAGTGCAGTGGCGCAATCTCGGCTCACTGCAAGCTCCGCCTCCTGGGTTCACACCATTCTCCTGCCTCAGTCTCCCAAGTAGCTGGGACTATAGGTGCCCGCCACCACACCCGGCTAATCTTTAGTATTTTTAGTAGAGACAGGGTTTCACTGTGTTAGCCAGGATGGTCCTGATCTCCTGACCTCGTGATCCGCCTGCCTCAGCCTCCCAAAGTGCTGGGATTACAGGCGTGAGCCACCGTGCCTGGCCGAGACTCTTGTCTTTACAAAAAAAAAAAAAAAAAAAGTCAGGGCCCGGCACAGTCGCTTATGCCTGTAATCCCAGCATTTTGGGAAGCCAAGGTGGGTGGATCACTGAAGGCCAGGATTTAGAGACTAGCCTTGCCAGCATGGCAAAATCCTGTCTCTACTAAAAATACAAAAATTAGCTGGGTGTGGTGGTGGCAAAAGCCTGTAATCCCAGCTATTTGGGAGGCTGAGGCGCGAAAATTGCTTGAGCCCGGAGGCAGAGGTTGCAGTGAGCTGAGAATGGGCCACTGCACTCCAGCCTGGGCCACAGATTGAGATTCTGTCTCAAAAAGAAAGAAAATTTAGCTGGGTGTGGTGGTGCACACCTATAGTCCCAGCTACAGCTACTTGGGAGGCTGAGGCAGGGAGATTGCTTGAGCCCAGGAGTTTGAGGCCACAGTGAGCTATGATCACACCACTGCACACCAGCCTGGGTGACAGAGGCAGACCTTGTCTCAAAACAAACAAGCAAACAAACACCAAAGTGCAATCCAATTGTTCTGTAAGTACAGAAATAGAGAAGCCAACATGTCTTTTAAAATCTTGCTGCAGATTGGAAACCAGTAGTTCCCAGATGGGCATGTGGACCAGGCTTGGAGAAACACTGCTCTGGACAAACAAGAGGTGCAAATGCACCCCTCCCTCAGCCTCTATCCAATCCTCTGCTTTATTTTTCTCCTTGTCACAGATTATTGTCTATCATCTGTCTCCTCCTCTAACATGGAGGTTCAATGAGGGCAGGCACTCCAGTGCCTTATTCACAGCAGTGTGGCAGGGCCCAGAACAGCACCGGTTACAGATTTGGTGCTCAATAAAGATTTGAATGAATGAATGAATCAGTAAATAAATGTCTGTCTCTATCAGGAAAACCAGTTTACAGGCTTTGACATCAGGTTCAAATCCCAGCTTAGCCACTTCCGAGCTATGTGACTTGAACCAAATCATGTAACTTCTCCAAGCCTAAAAGAGGATGATGATGCTGGCCTTATAGGGTCTTTATGAGGATTAAGTCACATGGGAAAAACCCCAGCATAGTGAATGCACAGTGGGAGTTCGTGCGCCCCACTGGCCTGTCTAGCCCCCTGCCTCCCCCTTGTGGCACTCTCTTCCTTTCCCTTCCCTTTTTCTTTCCCTTCCCTTCCCTTCCCTGCCTTCCTTCCTTCCCTCCTTCCTTCCTTCCCTCCTTCTCTCCTTTCTTTCCTTTCTCCCTCCCTCCTTCTTTTCTTTTCTTTCTTTTTCTTTTCTTCCTCTTTTTTTTTTTTTGACAGAGTCTCACTCTCACCCAGGCTAGAGTGCAGTGGTGCAATCTTGGCTCACTGCAAATTCCACCCCCCAGGTTCAAGCGATCCTCCTGCCTCAGCCTCCCAAGTAGCTGGGACTACAGGCATGCACCACCATGCCTGGCTAATTTTTGTATTTTTAGTAGAGATGGGGTTTCACCACGTTGGCCAGGCTGGTCTCAAACTCCCGACCTCAGGTGATCCATCTGCCTCGGCCTCCCAAAGTGCTGGGATTACAGGCATGAACCACCACGCCCGTCCAGCTCTTTCTTATGGTCTGAGTTCCCTCACACACCAGGAAGCCGCACACTCAGTTCCTTGCTGGGAAATGTTCCCGGCTGGGACAGCTTCAACCAGTTCTGCTACTCTTTTGCTGAGCGACACAGGACAGACAGACACAGACAGAGACAGCTTCCTCTCTCTGGGCTCCAGTTTCTAACCAGAGTGCTTTCAGTGGTTTTCCTTTTGGGCTTCCATGTCAGAGTTTGTCTGAATACAGGGTTCCAGGCTGATAACAGTTTGAAAACCCTTGTAGTACCAAGCTCTCTGAGTTCCCCTCTGGCTCTGAGGTTAAAAGACTCCATAGCACAGAACTCTGATTTTGCTCCTTTTGTTTCCAGGACAATGACAATCTGGCAGAAGAATTTAAAACTTCAGTAAGCTGACAGTTTGTGGTGAATAGCAAGGATGGCTCAGATATCCCTCCAACATAAAGGCTACTTCAGGTGCTTTTGTTGTTGGCAAGGCTGTTGCTGAGAAGGCCCTTAGAGATCAACGCGATTTCCCTTGGAAGACGAGGAAACAGGGTCAGAGAGGGGATGGGGCTTGCCCAAGGTCACACAGCCAATGAGAATAAGCCTGGGAGCAGAACGCAGACTGCACGCAGAGCTGCTGGTCCCTGGGGCCTTTCTCTCTGCTGTCTGCAATAACAACGTGCACAGTGATCATATGCGGGTTATCGTTGCTCCTACAGTGCCAAATGGTTGTGGACCCAGGGATAACCATGAGCTCAGCAGCTTTCTCTGGGGGCCGGCCATTCAGGGCGCCTTCTCTGCCTGGCAGAGTCTGCCCTGCTAAGAGCTGGGACTGCTTTTCGAGCCTTGGTGCGGCTGCCTGCAGGGCTGGGACCCCTTGTGGCCAGCGGTGGTAATAGCAGCATTCCTGAGCCACAGTCAGGATCCACGGACAGCTGAGCTTCAGGAAAACCTAAAAAGGGAGCCGCCTGTGACCTTGAACTGAGACTCGTAGTTGAACCCCATAAAATAGTCCTGAGCACAGCCAAACCAAGCTGGCAACACATTTACCCATCTCTGAAGCTGGGCTGGCAGCTGCCTAGCTGGGACCCTCCCCCTTTCCTCCTTAGACCACTGCCATGCCCAGATGTACCCTTAGATTTTAAAGATTTGCTCTCTTTGTCGCTGCTGACCTGGAGATAAGCTACGTGGCAGGCTCTCAGCAATGCATGGTGTTAGCTAAGGGCGGTTGGCAAGAACCACCTTAGACCAGGGGTGTCCAATCTTTTGGCTTCCGTGGGCCACATTGGAAGAACTGACTTGAGCCACACATAAAATACACTAACACTAGGCGGGCACCGTGGCTCACACCTGTAATCCCAGCACTTTGGGAGGCTGAGGCGGATGGATCACCTGAGGTCAGGAGTTTGAGACCAGCCTGGCCAACATGGCAAAAACCTGTCTCTACTAAAAATACAAAAATTAGCCAGGCGTGGTGGTGGGTGCCTGTAGTCCCAGCTACTCGGAAGGCTGAGGTAGGGGAATCGCTTGAACCCAGGAGGCGGAGATTGCAGTGAGCTAAGATGGTACCACTGCACTCCAGCCTGGGCGACAGAGACAGACTCCATCTCAAAAATAAATAAATAAATAAATAAACAAATAAATAAAAATAAATTAACACAATAGTCGATGAGATAAAAAAATAAAAAAAAGAATTGCAAAAAAAAAAACAACTCATGTTTTAGGAACGTTACTAATTTGTGTTGAGCTGCATTCAAAGCCATCCTGGGTGGCATGTGGCCAGCAGGCCACTGGTTGGACAAGCTTGCCTTAGACCCACCCAAGGTAGATATGGATAGGCAGTCAGAGCCCATTACCACCTGACTGTTCCTAGAACGGGATGGTGTAGGAGGGGAAACCTATTTAGGTTAGGAAAAAGACGATACTGGCTGCTGTCATAGCTGCTGGAAAGGAAAAAAAAAAACAGTCAAAATCCACTGTTTGGTTCAAAACCTTATAATACTAGAATAATTCAGCCTTCCAGGTAAACTACGGAAAATCCTCACTCGGGTACCACTTTTTAATTTAATTTAAATTTTGAGACAGGGTCTCCCTCTGTTGCCCAGGCTGGAGTGCTGTGGCGCAATTGTGGCTCACTGCAGCCTCGACCTCACAGGCTCAAGTGATTCTCCTACCTCTGCCTCCCAAGTAGCTGGGACTACAGGTGTCTGTCATCATCACACCTGGCTGATTTGTTAAATTTTAGTAGAGATGAGGTCTTGCTATGTTGCCCAGGCTGGTCTCAAACTCCTGGACTCAGGTAATCCTCCCACCTTAGCCTCCTAAAGTGCTGGGATTTATAAGAGTGAGCCACCGCATCTGGCCCAGGTACCACTTGCAGTGTCAAGCAAGTCCCTTCCACAGGGACAGAAAATCCTTCAGATCATCATGTGGATTCAGTGTAGAATGCCCCCGGTTTTCAAGACCGACAAAAGAAACTGAGATTTAAACATTTCAATAATAATGGATATGAGAAGACCTCACTGCCCTTTCACTGCATGGACAATGAGTGTTTGCTGAAACATGTTTGGGATTTATTCCTACCGCTACCATCAGCTTTTCTTCTTGTAAATTTTCAAGACATTAGGAGAGCCCTATATAGCTTTAGAAATATTCAGACTTTTTATGTAAAAGAGGGCAGGGATTAACTTCAAGTTCAGGAGTCGAGTCATAGACATGTAGAGCGTTTATGCTTGCATTTCTCATTTTTAAACAGTTCTCGCTAAGTTATTAATATCCTATTTTTACTGTGAGAGCTGAAGGCCTTTCATCCTATTATAACTTTGGCATTAAGGCAGTTCCAAACCTGCAGTAGTTGGAAAAGCTTCATCAGTCATGTCTTTACCCCTCAGCTCTTAGAACTTATTGTCATTCACATGTGCCGTGAAAAAAAATGTTTCTTTCCAACACTTTCTTTGCCTCTACCTCTTATTGCTATTTTAAACACAGGAGCCCAGCTGATCACTTTACATTCTCAGTCATAGGCATGAGATGTCTTTTTAGATTGATGGAAATGTTCTAAAATTGGATTTGGTGATGATTGCACAGCTCTATATATGTCCTAAAAATCATTAAATTGTGCATTTAAAATGGGTGGGTCTTGTGGTACATAAATTATACTGCAGTGAAGTCAGATCATGTCACCTTTGTGCTTAAAAACCTCCCAGGGGACCCATCTCTCATGGAGTCAAAGTTAAAGTCATTGCAATGGCCTCGAAGCCCTGCCTGACCTTCCCTTCATTCTCTGTGCTCCAGCCACACTGGCCTTGCTGTTCCCTCTTTGAAATGGTTTGGACGTTTGTCCCCTCCAGATTTCATGCTGAAATGTGATGTGGGGCCTGGTGGGAGCTGTTTGGGTCATGGGGGTGGATCCTTCATAAATGGCTTGGTGCCCTTCTCTTGGTGATGGGTGAGATCTCAGTTTATTAGTTCATGAAAGATCTGATTACTTAGAGACTGGCAGCTGGGCACGGTGGCTCACACCTGTATTCCCAGTGCTTTGGGAGGCCAAGGTCGGTGGATTGCTTGAGGCCAGCAGTTTGAGACCAGTCTGGCCAACATGGCAAAACCCAGTCTCTACTAAAAACACAAAAATTATCCCGGGGTGGTGGCACATGCCTGTAATCCCAACTTCTTGGGAGGCTGAGGCAGGAGAATCACTTGAACCTGGGAGGAGGAGATTGCAGTGAGCAGAGATCGCACCACTGTACTCCAGCCTGGGCAACAAGAGTGAAACTCTATCTCAAAAAATATATAACCCCTTGAAGTCTGCCTGGGCACATGCCACATGCAGGTTTAGGTGCACGCCTAGCCTTCTCGGTTGTATTAGTCCATTTTCACACTGCTAGAAAGACCTACCTGAGACTGGGTAATTTATGAAGAAGAGAGGTTTAATTGACTCACAGATCCACAGGCTTAACAGGAAGCATGACTGGGAGGCCTCAGGAAACTTACAATCATGGCGGAAGGTGAAGGGGAAGCAAGCTTGTCTTCCCATGGTGGAGCAGGAGAGAGAGTGAAGGGGAAGTGTGACACACCTTTAAGCAACCAGATCTCGTGAGAACTCACTATCATGAGAACAGCATGGGGAAATCTGTCACTATAATCCAATCACCAATCGCCTCCCACCAGGCCTCTCCTTCAACACAGCGGGATTACAACGCCACATGAGATTTGGGTGGGGACACAGAGCCAAACCATATCACTTGTATAAGGGTAAACAATTCTACTCTGGGGGTTTGGGACAGCCTAGTTTTGTTAGAGGCTATTGTAGGGAAGCCTACGATGGTACTGTCACATGCTGAACCATTCTGAATGCTTCCAGACAGCATCCTCAGAAGAGGAAACAGAAAGTTCAAAGGTCAAAGACCCCCAGAATTTAGATAATTTCTGTTTCTATCTTGTGAATTGCTCTTGTCATGTTTTCAGCAGCTCACACTGGACTCCTGAGACGGTGCTTTACCACTTGGTACCCCTAAAAGTCTGGAAATTATCTTAGCTTTTTAAAAAAAAAATACATAAATAAAAAAAAAAAAACCCAAGAGCTGAGAATGGACAGCGTCATCACAGCAGCAAACTTCAGCTCACACTAGAGCCTTGATCTCAAAAACTGTGTTTAAATTAAGTTTTTTGTGAAACTAAACATTCTTAAAATGCACAAAGCGGGGCCAGCCCTTCCAAAGGGCCCCACAGAGAACACTTTCGGACAGTGTGGGGCCTTTGCCAGCGGGAATCAGGTGAAGGTCCCAGCTTCACCTTTGTCATTTCCCCCTTTCCACACAGTGAGCTTCCTTAAAGTGAGGCAAACCCTCACAGAGCTTTCTGTTATCCCAGGGCCTGCTCCTTTAGCTGCCACTCAGAAATCTCATCAAACAGCTGGGAAGGCAGCACCTCTCACTCCCACATGCCTGTCACGCTGTCAGTAAAGAGATTCTGCTGGGCTGCAAAGACCAAAGAATCACAAGTTCAAGAAGCAAAAAAGAAGGATTTTCTCCCTCCTGGTGGGGGTTCATGTGTGCAGCGAGTGATAAGGTAGAAACCAAGGAGGAATTTATTTCCTGACTGCGGGTCCAGTAAAAAGACCTTGAAGGAAACACTATGAACTGCACTAACACAAATGAAATCCATTCCAAAGATACACACGTGCACATGATAGACACGTAGAGAGAGGCCACAGAAGGGAGGGGGGACCAAGAAAGGAGAAAGGGCGGCTTTGACTGTACCCCCAAGCCCCGCAGTGGAATGAGGTTCACACTGGAAAGAATCGCTTAAAGGAGCCTGTTTGGACATATACCAGGATTTGGGATGAATTCTTTAAGGGAATGACTAAACCTTCATCTCTCCTCTTTGATTCCCATCTCTTTTATTTGGTCATGCAAAGTGATAAGGCTATTACTAACATCCCGGCGGGGGGGGGGGACCCTAAAAATTAATCTGCACTGCCTGACCTCCCCTCCTTCTCCCCTCCCCCCACCCCAGGGGGACTAAAGCTGGGTTTGTCTGAGAATAAAGCAACTGGTGGATACAATCCATGGAAGGGAAATAAATCACATCAAATGTAATGTCTGCTGTCTGCTATCATGGAGATGAAAGAGCCAGCTGACCGAGTGACAGTCTCTTCTGCATTTCAGCTGATATCTAGTGACAGCCCAGACATAATTTTCAGCCAAGTAAGAATTTGGGGACTCAAGGGTCAGGATGTTTAAATGTATCTTTGTGAGCACATTGACAAACTCTTTGGCTTTGGTTTTATCTTGCAAACATCATGGGCAATAATGTTGGCCTAACTTCACAGGGGCAGGGAATGAAACCGGAGATTGTGCTGCAAGGCTTTTTTGTTTCTGTTTGTTTTTTTTTTGTATAAAAACAAACAAACAAAAAAAGCTCTGGAATTCTATTTTTTTTTCTTTTCTTTCTTTTTTTTTTTTAGACAGAATCTCGCTCTTGTTGCCCAGGCTGGAGTGCAATGGCGTGGTCTCAGTACACTGCAACCTCCACCTCCTGGGTTCACGTGATTCTCCTGCCTCAGCCTCCCGAGTAGCTGGGATTACAGCCACCATGCCCAGTTAATTTTGTATTTTTAGTACAGATGGGGTTTCTCCATGTTGGTCAGGCTGGTCTTGAATTCTCGACCTCAGGTGTTCTGCCCGCTTCAGCCTCCCAAAGTGCTAGGATTACAGGTGTGAGCCACCGTGCCCAGCCTGGAATTCTATTTTTTAAAAATTTATTTTATTTTTTATATTTTGAGACCAGGTCTTGCTCTGTTGCCCAGGATGGAGTGCAAGTGGTGTGATCATAGCTCACTGCAGCCTCAACCTCCCAGGCTCAAGCCACCCTCCTGCCTCAGCGTCCCAAGTAACTGGGACTACAGGTGTGTGTTACCATGCCCCCATTTTTTTTTTTTTTGGATTTTTAGTAGAGATGGGATCTCACTATGTTGCCCAGGTGGGTATCGAACTCCTGAGCTCAAGCAATCTTCCTGCCTCAGCCTCCCAAAGTGCTGGGATTCCATCGCACCTGGCTGGAATTCCATTTCTTAATCCTCGTCCTCCTCTTCCTCTTCTTTATCATCATCATCTCAGTTTATTTCAGGGTAGGCTCAGGACTAAGTGCTTCATACATCAATTAATTTCCTTTACTCTTCACAACAATCCTAGGAGGTAAGCATGACCACTTCCATTTAACGATGGGAAGCCTAGCCTCCGACACGCCAAGTAATTTGTCCAAGATCACACAGTAAGTAAGTGGCATGGTGGAATTTGGTTATTCTTATATTTTCCCTCCTACTCTCCTGTCCCACTTCCCTTTGCAATCAAATAAAACCTTGAACCAAAATACATGTCTTCTGACACCTGACATCTTTCAAAATTGTGTATGAAAGCCAGAACACACACACCTGTGAAGGTGAACATTTCAGATTTTGTTGATTCAAGGGACAACTAGCAGGCTAGAATTTCCTAAAAGATTAATATCCCGATGTATAGACCCGGCCAAGAGCATGTGGCCTTTTGCTTTGGTAATCTCTAGCACATGTGCCAAAGTGGAGGTGGGTGAACAGATACTGCTATGAAAAAGAACAGGGGCCATGTGAAACACGACACACTTTCTAGTCTTTGATGGAGAGTTAGGCAATTGGCCCACATCCTGCTACGGGAACTCAATTTTCCCATCAGAAAGATGAGTTTGAGTTAACAATAGAACTTTGAGAAATATAGCTGCTGGTAAGCTGCAGGCGGTGAGCCAGTAGAGAACAAGAAGTTTCATTCTACGTGTACCACACATGCCTCATTTTATTGCATTTTGCTTTACTGCACTTCACAGATATTACGTGTCTTACAAATTGAAGGTTTGTGGCAGCCCTGCTTCAACTAAGTCTGTTGGTGCTATTTTCCCACACTCTGAGATCACTGGAGCAGCACTTTTAATTTCCTACAAGAAGCTTTCCTTTGCATTCACAATTTGGCTGTTTGATGCAAGACGCCTGGCTTTTGGTTTGTCTCACTTTCAACATGCCTTTCTTACTCAGCTTAATCATTTCTAGCTTTTGATTTAAAGTGAGAAATGTGTGATGTTTCCTTTCACTTGAACACTTAGAGGTCATTGTAGGGAGATTTATTTGCTTGTTTTTCAGACAGGGTCTCGCTCTGTCACCCAGGCTGGAGTGCAATGGCGCAATCACGGCTCACTGCAGCCTCGACTTCCCAGGCTCAAGTGATTCTCCCACCTCAGCCTCCTGAGAAGCTGGGATTACAGACACACACCACCATGCTGGGCTAATTTTTTGCTTTTTTTTTTTGAGACAGAGTTTTGCTCTTGTTGCCCAGGCTGGATTGCAATGGCGTGATCTCAGCTCACTGCAACCTTCACCTCCTGGTTTCAAGTGATTCTCCTGCCTCAGCCTCCTGAGTAGCTGGGATTACAGGCATGCGCCACCATGCCTGGCTAATTTTGTATTTTTAGTAGAGATGGGGTTTCTCCATGTTGGTCAGGCTGGTCTCGAACTTCCGACCTCAGGTGATCCACCCACCTTGGCCTCCAAAAGTCCTGGGATTACAGGCATGAGCCATGGTGCCCGGTAAAGTTTTTGCTAGTTTTTTTGGTAGAGACAGGGTTTCGCCATGTGGCCCAGGCTGGTCTCACACTCCTTGGCTCAAGCAATCCTCCCACCTCTGCATCCCAAAGCGCTGGGATTACAGGCATGAGCCACTGGGCCCAGCTATCCATCATGTAGGGCTATTAATTGGCCTAATTTCAATACTGTTGTGTCTCAGGGAATAGGAAGGCTGGAGGAGAGGGAGAGAGGTGGGGAACAGCCAGCTGGTGGAGCATCGGAACACACACAACATTTACTAAGTTCACCGTCTTATATGGACAATGTTTGTGGTGCCCCAAAACAATTACAATAGTAACATCAAACATCACTGATCACCATAACAGATACAATAATAATGAAAAGGCTTGGCTGGGTGCAGTGGCTCTCACCTGTAATCCCAGCACTTTGGGAGGCTGAGGCAGGTGGATCATGAGGTCAGGAGTTCGAGACCAGCCTGGCCAACATGGTGAAACCCTGTCTCTACTAAAAATACAAAAAATTAGCCAGGCGTGGTGGCAGGTGCCTGTAATCCCAGCTACTCGGGAGGCTGAGGCAGGAGAATCGCTTGAACCTGAGATGCAGAGGTTGCAGTGAGCTGAGACCATGCCACTGCACTCCAGCCTGGGCAACAGAGCGAGACTCCGTCTCAAAAAAAAAAAAAAAGAAAAAAGAAAAGGCTTGAAATATTGTGAGAATTACCAAATGTGTCACAGAGGCTTAAGGTGAGCACATGTACTAGTGAAAAGGTTTGAAATATTGCAAGAATTATCAAAATGTGACACAGGGACATAGAAGGCCATATGTCTTCTATCAGTTAGCTATTGGCGTGTGACAAACCATCCCAGAACTCAGTGGCTTAAAATAATCAGTGATTATTTCCCATGAGCCTACAAATTGGCCGGGCAATTCTGCTAAAATCATCCAGGCATGGCTGATCCCACTGGGTGCACTCATGTGTCTGCAGCCAGCTGGCAGCTAGGCTGAGGCTGGGTGGGATGAGCCAGCTTTGCTCGGTGGGGTCTCTCATCCCCCCAGGAACTAACTTGGACCCATTCTTATGGTGAGGTTCTAGGAGAGAGTGGAATTCACGTGCAAGGCCTCCTGAGGCCTAGGTTTGAAAATGGCATGATGCGATTTCCTGTGCCTTCTATGGGCCAATGCAAGTCACAAGGCCAGCCCAGATTCAAGGGGTGGGGAAACAGACTACACTTCTTGATGGGAGGGGTTTCAAGGTCACATTGTAAAGTATGTGGATACAGGCAGGGGTGGGAATTATGGCCGTTTTTTGCCATCAGTCTACCACAGATGTACACAATATGTCTGAAACACTGCAACATACTGATGGCTCATGTGTAGTGGGCAACAGGTTAAATCCATTAAGACACTAGTTCAGGATGAATCTTTCTCCAAATTCTCACCCAGGAAGAAGGGGAAGGGGTGGGGGAAACACTGGGAATGATGGCAGGCTGTTGGCAAGTGGCTGGCTTTTGGGGATGTGGTTTTGGGAGTCCTGGGCTAAGGCAGGATCCACATAAAGAACTGGAGGAGTGAGCCCAGGTAGAATCCTTTAGGCAAGATCCAGGTGGGCATGGTGGTGTGCACCTGTGGTCCCAGCTACTCAGGAGGTTGAGGCAGGAGGATGGCTTGAGCCCAGGAGTTCAAGGCTGTAGTGAGCTATGGTTGTACCACTGCACTCCAGCCTGGATGACAGAGTAAGACCCTGTCTCTAAAAATATATCAACAACAACAACAACAACAACAAAAACAAAAAAAACATGCTCCTTGAAGCGCAGAGATTCATTCTGGAAAATTCTCAGCCAATAAATTATCTCTCTCCCCTATTCTCTTTTTCTTGGGGATTTCTATAAGCAAATGTCAAACTTTAATTTAATTCCTATTTTCCATCTCTTTATCTCTCCATGATGCATTGTGGTTAATTTCTTCAAATCAATCTTCCAGTTCATTATTATTATTATTATTTTTGAGACAGAGTCTCTCTCTGTCACCCAGACTGGAGTGCAGTGGTGTGATCTCAGCTCACTGCAACTTCTACCTCCCAGGTTCAAGTGACTCTTGTGCCTCAGCCTCCCAAGTAGTTGGGATTACAGGCATACACCACCACATCTAACTAATTTTTATATTTTTAGTAGAAACGGGTTTTCACCATGTTGGCCAGCGTGGTCTCAAACTCCTGGCCTCAACTGATCCACCCACCTTGGCCTCCCAAAGTGCTGGGATTACAGGTGTGAGCCACCACACCCAGCCAGTTCATTATTTTTCTCTTTAGTTTTGTCTAAACCACTTTAATTTATCCAGTATTCATTGTAATGACTCTATTTTTTTATTTCTACAAGTTACATTTGATTTATTTTCAGATCTCCGTATTCTTTTTTTCAATGTCTTGTTCCTTCCACTTATTTTCAAAGTTTAAATTTATGTCTTTAAAAACTGTAACATACTTAGCGGGTGGGGAGGGCTTCTTCAGACCATTCTGCTGGGCACTAACGGTCTAATTCTGATTGTGTTGTTTCTGCAACCTTTCTTCATGGTGGTTTTATAAGACTGGATTGAAAACTCATCTTTACAGCTACTCATACATGGGAATCTGTGTAGCCTAGATTGAGAACCTATTTTCTCCAGAGCAGTTTTCTCTTTTAAAAAATCATTTAGGCTGGGTGCAGTGGCTCACGCCTGTAATCCCACCACTTTGGGTGGCTGAGGCGAGCGGGTCACCTGAGGCCAGGAGTTCGGGACCAGCCTGACCAACATGGTGAAACCCCGTCTCTATTAAAAATACAAAAATTAGCTGGGCGTGGTGGTGGGCACCTGTAATTCCAGTTACTCAGGAAGCTGAGGGAGGAGAATCGCTTGAACCCAGGAGGTGGAGGTTGCAGTAAGCCCAGATCGCGCCACTGCACTCCAGCCTGGGTGACAAGAGTGAAACTTCATCTCAAAATAAATAAATAAATAAATAAAAAATAAAAAGTATGGCCAGGTGCAGTGGCTCATGCATGTAACCCCAGCACTTTTGGAGGCCGAGGTGGCAGGATCACTTGAGCCAGGAGCATGAGACCAGCCTGGGCAATGTAGGAAGTCCCCACCTCTACAAAAAGAATTTGAAAATTAGCCAGGCACACCTACAGTTCCAGCTACTTGGGGGTGCTGAGGTGGGATCACTTCAGCCCGGAGGGGGTCGAGGCTGCGGAGGGTGGTGTTCGTGTCACTGTACTCCATCCTGGGTGACAGAATGAGACTGTCTCAAAACAAATTATTTATTTATTCATGTTAGAGACAGGGTCTCACTGTATATAACCCAGGCTGTAGTACAGTGGCACAATCATAGCTCACTGCAGCCTTGAACTCCTGGGCTCAAGTGATCCTTCCACCTCAGCCTCCCAAGTTGCTGGGATTACAGGCACAGGTTACCAGTCATGGCTAATTAAAAACAATTGTTTTTAGAGACTGGTTTTCATTGGGAAGGTTCTGTGAGATGATGTCTAGAATCACCTGTCACAGCGAGTATCTGATAAATATTAGTTCCTTCCACTCTTTGTATATTTGGTGCCTAATAAATGCTTATCAAGTCAAATGAAAACAAGACGGATATAACTGACGACATGAAAATTTCTCAGGATATAGGAGCAGCTGCCAAGTTCTGCACGAGCCCTCAAGGAAAGGCAGTCGGTAACTCTCCCCAGCAAGCACCCTCTGGACACGCCCCCTGGGCTGGGATTGGAGGAGGGATGGCTGCAGAAATGGCTGTGAAGTGGCCTTTTCCTCTATGAAAGTGTGCACACCAGAGAGCTGCCACCAGGTGGTGCTGTGGTGACCATGTAAGCCCCGGGCATCTCCCTGGCAGAACCCTACCCCAAGAGCTTCCTACAATGCCATTCCCATTAGAGACGGAGGGAGCGCCCTGGGAGTGGGGTCTGATCACATCCTAGAAAGCCTGCCCCTCCCTGGAGTCCCTGAGATGGAGCCATGAGTATGGGACTCTGGGCTTAGCCCTGCCTGGAGGGCAAGGCCATTTGGGTAAACCCTCAACTATAGAATTAAAGGGACAGGCCGGGTGCACTGGATCATACCTGGAATCACAGCATTATGGGAGGCCGAGGCGGGAGGATTGTTTGAGCCCAGGAGTTTGAGACCAGCCTGGGCAAAATAGTGAGACCTCTTCTCTATTTTATTTTTATTTTATTATTATTATTATTATTAATTTATTTATTTTTTTGAGATGGAGTCTCACACTGTTGTCCAGGCTGGAGCGCAGTGGCACAATCTCTGCTCACTGCAACCTCTGCCTCCTGGGTTCAAGCGATTCTCCTGCCTCAGCCTCCTCAGTAGCTGGGATTACAGGGATTACAGGTGCCTGCCACTACGCCCGGCTATTTTTTTTTTCTTTTTTCTTTCTTTTTTTTTTTTTTTTGTTTTTGCATTTTTAGTAGAGATGGGGTTTCACTATGTCAGCCAGGCTGGCCTTGAACTCCCGACCTCGTGATTTGCCTTCCTCGGCCTCCCAAAGTGCTGGGATTACAGGCGTGAGCCACCACTCTTGGCCAATTTTTTTGTTTTGTTTTGTTTTTTTTAATTAAAGGGACAGATAAAGGGTCAGTAGAAAGAACCCTGGTGTGGGTGTCAGACAGGTAAGCGGCCCTCCCTTGGCTCCATCACTTACAAGCTGTGTGACCATGAATAAATCTCCTGGGCTCCCTGCACCTGCTCTCTCGAAAAACAGGGACTGTTCTGGTGTCCTCCCTCCAGGCTGGCCGTGCAGATGGAGGAGACACCACTTGCAAAGGGCCCGACCTGAAAATGGTACTTCATCCTTCTCTTGGTGCAGTTCAACAGGTATCCATGGAGGCCCTGTCCCTGGGCATCCATGCTGGAGCCGCCAGCCTCAAGGAAGCTGAGCGGGTGAGAAAAGAGGAATCCAGGGCCGGGCGCGGTGGCTCAAGCCTATAATCCCAGCACACTGGAGGCCGAGGTGGGTGGATCACCTGAGGCCAGGAGTTCGAGACCAGCCTGGCCAACATGGTGAAACCCCATCTCTACTAAAAATACAAAAATCAGCTGGGATGGTAGTAGGCGCCTGTAATCCCAACTACTTGGGAAGCTGAGGCAGGAGAATGGCTTGAACTTGGGAGGCAGAGGTTGCAGTGACCCGAGATTGTGCCATTGCACTCCAGCCTGGGCAACATGAGCGAAACTCCATCTCAAATAAATAAAATTAATTAATGAAATTAAATTTTTAAAAAGAGGAATCCAGGACTAGAGGGTGTGTGGCTTCCCCAGCTGCAGGGAGGACTGGCTGAAGGATGGGGTGTTCAGGAGGAGGTCCCTTCCCCTCTGAGATCACACCTGGTGGAAATGGGGTCTGCCTGATTGCTGTTCCCTCTGCGCCCTGCACAGGTCCTGGGATGTCATGGCGTAGGTCACAGGAGACATTTGCTGGCTGATAGATCAATTAACTACATCAAGTGAAAATGCTACTACTGAAGGTTCAAGTCAGGGCCTGAGTCCAGGTCTCTGCTTTCTGCTGGACGGGCCAAGCCCTGCATTTTGGACCCTGTTCATCTCTCCAGCCTTGTTTCTCACAACTTCCTGGCAGAAACCTTGGCTGCAGTCACTGGCCCTTCCCAGCACATGCACCTTCCTGCCTCTGGACTTTGGGTATTGCCAGTCCTGCGCCCTCCGGCCTTCTGCCTGCCTCGAAGCCTCTCGAGGCTTACCTGTCCTTCAAAGCCTGCCCTCTCCTCCCTGGCGCCCTCCCTGCCTTCTGGAAGGAAAGGCTCCTCCTTTGAACTGCTGCAGCCCTTAAAGTCTAGGCCCTTGAGATGCAGCATTTGGTTCTGTTATTCACCTGCTTTAAGCCTGGCATCTTATTTTCTTAACTAGGTTGTAGGCTCTTTGAGGGCAGCAAGCTTGTCGGAAAAGGCAGCATAAAAGAAGGGTTAACAGGAAATGGTTTAGACATACATGAATTAGAATCCCAGGCTTGCTAATTACTGGCTGGGTGCCCTTGGAGAAGTCACCTAACCTCCCTGGGCTTCAGGTTTCCCATTTTCAAAAGTGGAAAATGGGCCAGGCGCAGTGACTCATGCCTATAATTGTAGCACTTAGGGATGCTAAGGCAGGTGGATCACCTGAGGTCAGGAGTTCAAGACCAGCCTGGCCAACATGGTGAAACCCCGTCTCTACTAAAAATACAAAAAAATTAACTGGGCATGGTGGTGGGCACCTGTAATCCCAGCTACTTGAGAGGCTGAGGCAGGAGAATCGCTTGAACTCAGGAGGCGGAGGTTGCAGTGAGCCAAGATCACACCACTGCACTCCAGCCTGGGCAACAGAGTGAGACTCCATCTCAAAATAAATAAATAAATAAATAATAAAAATAAAAATGGAAAATGAAGCCATGTGCAGTGTCTTATCCCAGCACTTTGGGAGGTCGAGGTGGGAGGATCGCTTGAGGCCAGGAGTTTGAGACTAGCCTGCACAACATAGCAAGGCCCTGTTTCTACAAAAAATTAAAAAATTAGCCAGGTGTGGTGGCATGCGCCTGTATTCCCAGCTATTTGGGAGGCTGCAGTGGGAGGCATTTGAGCCCAGGAGTCTGAGACTGCAGTGAGCTATGATGGTGCCACTGCACTCCAGCCTGGGTAACAGAATGAGACCGTCTCTCAAAAAAAAAAAAAAAAGAGAGAGAGAAAATGCAACACCTGGTTGCCAGTGTCATAATGCCCACACCTTCCAAGGTGACTGGGAAGAAGAACGAGACGGACTCTGTTCCAGTCTGGCACACAGTAGGTGCTCAATACACACCAGCTCCCTGGTGTATTTCTTAGTTTGGAGAGGAGCAGGTATTCTCCACCAAATTTCTGCCGAGGAATGCGGCGGCACCAACTAAAAATCATGCTTCCCATTGCTCCCTGAGCCTGAGATCCAGGTACAACAACAATCCCATGAAGCAACTGCTAACTACACACAACGTAAAACCACTCAAACGAAAATCCAACTTGAGACTCGCCACCTAGTTGTAACTTCCAAGTACCCCGGTACTCATCAAAGCTGAAGAGATCATTAGCTCCAATCTGGGTTCTGAAGAAGTCGCTGCTGCAGCCTTCCTGACACATCTCTGTTCAATCAGGCAGGCACCTTATAAAGATTATTCCCAGCCATGGCATTCTCCTCATGGTCCGGGTTTGTAAGCTCTAGCCCTGACCCTTCCAGCTAGCCCAAGGCAGAGACATCCGAGGCTCTGTTGGCTAATTATGTTTGAACCTGAGTTCACTTCTCAAAATGAGAGGGTGCAACTCTCAGACAGAAGAAGTCAGGTTGAGATGGAAGGTCTCACTACAGGTGCAGCTGGCATCACTATATACCCTCACAGACAGGAGAAATATGCAGTCAACTTTTTCTGTTTTTGCTTTGATTGCTGGGAAGCTAATAGTTCAGTTACAGCACTGGGTAATAACAGATAAACATAATAACCATAACAGTAACAAAACAGTGGCTACTGAATGCCTATTACTTGTGAGCCATTCTGCTAAGTGCTTTATTTATTGATTGATTGATTTAGAGACAGGGTCTCCCTCTGTCACCCAGGCTAGAGTACAGTGGTGCGATCATAGCCTGCTGCAACCTTGAGCTCCTGGGCTCAAATGATCCTCTGGACTCAGTCTCCCAAGCAGCTGGGGCTACAGATGTATACCACCATGTCTGGCTAATTAAAAAAAAAATTTTGGCTGGGTGCAGTGGCTCACACCTGTAATCCCAGCATTTTGGGAGGCCGAGGCAGATGGATCACTTAAGTCAGGAGTTCAAGACCAGCCTGGCTAACATGGCAAAACCCCGTCCCTACTAAAACTACAAAAATTAGCCAGGTTTGGTGGCAGGCACCTGTAGTCCCAGCTACTTGGGAGGCTGAGGCAGTAGAATCGTTTGAACCCAGGAGGTGGAGATGCAGTGAGCCAAGATCACACCACTGCACTCCAGCCTGGACGACAGAGAGAGATTCCTTCTCAAAAAGGAAAATAATTTTTTTTTTTTTTTTTTTTGTAGAGATGGCGTCTTGTTTTGTTGTCCAGGCTGGTCTTAAACTCCTAGGCTCAAGCGATCAATCCTCCTGCCTTGGCCTCCCAAGGCACTGGGATTACAGGTATGAACTACCAGGTCTGGCCCTGATTAAATTTTTACATTTTATTTATTTATTTAATAGAGATAGGGATCTTGCTATGCTGGCCATGGTGGTCTCAAACTTCTGACCTCAAGGAGTCCTCCCGCCTCGGCCTTCCAAAGTGCCGGGATTACATGTGTGAGCCACCACACCTGGCTCCACTTAATTCTTTCAATTGTCCTATGAAGAAAGTATTACTAGACCCATTTCTCAGGCGAGAGGACTGAGGTGTAGAGACTAAGTACATGGGGTCTGTTTGCTCAGCTGGTAAGTGGCAGAGCTGGAATTCAGATCCAGGCCTGGCTGCAGGTGCCTTCTGCTCCAGGCCTGCCTCCCTTGCATTGGATCTTCCCAATGGACTTAGAGCTCCTGTTCCTATTTGTTTTTCTCTGGGTCCTAATGTTTTATATTTGCCCATAAGTTGTTGCTTTAGTGGCTGTATTTCCTGAAATGCCTGCAAATCTTTTGGGGGAAGAATGATGGGGCTTTGCATAAATAAATAAATAAATACGTGTCTAAGAAAACGAGTTAACAAAAGATCGAAAAAATAAAGAACAATGAAGGCCTAGTAGAGACCCGAAAGGTCAGAGTTCACACATGAACACCCTGTGCTGGGGTGGCAAAGACAGGGTCCCCAAAACTCAGGGTCTGTCATTAAATCACAGGTACTGGGTATGCACTGACCCACAGGCAGAAACATTTTTATCTTCTGCTCTGCAAAACAGGCCTGGCAATTTTCTAAAAGACAAGTTTTGACAACACTGACAATGCAGGCTTGATGATCAGGGAATCTTAGATACGAGGAAAGAAAAAAAAAACAGTTTCCATTACAGAGTGCTGGGAACTGAGATGATTAATTAACATGTAAGTTAATGAGACTTTGGGGTGTTTTCTTCTCCGGTTGGAATTCTCTCCAACCTCAGAGGAATGCTCCTTTGCTGCAGAGGGTCTGGATTCTTCTGTTGTTGTTATGGACTGAGACTCACGCATGGGACCTGGTTATGCAAAATTCTGAGTGAGGGGGAGGCCTGGGAGGGAAGGAAACTGAGAATGGTCCCCAGAGAGGGGATCTCCTTCTGAGACTCAGACAGCCATCAGGGCTCACTGTGAGGGCCAGGAAAAGATACGCTCCTGCAGACTATTCTCTCCATATACACCTGTGCTCACCACAGAAACTTCAGCAGAGAATTTGTTTCCCTGGAGCTTAGGCAGACAGTGTGGGCACGTGCTCCATTGCTTGAGAGTGGCAGTTAGTGCTGGACCTCGAGAAAGCAGGATTCAGTTTGCAACACTGTCTCCTGTGAGTTTTCCTAGTGGGACTGCTCAGCTCTGGGTGCAAAATAGATAAAAATTATATTTAGTGGCCAGGCGCGGGGGCTCATGCCTGTAATCCTAGCACTTTGGGAGGCCGAGGTGAGTGGATCGCTCAAGCTCAGGAGTTCGAGACCAGTCTAGGCAACATGGCGAAACCCTGTCTCTTCAAAAAATGCAAAAATGAGTCAGGCATGGTGGCACATGCCTGTAGTCCCAGCTACTTGGGAGGCTGAGGTGGGAGGATGGCTTGGGCCCAGGGGAAAGAGGCTGCAGTGAGTTGAAATTGTGCCACCGCACTCCAGCCTGGGTGACAGAGGGAGACCCTGTCTCAAACAAAACAAAACAAAACAAAACAAAACACAACACACACACACACACGTTTTGGAAAAGTCCAGGGCCAAACCTGGAAATATACTGACCTTCCAGGTACTACTAACCTTGGGACTCTATCTGAGGGGCCAGCGGCCTCCCTGGACATGGCTCATCTCATTGCACATTCAAACACCAATAGCCTTAACAGATTCTCTGGGCAGGGCTTGATGTTTCACAATTTACAAGCAACTGACTCCATGATTAAATTGATCAGTCCTCTAAATTCCTGACTTACTACCCTTCGCAGAGTAGTCCGTTTCCTATCACTAGAAGCAACTAAGCAGAGGCTAGTAGACAGATGGATGATGTCAAGGGGATCCTGTACAGTGTGGAGGTTTGTTTGAACCAGACGATTTCAAACGTCTTTTGGAACCCTGAGTCTAGGAGTCCACAATCACATGCTCATGGGACGAAAGAATGAAATGAGGCCCAGCATATCAGCCTCGATAAGATGTTCTAGCAGTGCCTTCTGGATCATTATCCTTCAACTGAGTGTTAAGTGCCCTTTACAGGAGTCAATGCTCTCAAGGCTGCAAGCCACCTACTGTACAACAGTCTTAGCCAATCACTCAGTATGTACTATGTGCCAGGCTCTGTGCTAAGAGCTTAGATGCGCTATTTTATTTTCCTTAAGAGGTGGGTATCGTTTGATCTACATTAATAATAAGGAAAACTTGAAGAATGTAGGGGACTTGCACAGGGTCATACCGTTCCCATGATCTTAACCTCATGGCATGGAGAATTGTGGCCTTCTGGGTAATTATGAGCACCCAACTCTTTACTCTGCATATACTTTATAGTTTAGGAGTAGAAAGTGTGTCTGCAAATGGCTACAGCAGGTGGTAGGAAAGACAGGCTAGGGAGACACAGTCCTGGAAGAAAGAACCCCTGGGGCACTTTTGTACAAGGGTTTCCCTGGTTCCAAGGGAGCGCTGCTGGTCTGGAGGTGGTGGGATGTCTGGCACAAGCTCTGACCCTGGGGCAAGGGGGCTGGGGGGTGCATCCAGTGTCAGCGGCAGGAACACTGTGATCCTCAGCCTCTCCTCCTTCCGTGCCTGTGTTTCTCTCTGCCCACCTTCTTCCCAGGCCTCCTCCTATTGCTCCTATGGGAAGAGGGGGTGCTGGCCTCATTAGTCAAGCGTGAGGACACTGATGGGACACATGTACTAGTGGGCAGGTTGCTGTACATCAGGAAGCCGGACTGCAGGCTCTCCTCCCTCCTCTGAGCAAGGCAAGTCGCTGGAGGAGGTTAGGGCCACCTTCTCTCTCTCTGGCCCTTATCTGAAATGCGTGGGACCAGAAGTATTTTGGATTTCAGATTTTGGAATATTTGCATTATTCTTATTGGTTGAGCATCCCAAATCCGAAAATCTGAAATGCTGCATTGAGCATTTCCTCGGAGTATCATGTTGCTGCTCAAAAAGTTTTGGAATCTGGAGCATTTTGGATTTTGAATTTTTGGATTTGGGATGCCCAACTTGTATTCATCTCATATGGGGGATAGTCTCTTCTTTGTCTTCCTGCCTCCTTTCTCCTTCGATGCCACTGGCCAGGACCCCATAGGCCCCCAGATCCAGGGCTGGAGCTTTTGGGTGGCTGAGCCTGCTGTGTGACCAGCACAGCTTCTTCCCTGGGGGTTACTGGGTCCTAGCTTAGGTGGCGTTGAAGTGATGGGTGCCCCAGTCATCATGTAGCTAAAGTCTGCATGCTCAGCTCTCTCAGGGACCCTGTGGGAAGAAGGAAGTAATTTCCAAGGCTAGTATTTGGGCATTTCTGGATTCCTCCAGTCACAGCAACCAACTTCCAACACCAACACCAATCATCACTGCGTTTCAGGGTGCAGACCCTCTTGGTCTCCTTTCCTCACCTGTAAATTGAAGGTTTGGACAATGTGATTTCTGGAGGCTCTTCCAGCTCTGAGCTGGGGCCCTGGAAGCTAAGTGGATTTATCTAGTAGACAATGGGGGCTGGTGGCCAATCTGTGAGAGGAGGGTGAAGCGGGTCACCTGGTGACAATGCCCTGTGGGTTAACAGTGAAGCAGAGAGGTCTGACCCCAGAGGCGAGGCTGGAGCAAGCCCCCAAATTCCTGCCTTCTTTAAATAACAGAGACAACCCACATTCAAGGTGAGATCAAATGCATTTTAGCCGGTGGCAACTGCTAAGGTCAAGGGTGCCTGCATTCCCAGAGGGAAGCAAATGTCTTTGAAAGGCAGTCGGCAGGCTAAGAGTCTTGGAAAGAGCCTGGGGGCTGGTCGGCCTTTAGTTTAGATTAAAGCACAGATTAAATGAATCCCACTTCTGTAACTCACTCCCCTGAGAGCTGCCAGTTGGGCTAAAGACATTACTGCTACATTAGTGAGCTCAGAGACAGTGAGTACCATAGCCTTGGAAAAATCCATTTGGATAAACTAATGGAGAATAAGAAAGGAACACTTACTTGTTGGGAGTCTACTATGTGCCAAGCATTGTGCTGTTACATCCACCATATAAAAAGGCCAGCTTTGTGGTTGGACAGGCTGGAGTTGAACCCAGGTTCACTATTTGTAAATTGCTGCAGCTCTTTGCTGTGCCAAGTCCCATGCTAGGTGCCGATGACAGAGGGCAGAATGAAATGGACACAGTCCCTGCCATCAATCTCCTTATAGGCAAAATGGGAAAATCAATAACTATATCTTAGAGTTGTTTGTATATTAGATGAGGGAAAACAGGCAAAGCCCTTAGCATATCACTTGGCATATAGTAGGTGTTCAATAAATGGTAGTTATTAAATCCTAGAATAACCCCCAGAGGGATCAATATCCCAATTTTACTAATTAGTCTGAAGCCCAGACAGGTGAAGTGACTTGCCCAAGGGTACCCAGACAGTAACTAGTGGAGTCTGGGTTTGAACTGATGTTTCTAGACTCTAAGTTCAGTGCTCCTTCTTTTGTTTTTCTTTTTTCTTTTTTGAGATGGAGTCTTGCTCTGTCACCCAGGCTGGAGTGCAGTGGCACAATCTCTGCTCACTGCAACCTCCGCCTCCCAGGTTCAAGCAATTCTCCTGCCTCAGCCTCCTGAGTAGCTGGGACTACAGGCGCACACCACAATACCCAGCTAATTTTTGTATTTTAAGTAGAGACGGGGTTTCACCATGTTGGCCAGGATGGTCTCAATCTCCTGACCTCGTGATGCACCCGCCTCGGCCTCCCAAAGTGCTGGGATTACAGGTGTGAGTGCTCCTTCTTTCATGTCATTCTCAGCTGGTTGCAATGATCCTTGCATCTTGAAGACACTAGGAAAAGTGATCAAATTGAGCCCGCTTACAGATGGCAAACAGATGGGGAAGCCAGGATTGACTAATGGACCCTAGGGCCCAGAGTGAAGCAGGTCCTGCAGCCTCTATGGTGCTGAATGAAGACACCTGCAGGCAGGCTGGCTCAGCTCAGCGTGTCTTGTCAACTGCATGGACAGGCCCACAGGTCACAGGCAATATGCAATATGTTGAATTAATTCCCTTCAAAGCCTTTTGGATGCAGAGGAGAATAAATGCATAAATAACCTGAAGCAGCAATTGATTTCCTATGGCCATTTCTCAGCTCAGCCAGCTACTACAAGTCAGTTGGAATTGAGTTTGCTTTCCAACTACTTAATTTTTCAAAGACTTTTAAAAGCAAAAATATAGAAAAGATGAATGCCCCCTTGTGATCAGGGCCCAGGGTCCCATAGTGAGTGCTCAGATGCTGGCTGTTCCTGGCAGCAGGCACCACCTCCCTGCCCTTGGCACGCACTGGGGTCAGAAATACCCTTGGGGACAGGGTCAGTCACTCCCAAAGCAAATTCATGCCCTATGCTGGGACTTGGACTGTTGCTAGAGGGGGATTGTTCATTGCTAGGAATTCTGACTATGCTGGTTTCCTGACCAAAGGCACAATCATTTGGCAGGTGCATGTTTTGTCTTGGTTTTGAGTGGGCAGAGTCGTTACCCAGGCTGTGTGTGTGTGCCAGCCGATCAAGCCCGATGGACAGTCTGGAATGGAGCGGGCCGAGCACAGCGTGGTCACTGGGAAGTCTGGGCAATAGATCAACCAGCTGGCCCAGGCCTTGGGGGCTGAGGAGTCCACTTTGCCAAGGCAGTTCGAGCCTTGCCGCACCCAAAGGCCTCGAGCATGGTCCCCTGCAAGAAGCCCTCACAGCAAACTTCATGGCTGCCTTTGTGTCCCTCACGAGTGAATCAGCTCCTAACATGTACTGGGCACCTCTACATGCCAAGGCCTGAGCCAGGGGCTGGTGACACAGAGGGGACAAAACAGACAGTGCCTGGTGATCGTGAGTGTGTGTTTTCCCTTTAAGCATCAGCCACATTCTAGCAGGGGAGAGAGACCTGTGGGCAGATGCATTGTAACCCAACGTGGTGAGCTTGGAAACAAAGATGGGCAAAGCACTGAGAGGGAGCAGGGAGGCAGCTGAACACAGTGCCATGACCCAGGTGTGGGTGATGGCCCTGGGTGTGATGCCTGGCTCGGCCACCTTCCAGCTCTGACTCTGGGCAAATCCCTTCGGCTCTCTGAGCTTAAACCTGGGAGGTGGAGGTTGCAGTGAGCCGAGGTCGTGCCACCGCACTCCAGCTTAGGGGACAGAGCGAGACTCTGTCTTAAAAAAAAAAAAACACGGGTCAGCCATTGCAGCTCCACATTCCAGCTTCATCATGCTAGTCCTGTAACCATGCACTAGTTATTTCACCTCTGTAAGCCTTAGTTTCCTCATCTGTAAAATGGGGATAATTAAAACCTCAGAGGATTATTGCAAGGATTAAATAAGGCATGTGAAGTGTTTAACTGTGCCTGGCACACACTAAGTGCTCAGCAAGGCTCCCAGCCTCCTCTGCTCCTCCCACACCTCCACGCAGGTGGTCTGGGTTTGCAGAAACCAATAATTGTGAGCTGGCCAGAGGAGGAGGAGGATGAAGATAAGGAATCAGTTGATCTTACAAGCAGGTAGTAGGGATCTCAGTAAATGCCAGTTGAATTTGGGCCTGTTTGTGTCTGAAGAGAAGATTCCTCGGCTACATGATGGATTTAAAATACTCATCCAGAAGGCCAGGGATTCCCACGGGAGATCAGCCCTTCCCCCTCCTGTGGGGTGCATCTGAACATGTGGCGGGACTGCTCTGAGAATCTCAATAACAGTTGGGAAAATCTCCTCAGACGCCTTACAGATCTCTAGGATGACGCATGGTAGAGCTGGTGGGTTCAGCCCCGGATGGGTTTCTGCAAACCCAAACTGCCTGCCTGGAGGCGTGGGAGGAGCAGAGGAGGCTGGGAGGCTTGCTGAGCATCTGCCTCTATGTCCTGGTGGGTCAGCTTCTGCGACTCCTTCTGTTTCCTAAGCCAAGTGCTCTCGGGTTTGGAGTGGTAGAGATGGTCTCCATGTTAGGACAGGACGTGCAGACAAAGGGATGTCAGTGCCACCCAGGGGGCTGCCCTTGAACCTGGCATGAAAGAGCAGTAAGAACTTCCTTTACCAAGCACCTACTATGTGCCAGGTGCTCCGTGGGATGACTGATGTACACCACTGCTGATCCCCACACCACTCTGCAAAACCCAACTCATGTCTTTGGAAGGGTAGTTTCTTCAACATAAGCTCTGTGAGGTTGGTGCTATATCTATTAGCTGTCAACTCCCTAAAGCCTAGTCTAGTGCTTAGCACACAGTAAGTGCTTAACAAATACGAGCTAGTGGAGTGAATTTGATTTTGAATAATTCTCTCTTTAGAAGGTCTCATATGGTATATTGCTTTGATTGAAAACATCCAACCAGGAGGGGCTGAAATATTGTAAGATAAAAATAGGAGCTCTGCTAAAAATAGAACTACCATTCAACCCATTAATCCCATTAAAGGGTATATACCCAAAGGAAGATAAATCGTGTTAAAGATACATACATCTGTATGTTCACTGCAGCACTATTCACAATAGCAAAGACATGGAGTCAACCTAAATGCCCATCAATGGTAGACTGGATAAAGAAAATGTGGTACATATATACCATGGAATATGATGCAGCCATAAAAATGAATGAGATCATGCCCTCTGCAGAAACATGGAAGGAACCGGAAGCCATTATCCTTAGCAAACTAATGCAGGTACAGAAAACCAAATACCATACGTTCTCATTTATAAGTGGGAGCTAAATGATGAGAACGCATAAACACAAAGAGGGGAACAACAGACACTGGTGCTTACTCGAAGGTGGAGGATGAGAGGAGGGAAAGGATCAGAAACAGTAACTATTGTACTAGGCTTAGTAGCTGGGTGATAAAATAATCTGCACAACAAACTCCAGTAACATGAGTTTACCTACATAACAAGCCTGCACATGTACCCCAGAACCTAAAATAAAAGGTTTTAAGTAGGAGCTCTGGAGTTGGAAAAAGATATGTCAAAATCCTCATTCTAGGGAGAGCTACTCCACCTTTCTCTAAATCCACTCTTCTCATCTGAAACTGGAGGCAGAAC
The DNA here is from genome assembly GCF_000001405.40 of Homo sapiens. Taxonomy (NCBI): domain Eukaryota; kingdom Metazoa; phylum Chordata; class Mammalia; order Primates; family Hominidae; genus Homo; species Homo sapiens. Next base: position 19,728,325 of record NC_000001.11, read on the forward strand.
TACTGGCCCCATGGGGTGGTTGTGAGGGTGGAAGAGAATGTACATAAAACTGTGCAAAAACTGGGCAGAGAGCTAGGCCTTCATAGATGGTGGCTATTGCTATGCTGCTATTGCTGTGACAATGATTATTATGTCATTCCCATTTACAGGCAGCTCTGATTTTCAAGGCATTTTCACCAGGTCATCTCCTCTGACTCTCTGGGCACTGGGCAAGGTCTGAGGCCAATTGCTGTCAAGGAGCCCAGAGCTTTGGCCCAGATCTGCTTGGGCCCTGCTCCCTGCCTGGCTGGATCCAGGGCTCTGTACTGGCCTTGGCTCTGTTGATTTGCTGGGAAACGTGCTGGGTGCCATTCCTACCTCCGTCTGCATGAAGGCCCCTTGGCGAAGCTCCTGGGTTCCCGGGCACCATCCAACACTGGGGTTCTCACCCAAGCACCCTCAGAGCCTGCCCCACTCTGCCTTTCCATCAAGATGTACTTCCAGCCTCCAAGCAGTAATGTGAGGGAAAGTAGGGGAAGAGAGGAATGTCCCTGTTTTGCAGATAAGGAGACAGGGTCAGTGAGAATGGTGCCTTGGCTGAGATCTTAGCTGAGGATTAATTACAGAGGCCAGAATCCAAATATGGCCTTCTGGCTGCTAATTGACCGTGAAGTTCTAATATGTGTTCAGGAAGTAGAAGCTGCCATTTAGTGGTATCCTTAGGGAACCATGAGGCCCCATAGTGGATATAGAATAAGCTGTGGGGATAGTTACTAGGTACAAGTAGTCAGAAAGAGTGAATAAGACCTAGTATTTGATAGCACAACAGGGTGACTACAGTCAATAATAATTTTGTTTTTTTTTGAGACAGAATCTTGCTGTGTCGCCTAGGCTAGAGTACAGTGGCCCAATCTCGGCTCACTGCAACCTCTGCCTCCTGGGTTCAAGCGATTCTCATGCCTCCGCCTGCCAAGTAGCGGGGAATACAGGCGTGCCACCACGCCTGGCTAATTTTTGTATTTTTAGTAGAGATGGGGTTTTGCCATGTTGTCCAGGCTGGTCTCAAACTCCTGGCCTCAAGTGATCTGCCCACCTTGGCCTCCCAAAGTGCTGGGATTATAGGTGTGAGCCACAGTGCCCAGCCAATAATTTAATTGTACATTTAGAAATAACTAAAAAAGCCCTGGCGCAGTGGCTCACACCTGTAATCCCAGCACTTTGGGAGGCTAAGGTGGGCAGATCACCTGAGGTCAGGAGTTTGAGACCAGCCTGGCCAACATGGTGAAACCCCGTCTCTACCAAAAATACAAAAATTAGCTGGGTGTGGTGGTGTGCACCTGTAATCCCAGCTATTTGGGAGGCTGAGGTATGAGAATTGCTTGAACCGGGAGGTGGAGGTTGCAGTAAGCTGAGATTGCACCACTGCACTCCAGCTAGGGTGACAGGGTGAGACTGTCTCAAAAAATAAATAAATAAACAAATAAATAAATAAAAAATAAGAGTATGATTTTATTGTTCATAACACAAAGGATAAAAGCTTGAGGTGATAGATACCCCATTTTCCGTGATGTGATTATTATGCATTGCATGCCTGTATTAAAATATCCCACATATCCCATAAATATATTTGCCTACTATGTACCCATACACATACACACAAAAACCACAAGCAAAAAATAGTGCCTACTTCACGGGCTCTTGTGAGAATTAAACAAAATAATGCCAGTAAAAATGTTTAGCATGGAGAGAAAAAGGTAATAAGCTGTTTACCAAATGGTTCTAGCTCTCTGTCTCTGACCACATGGTAGGAAGGCATTTACTGGCCCCTCCTTCATGTGAGGAATGTCTCCATGCCTTGCTTTGGCCAATGAAATGTTTGTAAAAGTCACATGTGTTACTTATGGGTGAAGGTGCTTTAAGGGCCAGTGCATAAGTCACCACATTCTGTCTCCTACTGAGGAAACATACGTTGATATGGAGCTCCCTCGACCTGGGCATCTACAACAACCAGAGTTCCCCTGGGTACCCAGACAGCATGAGTGAGAAATGAACCTTTGTTGTATCACACCTCTGCAATATTGGGGATGTTTGTCACTGCGGCATAACCTAGGCTGTCCTGACTGATACACTGTGAATGCTGATAACATTCAACTTCAAGTTCCATTTACTTCTAGAGCATGTACTCTCTGTTGGCATTATTCCAGGTACAGGAAGCACAGAGGTGAGTCACACACAATCCCTGCCCTCAAGGGGCTTGCAGTCTCAACACTTATTTGAAAGGAAGTTGACCACACTGAGCTTGAGGGAAGGGCAGGCTGGGCTGTAAGGGGCACCTTGGGAAGGGTGGTGATCCCTAGAGGAGCCACCCCTGGTGTTTGCAGAATCACCCCAAAAGGGAGTGGAAGCTGTGAAGACAGTTAATTCTACAGGCAGCTTTTCCTGGGGAAGGGGAAGGAATGACAAGTTTTGTTAGGGGCAGTGGAGAGGGGAGGCTGGTGGAAGGATTATGTGCTCTGGGTGACTCTAGGATTTACTGCTCTATTTTGTTACTAGCTCTCAGGGGACTCCAGAAAACAATTAGTGGATTCAAATGCATTAGGGTAATTCCTCTTTTACATCCCTTAACTCAGATAATGACAGCTATCCTGCAATTAGGAGAGGGTCTTCTCAGTGTGCAGATTAATTGGGTGTTAAACAGCAGGGCTGCCTGAAAGCAGGCAGTGCAGCTGGGAGGAATGAGATGTGAAACAGCAGCCCTGGGCAAAGGGTGAAGAATTCATTGACGATCTCGACCATCTGGAGGTGTGAAGATGCCCCATTGGTAATACAAGGGCAAGGACTTGGGAGGGGAATGGTTGAGGAAGAGGGTAGGAGGCGCTGTGGCCATGGGAAGGAGTGGAAACTGGAGGTTCTGACCCTGTGGGAGGCCAATTATTCCTCAACTAGGTCCAGGGTCCATGCCATCCATCAGGGAGGGATTGCTATAATATGACATGCCTACTCCCATTTATTAACAGTTTCTAGGAAATTATCAATGCTCAGCGAGTACTTCTGGGTTCTTATTACAGGCCAGCATTTATATGCATTATTGCCTATAACGTAATCCTCCTAAAAACCTGTTGTAGATACTATTATTGGCTATGTCTCACATAAGTGGAGTTCAGAGAGGTTACATGACTGGGTGCGTGGTGGGTTTGGAATTCAAACCAGAGGCCCTGACTCCAGAGCTCACACACTTGTAGCAACTAAGCTGGCAGCTTCTCAGCGGAGAAGAGCCCTGTGGCCCATCATCTGTGATGGCAGAGGCCTGTACCTTGCCGCGTCCTGCAAGCGCCTGGTGCTGGGCCAGGCCCTGAGTGTGTGTGTATTTTTGTGATCACAAGTATGTCCCTATGTCCCTGTTTTGATTTGTTCTGCTTTGTGCTTTCTGGGGTGAGTTAAAGCAGTCTGGCGAGAAGGGCTCTGCTCTGGTCCCCACCAGCTTCCTTGGCCTCAGGTCCCCAAAGCAGGGAGGTCACACTCGAGTGCTTGGCTCTCGGGATCAGGACCTTTCTGTTCCCCTCTGCAGTGGGTGATCTTTTGTTTCCAACTCCCCATTTCTATGAACCATCAGGAATTCCCTTACACTCTGGAAAGAAAAAGGAAAACTGGGGATATAAATGGCTTTGAGATCTTGCATCAGAGAGATCTCCCGTCCAGCTGGAGCTGCTGTGAAGGCCGGCATGGACAGCGGGGGTTTTAAACTGAGCGGGGCCTGTGCACCCAGCTGCATGGGAGGAGCTGCCTTCTGTCCCACAGAGAGAGCTGGCTACATGTCTGTGAATGTGCGCACACCTGCTGCTCACATTTGGAATAAGCTATGGCTAACTAAGGGACAGACCCCTCTCAGTGTGGCTTTTGCTCTGTCACCCAGGCTGGAGTGCAGTGGCACGATCATGGCTCACTGCATCTTCAACCTCCTGGGCTCAAGTGATCCTCCTGCCTCAGCCTCCCAAGTAGCTGGGGCTACATGCACGTGCCACCATGCCTGGCTAATTTTAAAATTTTTTGTAGAGGCAAATTATGTTGCCCAGGCTGGTCTTGAACTCCTGGGCTCAAGCAATCCTCCCACCTCAGCCTCCCAAAGTGTTGGGATTACAGGCATGAGCCACTGGACCTGGCCTCAGTGTGTTCTTGACCAAAGTCAAGGCACAGGATGACCAGCGTCCTTTCTCACCTCCTCTCTAGATGATCAATGAGGCAGGGATGGGATGTTATGAAATAAGGAGGGAAACTATCAGGCTGATTAATAACAAAGACAGTGGGGGCTGGGCATGGTGGCTCATGCCTGTAACCCCAGTGCTGTGGGAAGCTGAGGCAGGAGGATTGCTTGAGACCAGGAGTTCGAGACCAGCCTCGGCAACACAGGGAGACCCTGTCTTTAAAAAAATGAAGAATGTGTTTAGAGTTTTCTGGGCCCAAGTTCTTTTTTCTGAAGGTGACTACAGGGGGAAAATGCCAGCTGCACTTTTGTCCACCGGGTTCATCTTGGAGTCAGATTCCTATCAGATTCTTGTTATTTGGAAGGCTTCGGATCCTAGTTTCTTCTTCTTTTAAAATGTAGAGGTTTTCTTTTTTTCTTTCTTCTCGTTTTTCTTTTTTGCTGACTACCTACTCATCTGTCAATATAGAAGTTTTCTAGGCCGGGCACGGTGGCTCACGCCTGTAATGCCAGCACTTTGGGAGGCCGAGGTGGGTGGATCACTTGAGGTCGGGAGTTTGGGACCAGCCTGGCCAACATGGTGAAACCCCGACTCTACTAAAAATACAAAAAATTTGCTGGGCAATGTTGCGGGCACGTGTAATCCCAGCTACTTGGGAGGCTGAGGCAGGAGAATTGCTTGAACCTGGGAGGCAGAAGTTGCAGTGAGCTGAGATGGCACCACTGCACTCCAGTCTGGGTGACAGAGCGAAACTCCGTCTCAAAAAAAAAAATTTTTTTTCTTAATAAAATATTGAAGACCTGTGGTGCCCATGTTAAAAGGACTCCCTTCTACCCTCAAATGTTTGTCTACATCTGTGCCAAGCACTGGGGACACACACGGCTGAGCAGGGCATGCACTGCCCCTGACACACAGAATCGATTCCTTTACTTGGCTCATGGGTCATGTGTCCATCAAGCACCTAGTATGTGCCAGGCACTGTGACAGGCTAGGGATACAGTGACAAGAAGGAGAAACAGGGCCCCTGCCCACCTTCACCCTGTGCGTGGGCTGGGCTGCACACCAGAATTGCCCAGGGGAGCTATTTCCAAAATAGGGGTGCCTGATCCCTTCCATATAGGGGCCTCATATATATATTTTGGGAAAACAATTGCCCACGTGCTGCTGATGTGTACCTCCAGGTGACAATTACTGGTAGACTGGAAAGACAGATGAGCAAGCAGGGAGGTATAACAGGGAGACAGGCCAGCGCTGGGAAAGATGTTCAAGGAAGAATGGAGTGTGGCTTGGAGAGACAGTCTAGCGTAGGGTGAAGATCGCACAATCTCCAGCCAGACTGCCTGCTCTGCCACCTCCTAGCCGTGTGATTCAGGCAAATCCCTACACTCTGCATTTCTCTTTCCTCCTCTGTAAAATGGATGTGATAATTGTACCTACTTCACAGAGCTGTTGGAAGGACTCCATGAAATAATACATATGATGAGCTTAGAATTGTGTCTGGTGCATGAAAACGCAGTGTATTCCATAAGTGTGTGCTGTGTGGTTACTACTACTACTATTATCATCATTATTATTGGAGGGAAAGCTTCCAGACACAGTGAGACCTGAGAAATGAGTAGGAATTATCTAGAAAAGGAGACAGAGAGGACGGACCAAGAGGGAACAATGGAAATAGAGCTTGGTCTGCTGGAGCCCGGCATGTGAGGTGGAGAGAGGCGGGGGAAGGTGCTGAAGGCAGATCATGAGTGGGGCCCTGTGAGTCATGCTGGGACATCCACACTGATCTAGAGAACAGCAGGGGCATTAGAGGCCCTTGGGGTCTGCCGAGTTGCTGCCGTGTGAGTGTGTGCAGATGCGTGTATGAATGTGTGCAGGTGTGTGTGTGAGTGTGCATATGTGCGCATGTGTGTGAACTGTAGGGTGCCCAGCACCAGTGCCCCCGGGTCCTCCTTGGCAGGATCCACTCAGTTACTCATTCACTCCACAGTTTAAAGACCTCAATCTTTCCCCAGCGTTGAACCAGTTGTTTCCAACTCCTTAGCCTGGCACAGTGCCAGGCTCCCACCCTGACCTATTAGCATTTCCCACCAACCCACCTGGGGGGCCTCTTACGTGGGCTGCAGAGACACCAGATGCCACCGTTTCTAGACACCCCTGAGAGCCCCGCCTTTGCCCATGCTGGCCGACCCTCTGGAATGCCCTGCCCTAGTCCAGCTGCCGTCTGCCAAATACAGCATAGTGGTTAGGAGTGAGGGCTCCAGGGCCAGACTCCCTGGGCCTGAATCCTGGCTCTGGCACTTAGGATTCTTGTGGCTTCACCTCTCAGCCTCAGTTTTCTCATCTGAAGCAGGGAGACTGGTGGAACCTCCCTCCTGTGGCTGCAGTGAGGGAGGAATGTGATCACACTTGCAAGTGCTTGGAACACAGCCTGGCACCCGGTGGATCTGCACTAGCTCGTGGGCACAGCAGCATGTGCCTGATTCCCTCACCCAAAGTCCAGCTCCTTCATCTTCCTGACCACTCACAGTGCACTGGGCACTGTGCTGGGCACTAGGGGGGCGGCAGGGCTCAAGGCAGACCCTGCCTACCTGGACTTCACATCTAATGTGAGGCTGGAGAGCGGACACAAAATGACAAGTTCTGACATCTACACAACACTCACCACAGTTCCCTGTGCACAGTAGGTCCTCAGGTTGGAATTCAGAGGACATTTACTGAGTGTACCCAAACTGGGGCCAGGAATTCTCACATTCGTTATGTCATCCCCCCATGATCCTTTGAGATAAGTGTACAAAGCTCATATCCTTTGAGGAAGCTGAGGCCCAGAGAGGTTAAGTGACTAGCCCAAGGTCCGACAGCCAGTCAGTGGCAAAGCTAGGAGCCAAATCCAGGTCTGCCTAATATCAAAACCCAAAATCTCAGCTATGGGCCATGAGGATCCAGGGGTGGGAGCAGCGAGCAGGAAAGATGCTGGAAGGAAGCTGCTTTGGGAACCATCCCCCAAAAGGCTGTAGTGCAGGAACTTCCCAGTGTCACACAAACCAGCCCTGTCACCAAGAAGCCACCTGCCTCCCTCTTCCCTCTTTCCAGTTTCCAGCCTCACATTCTGGGGACAGCTGAGAGTCGACCTCACTTCCGGTTACCACAGCCAAATGGTTCATGGTAATTAATTCAATTTGTTTGGCAGGGGAATTAAAGTCTTGCCTGTACTAACGATCTTAAGTTAACATAGCATTTATGCTAACTGGAGGCAGAGACATGCCCTCTGAATGAAGAATTGGTTCTATTAATAAGACTACATCTCTCTAGGTAACGAGCCTGGCAGATAGACGGTTTGCTGCCAGAGAGGGAAAGATGACAAGGAAAGAAGCAAAATGATGACAGCAGAGAGGATGGCAACTTTTCAAAGGCTTCCCTGGGAAAAGTAGATTTGGAGAGCAGGGAGGAGTCTGCATTGGCCGACAACCAGCACCGATGGCCAGATACACGAATGAGGTCAACTTGGACCTCCTGGGTGTTCCAGCTCTGACTACAACTGCATGACTAAGCCCAGGCAGGAGAGGCAAATGGTCTTGCCAACTCATAGAATCGTGAGAAATGATCAGTTATTGCTGCTTTTGGCCACCGTGTTTGGAGAGGCCGTTTTGCAGCAACAAATAACAATCATGGTGGAGGGCAAAGGAGAAGTAAAGGCACGTCGTACATGGTGGCAGGCAAGAGAACGCGTGCAGGGGAACTGCCCTTTATAAAACCATCAGCTCTCATGAGACTTATTCACTATCATGGAAACAGCATGGGGAAAACCCACCCCCCTGATTCAATTACCTCCCACCGGGTCCCTCCCATGACCCATGTGGATTGTGGGAGCCACAATTCAAGATGAGATTTGGGTGAGGACACAACCAAATCATATTAAGCTCCAATCCTTCTCTCCCATCCACCCTCCACTCCCAGGTTCAACAATTTCTCTCTGAGTTCCTCCTCTTGCCTTCAGAGTCCTGCCGCTGCTACCTTCCACTGAGAGGAGGTGAGCCCATGTTCCAGGAGCAGTGAACCACTCCAAGTGCCCCAGGCTCGGCAACTCACTCTCCCAACCAGCCCCTCCACAGGCAGCCCCTGCTGACAGATCTGTCCAAAACCAGCATTCTGCCCTGGAGACCTCACCTACCCAAGGCCAGGAGCAGCAGCCCTCAAGCTTTTCACTGCCTTGCACAGAAAGGATGACACTGGAGGCATGACACACTCCCAAAGGTGTCTGTGTGTGGTTGAATGGTGAACCCCCAGAAGATATGTCCACCCAGAACCTGTGAATGCGACCTCATCTGGTAAAAGGGTCGTTGCAGATATAATTAAGTAAATGATCTTGACATGGGATCACCCTGGATGAGAGTGGGCCCTAAATCCAATGACTCTGTCTGTCCTTATGAGAGAAGACAACAGGCAGAGACTGGAATGACATGTCTACAAGCCAAGGAATGCTAAGGACTGCTGGCAGCCACAAGAAGTTGGAAGAGACAGGAAAAATCCTCCACTAGAGCCTTCAGAGGGAAAGTGCACCTGCCAACACCTTAATTTTGAATTTCTTGTCCCCTTCATTCCCACTTGGGAAAGTGCATTAGAACACAAAAGCCAGTGTCATTATTACAGGATGGTCCATCTTGCATCTACTCTAATGTATGTATATAAAATCATTTCCCCAAGGTTGATGACGATTTTTCTTGATTTTTAAACTATTTTTAACTTTTAACTATTATTTCTAAGAACTGGGAACACATTTTGCAAGGCTCATGGCCCCTGGCCCAGAACATCTGTCCCTGGGAACAAGCTTGTGAAGGGTTTCCGTCTGTGACAATAATCCATGCTCACCTTTCTCTTGAGCCATCTCCTGCAGACAGAAGTAGATGACTCTGGCTCCCAGGCTGAAGCCAATCAAGGTGACAGGTCGTCGCCCCTGAAGGGAAAAAGGACACAGGTGTCTGGAAGGAATACTGCCAGTTCTAGCAAAACATCAGGCCTGAGGAGGGCAGCCTTTGCACATTCCTTACCACCTGATTCTCATCTAATGAATCATGCATGTGCTGTTCCGGTCCCTGAGCGCTGATGTCTTAATCAGCAGAGTCAGGACCCTCATTTATGCAGGAGTGCACCTGCTGCTGGAATTGGCTTCCTCCAAGGCCAACAGGCAGCCCCCGGCTGGGTTAATTCCCTTTCATCTCAAATCATTATCCAGCCACCGTCTCATCTTCCCCAGGAGACAGGGCTAGTCAATTACAAGAGCAACTTCCCTTGCACTGATCTGCCTTGCGGCAAATGGCTGCAGTGCTGCGGGACCCCTTCCGGAGCTGGGGAGATTAGACAGAAGGCACCCCCAGGTGTGAGGGGTAAAAAGGCAAGAGTGACAAGGGAGGGACAACAGTTCAGTTTCTAGATAGGAAGGTGGGGCACAAAATATTGGCTCTAAGTGATAAGATAAGGTAGTAAGTCAGATGGAAAGAGGAATTTTCTGACTCAAGGACTTGTAAGAAAAGGTAACTGATCATGTCAAGACTCTAAAGAAAATGAAAGTTATCTGGGGGTGTTTGGGTACAAGCTTACATGGAAGGAGAGGAGGGGAGTGGATGAGCTCTGGAGGCCCAGCCTGGTTTTACCAGTCTATTCCTTTTCCTTGGTTTTGTGCCAATACACGTATTCCACATCCCCACACCACTCCACTTACCACAGTAGAAAATCCTCTGTTAAACAGTATTCGAATCCTGCAGGAGCTTTGTGCCAACCCTGCTGGCCACTGCCCAATATCATTCTCCCCTTTGTCCTTTACTCCTGAGTTTGACTGGGCACACGGCCACCCAGCCAAAGACGAAGTTTCCCTGACTCCTCCGTAGCTTGAGGTGGCCACAGGGCTGAGACTTAGCACAGGGCAAGGAAAGGGGATCCTCCCTAAGGCATGCATTTTTGCCTTTTGACCTCCAGAGCTGTAAAATAGTACATTTGTTTTCAGCTGGTAAATTTGTGGTAATTTGTAACAGTGGCAGCAGGAAACTAACACATCATCTTGCTCCAGATATTGACACCCAGACTCTTACTTGGGAGAGAACAAAATTCTATCTTGTCTAAGCCAATGCCACTTTGGCCTTTGCCTTAGAGTCAAGCCTGCCGAAGGATTTTCTGTTTCTTTTGACAAAGACGCAGGGATTGAAGGGGGTGGCCAGTTGCTCAAGCAGTTTAGCTGCATGGCAGAAACTGCTAGTTGTCATCCCTCAATATCCATCCTCCCTTTTTTCCATAGTAATTGAATTTCAGCTGGGTTCATCATCACTCAGAATAAATACTATATTTCCCAGCTTCTGTGGCAGCTAGGAATGGTCATGTGACTAGGCTCTGGCCAGTGAGACACCAACTGAAATGTTGTAAGGCTTTGCTGTTTCTTCTTCAGTTCTTCCTTTCTCCTGCTCCCTGGAGCTCGGATGATGCCATCTTTGATACAAGGTCAAGACCCCAGAGCAACAAGGTAGCAGGAACCTGGGCCTCTGCACCATGGAAGGCTATTAGACAACCTTGCTAGGCTTCTCCAGGAAAATAAATTTCTACCTTGTTTAAGCCACTGTTATTTTGGGTTTTCTCCCACTTCCAGCCAAAACAAATCCTGACAATGCAGTCATTTCTGGTACTGCTTCTCAAGCTTTTGTCTCCATTCACTCAAGTTTTATTCTGAAGGGGATGGTTTTATTCTCTTGGTAAGTACATCTTTACTAGATTCAAATTTTAAAAGTATTATGATGATGTCTCTTCCTAACCATTTTACATGGTATTTAGACCACCAAAGATGACCTCACAAAGTAGCTTTATACTTCTGGGAAGGAACACCAGGCCACCAGCATGTGGGAATTCCATTGGTGGCCAGCTGAAGCACCTGGTCTCATTCACTTTACTGGCTTCACTGCAAACTGCGTCAGAGGTTTCCACTGAAATATCACCCAAATGAGCCCAGTGATTATCCTAAACACTTGAATGAAGAGCTGATACATAGGAGCCACTTTTGCTTCTGCCAGAGTCCCCCAGACTTGTTCCTACCTGCAGATGCCCTGTTATTCAGTCCTTACCTAAATACCTGCTAGAGCTGCAGAGTCTATAATTTTTACTGTTCATCCTAGGACACATTCATTACTTGAACTGGAGAGGCAGCAAGGACTGCCCACACCCCCAAAACCATTGAGTTATCTCCAAGTAGCCTTGCCTCTAAGGCTGATATCTGTGAACAAGTCAGCACCTGACTTCCCCTCTTGCTCAATGCCACGCCCACACAGCCATTCCCAGGTACCTGCTGCCGGGAGAGCAGGATGTGGGCCAGGTGCTTGCCAACCTCTGCTGATCGATGGAGACACACCCCCCAGGGGTTGTCGATGACATTGGCGACACTGAGGAGTGAGGCTGGCCAGGTCAGGGCAGCCACAATGCCTGGGGAGGTGAGATAGTGATGAAGGGAATGGCCCCTGTCCTAGGGTCCTACTAGGGAAGTGACTGGCTAACAGATGCTCAAATAAATGCATGCAGTCTCCAACTTGGACCTGCAAGTTTGCCAATCAAACTGCTAAAGAACAAAGAAATCCGAAACTCATGAATTTCTGATATATGGACTCAATCCCTTCTGCTCAAGCCCTTGTCACGTGTGAGATGGCCCCAATTCGTCTCCACACCCTGTACCCTCCCACTTTGCTTCATAACTCTGCAGTGGGGACCCCTGCCCTGCCCATCCCCTCTAGACTCAGCCATGTGACTTGCTTTTGCCAAAGACATTAATAGATGTGAGGCTTGAAATGGATTTGTGCACCAGGGCTAGCCTCTTGCGCTTCTATCATTGACATGGGCTTGCCTGCTCATCCCAGGAGGATGAGAGACAAATGGAGCAGAGCTGAGTTGCCCCAGACAAGGCTAGCATTGATCGGTGGATGGTTGGCTGACCCACAGGCCTAGCTAAGATCCACCAACTCCAGCCTCCTGAGCTATTACAGTAAACATCCCATGGAGTTTTGGGGTGGCTTGTCCCACAGCAATAGCTAACGGACTGATCATGTGATTGGCTGTTTACCTGTCTTCTCTCCATAGGGATCATAAACTTCCCCCAGACAGGAATGCGGCCTTAACCTCTCTGTGTTCCTAGGGTCCAGCACGGTGCCTGCCCTGGGGGCTTTGGGCATGCAAAACTATGGTACCACTGTGTTGGGATGAAGGCAGTGGGCATGCTGTTGTTGGGGGGCAGGTGGGGGCACTTACCAGACAACACTGTGTACTTTAGGGCCTCCTGGGCCACCATGTTGGCGAGACCACTGAGGATGGTCTCCAGGGCATTGCCGAGCTCCATCAGGTACTTGGCTTCCCAGGCCAGGCAGTACTGCTCACGGCTGTGGGCCAGGGCAGCCCACGGGGCACTGAAGGTGCCTGGGGAGATCACAGGTAGGTGAAGTCTCTCTTGTCTATGGCAGAGGATGCCCCACCCCAGTACCCCAGACAAGGAGCACCAGGACCACTCACCCTTGTGTGGAAGACAAGAGGCCCACCCCCTGCCAATGAGTGGCAGCTGTCAGCAGAGCTAGCGGAGCTCTGTGCAGCCCAGTGAGTCAGCAGGCTGGGCTGGAATCCCAGCTCCTGCATTCACTAGAAGCCAGGTGACCCTGGGCACATCACTATCCCACCTTGTGCCTCACTTTGCTTCTATGTGAAGTGGGGAGATGGTTTATCTCCCTTCATAGGGTAGGTATAAGAATGAAATGTGTTTGAACTATGATATATGTAAAGGGTTATTTTCTCTAATGCTGAAATAATTCTGGCATTAAGCTGCTAATGACATACAACGAGAGCATACAATGGGACAAGCAGCACAGCGCTGTGAGTCTGCTGCATCTTGATTTAACAAACATGGCCTGGGAGATAGCTAGAAATTTGGGGAAGAGATGTTTGAGCCCGGCTCTGTTATGATCTTGCGGGGTCATTCAATTTTTCTGAGCCTCAATTTTCTCACTGAGGAAATATATCAAATGACCCACGGAAGGAGGATGAGACAGCACCACTGTAGCGGCCGATGCCAAGTCGGAAAGTATAACCATGACACCTGCCTCCCTCATCCCCTCCTTCCTTGCCCACCTGGCTGCCTTCAGTATAGGAGCACAGAGGGGCACCTAATCTGGCCCCCACGTATTTCTGCTTGTGGCCCAAGTGGCTTTTCTTTTCTTTCTTTCTTTCTTTTTTTTTTTTGAGACAGAGTTTTGCTTTGTTTCCCAGGCTGGAGTGTAGTGGCACGATCTCGGTTCACTGCAACCTCCGCCTCCCAGGTTCAAGTGATTCTCCTGCCTCAGCCTCCTGAGTAGCTGGAATTACAGGCACCCACCACCAAACCTGGCTAATTTTTGTGTATTTTCAGTAGAGACGGGGTTTCATCATATTGGCCAGGCTGGTCTCGAACTCCTGACCTCAAGTGATCCACCCGCCTCGGCCTCCCAAGTGCTGGAATTATAGGCGTGAACCACTGCGCCCGGCGAAAGTGACTTTTTCAAAACACAAATCTTCTCCCATTCCTGCCTAAAACCCTTCATGAGCTCCCAGATCGTACATCAGTTCCCCTAGATCACTACCACTTGCCCTTGAGATTCCAGTCCAATCGCCTCTTCCACGGGGAAGCCTTCCCGGCTCCTCTGACAAAACAAATGCACCCTCCACTTTTCCCCATAAGTTCTTATCACAGTCTGCAATTATTCGCTATTTATGCATCCTGTTTGACGTGTGCCTCTCCTACAGTCTGCTTTGCCAAGCACTGTATTCCCAAAGCCTGGTGATGTGATGTACAGTAAGTGCTCATTAAACACCATGTGGGAATGGAGGGGTGGAGACAGCTTCCCGGGGCAGCCTGCAGGTTCTGAGCATCAACCTCAGGCCTCTACCTGCCTGCTCCAAAGCTCATCCTTACCTGCAGGGTACCACGTCCGCACAAGGACAATACTACAGCTGCCCCCCTCCCTCTGGGGGGACCCTGTCTCAGCTCTGCAACAACTTGGGGATCAACTGCCTCTAATTATGGATAAGGTGATAGTCAGCCCCAAGAGAGGAGATGGGCACAGGACAGCGAGAAGCACAGGCTTGATGTCAGCCTGGGTTCCAAACCCAGCTCGATGGCTTCCACGGGTGTGACCCACAGCAAGGCACCATGCCCTTCTGACCCTTGGTTTCCACATTTGTAAGGATGGAATAATAACATCTGACTCAGGTGTGGTGGGGATCACAGGAGATGCTGCATAAAAGGTGTTGTATACTTTGGGAGGCCGAGGCGGGTGGATCATGAGGTGAAGGGATCAAGACCATCCTGGCCAACATGGTGAAACCCCGTCTCTACTAAAATTACAAAAACTAGCCGGGCGTGGTGGCACATGCCTGTAATCCCAGCTACTCTCGAGGCTGAGGCAGGAGAATCGCTAGAACCCGGGAGGCGGAGGTTGCAGTGAGCCAAGATCGCGCCACTGCACTCCAGCCTGGTGATACAGCAAGACTCCGTCTCCAAAAGAAAATAAAAATAAAAAAAATAAAAAGGCGTTGTATAAACTGTAAAGTGCTCTACTGCATTGTGCTGTCCTATGGCCAAGAATATGGGCTGGAGCCAGATAGAATGGGGGTGAATCCTGCCCCTGCCCCTGACTAGCTGGGTGACCCTGGGCACCCCTTATAAGCCTCAGTTTCCTCATCTGGAAAAGGGGAGTGCGAATGACAGCCACTTCCCTGGACTGAAGTGAGGAGCTAAATGAGCCAGTGCATAGGAAGGGCTTGGTGGTTGGCTACAAAGTTTTTATCTTTATTGTACATAATCAAGATTAATAAAGGGGTGGTCCAAAGAAAGTCCGGTCATTCCTATCACATGGAAAAAGCAATCAGGTGATGATAAGGCTTCTTTTCCTGGCTCTCGAGGAGGTAGGAATATGTGATATTTTTTCCTTCTGAAACTTTCTCTAGCTTGGTTGTATTTCTTTTACCCAGCCCTTTCCCTGAGTGTCCCACACTAGACAGCTGGAGATCAGTGAAGACTTTCCTCATCCCCAAATGAACTTGACCTTTAACCCGGGGCAAACTGAACAAATAGGGGCAAACTGAACAAGTGGGGGCAAAATGAAGAAAGGAGTTTGCTTTCCATGCCGGCCAGACTTGCAAATTCCTTTACCTGGGCTCTTGTTCTTGCTCCTTCCTGTAGCACGGTAAAATGAAAACAAATGAAAAACCCTGGGCATTGGATCAGGAGACCTGGGTTTGAATTGTGCATCTGCTACTCCCCTGCCAGGGTTCCTCTTCCAACAGATCAGGGTCAGAACAGCCCCACCTTGGAGGGTGGAAGTGAAGTTTCTAGGAGGTAACCATACCAAGTTCCTACTATGCTGGTAAAATGCCAGACTCAAGGTAGGTGTGAACGAGGCGCTCACTGAACGCTAGTGACCTCTGTGCATGGGTGGTGCCCGGCGGTCACACACCAATAAGACCCTGGCGCCTGGTGACACCTCTAAATGTTTCTCACTGGCTTTCTTCTGTGTGGTTTGGCAGATCTGTGACTTCTGCCCTTAGGTCAGAGACTTGGGAACCCAGGAGGCTCTGGGCAGGCGTGCCTGAGTGGTCAGGTTGGGACGTTTAGGATTCCCGCACCCACCCTGCTCTTTTTCTAAGGGATGCACTGTTTGTTGTTTGTTGAGCCTCTCGCTGGGCACTTGCAGGGGTCAAGTAACAAGTGGACCATGGTGTGAGTCCTCAATGCCACCCTGGCTAGAATCCCCCAAAATATGCATGTTCAAATGAGAACAGCAAAGGGAACTAATGTTTGCTTCATGCCAACGAGAAACCACGTGATGTTCCTCACTTAATCTTTGCAGCATCCTGAAAAGGTGGCAGTAATTTGTTCCACTTTACAAATGAAGTAGCTGAGATACAGAGAAGTTATGTAACTTGCTGAGGTCATGTAGCCAACACATACTGATCTCTCACTCACATGCTGAAAGTCCTTTGCTCTCTTCCACTTGCTCTGAGGACAAATTCAAACTTCTTGCCACAGCTCACATGCCCCTGTGTGGTCTGGCTCCACCCACATTCCTGCCTTCTGCCTCCCTGCTGCAGCCATCCTGTGCTCTTTTGGTTCTTTCAAACCGCTGGGCCTTTGCACCTGCTGTCCCTTTGCTTGGAATACACTTTCTGCTCCTGGTTTATCGGGCTAACTCCCAGCTAGCCCTTAGCCTAATGTCACTTCCTTCAGAACCTTCCCCAGAAACACCCTGTGCTTCCCCTATTGTGCCATCCATAAAGCTCCCATTTAGTTACTCGGTCTGTCTTCTATCTTGGGCTGTATGTTCTGTGGGAGTAGAGGCCATGGCTGTGCTGCTCACCACTGAATTCCTAAGACCTGGTTCAGTATATGACACATGGTAAGTACAGCACTTTATAAATACCGCTACATGGACAGAGAGGTGGATGGGTGGATGGATGAACAGATGGGTGGGCAGATGGGTGGGTGAATGGACAGACAGGTGGGTGGGTGGATGGGTGGATAGGTAGAAGGGTGGATGGATGAATGGATGGGTGGGTGCATGGATAGATAGGTAGAAGTGTGGATGGATGCATGGGTTCATGGGTGGGTAGACAGGTGAGTGGGTGGACAGGTAGACAGGTAGAAGAGTAGATGGATGGATGGATAGATAGAAGGGTGGTTAAGTGGGTGGGTAGATGGATGAACAGGTGGGTGGATGGATGGGTAAACAGGTAAAAGGGTGGGTGGGTGGGTAGGTGGATGGGTGGATGGACAGGTGGGTAGGTGGATAGATGGATGGCGAGATGATGGGCAGGTGGACAGATGTGAGATGAAGTTGCCTCACCTCTCTGAGCCTCAGTTTCTTCCTCTGCGAAATGGGGCTCCCTATACCTGCTCCCTAGTGCAGGTAAAAACCTAGCCCAGGGTCTGGCCCAGGCCACCACTGCCCACCCCCCTCCACTTCTGGTCCTCCTGGTCCTCACGGTATTTGCCAGAAGCGAGCCACCCCGTGACGGCGATGGTGATGTGCAGCTGCCTGCCCTCCGTCAGAGGCAGAAACGTGAACTCTTCAATGGCTCCCACTCGCTTCTTCATCTTGTATCCTAAAGACCCAGATCCGAGAAAGAGAATGGAGGTGACTGGGGCCCCGGGGAACATCAGGGTGGCTGTATGTTCTCACACATGCACACAGTGAGCACCATCTGTGTGCCCTGCCCCTGGAAAAACACATTTTGTGTTTGAACTCATTAAGGTAGGTGCCACTATTGTCCCTGATTACAGACGAAAGCAAGAAGCTGCTTCTGAGGCTGGCCAGCCCCCGAGCGGTAGAGCTGGTTTGGACCTCAGAGCCCAGGCTCTCACCCATTGCTCTGCCCTGGTTCTGTTTCTTTTCTCCTGCCCACACACCGCAGGGGTAGAACACACTCCACTTAGTAACAGTGAATCAAACAGACCAAGAGTCTCATCAGGGGAGCAAACTTCTCTTGGGGAGTTGAACAGGAATGTCTGTGCATGACGAGGTTGGAGGAGTGGGAGGGGGGCTGCTGCTGACAGATATCATTTGGAAAAACTCCCCCAGGTGATGCTGCTCAGGGAAGGGCAGCCATGTTCCCTCCAAACATGAGGAAGCCCAAGCATGGAAACTTCTGGATGGTGGAAGCAGGTTCCACTGGGGCCTTTCTCAGGAACTACACACAAGGTGCATGGGGAAAAAGCCAGCTTCTCAAACTCAGCCCTTACCCTGACCCACGCGAGCTCTGGGAAGGCTGGGACCCAGAGTGAGAAAAGCCACGTCTCCTCTGTCTCCCAGGGAGTCACTGCTGGTGAGGATCCAGGCATGTCCTTTTAGGAACTGGGCCACCCTGGCTGAAAATTCCTCTGAACCCATCATTCCTTTTGAACCTTACCTGTCAGGCCAGCTCCAGCTGCACCAAACAGCGAGGTCATGATGGCTATGCCGGCTGCTGAGCCCAGAGCCGCTGCCCCGGCGCTGCCAATAATCGTCGCTGCTCCAGCGGCAACAAGGGGTGCAGCTAGACCTCCAGTCACACCTGTGGGAAAAGCAGCAGTTTCAGGTGGGAGTAAAAATGTGGTGGCTGGACGCGGTGGCTCACGCCTGTAATCCCAGCACTTTGGGAGGCCGAGGTGGGCGGATCACGAGGTCAGGAGATCGAGACTATCCTGGCTAACACGGTGAAACCTCATCTCTACTAAAAACACAAAAAATTAGCCGGGCATGGTGGCAGGCGCCTGTAATCCCAGCTACTCGGGAGGCTGAGGCAGAAGAATGGCATGAACCTCGGAGGCGGAGCTTGCAGTGAGCCGAGATCATGCCACTGCACTCCAGCCTGGGCGACAGAGCAAGATACTGTCTCAAAAAAAAAAAAAAAAAAAAAACGTGGCTTGATGAGTTTTTACCCCTCAGCTACCTACTGCCTCCCATGGAAGTTTCTGACAGTGCTGATGAGCACACCGACTACTCACTGACTACCTACCACATGCCAGGGGCCACCTCCCAGCTGAGCCCCTGCACTCTCCACTCTCACCCACAGCCTGGCATCATTTCTCTGTCTACAAAACCCAGACGTGTGCCACCATCTCTAGCTGGACTCACCGATCACCGTTCCGCCTCCGACAGTCGCCAGGCCTATCAGGAGATAACGCTTCCATTTCCTCCGGTTTTCTTTCTTCTTTCGGGATGCCTCGGCCATTCTGAGGGAAAAGAGGCTGGTCTTTAGGGCCAGCTGTGCCCAGGATCCCTTGAGACATCCCCACCACACCAACCCTCAAACAGGGGCCAATGCTGGGTAGCTACTCTGCCACTCAGAGTAAGGCACCAAAGTCACCTTGAGCCCACTGATGGTTTAAAAAGCTGAAAACATTCTAAAACCCAGCCGGGGAATCTCAGTGTATGGGATGTACTACTTACCCAATGGATCCATCCTAACAGGGTTGCAATTTGAATAATAAAAAGACAAAAAATAATAATAGCAAGAGAAGCACAAAAAAGATCTTTAAACAGATGGACCCAGAAGAAGCACAAAATAGATAATCACAGACTCCATCACCTCCCTCCTCCCCTCCCTTCTTCCCCAACCTGCCATCTGATCCCACCTCCCTCTGGGATATTTGGAAACCAATTTCCTCCAAAATGATCATTTTGAAGATGGGAGACCTTGGCCTTGGAGCAGTAGCTAGACTTGTTCAGACTTGAAATGGAAATGCTAGAAAATCTAGCAAAAGGAAAACATTTAGAGTGAATTGGGGTCAGGTGTGCCCTGAGAACTGCTGTTGTGAGCACTCAAGAGTCAGGAAGCCCAATTTTCCTATTGGACATTCAGCCCTGAGCCCCTTTGCTGCGGCTGGGATGGAGAGGTTATTAAGTAGGAACTCTGAACTGAGGTTGGAGTCTGAACAATAACTCAGTGTGGAGTGATAGCAAAGCATGGTGATAATCAAAGAAGAAAAATGGTTAATCTTTACCAAGGGCTTCTTATATCTCAGCCACTGGGCTTTGCACTTCACAGGATTAATCTTATCCTAAGAAGCAGTATGGTTATTGTACCCATATTATAGATGAATTAAGGGATAACAGTCACTACCTCCCCATGAACTGTGAGGATCCAGAAATAGATTATCTGTAAAGCATTTAGCATGGCGGCGGGCACACTGCAAGTGCTCAGCGCAACTGGGGCTGATGTCATCACGATGCTGCATCTCCCCAAGCCTCAGTTTCCTCTTTTGTCAAAAGGCGGACACTAATTTCTACCTCATAAAGTTGTTGGCTTGTAAGGATTAAATTCATTCGTTCTTCGTCCATTCAGTCAATAAAGTTATATTGAGAATGGATGGCATGCTGTGCTTTCCCATCTCCTTGAGCAGAAAAATGTATGTGCTCAACCAGTACCTGTTTCCTTCCCATCTCCCTCCTTGTGAACCATACATTTTATTGAGAAATAGCTTCTTCTCCAGTCATCTAAAAGAAATGGGATTTGGCCAGGTATGGTGGCTCACACCTGTAAACCCAGCACTTTGGGAGGCCGAGGCAGGTGGATCACCTGAGGTCAGGAGTTTGAGACCAGCCTGGCCAATATGGTGAAACCCCATCTCTACTAAAAACACAAAAATTAGCCAGGCGTGGGGGCAGGCGCCTGTAATTCCAGCTACTCAGGAGGCTGAGGCAGGAGAATTACTTGAACCCAGGAGGAGGAGGTTGCAGAGAGCTGAGATCCCACCACTGCACTCCAGCTTGGGAACAGAGTGAGACCCTGTCTCGAATGAATGAGTGAATGAATGAATGAATGAATGAAATAAAATACATAAGTAAACAAAATGGGATTTCAGTTGGGCATCTGGGGACCTGCTGTGCTTTTTGGTTCCCTGCCCGTTCACCTCAACAGGTTTTTTTCCTAAGCATCTCCTGGGTGTAAAGCCCAGTGTTTCTCAGTCACTTCATTACACAGAAGCAGAAAGCAACAGTAAAAATCTCTGTGCATATCATGATACTGGTTTTCCACAACTGAAATTCATGTCATCAGTGGTGTGGGATGAGGCTGAACCATGTGCATCTAGCACAGTGGGAGGCAGGAGGGCCATCAAGATCGAGGGTTCTAATGTCAGGATTCAAACTCTGTGGATGTAGGCATGAATCCTAGCTCTGCTGTTGTGGTAGCTGTATCACGATTCACCACATATTCAGTTATCCCTCTCTGCAGAAAGATTATGCATCCCTGCCCTGTCAAACTGAGTGGTCATAGGACCAGCTTTAGCCAAATGTAGGTGGAGGTGATATGTGTCACTTCTGGCAGAATCTTTTTTTTTTTCCCTTTCTTTTTTTGAGACAAGGCCTGGCTCTGTCACCCAAGCTGGAGTGCACTGGTGGGATCTTGGCTCACTGCAACCTCCACCTCTCAGGTTCAAGTGGTCCTCCCACCTCGGCCTCCCATGTAGCTGGGATTATAGATATGCACCACCACGCTTGGGTAATTTTTGTACTTTTTGTAGACATGGGGTTTTGCCACGTTGCCCAGGCTGGTCTCAAACTCCTGGGCTCAAGTGATCCACCTGCCTCAGCCTCCCAAAGTGCTGGGACTACAGGTGTGAGCCACCGTGCCGGGACAACTGGTAGAATCTTTAAAGCCAGTGCAGGAAAGTGATTCATCTTCTTTCTCTATGCCCCAAAACCAGCGATAATCTAGATAGGGTCACTCTGTCAGCCTGGGACCCAGAACCAGTACAATGTGAATTCAAGCTACAGCCAATCTGCAATGGACACAAAGTATGAACAAGAAATACACCTTTAATCCTGTAAGCTGCTGAGACTTATTTGGGGGTCACTTGTTATGGCAGCAAAACCTAGCCTATCCCCACAGTGGACAGAACCACTTAATACCTTTGTGACTATGCACAAATTATTTGTCACATCTGAGTTTCCTCAACCTACAAATGGGGATAAAAACAGTACTGAATTTCCAGGGGTATTGTGAGGACTAAATGAGACAGAGACACTGAGACATAGTGACTACCATCCTGTAATTATTCAATATGTTTATTGCTATTATCACTCTTTTCATTATTATTGTAATAATTTCCTCCTCAACACAGGCTGGAGATATACTTTGACCCTGAACTGCCTTGACCCTTAATTGATAACTCTTAAGTCAGTTCCAAGTGGAAGGCTGAAGATTACTGACTTTGGGCAGAGTTCAAGGCCGAAGAAAACATTCAAGTCACTGACGATATACGACGGGAACGTGCAACTAGACAAGCGATGTGGCGCTGAGTCAGCGGCATCTTGATTCAACAAACACGGCCTGGAAATAGTCTGGAAATTTGGGGAAGAGGTGTTTGAGCTCAGCTCTGCCATGAACTTGCTGGATCATCTAATTTTTCTGAGTGTTGATTTTCTCGCTTAGGAAATGTAACTATCAAATGACCCATGGACAGATGATGAGACGGCACCACCGCAGCAGCCAATGCCAAGTATTAATAGAAAAATATAACCATGACTACCTGCCTCTCTCTCCTCTTCCCTCCTTGCCTGCCTGGCTGCCTTCAGGACACTGTCATCTCTCCCCGATGTGACACTTACGCCCTCTGTGTCCTGATCCCTCTCTCCCCCTCTAACACTCATCACTTCCTCACTGACACATCACCCTTGGGAAATACTGAGCTGTCTCCAGTCACCTTCTGGCCCCTGGCCATCAAGGACCTTCCCACCTTCCTGTGACTAGTTCAACATCACTCAACCTTCAGGAGTCAGCCGAGATGGGACATATCCTCCAGGAAGACTGGCCAAAACCCCAAGGTTGCTGAGATGCCCTGACTCTGGGCCCCTTAACCCTCTGTGCCACATTATCCTGGAATTCTACACCAGTGATTTTCAGAGGGTGGGCACCAGAATCACCAGGAGGTACTTGTTAAAAACACAGCTTCCTGGGGCAGAATCTCTGGGTCTAAGGACAAAGATTCTGTATCGTTAACAAGTTCCTCCTCCAGGGATTCTGCTGTAACTCAAGTTTGAAAATTGCTGAGCTAAGCTCTCACAGCACGGACCAAGCCATTTCCAACTCCCCATCCTCAGCAGCTTGCCCTGGGCTTGGAAACTGGAGGGTACTCAGGAAATCTTTCTTGTAAAGAGCCTAATTATTCCAACAAGAATTGGAGGTGACCACCTTGCTGCGGTGATATACTCCCCTACTCACTGTCCACATCTCTGAAAACCAGAGAGGTACAGGATGGACATGTTGGCTAAATAAAAATATATAGGCTGGGCATGGTGGCTCATGCCTGTAATCCTAGCACTTCGGGAGGCTGTGGTGGGAGGATCCCTTCAGCCCAGGAGTTCCAGAACAGCCTGGGCAACAGGGTGAAATGCTGTCCCTAGAAAAATAAAAAAATTAGCCGGGCATGGTGGTGCACACCTGTGGTCCACGCTACTTGGAAGGTTGAGGTGGGAGGATCGCTTGAACCTGCGAGGTCAAGGCTGCAGTGAGCCTCTGCTGCAGTGATCATGCCACTGCACTCCAGTCTGGGTGACAGAGTAAGACTCTGTCTCCCCCATCTCCCTCACAAAAAGTTTGTAAGCATTTGTTGATTTGAAAAGAAGATATTTTTTCCTAAAGTTACTTGGCTAAGGCACTCTCTCCTAACGTTCAGCTGAATGGCCAATCTATTTCCCTGTTTAAGTATTTGCATGTTCTTAATAATTGTTTTGGGGGCCGGGCGTGGTGGCTCGCGCCTGTGGTCCCAGCACTTTGGGAGGCCAAGGCGGGTGGATCACGAGGTCAGGAGATCGAGACCATCCTGGCTAACATGATGAAACCCAGTCTCTACTAAAAATACAAAAAATTAGCTGGGCGTGGTGGCGGGCATCTGTAGTCCCAGCTACTTGGGAGGCTGAGGCAGGAGAATGGCGTGAACCCAGGAGGCGGAGCTTGCAGTGAGCCGAGATGGCGCCACTGCACTCCAGCCTGGGTGACACAGTAAGACTTTGTCTCAAAAAAAAAAAAAATTTTTTTTTTGTACATAAAATAGCTTTCCCAGACATCGTTCATTATTGCAGCACTATACTCTTGCAATTACTTCAGTTGTCTGATTGAATCTCAACATTGAAAGCAAAGGGGAGATGTTTGCTCTGAGTCACATTTACAATGCCTCCTTCCCTTTCCTTGGAAGTGAACACTCAGAGAACAACACTAAATCCGAATGACAGCCTTGTTGTCATCACTGACTGCCTGCTGATTAGATATGACAGCAACCCACACCGTCGTAGTCACGGTCATGCTGAAAAGGCAGAAGCGAACCTGAGCTGCCCAAAGACAAAGGCTGAAACCACATGCAGATTTGGGCCAAATCCCAGGCTGAAGCCAGAGATACCTCCTGAAGAGCAAGACGCCCGCATTGCCCATCTCATAGATCCATAAATCGGTCTTACTCTCTGTCATCTTATCTCCCATAAGAGGGTGTTTTCTGTCCTTATCCTCACCACCACCTTCTGTTTTTAAATCACTTTTTTTTGTGCTGACAGATAGAGAGAGCTTATCACTGAGAGGTCTACAGACACTTTCCTAGTAATGGCCTGGATGACCCCATAAAATCATTATCTTTCTTGTTTTCTTCAGAATTAAGGAGAAACCCTGCCACTGCCAGCCAGGCCTTGAAGGACACAGTGAGAGCCATTCAGACTGGACATCGTGGTCAAATCAGATGCTGCTGGCCAGCCATGCGACCTTGGCTGAGTTATGCCACCCCTCTGACTTTATTTCTTTATTTGTGAAACACTTAGGGGGCTGTTATGAGGATCGAGTGAGATGGCATCTTGTGCCTGCATCTAGTAGGCATTCAGGAAAAATCTGATGCTGGCAACGTTCTTACGATGTGAGCGGTATCTTTCTTTCTTTATTTTTAATTGTAATTTTTTTTTTTTGAGATGGAGTTTCACTCTTGTTGCCCAGGCTGGAGTGCAATGGCATGATCTCGGCTCACTGCAACCTCCGCCTCCTGGGTTCAAGCAATTCTCCTGCCTCAGCCTCCCATGTAGCTGGGATTACAGGCATACGCCATCACACCCAGCTAATTTTTGTATTTTTAGTAGAGACGGGGTTTCACCATGTTGGTCAGGCTGGTCTCGAACTCCTGACCTCTGGTGATCCACCCGCCTCAGCCTCCCAAAGTGCTGGGATTACAGGTGTGAGCCACTGCGCCTGGCCTATGTGAGCAGTATCAACCCCAGCAGCTCATGAGCTCACATCTTCTGAGACTCTACTATGTGCCAAGCACGGGTCCCAGCTTTTGATATGTGTTAAGTAATTTAATCCTCTCAATGCTGATGGCGATACTACCATTATCCTCATGTGAGAGATGAAGAAATGAGGCACAGAGAGGAGAGGTGAAGTCACTAAACAAGTGAGGGAAGCCGGGTGGCCTTAGGGCTCAGACAGGGACCCAGGAGCAGAGGGGTGGTACGTCACACTCTAGACCTCAGCTGCAAAGAGTCACCTTGGTCGGCCCAGTGATGAACTCACCTCCCAGAAACACAAAACCTTACAGTCAAGAGAAATTTACGTATCATTCAATCCCTTAATTGTATAGGTAAAAAAAGAAAATGTGTGCTGGTGTCCAGGGAGGGAAAGACACGTGCCCAAGGCCACACAGAGGGTTAGTAGCAGAATCAAACTGAGAGCCAGGTCTCCTGGCTGAACAGTTGCTATGGCTTCCCTGGGTCTCAGATCCTTCCAGAGACCACAGAATCTGAGAGTCCCTAACGCTGCATAAACAATTACATGTGTGAAGCCTTTTCCTGGGGAAAGAGTCTACATATAGACTACAATAGGGTCTATAATAGTTTATAAAAGGGTCTATAATAACACAATTAGAACAGTATTGTTAACAACAGCAAATAATATTTATGGACTAGTTACTCTGTCCCAGGCTCACTTGAAACACTTCACATATATATGAACTCATCTGGGCCCCACAGGAACTCTGTGAGGAGGGCGCTACTATTATCCCCATTTTACAGGTGAGGAAGTTGAAGCTCAGAGAAGTTAAATAATGCCCAGATTCACATGGCTGGTAAGTGGCAGAACTGGCCTGTATTAGACCTTCTGGTTTATATCTTCCCTGACCTGGGGTTACCGGTATTATCAGAACAAATCGCTCCGGGTAATACGTTTCTCTCTGATAATAAGATTTCCAAATAATAACTGAGAGGTTCCTTAATTTCAAGGCATATAAGATCCTATAAATTCCCGACATATCCAAAGAACCTAGGATGCCCTCGTGATTATGGTAATTGGCATGGATCCAGGTATTTCTATACTGACACAACTCTGGGAGTCAAAGCTAGTATGTCTACAGGTTATTTCAACAAACCAAGTTTCCCCCTTTCTCAAGGAAATACCCCTTTTCTTTGCTCCACTAACCGTGGCATGAGGGTGGCTCTGGGTCTCAATTTGGCTTTAGGATTAAATTCCCAGGTGGGCTGACCTCGGGTAACCTGGCTGGTCAAAGAACACCACGGCAGCTAAAAAAAACCCAGACCTGGGAGACGTGCCTGGTGCCAGGAGCCTGGGATTAGGCTGTGACTGAAATTGATTTATTGCTCTGGGATTAGATCCTGTGTAAAGCGTTCTGCAAAGAGCTGAGCACCGGCCAGGTTACCAGAATTATTTCCTTCTACACATTCTTGACCATATATAGACAGCAAAGCAACTCTACAACTGATGGGTCCGGGACACGTCGGGGAAGGGGAGGATTCACATCTACCAAGCACTTGCTGTGTGCCAGCCCTGGGCCGGGCATTTTATAATGCGCAGACATTCATTCTTCCTAATGATCCTGGGAGGGCACTATCCTTATTCCTGTTTCACAGATAAGAACATTGCAGCTTAAAAAAGCAAGGCCACCCGCCCAATGTCAAGCAGTGGACAGGTATCAGAAACGGGAATTGAATCCAGGTCAATTGTGCCCGTGAACCAGGTGTCATAAGAGCCTGAGGTGGAACAGGGTGTCAGGGCCCCAGGATGTTAAAGTCACAGATTCAAGGCCCTTAGCAATCATTCATTCCATCTTTTCTTTTCTTTTCTTTTTTGAGACAAGAGTCTCACTCTGTCACCCACACTGGAGTGCAGTGGCACAATCTTGGCTCACTGCAACCTCCACCTCCCTGTTTCAAGTGATTCTCCTGGCTCAGCCTCCCGAGTAGCTGGGATTACAGGCACATGCCAGCGTGCCCGGCTAATTTTTGTATTTTTAGTAGAGATGGGGTTTTATCATGTTGGTCAGGCTGGTCTCGAACTCCTGACCTCAAGTGATCCGCCTGCAGGGTGCTGGGATTACAGGCGTAAGCCACCATGCCTGGCACATTTCATCTTTTCTTCTTGCAAATGAAGTCAGAGGCCCAGAGAGGGCAAGTAGCTTGCTAAGGCCACACAGCGAGTCAGGGCTACAGCTGGGACTCTGTCCAGGGCTCCTTCCACCTCACTACACCATCTCTTAAAGGGAGAAGGGGACTCTGTTATCTGCAAAGTACACTGAAGTGGAAATCCTTGGATCCTGATGGGGGTCGCGGGGCTCTCTTACTCAGATTCCTCTTCTTTGATTTCCTTCAGGCTCTCCAGGAACATCTCTTCAAGGACATCCAGCTCCTCCAAGGGCACTTGGAGCAGGGAGGTCATGTGGCAAACGAGGACTCTGGCCCGGGCGTCATAGTGCCCTCGAAAGACAGAAACAACACCGGAAAAGAATCAGTTTAGGTTTTAAGAACAGTGATGTTAGCAGTGTAACTGATAAAACCCACACTAGAAACAGCCTAAATGTACAACCCCATGGGAGCCAGTCAATGAAAAAAATGACACAGTTGCCTGGACAGAATACTATACAACTATTAAAATATTCAGCAAAAGCAAGGTGGGGCTGGGTACGGTGGCTCACTCCTGTAATCCCAGCACTTCGGGGGGCTGAGGCAGGCAGATCGCTTGAGTCCAGGAGTTCAAGACCAGCCTGGGCAACACAGTGAGACCCCCTCACCTCTACAAAAAAATACAAAACTTAGCCAGGCATTGTGGTGCATGCCTGTGGTCCTAGCTACTCAGGGGGCTGATGTAGGAGGATCATGAGCCTAGGAGGTTGAGGCTGCAGTGAGCCGTGATCATGTCACTGCACTCTAGCCTGGGCGACAGAGTGAGACCCTGTCTCAAAAAAGAAAAAAGGAAGGTGGTATTTCTCACCAGTCAAATGCGCAAAGATCAGTTTTTAAAATTTCACAGCTGTGAAGGAGATGATAAAAATGGATGCCCAAAGACATTGCTGGTGGAAGCATGCACTGGTATAAACTTTCTGGAGGGCAACTGGACAATAAGTATCAACAACTTAAAAAAAAATAATCCCCTTTGCCCCAGGAATTCCATTTCTGGAATTGTAATCTTAAGAAAACAACCGTAAATGCAGATGATATTTAGTAAATAAAGGCAGTATGCTGTATTTATAATATGAAATTGGAAACAACCTGGAGATTTCCAACATCAGGAAATTAGTTGAATAACCCACACCCATCCAGCCGAAAACCAAGGGGCCATAAAAAGTGATTCCTAAGAAAAGTATGTAATAACTTTCAAAAATAAGTTCTTACCCAGAAGAATTTATGGCTAAGATAATTTATGGCTAAGTGGTGGTGCGTGCCTATAATCCCAGCTACTTTGGAAGCTGATGGGGGAGGATCACTTGAGCGCAGGAGCTCGAGATCAGCCTGGGCAACATAGCAAGATCTCATCTCAGTAATTGAAAAAAAGGAATAAAAAAGACACAGTTCTGTTTGCATATTATAAATAAAGAAAAAAGGGAAAATAAATGCTTATATAATGAAACAAAATTTTTAATGCATAGAAGAGTGACTTGATAATACGTCATGGGGTCCCAACTAAGAAACAAAACAAAAAACAAATACCACACAGGAAAAAAAAGTGAAGGAGGTCGGGCGCCTGTAATCCCAGCACTTTGGGACACTGAGGTGGGCAGATCACTTGAAGCCAGGAGTTCGAGACCAGCCTGGCCAACATGGTGAAACTCCATCTCTACTAAAAATACAAAAATTAGCCAGGCGTGGTGGCGGGGGGGGGCGCCTGTAATTTCCAGCAACTTGGGAGGCTGAGGCATGAGCCACTGCACCTGGCTGACAATTCAAATTTAGCATCTTACGGTTCTGAAGGCCGGATATTCTAAAATCACAGTGTTAGCAAGGAGAGAATCTGTTTTCTTGCTTTTCCCAGCCTGCTTTCCTTGGCTTGTGGCCCCTCCCTCCAGTCACTCCAGCCTCTGCTCCCATGGTCACATGTCCTGCTCTGACTTAGATCCTCATGTCTCCCTTTTATGAAGACCTTGTGATTGCATTAGGCCTATCTGGAAAGCCCAGGATAGCTTCCCCATCCCAAGATTCTTAATGTAATCACACCTGCAAAGTCCCTTTTGCCATGTAGGGTAACATATTCACAGTTGCCAGGGATTAGGATGTGAACATCTTTGGGGGCCATTATTCCATCACTTAACCCTTGACCTGGCTCAACCATCACCTCCTCTCTGAACCCTCTCTGCATCACTCCTTCCTTTGGGGGTCTGTGATCGCTTACACAGACCTCTCTCTCAGTATCTTCCCCATTTGATTGTACTCATCATATCTTACTAGACTGTAAGCTTAGTCATCTGTTTTTCCAACTGCTGTACCTACCTGGGGTGTGACAATAAGAACTCAAAAAATGTTTATGCAGTGAATGAACCAATGAATAAACTCTTCCGAATTTTAGGTCAAATTCTTTGTGACTCAAGTACTATGACATGCTTCCAAATTGAATGTTTTTGACAGAGAAAATCACAAGGACCTGGCATTCAGCTACTCCGCACTCACCTTCCCTGTGTGCCCTGGCCCTGTGAAGACACAAGTTGTCTAAAACGCTAATTCCCCAGTCCAGCTGCCTATTAGCATGACCTGAGAAGCTTGCCAAAAATAGGGTTTCCTGAGTTCTGGTATAGGGGACCCTCCTTTCCCTGGCCTCATGTTTCCATGTGAGGGACCATTTACCATGACACAGTCCCTGAAGTCTTGAAGTTTGAGGTTTCGGCTTCTGCAAAAGAAATCAGTTCCTTCCTTGACCCAGGGTCCCCAGAGTGAAACAGGGTCTCTTGGGGCTGCCCTGCTGTCTCCCAGGATGAGGAGCTGTCTACGTGCTGGGGACAGACACCACATGCTGTGGCTTGGGGTTATTAGATTCAGTAAACTTCCATGGAAAAAAGGAGCTCCTTCCTTCCCCCATAGGAGCAAAGACTACTGTGCCCACGTGATAATCGGGTTGTAGAAATCAAGCTTTGGCCATGATGATTAATTGGTGGCAATGATAATTAGTTGCTAATACATACTCCACTGGTCAAGGCTGCAGTGATTCACCTTCCAGCATGCAGGCTGCTGGGTGCATGTGTGATTAACATTCCTGTGGTAATCTCAGGCACGGGGCTTTTGTATCTTAGCCTTGTGTATAGGTCATTTCAAGGACTTGGTGGCAGGGATGCTGGTCTTGGAGCCAGGGTTCGTAGTTTAAGGCATGTTCCTTCTGGAAGCTCTAGGAGCAAATCTCCTCGTCTAGAAGGCAGTAGGGAGGGGCAGAGTCCTGGGCTACCCAGGATATTGGCATTCTCTGGCCCAGGCTCTACTGCCAACTTGCCAGGGGCCAACTTGCTCCTTGAGAGCCTGTCCCAATGAAAGGTGCCCCACAGGCCAGGCGTGGTGGCTCATGCCTGTGCCTGTAATTCCAGCACTTTGGGAGGCCGAGGTGGGCCAATCACTTGAGGTCAGGAGTTCAAGACCAGCATGGCCAACATGGTGAAACCCCTTCTCTACTACAAAATACAAAAATTAGCCAGGTATGGTGGCACACGTTTGTAATCCCAGCTACTCGGGAGGCTAAGGCAGGAGAATTGCTTGAACCTGGGAGGCAGAGGTTGTAGTGAGCCAAGATCATGCCACTGCACTCCAGCCTGGGCAACAGAGAGAGACTCGGTCTCAAAAAAAAAAAAAAAAAAAAAAAAAAAAGTGCTCCATCCACCCTGGGGCTCAGACCACAAGCCTGGGCATTGCTCTTAGTTCTTGTTTCCCTGTCCCGACATGTAACCCAACAGCTGATGCTGACAGCTGCACCTGCAAAACATATCCTGGGTTTGACCACTTCACTCCTTCTCCACTGCCACCGCCACAGCCACAGCCCTCGCTCTCCAACCACCAGCCGCCTCACTGCTCTCATCTTTCACTCTTGCCTCTGCACTCCATTTGCCAAACAGCAGCCACTGAGCTTCTTTAAAATCATCAATCCGGTCATGTTCTCTCCCTGGCTTAGAGCTCTCTGACAGCTCCCCAGTGCACTTAGAATAAAGTCCACATTTCTTTCCATGGTCTGCAAGACTGCACATTATCCAGCCCCTTCCTGCCATCCTCTCCGACCTCACCTTCTACCCGGCCCTGCTTCAGGCACCAGCAGCTCAAGAAGCCAAGCTCACGGCTGCCTCGGGGCCTTTGCACTCGCTGTTCTTGATATCTGGGAAGTTCCTGCCCCAGATCTCTGCTCAGCTGCCCTTTCCCATCAGTCAGGTCTCCACTTAAATATCACTTCCTTAGAGAAGCCAGCGGCTCCTGAATCAGAACAGCTCAGCCCCCAGTCACCCCATCTCCATTACCCCATTTCCCTGTATAGGTTTATTGTCTGGCTTTCCCCATTGGAATGTCTGTCCCACAAGGGCAGCGACATTTACTTTGTTCCTTGCTGTTCTCCCAGTGCTTGGGACAATGCCTGGCAGTTAGTAGGTGCATAGTTAAGATGTGTTGAGTCATGAGCTGACCAAAGTTCTCTCTTGCCTGCCAGGGTTCTGTGCTGTGGCCACCTGCCCCAAGCAGCACAAAAGACCTTTCTCTGCCTCCCACCTCCACTGAGACTCCCTCTCCCTCTCTAGTACCCTCCAAGTCCTGCTCCCCCAGGGGACTAGGGGAGAGTGGATTAATGGGTTAAGGCCTCTCTCCTCCTCTCAGTGGGGTCTTCTCTTACAGTGGTGAATTATTCTTAAATGTCATATAGTCTTTTTTTTTTCTTTTTTAAGAGATGGGGATCTTGCTATGTTGCCCAGGCTGGTCTCAAACTCCTAGCCTCAAGCAATCCTCCCACCTTGGCCTCCCAAGTAGCTGGGACTACAGGCACATGCCACAAATATCAGAGGCTTGACTATGCCTGGAACACTCAGTTCCTTCCTCAAATGTCACCTTCTTGGAGAAGCCCTCCCTGACCCAGTCCACTCCTTCCTAGTCTCTTACCATGAGTTATTTCTCCGTATCTTTTTCTTTTCTTTTCTTTTTGAGACAGGGTCTCACTGTCACCCAGGATGGAGTGCAGTGGTATGATCTTGGCTCACTGCAGCCTCAACCTCCTGGGCTCAAGTGAGCCCTCACCTCAGCCTCCTGAGCAGTTGGGACTACAGGCATGTGCTTCCATGCTCTGATAATATATATATATCTCCAGCAATCCACACACCTTTGCCTCCCAAAGTACGTGGTGGGATTAAAGGCATGAGCCACTGTGACCAGCCATTTCTTCTTATCACCATTTAAAACAACTATATATATATTTTATTTGCCTACTTGTTTATTTTGTCTCCTCTTCTTCTAGAATATAAAATTTAAGCTCCAAATCCACTGTGCATCCCTAGTACCTCGGCCCATGCCAAAAACAAAGCAGAGGTTTAATAATCTTTGTACGTAAGAGGAATGGAATATTTGTAGAAATGAATGAATGACTGAGTGGCTGGAACTCTGTTGGGAGAGATCCAAATGCAGGGGACAGTTCTGCTGGATGAGATGTATATCCCCTTTCGGCAGAAACATCCTATGACCAATAATCCTATTAATCTGGAAGCTTCATTTATCACCTACTCATCTAGATCAGATTCTGCACTACACTCTCTGCACGTATTGGCTTATTGAATCCTTATGACCCTCTGAAGTGGCGGGTACTATAGAAACTCCATCTTCTCAAAGAGGAAAGTGAGGTGCAGAGAGCTTAGGCCAGTGGCCAGGTTCACCTGGACAGCGAGTAGTAAAGTGGCAGCCTGGGTGCAGATGCTGTGCACCTGACCGCCACCCATTCCCCGCACCATGAAGTGGGAAGGAGGGCCACGAGCTAGCAGAACACTGTCTTCCAGCCACACACCTCTCCCCGAAGCCCGCCCATGCTTCCAGCCTGCACCCCTTCCTCACGGCCTCCTTCTAAATCAGCCCATGATCAATGGGTGCTGCAACATCCCCCCATTGCTCCTGATAGATGTGCAGATTCCAGTCCAGTGCCCAGGCCCAGACTTTTGGATCCTGCCGGAAGGACCAAAGGAGCTGGTATCCAGAGGTCCTTTCCAGCTCAGAGATCTGAGGGTCAGCCTCAGGGTACCTGTTCCTCCTCACAAGGAGAGACCTTTAAAGCCCAAGGTCAAATGAACTTGAAACAGCCCAACAGCAACAGGGTCATGTGGAGACTTGACAGTCACAGCGGGACAGTGGTTCTTAGAGTTTAGGGAACATCAAGGTCCCAGAGAGCTTGTGGAATTACAGCTTCCTCGGTCCCACATGCAGGAGATCTGGGGTAGGGCTTAGGAATCTGTACTTTTAACAACACTCCCCACTCCCAGTGATTCTGAAACAGATGATTCCTACCCCAGGAAACAGAGCAGTGGGCTCCCCTCTTGCAAATGAGCTCCTCCCAGTCTGAGATAGTCTGGATGTGCTCATGCCTGGAGGCAGAGCGTGATGCTCCTCCTGCCACCTCTGCAGGGAAGGGAACCCGGCATCCCTGGCCTGCTCCTAAGCAGCAGGCATCATGGCAGGAGCTTGCATTTGTGATTGCTGATCCTCCCAATGGTCCTAGGAGGTTGTCACTATGATGCCGCATTTTGCAAATGAAGAAAGAACAGGTGCAGAGTGGATAAGAAACTTTCTCAAAGCCACACAGGTCAGAGAGTGCTGGAGCTTGGATTATAATCCAAATTATGTGATGCCAACATTTCTGCTCATTCCACTATGAGTGCCTTTTAAAGGCAAATGCCTTACTCTTGAGTGAGTTTGGTGTCCTAGGACAATCTCGTTTGGCCAGCTGTGAATCCTATATTTTATGCACATGGGGTATACATACAATCTCAGGGGCAGCCCTAGATCATGGGCCACAGGCACACCTAAAAGTTACGTATCACGGGATAACAGTTCTTTGGAAAGATGGGGGATTGGGGAGGGTGACCGAGGGATCTCGGCTCTGCCACCAGAGGGCAGAAGTGTGCCAGACACCCAGAACTGCGGGATTAGCCCTGGTGCCCACCCCAGACACACAACCACATACTGTGGGAGCCCCTGGAGCCAACTGGTCCCCCTGCTTCAACAAGAGCAAGGGGCATGTCCAGAGCCAGGCTGTGTGTTCATGATGGGACTCCTTCGCCCACCAGCATTTCTCAATACAGAAGCAGCTGCGTTTCGTACTTCATTATCGAACACTCTTATGCATCAAAGAATAGCAGCACCCTGGGAACTTGGCCCTAAATGCCAGTTGCACCCACACAGGTTGTGATAACAATCCTGACTCTCCCCACATTTCCAAATCCCCCAAATCAGGAGCGGGGGGCAGGACAGCCTCCTGTTGTAAGGCACTGAAACAGCCTGTTCCCAGTAATGGCTCCATCTCTGAGCATGGAGGTAGGGATGGTGGGTCGGGGCTGACCTCGTACCTGCTGGGAGAGCCCACACCTTTGGGAAGAGATCATGGTCAATCCCCGCCCTTTGGGGGCTGCCCTCCAGACCAAAGCGAAGGAACCCAGAGGCAGAAACTTCAGCCTTTGTCAAACAGACCTGGGTTTAAATCTTGATCTAAGTTCCTACTAGCTGAATGGGTTCAGTAAGTCTCTTAACCTCTCTGAGCCTCAGTTTCTTCATCTGCAAAAGGGGAATAAGAATATCTTTTTCTTTTTTTCTTTTTTTTTTTGAGATGGAGTTTCACTCTGTCACCCAGGCTGGAGTGCAGTGGCACGATCTTGGCTCACTGTAATCTCCGTCTCCAGGGTTCAAGCGATTCTTGTTCCTCAGCCTCCCGGGTAGCTGGGATCACAGGTACCCACCACCATGCCTGGTAACTTTTTGTATTTTTAGTACTGATGGGGTTTCACCATGTTGCCCAGGCTGGTCTCGAACTCCTGACCTCAAGTGATCTGCCTGCCTCGGCCTCCCAAGTGCTGGGATTGTTACAGGCGTGAGCCACCACGCCGGGCCAAGAATATCTTTTTGATCTGGCTTTTGTTGAGGGACAATAAGAGGATGGATGTGGTGAGCTTGGCTGGCACCTGGGACACAGTAAGTGCCCGATACAGGGTGGCTGATATTACTTCATGGGAAATTGTCATGTTTCCTCCTTCCTGTACCTGTTAAGAAGCCACTCTCTGAGCCAGGGTGCCAGGGTGAGGCTGTGGGCTGCCTGCTGCTGTGCCAGGGCAGGGGCCCTTTGTCTCTCTTCTCCCTGGGTCTGAGGACACACCTCACAGGTCACATTCATATAACTGCTAACCTCACCCACCACCCTACTATCCCTTGATTCACCAACTTTTCTAATTACATACTTTTTCTAGAATATTTATTACGTAGCCCCATTTTTACCCTAAATGAATTATTTCCCATATAAAGAAGAAACTACACAGTATTCCAGTACCATACACCCTGTCCATTGCTGAGCACTGGGTTGAAGCCCCGTTGTGTGCCCAGGGTCCCGATTTTGAGAGGCTGAGCCTGGCTGCAGAGCCCTCACAGGGCAGTCTAACTCAGGACATCTTGGGGATGATTCTTGCCTTTTGTCCTCATGGCTTAGGACGATTAAGGGCATTAAGGCAGTGACAAGCTTACTTCAAGACCAGTGGTCTTGGAGCAGAGGGGAGAGAGGAGGGGTTGCTTCTGAGACCCTCCCATCTCCACCTTCTTGGATGTAGGATCAGTAAGAGAAGCAGCTCCTTTGGTTCCTGCCGCATGGGCACCCGCCCTTCATTCAGGCCTCATCCAACCCTCTTAAAGTCAGCTTCAGGGGTGAAGTCTCCACTTATCTCCATGTGGGAGGTGGAACAGCAGGTAAGAGGTGGACTCAGGAGCCCCGGGGCCTGTCTGGAATCCTAACTTCTCACTTTCCAGCTTGGGCAGGCATTTCATTCTCTGCGCTGCAGTTTCCTCTGCTGTAAAATGGGAACAGTAACAGCATCTACCTCCAAGGGTCATTGTGGGGTTTCAACGAATTGGTTCCTATAAAGAAAGCACTTAGCTCAGAGCCAGGCATACAGTAGGCACTCAACGAGCATGTGCTATTAGAGTTACTCTCAGTGCCTCACACGGGGCCGGGCATACACAGCAGGTGTCAGTTCTTATTTGCGGAATAGATGGACCAGGCTGTTTGGATACGGATTATAAACTGTATGAGTCTCAAGGATGTTGGGCTGGGCGTGGTGGTGGCTCACGCCTGTAATCCCAGCACTTTGGGAGGCCGAGGCAGGCAGGTCAGGAGTTCGAGACCAGCCTGACCAACATGGAGAAACCCTGTCTCTACTAAAAATACACAAAAATTAGCCAGGCGTGGTGGCACATGCCTGTAATCCCGGCTAGTCGGGAGGCTGAGGCAGGAGAATTGCTTGAACCCGGGAGGTGGAGGTTGCAGTGAGCCAAGATTGCGCCATTGCACTCAAGAGTGAAACTCTGTCTCAAAAAAAAAAAAAAAAAAAAAAAAAAGGATGTTGATGGAGAACCCAGCAGCCAGGTGACAATATTTGCATTTTACCACAACCTAAGACTAACACCTCAAGTCTTTCTGATTCATCAGGGAGGCAGGGTTTGCAATCCAGTAATAAATACCAGGCCAGAAAGCAGAGCCACGTCTGCGGTAGAGAGTGCCGTGGCTCAAGTGTGTGTGCCTCCTGCAGTTCCAGGGCCTAGAGGTGATCCTCCCTTTGGATTCAGAGATCAGAGGGCAAAAATCATGACGCAGTTTAAGTCTCCCAGGGACCAATACAGAGTTCACGGTGAGATTCACTTGGCCTTAAATGGAGTTTTGAAACTTACTTTGAAATGTAATCCTGGGCTACTCACTTAACCTGCAGAACCTTCATTTTCTCCCCTGTAAGAGCAGGTTAACAGTACCAGTCTCAGCAGCAGATCTGATGATCATCTACTCTGCAATAACTCAGAATCTATGTAAGCGGCCTAGAAGAGCAACTAGAAGAACTTAGGAAGATTACCAAATGCAAGTAAACCAGCCCCACCTGAGATGGCCGTATTTTCAGTTTTGCAACCTAGAGGACATTGGCAACCTAGAGGACATTGGAGCCATTTCTGGTTATCGCAGCTCAGGAATGTCTACTGGCACCTAGTGGGTAGAGGCCAGGGATGTGGCTAAGCAGCCCATGGCACACAGAATAGCCCCCCACAACAGAATGATCCAGCCTCAAACATCAATTGTGTGGAGGTTGAGAGTTATCAGCTCAGATTTAGTTTAACTTTCATCACGTAAAAGACTTATTTTTTCGGTTGTGTGGGCAAAGCGCTTCGTGGGTTGCTACTAGATGAGGAGAAGGAAATGATTAGCATGCACAAAAAATTCCGCCCAGCTGCCAATATGGCACCGTTCGGTGACTAACATCCCAAAACTCTCAGTAAAGGTCAACCTTCCAGGAAGTTCTGAGAAATGCAGCTTTTCATGCTAATTTCCTGGGCTGACTCCGTGACTAATCAGCCCGTCTCACACCCAGGGAGAAATCCTGCAGCACAGATAGCCTCCTCCTCTGCCCCCATCAATCTCTGTAGAAGGAAGACATTCAGCAAATCATGCTGCTCAGCATCTAAGCTCATTCTCCAAAGAAGGGTCGCCCACCCATCCTTCTATTGCTCTCGCCCTCCTTCTCTCCATCCAACAAGTACCAAGTGTCCACCATGCATCCGTCAGAAGACATTCAGCAAATCATGCTGCTCAGCATCTAAGCTCATTCTCCAAAGAAGTGTCGCCCACCCATCTTTCTATTGCACCCTCCTTTTTTCCCTCCATCCAACAAATACTAATGCCCACCATGCGTCCATCCGTGTTGCACTTGCTGGGATGCAAAGGTAAACAGGCCCAACAAGGGCACTGCCCTCATGGAGCTCACGAGGAAGGACCTGGACAACTGGCCCATCCACGACACCAACCTTTTCCTTACAAGATCCTTGTAAGGATCTTGACATGCTTTACAAGATCATGTTCTTAGAACCCAAGACAGTTTTTAAAAATAGTGTTTTTATGGAACATTTGGCTCTTGCCCCTTATTTGTACTTGAAATTGGAGTTCAGAGAGGTTAAGCGACTTGATCAAGGTCACACGCAAGAGTCTCAAGAGACAGGATGAAAATCCAGGTTCCCTGACTCCAGGGTTTTCCCATTTCACCATGGCCACCATCACCCCAGCAACACTCACAGCCCGTGCCCTGCCTGCCAGCTCCATGCTGGGCACTCTACATGGATTCGCTCATGTAATCCTCACCGCCACCCTACAAGGTAGAGACTACTGTTACTCCCTTGGATGCCTGGGGAAACCAAGGCACAGAGACATTCAGTAACTTGCCAAGGTGGGGCTTGAACTGTAATACAATCAATCCCCAAAATACTCCCCATTCTTGGTCCCTGGTTATTCGTTAGAACAGATAAAGAGGTTGGACATGACAACCGTCAGCAAACCACTTCCCCCTCTAGGCCTCAGTTTCCCCATCTACATAAGAGGGTGGTCTAGGTGATTTGAGGGTCTACCTACCTCTGATCTCTGGGGACCTTTGGGGCCCTGGCACCTGCTCCCATTGGGTCCCAGTGTGCCACTGAAGCTGTTCCTCTTACCTGCTGGCACCTGTTGAGGCTATCAGATAAACCAAAGGCACCTCCCAGGCATTATCAAAGCCTGGTATTATTTAGATATGAGGTATTATTATATTCCCATGGGGATGCTTCAATTCCCTAATTCCTGAGGGTAAAATCTGCCAACGTTTTGACTAACAGCAGTTGTTTTAGAGTGTCCAGCTCTGCCACTTACTAGCTTAGGCAATTACTTCACTTCTATGGGCCTCGGTTTGTTCATCTGTAAAGTGGGAACGCCTACATTTAAAGGATGGCTGTGAGGATGAAATGAAACAGTGATTGACAAGAGCCAGGTAAGGTCACCAGCATTTAACGAGTGCTGAATAAGTGGTAGTCATTCTCAATGGAAATTTTAAGGGCGATGCTGGTTTAGATGTTGCCTATAATGAGAACGTGCCTGGGTGGGCATGAAGCACCAGGCAATGACATAAGACAGGC
Organism: Homo sapiens; assembly: GCF_000001405.40. Taxonomy (NCBI): domain Eukaryota; kingdom Metazoa; phylum Chordata; class Mammalia; order Primates; family Hominidae; genus Homo; species Homo sapiens. The sequence goes on from NC_000001.11 coordinate 19,767,452, forward strand.
TGTTTTAAACCCACTCAATTCTGCCAGAGCCAGCTCCAAGGTCACAAACAGCAGAGAAGAGTCAGTGGAGATGTCTTAGGTGCCCAAGATGGTTTGGGGTTTGCAGGGGTGGGGTGCAGAAAGAGGTGGTGGGATGCATATGACTCTCTCTGGGTGAGGAAAGAGGGAAAGTTAGATTCCGGGGCCAAGGCTGCTTCTCTTTCTACTTGATGAAGAAGCAATGAGAGAAAGGAAGGGCTGACCCAGGAGGCTGGAGAACTGCTTCTGACTCCCAGTCTACCTCTGCTGCTGTGTGTCTGCAAGGAAGCCCCTTCCCCTCTCTGGGCCTCAGTCTCTCCACCTGTGAAAATGAGAGGATCGCCGGGCATGGTGGCTCATGCCTGTAATCTCAACACTTTGGGAGGCCGAGGTGGGTGGATCACTTGTGGTCAGGAGTTCGAGACCAGCCTGGCCGACATGGTGAAACCCCATCTCTACTAAAAATACAAAAATTAGCCAGGCGTGATGGCACATGCCTGTAATCCCAGCTACTCAGGAGGCTGAGACAAGAGAATCACTTGAACCCGGGAGGCAGAGGTTGCAGTGAGCTAAGATCATGCCACCTGTACTCCAGCCTGGCGGACAAGAGCGAAACTTCATCTCAAAAAAAAAAAAAAAAAAAAGAGGATCATCCAAGTTGACCTTGATGTGTGAGATTCAGGTCTGCAAGATGGGGGCAATGGCCTTAACCACCTCACTGGAGGACGAGATGAAATGCCAGCACAAGCCCTTAGCGCCATGCCTGCCGCGCAGCTAGGACTTGGCACATGGCGGCTTTGCCATTACACTGATTCCAATATTAGATTCTATGTGCTGAGCTGCTGCCCTGATCTCCAGCAGCCCGAGTCTCAGACCACCATGCAACTCAGCCTTTCTCTCCAAGGGAGTCCAGGAGGATCAGATACTATTATTCTTCCCTCACTTCTGTTAAAAAAATAAAGTGACACAATCACTCTGTAATGAAATATATGACAACTCCTGAGACTGCCTGGCCCTGGAAATGTAAGCTCCAGGGGGTGCAGAGAGAAAATGCCCCAAACTCAGAGTCCAGTGACCGAAGCAATGTTCTCAGGCCAACCCTGCCACTCCCTTGGGGGCCGCCTGGCTGTCTCTGCTACATAAAGTATTACCGAAGGCCTCGCCTGCCTCAAAGCAGAGGCTGGCCTGGTCACCCGTGGAGAGCCCTTTCAGCTCCACGATATGGAATTAAAATACTTTGGATACACTAGGCCCAAACACACTCTTTGGAGCCTTAGAGCAGCGCTCCTCTAAGTAGAAAGCACTCAGGAATTGCCTGGATTCCACGCAGATCCCAATCAGCGGGTCTGGGCGGGGGCTGAGACTCTGTATTTCTCACAAACCTCCCAGCAGTGCCGATGCTGCTGGGTCCACATACCACACTGAGAGTAGCAAGGGCTTAGAGGCCTTTTTTAAAAAACAGTAAAGAAAGTTTATTATGCTAATAACAAGAATCCCCAAGGTAGGGTGACCTACATGTCCTGCCACCCCGGCAGGCACTGACTGCACTAAACACACGTGCATGGCCAAGCACGCATGAGAAAGCAGCTCATCCGCCCTGCTGCGTGGGCTTCAGCAAGCCTCAGCACCCTCCTCTTTTAGGGTTCCTGACTACCACCTGCCCTGAAAGGGTCACTGGAGACAAACGCTAGGATTCCTGAGACAGAGTCCCAGTCCCCTTGCAGCTGGCGCCAGACCACTAGAATCTGAGGGCTGAGATGTCACTTCTGAGCCCTCTCCCTTCTACTCTCTGTACCTGGTCTGCAGCAGTTCTGCAGCATGAAGAATGGTACCGGGGGCAGCCCCTCACCCCTCCTCTCTCTGCTCTCCTTGCTGAAGCCGGCCATCTGCATACCTGCCCAGGTGAAATCCATCCCACTCTCCCTCCTCAGGCTTCCAACTGGCCCAAAGCCCGCCCACTGCACTGCTGCCCTGCTGACCTTCCCCTGTGGCTCCTTCCCACTATGAAATTCTGCTCTTCCTCCTCCTCCTTCCACTAGGAGGGTTCCAGTGGGGAGCCAGGCAAAAGTTTCCCTATTACAGGGTTTGGAGGATGCTGGCAATTTCTTCTATGTTGTGTTTCCTCCCTGCTTGCCATCAGAATAAACATCAGAGGTCACTGCATAAAAGCGTCTCCCCAGTTTAGAGAACAGAAGAAGCCACTTATGCAATAAGAGGGAAGCCCTGGCAGAGAGGAGCTGGTGGGAAGAAGTTGGACGGGAGCTGTGGGGGTGGGGAGGAGCTCAGGAGGCAGCCCGCATAGTGGCTTAATGCAGGCATCCTGGAATGGTAGACAGCAGTGGTCTCCAACCTTTTTGGCACTAGGGACCAGTTTTGGGGAAGACAGTTTTACCATGGACCAGTGTGGGGGCCGGGGATGCAAGCCGCAAAGCATACGTGCCCTGGGGTGCGTGCAAAGCCACAAAGCACACGTGCTTAGGGAGCTGCCGGAGGCCGGCATGGCTGAAAGCCCCACGGCAAGGGGACTGAAAGCAGAGGTGAGGCTGGAGCAGGACAAGGGTCAGCCCACCAGGGCCTGAGAGCCACACCAGAGGGGCTGATTTTTTTCTCCTGAGTGCAGAGGGAGCCACTTCGAGGCAGTTAGCAGGGAGGTGGCGTGGTCAGGTGGGCCTTTGAAAAGAACACTCTAGCTGCAGAGTGGGGAGAAAACTGCTGGCCAGAGTGGTGGCAGGAAGGCCAGTGAGAAGGCCCTGCTGTTATCCAGGAGGGGCGACAGTGGCTTAGACCAGGGGCCTGGGTGGAGAGGGGAAGGAACCAGATTCGAGAGTTACTTAGGAGGTAAAACCATAGGCCTATTGTGAGGAATAAGTGAAATAAACTCTGAGAAGCACCACACAGTCCTGGCATGAATGAAGGGCTCACCAGCTCACCAATGACATCAGGTTCCTTTCCTTCCTGAAGTCAAAAGACCACGGGGGACCCGGCCCCAGGTGGTGGCACCTCTCACTGGCTTTGCTAGCCAAGGGTGCAGATGGGTACCCACCATTTACAGAGCTTAGAAAATCAACTTACCATCCTTGAGTGAGAAGCTCAGAAGGTCCTGAGGGAGAAGACAACAGGCATCAATGACAAAGCTGATATACGATACAGCGCGCTCATTTGACAAATATTGACTCCTACCAAGTGGCAGAACAAGACAGACAAAAAGCCACTGCCCTAGATTCTAGACGTGAGCCAGATGATAAACAGGCAAGCGAAGAAAGAAATACATGAGGACTTCAGGTAGTGAGATAAGGAGGGGAAGGGGCTATTTTAAATCCACTTACTTTCCCTACCAACAGTCTGCGTCACAAGCTTCTATCTGCTTTAACTGCAGGCATAGCTGGTGAGTGACATGCTCAAGGGCATACAGTGAAGCTTCTGCTTCTGAAAAGAGGTGCCACAGCTTAGAAGAATGCGGGCTCTGGAGTCAGACTACCAAGGTTCAAATCCTGGCTCCACCACTTATCAGCTGTGTGACCTTGGGCAAGTTACTTAACCTCTCTGTGTCTCAGTTTCCTCAACTATGAAATGGGGATGGCCCTACCACTTACCTCATAAAGTCACTTCAAGAATTAGATGAGTTAGTTTTTGAAAAGGAACCAGCACGTAATCAGCATTAAGAGTAAATATTCAATAATGATAATTCAACATCAGCTATGATCATGATATGATATTATGATGACATATTTTATCTTCCAACTGCTCCACCCCACTAGAAGTGATTTTTTAGGCTAACATTGAAAGAAAATGATTTGTTCTACTGTCCCCAGCAGCCACCACCAGGTGTTGGGTGTACCTGAGTGATCACCGTCGGGTCGTCCTTCAAGATGGGGTCCTTCAGTAAAATTTGAACAAACACATCTGCTCCTTCACCTCCCAGGCCGCTCGCAAAAGCAGTCATGGTTGGCAAGACAGCTTCAGACAACTCCAGCCACTGCACCAGGCCTGCCATGAACTCTGTGCAGAAGGAGCTGAAAGGCAGACATGGCTTAGTTCTCCAGGATCCTCAGAGCTCAGCCTCCACTGGGCAGTGTAGATTAGTTGTGGTCACGGATGTGAACAGCTGGCACGTGCCTGACTTACTGACTGTGATCCCTCAAATACAGAGGCAGTCAAAGACCTCATCTTGGGTGATGTAAATTTTGTTTTTTGTTTTTGTTTTGAGATGGAGTTTCGCTCTTGTTGCCCAGGCTGGAGTTCAGTCGTGCAATCTTGGCTCATCCCAACCTCTGCCTCCCGGGTTCAAGTGATTCTCCTGCCTCAGCCTCCCGAGTAGCTGGGACTATAGGTGCCCGCCACCACGCTTGGCTATTTTTTTGTATTTTTAGTAGAGACAGGATTTCACCATGTTGGCCAGGCTGGTCTTGAACTCCTGACCTCAGGTGATCCACCCGCCCCGGCCTCCCAAAGTGCTGGGATTACAAGCGTGAGACACCGTGCCCAGCCTGGGTGATGTGGATTTTGGTTTCTTCTCTCACCAAAATGTTTATCAAAGAGGCTGATAAGCCACAGCAATGACAGCAATGGATGGTGACTGGTTGCATGCCTTGGGCCTGGGCTGTGCCAGGGGCGACGAATAAAGGTGAAAAACCTGGTATCTGAGGAAGCTCACAGCAGGGTGGATGCTCAAGTAACCAAGTGACTCTAGAGCCGTGTGGTACCCTAGGACAGAGGTGGAGATCAGTTCAGTGCAGCCCACAGAGGGAGCCCCGGATCCACCTGCAGAAGTGACGGCAGCCACCAGAAAAGGCTTCCCAGAGAAGGCCATCTGCTCTCCTGGATGCTGCCAAGGACGTGCTTTCTGGAAAACGCTGGCTGCTGCAAAAGTGGAAGAAGTGAAGGGAAGAGTGCCCTCCACGTGCACTGCCACCGCCAGTCTCTGTCCATAGTGGGCATCTGAGTGCAGTCCTACAGGAGTCCCCAGGGGAGGATGGGATGGGGCCGCTCTAGGGGAGAAGGAAGCCTTTGAGCTGAGACACAGAGGTGGGGAGCCCAGAGCATTTGGGGGGATGATGGCAGAGTCCACACCAGACTTCTGACACAGCCACCTCTGTGGAGCAGGTGTGAGCCGGGTGGCAGGTGGGCCAGGAGAGTCACTTAGAAGTCGATTATACCACTCCCGGGAAAGGGCTGACACCCAGAAGCCAGGTCTGTCTCCAAAATCAGAGTCCCAGCCTGCCTCAAACCACATTGCCTTGGGACTCCAACACTGGGTTCTGCCCTGTAGGGCAGAGGCTGCACTCAGGCCTCTCAGAAACAAGCAGAGCTCCCAGGTGGTAGAGGCAATGTCAGGAGCCCCCTGCCCTTGCACCACATGACCCAGCTATCACATTCCTTAGAGTGGGACCGAGACCTTGATGGGAGTTGTGAGGAACTTGGGTTTAAATCCTAGCCTCAGCCGGGCGCAGTGGCTCACGCCTGTAATCCCAACGCTTTGAGAAGTGGGGCTGGGTGGATCACCTGAGGTCAGGAGTTCGAGACCAGCCTGGCCAACATGGTGAAATCCCGCCTCTACTAAAAGTACAAAAATTAGCTGGGCGTGGTGGCATGTACCTGTAGTCCCATATATTCAGGAGGCTGAGGCACAAGAGTCGCTTGAACCCAGGGGCGGCGGTTGCAGTGAACTGACATCGCACCACTGCACTCCAGCCTGGGTGACAGAGTGAGACTCTGTCTCAAAAATAAATAAAAATAAAAAAGTAAACTAAATCCCGGCCTCACCACTGTTACGGTCGGGTTCCTGGGAAGCTGCCCTGAAATGAGATGATTAGGGCTCCCCTTGGGATCAACACCCTGGGGAGGGAAGGGAGGAAGCAGGGTTGGGCAGAGGAGGCAGCTGAGCTATGATACAGTCTCAAGGGAGGTCTCAGCAGCCCCTGCAGGGAGTTCTAAAGATGGGATGACACTTCGGAACTGTCTCCAGCGGGGTGAGAGGGCCAGGCCTTTACAGCTGTGCATCAGCCAGTTACCGGATGCAGGTGCCCCAGGGAGGGGACAGAACCTCAGGCAACGTGGCTCCCTTCAGCTGAGGCAGGCCCAAAAAGGTACAGACAGCTCAGGGCTGTGCTGGCAGCCTTGCCAGCAGCTGGGGGTGAAAGGCCTTCATTCTTGAAGAGGAATCTTAGCAGAGAGCATCTTGGGAAAGTGTAATGGCCTCTCTGTGCCTCAGTGTCCTTATCTGCAAAATGGGTTCAAGAGACCAACTTCATAAGGTTGGTTGAGGATGAAGTGAGATGATAAATATAAAGGGCCGAAAGTGAGCCTGGCATGTAGTAGAGGCTCAACTACATGAGACTAAAAACGATGTTAGCTAGTATCGTTATTTTGATTTACAAGGTGGCAGAGGGAGGCAGTGGAGGATGGGGTTAAGAGTTGGACTCTGAAGTCCAACCACCTGGGGGAGTCCTGGTTCCCCTGGAAATTGGCTTTGTGTCCTCACTTTACCTCTCAGCTTCATTTCCCTCTGAGATAACATGTGGATAATAACAGGACCTGCCTCACAGGTGAGTTGGGCAGGTTAAATGGCATGGTAACACTGTCTGGCACCAGTGAACCCTGGATAAATGTTAGCTACTGCTACCACAGTGATTATAATTTGCCCCACTGCAATTTACTGGGATTACCTTGGGGTGGTAATGAGGTATGTATTTGGGGAGGGGATGGCTAAGTAAACCAAACGTTACTTAGAAGCAAATTTATATACAGAAAGGGCTCAGGGCCAAGGACTACAGCATGGCCTGGTCCTGCTGTCCACGAAGAAAGTTTTGGATATGGAGAAGCAACTCTTAACGAGAGTGCAGGGGCAAAGAGCACAGACTGGTTCAAATCCCAGCTCTACCATGAGCTGTGTGATCTTGGACAAGTGACTTCACCTCTCTGGGCCTTAGTTTCCTTATCTGTAAAACAGTGGAGATGATGAAAGGTATTTCATAGGGTTGTTGAAAGGATTAACTAAGTAAGTATTTGTCATGTGCTTAGAACAATACCTGGCACCTACAAAGCACTAGAGAGTAATGTGTTTCTTTCCATAGACAAATGAATTAAAAAAAATATATATGCAAAGTGCCAGCACAGCAATTTACCAAATAACAAGTAGCATTTTAGATCGGCAGGGCCTTGATAATTGCTACTAATGTGTTTGTTGGTCTGGTGGAAATACAGGAAAATCAACAGCAACAATGACAGCAGATAACAATTGTAGAGCAACTGTCCGTCAGTCCCTGTGCTGAGAGCTTCGTACACCTTGAGTTACTTAATTCTCACCATGACCCCATGAGGAAGGGAGGTACTAGTTAAGGGAGGTACTAGTTTACACTACTCTAGAGATAAGGAATCCTAGATCCAGAGAGGTTAAGTGACAGCTCCAGATTCACGCCTACATCTCTGGGACCCCAGAGGCTATGCATACCAGCTGCAGAGGTTACCCCACTCCAGTGGTTATGTCCCTGAGCACCCACCATGCACGGGCCACTCACTGAGCAAGGGCATCAAACATCCCCTTTCATCCTACCCCATCTTACACAGGGCGCACCTGGCCTGCTGGGTTTGGTTTGTTTGTTTGTTTGTTTTTGAGACAGAATTTCACTCTTGTTGCCCAGGCTGGAGTGTAATGGCACGATCTTGGCTCACTGCATCCTCTGCCTCCCAGGTTCAAGCGATTCTCCTGCCTCAGCCTCCCAAGTAGCTGGGATTACAGATGTGCACCACCACACCCATCTAATTTTGTAATTTTAGTAGAGACAAGGTTTCGCCATGAGATTTCACCATGTTGGCCAGGCTGGTCTTGAACTCCTGACCTCAGGTGATCCACCCGCCTCGGCCTCCCAAAGTGCTGGGACTACAGGCATGAGGCACCGCGCCTGGCCAGGACTGCTGGTTAAATGTCTTCTCAAAGTTCTTACAGCAGGGACAGGACAAAGCCTTCCCTGGAATCCAGGCTTCCTGATTCCTAGTCCAAAGCTCCTCCCACTCACCAGGGCTTAGAAAACTACAGCTAACCAGCCATATCTTGCCTGCAGCCCTTATTTGTGAGTAAAGTTTTATTGAAACACAGCCACATGCATTATTTCACCTACTGTCTGTGGCTGCTTTTGTGCTATCACGGGAAAGGTATGAGTAACTGTGACAGAGACTGCCAGGCCTGCATGCCTAAAATAACTGGCCCTTGGCAGAAGACGTCTGTCCATCCCTGCTGTACCCCATTAATTTCTCCATGTTTGATCAATGGAATTAATTAAAGGGAACAGCATCTGTGATGTTCACAGCATGGAAAAGAAATAAATGTTTTAGAGGGTTGCTTTTATATCCTGTGGGATCAAGAACGGCCACACAGTGTTTTCTAAAGATTACTAAAACCAAGAGCATATCTGGGCTTTAAAAATATTGAGGTATTTATTTATTTTGTTTATTAGTTTTATTTTTTGAGATGGAGTATCGCTCTGTCGCCCAGGCTGTGGCATGATCTCGACTCACTGCAACCCCCACCTCCCGGATTCAAGCGATTCTTCTACCTCAGCCACCCAAGTAGCTAGGATTACAGGCATATACCACCACATCCGGCTAATCTTTGTATTTTTAGTAGAGACAGGGTTTCACCATGTTGGCCAGGCTGGTCTCAAACTCCTAACCTCAAGTGATCTGCCCGCCTCAGCATCCCAGAGTGCTGGGATTACAGGCATGAACCACCACACTCGGCCAATATTGAGGTTTTTAAAAAACATGTTTTGTGCATCAGAAAACAGAGCAACCATGTGGAAACAACCGGCATACTGAACGGGAAACATTCGAGAAGGAAACACTCCACGGCAAATGCTTATGGCCAGGCAACAGCCACCTGTGTTTATAACAACGCTTGGATATTGTGGAGTGGGGGTGGGAGACACAGGACAGTAACTCGCTGCCTTATGTGCCCTCCTAAGTAGCGCCTAGTATGGGCCTGGCACACAGTCCAGATTCATAAACATTTGTTCATGGAAACAAAGTACACAAAGCTCTTCCTTGGCTAGGTACTGGTTTATCAGGTAGGAGTTTCATTATTAACAACAAGACCAACCAATATTTGCTTGGTAGTAGTTTGGTGTCAGGTTCTGCAAGGGCCATCAACACATACCCTCCTTACAATCACCCTCTTGGATGGTGTTGCCAACAGCTTCTCTGAAACAGTAATTCCCCAGCCCCTTCTTCCTGGCTGGCAGAACTCATCTCCCATGATGGAGGTTGAAAACAGCAAAAGCCAGGCGGCCGCGGTGGCTCACGCCTGTAATCCCAGCACTTTGGAGGCCAAGGTGGGCAGATCACTTGAAGTCAGGAGTTCAAGACTAGCCTGGCCAACACGGTGAAACCCCGTCTGTACTAAAAATACGAAAATTAGCCAGGCATGGTGGCGTGCGCCTGTAATCCCAGCTATTCAAGAAGCTGAGGCAAGAGAATTGCTTGAATCCAGGAGGCAGAGGTTGCAGTGAGCCAAGATCACACCACTGCACTCCAGCCTGGGCCACAGAACGAGACACTGTCTCAAAAAAAAAAAAAAAAAAAAAAAGAAAAGAAAACAGCAAAAGCCTCTATTTGTTCCCAGGCTTCCCTGTACCTGTACCTGCAGGTTGGGCACGTGACAGGATCTAGCCAATGACACCAAAGGAAGGCTTCTTGGCTTCTCGGGGTATTTTGGGAAAGATGTCCTCCCTGACGGGAGACTTGGGGAGAATCCCTGCCCTCTGCCCTCTTCCTTCCTGCCTTGGGCCTTGTCCTGTGAGGGTGTGATGTATGGAGCTGCAGCAGCTATTTTGTGATCAGGAGGGGAAGGCCAACAGAACTGTTCAGAAGCCAACCCAAAGGCCTTTTTTTTTTTTTTTTTTGAGACAGAGTCTCACCCTGTCACCCAGGCAGGAGTGCAGTGGCACGATCACAGCTCACTGCAACCTCTGCTTCCCAGGTTCAAGTGATTCTTGTGCCTCATCCTACCTAGTAGCTGGGATTGTCAGTGTGTACCACTCACGTCTGGCTAATTTTTATATTTTTAATAGATTCGGGGTTCTGCCATGTTGGCCAGGCTGGTCTTGAACTCTTGGCCTCATGTGATCTACATGCCTCGGCCTCCCAAAGTGTTGGGATTACAGCGTAAGCCACTGCGCCCAGCGCCAAAAACCTCTTGAGGCACTGAATCAACCCTGGAACCTTGGGATTTCTTGTTAAGTGAAAAAAACAAATCTCCTGTTGTTTAAATCTCTCTTAGTACTGTGTTCTATTACTTGTAGCCTGACTGCTGGGCATAGTGGCTTGAACCTGTAATCTCAGCTACTTGGGAGGCTGAGATGGGAGGACTGCTTGAGGCCAGCCCAGGCAGCATTGTGAGACTCTGTCTCTAGAAGAATAAAAAGTTAGCCAGGCATGGTGGCATGCATCTGTAGTCCCAGCTACTCAGAAGGCTGGGGTGGGGGAAGACCACTTGGGCCCAGGAGTTTGAGGTTACAGTGAGCTATGTCTGTATCACTGTACTCCAGCCTGGGTGACTGAGACCCCATCTCTAAAAAACAAAAATTAAACAACCAAAAAACCACAAAAATATCCTAAGTGGTAGGAGTAAGTGTGGTATTATCTTCATTTTCTGGATGAAGAAACAACTAGGGCAAAGAAAGTAACTCAGAGATTCAGCAAGCAACCACTACCATTTATTGAGTGCCTACTATGTGCTAGGCACTGTGCTGTGTGCTTTGTCTACATCATCTCATTATTTATATTTATTTATTTATTTATTTATTTATTTATTTATTTATTTATTTTTGAGACAGAGTCTTGCTCTGTTGCCCAGGCTGGAGTGCAGTAGCACGATCTTGGCTCATTGCAACCTCTGCCTCCCGGGTTCAAGCGATTCTCCTGCCTCAGCCTCCTGAGTGGCTGGGACCACAGGTGTGCACCACCATGCCTGGCTAATTTTTGTATTTTTAGTAGAGATGGGGTTTCACCATGTTGACCAGGCTGGTCTCAAACTCCTGAGCACAGGCGATCCACCTGCCAAAAGTGGTAGGATTACAGGCGTGAGCCACTGCACCCGGCTACATCATCTCATTTAATTCCTGCAATCACCCTGCAGCATGGGTATCATTAGCCCCATTCTACAGATAAATAAACTGAGGCTTAGGGAAGTTAAATAAACTGCTCGAGGTCACATGAGACTGGAAAGTGGCAGAGTTAAGATTTGAACCCAGATCTGAGTCCAGAGCCTATGGACCATCTCCTTGTTGACAAAGCCAGCATTAACCTACCTCTTCTTTTCACGAACCTTTACCAGGTATCTTTGCTATACTGAGCTGTGTGCAAGGCACTGGGAACTCTGAGATGAACAAGGTAGCCCCTGCCCTCCCGAGCTCAGACTGGAGGGGTAGCAGGTATGGAGAGTTCCTGCACAGTGTGGTGGTTGCAGAGATGGGTCGCTGGGCATACAGGTGGAACAATGCCCTGGTCTGGAGGACAGATAAGGGAAGGCTTCCTGGCGGTAACCCCCAAGGAGTTGAGTATGTTCAACTGTTCAGTCCAGTGGACAGACAAAGACAGAAAAACAAAAACCCCAAACAGCTAAGACCCAAGGCATGAAGGAAGTTTACTCATGGGGGACCACTGAGTGTATGTGGGGGCCGTGTCTTGAAAACACTGCAGATGCAAGAGCTTCTCACCATCTCCTGGCCCAAGTCTTGTGCTCCCTGTCCTAGTAACGGTATCTCAGTGCTCCTACGCTCTCTTCCCCCTCTGAACCTTTGGAGCCATAGTGAGCTCCTGCCTCTGCCTCACCCGCAACACTCAACCTCTTCCCAAGTCAACTCCATTCTCCCTGAGAAAAGTCTGTCCCATCTGTGTCCTCTGTCCACCACTCGGTCATTGTCCTCATTCCCCTGGATGACTCCGTTGGCCTCCTAACTGGCCCCCTCCTGCCTCCATACTCTCCCCTCTAGAATTTTTTAAGGTCAAAGCCCATGCTCTTAACAGTTCTGCTATTCTGACTCCAAATATGTGATTTAAACACACACATGGGAGGTACTGTCAATGATAGAGATGAAATATAACGATGTCATTCTTTTGCTCCCACGACCCCGTTTAAACTCATCACAGCACTCACTCATCTGTATCTGTCCCCTGTTACAATCAGCCACCTGGGCACCCCTACCTAGATGTAAGCACCTTGAGGGCAGGAGCTGGGCCTTGCTCGTCTTTGTTTCCTCCACAGGGCCATGTGCTACACCCAGCACATAGTAGGGGCTCAACAAATGCATGTTTCATGAATGAATAAATATTAATATCTTATCCGTTCCTGGACGGTGTCCTACTTGATTGGGGGATGGTATCTGTCTCATTCACATTTACCCTCCATGTACTTCAAATCATACCTGGAATACAGTAAGTGCTCAAAAAATGTTCGGTGAAGGTATAAATGAGTGAATAACTGAATGAGGGGATGTCTTATCCCCCCACCAGATTGTGAGTTCCTTAGAGCAGCAGTCCCCAACCTTTTTGGCACCAGGGACTGGTTTCAGGGAAGACAATTTTTCCAGGGACCCGGCGCAGGTAGGGTTCAGGATGAAACTGTTCCACCTCAGATCATCAGGCGTTAGTTAGATTCTCATAAGAAGCGTGCCACCTAGATCCCTCGCGTGCGCAGTTCACGATAGGGTTTGAGCTTCTATGAGAATCTAATGCTGCCACAACTCAACCTCTCTGCACTTAGATTTCTTCATCTACAGATGGGACCATACAGTGTGGACCTGGAAGAGCTGTGTCAGTAGCAAAGGACACAGCCCATGTGGCTTAGTATTCATAAAATGCTTAGAACAGGAGGCAGAGGTCAGGCAGTAATTCTCATTCACCCACCACTCACCTCCTGCTGTGCGGCCAGGTTCCTAACAGGCTACAGACCAGTACTGGTCCACGGCCTGGAGGTTAGAGACCCCTGCGTTAGAGGCAAGGACAATGACTTGCCCCTCTCTGCATTGCCTCATCGTGCCTGGCAGGCTGTTTGGCTGTCCGTAGTTGTTCCCCTGAAGAAGCATGACCTTCCCACTGCAAGACAGAAGAACTCACCTGTGTTCGGGTTCAGGAAATAACTGGGACAGGGAGATGCCACAGAGGGCAGCATAGGCGAAGCGGTTGGCCTCAGTCAGCTCCCGGCCCGTGGGCAGGTGTGGCTCCCCCTCTGCAGTGGGCTCAGCTACCAGAGGCTGCTGAGGCAGCCTCTGGCATGGCCTGTTCCACATGGCCATTCCCAGCGCTGCAGGAGAAAATTCCCAGTGAGAAATGCTTCCAGAGGTAAGCCAAGGTTACTTAAGCATGACACAGAACTTACAAACCATAAAAGGTTGATAAAGTAGGCATCATTAAAATGAAGAACTTCTTTTCATCACCTTTAGGAGAGTGAGAACACACACTACAGACCAGGATGGAGGGAGGGATCTTCAATATGTCTATCCACAAAGGTCTATACACAGTATCCAAACAACTAACTCCAGTAAGTCATTAAGAAAAAGAAACGAAGCAAATTTAAAAATGGGCAAAAGACTTGAATAGATACTTCATAAAAGAGATTCCACAGTGAGCCGAGATCGCGCCACGGCACTCCAGCCTGGCTGACAGAGCGAGACTCCATCTCAAAAAAAAAAAAAAAAAAAAAAAGATATTCCTCAGGCCAGGTATGGTGGCTCATGCCTCTAATCCCAGCACTTTTGGAAGCCGAGGTAGGAGGACTGATTGAGCCCAGGAGTTCAAGACCAGCCTGGGCAACATAGTGAGACTCCATCTCTACAGAAAAATAAAATAAAATAATTAGCTGGGCATGGTGGCACACGCCTGTAGTTCCAGCTACTTAGGAAGCTAAGGTGAGAGGATTGCTTAAGCCTAGGAGTTTAAGGCTGCAATGAGCTATGATCATTGCACTCCAGCGTGGGCTAGAGAATGAAACCCTGTCTCTTAAAAAAAAAAAAAACCCAATAGCCAATAAGTATGAAAAGATGTTCAACATCGTTAGTCATCAGAGAAATGGAAATTAAAATCCCAATGAGACACTAACTCTCACCTATCAGAATAGCTAAAACTAAAAAGACTGAGAATACCAAGTGCTGGTGAGGATGAAGAGCAAACAGAACTTTCTTTTTTTTTTTTTTTTTTCTTTTGAGATGGAGTCTCGCTCTGTCGCCCAGGCTGGAGTGCAGTGGCACGATCTTGGCTCACTGCAAGCTCCGCCTCCTGGGTTCACATCATTCTCCTGCCTCAGCCTCCCGCGTAGCTGGGACTACAGGCGCCCACTACCACACCTGGCTAACTTTTTGTATTTTTAGTAGAGACGGGGTTTCACTGTGTTAGCCAGGATGGTCTCCATCTCCTGACCTCGTGATCCGCCCGCCTTGGCCTCCCAAAGTGCTGGGATTACAGGCATGAGCCACCACGCCTGGCTGCAAACAGAACTTTCATACACTGCTGGTGGGAGTGTACATTGGTATAACTATTTGGAAAATGGTTTGACAATATCCACTAAAGCTAAACATATGTCTTCCCTATGCTCTGGCAATTCCACTCCTGAGAAATGAGGACTTAAGTCACGAAAAGACACATACATGAATGCTCACAGCAACTTCATTCACAATAGTCCCAAACTGGCAACAACCCACACGTCTATCACAGTAGAATGGATAAATGGTCATATTCATACTGTGAAACATTACACAGCAATGGAAAGGGAATGAACTACAGCAAACATGAATGAATCTCAGACAAAATGATACACAGAAAGCCATTCACGAGAGAGTACCTACCATGGGATTCCCTTTATATGAAACTGAAAAATGCTAAACCCAATGTATGGTGATGGAAGTCAGATGAGGGGTTACATGTGGGAGGGAGTATTGGCTCAGAATGGGTACAAAGGAGGTTTCTGGGTGAAGGAAATGATCTCTATCTTGACCTGGGTGGTCATCATATGGGTATAAATATATTTAAAAATTCCCTGAACTGTATAGTTAATATTTATGCACTTTGTGTATGGTATACCTCAAAGGAAGGAAGGAAGAAGGAAAAAAAGGGAGGAAGGTCTCCTCTTTGTTCTCCCTCCTTCTTTTCCTTCCCTCTATTCTTTCCTTCCTTCCCAGGGGGAAAAGGGAAAGGGAGGAGAAGAGTAGGAAGAGGAGGGAGAGAAAAGGAGAGAGGGGACACGCCAAGAAGGCATCCAAGAAGCAGAAAGAACCCTGGGAGCCACCAGGAAGGGTACAGGGAAGGGTGCCAGCCTCTACTACAGGGGATCAAGGATATGAATGCAGGCTCAGGACCAGACAGACCTGGGCGTGAAAACAAGCACCGCCACTTATTAGATATGGGACCCTAGGCAACTCAACCTCTCTGTACTTAGATTTCTTCACCTACAGATGGGACCATACAGTATCTACCTAGAAGAGCTGTGTCAGTAGTAAAGGACACAGCCCATGTGGCTTAGTACTCGTAAAGCACCTAGAATAGAGCCTGGCACAGGGTTCATGCTATATAAATGCTTGTTTAAAAAATAAAGGCACAAAATGATCAACAAACAAATAAGTAAAATGCTTGGCATGGTGCCTGGCACATAGCAAAGGTTTAATAATAACAAGACCTAACATTACTGAGTTATTACTGGGTGTAGGGCACTGGGGTTGCAATTTTAACATGCATTGTCTCAGCAGACTCTAGAGGCAAGTAGGACTGTAATGTTCAGTTTGCAAATTAGGAAACAGGCTCAGAGAAGTAACTGGGCTCCCCTGATACAGCCAGTCAATGGCAGACATATAGGGCCCAAAGACAGAACTGTTGGCCACCAACTCTGTTTTAAATATTCATCACATGGCCAGGAGTCTTCTAGTCTAATAACCACACTCCAAACAGTTATTTGTTCATAAGTTTGTTCCCATCTAGCTGAGCAATAAAAATTTTTGTTCTCAAAATATTACTTCTGTAGAGGAGTTATTTAAAAGTCTGTCCACAACTAATATTTCATTTGTTTTCAAAACAACCCTGAGGTAGTTCAAAGCAACAAACCAACACTTTTACAGCACATAACTGTTTACAAAGCATTTTCCAGTCTGCTTAATTCTTATAACTACCATGTAAAGTTAAGTAGGACATGAACCATTACGATTCCCTCTTACAACCGAGGAACAGGCTCAGAAAGACCAAGCAATTTTCCCAAACTTACACAGTAAGTGATGAGATCCAAACCAGACTTTTGACTCCAAACCTTGAGCTCTTTCCTCTACACCAGCACAGGGATCTTATTTCCCCTGTTTCAGATGGAGAAACGGAGGCCCAGAGAGGTTAAGACCTCGCCCAAAGTCACCCAGCAAGACTGGCCTCAATGGTTGCTCTAGGAACCCACGTTTGAGATTTGCAGCAAATTTCCCTGGCTCAGAGGGTCAGCTCAGACCATGGTGGTGGGAACAGGGGCAACAGCATAAACCATGAACTAAGGGCAGTGCCAAGGGCAGCACTAGCCTGATGTCAGCAGGTCAGAAATTTCCACTACATTTAATCAACTCCACGTGCCACTTGGAGGCTATATTGATCGCACCTATTACTCAGAGGAGCCCAAGGTAGTATTTTACTGAACTGGTATCTGGGAAGCCCCACGCCAGTTCTTAGCTCAATAATAAACAGCTTTCTGATCAGGGAAGGGTAAGCTGGCCTGCTTCTAACCACAGAGGTATGAGGATGTGTCTAGAGTACAAAAGGCTAAGCTCAGGCTGGGCGCGGTAGCTCACGCCTGTAATCCCAGCACTTTGGGAGGCCGAGGCGGGTGGATCACTTGAGGTCAAGAGTTTGAGACCAGCCTGGCCAACATAGTGAAACCCCGTCTCTACTAAAAATACAAAAATTAACTGTGCATGGTTGGGTGTGCCTGTAATCCCAGCTACTCGGGAGGCTGAGGCAGGAGAATCACCTGAATCTGGGAGGCAGAGGTTGCAGTGAGCTGAGATTGTGCCACTGCACTCCAGTCTGGACAACAGAGCAAGACTCCATCTAACAAAATAATAATAATAATAAAGCTAAACTCAGACCAAATTCATTCATTCATTCAACACAATTTCTCCTGATGCCCTACAATGCATTCTCTACATAGTGGCCTCAGTGACCTTTTTGTCACATAGACCAGTCATGTCACTAGGTTGCTTAAAAGCCTGCAAAAGCCTCCCATCACATCAGGATAAATTCCAATCTTGGTATGATGGCCTAAGAGGGGTGTCCAATCTTTTGGCTTCCCTGGGCTACACTGGAAGAAGAATTGGTTTGGGCCACACATGAAATACACTAACATTAAATGATAGCTGATGCACTAAAAAAAAAAAAAAAAAAAAAAAATTTCGCAAGACAACCTCATAATGTTTTAAGAAAGTCTATGAATTTGTGTTGGGCCGCATTCAAAGCTGTCCTGGGCTATATGTGGCCCACAGGCCGAAGATTGGACAAGCTTAAATGTCCTGTGCAATCCGGTTGCTGCCTGCCACTGAACTCCATCTCATGTCCCCACACCGGTCTTGTTCACTACGCTACAGCCACACTGGCTGTCTTTCTGCTCATTCCCTCCAGGCCCTTGCACCTGCCATTCTCCCTGCTGGGACCACCCTTCCCTGACCATCACATCATCTGGCCTCAGCCCAGATGTCACCTCCTCTGAGAGACCTTCCCTGACCACCCAGGCTACAGTATTAGGTTGGTGCAAAAGTAACTGTGGTTTTTGCAATTTAATAGCAAGACCCACAATTACTTTGCACCAACCTAATATCTTTGTCTTCTATCTCAGCACCCTGTTCTATTTTTATACTACTCATTCTTACCTAAAATAATGTTTTTTTGTTTGTTTCTTTTGTTTTGTTTTGTTTTACTTATTTGTTTACCTGTGTGTACGAGGCAGTTCCCTGGTTGTTTTTTCACTGCCACACCCCGAGCTTTCTGGACAGGACCTGGATCACTGTAGGCATTCAGGAAATACTTGCTGGATGAATGAAGAAGGGGCTAGGATGTGGGAAGCCCTGTTCTGGGCCTTAGGGCAGATCAGAGGATGAAACTGACAAGTTCCCTGCTC
Organism: Homo sapiens; assembly: GCF_000001405.40. NCBI lineage: Eukaryota > Metazoa > Chordata > Mammalia > Primates > Hominidae > Homo > Homo sapiens. The sequence continues at coordinate 19,785,594 of NC_000001.11, forward strand.
TTAAGGGGCTTACATTCTGGTGGGAGACAGGCAATAATATGCCAATACATAATGACAAAGCGACCTAAGTTGGTCAAGGTCACAGAGCTAATAAGCAGTAGAACCGAGACACACACTCAGGAGGTCTGGTTGCAGAATCCATGCCCTCAGCAGCCCACTCAACACATAGCTAACTAAGCATTCCTTCAGGAAGTGGTCAGGGGGAGGAACAGTGAGGCAGGGTGAGGGGATATGAAGTGATGGGGTGAAGCAGGGCTGGCTACTGTATGTGGATGAAAGGTGTCATTCCAGCAGAGGCCTGCAGAAGTCACAGGCTGGGTGGAGAGGTATTCCTTAGAGGAAACAGTATGGTGGTAGAGACAGACAAATACACAGACAATGGTGGCTGGGCACAGTGGCTCACGCCTGTAATCCGAGAGCTTTCGGAGGCTGAGGCAGGAGGACTGCAGGAGCCTGGGCAACAAAGTGAGACCCTGTCTTTACAAAAATAATAATATTTTAAAAATTAGCCAGGCATGGTGGAGCATACCTGTGGTCCCAGCTACTCAAGAGTATGAGGCAGGAGCATCGCTTAAGCCCAGGAGTCTGAGGAATTTGAGGCTGCAGCGAGCCGTGATCGCACTATTGCCCTCCAGCCTGGTGACAGAGCAAGACCCTGTCTCTCAAAGAAAAATAAACCAGAACAAACAGAAAAAACAGACAACAACAACCCGTGTGATAAACACCATGACAGGGGAAACATGAGAGTCAGAGGGATCCCAAGATGGGGACCCTGAACCCAGCACTGGCTCCCTGGAGAAGGTGATGGTAAAGCTGCGACCTGAACAAGGAGTGAATCAGACAGGGGTGGGGTGGGCACGTCTTTGACAAAGGGAAAAGCATGTGTCAAGACCCAGAGGTAGAGGAGAAACACTTTAGAAGAACCAAAAAGATGTTTGGTGCGGCCAGGGCTTGGACAATGGGTGGGCGTGAAGAAATGAGGTGGGAGTAGAAGCTGCCAAGGGCTGCCCCAGGCAGGGCCAAGTTCGTCTCACTAAGGAATTAGGCTTCCTTGTAAAGGCAACGGCCATGCGGGAGGCTGAATGAGGGTGCATGGAACCTCTTGGTACTATATTTGCAACTTCCTGTGAGCCTATAATTATTTTAAAATAAAAATTTTTTTAAAAAGTAGTCGAACATCTCTAAAGAATTTTAAAAACCTTTTCTTGAGGCAAAAGTAAAACATAAATGAATATTGACCTCTTAACGGGTTAAATGAATCTAATAAACACGTATTAGCCCTACTACAGTGGTGACTAAGACAGGCATATAAAGACCCCTTAATTGGGAGATTATATTCTAGAGAGGGAGACAGAAAATGTGAACTCAGAAAGAAGACCATTTTAAATAGTAATAAGGGGCTACTGAAGGAAAAGAAACCTTCAATACTTACCCAGATTTCAAGAAACAGCCGTGGGCCTCTCTCTGTCTGAAGACAGGCTGCTCAGGTTCTGGATGGTTCTTTGGAGAAATATGCAAATTGCCCTGCGGGAGAAAACCAGAAAAACCAGCCTGTGGGTCCACGGAGTGTGAGATCTGGGGGAGGCTACGGCAGAGGGAGCTGGCTGGTCAGTTAAAGCTCAGGGGAGCCTGGCACTGCACCGTCGCTCCCCTGGGCCCTTGCCCTGCACGTTCCTTGACGTGGGGTGCTCTTCTCAATAGGGTGGTAGGGCAGGCAGCTACCACTGCTGAGCACTCACCATGTGCTGGGCACGGCCCTGCCACTTTCCATGGATTGTCTCATTGAATGTCCTTGTTCAACTCTCTGTACCCTGAGCTGTGGTCACTGCATCCAGTTCCTCAGCGGGCACCCTGTCGCCTCCACATCTGTACCTGGTGCCTAACCACAGAGTGGGCACTCAGAAAATGTCAGTTACATGAACCGAGGAATGAACTAGCTTTCAGGCTTAAGCAAGAGCTAGATTTTCCTATATTTCTCCCTAAAGGCACTCCCTTTCTCACATGCCAATGGAGCATCAGATGGGGAAGGGAGATGGAGGAAGGGCCAAGCATCTGGAATTACCCAAAGGAGGTCTCAGGACCCAAAACCGCAACTTCAAACCAAAACTTCAAAACCAAAACCTCAACTAATTTGAGCTTCATCCTTAGTGCCATTTTCTTTTTCTTTTCTTTCTTTCTTTTTGAGACAGTTTTGCTCTGTCGCCCAGGCTGGAGTGCAGTGGTGCAATCTCAGCTCACTGCAACCTCCGCCTCCCAAGTTCAAGTGATTCTTGTGCCTCAGCCTCCTGAGTAGCTGGGATTACAGGCACGCACCACCATGCCTGGCTAATTTTTCATATTTTTAGTAGAGACGGGGTTTTGCCATGTTGCCCAGGCTGGTCTGGAACTCCTGAGCTCAGGCAATCTGCCTGCCTCAGCCTCCCAAAGTGCTAGGATTACAGGCGTGAGCCACTGCACCCAGCCCTTAGTGCCATTTTCAATGCTAGTGAAAACAATACTTTTTACCTCTTTAAGCTTCAGTGGGGTTTTTATTAAGTTATCAGTGGGAACACCCTTCTCCTGGATGTTGCGTTCCTCCCCAGCATGAGAATGTACCTGTACTGTGCCTAAAAACTGAATATTCACACCATGAGTCCAATCGTGTTAAAGCAATGGAGAGGAGAAAAATGACTGGAAGAACAGCCTCCAAAATTATCTCTGAATTGCCATTTACAGATATCAGAGACTTTTCTGTATTTCCCCCAAATTTTCTGCCACAAATTTGTATCGCTTTTGAACTCTCTAGAAAGTTATTTTGTGTAGGTCTCTATCCATAGAGAGGGTACTGTTAGGACACGCACCAGGATGCTGGCAGTGGCTAACTCCAGGTAGGCAGGGACCGGGATTGGATTCTGGATGATTTTAATTTTTTTATATATCTGTGTTTTATGAATTATTAACAATAAGTGTCGATTTTGAGATCAGAAAAAAAATAATTTAAAATTACAACATGCTGCACTGGTGACAATCCGTTTTGTGCTTCTCCTTCCAACCCTGTGTCCAGTGACACTGGCAGCCCGAGATTGGCATGTTGGGAATATTTACATCACAGAAATTAGCAAATGCTACAAATCAGGGATAATTTTGTTCTAGAGAGGTAGTAGAACAGAATTCGACTGCATATACAATATGACTCTAGTTATGTTTTTAAAACATGTTTCGGCTGGGTGTGGTAGCTCATGCCTGTAATTCCAGCATTTTGGGAGGCCGAGGCAGGTGGATCAGGAGGTCAGGAGATCAAGACCATCCTGGCTAACATGGTGAAACCCCGTCTCTACTAAAAATACAACAAATTAGCCAGGTGTGCTGGCACGCGCCTGTAGTCCCAGCTACTCAGGAGGCTGAGGCAGGAGAATGGCGTGAACCCGGGAGGCGGAGCTTGCAGTGAGCCGAGATCGCATCACTGCACTCCAGCCTGGGCGACAGAGTGAGACTCTGTCTCACAAAAAAAAAAAAATTAAATTAAAAAAAACAACAACCATGTTTCAGCCAGGTGTAGTGGCTCACGCCTGTAATCCCAGCACTTTGGGAGGCTGAGGCAGGCAGTTCACCTGAGTTGAGAAGCTCGAGACCAGCCTGGCCAACATGGCGAAACCCCATCTCTACTAAAAATACGAAAATTAGCTGGTTGTGCTGGTGCATGCCTGTAACCCCAGCTATTCAGGAGGCTGAGGCAGGAGAATTGCTAGAGCCCAGGAGGCAGAGAATGCAGTGAGCCAAGTATGCTCTTGAATGCACTGTACTCCAGCCTGGGCGACACAGTGAGACTCTGCCTCAAATAAATAAATAAATAAATAACAAAACATCTTTCACAGAGCAAAAAGATCAGAAGGAAATACATCAAAATGTTTATGATCATTGTCTCTTGGTTGGTGGGGCTAAGGGACTAGAGGTGATTGGTTTCTGTTCTTTCTATTTTTCTATATTTTTAGCATTTCGGTCATGAGCTTATTGGTGCTTTTATAATGTAGAAAAAAACCCTTTTAATTAGAACTAATTCTGCCTCTTGATCCTTAGAAGGGGAGTGTGTTTTATCTCAGAAAGCCCTGGACCCATGTGGCCCAGCCAAGCCAGTGGGGATGAGTTCACAGTTAAGTCCCATACATTTGACCAATAAGTCTTGTCAGTAAGAAAAGGAGGCTGGGTGCAGTGGCTCATGCCTATAATCCCAGCACTTTGGGAGGCCGAGGCAGGTGGATCTCTTGAGCCCAGGAGTTCGAGACCAGCCTGGGCAACATGGCAAAACCCCATCTCTACAACAAATACAAAAATTAGCCAGGCATGATGGTGAGTACCTGCAGTCCCAGCTACTCGGGAGGGTGAGGTGGGAGAATCACTTGAGTCTTGGGGGTCGAGGCTGCAGTGAGTTGAGATCCTGCCACTGGACTCCAGCCTGGGTGACAACAGAGTGAGACTCTGCCTCAGAAAAAAAAAAAAAAAAAGAGATTCCCTATTTAGTAAATGATGCTGGGAGAACTGGCTAGCCGTATGCAGAAAATTGAAACTAGACCCCTTCTTTACACCGTATACAAAAATTAACTGAAGATGGATTAAAGACTTAAAACCTAAAACTATAAAAACCCTAGAAGAACATCTAGGCAATACCATTCAGCACATAGGCACAGGCACAGATGTTATGACGAAATCACCAAAAGCAATTGCAACAAAAGCAAAAACTGACAAATGGGATCTGATTAAACTAAAGAGCTTCTGCACAGCAAAAGAAACTATCATCAGAGTGAACAGGCAACCTACAGAGTGGGAGAAAGTTTTTGCAATCTATCCATCTGATAAATGTCTAATATCAAGGAACTTAAGCAAATTTACAAGAAAAAAACAAACAACCCCATTAAAAAGTGGGCAAAGTACATGAACAGACACTTCTCAAAAGATATTCATGTTGCCAAGAAACATATGAAAAAAAAAGCTCAACATCACTGATCATTAGAGACATGCAAATCAAAACCACAATGAGATACCATCTCATGCCAGTCAGAACGGCAATTATTAAAAAGTCAGGAAACAACAGAAGCTGGCAAGGCTGCAGAGAAATAGGAACACTCTTACACTGTTGGTGGGAATGTAAATTAGTTCAACCATTGTCGAAGACGGTGTGGCGATTCCTCAAAGATCTAGAACCGGAAATACCATTTGACCCAGCAATCTCACTACTGGGTACATACCCAAAGGAATGTAAATCATTCTATTACAAAGATACCTGCACGTGTATGTTCACTGCAGCACTATTCACAATAGCAAAGACATGGAATCAGCCCAAATGCCCATTGATGATAGATTGGATAAAGAAAATGTGGTACATATACACCATGGAATGCTATGCAGCCATAAAAAGGAATGAGATCATATCCTTTGCAGGGATATGGATGGAGCTGGGAGCCATTATCCTCAGCAAACTAATTCAGTAACAGAAAACCAAACACCACATGTTCTCACTTATAAGTGGGAGCTGAACAATGAGCACACATGGACACAGGAAGGAGAACACACACTGGGGCCTGTCAGCGGGTGGGATGCGAGGAGAGAGAGCATTAGGAAAAACAGCTAATGCATGCTTGGCTCAATACCTAGGTGATGGGCTGCTAAGTGCAGCAAACCATCATGGCACATGTTTACCTATGTAACAAAACTGTACATCCTGTACATGTATCCCAGAACTTAAAATTAAAATTAAAATTAAAATTAAAAAAAAAAAGGAAAAGAAAATAGCAAGGGTTGGTGGGACAGACAGTGCAATTCTCAGCTTCTCAGCTCTCCATGATGCTGGAATGGGGGAGCCCATGGTTCCAACTCTATGGATTGTCTAACTGGACAGGCTGGGACCCCAAACTCTTCCAGCTGCACAAGCATGGGGGCAGCTGTGGTGTGGGAATGCGTCACCTGCTGTGTATACTGGTTCTTGGGGGCCTCCACCCCTTGATCTGATTTGGGATCAGGATCCAGTCCAAAATAAAACTGGATCTCAAGTGTGTCTGAGAAGTTACACTGATTCCAAGAGAGTGCTGGATTCCTGCGACGAGAAAAAGCCCCTTCTGTCAGGACCAGCAGTACCTCTGTGCCCTGGGGTCACCTAAGACACACAGGGCTGGTCCAGCAGCGCCCTGGGGCTCAGGAGTCACTGACGGAAGGAGGAGCTCCCAGCTCCCGGTAGCCTCCTGAGGTTCTTGTCCCGGGTACTGTGAAGACACCAAATGATATAGTTTGGCTGTGTCCCCACCCAAATCTCACCTTGAATTATAGCTCCCACAATTCCCACATGTCATGGGAGGGACTTGGTGGGAGGTAACTGAATCATGGGGGTGAGTCTTTCCTGTGCTATTCTCGTGAGAGTGAATAAGTCTCAGGAGATCTGATGACTTTTCGCTCGGTTCTCACTTCTCTCGTCTGCCATCATGTAAGACGTGCCTTTCACCTTCCGCCATGATTGTGAGGCCTCCCCAATCACACGGAACTATGCGTCCATTAAACATCTTTTTCTTTATAAATTACCCAGTCTCGGGTACGTCTTCATCAGCAGCATGAAAATGGACTAATACACCAAGGAACTCCAAGAAAGACCCATACTTAACCTAGAAGAGGATGCGATCTCCAGGGAAACAATATAGATATAGAGTGAGAATAACAGGGCAAACCCATGCCTACAGCTCGGCTGCACAGCCCAGACCTGGGATGGACAGAGGTCCTTCTGGAATGGGACCTTGTTTTGATATGCTATGATTATGACTTTTGTCTAGCCAGTCACATCATCCGTCACCAAAGAAAATGCTGACTGGGTCATTTTTGTCAGTAGTTGGGGCAGAGAGACATTCCATAAATATCTGACCTCAGCTCCACAAGTACCCACAGTAGGCACTCTGAATATTTGTTGACTGATGCCATAAACAATACCATTGGATTTCTTCTTGGAGAGTTGAAAAATTCTAAAGTTAGCACCAAGGAGAAAATCAAATATGGTCAATACCATCTTTGAAAATCCTTTAAATTGTCCTTAAAATTCCATGATGTGGGCCTTTAGAAGATCACATGCAAGAATGAACTTTTGTTTTTTCTTTACATGCCAGCCAGCTATGGCCTTTCTTTTCCCCCTTGGAGCAGTCAGTGAAGGTCAAGGTCAATTTTTTTTTTTTTTTTTTTTTTTCAGACAAAGTCTTGTTCTGTTTCCCAAGCTGGAGTGCAGTGGCGCAATCTGGGCTCACTGCAACCTCCACTTCCTGGGTTCAAGCAATTCTCCTGTCTCAGCCACCCAAGTAGCTAGGATTACAGGTGCACACCATGATGCCTGGCCAAGTTTTGTATCTTTAGTAGAGACAGGGTTTCACCACGTTGGCCAGGCTGGTCTTGAACACCTGGCTCAAGTGATCCTGTCACCTCAGCCTCCCAAAGTTTTAGGATTACAGACGTGAGCCACCACGCCTGGCCTCAGTGTCAAATTTGATGTGACTATATGAGTGTAGGTAAGTGACTATATTAGTGTGCCGCCTCTCCCATGCTGCTCCAGCCATACCCTCCTCCTTGCAGCTCCTGGACCCCACCAGGCTTTCTCTCTCTCTCCTTTTTCTGATTGCAGTTGAGTTTTTAAATGATTCTGCAGTGCAATAAAATAAGCATTAATAGGGAGATGGCTACAGCGTCATGGGAAGGCTGAAGACTAATTATTCTGGGGCCAAGGAGAAAGAAAAGCATTTGGCTAAGAAATCATTCACAACACATAAAGCTATAGCACCATCCTTAGGCCAGAAATGCCAAAGATCATAGTTGAAGGTTACAATACACACACATACCACACCCAAAATAAGACAATCTTGAGATGCTCCTAGAAGGGCAGAGTCTAGGCAGGCCCAGGTCAGCACCCTCTGCAGCCATTTAGAAGAGACACCCATTGATTCTACATCTCTATCTGAAGTCATATTGGAAGCGAGAGGTCAGTGAGGCATCTCAGGAGGTCTCCATGACAACAGTTCCAACGTAGAAGAACCCAGAGGGTTTTGGATAATCACACTGCAGACGAGAAGAAAACAGAGATGCTGGCATGGAAGGAAAGCTCCCCTCCCACCCTCGCTTCAGCAGTCTGGAGGAGGGGCAGGAGGGTGGGGTGACAGTGCCATTGGGGTGGATACCCAGGCCCTGTGATGTGTGCCTACATTTACCACTGCTCTCTTCCTTCTCCTGCCTGCTATTAACCACTGTCACCTCTTACTGGGTCACGCCTCTCCACATATCTGCTTTTTTTCTGCCCTCAACCCAGCTGTTCAAGCACAGCACCCAGAGAGTGCCATCTCAGAGTCAGGCCATGCCCTTCCTCTGCTCCAAACCCTCCAAGACTCCCTTCTCAAAGTCAAGGTCCTTACAATGATGATGGGGCCGCTGCAATCTGGCCTGAATTGCCTCTCTGCCCCCCACCCCTGCCGCCTCTCCCATGCTGCTCTAGCCACACCCTCCTCCCTGCAGCTCCTGGACCCCACCAGGCATGCTCCCACCTCACACAGACTTTGCATTGGCCGTTCCCACGGCTGGGAATGCTTATCCCCCAGATAAGGACACAGCCAACTCCCTCACCTCCTTCTGTCTGTGCTCAAATCTCACACTTCAGTGCAGCCACCCTACCCACTGCCCATCCTAGCCCCTTAACCCAGCTGCTCCACTTTGTCCACAGCACACAAACACCAGCCTCCCAATTCTGTATCAGTTACTTGTTTATATTGATCGCTTATCTTCGATCTCCCTCTGCTCACAGTTAAGCACAGTGGGAACTCAGCAACATTTGTTGACTGAGTGGTGGTTTCCACTTGGGATAATTAAAAAATAATTACAGCGACAAATGTGCCTGAGAAGGAAGTGGCAGAAATGGCAAAGTTTGTAATAGTCCATTTGACCCACTGGTTTTCAAACTGCCCCCCAGAGCCCCAGAGTGACGGGCAAGATGAAACACAGGGGGGACCCCTCAATACCCCACCTTCAAATTATAACAGCACATGTTCCAGCAACGCCACTTCTGGGTATATATGCAAAATAATTGAAAGCTGGGTCTCAAAAACATATTTGTACACCCATGTTTACAGAATTATTCACCATAGCCGAGAGTTGGAAGCAACCCAAATGCCCATCTACAGATGAATAGATCAACAAAATATGATATATACACACAGTGGAACATTATTCAGTCTTGAAAAAGGAAGGAAATTCTGACACGTTACAACACGAATGAACCTTGAAAAGTTGTGAAATAAGCCAGTCACAAAAAGATAAAATGCTGTACAATTCCACTTAAGTAAGGTATGAGGAGTAGTCAAATTCATAGAGACAGAAAGTAGAATGAATGGTGGTGGCCAGGGGCTGCGGGGAGGAGGAACAGGGGAGGGAAGTGGTTGTTTAATGGGTGTGGAGTTTCAGATCTGCTAGTTGGAAAGTTCTAGAGATTTGTTGCACAACGATGTGAATATACTTGACATTACTGAACTACACACTTAAAATGATTACGATGGTAAATTTCATGGTATGTGTATTTTATCGCCATTTTTACCTTAAAAAAAAAAATAGGGGCCGGACACAGTGGCTCACGCCTGCAATCCCAGCACTCTGGGAGGCTGAGGTGGGTGGATCACCTGAGGTCAGGAGTTCGAGACTACCTGGACAACATGGTGAAACCCCGTCTCTACTAAAAATACACAAAAATTAGCTGGGCGTGGTGGCGAGCACCTGTAGTCCCAGCTACTCAGGAGGCTGAGGCAGGAGAATCACTTGAATCCAGGAGGCGGAGGTTGCAGTGAGCCGAGATTGCGCCATTGCACTCCAGCCTGGGTGACAAGAGCAAAACTCTGTCTCAAAAAGTAAATAAATAAAAAATAAATTAAAAATTTAAAAAAAATTTAAACATTTAAAAATCACAATAGTAAATGCTTGGCAAATGTTAGCCACGTGTCACCTCTTTCTACATATCATCTCATTTTCTCTCAATAATCCTACAAGGTGGGTGCTATTATCACCCTTCCACAGATGGGGACAGAGAGGCCCTGAGAATTGAAGGTCAAGGTCACTGGACGAGTCATGTGGTATTTCAACTTGTGCCTGGGTCTTAGGCCACGGGCAGCCATCTTCACAATGATGCTGTTCTACCTCTCTGGTGTGGTTTACACCCTGGCCAAAGATTTCCAACACAATTTGAAAACCAGCAAATTGGATGAATCTGACCAGCTCCCATCTATCCACAGGCTCACATCCCACTTCTGAGCCCCAGGCACCTGTGGACGGGCCTAACCTGCCTTTCCTGCTTTGTTTTCTTTCACTCCCTGCTTCCAGCTCATCCTCAGCTAAACTGCACTCCCCTGCTTCCAGCCCACGCTGGGATACCACCTCGGGCCTCAGCTCAGGCTGTTCTCTCCGTCTGGGTCCCCCTGTCCAAATAGTGCCCTTTCCAAAAGCACAGTTAAATAATAAAATCAGCTTAGATTTTCTGGGGCCTACTTCCATGATCCCACTTCAGCTTCCCAACAACCTTATGAAGAAGAGACAATCGCTGTCCCCACTTTACAGATGAGAAAACTGAGACTCACAGAAGCGGAGGTCACACAGCTGGCAAGTCCTAGGATGCTCCTTCCAGGCCTGTGTGACCTCAAACCCCAAGTCCTTCTCCACTTTACTAAGGTGGGGGGTCAGGGGTTGCCACGCACCTCCCTGGATTTGTCCAGCGAATGTGGGGCCTGCCAACTCTGAAGCTCCAAAGACTTCGTCTGGGCCCCTCCACCTCTCCTTGGACATAATGGCCGGTTGCTAATGTGTCTGTCTCCCTGACCAGGAGGGTCAGGGTGAGAGTGGATGAAGCCCAGGGCACCAGGGATTCGCAATTAATATTTTCGTTATTCATACCAGTGTAAGACAGCTGGCCCCTCCACTCCCGCCTCTAACCCAACCCTTTGTGATTTTTATTTTTTTTATTTTATTTTTTTGAGATGGAGTCTTGCTCTGTTGCCAGGCTGGAGTGCAGTAGCTCGATCTCGGCTCACTGCAACCTCCACCTCCCGGATTCAAGCGATTCTCCTGCCTCAGCTTCCTGAGTAGCTGGGACTACAGGTGCATGCCACCATGCCCAGCTAATTTTTGCATTTTTAGTAGAGACAGGGTTTCACCATGTTGGCCAGGATGGTCTCAATCTCTTGACCTCGTAATCTGCCCTCCTTGGCCTCCCAAAATGCTGGGATTACAGGTGTGAGCCACCACGCCTGGCCTGTGATTTTTCTTTATCAAATTTACCACCACCTGACAATGTATTATAGGTTTATTTATGGTCTATCTCCCTCACTAGAGGAAGCTCAGAAAGGCAGTGGCTTTTGGGTCACAATCCCTGATACATCCTAGGACAGCACCTGGCAGAGCAGGGGTTCAATCCCTGTGTGCTGAATGAAACAACCCACAACTGAAAAATGACTTCAGCAGATTTTTTTGAAGGACAATATCATTTTATATAAAGTGAGGTCCCCAATATGCTCAAGAGGGCCTCCCTATAGGTGGACATCATTATTGAGCACCTACTAAGCAAACTTGGCCCTGGTCCTGGATGTCACAGGGGTTACAGTCAGGGTGGTGTACAGGGTACAGGCAGGAATTAATCCCAGCAATGAGAGTATAATTCCACCCTGAACTTAACCTCTGACATACCAGTAGAAGTCTTGTGGCCTGGGCATTTGGAGTACAAGTCTGGCTAGGGCTAAAATGTGAAGAATGAGAAGATGTTACCTGGGAAAAGGGAGGCAGGGGGTAGAAGTGGCCTGGAAGAGCAGGTGCAAAGGTCCCAAGGAGGGAGGGGTGGCATGCCTGGGCACAGAGGGCTGTTGATAAGTGGTCTGAGATGCGGCTGGAGGTGTAGGCCAGGGGACAGTGGTACATAGCCTTCTGGTCCATGTAAAAGGTTTTTTCTCTTTTCCTTAAGAAAGTGGGAAGCCAAGGCCAGGCGCGGTGGCTCACGCCTGTAATCCCAGTACTTTGGGAGGCTGAGGCGGGCAGATCACGAGGTCAGGAGTTCAAGACCAGCCCAATATGGTGAAACCCCATCTCTACTAAAATACAAAAATCAGCCGGGCATGATGGTGGGCGCCTGTAGTTCCAGCTACTTGGAAGCCTGAGGCAGGAGAACCGCTTGAACCTGGGAGGCGGAGGTTGCAGTGAGCTGAAATTGCATCACTGCACTCCAGCCTGGGTGACAGAGTGAGACTCTGTCAAAAAAAAAAAAAGAGAGAAGAAAGAAAGAGAGAGAGAGAGGGAGGGAGAGAGGGAGGGAGGGAGGGAGAGAGAGAGAAAGAGAGAGAAAGAGAGAGAAAAGAAAAGAAAAGAAAAGAAAAGAAAAGAAAAGAAAAGAAAAGAAAAGAAAAGAAAAGGAGAAAGAAGAAAATGGGAAGCCAGAGCGGGGTTTTAGGCAGAGGGTGGTACCATGATATCAGGGCAGCTTGAAGCGGAGGTCGGCTAAATGGAAAGTGGATTGGATTTCACTCTCACCCCTTCTGCCTGCTGTCACACGTTCCAGAGAGCCAGTTCCCCACTCCTCATCAGCAGCCCCGGTTTATAATGTACAACACTGTTTACAAAACACACAGGCCAAAAGAGAACACAATGAGAAACCACCCACTGACATTTCTTAGGTCCCACGTTAGCCAGCCCTGGTGGCTGATCAGCCTTTGTAGCCCAGTGGTACCAGAGTAGAGAGAGATGGTTTGAGCCTTATGAGGAACTCTCCAGACCCCAGCTTTTGTGGGAGCTACATGCTGAGCTATGACAACCTAATCGATGAACTCCTCCTGTCCAACTCCTCCTTGGGCCTTAGGACTAAAAAGTATAAAGTCTCCCAAAGTGTCAGATACTGCACTGGGCCTTTTGTGGCTTCAGCTCCTTTAATTTTCACAACAACCTTGGAGACAGGTCATTTAACTTGCCTGATCCCACTCAGTTACAAAGCTGCAAAGCTAGCACCTGAGCCCATCTCTGTCTGATGCTGCACACGAGGGCTTGAGGCCACTCTAATACCGATCTCTTCTGCTGTCTTCATGTACTTCACAGTTGGGGAAATGCCAGTGGTCTCCCCTGTGCCCAGCCCTCCCTCCCCAGGCTGAAGGGCAGGGCTTTATTCCACCCTCTGGAGTGTACTTCCTGAGGGCAGCGCTCCTTTTTGTTCACTGCTGTATCCTCGTTGCCTAAACAATGCACACAGTAGGTGCTCAACAAATATTTGGTGAATGAACAAATGGATGTTCCCAAAGCTTAAAAGAGTGTCATATTTTCTGCAATGAACACTGAGTTAGGAAAAAGGGGGCTCATGTGCTGACTCCTACTTCGAGTTAGGTAGTAGTCTGGGATTCTAGCCTGGCCCTGCTCCTAATTCCCAGTGCAACCCCAGGGAAGGGCCAGGCAGCCTGGTCAGGGCAAAGGCATTGTGGAGGCCAACTCTGTGCGAAGCACTGGGTCAGGCTCTCCAGGCAGGTAGCCCAGGTTTTTATCTCTTGCTTCCTAGCTGTGTGGTCTTGGGGAAGTTACCTCACCTCTCTGAGCCTCAGTTTACCCAGCTGTAAAATCCACTCAAAAGTCAGCAGCAGTAATTCTTCCCTCCTGTAACTTCAGGCATGGGCACCAGAAGACATGGCCTCCTTGTAACATGAGGAGCCTGGTTTTTCTCCAGAGGCTCCCCAAGCCCTCCTGGAATTCTCTGTTTGAGAGTCTGCGGGGGGACAGGGAGACAGGAGGCGGGGGAGTCCTAGAGGCCTTCCTGACGGGGGCGTGGAGGGGCCACGTGGGGCAAGGGGAAGCACAGGGACCTCTTGTGACCTTGGGCAAGCCCCCTTCCTCTCTGACCTTGACCAGCGTCCTCATTTGTCAAGGGAGCGGCTGGGTGACCTCTAAGAACTCGGAGGCCGAGGCCGGAGTCGCCCGAGTGCTCCGCCCAGCCTCAGTTTCCCCCTCTGCCTCCCCAAGATTTCTAAAAGCACTTCCGGCTCTGAAAACAAACCAACCACCAGCAGGCGGCCTGGGCTTAGGGCAGGCAGCGCCAGGGAGCGCGCGGCCGCTTCCTGGTGGGTCCAGTGTCCCCGGGGTGGAGGGCGGGGCGCAGGGCAAAGGGCCCCGGGGCTGGGCCGGGCTCCGAGTGCCCCGCGTGGGGCCGGCGGGGAGTGGCCCAGCGAGGTGCGCGCCACCGTGGCCTGGCGGCTCCTCCGGGGCCCCCTTACCTGGAGGCGGCTGCGAAGGCAAAGGCGGAGGCGGCAAAACCGGCGAGCGGCTCCTCCCGCCCGGCCCGGCCCGGCCCCTCCCCTCCCCGCCGCGTCCCGGCCCCGGTCCCGGCCCGTCCCGCCGCCTGCCCCGAGCGCGCCTGGTCGCCACCGGCCGGGCGGAGCACTTAGGGAGCGCGGCGCGGGGGCGCGGGGCCTTCCAGGCTCTGACTCGCCAGCTGCGGGTCCCGACCTGGCTCGTCCCACCTCTGCCCCACCTCCACCACCCATCGCGACAGGGGTGCCGGCCTCTGCAGGTGACCGGCAAGCCCGCGGCGCCACATCTGTGTGTGGGTCCATTTACCCTCCAGGAAGCAGCGAGACAGCGCGGCGCGGGAGAAGGGCCCTGCAGGGTTGGACTTTGCAGAAACTGCCCGCGAAGGACTCGGCCCCGAGAGTGGCATGCCCCAAAGCCACATTTTGAAGACAAAGTCTTCAAAAATGTATAATGTAAACAAAGAACCAGCCGCAGAAACCGCCTTCCCGCACGTGTATGCAGCACTTTGTAGTTTGCAAAGTGTTCAGATATCTAAGTTCTTCCTGATTCTACTTTCATTTTCCCTAACGCTAAGTTTGGTCCTGTCTCAGGGCCTCTGCCTGGAGGCTCCCGTGCCTGGGACTCTCTGCCTTCAGACCTCCCTTTCCCCCAATCCATTTCCTGCTTTCCATTCTGGTCTCTTGGGATGGGATCTGAGAGTCTTCCCTGAGCACCCAGCACATTCAGTCATTGAACAAATTTACCGAGCACCTACTACGCGCCAGGTACAGTTCTTTTTTTTTTTTTTTTTTTTTTTTTGAGATAAGAGTCTCGCTCTGTCACCCAGGCTGGAGTGCACTGGCCCGATCTCAGCTCACTGCAACCTCCGCCTCCCGGATTTAAGCGATTCTCCTGCCTCAGGCTCCCTGGTAGCTGGTACTACAGGCGTGTGCTACCACACCCGGCTAATTTTTGTATTTTTAGTAGAGACGGGGTTTTGCTATGTTGGCCAGGCTGGTCTCGAACTCCTGACCTCTGGTGACCCACCCGCCTCGGCCTCCCAAAGTGCTGGGATTACAGGCGTGAGCCACCGCGCAGCCCCAACTAGACTTTAAAAGCCCTGGAGGTGGGCGGGTTTAGGCTGCCTTGCTCTCCGCTGTGTGCCCAGCCCCAGGGACTGTGCCTAGCACTTGCAGGTGCTCAAAAGAAGCACTTAATGAATGGATCTCTTTCCCCTAGCAACCCTGTGAAATTTCATCACACCCACTCTGAAGGAGAGGAAACCGAGGCTCAGGTCCAGACAATGCAGAAGCCACAGAGCTAATGAGTGCCAGAGCTAGGGCATGAATCATCGTGGCCTCAGAAGCTGTTGCCCTTACTCCCAGTGAAGACAATCTAGGGTTATGGGAGGAAAAGGTACCGACGGGGGTCAGAGACCAGCATCCCAGCTCAGAGCCTGGGACTCACGCACCTGTGAAATGTTCCTTCCTTCATCTGCTCATCTCCCCACTGGCCAATCAGGACCAAGAAGGGCAGCTCTACCCACCCATGAAGTTATTGTGAGGGTCAAATGGGTCAATCGTGTGCAGGCTTTAGGGGAATAAGGGGTTATATCTGAGCATGTGAGCTTTGTCAAGATTGAGAACTGCAGCCAGCCCTCCTCTTAATGTCTGGCAGCCCCTTCCAGCAGATCAGCTTTGTGGGACCAGGCACCACTCTGCACTCCCCTGCTTTGCCCTGTCTCTAATTTGATTAGAGACCTTGTGTTGAACACACTTGTCTTTGGGTATTGGACCCTGTTCAGCCATTGCCCGGCACCCAACCCTCACCCTAGTCGCCCCCACTGCACACAGTTCCTGATCCCATCATTGAGGCTATGGGTGGGAAAGATGGAGAAAATATGTTTACCCCTTTTGGTGTATGCTTTTGAGATTTTGTTAGGTTTGGTATTGGACATTGAAGAATTTTGTTTCCTCTAAGTAACTCTCCCCCAAAGGAATGTTTAGGGAGTTGTGGAAGGGGAAGCCTTCTAATGAACCATTGACTAATTCAACCAGGATGTGTGGAGTGGCTGGTGGGGTTCTAGATGTTGAGGGTATAGCAGGAGAATCAAAGTGTTTCCAGCAAAATCATGGAGCTTACATTCTGGTTTGGGGGATGGGTGGAGGGAGATGGACAAGAAACCAACTGATTTTATTTTACTTTATTATTATATTTTATTTTTTATTGAGACGGAGCCTTGCTGTGTCGCCTAGGCTGGAGTGCAATGGCACAATCTCAGCTCACTGCAACCTCCACCACCTGGGTTCAAGCGATTCTCACGCCTCAGCCTCCTGAGTAGCTGGGTCTACAGGTGCGCACCACCATGCCTGGCTAATTTTTTTGTATTTTTAGTAGAGATGGGGTTTCACCATGTTGGCCAGGCTGGTCTTGAACTCTTGAACCTCTCAAAGTGCTGGGATCACAGGCGTGGGCCACCGCACCTGGCAAACAAACTGATTTTAATCTGTTTTACAGAAAAAGTAAAGCAGGGAGGTCACGCTATAGAAGATGAAGCAGTCAGGGAACCGCTGCAGGCGATCTTTGAGGAGGCTATCAGGTTACAGGGCACAGCATCCAAGGTAGACCCAGCAATTGCAAAGGTCTTGAGGTGGGAGTGTGGTTGGCCCTTATAAGAAAACGGTGTGAGAGGAGAGTGGAGAGTGCTGGGGGAGAGTCCTGGATGAGATGAGATCAGACAGGTAGTGGGGGTCGTATCACTGTGAGCTTTTAAGAAATGCTGATGAGGGCTGGGTGCAGCGGCTCCCGCCTGTAATCCCAGGACTTTGGGAGGCCAAGACGGGTAAGTCACTTTAGCCCAGGAGTTTGAGACCAGCCTGGGCAACATGGTGAAACCCCGTCTCTACTAAAAATCCAAAAATTAGCTGGGCATAGTAGGGCAAGCCTGTAGTCCCAGCTTCGTGGAGGGCGGAGGTTGCAGTGAGCCGTGTTTGCACCACTGGACTTTAGCCTGGGCAACAGAGGGAAACTGTCTCGAAATTTAAAAAAATACATATATATATATATATATATATATATTTGCTGATGCTTAGGCTAGGGTTGCCAGATTTAGCAAATGAAAATAGAGGACTCTGTTTTATTTCAATTTCAGATAGACAATGGATAATTGTTTAATATGAGTATGTCCCAATACTGCACAGGATATACTTATATTAAACAATTACTTATTGTGTATCTGAAATTTAAGTATAGCTGGGTGTCCTGTATTTTATCTGGTAACCCTATTTGGGCCCCACTCTCAGAGATTCTGATTCCATTGGTCTGGGATCTGGCCAGGCATAGGTGTTGTTCAGAAGCCCACAGGTATTTCTTTTCTTTTCTTTTCTTTTCTTTTAAACAAAAAACAACAACAACAAAAAACCTGCCCAGGAGTGGTGGCTCACGCCAGTAATCCCAACACTTTGGGAGGCTAAGGTAGGCGGATCACCTGAGGTCAAGAGTTCAAGAACAGCCTGGCCAACATGGCAAAACCCCGTCTCTACCAAAAATACAAAAAAAAAAAAAAAAAAAATAGCCAGGTGTGGTGGCGGGTGCCTGTAGCCCCAGCTATTGGGAAGACTGAGGCAGGAGACTCTCCTGAACCTGAGAGGCGGAGGTTGCAGTGAGCTGTGATGGTACTGCTGCACTCTAGCCTGGGCGACAAAGCAAGACTCTGACTCAAAAAAAACTTTTTTTTAATTTTTAAAAAACTTTAAAAAAAGGTTTTAGGTTTAGGGTACATGTGCAGGTTTGTTATATAGGTAAACTTGTGTCACAGGGGGTCTGTTGTACAGATTATTTCATCACCCAGGTATTAAGCCTAGTACCCAATAGTTGTTTTTTCTGTTCCTCTCCTTCCTCCCAACCTCCACCCTCAAATAGGTCCCAGCATCTATTGTTCCCTTTTCTGCGTTCATGAGTTCTCATCATTTAGCTCCCACTTATAAGTGAGAACACGAGGTATTTGGTTTTCTTTTCCTGCATTAGTTTGCTAAGGATAATAGCCTCCAGCTACATCCATATTCCTGCAGAAGAAGTGATCTCATTCTTTTTTATGACTGCATAGTATTTCATGGTATATATGTAACACATTTTCTTTATCCAATCTGTCATTGATGGGCATTTAGGTTGATTCCATGTCTTTGCTAGTGGCTCACAGGTATTTCAAATGTGTGAGCAGTTCCAGGAGCCACTGATGTAGGGCCTTGTCTACTCAGTTAGGGGTGTGGATGGACAGTTGTAGAGGGTTGGGGGCAGTGAATTGACATGACCTCACCTTTTAAAAAGATCCCATTGGCTGCTGTGTGGAGGGCAGAGAGACAAGAGTGGACAGAGGAAGCTGATTAGGAAGCTATTGCAATAGTCCAGGCCGGAAAGAGGTCTGTATTTGTTGAGCTCCTACTATGGCTAGGCACAAGAGCGCATAATGGAAACAGAGGTTACTGAGTCCTCCCTTGGCCCTACCCCGTTCAGAATTTCTCAGGGATGTGGGAGCCTAGGAATTTGTATTTTTAACATGCTCCTCTGGTGATTCTGATGATCAGTCAGGTTTGGAACAACTAAATTATTGGCTTTTAATTTTCCTGGAAATTCTAGAAATCACCATGAATACTGCTTAGGGAGCACTGTCCTTATTGCTGGCTCCATGTGCCTTCCATATATACCTTCTATCCTTCAACCCTATGCAGTATATATGATCATTAGCCCTATTTCTCAGAAGAAGGAACTGAGGCTCAGAGAGGAATAACTTGGCCAGGATCACCGAGCTACAAGGTGGCAGAGTCAGGATTTGAACCCGGGTCTGGCTGATTCTGCTATCCTGCCCTTGATATTTACGCCTAAATATCAATACAAATTAAAGATATTTAGATGAGTTGCGGATAATGGACCCTCAATGGGAGAAGCCTCCTTTGCTATGTCCCGTTGATGTCTCTCCTCCTAGGACTGACGTGAGGGCTGGCCCGGCCTGGGTGTTTGTTGAGTGGAACTGAATTCTAGGGATGATTTCACTGAGGGCAGCCCATATTCTTTCCCACAGAGGATCCCTGTGATGCTGTTGTGCTGAACTTGAGACTGAATGAGCCAGAAGGCTATTTATGGTCACTTATTTCCTTACAACACTCAGAAATAATCTGAGCTCCCCTGGGGAGGGATTGGACACTCCCTTAGAGGAAGGCCAGGGTGGAGGTAACTTCGGACGATGTGTGGTTACCATGGATGTGACATTGCTGAGCAATCTCTTGTTTGTGTTTCCAAGCCATCTTTGACCCAAAGAACTGAATAACTTTATGTTAATTGGACCATCAACTGGAATCGGCAGAGCTAAGTCTTGGGGATTTGGAGTCAAAGCCATTTGGGTTAATAATTCCCCTCACTGTTTTCTTTTTTCTTTTTTTGAGACGAAGTCTCAGTTTTTCACCCAGGCTGGAGTGCAGTGGCTCCATCTTGGCTCACTGCAATCTCTGCCTCCTGGGTTCAACTGATTCTTCTGCCTCAGCCTCCTGAGTAGCTGAGATTATAGGCACACGCCACCACGCTCGGCTCACTTTTGTATTTTTAGTAGAGGCGGATTTTTGCCATGTTGGCCAGGCTGGTCTCGAACTCCTGACCTCAAATGATCTGCTCACCTTGGCCTCCCAAAGTGCTGGGATTACAGGTGTGAGCCACCGCACCCGGCCACCCCTCACTGTTTTCATGTGTTAGGTAATAATTTCATAGTCTCCTGCCATATCTCTTACACAGAGGCTTGGGTCATGACTTCTACCTGCTTCTTATCTAAGAATGCTTTGCACTTGCCCCTGGTCTGATATTTTCTAATGTGTGAGACCCATATCACTGGTGGTACATGAGGTGCCTCTAGCTGGTACATGAACCTGCATTAAATCACCTTGAATCGCACAGTAAGAAAGCAATTCCCTTCAATCCTTGTTCTGTTGGGATTGTTTGATGCTATTGAATCTTTAAAACTCCTCTAACATTTGCTAATCATTCCCTTTTAATGAAGGAAAATAGGCCTCAGCTCAAAGCCTAGCTTTAGACAGCCTCACAGCTATCTAAAATATTGAGTTTGGATTTAATTATGTTGTTTATTTATTTAGTAAACTTTTTATTTTGGAAGGATTTTAGATTGACTGCAAAGAGAGCTACAGAGTTCTTATCTAAGAACCATATACCTTTCACCCTGTTTTTCCCCAGTGTTAGCATCTTACGTAAACATATGGTACATTTGTCAAGACAAACAAACTGGTATTGGGTATTGGTACTTACTGTTAACTAAAGTATGGAATTTATCAGTTTTCCATTAATGTCCTTTTACTGTTCCAGAATCCAGTCTAAGACACCACATCGCATTCAGTATTATTTATTTATTTATTGAGACAGGGTCTTCCTCTGTTGCCCAGGGTGGAGTGCAGTGGCACAATCATGGCTCACTGCAGCCTCTACCTCCTGGGCTCAAATGATCCTCCTGCCTCAGCCTCCTGAGCAGCTGGGACTACAGGTGCGCACCAGCACACCAGCTAATTTTTATATTTTTTTGTAGAGACAGAGTCTCACTAGGTTTGCCAAGTCTGGTCTCAAACTTCTGGACTCAAGTGATGTTCCCATCTCAGCCTCCCAAAGTGTTGGGATTACAGGTGTGAGCCATCGTGTCTGGCCAGCAGGACTTTATTAAGGAATGCTGGGGGCAAGCAGGGAGAAATCAGGCCCAGTATTAAGGAGAAGCCAGGTGCTGGAAGCCTTGCTAAGGAGGGTGTAATTTACCTTGAAGGCAAGGAGGAACCACCAGTTTTAAGCAAGGCTGAAATTTGTTCTTTTCTGAAGGCCCCTTTCTGGTTGCAGTGTAGAGAATGAACTTACTGCAGGGCAATGCTGGAGGAAGTAGTGACCAACAGAGCCAGATGAAGGCTTTCTCTCCAGGGCAATTCACAAAGCTCTGAAACCCTCAGCGCAGCAAGTGTGGACAGAGCAGGCATCTCAGCATAAGATTGAACCAGGCCAGGAGCGGTGGCTCAGCACTTTGGGAGGCCAAGGTGGGCGGATCACGAGGTCAAGATATCGAGACCATCCTGGCCAACATGGTGAAACCCCGTCTCTACTAAAAATACAAAAATTAGCTGGGATTGGTAGCGTGCAACTGTAGTCCCAGCTACTCGGGAGGCTGGGGCAGAAGAATTGCTTGAATCTGGGAGGTGGAGGTTGCAGTGAGCTGAGATCATGCCACTATACTCCAGCCTGGTGACAGAGTGAGACTCTGTCTTAAAAAAAAAAAAAAAAAGATTGAACCAGACACCAGAGTCTCAGACCAAGCTCTTAGACCCTATAGTATTATTATATTCGGTGTTACTTTTTAAAAGCTATGATGTATGTACAGAAAAAGCACACAGAGGATGTAAGCACTGTTTACAAGTAATTATACAGTAAACACCCACCTGTATAACTACCACCTAAGTCAAAAAATAGAACAGGCCAGTGCAGTAGCTCATGCCTGTAATCCCAGCATTTTGAGAGACTGAGG
Organism: Homo sapiens; assembly: GCF_000001405.40. Taxonomy (NCBI): domain Eukaryota; kingdom Metazoa; phylum Chordata; class Mammalia; order Primates; family Hominidae; genus Homo; species Homo sapiens. Next base: position 19,807,426 of record NC_000001.11, read on the forward strand.
CGGGAGGATCCCTTCAGCCCAGGAGCTCAAGACCAACCCGGACAACACAGCAAGACCTTACTAAAAAAAAAAAAAATCAAAAAAATTAGTTGGGTGTGGTGGTGTATTCCCATAGACCCAGCTACTTGGGAGGGTAAGGCAGGAAGATCTCTTGAGCCTGGGATTTCAGGGATGCAGTGAGCTACGATCGCACCACTGCACTCCAGCCTGGGTGACAAAGCAATATCCTATCTCAAAGAAAAAAAATAGAACATTACCAACATTACCAGTGTCCCAGAAGCCTCTCCCTAATCAGAACCTCCTTCTCCTCCAGAGATACTCTCTTCCATTATTATTCAAGTTTCATTCAGCTTTTTTACTTTAGTAAATATGTGTAGATCTTGTTTCCCCAGGTTGTGTGATGGTGATGGGGGTGGGAGTGGTCAGGAGTGTCCCTTAAATTGTACACCTTCCCAGGCACCTGATAGGCTGATGGGACAGGAGGGCACCCACTCTGCGTTGAGAACAGTGCAGGTATTGTATACGTCATCTAATCAGATTGCCATAAAATCTGTATGAGGCAGGCCTGATGAGCCTACATTTCCCAATTCAGGGAAAGCACATACCATACCCAAGGTCACACAGAGCATAAATTGTAGTTGTTGGGTTTTGTTTTGTTTTTTTGTTTTTTTGAGACAAAGTCTCACTCTATCGCCCAACCTGGAATGCACTGGCACGATCTTGGCTCACTGCAACCTCCGCCTCCTGTGTTCAAGCTATTCTCCTGCCTCAGCCTCCCAAATAACTGGGATTACAGGTGCCTGCCACCATGCCCAGCTAAATTTTTTTGTATGTATTTTTAGTAGAGAGGGGATTTTGCCATGTTGGCTGGGCTGGTCTTGAACTCCTGACCTCAGGTGATCCACCCACTTTGGCCTCCCAAAGTGCTGGGATTACAGGTGTGAGCCACTGCATCTGGCCCTAGAAGTTGGTTTTGAACCCAGGTCTGTCTTGACTGAGGGCCCTGTTCTTTCCTTGGCTTGTTCTGATGGGGGTAGGGGAAGGTGAGGAAGGACGGGAATGACGCGGGGTGGCAGGGTGATGGTAGGTACGGGGACTAAGAGGGGGCTTTAGAGCCGGACTGGCCTGCCTGACTTCATATCTCAGCCCTGTCCCTCGGGCACATTGCTGACCTTCTCTGACCTTCTCTACGCCTCAGTTTGCTGCCTGAATAGGGGTTTTGTGTTGATTCTATGAGAAAACATGTAAAATGCCCAGCACAATAAATCATCACACTTACCTCATGGGGTTGCTGTGAAGAATACAAGAGTTAAGTTTAGTTCAGGAAGCTTTTAGAACAGAACCTGCAGGGGGGAACCACTCATGAGCATTGGCCACTAATATTGTTGTTCTTTTCCCTTTCCCTCACGTTCATGGGTGTGCACTGAGCTGAAGTTGCTTTGAAATTGCTGCATCTACAGTGACTTTGCAGACTGTTTTCTTCTGCAGACTGACTCCAGTGAAGGGCTCTGGCTGGGCGTCTGGAGAACTAGAGCCTGTTTCTTCTGGGGATCATGAGGCCAGTGGAGTGGAGGCTGGCCTCCTCTAACAGTGGTGGCCTGAGCTCCACTCCATGTTTCCTGTCTGACCCCACTTGTAGGCAGAGCTAACGTGGGCACCACCCTCTTGGGCCTGACATCAGGACAGCCTCCCCGCAAGTTCAGACTGGCTCTTAGGTGGGAACGTGTGGTAGGAAGGCTCCCGACCACCTGGCCTGTGGCATTGCTTCTCCCCTGGCCTTTGGAGGGGCTGAGGCCTATGGTGGGATTTTTCAGCAGCCGGGATCCTGGACAGCTCCTGTATTCAGTCAGGGATATTGGTTGCAAGCAACAGAAACTGATTCAGGCTATCAGAAGAAAAAAAGTGAATTGTAGAGAAGGAACCTGAGACTTCAGTGAATCAACCAGAGGGGAAGCACCAGATGTGGGGACGATCTGGTTTGCTGCAGCAGCTGCTGCAGCCACTTTCAAATAGTCATTTCTCCTTGCATCACCAGCTCCAGATTCAAAGTACTGGAAAAGAGCATCCGACTGGAATAACTTGGATCAGGGGTTAATAATTGGGAACCCGGCTGCACAGCAGGAGGTGAGTGGCAGGCAAGCGAGTGAAGCTTCATCTGTATTTACAGCCACTCCCCATTGCTCACATTACCACCTGAGCTCCGCCTCCTGTCAGATCAGCGGCTGCATTAGATTCTCATAGGAGCATGAACCGTACTGTGAACTGTGCATGCGAGGGATCTACACTGTGCACTCCTTATGAGAATCTAATGCTCAGCATCTATTAATTTCCCTACCTCATCAACTAAGATTGAATATCCTGCTCAGGACCTGGCACAGAGCAGAACCTCAAGAAGTATTTGTTGAATAAAAGAATGGATGGATTCTAGATTCTATGGTGTGGGTTTTTTTGTTGTTGTTCATTTGTTTGTTTGTTTGAGACTGACTCTTGCTCCGTTGCCCAGGCTGGAGTGCAGTGGCACGATCTTGGCTCACTATAACCTCCGCCTCCCGGGTTCAAGCAATTCTCTTGCCTCAGCCTCCCAAGTAGCTCAGATTACAGGCTCATGCCACCATGCCTGGCTGATTTTTGTATTTTTAGTAGAGACAGGGTTTCACCATGTTGGCCAGGCTGGTCTTGAACCCCTGACCTCAGGTGATCCGCCCACCTCGGCCTCCCAAAGTGCTGGGATTACAGGTGTGAGCCACTGTGCCTGGCCTCCATGGTGTTTTGAATTCTCCATAGAGTTCTCTACTCTGTGGAGTGCTCCCAGAGATACACCCTCCCCCACTTTAAAAAAGTGATTTCAAGATACTCTAACAAAAATATAAAGTTCATGGGAACACCTCCAGGCACATTCAAGAGCTTGGATCTGACTTCTGTTTTTAATGAGCTTGATGCTTTTCCCACAGCCAGAGAAATTGCAGGAAAGTCCTTCCTTCCCAGAACGGCTCTGCTTTGCCACAGATAAAGAATTATTTGTTTTAAGAAAGCTTGAAAAACTTCCTCCAGTCATTTGAAAAGGGGTTCCAACAATGAACAGGAGGCCCCAGCAATAAATCAGGTGAGGCAAGGAAGTGGCTCTGGGAGATGGGACAGGTAGATTCCCACAACCCTCTGTCCCAGGCACCCACTAAATCAGGAAGTTGTCACTGAATGAGAGGATGCCAGTGCTTCTTAATTCTTCAGTCTTAGGGGCAGGTGACCCACATAACTTGATCACTTATGGTGTGCTGCAATGTTCCATCTGGTACAGCAAAGTGACTCAAAGCCCAAACTCTGGAGTTAAACTCCTACAGTCTACCCTTGGCCCCACCACTGTCTCATTGTGTGATCTTGGGCATGTTCCTTCACCTTTCTGTGCCTCGAAGTCCTCACTGATAATTTGAGAACAACAATAGTACCTCCTTTATAGCATATGTGATAATATATGTAATACACTTTGCAGGGTGCATTTAGATAATGTCAACAATTATCATATTATTGAGGATGCTGCTGGTGCTGAGGCTGATCATGGAAAAGGTGAATTCTAGTGCCCAGGTTTATTAAATGTCTGTTCTCATCATTCCCACTAGGGATTTCTAGAACTCAATCCCATCTCTCTGTCTCTCCCTGTCTTCCCCTCCCTTCTTTATCTCCTTAGTGCTCAACCATGGATTATTTCGCTGATTCCCCAGCAACCCTAGCAGGTATGTATCATAACCTCAGTTTCACGGATAAGAACCTGAGACGTAGAGAGACGAAGGGACTTGTAAGTGGAGAACTGGAATTCAAGCCAGGTATGTCTGCCTCCAAGGCTGCTGCATGGGGAGATGGACCTGATGGGAATGAAATTTGGCCTCTCCCCATAATTTCTTTTCATCGTTAGAACCTCCCTCTAGGACCTAGGCTCAGACTTCACTGCCAGACTGGCCTGCCCTGGACAACACTCCACACTCGACTGGCTGCCCCCTGCTGGCTGTCAAGCTGAACAAGCCCCAAGAAACCCATTTACCCAAGGAGGCCAATGGTGGCCAACAAAAGCAGTCCATTAGACAGTGGCTGCTCATCCAGCAGCACCCTGAATCCTCACGGAGGCCCTGGGAAGAGTGTATCCCCCACCTGCCACTTTACAGGTGACCAAACTAAGGCTCAGAGAAGTTCTGTAACTCCCTTCTGTCGCACACCAGGTCAGAGCTTGGCTTTGAGCCCCGGGCTGGCTCTCTGGTTTGTCCAATCACATTCTTTTGCAGGATGTCTATTTCCTCCTCTGTGTCTATTTCCTCTGCTCTCTTCCAGGGTGGCCTGGGTTGATTCTGGCCTCTGGTGCTCTCTGTTCCCATGCTGCCAAGGCCAGAGGATGACTGAGACCAGCTGAGCTTCTAAAGGGCTGGTGATAGCAGTGTCCGAACAACTTTGCCCAGGGGGACGGAGGGCTTGGTTGGGGGCCTACCACATGCCAGGAATGAGGACAGGAAATCTCACTATTATGAATCACTCTTACAAATCTCACTATTTTCTGATTTTCACAATGTGAGATTCAGGGAAGTAAAGAGACCTGCTTAAGGGCAACGATGGGGCAGGTGAGGTCTCAAACCTGAGACTCTAATGTTCCTGCTGGCCTAACTCACTGCAGAGGAGGCTAGAGCTGGGAGGTAGAAGTCTACAGGAGAACCATTCTATTTTTATCATTCTCTTTTTTATCTTTTTATTTTTTAATTTTTTTTTTGAGATGGAGTCTTGTTTTGTCAACCAGGCTGGAGTGCGATGGGACAATCTCAACTCACTGCAACCTCCACCTCCTGGGCTCAAGTAATTCTCCTGCCTCAGCCTCCTAGGTAGCTGGGATTACAGGTGCCCACCACCATGCCTGGTTAATTTTTTTGTATTTTCAGTAGAGATGGGGTTTCACCATGTTGGCCAGGCTGGTCTTGAACTCCTGACCTCAAGTGATCCGCCCGCCTCAGCCTCCCAAAGTGTTGGGATTACAGGCATGAGCGACTGCGCCTGGCCTATCATTTTCTTTTCTTTTCTTTAGCATGGATGACAGATTCTAAAATTCTCCGGCCTCTCTGAGCAGCTGACTGCTGGAATTTGGAGGCTCCTGAAATTAGTTTCCTGTTCTCTCCATGCACTTCTCAAAAACCCTCAAGTGGTGACCAGATCCCCACTTATTTGGGAGTTGTACACAAAGGAAGCAGCATCATGAGGCAGAAGGAGCCCTGGGTTATCTCGAGGGAGCTCAGGCATTGACTGTGCAACCTTAGGCAGGCGAATTCACCTCTGTGATCCTCAATCTCCTCCTCCGCAAGAGAGAGATAGTAATGGCCTGTACTTCATAAGGTTATTGCGAAGATTAACTAGTGCATGGAAAGCAGTTATTGCAGTACTTGGCACAGAGTAAGTACTGGATAAACAAGTAACCACCATTATTATGGTAGAAATGGTGTCATTAGCAACTGAAACATTGGGGGGAGGTTTTGATCTTGGCGAAGGGTCTGAGAAATATTACAGATCGAATAGAAGGGAAGTGAGTTGGGAGGGAATGTTCCTTGCCTATCCCACTGGCAGCCATCCCAAACTGACATGCCCGGGGCCAGCTCAGGAAATGCCCAGTGACCCTCTTCAGCTTGGGAGACATGGTGTTCTTCAGGCCCACTTGGTCTGGCTTAAAGCCGTGGGTCTGTGCATGCCCACACACACTCATACTGTCTCAGCACCAGTCGCCATTAGGGCCAATGGCATGGGTGTCGGACTTGCCCTGAGACAACAGCACTCCTCTGAGGTTTCAAGAATGTTTCCCATTTATGGGGCTTTTGGAAGGAAATAGTATGTCTCCTCCCATCCTCTGCTCATCTGCACTCCCACATAAACACCCGGCTGAGGCCTGCCCCTGGCAACCATGGAAAGTCGTTTCCCCCAGCCAATGCCTCCCCTGTGTTAAGAAGCAGACGTGGTGGAAAGAAGGCACGAAAAAAGCTTGCGACTCACAGGGTGAGGTGGGAAAAGTGGGGTTATTGGTGAGGACCGTTGCATTTATGGGGCCTCTTATCTTTATGACAAAAGCTTAACTAGTACTTGAGATGCAATAACAAAGACGGTAACATCCATAAAGATCTAGTTCTACCGTGTGGGACTGTGCAATAGATGGGCAGCTGGCCCCACTGTATGTGGACTGCAGTCCTTGTAACCCCGAGATTTGCTGCTAAGTCAGGGCCTAGTGGCACGGAGTGGGGAACTCCTAGTGAGGATACTGGGAGCAATTCCCAAACCCTGCCCTCTCCACCCCTCCCCATCTCTGCCAGCTAAATGTGGGACTCCCCCTGCAGCTTCAGAAACACCATCCCTTCACACACATTTTGTCTCCCCAACCCTAGGGTCAACTCCATGGGAGACCTAAACAACCAGGACACTTGCCGAGGCTAGGCTGGGCATGAGATGCTCAGTGTTAGAGGAAGCGCAGTGGGACCTCCCCGTGGACTCCAAGCTCCCAGGAGGGAAAATGTGTAACAAAGGGAAATGTGAACCAACTGCTGCCCCAAACCCAAAAAAACAAAGGAAAACAAGAAAACAAAACCAGCTACATAAATTGCAAAAAGAATGGAATTCCAGTTCTATTCTACAATGGCATCAATACTGCAATACTTTCATCAAGTTATATAAAGAAAAACCAAGAACATTGGAATAAGAGGAACAGGAGCTTCCCCCATCTTGTCATGTTCAAGTAGTTTGTGTCTGCTCCCCTAGCCACCAACAGTTTTAGCTATGCTATCCCAAGGGCAAGTGCAAGCCTGTCATCCAAGCGTGTAATTCTTGACCCAGGCTGGCCATCTCGGTTGTGGCTTGCAAGTCCCGCTGGCATGTGATTTCCCAAAGGAGCCAGTCTTAGTCCGTAACCCCTTACCCTGTTCATTGTGGAAGTCCGGGGGCCCAAGGGCAGAAAGGGCTGCAGGGATAGCCTCATCAGAGGGCACTCAGGCAATGGAAGAGATGTGGCTGTGTTTCTGCTCTCTGCAGAAGAGAGTCCTGGAGGAGGGCCAGCAGCTGCCCCGGGTGCTGGGGAGACAGCAGAAGAGGGTGGACATCAGCAGGGCCAGGGCGATGATGAAGGTGAGCACCCATCGTAAGACACCCGGGTAGATGAAGGGCCCGATGAGGATAATGAGCAAGGCCAGCAGGAGTAGGTGCGCGGCCAGGCGCCGGGCTGCCACGTGGTTTGCACTTACTTCATCCTGTCCATCCTCTCCCACCAAGCTGGGGTGTCCTGCTGCCAAGTCAGCAGGATCCACCAGCCCCTGAGGACAGAGCGATACCTCTGTGCATGGCTGGGCCAGCTGCCCCACCACCGCCTCATGGTCGCGCAGGCTGCAGATGAGGCCCCCGGGGACGGCGGTGACCTTGCGGCACAGCGGGCAGGTGATGGACCAGGTGTTGTCCTGCACGCACAGCAGGAGCTTCAGGCAGATGGCGCAGAAGGCATGCTGGCAGGCCAGCAGCTTGGGCAACCGGGGACAGCTGTAGGGCTCCCGGCACACCAGACACTCCAGGTCACATTCTGTGGAGCCAGAATGACCCCCAGCAGGGGCCACAGCGGTGGTGGTTGTGGTGGCTCCTGCGGAGATGGGCTGGGACTGTTGCAGGGTCTTGGTGCAGGCCATTCTGGGCACAGGGACCGGTGGGACACTGTCGCTCAGCACCTGGGCATTGGCAGAGAGTGTCAGCTGGCGCCGCTGGGACTTGGATGGAATCTGCCCCTCCTTTTCACTCTGGCCAGGTGCCTGTTGACAACAGCTGTCTGACACTCCTCTCTCCCAGAGCTGCCCAGCTTGTTTCTTGGCTTACGTCGTCCCTTCAGTTATTATTATTTATTTTCTCAAAACCTAGGGTTAATCAGTAACTTGCGGGTCTGGAGACTTTGAATTGCCTGATAGGAGGGCAAAGTGGGCAAGGGTCTAGTGAATCAGGACTTTCCTGTTGGGGCCAGGTACCTGGTGGGTGCCCACAGAACTGTGGCTCAAGCTTTAGGAGGCAGCAGAATCCAACTCTCTCACCCCCACTTCCCAGGTCCCTGAACCTTTTATTAATTTTTTTTATTTAACTTTTTTTTTTTTTTTTGAGACGGAGTCTCGTTCTCTCAGGTTGGAGTGCAGTGGCCCGATCTTGGCTCACTGGCATCTACAAATCTGCACAATAAACAGACAGCCCTATGAGTCGGACATAGGTGGATTGGTGGACACTGCTTTCTCAGACACAAACTTTTGGATGTCAGGATGAGTGGAAAAAAGTTTGTTTGCACTTGGAGCACATTTACAGGCAGGTGGCCTTGGAAAGAGGAGGGGAGAGGTAAGAAAAGTGAGTGGAAGGAGGACAAAGCCCAACCCAACGCAGAAAAACAAAACCACATACAGCGCACAGGTGTTTGGCACCTGCTACTGTATTCATTTCCTTAGAGCCACAGCTGTTGTATTCACAGTTACGGGTGTATGAACTTCCCATCGGTGCCCTGCTGCACACTTCACATGCCTAATCACAGGTGTCCTGTTTTGTGCTAGGCATGCTGCGTATCCAGTAGTACTAAGAACAGCTGCCATTTATTTGGGCCTACTCTAAGCCAAGCCCTGTGCCCGGGGTCCCCAGCCCCCATTTCCCGGAACCCTGATACAGCCTTGTAGGGAAGGCTGGGAAACAAGGGCAGGGTGTGGTCAGGGTAGGCTGCTGGCTGCCTGCCAAGGGGCCTTCCATGGAGCAGGACCTTGTGGAATCTACCAGCGTCCAAGGTCTGGTTGAATCAATTTCATTGGTTCATTTGGACACAACTGGCCCCAGCCGGGTGGCGTAGGCTAAGAGGACTCATGTGAGACAGGCAGATATTAGTAACACAGCAGTTAGGAAAACGTGATTTCCTTACTTTGCCCTCAAGGGCAAATGGCGGGGTGGCATGTGCACTCCCTCAAACAAATGTTTCATTCAGGCCACTCTGAACTCAGAAGCCCGTGTGAAGGATCCTTTGGTGCTCATGTCACCTGCCAAGGGCCACACAGAGTCCTGTGCCTCTGATTCAGCTCTTTCCCTTACCCCAGTAGCTGGCACTGCAGGCCACCCTCTGTGTCCTGGAGTCACCAGCCCCAAAGGGGCTCCCTCCCTTGTGGGATCGGTAACTCCCACCTCCCCACTCCCCCTGGGCCCTCTATCTCTGAAATCCAATACTCTCACCATCCCATCCCATTTCTTCTCAACCTGTAGCTAGACCATCAGTTACCTCTGTGAAAGGAAAATAAATCGTGGGGCCCCAAAATCACTAAGCCACAAGGGAAAGTCAAGCTGGAAACTGCTTAGGGCCAGCCTGCCTCCCATTCTATTCAAAGTCACCTCTCTGCTCACTGAGACAAATGCATATCTGATTGCCTCCTTTGGAGATGCTAATCAGAAACTCAAAAGAATGTAACCATTCTTATCCACCTGTGACCTGGAAGCCCCTTCCCCACTTCAGGTCTTCCTGCCTTTGCTTCAAGTTGCTCCACCTTTTCAGATGGAACCAATGTTCATTTTACATATGTTGATTGATGTCTCATGTCCCTCTAAAACGTATAAAACCAAGCTGTGCTCTGTCCACCTTGGGCACATGTCATCAGGACCTCCTGAGGCTGTGTCACGGACATGTGTCCTCAACCTTGGCAAAATAAACTTTCTAAATTAACTGAGACCTGTCTCAGATACTAAGGTATAGATACACATCTATATCACGTTTTCCCCCAGATCAAGCTGAAGGTGGCCTTGGATCTAGGCATGTTTTTTCCCCCATGCCTAGCATTCTTTCCCCTTTTTTGGGTAACAGTTCTCTGTTTTCACTTTGGGCAACCACTGCTTCCCACCGTCATTCTGTGCTCACGGAGAGGGTGATGTCTGGCTCCAGCTCTCTGGAAGTGGGGCCCTGATACAATTCAGGACAGGCCAGTTAGCATGCTCTGCTCTGCTAGCTGCAGCCATTGGTTTGAGCGTAGGCATATAATCGAAGCCAAGCCAATGAGATTCAATTCTGAGACTTCTGTTGGAGCCCTTGAGAAGTTTCTCTTTGTGCTGGGTTTCTAAGTTAGAGGATGGAACCCTGGGGCTGCCAGGACCACAGTGTGCAGAGAACCTGCTCAAGAGTAAGGTCAGCACAAAAGAAAAATGAGAAAAGAATCAGACAAAGGCCTGATGATGTTATTTGAACACCTGAAGCAGGACACCTAGCATTGGATTTTTTCAAGGATATTAACCTATAAAATCTACCCTGATTTTTATTCTTAAGTCAGTTCAAATTGAACTTCTGTCCCTTGCAAGTGAAAGACCTCTATGTAACACAGCAATGGATGAAGAAAAGAAGCCTTTACTTGCTCTCTGACAAAGGGTCAGGCATTGATGAGACAACCAGACTTTGTACACGGACAAGAGTGACCGAATGCCTGTGTGTTACCATGCTAGAAGAGATTCTGTGTTTTCTCTGCTTGGACTTGCATTGCATAATGTTATTTTCTGTTTGTGAGACCCTAGGATGGATTAGGGATGAGAGGAGAAAAATGTGTTGAGCCACATTCATTTATAATAAGAATAGAAAATCAGGTGGGCCACACAGTGATGTTGGCTTGGCCAGTGTCCCTCTCACTTTTTTTTGAGATAGAGTCTCGCTCTGTCTTGCCCAGGCTGGAGTGCGACCTCTGCCTCCCGGGCTCAAGCGATTCTCTTGTCTCAGCCTCCTGAGTAGCTGGGACTACAGGCGTGTGCCACCACACCCGGCTAATATTGTATTTTTAGTGGAGATGGGCTTTCACTATGTTGGCCAGATCGGTCTCAAACTCCTGACCTCAGGTGATTCACCTGCCTCAGCCTCCCAAAATGCTAGGATTACAGGCATGAGCCGCTTCACCCAGCCGGCCAGTGCCTCTCTCTCTAGCCAGCTTAATGGGAAATCAAATTGTCAGAAGGTAGCTGAGTGAGGTTGAAATCAGACCAAGGGAAGTTATTTGGGGTTAGAGCCTAAAAAATAACCTTTTAACATCATTGGGCAACCACCGTTAAGAAAACATATTGGCTGGAACAACCCAAGTATTACAGAAATAAAGTAGAATGTGAAAGTTCATCTTACTGCAACCCCTGAGAAATGACCACTGTTAACAGAGCATTCCTTCCTGTTGTCCTCCTCCTACCATCTTGGCTTAGGAACAACTTTGTTTCTCAAAAGTGCCTTGCCTTAACTATCACCAGCACTGACTATAGCTGGAAATCTGGCTCCTGTCACTTTACCAGCTATGTGACCTTGGGCAAGAATTTTAACTTCACTGCAGTTCAGTTTTAAAATTTGATAAAATGGAGGCCGGGCACAGTGACTCAAGCCTGTAATCCCAGCACTTTGGGAAGCAGAGGTGGGTGGATCGCTTGAGCTCAGGAGTTCGAGACCGGCCTGGGCAATGAGGTGCAACCCTATCTCTACTAAAAATACAAAAAATAGCTGGGCCTGGTGGTGCATACCTGTAGCCCCAGCTACTTGGGAGGCCGAGGCAGGAGGATAGCTTGAGCCTGGGAGGTCGCAGTTGCGTGAGCCAAGATCGTGCCACTGCACTCCAGCCTGGGTGACAGAGTGACACTCTGTATTTAAAAAAAAGTAAATAAAATAAAATAAAACAAAATGGAGACGTTAACACTTGAGGAAATTATGGATTATTTAAGCCCTCCACCCCTGACTACAACCTGCTCACAGGAGGCTTAGTAATTTATGTACTTTGGGTTGTAACTGACCTAGGTGAAATTGATCTCTTCCAGGGACATGAGATAAGACACTTTGGTGACTGATTCGGCCAATGCTTCTTGAAGAGGAGTGAATATGGGCAGAGTCTGAGGTGGAGCCTGAAGCAGATCTACCCCAGGGGAATTCAAAAGTGTCTCCGGAGACTTAAAATGTTAAATTCATCTAGGTTTCACATTCTTCTCCATGTTCTATTTGTGCTTACTGCAACATTAGAATCCCGAAGCATGCACGAATCCTTCCAAATCTCCAAATAAAACATATTTGTTTGTTTTAATTGCTGTACAAATATGAACTCATTAATCTTGAGTAAAGCTTTTTTTTCTTTTTTCATTTGAAATGCAGTTTCTTCCATCTTATGGCTTCTCACAGCCCTGGGGTCATACGCACTCCATCGTGAGAAACACAGTCTCATGTTGGGGTGAAATTTCAAGCCTAGCTGCAGGCTGGGGAGCCGGAGCCAGTCCAGTTGAGGAAGATCATGTTGGAAATCACATGTGCAAGGAACCACACACCCATGTACCTTTGCAAAAACATGTCTGATCTGAATTTTAGGCCTCCCGTCAAGTCAGAAAGGAGTCAGGTGGCAGCACTGTTCTGAGATCAAACTGTCCACTCATCTTTGGCCTCTGTCCTGATCAGCTGACCCTCACCCCACACTCCAGTGAACACAGGGAGCCAGGTCCCAGCCAAACGCCGAGTTGCTCTCCACTCCTCCTTGCCTTGGGCTGAATGGAAACCATCTCAGCTCACACTCTTGTCCCAGAATTCTCGCCTCTGTGCTCCTTAGAGCATGGCAGGCTCCATCCCTATTTTCAGCCCCCCACCCCCACCCCCACCCCTCACCAAGAATCTGCGTGTCTGAGGATAGATTGCCAAGGAGACAGAAGAAAGGGATCTGGAACCAAAATAACAATAATGAGAAAATTATGACTGTATAGAGAGAAAGACAATGTAACAGAGATAGTGAATGCCTCGGGCACAAACTGCAGGAAGTTGGAAAACTACACTGTCTTTTTTTTTTTTTTTTTTGAGATGGAGGGCACTCACTGGGCTAGAGCTCTGAACTCACCACCGACAGGCAGTCAGTGGCCAAGTCGCTTAACCTCTCTAGGCCTCAGTTCTCTCCGTCTGTGAAATGGACACCTGCCCTGTCTCCTTACTGAGGAGCCAATGAAATGACAGAGGCTTGTGAATGGGGCAGGGGGGCCATTACTACTACTGACCTCACTCCCTGGACTCAAATCTTCCGTCTTTTTTTTTTTTTTTTTTTGAGATGCAGTTTTGCTCTTGTTGCCCAGGCTGGAGTGCAATGGTGCAATCTTGGCTCACTGCAACCTCCGCCTCACGGGTTCAAGAGATTCTCCTGCCTCAGCCGCTTGAGTACCTGGGACTACAGGCATGTGCCACCATGCCCAGCTAATTTTTTTTTGTATTTTTAGTGGAGACGGTGTTTCACCATGTTGTCCAGGTTGGTCTCGAACTCGTGACCTCAAGTGATCCACCCACCTCAGCCACCCAAAGTGTTGCGATTACAGTCGTGAGCCATCGCGCGCAGCCTAAACTGTCTTTTTTTTCTGTTGTTTAAAAATAATTATGTTAAAAAATACACGTTGATTGTAAAAAAAAAAAAAAGGGATTACTGATGAACAAAAAGAAAAAGACATCAGTAATCAGTAATCTCACAGCCCACAGAGAAGGAGAGTTAATTCTGAATATTTCCTTTTAGACTGCTTGTTTCTTTCTTGTTTTTTTTTTTTTTTTAGACAAAGTTTCACTCTAGTTGCCCAGGCTGGAGTGCAATGGCAAGATCTCAGCTCATGGCAACCTCCACCTCCCAGGTTCAAGTGATTCTCCTGTCTCAGCCTCCCGAGTAGCTGGGGTTACAGGTGTCCGCCACAACGCCCTGCTAATTTTCTGTATTTTTAGTAGAGACAGGGTTTCACCATGTTGGCCACGCTGGTCTCGAACTCCTGACCTCAGGTGATCTGCTTGCCTCAGCCTCCCAAAGTGTTGGGATTACAGGCGTGAGCCACCACGCCCGGCCTAGACTGCTTTCTGTGTATACTTCTACAGACCTCCCCCGTACACCCCCGCCCCCACCAAAATGGGAATCTACTATTTACATTTTAGTAATTTATATTTTTACTTAATAGATTATCAGTACATCTCTTTCCATATTAATAAATACATTTCAAATCATTCCTGAAGGTTGTATATTATTCCATCATGTGAATGTACCATATTTTAATTCATCAACTCCTATGAGTTAAATATTTAGACTGTTTCCATTTTTCACTGTTATCAACAGTCCTGTGATGGGTATCCTTGGATGTGCACTTTTCATTTTTGGCCTTTTCAAAATTGTATTATGTATGTTATCTTCTTTCTCTGCCTTTTGGACAGTGGTTCAGGTCTTAAAACTTGGATCTGTGATGACCTGTTTATGAACCTGGTTTAAGCCAGAAGGTTGGAATTATTAGCTAAGCAGCAACAGAAAAAAAAATTTTTGTCCAACTCAGAATTATTACAGTGTACCTACCCCGGAGGTTATAGAAATCAGACGACGAACCTCTAGGACTACATGTTCTTTGAGTTTGGAATAATTCTAGGGTCTGGACCCATTTCCCACTGCCATCTCTAAACTTTCTCATCCCTCCCACCCTTATCTGTGACCTCCTTCTGATTGTTCTCTTAGTTTCTGACCATCTCCTGGGACACATCTGGCCTGTCTTGAAATTCCATTCTTAACTGTTCCCTCAATTCTATGATCCTGACCCTGACCCTGACCCAGCCCTAACCCCTGGCCCTTTCAACACTGTGATATGTATGTCATCTTGTATCTCTGCCTTTTTGGCAGTAGTGCAGGTGCCAAACTTGGATCTAAGCTTAAGGCTAAGCTAGTGGGCAAAGGGAATCCCACCTTTGCACTTGGCCCAGGCTCCAGTGGGAGAGCAGGCTCCCACTTGGCAGAGATGGATCATCTCACCTGGTGTGAGACGTTCTTGTCTTTACCCTCCATAACCTCTTTCCCTCATCCTCCACTGTTTGGATTAAGAATGGGAATCCTGGAAGAGAAGAGTTTTGGGAAGAGTTGTTCTTACTTATTCATGGGAGTAGATGCATGAATAAGATGCATGATATGTCTTTGGCTGACAAATCAAAACATCTGAGGTCTGGGCTTTGTCAGGCACTACTGCCTTAAACCATAGATGATCAACTCTAATCAAACACCTGGCGGAGAGACATTTTTATCTGGAGGAATTTAGCTCATCTGTTCCTCCAGATCAGTACTTCTTAAACTGTGGTTCATGCATCTCTAGTTTTCTGTGAGCTTCTAAAAGGTACTTCTGAAAAAATCTGGGGGTGGGTGAAGAAGAGAGTTCCACAGACAAATCAGTTTGAGAAATAATGCATCCTTCACTTGACCTTGGAGATTCACAATGGGCATTAGAGCATTAAAAGCTTTTAGAAATCCAGCAGTTAAAACACCTGCTTGATTTTGTTTACTCCTGACTTTAATTTGCCTGTGGAACTCTTTTCATACAAAACACTTCTTAATGCTATGTACAACTCTGGGGTTCTGAGAGACACAGTTTAGGAAATGCTGAGGGATCAAGCTAAGCCATTAGAAAGTTGCATTTGACTCTGGGCTTTCTAATCACTCTCATTGAGTTGTATTTTGGGACTATTCTGTTAGCTTCCTTCAAAGGATGCGTTAGGAAATAGGGTTAAGAAAACTGTTACTGCATTTGCCTTCAGGATGTGGCCTGGGATGCTATATGACAGTATTCAGTATCACCTAAACAGAGCATGTGAAAATTTTCTTTTGGGGCCAAGTGTTGGAAAAAGCTTTTTGCTTCCTCTGACTGCAAATTGTGTCTGTTCTCACTACTCAGATATTCTGAACTACATAATTGACTGTTTTCCATTTTTGCTTTGGCCACCAGGAAGCTCAACAATAGCTACCGTGAAATGTCACTTTTTGCATGTGATGCTGCATTCCATCTCCATCCTTTTAGTCTATATTTTCTATCCTAGTTTATAGTTTACCCTCTCCTGGTGCCTGATGTTTGGTTTTTGTATTTATATTTCACTTGAATATATTTCTTTCTATTTTTTTTAAGACAGAGTTTCTCTCTGTCACCCAGGCTGGAGTGTAGTGGCACGATCTCAGCTCACCGTAACCTCCACCTCCTGGGTTCAAGTGATTGTTACGCCTCAGCCTCCCAAGTAGCTGAAATTATAGATGCCCGCCACCACACTTGGCTCATTTTTGTATTTTAGTAGAGACGGGATTTCCCCATGTTGGCCAGGCTGATCTCAATCTCCTGGCTTCAAGTAATCTGCCTGCCTCGGCCTCCTAATGTGCTGGGATTACAGGCGTGAGCCACCACACCTGGCCTCACTTGTGTATATTTCTTATAAACAATTGTGGAAAGAGGAAAGGTAGAAAAAGAAGAAGAAAATAAATAAAGAAGGTTGGGTGCGGGGGCTCACGCCTGTAATCCCAGCACTTTGGGAGGCCGAGGCGGGTGGATTACCTGAGGTTAGGAGTTGGAGACCAGCCTGGCCAACATGGCGAAACCCTGTCTCTACTAAAAATACAAAAATTAGCTGGGTGTAGTGGCACACACCTGTAATTTCAGCTACTCGAGAGGCTGAGGCAGAAGAATCGCTTGAACCCAGGAGGCGGAGGTTGCAGTGAGCCCAGATAGTGCCACTGCACTCCAGCCTGGGCAACAGAGCAACACTCTGTCTCAAAAAAAAAAAAAAAGAAAAAGAAAAAATAAAGAAAAACTCAGAGAAAGAATTGGCAACTATAGGACAGCAGGCAGAGGTAGGGGGAGAGTGTAGGTGTGTAACCTGGCATCCTCGGGCTTTCTCAAGATTAAACCCCTGGGCTTTTGCCTCTTTCGACTCATGCTGTCCTGGATACCGAAAGCTTGGAGACAGCATGTGCCTTTGTGAGAACACTTCTCCACCTGTCCTCTGCTCGTCACATTCCAGGGAGCACAGACCCGGGGTCTGGACTACTGGACCATGTAAAAATTAATCATCCCAAGCATGGTCTTTGATCCATTAAACTGCTATCCATGGTGAAATCAGCCCAAGCACATAAGGTTGCCAAACTAGCCCCTCTTTATTTCCCAAAATGTCCAGTCTTGGCCTTCCCAGAGTTCTCCTGGGAGGAAGACACTCAACTCAAAATAAGAGAGGGTCCTGAGCTCATGGGCTTTGAGTGGAGGGTGGGAGGCTGTTTTTCAATAGACTAGCATATTGGACAGACCTGTCTTCAAATCTTAGCTGTGTGTCTTCCAAGAACCAACTTATTTTGTTTCTTCATCTGCCTAATGGAGATCAAAATAGCGTTTGTGTCAGGAATCTTATTTTGGTTATAAGAGTTGGAAAATTCCACTCAAGCTGGCAGAACCCACAAATAAAGGGCATTTCTTGGCTCATGTGACTGAGAAGTCCAGAGGTGGTTTAGCTTTGGGTGGATTTTGACCACGTGGCTCTTGCAAGAGCTGCCATTTGTTGAGTGCTTCATGGGTTAGTCATTTACTCCCCCTTGGTGAGAAGCGACTTCCTGTGGCTCTTCTGTTGTTTTCTTTCCTGCCTTGATTTCTTTATCTGTAGAAAGGGGATAGTATTGTCTACTTTATAGAATTGCATGAGGCTTGGAGATAATGTGTGGAAAAAGCACCGAACATAGTGCTTGGAGCATAAGAGTTTCTCAGTCAATGCAAAGTTTCTGTATTATTCAGGATCAAGAAGAAAACTTGAGGGAAGATAGAGACCTCCCTGCCCTAGGTCTTCTACCCTTGTCATCTTGGGTGAAGAGGGGACCATGCTTAGTGTCACAGTGCCTCCCAGAAGCAACGTTCTCAATGGGGGTCTGCATGGAGGACAGCACCCTGAGCTCACTTCTCCTTTAGCCACAAGCCATGAGCATGATCATGTGCCCTCAGGGGTAGAGGGAGCCCCAGACACCCAACCCTTGCTACTCCCAATACTCCTGGTTCACAATAACCTCAGGACCCCAGACTTCCAGGTCATTCCTCACATTGGGCTTGTGAATCTCCAAAAGGCTCTGTCACGTTCTATTCAGTCCCCTTCCCCACCCCTCCCTGCCAACTTTCCATGCTGCCCTCTGGAGTTCACCTCGATTATCAGCAAGAATCCCAACATGCTGACTTCTCCGAGTTCCTTTCACTCTGTGGCTCTCACAGAAGCCCAGCCCCCCTGGGACTCTGGCCTGCTGCCCTCTCCAGCAGAGGCTGCTTTTCCTCTCACAACGCTGGCACTGCTGGGCCTGCAGGTGGGGCAGGTGCCTTCCTTGCTCCCTTACTGCCATATATAGACCCTTCTCTTTCCCCTTATCCTAAAACCACTCCGCTTGACCCTCGTGTCATCAGATGACACATTCCCCCACTCCTCCTTGTCCTTGTCTTTTTTTTTTGAGATGAAGTCTCACTCTGTCACCACCTAGGCTGGAGTTCAGTGGTACAATCTAGGCTCACTGCAACCTTTGCCTTCCAGGTTCGAGCGATTCTCCTGCCTCAGTCTCCTGAGTAGCTGGGATTACAGGTGTGCACCACCACGCTTGGCAATTTTTTTTTTGTATTTTTAGTACAGACAAGGGTTTCGCCATGTTGGCTAGGCTGGTCTTGAACTCCTGACCGCAAATGATCCATCTGCCTTGCCCTCCCAAACTGCTGAGATTACAGGTGTGAGCCACTGTACCTGGACTTTGTCCTGGTCTTTTGCTGACTTCTCGCTCATTCTCCCTCATTCTTCCATGGTCTGGGCTCCCAGCTCACCGTTGCTTTCTCCCCTGACTCCAGCCTTAATTCATAATGATTTCACATGTTGGTGATCTCCAAACCCCAGGCCCTCAGTTCTTCCCCATCACTCCCTCAGTGATCTCAACCTCCACTCAACCTCAGCCCCTTGCTCCAATGAGCATATTTTGTTTTTACCAATAAGTCGTAGTATCAGCTTCATGCATCCAGCTCTCTACCTGCCACTTCCTATCTTTCTAGCCCATTCTCTTTAGTCCTCAAACTCTGACAATCCTTGGACACCGGCACTCCCAGTGTTCCTGTGAGAGTTTCATGGCCCCTCAACCCTCAATATCCTCATCCCTTGCCTTCTCCAATATTTAATAATCCCAATGATTACAATCACCAACTCTTTGATACAAACCAGTTCTCCACACTTTATTTATTATTTTTGAGAGGCGGTTATTTTTATTATATTAGGTATATATATTTTGAGACAAGATCTTGTTCTATTGTCCAGGCTGGAGTGCAGTGGTGGAACATAGTTCACTGCAGCCTCCACTTTCTGGGCTTAAGTGATCCTCCCATCTCAGTCTCCTGAGTAGCTGGGACTGCAGGTACACCTCTGTGCCCAGTTTTTTTTATTTTTATTTTTTTCGTAGAGACAGAGTCTCACTGTGTTGCTCGGGCTGGTCTCGAACTGCTGGCCTCCACCTCCCACCTCTGCCACCCAAAGTTTTAGGATGATAGACATGAACCACTGCGCCAGGCTTGGCCTCACTTTCAAATTTCAACTGGGATCTTCCAATGAGCCTTCAATGCTGCTAGGCAAGTACCCACTATGTCCCTAGACCATTCACTGTCCCTTCTCCACTTCGTTTTTTCACACTCTCTGCTCTCTCCTCAAAGCCCAACCCCTGAGAAGTAACCCATGAGATAAGAGAAAAAGATGGTGTTCTGGGAGTCAAAGAAAGAAAGAAAGGAGGGCGTGATCAACCAGGTCAAATGCTGCTTCTATTGCATAAGTAAATCAAGGGCTAAAGATTGCCCATTGGATTTAACATGGAGGTCATTGGTGGAATGGTGGGAATTAAAGCCTGATTTAATAATTTTAAGAGAAGAGGAGTGTATACCCAGAATTTGTGCATTTCATTGTATGTAAATTTTGCCTCAAAAGAAAGGAAATATAAACAAATATTGTATAATAGGTATTGACACACATACTAAAGAATTTAAGGAGAAGTGTATTGGTATCTGCAATTTACTTTGAATTACATAAAAAAATAAGATGAGTTGATGAATGGTTAGAAGGATGATTAGATAAGCAATGAAGCAAGTATAATAGAATATTGATGGTAGAATCTAGACGGTGGATATATTGGTATGTACCATAAACTTCTTCTTCTTCTTTTTTTTTATACACAGTCTTGCTCCATTGAGCAGGCCAGAGTGCAGTGGTGCGATCTCGGCTTACTGCAAACTCTGCCTCCTGGGTTCAAGCGATTCTCCTGCCTCAGCCTCCCAAGTAGCTGGGATTACAGGCATGCACCACCATGCCTGGCTAATTTTTGTACTTTTAGTAGAGATGGGGTTTCACCATGTTGGCCAGGCTGGTCTCAAACTCCTGACCTCAGGTGATCCACCTGCCTCGACCTTCCAAAGTGCTGGGATTACAGGTGTGAGCCACCGCACCCAGCCAAAATTCTTTTACCTTTACAGTATTTTTCTCCTTTTTCATTATGATAAAATATATATAACAGAAAATTTATCATTTTAACCTTTTTTTTTTTTTTTGAGATGGAGTTTCGCTCTTGTTGAAGTGTAATGGAGTGCAATGGCACGATCTTGGCTCCCTGCAACCTCCGCCTCCTGGGTTCAAGCGATTCTCCTGCCTCAGCCTCCCGAGTAGCTGGGATTACAGGCATGCGCCACCACACTCGACTAATTTTGTATTTTTAGTAGAGACGGGGTTTCACCATGTTGGTCAGGTTGGTCTCAAACTCCAGACCTCAGGTGATGTGCCCATCTTGGCCTCCCAAAGTGCTAGGATTACAGGCATGAGCCACTGTGCCCAGCCCATTTTAACCATTTTTAAGTGGATAATTCAGTGGTATTAAATGCTTTCATAATATTGTGCAACCCTCACCACCATCCATCTCCATACTCTTCATCTTGCAAAACTGAAACTCTACACCCATTAAACAATAACTCCCCATTCTCCTCTCTCTTAACCCCTGGAACCACCACTTTACTTTCTGTCCATGATTTTGACTATTCTAAGTGCCTTATATATACGGAACCATACAGTATTTAACTTTTTGTGACTGGCTTATTCATTTAGCGTAATATCCTCAAGTTTCATCCATGTTGCGGCATATTGCAGAATTTTCTTCCTTTTTGAGGCTGAGTAACATTCCACTGTATGGATATACCACATTTTGCTTCTCTATTCATCTGATGGACACTTAGGTTGCCTCTCCATTTTAGCTATTATTAATAATGCTGTATGAACATGGGTGTACAAGTATCTCTGCAAGACCCGGCTTTCAATTCTTTTGAGTGTATACCCAGACATGGGATTGCTAGATCACATGGTAATTCTATTTCTTTTCTTTTCTTTCTTTCTTTTTTTTCTTTTTCTTTTTTTTTTTTTTTTAGATTCAGGGTCTTGCTCTGTCACCCAGGTTGGAGTGCAGTTGCACAATCATAGCTTACTGCAGTCTTAAACTCCTGGACTCAAGCAAGCAACCCTCCTCAGCCTCCCGAGTTGTTGAGATTACAGGTGTGAGTCACCATGCCCAGCAGTAATTCTATTCTTAATTTTTTTCAAAGAAAACTCCATACTGTTTTCCACAGCAGTTGTATCATTGTACATTACTACCAACGGTTCCCAAAGGTCTAATTTGTCTATATCCTCACTAACAAGCTGTTTTCAGTTTTTTTTTTTTTTTGATAGCCACCATCCTAATGGGTGTGAGGTGGTATCTCACTGTAGTTTTGATTTACATTTCCTTAATGATTGGTGCTTAATGATTCATTGCCTCCTGACCACCCTCCCCACCCCACCCATCAACCTTGGCAACCTCTGATCTTTTTACCATAATCATAGTTTTGCCTTTTCCAAAATGTAATAAAGTTGGAATCACACACCCTGCAACCTTTTCAGTCTGACTTCCTTCACTTGGTAATATACATTTTAGGTTTCTCCATGTCTTTTCGTGGCTTGATAGTGCATTCCTTTTTAGCACTGAATAATATTTCATTGTCTGGATGTACCACAGTTTGTTTATCCATTCACCTACTAAAGGACATCTTGGTTGCTACCAACTTTTGGCAATTATGAATAAAGCTGCAAAAAACATCTGTGTGCAGGTTTTTGTGTGGACATAAGTTTTCAACTCCTTTGAATAAATACTAAGCAACATGGTTTCTGGATCATGTAGTAAGAGTATGTTTAGTTTTGTAAGAAACTGCCAAACCATCTTCCAAAGTGTTTGTATCATTTTGCCTTCCTACCAGCCATGAGTGAGAGTTCCTGTTGCTTCACATCCTTGTCAGCTTTTGGTGTTGTGAGTGTTTCAGATTTTGGCCATTCTAATAGATGCGTAGTAATATCGCATGTTTTAATTTGTGTTTCCCTGATGCCATGTGGTATGGGGTATCTTTTTGTATGCTTATTTGCCATCTGTATATCTTCTTTGGTGAGGTATCTGTTAAAGTCTTTGGCCCTTATTTATTTACTTATTTATTTAATTTTTGAGATGGAGTCTTGCTCTGTTGCCCAGGCTGGGGTGTGGTGGTGCGATCTTGGCTCACTGCAACCTCCGCCTCCCTGGGTTCAAGCTACTCTCCTGCCTCAGCCTCCCGAGTAACTGGGATTACAGGTGTATGCCACCATGCCTGGCTAATTTTTTGTGTTTTTAGTAGAGACAGGGTTTCACCATGTTGGCCAGGCTGGTCTTGAACTCCTGACCTCAAGTGATCCACACATCTCGGCCTCCCAAAGTGCTGGGATTACAGGCATGAGCCACTGCACCCAGCCATTTGGCCCATTTTAAAATCAGGCTGTTTGTTTTCTTATTGGTGAGTTTTAAGGATTCTTTATATATTTTGGATAACAGTCCTCTGTCAGCTATGTCTTTGGTTTTTCTTCCCCCAGTCCATGTTTGTCTTCTCATTCTCTTGACAATGTCTTCCATAGAGCAGATTTTAAAAAATTTTTGTTTGTTTGTTTGTTTTTGTTTTTTGAGATGGAGTCTCACTTTGTTGCCCAGGCTGGAGTGCAGTGGCGCGATCTTGGCTCACTGCAACCTCTGCCTCTTCGGTTCAAGTGATTCTCCTGCCTCAGCCTCCCTAGTAGCTGGAATTACAGGTGTGTGCCACCACACCTGGCTAATTTTTGTATTTTTAGTAGAGACGGGGTTTCACCATGTTGGCCAGGCTGGTCTTGAACCCCTGACCTCAGGTAATCCACCCACCTCAGCCTCCCAAAGTGCTGGAATTACAGGCGTGAGCCACCACGCCCTGCCTTTTTTTTTTTTTTTAATTTTAAGGATGTCCAGCTTATCATTATTTGTTTCACTGATTGTGACTCTGTTCTATCTAAAAAGCCATCATCATACCCAAGGTTATTTAGGTTTTCTCCTATATTATTTTCTAGGAGTTTTATAGTTATTCTATTTTGAGTCAGTTTTTGTGATAGATAATAAGGTCTGTGTCTAGATTCATTTCAACCTTCCCCTTTTCAGTTGATGACAAGTCCATTCTTCAAGTTGCTCAGGTGAAAAACCTTGGAGTTGTTTTTGATTCTTCTCTTTCTTTCACACTCTATAGCCAATTGGTCAGAAATCTAATTGGCTCTATCTTCAGTATATATCCTGAATCTAATTACTTCTCACCATTGCCACTGCTACCACCCTTGTCGAAGCCACCATCATCTCACTCCTGGATTATTGGTGATAGCCCCCTGATAGGCCCTCCTGCTACCACCCTTGTCCCCCTACATATTCTCAACTCACCAGATATTAAACAGCAACGATTTAAAAATGGAAGTAAAGACGTTTGAAAATTCTCTCCTCCATAAAAGCAAGAATAAAATAGGCAAAAATATGTCAGAATCAACTCTTCAGAACTTTGGAAATTAACCAAAGGCTTGCAGCAATATGGGGAGTGTTTATTCAAGAAAAATAGCTGAATCTTAATGATAAAAGCAAGCTCTATGGTATTTTAACTTGCACTATTTTCATTACCCTCTCTCTAATGCTGGGGTAGTCATGAAAACCAGCAGCCCACAATGATGGTAAAAACCAGCAGCCAGACAGCCACAAGAAGGGGAAGCTGGGGTTGGAGCTTCTTCAAAATGCCATTCTCAGAGAATTGTCATTATGTGATTTGTGCGGTGGTTCACTGGAAGACCCTCTTTGCAACACTCTCTTTATTTGTCTTGACTTGGAGCTCACCCAATGTTTAAAGCCTTCTTCCCAGAGGTGTTCGGCAGAAACATTTAGAAGAAATTATTTAACTTTGTGGTTGCCTGAAATAGTGGGTAACTGTTGGTGTGAACAATAGGCTATTTGAAATGCTTGAAAGGAAAAAAAAATACAGGAAATGAGGTATTCACAGGGGCTATGAAAAACTCTGACATATACCTGAGAACCTAGAAAACCACATGCATGCACGCAGCTGTGAGTATGCCAAGGGCTATGCATGTACTCAGGAAAAACGTAGGAAGACCCTATGCTCTTAACTCTGTTTGGCCTTGAGGATCTGCACAAGTAGGAAGTGAAGACTAAGGCAGAGTTTTCAGCTATCTGGCTGAATGTTGAAAGAATGCCCCAGCACACACACACAGAGCCCCTTGACAAAGATTGGAGAACTTATAAGTTCTTGGTGATTAAGAAAATCTCTGTCCAATGACTGACAGATCGCTAAGCTTACCAAGGAAAGGCTTTAGTGACTATACACAACAAAGAATAAGGCTTTACAGAATTAGTTCAGAAAAGTCATGAAATAGGCAACAACTGCAATAACAACAGACAGCACCACCAACAAACCCTCAGGAGGGAGGAGAAATCTCATGCCCAGCATTGCCACATTATATTGCTTAAAATGTCCAGTTTTAAACATAAATTTATGAGACATACAAAGAGACAATACAGTACGGCCCATACACAGGAAAAAGGCAATCACTAGAATTCTTCCCTGAGGAAAACCCCAGATGCTGAACTTAATAGACAAAGATTTTAAATCAACTATTTAAAATATGTTCAAAGAACTAAAGGAAAACAAGTCTAAAGAAATAAAGGAAAGTATGGGCCAGGCGCGGGGGCTCACGCCTGTAATCCCTGCACTTTGGGAGGCCAAGGCAGGCGGATCATGAGGTCAGGAGATCAAGACCATCCTGGCTAACACGGTGAAACTCCATCTCTCCAAAAAAAATACAAAAAAATTAGCCGGGTGTGGTGGCAGGTGCCTGTAGTCCCAGCTACTCAGGAGGCTGAGGCAGGAGAATGGCATGAATCCGGGACGTGGAGCTTGCAGTGAGCCGAGATCGTGCCACTGCACTCCAGCCTGGGTGACACAGCAAGACTCTGTCTCAAAAAAAAAGAAATAAAGGAAAGTATGAGAACAATGTCTCACCAAGTAGAGATTATTAATATAAAGATAGAAATAATAAGAGAAGGAACCAAATAGATATCCCAGTGTTGAAAAGTATAATAACTGAAGTTAAAAATCAATGAGGGATGCTCAACAGCAGATTTGAGCAGGTGGAAGAAAGAATTAGTGACCCTGATGATAGTTCAATTGAGATTATCCATTTGGAGGAACAGAAAGAAAAAAATGAAGAAAAATGAACAGAGCATCAGAGAGCTATGAGACACTATCACATGTACCAATATATGAATAACGAGGGTCCAAGTAGGAGAAAAAAAGAGCAGATAAAATATTTGAAGAAAAATGACTGAAAACTTCCCAAATTTGATGAAAAACTAGAATCTACATATCTAAGAAGTTCAATCAACTCCAAGAAGGAGAAACTCAAGGAGTTCCACATCTACACACATCGTAATCAAACTTTTAAAAGACAAGAAGAAAAATATTGAAAGCAGCAAGAGATAAGCTACTCATCATATACAATGGATCTTCAACAAATTTAACAGCTGATATCTCATCCAAAATCATGGAGGTTTGAAGGTAATGTACAGAACATTTAAAGTACAAGGAGAAAAAAGACTTGTCAACCAATAACTCTGTATCTAGCACAACTATCATTCAAAATTGAAGGTGAAATTAAATCACTCTCAGCCAGGCATGGTGGCTCATGCCTGTAATCCTAGCACTTTGGGAGGCCAAGGCGGGTGTATCACCTGAGGTCAGGAGTTCAAGACCAGCCTGGCCAACATGGTGAAACCCCGTCTCTACTAAAATACTAAAATTAGCTGGCTGTGGTGGCAGGTGCCTATAGTCTCAACTACTCAGGAGGCTGAGGCAGGAGAATCACTTGAACCCAGGAGGCAGAGGTTGCAATGAGCCAAGATCACACTGGTGCACTCCAGCCTGGGCGACACAGCGAGACTCAGTCTCAAAAAAAAAAAAAAAAAAGAGAAAGAAAAAACGGTCAGGTGTGGTGGCTCATGCCTATAATCTCAGCACTTTGGGAGGCCAAGGCGGGCGGATCACATGAGGTTGGGAGTTTGAGACCAGCCTGACCCACATGGAGAAACCCCGTCTCTACTAAAAATACAAAATTAGCCGGGAGTGGTAGTTCATGCCTGTAATCCCAGCTACTCAAGAGGCTGAGGCAGGAGAACTGCTTGAACCTGGAAGGTTGAGGTTGCGGTGAGCCTAGATTAAGCCATTGCACTCCAGTCTGGGCAACAAGAGCAAAACTCTGTCTCAAAAAAAGAAAGAAAGAAAAAAGAAATTAAGGCACTTTCAGATAAACAAACAAAAACTCAGAGAATTCATCACTTATAGACTTGCCTTATGAAGATACTAAAGGGAATCCTTCAAGCTAAAATGAAAGTACACTAGACACTAAACACTAGACACTGTCTAGTAACCTAGATCTACATGAAGAAATAAAGAGCACTAGTAAAAATAGTAACATACGTAAATATAAAAAACAATATAATTGTATTTTGTGTTTGTAACCCTTTTTTCTCCTGAGCTAAAAGACAACCTCATAAAAATAATTATAAATATGTGTTGATAGGCATAAAATGAATACAGATATAATTTATATGGCAATAACAGCAGAAAGGGGAGGGGATGAAATGGAGTTATATGGAGAAAAGTTTTTGTATACTATTGAAATTAAGTTAGAATTCATCTTACCTACATAATGATAAATTGAAATGTTAAATGTAATCCTCAGGACAACCACTAAGAAAATAACTAAAAATTGGCTGGGCGCAGTGGCTCATCCCTGTAATACCAGCACTTTGGGAGGCCAAGGTGGGCGGATCACAAGGTCAGAAGTTCAAGACCAGCCTGGCCAACATGGTGAAACCCCATCTCTACTAAAGATACAAAAAATTAGCCAGGCATGGTGGCGGGCACCTGTAATCCCAGCTACTCGGGGGGCTGAGGCAGGAGAATCTCTTGAACCTGTAAGGCAGAGGTTGCAGTGAGCCAAGATCGCGCCATTGCACTCCAGCCTGGGCAACAAGAGCAAAATTCCGTCTCAAAAAATTTAAAAAATAAATAAATCAAACACTAAAAATAAATGTAGTGCAAAAATGACAAGGGAATTAAAATAGAACACTAGAAAATATCTGTTTACGCTGGGCGTGGTGGCTCAGGCTTATAATCCCAGCACTTTGGGAGGCCAAGGCGGGTGGATCACCTGAGGTCAGGAGTTCGAGACCAGCTTGCCCAACATGGTGAAACCCCCGTCTCTACTAAAAATACAAAAATTAGCTGGGTGTGGTGGCAGGTGACTGCAATCCCAGCTACTCAGGAGGCTGAGGCAGGAGAATCGCTTGAACCTGGGTGGTGGAGGTCACAGTGAGCCAAGATCACGCCGCTGCACTCCAGCCTGGGCAACAGACTGAGACTCTGTCTCAAAACAAACAAACAAACAATCAAACAAAAAAAGAAAATATCTGGTTAACACAAAAGAAGACAGTAGTAGAGTAGAGGAACAGAAAAGACATGATGTATAAAAAACAAATAGAAAATGGCAGATGTAAAGCCTATGTTACTGGCAACTACAATAAATCTAAATTGATTACTCCAATTAAAAAGCAGAGATTGAAAGACTGGATAAAAATATGATTCAACTATATGCTATCTATAAGACATACAATTTAGATTCAAGATCACAAACAAGTTAAAAGTAAAAGGGTGGAAAAAACTATATACCATGAAATAGTAACTAAAGGAGAGTTGGAATGGCTACACTAACATCTAACCAAATAGACTTTAAGACAGCAATCATTACTAGAGACAAAGGACACTTTATAATGAGAAAAGAGTCAATCCATTAAGAAGATCTATCAATTATAAACATATGTGCTTTAACAACGGAGACCCCAAATATGTGAAGCAACAGCTGCCAGATTGAAGGGAGAAATAGACAATTCAAAAGTAATAGTTGAAGACTTCAAAGCCCCACTTTAAACAATGGATAGAATAATTAGAGGATCAACAAGGAAACAGATGACTTGAATAACACTACAAAGCAAATTAGACCAAACAGACATCTGTAGAAGTCTCCACCCAACAATTGCAGAATATAAATTCTTCTCAAGGGCACGTAAGACACATTCCAGAATAGACCACACATTAGGCCATAAGACAAGTCACCACTTTGAGAGGGCAAAGTGGGAGGACCACTTGAAGCCAGGAATTTGAGACCAGCCCAGGCAACATAGCGAGACCCTATCTACACAAAAATTTTAAAATAAATTTAGGCTGGGCGCAGTGGTTTATGCCTGTAATCCCAACACTTTGGGAGGCCGAGGCGGGTGGATCACCTGAGGTCAGGAGTTCCAGACCAGCCTGGCCAACATGGCGAAACCCCATCTCTACCAAAAATAAAAAATTAGCCAGGCGTGGTGGCAGGTGCCTGTAATCCCAGCTACTTGGGAGGCTGAGGCAGGAGAATTGCTTGAACCTGGGAGGCGGAGGTTGTAGTGAGCCAAGATCATGCCATTGCATTCCAGCCTGGGCAACAAGAGCGAGACTCCATCTCAAAAAAAAAAAAAAAAATTTTAGCCAGGTGTGGTGATGTGTACCTGTAATCCTAGACACTCAGGAGATTGGAACTGCTTAAGCCCAGGAGTTTGAGGCTGTAGTGAGCTATGATCATGCCACTGTATTCTAGCCTGTGTGGCAGGGCAAGATCCTGTCTCTAAATGACAAACAAACAAAAAACAAAGAAAAGAAAAGAAAAGAAAAGGCTGGGCACGGTGGCTCATGCCTGTAATCCCCGTACTTTGGGTGGCTGAGGCGGGTGGATCATGAGGTCAGGAGTTTGAGACCAGCCTGGCCAACATAGTGAAACCCTGTCTCTACTAAAAATACAAAAATTAGCGGACATGGTGACGCACACCTGTAGTCCCAGCTACTCGGGAGGCTGAGGCAGGAGAATTGCTTGAATCCAGGAGGCGGAGGTTGTGATGAGCCAAGATCACGCCACTGCACTCTGGCCTGGGCAACAGAGCAAGACTCTGTCTCAAAAAAAAAAAAAAAAGTCACAATAAGTGTAACAGGTTTGAAATAATAAGTTAAGTTCTCTGACCACAATGGAAGAAAATTAAAAATCAATAATAGAAGAAAATTTGGGACATTCACAAATATGTGGTAATTAAGCAATGAATTCTGAAATAGCCAATGAGTCAAAAAAGAAATCACAGAGGAAATTAGGAAATACCTTGATGAAAGAAAACAAAATCACAACACACTAAAACTAATGGTATGCAGCTGAAGCCGTTGATTAGAAGGACATTTACAGGTGTAAGTGTGTACATTAAACATGAAGAAAAATCTCAGGTCAATGACCTAAACTTCCCCTTCAAGAAAACAAAAGAGGAAGAGGAAGAAAGAAAAGGAGGAGGAGAAACTAAATCCAAAGAAAGCAGAAGGAAGGAAATCATAAAGATTATAGTAGAAATAAGTAAAATTGAGGCAATAAAATAATAGAGAAAAATTAATGAAATTAAAAGATGCTTCTTTGTAAACATCAACATAATTGACAAACCTTTGTCTAGACTGATCAAGAGAAAAAGAAAGAAGACCTAAATTACTAAAACAATGAATGAAAAAGAGAGCATGTCTACTGACCTTACAGAAATAAAAGTAATATGAGGGAATATTATGAACAATTGTATACCAACAAATTAGATAATCTAAATGAAACGGACAATCTCTTAGGAAGACACACATTACTAAACTGACTCAATAAGAAATAAAAAATCTGAATAGATCTATAACAAGTAAGGAGATTGAATTAATACCTTAAAATATTTCTTATAAAAAAAAATCCAGGAGCAGATGGCTTCACTGATGAATTCTATCAAATGTTTAAAGAAGAATTAACAATTCTTCACAAACTCTTCCAAAAAATAGAAGGGGAGGGAATAGTTCCCAACTCATATTTTGAGGCCAGTATTACCCTAATACCGAAACCAGACCAAGATATCACAAGAAAAACGAAACAAAATAGACCAATATTCCTGATGAATATAGATGCAAAATTCCTGAACAAAAAGCCAGCAAACCAAATCCAGCAATATATAAAAAGGATTATGCACCACAATCAGGTGGGGTGTATTCCAGGAATGCAAAGTTGGTTCAACATATCAAAATTCAATTAATGTGATACACTATTTTAATAGAAAAAGACAAAAAACTACATGATCATCTCAATAGCTACAGAGAAAGTAGCAAAATTCAACACACTTTCAAGATAAAAAACACTCAAGATGCTGGGCACAGTGGCATGTGCTTGTAGTACCAACTACTCAGGAGGCTGAGATGAGAGGATTGCTTGAGTCCAGGGGTTCAAGTTCAGCTTGGGCAACATATGGAGACGCTGCCTCGACAAAACAAAAACAAACACAAACAAACAAAACATTCAGGAAACTAGGGAACTAGAAAGGAACTTCCTAAATCTGATAAAGAGCACCTACCAAAAAAAAAAAAAAAAAAAAGCCAGAGCTAAGATCATAATAATGAAAGACTGAAAGTGTTCTCCCTAACATGAGGAACAAGACAAGCATATTCATTATTGCCCACTCCTTCCTCCTTTTTCCTTCCTTCCTTCCTTCCTTCCTTCCTTCCTTCTTTTCTTCCTTTCTTTCTTTTTCTTTCTTCTTTTTTTTTTTTCCACTCTGTCACCCAAGCTGGAGTGCAATGGCACGACCTTGGCTCATTGCAATCTCAACCTCCTGGGTTCAAGCGATTCTCCTGCCTCAGCCTCAGCCTCCCAAGCAGCTAGGATTACAGGCACCCACCACCATGCCCGGCTAATTTTTTTATTTTTAGTAGAGACAGGTTTTCGCCATGTTGGCCAGGCTGGTCTCGAACTCCTGACCTCAAGTGATCTGCCCGCCTCGGCCTCCCAAAGTGCTGGGATTACAGGAGTGAGCGACCGTGCCTAGCCACATTATTGCAATTTCTATTAACATTATTGTGGAAGTTCTAGACAGAGCAGTTAGGAAAAAGAAAAAAAGGAAGAAAGTAAGGAAGAAAGAGAGGAAAGAGGAAGGAAAGGAAAGGAGAGGAAAGGCAAGGAAAGTCATGTAGATTGAAAAGGAAGATGTAAAACTCTTTCTATTTGCATATTACATGATCTTTTATATAAAATATCCTAAGGAATACATTCCCAGACACTCCCACGTATATATTATTATAGCTAATAAATAGGTTCAGCAAGACTGAGGATACAAGATCAATATACGAAATCAATTCTATTTTTATACATTAGAAATTAACAACTCCAAAATGAAATTTAAAAAATTCCATTTGTAATAGCATCACAAAAATGAAATATGAATACATTTAGCAGAAGAAGTGCAAAATATATACTCTAAAAACTACAAAACATTGTTGAAGGAAATTAAAGAAAACCTAAATGAATGGAAAGATATCCTATGTTTATGGATTGTAAGATTTAATATTGTTAAAATATCCACACACCCCAAATTAATCTACCAATTTAATGCAATTCCTATGGAAAACCTAACTGGCTTTATTTTTGCAGAAATTGACAAGTTAATCTTAAAATTTATATGGAAATTCAAGGGATCCAGAATAGGAAAAAACAATTTCGAAAAAGAAGAATAAAATAGGAGAACTCACACTTCCCAATTTCAAAACTTACCACAAGGAGCTGTAGTAGTCAAGACCATGAGGCACTGGTATAAGAATAGATGTATAGATTAACTGAATAGAGTTGGAAGCCCAGAAATAAACTCATACATTTGTCAATTGATTTTCAACAGTGATGCTAACACAATTCAATGAGGGAAAGAATAGTCTTTTCAACAAATGGTGCTGGAATAGCTGGATATCCACATTTAGAAGAAAGAAGTTGGACATAATTTAACAAAATTAGCTCAAAATGGACCAAAGACCTAAATGTAAGAGCTAAAAGTGTAACATTCTTAGAAGAAAACATAGGTGCAAATCTTTATGACCTTGGAATAATCAGTGGCTACTTAGATGTCACACACAAAGCACAAGCAACTGAAAAAAAAATGACTTCATCAAGATTAAAAATGTTTTTGGGCGCAGTGGCTAACACCTATAATCCTAGCACTTTGGGAGGCCAAGGTGGATGGATCGCATGAGCTCAGGAGTTTGAGACCAGCTGGGGCAACATAGTGAAACCCTGTCTCTACCACAAGAAACACAAAAAATTATCCGGGCATGGTGGCGTGTGCCTGTGGTCCCAGCTACTCGAGGCTAAGGTGGGAGGATAGCTTGCTCCTGGGAGGCAAAGGCTGCAGTGAGCCGTGACCACACCATTCCCTTCCAACCTGAATGACAGAGTGAGACTTTGTCTCAAAAATAAATAAATTAAAAAAAAAGTTTATGCTCCAAAGGCACGATCACAAAAGTGAAAAAAAAAACCCACAGAATGAAAGAAAATATTTGCAAATTCTATAACTGAAAGAGTCTAGTATCCAGAATATATAATAAACTCTTACAATTTAACAGTAAAATACAAATAGCTCAATTTAAAAATGGGCAAAGAATTTGAACAGACATTTCTCCCAAGAAGATATGTAAAGGACCAATAAGCAGGTGAAAAGATGCAAACCCAAACCACAATGAGATATCATTTCCCACCCACCAGAATAACTATCATCAGAAAGACAGACAATAACAGGTGTTGGGGGAAATGTGGAGAAATTGGAACCCTCATATCATGCATTATTGGTGAGAAAGCAAAATTATTCAGCCACATGATTTGGAAAACATTTTGTCATCTCCTCAAAAAGCTAAAAATGGAATTCTCATATGACTCAGCAATTCCATTCCTAGGTATATACTCAAGAGAATTGAAAACATGTTCATATAAAAACTCATACATGAATGCTCATAGTATCATTATTCATAATAGCTGGAAAGTGGGAACAACCCAAATGTCTATCAACTGATGAATGGATAAACAAAATGTCATCTATCAATACAATGGAATATTATTCAGCTATAAAATGAATGAAGTATGGACACGGGCTACAACATGGATAAACCTTGAAAACATTATACTAACTAGCAGAAGGCAGACACAAAAGACCCACATATATGATCCCATTTATAGTGTCCAGAACAGGCAAATACATAGAGTCAGGAAGTAGATCAGTGGTTCCTGGGGGATTAGCGAATTAGGCTGGAGAGATGTGGGGAGTTATTGCTAATGGGTTTGGGGTTTCTTTTTGGGGTGATGGAAATATTCTGGAATTAGATAGTGATGATGGTTGTACAATCTTGCAAATATACTAAAAAACACCATACGGTATACTTTAAACAGGCGACTTTTATGGTATGTGAATTATGTCTTAATTTTAAAATGGGCCTAATTCTTCACTACTGGAGAAGGAAGAGACAAGTATGGAAAGGGAGAAATCGCTAAGAAACTGGTTCTGAATTGAAATTGGAGATTTGTGCGTGAACTTGTGGCTTTCAATAGACATAGATGGATACATATGGAAATAAAGATAGATTTAAATGTGTGCATGCAAATGTGTGTGTACATTCCTTATCACTGTCCACGGGGGCCTGGGAACAGTGACATCAGAAATGAGCATAGAACTTGGTTTCTAAGTTCCATTCTTGGTTGGGCGCGGTGGCTCATGCCTATAATCCCAGCAATTTGGCAGGCCAAGGCAGGCGGATCACTTGAGGCCAGGAGTTTGAGACCAGCCTGGCCAACATGGCAAAACCTCATTTCTACTACAAATACAAAAAATTAGCCGGGCATGGTGGCGCTCGCCTGTGGTCCCAGCTACTTGCAAGGCTGAGCCAGAAGAATCGCTTGAACCCAGGAGATGGAGGCTGCAGTGAGCCGAGATCGCACCACTGCATTTGAGCCTAGGTGACAGAGTGAGACTCCGTCTCAATAAACAAATAAATAAATAAATAAATAAATAAATTCCATTCTCTACCAAGGATTCTAATAAGGAGTCCAAGGAACCAGGACAACTCAGAAAAATGACTGATTCCAAGGCTAGAGTGGAGACAGTGCATGATGAATCTGAAACATGCTAGAAAGTAAGGAAGTACTCAAAGAATTCCGTCCCACTGTTCAAATCAGAGACAATTTGGTATCAAAATAAGTAATGATAATAATGGATTCAAACTAATGGAATAAAGTAGAAAACCATGAGTCTATACACATGTAAGTCAATAAAATAATACATTGAAAATGTCAGGAGGGGCCAGGCGTGGTGGCTCATGCCTGTAATCCCAGCACTTTGGGAGGCTGAGGCGGTGGATCACCTGAGGTCAGGAGTTTGAGACCAGCCTGACCAACATGGCGAAACCCTGTCTCTACTAAAATACAAAATTAGCCGGGCATGGTGGTGCATGCCTGTAATCCCAGCTACTCAGGAGGCCGAGGCAGGAGAATCACTTGAACCTGGGAGACAGAGGTTGCAGTGAGCCAAGACTGTGCCACTGCACTCCATTCTGGGCAACAAGAGTGAAGCTCCGTCTTAAAAAAAAATTTTTAAATGTCAGGAGGAATAGGGTATTTACGCAGTTTCAAAGTACTTCTCTGCACAATACTTACTAATTACAAAAGAAAAAAAATAACATCATAGTGGAAAAGTCAGGCAGATAGAAACTTAATAATAATGAACATCATAAATAATGGGATGGATCTAAACACTACTCTACCTAGGCCAGGCACAGTGGCTCACGCTTGTAATCCCAGCACTTTGGGAGGGCGAGGCAGGCAGATCAAGACCACCCTGGCCAACACAGTGAAACCCCGTCTCTACTAAAAATACAAAAATTAGCTGGGTGTGGTGGTGGGCACCTGTAATCCCAGCTACTCGGGAGGCTGAGGCAGGAGAATCGCTTGAACCCAGGCGGCAGAGGTTGCAGTGAGCCGAGATCGCACCACTGCACGCCAGCTTGGGCGACAGAGCTAGACTCCACCTCAAAAAAAAAAAAAAATTACTTCTTCTAAGAGGATGCAAGGAGAAGAACTCAACCTTGCTTCTGTGGCATTCCTGCCAATGATGCAAAACCTCAATAAAATCATAAGGAAACATCGGTCAAACCCAAATTGAGGTACTTTCTATAAATTAACTGACATGCCATCTTCAAAAATGTCATGTCCATGCAAGTCAAGGACAAACTGAGGAACTGCTCCAGGTTTAAGGGGAGTCTAGAGAGACTTTACCGCGAAACACAACGTGAGATGCTGAACTGGATTTTTTTTTACTATCAAGGACATTGTTGGGACAGTTGGTGAAACTTGCATGAGGCCTCTGGATTAGATGTTTTTCATGTTAATTTCCTGATTTTTCAGGGTTCCTTGTGGTTGTAAGGAATTGTGGAATATCTGTGTTTGTAGGAACTACATACTCTAGTATTTGGGAGATGTATCAGGCTGGTAACTTATTCTCAAATGGTTCAGGGAAGAAAGTTATGTGTGTTAGTAGTGCACTGAAGTCGGTTATGCTCAACGTCTTTCCAACTCTGCGTGCAGTAACCTCATGTTGGCAGCATGAAATTGCCTGTAGTGGGAGTATTTACACCATGGAAATTGGCAAATGTTACAACTCCAGTCTTTTTTTCCCTCTGGACAGCCAATTGTTAAACATTCACCAGCACACTGTTCTTTGTACCATCTTTCCAGATTTTTAATAAATTTGTGATTGTTTCAAAAAATTATTAACTTGGCCAAGCATGGTGGTTCATGCCTGTAATCCTAGCACTTTGGGAGGCCAAGGCAGGAGGACTGATTGAGGCCAGGAGATCAAGACCAGCTTGGGCAACATAGTGAGACCCTGTCTCTGTTAAAAATATATTAAACTAAAAAAATAGAAGGAAGTTAATAAGTACCACTTTAAACCTTCTTTTGAACAAGGCTTACAATAAATGCATAACAGGCATTTGTGTTTTAACCTATCTCTATGCTTTCAGTTAATATTCTTTTTTTTTTTTTGAGATGGAGTCTTGCTTTATCGCCCAGGCTGGAGCACAGTGGCACAACCTTGGCTCACGCCAACCTCTGCCTCACAGGTTCAAGCCATTCTTCTGCTTCAGCCTCTTGAGTAGCTGGGATTACAGGCACGTGCCACCATGCCTGGCTAATTTTTTGTATTTTTAGTAGAGACAGGGTTTCACCGTGTTGGCCAGCCTGGTCTCCAACTCCTGACCTCAAGTGATACGCCCACCTCGGAGTCCCAAAGTGCTGCGATTACAGGGGTGAGCTACTGCGCCCAGCCCTATTCTTGATAATCCTGTGAAGTCAAAATTATCACACCCCTTGTAGAGACAAGTAAATGGAGACTTGGATAAATTTCCTGGCATATTCCTTGGCATGTAATAGTTGCTCAATAAATGATGGCTGACCATCTCCAAGTGGAAAAGGTAAATCGCATACCCAGAATTTATGACTCTAAACCTCATGTACTTGCTTTTTTAAGATAAACTTTTAAACATTAGTTTTAATCACACAAGTACTGCATGAATATATATTCAATCATAAAATGTAACTCAGTAGGCCAGGTGCAGTGGCTCACGCCTGTAATCCCAGCACTCTGGGAGGCTGAGGCGGGTAGATCATGAGGTCAGGAATTCAAGACCAGCCTGGCCAAGATGATGAAACCCTGTCTCTACTAAAAATTAGCCAGGCATGGTGGCCGGCACCGGTAATCCCAGCTACTCGGGAGGCTGAGGCAGAGAATTGCTTGAACCCGGGAGGCGAAGGTTGCAGTGAGCTGAGATTACTGCACTCCAGCCTGGGTGACAGAGCAAGACTCTGTCTCAACAATAAATAAATAAGTAAATTTAACACAATAGGCCAGGTGCAGTGGCTCATGACTATAATCTCAGCACTTTGAGAGGTTTGAGCTCAAGAGTTTGAGACCAGCCTGGGCAACATGGTGAGACCCTGTCTGTCTTAAAAAAAAAAAATAAATAAATAAAATAAATGCACTGAAGAGAAGCCTAACTTATCCTTTATCACATGTACCCACTTCTCCAACGGCCCAGTCTCAGTCCCCTCTACATGAGCAGTCTTCCTTATCAGTCCAGTGTTCTCCTCCAGGCCTTTTTCTACGCATTTTTGTTTTGCTCTGAACCACACTGATGGCAAGTTCATGGCCAGCTTTGATGATCTGGAGCATTAGCATTTTCCCTGGGAATGAGCTCCACCACCTTCTCCCTTTCTTCTATTCTCAGATTGTTGACCTTGATTTTTCTTCCCTCTTTCATAAAAAACACACAAAGGCATTTCACTGGCAATCGAACCACCCTCTTCTGCACAGAGGCCTCGGGAGATTTATTTCCATCCCAGAGTAAAGTCCTAGGCTGTAGTCTTGGCTCCAGCCTCGGCCCCGTGTTACAGAAAAAAACAAAACAAAACAAAACAAAACAAAACAAAACAAAACAAAACAAAAAACACAGTTGTTCAGTTTTTCCTCGACAGTGACCTCCTACTCTAAAATAAACAACCATGACTGAAAGGGGAGGAAAGAAAGACACAATGTTTTCCAAATGTGATACAGAATTCAAGGGTGAGAGGATGAGAGGGTGAGGGAGTGAGGGGTGGAGCTTGGAATATTTTCCTTTCTTTGTTAATCGTCTGTGGGGACTGTCTTTACTCTATAAAGTCAGCATTACCCATTCATCTCCAAGACATTTGTTTCCTGAAACAGCTGAGTCGGCAACGGAGAGACCTTCCTCCAGTGAGTGCTGAGACCTAGGTCAGAGCTCATGGTTGGTAGTATCGGCTTTCTGCCAAAAAACATGATTTGCTTGAAAAACGAATGGATCTCTTATTTGTAGTAAGAACACAGAACTAAAATAGGCTGGGTGCTGTGGCTCATGCCTGTAATCCTAGCAGTTTGGGAGGCCGAGACAGGCGAATCGCCTGGGGTCAGGAGACCAAGACCAGCCTGGCCAACATGGTGAAACTCTGTCTCTACTAAAAATACAAAAATCAGCCGGGCGTGGTAGCACATGCCCATAGTCCCAGCTACATGAGAGGCTGAGGCAGGAGAATCACTTGAACCCAGGAGGAGGTGGTTGCTGTGAGCTGAGATTGCGTCACTGCACCCCAGCCTGGGTGAAAGAGCAAGACTCCATCTCCAAAAAAAAAAAATCAAGTAGAACTCAATCTAAACTAACCTTAAATTATACTTTGTTTAAGGAGTGTGAAGAACCTACTACTTATTGAATGCTCTACAATGAGCATACTACTTGTATATTTTACTGAGATATTAAATTGTATTTTTATTCTCGTAATGGCGGTCTCCCCTCCTTCATCCTAAGCAGGTAGCCAGAAGCAGGAGTTTCTAGGACCCCTCAAATCAGAGCCCTCCCCTACCCATGCCTAGGAGCTGGGTTCCCCTCGGTGGCCAGAGTGGGATTGTATGAGAGGGAGCAGGGCTTCAAGGGTTGGAAAAGATGGAACAAGCTGATAAAATCCCTTAGTAGAGAAGGGGGAGAGGAGAAATTTGGGAAAGCTCTCCAGAAAATAGGAAACGTAGAACAGAGAGAAAAGTGGAGCTAGCAGGACCTCTGATGGGGATGATTGTGGGCTGAGCTGAGGGAATTCTGATCCCAGGCACAGAGATCTCTGGCCTGGGCAAAGACTTCCTGTGCTCCAGTTTGGCTCCAAGGCAGCATAAATACCACCTTCAAGGTAGGCTGGGACAATGGTCCAGTGCGGGCTGCTGATGGGAGGGTCTCAGCACAGGCTTCGGAGGACTTTTGCACAACCCTAGAGAAAGTAGTGCCTCCCAAAATGTGACTGAGTTGGGATTTTCCAACAACCAGGGAGGTGGGGCTCATTAGCTGTTACAGAGAATGAGCATTTTCTTATACCTGATGGTGAAGGAATTCAATACACACCCATTATATAAACACCAACTTTGATCCACATAATACTTTTTATGCAACTTTTACTTTCAAATTTTATTTGTATGGGTGTATTCCATTTAATACTTTACAAGAGTCCAATAAAGCCCTTTCACATATAAAACCTCATTTTATCCTCACATCATGCTTTGACAGTGAATACGGTTCATATTGTCTGATTTGCTGAAGCTCAGAGAGAAAGCTGAACCATGAATGGGTCTTTCGTGCCTCTTTCCTGTGTCGTGGGAGCCCTTGGTTGGGCCCCACGTTATCCCATTCAACCCCAAGGTTGGCTACCAGCACTTCTGGCCTTAACCTTTGCCAAAATTTTGACTCTGTAACTCCCATTCCTTTGATCTGCCTTGCCCTGTGCATACGAGGGAAACCTGTGTCTGTTCTCCATGAATACTCCATGCTTGGGTATGATCCTGGTCAATTATAATCTTCTCAATATGAGGACACTCCTTTCTTTGTTTCAACTTGTTCAGATTAAAAAACATAGAATGAGCATCTCCCATGTGTCAGGTATGTGCAAGGCATTCTCATACAGTCCCTCATTACTCTTATGTAAGAGGTATAACTGTGCCTGGTTTTTAGATGTGGAACCTAAGGTTCAGGAAGGTTAAGGAATGCGCCCAACATCACCCAGCTAGGAAGCGGGAGTACAGGGATTCACACCTTCCTTCTCTGAGTCCAAGTCTCTGCTCTGTGCCTAACTCCACTGGGTTGCCTTACACAGTTTCCAGGTTCTCCATTCATTCCAAGTAGAAAATAAGGTCAATGTTAAAAGAAAAGCTATGCTTCATTTCTCTGAATCCCAAGTTGCATGTTGCTATCTGCCGTGACTTAAAGTCACTCCAGGAGTAAGAACTCAGTTTTGACTGTTATCTTAGATACGTTATTAAAACAGCAGCCCTAGGGTTACCAGAAAGGGGTCCGGATCCAGACCCCAAGAGAGGGTTCTTGGATCTTGCGCAAGAAAGAATTCAGGGCGAGTCCGCAGTGGAAAACGAAAGCAAGATTATTAATAAAGTAAAGGAATAAAAGAATGGCTACTCCATAGACAGAGCAGCCCCGAGGGCGGCTGGTTGCCCATTTTTATGGGTTTTTTTTGATGATATACTAAACAAGGGGTGGATTATTCATGCCTCCTCTTTTTAGACTACATAGGGTAACTTCCTGACGTTACCTGGAGTGCCACTGCACTCCAGCCTGGGTGACTGAGTGAGACCCTGTCTTAAATAAATAAAATAAAATAAAAGTTAAAGAAATAGTTTGACCTTAAAGCATTTAGCAAATCTGATGTTTGACCTTAATTTAGACTAAATGTTTATATTTTAAAGACATTTTATTTTACCAGTAATTTTTAAAACTGTCTTTATTTTTAAGATTACTAAAGTCATGTGAACAAAAAGGCATTAAAGTTTCTATTTTTGACAAAATATTTGATTTAAGTGCTTATTTTTTTAACCCAATTAATTAGAGCTTTTTATATATAAACATACAACACATATAAATACACAGACAGACAGAAGATTCAGCACTTGTAAGATTTTTCATTTGCCAGTTTCTTAATTGGATGACTGGCTTCAGGGTGGAGCCCTTGGAAGAACAAGGCTGGGAAAGCTTGGTTTCTAGGGCCAAATAAGCAGCTGAAGGCAAAGACAGAGTCTTAAAATTAAGGATGCCATTTTACACTGGATCCTGGATCCCCAGAAGGAGGGAAATACTGTGGGAGAAGACAGTGCAGTCCTTCTTCTTTGCATTGCACTGCAAGGTAACCCAAAGCCAATTAGCCCATTTTGTAATCAGCCCATCCCTCGTGGGAGTTTTATCTCCCATTGGAGTTGGGAATGTTTCCTTATCTTCCAGGTGGCTAAGAGCATGCTTCTCTGATTTAAGTGTGCAGAGTCAAGTCTCCCTCCGTAACTACTATTAACCATCCCTTAAAGTATATTTCCTATCTGGTTATTATATACCAAAGCTCTTTTATAATGCAAAGTAAATTTTGATTCCCTCAGAACTCAAAACTGTCAGATAACACAATGCAAAACGTAACAGAGCCTTTGATTTTGAGAGGGATCTATCTGCTTTTAATTCCTGGGGTTTCATGAGGAAAACAGAGGCTTTTTTTCCAAAACGGGGTCTGTGGTGCCTCCTCTGTGTTTCCCAAGGAGTCCCAGCTACCAGAAGTTATTTTAAGGCCTTTCATGTGTGCATTAAGAGTGGCAAGAAGGCCGTGTGCAGTGGCTCATGCCTGTAATCCCAGCACTTTGGGAGGCCGAGGCAGGCGGATCACTTGAGGTCGGGAGTTCGAGACCAGCCTGACCAACATAGAGAAACTCCATCTCTACTAAAAATACAAAATTAGCCAGGCGTGGTGGCACATGCTTGTAATCCAAGCTACTCAGGAGGTTGAAGCAGGAGAATCTCTTGAACCCGGGAGGCAGAGCTCACGAAGAGCCGAGATCGTGCCATTGCACTCTAGCCTGGGCAAAAAGAGTGAAATTCTGTCTCAAAAAAAAAAAAGAAAAGTGGCAAGAAAAAAAATGGAGAAAAACGATTTAGTTGATTGAGAAGAAAAAACTTTTTTTCAGTAAAACAAGTTCCAAGAAGAGAAAAACAGAGGGCTTTTAAGTATATTTATAGCTTTTTAATTCACTTTTAATTAAGCCGACTTTAAACCATAGTGCTCTTTAAAAAATAAATCCTTTTAGATTTCTTCTTATCTGACTTTAGCCATGCCAAGCAGCCAATATTTTTAGCTTTTGAACTTTACCAAAGGTAACCTCCTAGGTGCTTAGAGAAAGGAAAATTTAAGACAGTCCATGGAGAAGAGAATAGACAAGGTCACACAGATATTAAACCAGAAACAACTTACTTTCTAGGTGGGGAACTGAACCTGGACCGCCACTCTGAAAGCGCAAAACCTTGGGAACTGAGCTACCAGATGGGACAGTTCCCATCTTATTTCCCAGAAGAGGTCTAGAGTACTTAATTTTGAGCTTGCAAAGGCTTTTAACTATTTAATATGATTTTTAGAGCTAAATATGATATGAACCCTAGAATTATTGTTCCCTGAAGCAGAGACCAAAAGAAAGTACTGCCACGTGGTTAAAAGGTCAAGCTCCCAAGGGCATAAAACAATGTGGAGACTTCATCCAGTTTCTTGTTTGTTTCAGGGACCTGCAGCCACGTTTGTTACTGACCAACTTGCTGGGTTGTCTTGAAAAGTGGGCTTACAGGTGTTCTAAGCCCATGTTTTATCTTGAAGTACCCCTTGACACTGAAAAACGAATTCATAGCACAAAATACACCAGCTTAAGACTAGCCTTAGAATTCTTTTTCACATTAATTAAAACTTTACAGAGGAGATAAACACTGATTTATTTATTTTTTATTTTAATTTAATTTAATTTTATTTTCTTACCATTCATTCAACCATTTGCCCAGAAAGAAAGAAGCCAGAAATTTGACTGGTAAGAAATTCTTACCCTTTTGCTGGCATTCCAGGGTTCTGGGTTCCCTTTCTTTGAGAGGCCCCAGTGATCCGGCTTGCCGCACCATCGTCCTGGGGGCCAAGGCACATTATAAAGGAAAATTTTTTTTTTCCTTCTGACCAGAGCAAAATATAGACATTAGCCACTTTGCTTAGCACCCAATATTAAACTAGCAAGTCTTAAATTTGCCCACAGAAGGAACTCATCATCTTTAATCCAACCTCCCACTTGGAGTTTCAACACGTGGTCTCTGGGCAAGACGGTTACCCTGAGTAACAGAAAAGATAAAAAAAAGAAAGAAAAAAAAAAAAAAAAAGGAAAGGAGCGGGAGAAACGCATTGCCTGAGGCAGGGTGGGGAAGGTGAAATGATCGGGGAGGCCAGAGAAAGACCCACCCATTGCAGCCACAGTTCAGGAAGCTGCGGCTGCTTCTCAGTAGCAAAGGGATCTTTCCAGCCATCCCATTCACTTTCAAGTTTTCCCTTTTAGGGAGGAAAAAGCTCCCATGTCCCACGATTCTGTACCTGCCTAATCCTGTCACCCACAGCCATTAGCAAAGAGTACAAGGCAGATGACTCCGAAGAGGATAA
The DNA here is from genome assembly GCF_000001405.40 of Homo sapiens. NCBI lineage: Eukaryota > Metazoa > Chordata > Mammalia > Primates > Hominidae > Homo > Homo sapiens. The sequence goes on from NC_000001.11 coordinate 19,850,654, forward strand.
CAGTTAACACCCTGTAGTGGCAAAACTGTTCTTAAAGGGACTTTACCAAGCGGGGGGTCTCTAACCCCCTAAATTTTAGAAGGGACTCTAACCCTCCTAAGTTGGGCCCCTAACCCAAGATTGGTAAAACATTCTTGCCTTTTATTAAGAGGGCCGTCTAACCCACTCTGTCTTAGGAGAGACTCTAACTCCCCTAAGTTGGGCCTTTAACCTAATCTCATTTTTTACCCGGCTGCTCCATTACTTACCCATAGTTGTCCAACCAGTGCTCCAGTCTATCTCCTTTGGGTTGGGGGCTCTCTTTAATATATGTTACAGGACCCCAACACTTGCCCAAAGGTAGCTGTTGGGTCGGGGTTTCTGCACTATAGTTGCGGTCGCCAGATACATGTTACAGGAAAGGGGTCCTGATTCAGACTGCAAGAGAGGGTTCTTGGATCTTGTGCAAGAAAGAATTCAGGGCGAGTTCGCAGTGCAAAGTGAAAGCAAGTTTATTTAGAAAGTAAAGGAATAAAAGAATCGCTGCTCCATAGACAGAGCAGCCCCAAGGGCCACTGTTTACCATTTTTACAGTTGTTTTTTGATAATATGCTAAACAAGAGGTGGATTATTCATATCTCCTTTTTTTTTTTTTTTTTTTTTTTTTTGTGAGATGGAGTTTTGCTCTTATTGCCCAGCTAGAGTGCAGTGGCGCAATCTTGGCTCACTGCAACCTCCACCTTCTGGTTTCAAGCGATTCTCCTGCCTCAGCCTCCCAAGTTGCTGGGATTACAGGTGCCTGCCACCAGGCCCAGCTAATTTTTTTGTATTTTTGGTAGAGACGGGGTTTCATCACGTTGGTCAGGCTGGTCTCGAACTGCTGATCTCGTGATCCACCAGCCTCGGCCTCCCAAAGTGCTGGGATTACAGGCGTGAGCCACCGCGCCCGGCATGCCTCCCCTTTTTAGACCATGTAGGGTAACTTCCTGTCGTTGCCATGGCATTTGTAAACTGTCAGGGCGCTGGTGGGAGTGTAGCAGTGAGGATGACCAGAGGTCAGTCTCGTCGCCATTTTGGTTTTGGTGGGTTTTGGCCAGTTCCTTCACAGTAATCTGTTTTATCAGCGAGGTCTTTATATCTTATATTTTGTGGTGACCTCCTGTCTTATTCTGTGACTTAGAATGCCCTGACCATATGGGAATGCAGCCCAGTAGGTTTCAGCCTCATTTTACCCAGCTCCTATTTAAGATGGAGTTGCTCTGGTTCACATGCCTCTGACACTAGTTCTTGCAGCTCAGTCTCCTAAAGTGAGTCCCATGGAACAACCATTGCAGGAGATGTTTTGCAAACAAGAGATTCTGTGGGAAAAGCCCGGGAAATGACCCTGTAACAGGATTTGCTACTACATTTCTTCTTACACAAACACATGCATTTGAATTGCCAAGGAGCATGTGGGGTCAATGTGTATTATATTGTTTCCCAAACTTATTTGATCATAGAACCTCCTCTTCCCCTTTTAGGCAGAGCATCTTCCATAGCTAAATGGAAGCAGAAAGTTTTCAGAAACTCATCTGTGGTTTCATTACAGCTGAAGACATTCCAGCTTTTCACCACATGGTTGCTGACCACCACCAGAGTAATCCTGGTCTCTGAAAGCAGCCAAAGGGAAAACTAAGCTGATACACCCTCCCCAGCAGGAAAAGTCCCTTTCTTCATAAGTGGAGATGACGGAGTTGACAGACTGCCATAGGACAATGCAGCTTCAGGATCCTGAGAGATGGCTGGGGCTTTGTATAGAAGGGGAAACTGAGCCCAGGGAGAGAAAACGGCTTGTCCTAGTCACCCAGCTAGAGCTACAACTCCTTTTTAAGGCCCAGTACCAAGGGGTTAAGCTTCAGTGAAATCCAGAAACTTTACAAACTTTATCTTGTTTAACTTTTTTTCTTTTTTCTTTCTTTTTTTTTTTTTTGAGACAGAGTTCTGTTTTGTCACCAGGCTGGAGTGCAGTAGCACGATCTCAGCTCACTGCAACCTCCGCCTCCTAGGTTCAAGGGATTTTCCTGCTTCAGCCTCCTGAGTAGCTGGGATTACAGGCGCCCGCCAGCACACTTGGCTAATTTTTGTATTTTTAGTAGAGACGGGGCTTTGCCATTTTGGCCAGGCTGGACTCGAACTCCTGACCTCAGGTGATCCACCTGCCTTGGCCTCCCAAAGTGCTGGGATTATAGGCGTGAGCCACCGTGCCTGGCTATCTTGCTTAACTTTTAAGAAATATATATACGCAGAGTTTCTGTACTCTTCATTTCATGGCATTAGCAACTGTCTGTAAAAGAAGGGTTGCCAGGTGAAATCTAGGGTGGCCAGTTAAATTTAAATTTCAGATAAGCAACAAATAATGCTTATACTAAAAAACTATTCATTTCTTATCTGTATTTTTATTTGCTAAAGCTTACAGTCCTACATGGGTCCAAAGCCCTTAGGAAAAATTTAACCATGGTGTAGTGAAAAGCATGGAAAAGGTTTTTTTTTGTTGTTTTGTTTTGTTTTGTTTTGTTTTGTTTGAGACAGGATCTCACTTTGTTTCCCAGGCTGGAGTGTAGTGGTGTGATCACTGCTCACTGCAGCCTCAGCCTCCCAGGCTCAAGTGATCTTCCCTCCTCAGCCTCCTGAGTAACCGGGACCACAGGCATGCGCCATTACACAAGCTTTTTTTTTTTTTTTTTTTTTGTAGAGACAGGGTTTTTCTGTGTTGCCTAGGCTGGTCTCGATCTCCTGGCCTCAAGTGATCCTCCCACTTCAGCCTCCCAAAGTGCTGGGATTACAGGTGTGAGCCACTGCGCCCAGGCAAAATTTTTGATATTAGGTTAACATTCTAATTTGGCCACTTACAGACTTTGTGACCTTGGACAAGTTACTTAACAACTCTGAGCCACAAAGAGTTGTAATAAAAATTAATTGAAACATATGGGAAAGCTCCTAGCACAGTGTCTGGCATGTAGTTGGCACTCAAAAATGGACAGTTATTATTATTATTATATTATTTTCTTAGACTAACACTCCTGGACAGGCCCTTGTCCTGGTCAAAAAAAAAACATAAACGTAGATCTTAAGGGAATGAGTTGAAAATGTGCACTTGACTTGGCAACCTGACCATACACTTTGTTTCCCACTACAACCAGAAAAATCCATAGCAAAATGGAGACTGTGGGCTTCGGCCTGTGTGGCAGGCACTGCTACATGCCCACCTGGGGTAAAATCCAGGTTTTGTGGAACCTGAAATTTATGCATTTTTGAGTGGGTGGGGGGAGAAAAATAATATACAACTAAGTATATACAATTAGATATAAGGCTGGGCACGGTGGCTCACACCTGTAATCCCAGCACTTTGGGAGTCCGAGGTGGGTGGATCACAAGGTCAGGAGTTCAAGACCAGCCTGGCTAACATGGTAAAACCCTGTCTCTATGAAAAAAATACAAAAATTAGCTGGGTGTGGTGGTGTGCACCTGTAATCCCAGCTGCTCGGGAGGCTGAGCAGGCAAATTGCTTGAACCCGGGAGGCGGAGGTTGCAGTGAGCCAAGATTGCACCACTGCACTCCAGCCTGGGCGACAGAGCAAGACTCCATCTCAAAACAAAAACAAAAACAAAAACAAAACAAATGAACAAAAAAACCAATTAGATATAAGGCACTGGAAGGGGGTCTGATAAGCAAGATGCCCCGAAGCTTGAGCTTCATTAGCTTTTCAGTAAACCTACTCTAACACTTACCTAATACCCATTCCCCACTGCTTAATTCTTAACAGAACACAAATTTTATTTGGGTGGCACTGTTTCCAGCTTTAAAATAATAATAAGTAGCCCTCCATTTCCCGGGTTCTCTTGCAGTGAGACATGGCCAAATGACCTACTTCTGGTCCACTCAATGTTAATGAAGTCTATTACAACTTATAGAAAAACAAATGTTTCCCCGATTAAGAGGGACAGGCTCCCCTGGAACTCTCCTTTGCCTTTGCTCTTTCCCTTTCTTCTTTCTTGGAATGACGACAGATTCCAGGAGATGGCAGCCATCTTGGTACCATGAGGACAAAAGCCACAGGTTAATATGGTTTATCAGAAAGATAGAAGGCGCATGGATCCCGGGTGGGTGGCATTATGGGGCCACCATACCTGTACTGAATGGCCTATCTCCAGAATTCTTGTTATGTGAGAAAAATAAGCCCCTTTGTTCCAGCCACTATAGTCTGATTTCTGTAATGTGGAGCCAAGTACAATCTGAACTGGTACAGCATCAGACATACCTGGGTTCAAATCATGACTCTAACACTTACTATTTGGGTGACTTTGGGCAAGTTATCCAAATTCTCTGCAATTTAATTGTATTTACAAAACAAGGGTTACTATGATGATTAAATATTAAATTAATATTATAATACATTAATATATTAATGTAATAAATGCATTAAATATTAAATACAGAACTCAGAAGCAGACTTGTTTCTATGAGAGACTGACATATGATAGAAGTGGCTTCACAAATGAGTAGAGAAAGGACAGGTTGGTTATTTAGTAGATGGTGCTGGGGAAACCAACTCACTCTATAAGAGAAAAAGTTGGCACCCTAATTCCTACAATATGAAAAAAAAGTCCTTAAATAGCTTAAAGACCTACCCAAGAAAGATAAAAACTATAAAACTAATAGAAGAAAAATATAAAATCATATCTTGGACATTTTGACATGAGTATGAATTTTAAAAACAAGAGTCCAAAACCACAAATTTTAGGGGAAAAATTAATGGACTAGGCTACATTAAACATTAGCAATCTTTTTTTTTTTTTGAGGTGGAGTCTCACTCTGTCACCCCGACTGGAGTGCAATGGCATGATCTCAGCTCACTGCAACCTCTGCCTCCCGGGTTCAAGCAATTATCCTGGCTCAGCCTTCCAAGTAGCTGTGATTACAGGTGCCTGCCACCACGCTTGGCTATTTTTTTGTATTTTTAGTAGAAGCAGGGTTTTGCCATGTTGGCCAGGCTAGTTTCAAACTCCTGAACTTGTGATCCGCCTGCCTCGGCCTCCCAAAGTGCTGAGATTACAGGTGTGAACCACCGTGCCCAGCCTAAAAATTAACATGTTTTTTAAACAAAGGATACCATAGCAAAATTAACAGATGGATGGACCAGAGAAGATATTGTCAACCTAAAACCAATAGGGAATTAATATCTAGAGTTTAGATTCTAGGCCTGCACTGTTCAATATGGTTGCTACCAGCCATATGTAGTATTGAGCACCTTATAATGACACAGTCAAAATTGAGATGTGCTGAAGTGTAAAATATATAACCAAATTTCAATGTCTTAGCATGCACAAAGGACTGTAATGTATCTTAATAATTTTTTGTATTGACTATATGTTGAAACGATAGATGAGACACATTATGTTATGTGAAATATATATATATATATATATATATATATTTTTTTTTTTTTTTTTTTTTTTTTTGAGATAAGTTCTCACTCTGTCGCCCAGGCTGGAGTTCAGTGTTGCAATCTCAGCTCACTGCAACCTCCACTTCTTGGGCTCAAGCAATCCTCTTGCCTCAGCTCCACTATGTAGCTGGGACTACAGATGCGAGCCACCATGCCTGGCTAATTTTTGTATTTTTTTGTAGTGACAGGGTTTCACCATGTTGCCCAGGCTGGTCTTGAACTGACCTCAAGCAATCCACCTGCCTCGAACTCCCAAAGTAATAGGATTACAGGCGTGAATCACCATGCCTGGCCAAAATATATTGTTAAAATTAATTGTGTGTTTCTTTTTACCTTGTAAATATGGCTATTAGAACATTTGTTATTACATATGTGGCTCACATTGTATTTCTATTGGATAGCACTGTTCCAGGCTATATAAGAAACTCCTAAATATCTGCCAGAAGGAAAAAATGGAAATACAAGAGGAAAATGGACAAAATGTATTAACAGATGATTCACAAAAGGGGAAACCTAAATAGCTAATAAGTATATGAAAAATATTCAATCTCATAAATAATCAGAGGACTACAAACAAATGCAATGATGAGATTTATTTGACAGCCAACACATTGGCAAAACTTAAATATAGTTTCAAATGGTAACAAGCATGTGAAAAAAAGAGGATCTTCATGCAATGCTGACGGGAGTCTAGACCGGCAAAGCCATTCCTGAGTAATTCCAGTTGTACCAATGAAACTATGTTTGTGTGTATGCAAGGCAGATATTCGGTAGGTGTATACCAGTACGGCACACCAGCAACACCTGTTCCAAGTGGTCAGTGCTGCGCCTTGATGGATGTTAAAATTTTTATTTATTTATTTTTTGAGACAGACTCTCGCTCTTGCTGCCCAGTTTGGAGTGTAGTGGTGCAATCTCGGCTTGCTGCAACCTCTGCCTCACGGGTTCAAGTGATTCTCCTGCTTTAGCCTCCTGAGTAGCTGGGATTATAGACATGCTCCACCACACCTGGCTAATTTTTGTATTTTTAGCAGAGATGGGGTTTTGCCATGTTGGCCAGGCTGGTCTCGAACTCCCGACCTAAGGTGATCCGCCCACCTCGGCTTCCCAAAGTGCTGGGATTATAGGCGTGAGCCACTGCGCCTAGCCAATTGTTAAATATTTTGAATATCACACACATATACTCTATGAAACAGCTATCCCACTTCTGAGAATGTACCCTAGAGAAACTGTCTCACATACATCTGTAAGATAACCAGATAAATATAAATAACTACAATAATGAGAGATTGACCTGACACCCATCAGATGTGCACACACTTTAACCCAGAATTGTCTGGAACAAGAAGATGGAGGCTACCTAGTTGTCTACCACTGGGGAACTGTTAAGTAAAACCTGGCCTATATATTCGGTGAACTGTTTTGTAAAATCTAGAATTCATGATCCAGATTTACATATCACAGCATGAATAGATCTCAAGAAGAAAGTGTTGAGGAAAAAAGTGGAAAGAATGAGATTTATAGTGTGGTTCTATTTGTGTGAATTAAAAAAAAATCAATACCATACAGTGAAAGATTTACACATATATCAAAATAGACAAATGGAAGGTAAGTTAGATGGACTTAGGTTAAACAGAATCAGTTTGAGTATTTATGGTGGGGAAGAAGGACAGAAGTGGAAATGGAGGGTAAAGAGGAAGAGGAAAAAATAAAATAAAATAAAAAAGCAAAAGGGGGATCATTTACTCAGGTTGCCATGTTTAGCAAATAAAAATATAGGACTCCCAATTAAATCTGAATATCAGATAAAGAACAGATAGCATTTTAGTATAAGCATGTCACCATACTTAGACATATGTCTATAATATTGACAGTGGTTAAACAAGTGACTAAATTCAAATTTAACTGGGTGTCCTGGATTTTATCTGCCAGCCCTAGACTCATGACATTGGCAGTTCTCTCCTCTGCCTGGCGGAACTGTCCAGGTGGTCGTAAGAGTGATGCTCATCAGATCATACTTATTGCTAGTTTGGTCCTGCTTCCCATCATGGCAGCCCCGGATGAACCCTGGCACTGCTCACACCTCTCTGATTGGGTCCCTGGATATCAACAGGCTGTCTCCTCATCAGAAGGGCAGTATGAATCAAGGGTCTCTTGGGCCATTTACAGCAATTACCACACCCTGCCCTGTGTTAAAGCCCAGTCTTTAGGATGCCCTGGGAAATGAAGCCCATCACCTCTCAATTATGTGATACACTGAAGAGCACCTGGGAAGAAGGGTGAGAGTAGGTGAGGGGTGAAATCCCAGGCATTATTGCCAGTCTGGCTTTGGTTCAAATCCCAGCTCTGCCATTTATTAGCTCTCTGACCTTAGGCAATTTATCTCCTGAGCTTCTGTGTTTTCATCTGTAAAATGGGAGGAAAAAAAATCAATATTTCAAAAGTCTCTTGTGAGGATAATCAGAAAAAATAAGAAGAATAGAAAGTATATGTACAGGGTACAGTACAACTACTGAATATATATATATTTTTCTGTACATGCTACATATATACACATACATATATGTATACATACATACATATATACATATATATGTAGCATGTATAGAAAAAATATATATGTGGCATGTATAGAAAAAAAACCCTGGAAGGAAATCTAAAATGTTGACAGTGGTTATATAAATAGTAAATGAGAGAGATCATGTAAAGTGCTTAGTGCGTGATATTCACTCAATAACTGTTAGCATTTTCTGTTACTGTTTCTTGAGATGGGATCATGAATAATGGTTATTTTTTCTTTATACTTGTTTGTATTTCCCCCACATTTTCTAAGATGAAAGCATAATTATGTTTGAACCAACACACATTTGTAGGACAGCTACCACGTCCTGGGAACTGTGTTGGCTGCTTGGCATAGACCCTGAACAGACAAGGCTGTAGCAGGAAGTGCAGGCTGAGACGACAGGATGATGTCTTTACGGTCGCTGTTCTTGCTTCTGCTTTCTGTGTTGTAAAATCTGTAGACCTCATACAATACACGAGATAAGCAAAATAGCCCCAATGGGCTTGGTATCTTCATTTAGGCTTTCAGATTGTTCCTCCCCATCATATGCTCTCTTTCTTTCCTCTTTACTATTCTTCTCTTACAGAGCACTAGAAAGAGGCATTAAAAACCATCTAGTAGGGCTGGGCACGGTGGCTCACGCCTGTAATCCTAGCACTTTGGGAGGTCGAGGCGGGCAGATCACCTGAGGTCAGGAGTTCAAGACCAGCCTGATCAACATGGAGAAACACTGTCTGTATTAAAAATACAAAATTAGCTGGGCGTGGTGGTGTGTGCCTGTAATCCCAGCTACTTGGGAGGCTGAGGCAGGGGAATCACTTGAACCCAGAAGGCAGAGGTTGCAGTGAGCCGAGATCACGCCATTGCACTCCAGCCTGGGCAACAAGAGTGAAACTCCGTCTCAAAAAAAAAAAAAAAAAGCCATCTAGCAGGTTGAGTGCAGTGGCTCATGCCTGTAATCCCAGCACTTTGGGAGGCCAAGATGAGCAGATCACGAGGTCAAGAGATCGAGGCCATCCCAGCTAACATGGTGAAACCCCATCTTTACTGAAAATACAAAAAATTAGCCGGGCGTGGTAGGCTGTGCCTGTAGTCCCAGCTACTCGGGAGGCTGAGGCAGGAGAATCGCTTGAACCCAGGAGGCAGAGGTTGCAGTGAGCCGAGATCGTGTCACTGCACTCCAGCCTGGGTGACAAAGCAAGACTCCATCTCAAACAAAAACAAAAACAAAAACAAAAACAAAACAAAGAACAAGTTAATGTAATGATGTCACATCTGTGTTCAACTCGGTTTAGAAAACACAGGTTAGACTAAGCATGGCTTTCTTTGCCTTTTCTCTCTAATGTGGGGCTGCTACTTGTTTATTTGTGTAGTCCTTTTTGAGCATTCAACAGATACTATATTTATTGGGTTTTTTTCATGAGTCAGACTCAGCAGACAGATGGAAGGAAATTCTAAAAGTCTGGGAAAAAACATCTTTATGTGAGAAAAAATTACAATCGACAAACATCAAGTACCCTTTCTGGGAGTGTTTATATTTAGAAAGAGGTTTCATTTCTTTTTACCTGAAAAGAACAGCTGTAATAGTGGAATTTCGGCCAGTGTGACATGTCAGGAGAGGAGGTCTATTTGGGGACAGGAATACCCTCCCAAAGTCACTCAAATCATGCAATTGAGGCAGCACTTTCCTTGTCTGGGCAGAGGTCTTTCCAAAGGGTGGGTCCCAGTGGCAAGATGACTTCCAGCTTCATCTTGAGAAAAGATGGAGATGGGACCCTTGATGGGACTTGACCCTTGTGTAACTTTGCAGAAAAGAGAAGAGAGCAACAGTGGGAAGAACTTGCTCCATTCATGGCCATCTGGGTGGTGGAGCAGGTGTCTCCAGGTGTGTTCAGGTTGCCATGTCAATAAGCACGTCAGCCTGCACCTACCCTGCTGTTTCCAGAGAAACCCTCTCCTCTTCCTGGTGTCCTTTGCTCTGGGATTCAGCTTCCTCTACCATGACTATGAGTGAGCACAGATCCCACAGAAATCCTCTGCCCTTGACCCGTTCTCTTAGTGTTTAGAAGCACATCTGTAGGTGGGAAGGAAAGACAGTGGGAAGGAATGTCAGATGAATGACTTCAAAATGTCAACCCAAAGGCCTGTTGCTTCCTAAGTAGGTGGCCATGGCAAATGCTTTACCTTCCCAGGCTTCAGTTTCTTAAATCTGAAAGTGAGGATAACGATAGAATCTTCAGAGGGTTGTGGGAGGATTAAATGAAATCACACATGAAAATGCTTTAGCACAGTGGTAAATGCTTAATTAATAGTAGCTTGGATCATTATTCATGCCCCGAAAATTCAGGATATAAGACCAATTGATTCTTAGGGAGGCTCGTGGACCTGGCATGCACCTGTCTCCCACCACTGGCTCCCTGGGAGGCCCACAGTCTACTTTGCATATTTCCTAGCAGAGAAGAGAAGTGGCTTTATCTGTGGGGTAAAGTCCCCCACTCCAGGAAGGAATTCAGGGGGTGGAACAGAATGGGTGTTGGATTCTGATCTCTGTGGATGACTCACCTGCTTTGGCTTGGAACTTGCCTTTGCAAAATGGGGATAATAAAGCATTTCCCCCTTCACTGCCCCTCCCTTGTCTCCCAATTTATGAGTCTGGCAGGAACTGATTAGCTTGTAAACTGTTCTGGTCTCCCTTGGAGAAAAACATCTGATGGAGGCGGTGAGGATGGTTACAGTTTTCAGAATTGAAGATTTCAAAGCAATGCTTCCCAATACGTGGAAGTGAAGACTTTGTTACATCTGGACTCAGGCAAGTGTAGGGTACAAATAGTATAGTATTACCTGGGAAGGTCAATCTTGGAGAACCAATGGTCCTAGGGTTAGTATTTGTGCCTGAAGCTATGTGGTAGGATAAATGATTTTCAGACCCTTGGCAACAAGGAACTTTTATTCAAAACTTTGTGGTTAGGGCACAGGCTCTGAGTTGGACTCTCAGGTTTGAATTCTAGCTCAACTGTTGCTAGCTGTGTGACCTTGCACCAGTTTGCTAATCTTTCTGAGCCTCAGTTTCCTCATATGTAAAATAGAAGTAATGACAATACCTAACTCATAGGATTGTTTTCAGTATTAAATGAGTTTTAAAAATCTAAAGCTTGAACAGAGTGTTTGACACAGCCAAAGGCTTGGTAAGTAAGTATTAGCTTTTATCCATCTATACATCAGCTTATCCATGTATATCATCATGATGTGGACTGAGCAGTGCTGTGTAGAAGTAAGAATCTGGTATTTGAAACAGTTACACCCTGAGTTCCAATCCTGCCTGACCACTCAGAAGTTTTGTGACCTCTGGGCCTTTGCACATACTGTCCCTCAGTTTCTGTATCTAATGGCTGAAAGATGATGATACCTAAATAAGCTGTATAAAATACAAAAACATCTTTAAAGTGTCAAAGAGCTAACAAGACACTGAGGAAGACTGGCTGAGATCTGGGAAAAGACAGGATCTCAGAGAGGTGAGCCCAATACTCCAGGCTGCTTTTGTCCAGGAACGTTGGCTGATGTTGAATAGGCACTAAATGATTGAGCTGTAATTTTGTCAGCCTGTAGAGATCTGCTTGAACTCTAGCTTGAACTGTGGCTAGTCTTTGAGTCATCAGGGTGGCCCAGAAAATCTCAATGTTTTGAATTTGATTAAATCATCTAAGACAGTCAGTAGCCTCAGGTGTTTGACAGAAGCTAATGACAATCCCCTTTGGAAGAACAGAACATCATCCTTGGCCTCAAATCAATAATTATGTTTTAAAATACAGTATCCAATAAGCAAGAAAGATATCTAGGCACATGAAGAGACAAGACATTGCCTTGTCACGCCTGTAATCCCAGCACTTTGGGAGGCCAAGGCGGACAGATCACAAGGTCAGAAGTTCAAGACCAGCCTGACCAACATGGTGAAACCCCGTCTTTACTAAAAATACAAAAATTAGCCCGGCGTGGTAGCGCATGCCTGTAATCCCAGCTACTGGGGAGGCTGAGGCTGGCAGATCACCTGAGGTCAGGAGTTTGAGACCAGCCTGACCAACATAGTAAAACCCCATCTTTACTAAAAATACAAAAATTAGCCAGGTGTGGTAGCACATGGATGTAATCCCAGCACTTTGGGAGGCTGAGGTGGGCGGATCACTTGAGGTCAGGGGTTTGAGACCAGCCTGGTCAACATGGTAAAATCCCATCTTTACTAAAAATAAAAAAAATTAGCCAGGGCTGGTGGCACGTGCCTGTATTCCCAGCTACTGAGGAGGCTAAGGCAGGAGAATTGCTTGAACCCAGGAGGTGGAGGTTGCAGTGAGCCAAGATCATGCGATTGCACTCCAGCCTGGGCAACAGAGCAAGACTTCATCTCAGAAAAAAGACGAGACACCATGAACAAGAGTCAAGAAAAACAACAGACAGCAGAAACAGATCCATAGGAACTACTGTTGATGGAATTAACAGAGACCAATCAGAAAACAACCATGCTTACTACATTCAAGGAGATACAAGTTGGAAGATGTTGTCAGAAAACAGGAAAGTGATAAAAAGTGATAGCATATTTGAAAAAGAACCAATAGAAATTCCATAACTGAAAAATATAAGAACCAAAACTAAGAATGCAATGGATGGTTTTAGTGTTAGATTAGACGCAGCTAAAGAAAAAATAGCAACGAACTGTAAAGGTCAAAACAGGTCAAAAGACAATCTTTTAAGATACAGTATGGGGAATTAAAAAGGCAGGAAATATAGAAGAAGTAAATGACATGAAATGTCTAACTTAATAATTGGAGTCTCAGAAGGAAAAAGACAAGGGAGCACAGGTTATGTTTGAAGATAATGACGAAAAAAGGTGCCAGAGGCCGGATGCAGTGGCTCACGCCTGTAATCCCAGCACTTTGGGAGGCTGAGGTGGGCGGATCACCTGAGGTCAAGAGTTCGAGACCAGCCTGGCCAACATGGAGAAATCCCATCTCTACTAAAAATACAAAATTAGCTGGGTGTGGTGGCGCATGCCTGTAATCCCAGCTACTCGGGAAGCTGAGGCATGAGAATCGATTGAACCCGGGAGGTGGAGGTTTTGGTGAGCTGAGATCGCACCATTGCACTCCAGACTGGGCAACAAGAGCGAAACTCCGTCTCAAAAAAAAAAAAAAAAGGTGCCAGAATGAGAATACATTTCTTCAGACACAAGAAGCCCAACAATTCCCTTTTGTTTAAAGAAGCCCAAGAATAAACAGGAAGAAATCCACACCTAATGATGAAACTGCCCCAGTGATTCCTATTCTTGGAACATTCTTTCGCAATGACCATTCTAGCTAAATCTTATCCAAGGGCACATCTTATCTTACAACTAACGTAAACTAAAATACTTCATGTTTCTCCTCCTCTCCCCAGTTCTGAGTTAGGTGGACCCTCCTCTTTATTCCCAAAACATCCTAGGCTTACTTGGATTTTCTAGCAAATCATAGTTGACATTGCCTCTTTTTTTTTTTTCCCCCGAGACGTAGTCTTTCTCTGTTGCCCAGGCTGGAGTGCAGTGGCGTGATCTTGGCTCACTGCAACCTCTGCCTCCCGGGTTCAAGCAATTCTCCTGCCTCAGGCTACCGAGTAGGTGGGATTACAGGCGCACGACACCATGCCTGGCTGATTTTTGTATTTTTAGTAGAGACGGAGTTTCACCATGTTGGCCAGCTTGGTCTTGAACTCCTGACCTCGTGATCCGCCCTTGTCGGCCTCCCAAAGGGCTGGGATTATCGGCATGAGCCACCGCGCCTGGCCCAACATTGCCTCTTTATCTTAACTCTTAACACCAGACTGTGAGCTCTAGGAGGGTAGGGAATATGTCTTTGTTGTGGTTCCCCAGCATCTCAGCACAGAGCCTGGCACACAGAAAAGTACTGGAAAATGTTTGTCCAAGAATTAAAGTTATCTAAATTCTTTGAGCCTCAATTTTCTCATCCACAAAATGGGGACAATAATACCAATCTCATGCATTCTCTACATGATTGTGAGAATTAAATCAGATGAAACTGGTGTACCAGACATTTCTTGACACAGTAATGCTATATAGTTGAACTCCCTAAGCCTCTGTTTTTTTATTTGTCAAATGGAGACAATAATACCCACTGGGTCATTTTTATTATGGGCCGAGACAAGATATCAAGCATGTCATAGTTGACAGTGAGGGTTAAATGAACTAAAAGGATGCCCATTTGTTGAATTCCTATGATGTGTCATTGGCTGTGTTAGGAGATTTATATTCATTATCTCATTTTCAAGTAGATGAAAACATGAAGCATATGGTTCTTTTCTTCACTCTTAGATGCCTGAGAACTAAAAGTCTTACAGAGACCTCATCATAGAAGAACTGTCCTGGAGGAAGAGGAAGGAGAAAGAGAAAAAATGTTTTATATCCTGGGGGAAGCTCCTGATTTTCAAGCTCTGCTCCAAGCTCTGGGCTGAAGTAGAGAGCAATGATTTTGTTGAGCAGGATTACCTCTTTTATGCTCAGTTAATTAAAACATTTTTCTGGATGATGCAAAAGTCTGCAAAGCCATAAAGCCATAGGGACTGTTAGTAATTCTGGCCTAATGTTACTCTTCCTATAATCAGTAACCTTCCCAGAAATAAATATCCAGTTCAGTAAAAACCATCCCCTTCTAGAAAGACAAGAAGGGGTACATGGTCAAAATCTCATGAGGCTGATTTGAAAGGACCCAAAGCCCTGTCCTCGGTTGTTTTATGCCAGCAACCTCTGGTGCCCATTTTGTGTAGGCATTGTGTGACACACTCATTTGATTTTTACAGCACTTAAAGTTTGCATTAATTTGTGTTATACTAGATGCTAAAGTTTCAGAAACCCTAAAATTTCAGAGGTTTAACACAATAGAAGTTCATTTTTCTCTCACTTAGTCCAATGAAGTTGTTATTGGTCAATGGGTAGTTTTCCTCCATACAGTGACTCAGGGATCCAGGCCTGGATGATGACACACGTCACTTCTGTTCATGTCCCCGTGGCAGAAATTAGTCCCATGGCTGCATCTGGGTACAAGAAGACTGGAAAATGGAACCCAGGTTTGGGCAGCCGCTTTTCAGCAACAACTTCACACTATGGAAGGGGAGGCATGAGTTTTGGGCAGACAGCAATATCTTTTAGAAATGTATTATCATTATCATCGTCATAATCATCATCATTCCCTACCCCATTTTTGGGTGGGGAAACTGAGATTTCAATGTTTAGGTAACTTACCCAAGGTCCATAGCTAGTAAGTGGTAGAAGCAGAATTTGAACTCAGGTAGTCTGGTTGCAAATCCCATGTGCTTGCTACTGTAACCTGATAGCATGCAATGATGAATAAGATGTAGTCATTCTCCCCAGAGCCCCCCAGGAAAAAGGTAATGTCACATATGCCCATAAGAAGTGCTTACACAGTCATTCTAAGTCAGAGCTTAGATTCCACCTTCAAAAAGAAGACTTCCCTGCTGCCCTTATCTTCTAGTCATTCAGCACCCCCAGGCACTCTGTCTCATATACCCCCATGTGTTTTCTTCACAGTGCTATCACCATCTGAAATCATACACACATTTGTTTCTTTGTGTGTCGACTATCTCCCCAACTATAATATAAACTCCCTGAAAGCAGGGACCTGTCTATCTTGTTAGTATCCCAGTACCCATCATAGAATCTGGCATAGAGTAAATCCTTCATCAATTTTTGTGAAATAAATGAGCAGATATATCTACCAAATGCTGCTGAAGCAGATACATTCACTTACTCATTCTGATATTCATTCTCTCATGTACTTGCGGAGTCACATACTCATTCATTCATTCATTCATCTGTAGACTCTCAAAAGTCAGGGCCTCATCTGGGGATAAAGAGGTGATAGTTCTTGGTCTAAGAGTAGCTTGGGAAAACCTGACAGGCTTCCTGTAGGTGGTGATGTTAGAGCTGGAGGGAGTATTTTTGGGTTGGGGAAAGGGGTGTTATATTACTTCTTTGGACACTTTTACATTTTCACTTGATCTGTTCCCAAATGCATTGCTCTCACTACCTTTGTAAACTACCATTGTTGGGAAGAAGACCAGCCTGGCTACCATTTTATGACTGCAAAGCTCTTGAATGTTACAAAGAATCTAAGGAGTATGTAATAGATTCACCATGGCACAAAGTGGGCTGGTCATTTCTGTCTGAGAGGGGAGTAAGGGCGGGTTCTAGCTTCATAGCAAAGTGCTAGTAGCTTTTGTTAGTCTATAATTAAGTGACTCAGCCACCCATGTGACAATCAGCCCATCTCAAATTCCTGATGCTACAGTAATGCCAATGTCACAGCTGTAAGCATGAGTGGACTGTCCCCAAGGAACAGTACTCAAAATCTTAAAAATCTGAGTTGTATTCTCCAGTTTTCTTTTTGGACAAGCCAAGCCAATGAGTATGGCAGCTATGTCAATTCCTGGTACCAATAATATGCTTATATAATGTCACGAATGACATACCTGACAGAATCAAAGTTAGGGTTGGCTGCTCTAGAAAGAAATAGTTGAACTTTTCCTATGAGAGGCTGCTCCAGCCCTAGAATTGTTGAGGTCTGGTGCTGATGAAAGCTTAGAGAACAGGCTTAGAGCAAAGGGCCAGGTGTTCCAAAAGTTGTTCACATCTTCTTTGGGATGCTTTTTATTTAAAAAAATACCACTGTAATAAAATTTTAATGTCTGAAATTTAGAAAAATACAAACATGCAAAAAATGCAAACAAAACAAAGTAAAAATCATGTCCAATTCTGAGAGCCCAGAGGTAATCAACTTAATTTGATGCCTATTCTTTCATTTTCTCTTTCTCTCTCTGCATGTATGTACGTGTGTGTCTTTTTCCAAAAATGGGAGCCCCACCTCTTTGCAAACTTCTCTTTTCACCCAATAACACATTGCATACACCGTTTCATTTCATTTGATCTGTCATTTTCTATGAGACTATTTTTATTGGTTACTGATTATTCTATGATATGGCGGAATTCCTTGTTTATTTGAAAAAGCCCCTATGGGGTAGCCATTTAAGTTGCTTGTCATCTTTCCCATGAAAATATATGCCTGAATGATTATTTCTGAGGCTAGGTATTGAGTCAAATGATGAGGAGTTTTAATTTAATTTAATTTTTTTGAGACAGAATCTTGCTCTGTTGCCTTGGCTGGAGTGCAATACCATGATCTTGGCTCACTGCAACCTCTGCCTCCCAGGTTCAAGTGATTCTTGTGCCTCAGCAGCCCGAGTAGCTGGCATTACAGGCATGTCCCACCAGTCCCAACTAATTTTTGTATTTTTTGTAGAGATGGGATTTCACCATGTTGGCCAAGCTTGTCTTGAATTCCTGGCCTCAAGTGATCCGTCTGCTTTGGCCTCCCAAAGTGCTGGGATTACAGGTGTGAGCCATCATGCCCTGCCTGGTGTGTACCTTTTAAATCATGGCATTTTTTTCACCAGAAAAATGGAGAAACTCTAGTTGTTCTAGCTGTGCAAATTGAAATAAAGGTTAATTTAAAGTGTGTGTGGGTGGAGAGACTGAGTGTAATATTATGATTAGCTGTAAATACAAAAATTAAATGCTCTTTTATTTGAATAGATCTACTGCAAGGGGGTCATTTTGACCGCAATTCTTTCTTGTAATGGAAAACTATAGAGATATTCACCTGGGAAGTAGTAGGTAGTGGAAACACCGGATTTCCCCTCCTTTCAGGATGTTTAGGTTTATGCTTTTGCATGTGACATTTTTTGTGAACTTTTAAATGGGCTTGGAAATCTTCTGCTTTATTTGAGAGATCCTCTCTCTAGGACTGGGTCTCTCCTAGACTTTACCGATATAATACGTACCCATTTATTCCTTTCATCTTCTCCAAGAAGAGAAACGAACACAGAGCCAAAGGAAGCAGCTTCCTAGGCTATCAGCAGATATGTCTTCTTTTTTTTTCTTTTCTTTTTTTTTTGAGATGAACTCTTGCTCTGTCACCCATGCTGGAGTGCAGTGGCGTAATCTTGGCTCACTGCAATCTCTGTCTCCCAGGTTCAAGTGATTCTCCTGCCTCAGCTTCCTGAGTAGCTGAGATTACAGGCGTCTGCCACCACGCCTGGCTAATTTTTGTATTTTTAATAGAGATGGTGTTTCACCATATTGGCCAGGCTGATTTCAAACTCCTGACCTTAGGTGAGCTACCCACCTTGGCCTCCCAAAGTGCTGGGATTACAGGCTTGAGCCACTGCATCCAGACCAGATTTATCTTCTTCACAGGACAGGCGTGTTCTCGAGGAGGGCTGAGAATGATTCCCAGCTACTCTACAGGACCAGTGGCTTGTATCAGCAGTCACAGTGAGATGCAGGGTTTTCATGGCTATGAGGAGTTTACTCTCTCATCAACCCTGTCCACCTTCAATAGTCAAAGGCAGTTCTCTGCCAACCCAGTCTGATCATAGGATTTCCTCCCATTTATAGGATACACACTATATGCCAGGCAGGTTATATCCATCAACTTGCAAGGTAGACATTTGTATCTCTATTTTGCAGATGAAGAGATAGAAACTGAACGAGGTGAATGACTTGCCCAGGGTCACACATTTAGGAAGTGGATGAGCCAGGATTCTGATTCAGCTCCATCTGATTCCAGAGCCCCTAAACTCTCGCCTCTATGCCTCATTGCCACTGTGACTTGTTACTATTCCTGTAACTTTGAACTCATCAGAGGTGGGTAGATTTTGACAAAGGAATTGTTATTTTTCGTTGTCTGTGTTTTATGGCTCCAGCAATGCCATTTTTCTACCAATCATACATGTTAATGGTCTGAAAAACTTGGTTTTATGGGTATAACCAAAGAATCCTGAGGACATATAAGTAAATGCCTTTATCTAAAAATGTGGGCTGGGGGCGATGACTCACACCTGTAATCCCAGTGCTTTGGGAGGCTGAGGTGGGAGGATGGCTTGAGGCCAGGTGTTTGAGACCAACTTGGGTAACATAGTGAGACCCTGTATCTACAAAAAAATTAAAAAATTAGCCAGGCATGATGGTGTGTGCCTGTAGTCCCAGCTACTTGGGGGGCTGAAGTGGGAGGATTGCTTGAGCCCAGGAATTCAAGGTTATAGTGAGCTATGATCATGCCACTGAACCCAGCCTGGGTAGCAGAATGAGACCTTGTCTCTCTAAAAAACATAAAGAATAAAAAATAAATTTGGGCTTCTGGCTCTGGTTGCCATGAAGAGAGGAACCTACTCATCCTTCAGGAATGAGTTCTGGGCTCTCTGGGAGCTTTTCCTGATGCTTCCGTCCTCCCCTCCAGTTCTGGATCAGATGCCTTAGAACTCTGAATCTGTCACTTGAGAGAGGCATCATAAAGAAATGTTCAGCTTTGACGTCTGCCTCTCCCAGATACAAGGGCCTTCTTATCAGTGCTGTCTGCCTTGAGTGCTCAACAGATGAGTCTGGGCTTATCTGGCAAAGTGATTTTCAGCTTTTCACTTCCTGCATCTGTCCATTCCACTCAATGGCCATTTCTGGGGCCTCCTGGGTGCCACGGATAACTAAGACAGAGTCTCCACCGCGGAAGATTCCTGTCTAGTGGAGTCAGGCAGATAGTAAATCTGAATATTTAATAGCAAAAAATTGAAAGTGAGTGAACAAAAGCTACATGTATCATCAACATGGATAAGTTTCAAAAATATACAGTTCAGCCGGGTGCGGTGGTTCAGGCCTCTAACCCAGCACTTTGGGAGGCCGAGGTGGGTGGATCACCTGAGGTTAGGAGTTCGAGACCAGCCTGGCCAACATGGCGAAACACTGTCTCTACTAAAAATACAAAAATTAGCAGGGCATGGTGGCATGTGCCTGTAATCCCAGCTATTTGGGAGGCTGAGGCAGGAGAATCGCTTGAACCTGGGAGGCAGAGGTTGTAGTGGGCTGAGATCACACCACTGCACTCCAGCCTGGGCAACAGAGTAAGACTCTGTCTCAAAAAAAAAAAAAAAACTATGTGTATATATATATACGTACATATAATCCTTTATAAACAATAAAAGTCATGGAAGATACATCTACCTTGGTCTCATTTATATAAAGTTAAAAATGCTAAACAATACTGCATATGATTTAGTGATACAAACCAATGTGCGATAAATACCAAAGTGATGATAGTAGTTATCTCAAGGTGATAGGGAGGAACTCCTGTTGGGGAGAGGTGGATAGCGGGCTTCAATTGTATATGTGACATCTTATTTCTCAGGGGAAGAGTGGGAGACATGTGAGTGTATGTGGCATTATTCTCTTTATATATTTGTAATTGCTAATACTTCACTTTAAAAGGTAGGCTCTAGGCCAGGCACGGTGGCTCACACCTGTAATCCCAGCACTTTGGGAGGCCGAGGCGGGTGGATCACGAGGTCAGGAGTTCAAGACCAGCCTAGCCAATATAGTGAAACTCATCTCTACTAAAAATACAAAAAATTAGCCAGGCGGGGTGGCGCATGCCTGTAATCCCAGCTACTCGGGAGGCTGAGGCAGGAGAATCGCTTAAACTCGGGAGGTGGAGGTTGTAGTGAGCAGAGATCATGCCACTGTACTCCAGCCTGGGTGACACAGCAAGACTCCATCTCAAAAAAAAAAAAAAAAAAAAAAAAAGGTAGGCTCTAAAGAAATACACACAAATATACACATGTAGTCTCATCCTTGTTTTATATTTTAAAATAATTTTATGTTTGTCGTGGAGAAAAGGTGGGAGGAAATATTAGGTTAAACCGTATGAAATTGTCATTTTTGTAGGCTGAAAATTGTCAAATATCAGCAATTTCATATGGTTCAACCTAACACATCAAAATGGCAACAATCATTATTCCTGAGAGTGCAAGTATGGGTGATTTTGTTTTCTTTTAAATTTTTAATGTCTTTTTTGGTTTTCTATCATGAGCAGGTATTTCTCTTTTTTTTTTTTTTTTTTTTTTTTTTTGTGACAGAGTCTCGCTCTGATGCCCAGGCTGGAGGTCAATGGCGCGATCTCAGCTCACTGCAACCTACGCCTCCCAGGTTTAAGCGATTCTCGTGCTTCAGCCTCCTGATTAGCTGGAACTACAGGTGATCGCCACAACGCATGGCTAATTTTTGTATTTTTAGTAGAGACAGGGTTTCACCATGTTGCCTAGGCTGGTCTTGAACTCCTGACCTCAGTTGATCCACCCACCTCGGCCTCCCAAAGTGCTGGGATTATAGGCATGAGCCACCGCTCCCGGCCAACATGTATTTTTCATATCAGAAAAATATCCATGTATATTGAGAGAAAAGAGAGGAAGTTGTTGGGCCCACCTTGGGGATGGGACTTCATGCCCGGCAGTGTGGGATGATGAAGGGAGAGAGGGCTGTGTTCGAGTTCCTGCTCTGCTAGTAACCAGCTAATGTGACCAACAAATCCACTTTACCTTCTTGGGACCTCAATCTCTCCATCTATAAAACAGCAAAGTTGGAAAAGGATCATTTCCAATGTGCTTTTATGTTCTATAAGCCTTTTTTGCTTTATGCCAAGTCTATTCCCTTAGACGTGGGGGAAAGTCGAGTTGACGGCAGTTCATCTCCACATCACAAAATATGTCTTTCTGCTGCCCCCTCGTGTGGCCTGTGGAACAGCCTTCCACTTCCCGTCACCTGGTTAGTTCATTTGTGCCCCAGGGTGGGGTCCTGGCACAGGTGCTGATGATGCAGTTGTAAATAATGAGTTTACACAGGATGACGATGACTGCAAATACTGTGGGCCATTAGGATCTCTGGCACAGACACCAAACAAAGACATTGCTATGGAGCTGTAAAAGATAAATCCCACAGCTCGAGGTCCAGCAAGTTCACTGAATGAGCATGAGGAAGAGGAGTCCTCCACTGCCACCCCATAACCATATTTTCCCCATTAAGGGCCAATGATGAAATGGATCAAGTGAGGGTCACATACAAACAATAGCTGTTGTTTTATTGTCCTTGAGAGAAATGCAGAATGTTCTCTTTCTTTCTTTCTTTCTTTCTTTCTTTCTTTCTTTCTTTCTTTCTTTCTTTCTTCCTTCCTTCCTTCCTTCCTTCCTTCCTTCCTTCCTTCCTTCCTTCCTTTCTTTTTTGAGACGGAGTCTCGCTCTGTCACCTAGGCTGGAGTGCAGTGGCGTGATCTCAGCTTAATGCAACCTCTGCCTGCCGGGTTCAAGCAACTCTCTGCCTCAGCCTCCCAAGTAGCTGAGATCACAGGCGGCAGCCACTATGCGCAGCTAATTTTTGTATTTTAGTAGAGATGGGTTTCCACCATCTTGGCCAGGATTGTCTTGAACTCCTGACCTTGTGATCCACCTGCTTCAGCCTCCCAAAGTGCTGGGATTACAGGCGTGAGCCACAGTGCCTGGCCAGGTTTCTAGCAATTTCTAGTGGCTAGGAAAAGGAATGATGAAGGATATTAAACCCTTCACTTCACACATATGAATAATTTAGTATATGTAATATAGTTTGGTCTTATAGCCATTTAGGAGAAAGTAGAGAGAATGGGCAGTGGTGAGGAAGGAAACAAAAAAAAGCCCAGAAATTAAGGGAAAGAGGAGGAGGGAAACTAACACTTACGGTGCCAGGGACTTTGCTGGAGTTGTGATATCAATACTTCAGAACAATCCGGAGAAGAAGCCCCAACTGCTCTCATTTTTTCCACACAAAGAAACTAGAGCTCAGAAAGATTATGGAAAACAATGCTGGCCACACAGCTTGTAAGAAGTGGGAACTGGACTCAATTCTGTCTGACCACTCCAAAACCTGTTGTTTTATTTTTTATTTTGGTCCACCCTATGCTAAGTGGGTGAGATAAAAGGAGCACTGGAAATGCAGAGGAAGAGGAGGAAGTTGGAGAGGGAAAGTGGGACAGGCAGAGGCACACGGAGGATGACCCACGGCCATCAAGAACAGGAACTGCCGGCAGAAAGAGACAGGGGAGGCTGGGCGCGGTGGCTCATGCCTGTAATCCCAGCACTTTGGGAGGTCAAGGCAAGCGGATCCCCTGAGGTCAGGAGTTCAAGACCAGGCTGGCCAACGTGGTGCAATTCCATTTCTATTAAAAATACATACAAATTAGCCAGGTGTGGTGGCATGTGCCTGTAATCCCAGCAACTTGGGGAGGCTGAGGCAGAAGAATCGCTTGAGCCCAGGAGGCGAAGATTGTGGTGAGTCGAGATTGCACCACTGTACTCCAGAGTGGGTGACTGAGCAAGACGCCATCTCAAAAAAAAAAAAAAAAAGAGAGAGAGAGAAAAAGGAGTCAGAGAATTCCACATGTGTGTGCGCGTATATGCAAACACACACATGCCCTCAACATCACTATCACTATCACCACCATCACCATCACCACCACCACCACCATCACCACCACCACCATCACCACCACCACCACCACCACCACCACCATCACCACCACCACCATCTAAGCAGAAGCAGAAACACAGGGTAACTGAAAGAGGGAAAAAAAGACTTTTGCTGATAACATTCTTCCCTGTGCCCTGTTAGGATACTGTCATGGAAGGTAATTGATATGGTTAGGCTCTGTGAACCCACCCAAATATCATCTTGAATTATAATCCCCATAATCCCCACGTGTTGAGGGAGGGACCGGGTGGGAGGTGATTGGATCATGGGAGCAGTGTCTCCCATGCTGTTTTCATGATAGTGAGTGAGTTCTCACAAGATCTAATGGTTTTATAAGTGTCTGATATTTCCTCCTTTGCACACTTGCTGTCTCTTGCCTACCATCATGTAAGACGTGCCTCTTTCCCTTTTGCCATGATTGTAAGTTTCCTGAGGCCTCCTCAGTCATGCAGAACTGTGAGCCAATTAAACCTCTTTTCTTTATAAATTACCCAGTCTTGGGCAGTTCTTTATAACAGTGTGAGAATGGACTAATACAGTAATCAAACCATGTTGCATTTTCACAACATTAGGAACAAATAAGGAAATGAAAGACCTGGCCTTGGCTGGGTGCAGTGGCTCATGCCTGTAATCCCAGTACTTTTGGAGGCCAAGGTGGGAGGATCACTTGAGGCCAGGAGTTTGAGATCAGCCTAGGCAATACAGTGGGACTCCATCTCTACAAAAAATGAAAAAATAAAAAAATCAGTTGGGTGTGGTGATGTGCACCTGTAATCCCAGCCTCTTGGGAAGCTGAGGTGGGAGTATTGCTTGAGCCCAGGAGGTCGAGGCTGCAGTGAGCCGTAATCACGCCACTGCACTCCAGTCTGGGCGTCAGAGCAAAATCCTGTCTCTAAAATAAAATCAAATAAGGCCAAGCATGGTGGCTCACACCTGTAATCCCAGCACTTTGGGAGGCTGAGGCGGGTGGATCACGAGGTCAGGAGATCGAGACCATCCTGGCTAACATGATGAAACCCCGTCTCTAATAAAAATACAAAAAATTAGCTGGGCGTGGTAGGATGTGCCTGTAGTCCCAGCTATTCGGGAGGCTGAGGCAGGAGAATCACTTGAACCCCAGAGGCGGAGGTTGCAGTGAGCCGAGATCGTGCCACTGCACTCCAGCCTGGGCGACAGACAGAGCGAGACTCCGTCTCAAAAAACAATAATAATAATAACAATAAATAAAATAAAGACTGCCGAGGGGATGCTTTTTGTTCTGATTCTTTGATGTCTACATATGTCTCCTGTGCCCATCGAATATAGGGAAATATTATGAATTCAAATTCTGGTAATCCTGGCCGGGCA
This sequence comes from Homo sapiens, assembly GCF_000001405.40. Lineage (NCBI taxonomy): Eukaryota > Metazoa > Chordata > Mammalia > Primates > Hominidae > Homo > Homo sapiens. The sequence goes on from NC_000001.11 coordinate 19,875,462, forward strand.
TGGTGGCTCATGCCTGTAATCCTAGCACTTTGGGAGGCCGAAGTGGGTGGATCGTTTGAGGTCAGGAGTTCAAGACCAACCTGGTCAACATGGTGAAACCCTGTCTCTACTAAAAATACAAAAATCAGCCTGGCACGGTGGCACATGCCTGTAATCCCAGCTACTTGGGAGGCTGAGGCAGGAGAAGTGCTTGAGCTGGGAGGTGGAGGTTGCAGTGAGCCAAGATCATGCCACTGTACTTCAGCCTGAGCAACAGAGCAAGATTCCATTTCAAAAAACAAGAACAAAAACAAAAAAAACCACCAAATTCTAGTAATTCTTAACCTGTGACAGTTTGAACATGGCTGATTTGATATTTAATTTTGCTTAGAGAACCTTGTCCTCAGAAGAAGAGCAAATTAGCAATAAAATCAAGATTGATTAGGGGGCGATATGGTGAGAAGGGCAAGAGAGCAAATGCTAAGAACTCTTAAAGACTTCAGAAATGCCTGTTTCTAGGGGAAAGCTACATGCTTACTGCAAATTCCTTTTAGGTGAAAAAGTAGATCTCAAGATAACTCTATAGGGCTTCAATGTAAGGGAAAGAATAGATTTTGTTAGTCTAGAAAAATAATTTTGTTGGCCAGGTGTGGTGGCTGATGCCTATAATCCCAGCACTTTGGGAGGCTGAGGTGGGAGGATTGCTTGAGTCCAGGAGTTTGAGATCAGCCCGGGCAACATAGCGAGACCTTGTCTCTTTTAAAGAAAAAAAAAGAAAAGTTAATTATTTTATTAATTTTGCTGGGTGCAGTGGCTCACGCCTGTAATCCCGGCATGTTGGGAGACGGAGGTGGGCAGACCACCTGAGGTCAGGAGCTCAAGATCAGCCTGGCCAACATGGTGAAAACCCATCTCTACTAAAAATACAAAAAATTAGCTGGGCATGGTGGCGGGCGCCTATAATCCCAGCTACTATGGGGGCTGAGGCAGGAGAATCGCTTGAACACGGGAGGTGGAGGTTGCAGTGAGCTGAGATCGCACCATTGCACTCCAGCCTGGGCAACAAGAGCAAAACTTTGTCTCAAAAAAAAAAATAATAATTTTATTAATTGTAATAATGCACACAATACATGAACACAATACCCTCATTTAAAAATACATATGAAATAACGATAAGGTCACTTTCACTCTTTCCTCTCTCCTTACTCTGATCCATTTGCTATGTGCCCTTCCAAACCATCTTCTATGTTTCTGAGTATGAAGATAGAGGCGAGAAGATTGCTTGAGTCGAGGTATTGGAGGCTGTAGTGAGCCATAGTTGCCCCACTGCACTCCAGCCTGAGTAACAGAGTGAGAGCCTGTCACTAAAAAAGGAAAAAAAAAAGTACACACATATACTTGCAGAAAACATGTAATTCTTCTGTTGTGTCTTATGTTGTTGAGTTTTACATAAAGTCTGCACTGAACGGATCATTCGATCCCATACTTTTCATTTGACCACATGCCTAGGAGAGCTAACCATGTGAGTTCATCTAGACCGACCTCATTTCTCCACCACCTCATTCTTTTTTTGTTTTTGTGTTACTTTAAGTTCTGGGATACATGTGCAGAACGTGCAGGTTTGTTACATAGGTATACATGTACCACGGTGGTTTGCTGCACCTAACAACCCGTCATCTATCCACCACCTCATTCTTTTATGCTGCTGCGTTGTATGTAATAAATAGCTGTTCCATAATTTAAGAAGCCATTTTCCTATTGATGGATATTTAGGTTGTTTCTAGTTATTTGTTTTTACACACCACCATGCCTTAAACATCCTTCTGAGGCAGGATAAGTAAGGTTAGAAGGCCATGTTGACTTGTCCCCTTGTGTGACGCTCCGCGGGTTCCTTCCGCATCCTTTGCACCCACGCCTAACTCTTCTGCAAGGGTCCCACAGGATACCAGCCGACCAGATGGTTACAAGTTCCTGGTATCTGTCTCAGACAGCCCGGAAAAGAGAACAAAAAGCCCTAATTCTTCTTGTAGCTTCTCCAATCTCCAGCCAATCAGCTTCAAAAGCCCAAGAAGCTATTAGCTACAAATGCCTGCCCTGAGGGAGCTAGGGACTTCTCCGGGGTCCCGCATCGGCAGCTAGGCTCAAGGTTTAGCTTGCAGACCTTTTCCTCATTTTAATGGTTAAACAAAAGGCCAGGCGCAGTGCCTCACGCTTATCTGAGCACATTGGGAAGCTGAGGCGGGAGCAGCCTGGGCAACATAGTAAGACCTCGTCTCTATAAAAATTAAACAGAAAATTAGCGGGCCGTGGTGGCTTGCGCCTGTAGTCCCAGCTACTAGGGAGGCTGAAGCAGGAGGATGGCTTGAGCCTGGGGGGGTGGAGGTTGCAGTGGGCCGTGATGGCGCCACTGCACACCTGTTTAGGAGACAGAGCAAGACCCTGTCTCAAAAAAACAAAAAAGTAAAAAACACACCCCTAGGTGGTTTTATATGCTAAGGATACACGTTATGCGTGTTAGAGCACGTCGATGCTAAGCGCATGTGCCAACTGCAGGTCTGTCTTTGCATGTTTGACCTCAGCAGTATTTCATGAATATGCATGTACAGCTCCCATAAAGGGAATTCCCCGTAAGGTACTAGGGGCTGCCTCTCCCTTTTAGCAGCCTGCTTTGCCTCTCAGAGTGTACTTTTGAAGCAGCTACACTGTCTGGGGTATATACCCTGGGGTTCGTCATCTCGCACCAGGAAAATTTAGCTCACGGACACACACGAGGAGTTTAGGAGCTGAGGTTTAATAGGCAGAAGAGAAGAGAAAGAGCAACAGCTCTTTCAGGAGAGAGAGGTGTCTCCGAGTGGAAAAGAACTGTTGGTAGTGATGCACTGGATTTTATAGTCTAGCTTGAGGAGGCGGTGTCTGATTTACATAGGGCTCACAGATTGGTTCAATCAGGTGTGACATTTACATAGCAGGGAAGGCTGGTTCCCCACCCTAATCTTATTATGCAAATAAATTATCCTTGGCAGGCTATCTTGTCTGCTCCTTACTGTACACGTGGCTGGCAGAGAAGAGGCGATGAAGCCGCCATCTTGAACATGTCTAGTCGGTAGTTCCCTGTGGCATTTACCCGTGCAAGCTCCCAGCTTGTTTGTGTCTGCAGCTCCACTTTACAGGCTACTCTGTTAGAAGATGATTTGGGGCTGCTTTTCATTAAAAAGAAAAGCCTTACCGAGGACTCCCATGCCCTTACTATCTGCCTACGCGATTTCTTCTTAACTCCTGTATCACTTTTGCTTTGCAATAAACTTCTTTGCCTGCTCTTTGGAGTACTTTGGACTCACTCTCAAATTCTTTTACGTGGCTAAGTCAAGAACCTGAACGGGCCAACTGCCAACACTTGGACATACCTTCTAGTGCACGTGCATGTAATTTGCTTTAGGACTATCTGCGTCTGAGAGTGTACTTTTGAAGGAGCTACATTGTCCGGAGTATATACCCTGGGGTTCATCGTCTTGCACGAGGAAAATTTAGAATACGGATACACACGAGGAGTTTAGGAGGAGATGTAATATTTCTATTTTTAGGATAGATCACGAGATGTAGACACTAGACATTTAAAATGTTACCAGATACAGGCCAGGTGCAGTGGTTCATGCCTCTAATCCCAGCACAGTAAGAGGCTGAGGCACGCGGATCACCTGAGATCAGGAGTTCGAGACCAGACTGGCCAACATGGTGAAACCTCGCCTCTACTAAAAATACAAAAAAAAAAAAAAAAAAATTAGCTGGGCATGGTGGTGTGTGCCTGTATTCCCAGCTGCTCTGGAGGCTGAAGCAGGAGAATCTCTGACAATCTCTTCAGCCCGGGAGGCAGAGGTTGCAGTAAGCCGAGATCATACCACGGCACTCCAGCCTGGGCAACAGAACAAGACTCCATCTCAAAACAAACAAACAAACAAAAAAACAAAAAAAACCCCAAAGTTACCAGATACAGTCCAAATTGCCCTCCAAAGTGGCTAGATAAATTTACCTCCCAACAGCAGTGTGCGAGAGTTCTCATTTTCCCATACCCTTGATGGTATGTTCTTGAAAGTCCTAAAGCTGCATTTCTTCACTAAAATTCTGTTAGTCACACTTTTTACTAATTTATACTGCCATCCAATGAGGTTTGATTACTATTATTATTATTTTTGAGACAGGGTCTTGCTCTGTCACCTAGGCTGGAGTGCAGTGGCACAGTCATACCTCACTGCAGCCTCAAACTCCCAGGTTCAAGTGATCCTCCAACTTCAGCCCCTCCCGAATAGCTGGGACTACAGGCATGCATCACCATGCCCAGCTAATTAAAATTTTTTTGCAGAGATGGGGAATCTCACTTTGTTGCCCAGGCAGATCTTGAACTCCTGGGCTCAAGCAATACCCCCACTTTGGCCTCCCAAAGTCCTGGGATTACAGGCATGAGCCACTGTGCGGGTCAATGATTCTTTTAATTAACTCTAGCGAAGTGGGCAGAGCATTCATTTTATTTACAAGTACTATACTCCTTCCCTTTGGCCTTTAAATATAATTTATAGGCAGCATTGATTTGCACTTAGAGACACTGTCTAACACAGGTCTCCGCTGAGAAGAGAAATTCGCCCATTCAAAATCTGTGTGTGGGCTAAAGGCTAAGGGCTTATGCCAGAAAAGATTTTTTGTTTGTGTTTTTGTTTTTGTTTTGAGAAGGAGTTTCACTCTTGTTGCCCAGACTGGAGTGCAATGGCGCAATCTCGGCTCACTGCAACCTTTGCCTCCCGGGTTCAAGCGATTCTCCTGCCTCAGCCTCCCCAGTAGCTGGGATTACAGGCTGGCCTCGAACTCCTCACCTCAGGTGATCCGCCCGCCTCCACCTCCCAAAGTGTTGGGATTACAAGCGTGAGCCACACGCCCAGCCAAAAAGATTTTTACAAGACGGGCAAGTGTTCGCTTTTCTATCAATATGTTAGCAGTCTGTATTTACTTATTTGCTGGTGAGAAACCTTTCTTCCCTGGTTTCTAAAGTTTGAAAGTCTTTGCCCCTGAGCTCATGAGATTTCCAGAGAACTGATTCAAACAACTTCATTAAATAGGTACTTACTTCATGCCTGGGGCTTTACATTTTTATTTAATCTTTACAACTCTCTTTTGCATTCTTATTGTCATCAGAAAAATGCAAATCAAAATCACGATGAAATACCATCTCATGCCAGTTAGAATGGCTTTTGTTAAAAAGAAAAAATAGCAGATGTTGCTGAGGCTGTGGGGAAAAGGGGAACATTTTTACACTGTTGGTGGGAATGTAAATTAGTTCAGCCACTGTGGAGAGCAGTTTGGAGATTTCTCAAAGAACTAAAAATTGAACTACCACTCGACCCAGCAATCTCATTACTGGGTCTATACTCAAAGGAATATATATCGTTCTATCAAAAAGACAGATGCACCCGTATGTTCACTGCAGCACTATTCACAATAGCAAAGACATAGAATCAACCCAGGTACGCATCAACAGTGGATTAGATAAAGAAAATGTGGTATATATACACCATGGAATACTATGCAGCCATAAAAAAGAACAAAATCATGTCCAGGAAGAGGGGAGAACAGCAACATGGATACAGCTGGAAACCATTATCCTAAGTGAACTAAGGCAGAAACAGAAAACCAAATACTGCACGTTCTTATAAGTGGGAGCTAAACATTGGATACACATGGACACAAAGATGGGAACAATAGACTCTGGGGAATACAAGAGTCGGGAGGCAGTTGGGGGAAAGGGTTGAAAAACTACCTATTGTGTATTGTGTACTTTGCTCACTACCTGGGTGACAGATTCATTTGTACTCCAAACCTCAGCCTCACGCAATATAGATGGGGTTTCACCATCTTGGCCAGCTGGCCAGGCTGGTCTCGAACTCCTGACCTCAGGCGATCCCCTGGCCTCGGCTTCCCAAAGTGTTGGGATTACAGGCGTGGGCCACTGCACCTGGCCTCAGTTTTTGTTTTTGTTTTTTTGTTTGTTTGTTTTTTGAGATGGAGTCTCGCTCTGTCCCCCAGGCTGGAGTGCAGTGGTGCAATCTCGGCTCACTGCAAGCTCCGCTTCCCGGGTTCATGCCATTCTCCTGCCTCAGCCTCCCGAGTAGCTGGGACTACAGGCGCCCGCCACCACGCCCGGCTAATTTTTGTATTTTTAGTAGAGACGGGGTTTCACAGTGTTAGCCAGGATGGTCTCCATCTCCTGACTTTGTGGTCAGCCCGCCTCGGCCTCCCAAAGTGCTGGGATTACAGGTGTGAGCCATCACGCCCAGCCTGGTCTGTCTCAGTTTTAAAACGGAAAGTCCTGCATCCCAAGAAAACCTCTAGTCCAGGCAAACCTAGGTGGGTCGCTCTAGGATGGAATTAGGATTTCCAGTGGTCTTGGACAGAAGGGCGACCTCTCCCTTGAGTTACGAAGGAAGGCGGAGAGATGAAGGGCAGGATTAAATAAACAAGTATGCGGGCTTTGGAGCCAGGGCAAAGCTCTGCCTTTTAGCTGTGTGATCTTGAAATTATTTAACCACTCAGATTCAGTTTCCTGTAATTTGGGGATAATTAAACAAGAATGAGCCGTGTGAAAGTGCCTATCCAACTGTAGTAGGCTCGCAGCAAGAGTTTAAATCGTTTTTATTCATCTCCGGTCCTAACTTTTGCCGCTGCTCTGTGTTCCACTCTTCTATCATCTTTAATTTCTCTGCTTGACTTGTTCCTGCTTTGTTCTCTCTGGTCCCTCTCCGGTCGCTCCTGCCACTCACGTTGAGTACCATCCACCACTAGAGGGCGGAATAGAACAAACCAAGATGGGTGCCCCTCCAGCTCTCTATGGCGTCTGCTCGCCGAGCCCCGCAAAAGAGGCGGGGATTCCATCATGTGACCGGGGTGCTGGGCGCCGGCGCAGGCGCGGTTGCTGCGTAGTCGTCGCCGGGCTCCGTTGCCCGCGCTGTTTTACCTTCCCAACGCTTGAGGCGGACGCTGGGGGGTCCTGCGCCTTTCCCTCCTGCCGCTGGGGACTGCAGGCTAAGGCCATGTCCCGAAAGCAGGCGGCGAAGAGCCGGCCGGGCAGCGGCAGCCGGAAAGCCGAGGCCGAGCGCAAGCGGGACGAGCGGGCGGCGCGCCGGGCCCTGGCCAAGGAGCGGCGGAATCGGCCGGAGTCTGGCGGCGGCGGCGGCTGCGAGGAGGAGTTCGTCAGCTTCGCCAACCAGCTGCAGGCCCTGGGGCTGAAGCTGCGGGAGGTGCCGGGGGACGGGTGAGGCGGGCCGGGAGCGAGGGAGGCGGCGCCGGGGGACGCGCCGGGCTCGGCCTGGCGACCGTTGCCCGCTCGCGTCCATCCATCCATTCATTCGGGCGGCCCGGGCGCCTCCCGCGAGCCAGCCACGCTCCGAGTGCAGGGCGTCCAGCTGCGAGTGAGGCGGACAAGCCCCTCGCCCCGAGACGCTCGCGGGGATCCCAAAGGGTCCTAATCATGGCAGACGCCGCGAGCGAAATAGAAAGTGGGTGCTGAGACCGTATATGGGAGCAGGGCCACTGGATTGTGGCCAGGAAGGGCTCTCTCAAAGGTGACATTTAAGCTGAGTTCTGAAGGAATGAGATGGAGCCAGGCATTGGAAAAACAGTTATCATGACGATAAGACCAGTTGAAGGAGTTTGAGTAAGCCCCACTTGGTAGAACGCTTTGCCTCCTTTGAGTCCTTGGTTTTTGGGTGGTGCCCCCATTTACATTTGTGAAATTAGGTCGCCTGTTTACTGAGCTGAAGGCAGCTTCTCTAATTCTTCCTTCCATGGGCCTCAGTTTCTCTGTAAGCAAAGGTGCTTCCCCAAGCTTTCTTGGGACTTAGACTGGATCCAGGTCCAGCTTTCTTTAGGGAACGCGGAGGGGGAGAGTGGGGAGGAGGAAGAAAATTAGCTTCAAGAAAGGGGATATGGCTCCAGGAACATGGATGGAAGAAGGAAAAGGGTCAGGAAGAGGGGAGAACAGTTAGGATCCCCATTGCAGGGGCAGGTAAAAAGGGGTCTGGTTGTCAGCTGTGTCACTTTGGAAGAGAGAGTGTTAATAACAGCCTGGCTTTTGTTTTTTTCCTCCCCGTATTTGAGTGCTCAGATCCTGCAGAGGGAAGACTAAAATGAAATTAAAGACCATAAGGAATTGCCTTAGTTCATTATTATTGTTATTTTGTAGAGACGGTGATTTTGCTGTGTTGCCCAGGCTGGTCTCGAACTCCTGGCTTCAAGCGATCCTCCTGCCTCGGCCTCCCAAAGTGCCTAGATTACAGGCATGAGCTACCACCCCCGGCCAGGAATTGCCTTAGATATTAACTGCAGAATAAGGTGTTTTAAAAATTTTCACATTACATTGCAGCTTATTGATTAAGACTGTGAACTGGTCCTAATTTCCCTTTCCCACCGTTCCTGTTTATGCTCATTGCTTCAGGCAGATTGGATTTCTTTTTGCTCACAAAGAGTTCACCACACTTTGCTGCGTTGCTGTTTTTGCTTAAGATGCAGTTGGAACTTGATTACATTTATTCACCATCATCTGGCAAAGTGCTTGGTACATGGAAGGCAGTCAGTACGTTTTTGCTGAATGAAATATAAAAATAATAGAGGGAGGTCAGCTAGCCTAAGCATAAGCCCAAGACACCCTTATAGAAACAGAAATACCAATTGAATACAGTGGAATTGGCGTGGGACATTGGGGCTTTTCCTTGCAAATGATTGGATTGCTTGTGTCTGCTATACTGGGTATGGTATTCTCAATGTCAGGGTGCCCAGGAAACTGAAGTACTCAATAGAAGGTTACTTATGAGGAGGAATTAGCACAGGGAGTTGTAAACTCTTGAGGGGGCTTTCATAAGGTTATGGGAAACTTTGGGGGTACTACTTCTGCTCCCTATCCCCACACCCCCATACACACACAGCATACTTTTCAAGTTAATTCAGCACACCTTAAGTAGGGTGCTGGGAATATGTTGATGACTAAGATACTTAAGGACTTCATAGCCTAAGGTAGAAACACGTAACAGTGGGTCTCAGCTTTTTTGGTCTTAAGATCTCTTGGCATTCTTAAAAATTACTGAGAAACCGAAAGAACTTTATATGGGTTATAGCTATGAGTATTTACTGTATTAGAAAGTAAAACAAAGTTAAAACACAAGAATACACACACATTCCATTAGCTATCAGAGTGATGACTTCATGCATCAGGTAGCCTCTGGAAAACTCCACTGCACTTGTGAGAGAATGAGAATGAAAAAGGTACATTACATCTTAGTTTTGAACTCACGGATACCCTGAAAGCATATCAGAGACCTTCCCACATCTCCGGTCCCTTGAGTCACACTTTGAGAACAGATGATACAAATAATTAAAATATAGTTTGATATATTTTTAGTAACAGTGACTGATTATAATGGTACTATTGAGAAGGAAAAGGCTACTACTCTATGAATTGGCCAGGAAGTCCTTCTCGTTCATTCGGTAAATACTCATTGGATACACTGCTAGATGCCTCTCAGAGGGTGTCATGCTCTGATTGGGTCATGAAGGACCAATAGGAGTACACCAAGAGAACGGTCCCATCTGAGAAGGAGTATATATAGAGGCACAAGGACACGATGTTTTTGGGAGATCTACAGGTTGTTTAGGGTGACGGGTAGTGTAGGGCACAAGGGTAGAAGTAACGGGCAGTGAAGCTAGGCTCCAGAAACCAGCTTGACTGGAGTGCTCATGTCTCTCTTCCAAGGTTCCTGTTATTCGGACAGTGTTAGATAAAATGATCGTATTTCCTCTTGTGTGGGCTTCATGGAGCTAACCACCTTCTGTTCACAAGTTCTTCACATGAGTTCCATTAGCTGGACTGTGGTTCAGCCCTCGTCAGTATCCTAGTCCTTTCGAATGTGGTGATGACAGACTTTATCACTGCAGGGGATGGTGTTTCCTGTGTATGTGATGGGTTGGCAGGTGTCAACAGATTCTTCTACCCCCCTCAGACGGAGTCTTACTCTGCCACCCAGGCTGGAGTGCAGTGGCACAATCTTGGCTCACTGCAATCTCTGCCTCCTGGGTTCAAACAATTCTCTTGCCTCAGCCTCCTGAGTAGCTGGGATTACAGGCACCTGCTACCACAGCCAGCTAATTTGTTTGTATTTTTAGTAGAGATGGGGTTTCACCATGTTGGCCAGGCTGGTCTCGAACTCCTGACCTCATGATCCATCCGCCTTGGCCTCCCAAAGTGGTGGAATTACAGGTGTGAGCCACCGCGCCTGGACAACGGATTCTTTTATTAATGTTTATTAAGGACTCAGGTGAAATATAATGAAGTTAAAGACTATTAAAAAATAGTTGACATCTCTAGCGTTCCCTGTTTTCATTCAGATTTGATTACAATCTGGAGTAGCCTGATACAGTATCTATGAGCATGTTCATTGTTGGCAATATGGTACCTGTAGCATTCTGGAACCTGAGGGGGTTTAGGGATGAATTAACCAATATCCTGTAATACAGCCTTTACATGGGTTGAGTCAGCTTAGTGTAGATTAATCAGGGAGCTACTTAGAGGGTTTTGTAATGCTTCCTGGACCAGCTTCATATTTCACGTGTTGTCTGGAAGGTGGACCCACATAAATTGGATTCATTTTTCAAAGCAAGAAAGAAATAGTTTAACCTTGATGTTTTCCTTAAAAACATGATTGGCTATAGTGTGAAAAGAATGTATAACTCTATTTATTAGGCAGTACAATATTAACATCCCTCTGAACTTATCTAGTTGGGTCTTACTAAATGTAGTTCTGAGTTACATTACTCATTAGCAGTGTTCTAAAATTGAAACATTGAAGAATCACTAATTTTAGCTGTTTATCTTATTACTAACAAGTAGTTTATTTTTTAGTTTTGTTTTTAATATTGCAGGATCACAGTAGTAGAAGGGCATTCACACATCATCTTGTCTAATTATTGCCTGTGTCACCTGAACAGCAGTGCCATCTTTTGTGCCTCACTCAGTGGTTTTCAGTTGGGTGCCATACTAGAATATCTGGGGAGGAACTTTTGAAACAATTCAGGGCCTGGGCTCTCCCCTAGATCAACTACATCAGAATCTTAGAGTGGGGCCTGGTTATTGATGTTTTTTAAAAAAAAATTTACAGATGATTCTTATATGCATCCATAATTGAGAGTGACTGATTTAGAGTCTAGATGCTCAACTAGTGTTTCTCAAACTTCAGTATGCAACATAACCACCTGGACTGCTAGTGAAAACACCTGGAAGGGCTACGTTGCTGGGCCCCAACCCCAGAATGCCTGATTGAGTAGGCCTGGGTGGGCCCCAGCATTTTCATTTCTAACAACTGCCCAGGGGATGCTGATGCTCCTAGTCCGGGAACACACTTTGAGAATCAGTGATCTAGATCAGCGCTGTCCAGGGGAAATAGAATGTGAACCACGTATGTGATTTAAAATTTTTCTAGTAACTACATTAAAAAGAAACAGGTGAAACTAATTTTAGTATATTTTATTTAAGCTATTGTATCTAAAATACTATTTTGACATACAATTCAATATAAAAATTATTGATCTCTCATATTTTCTTTTTCTTTTTCTTTTTTTTTTTTTTTTGGAGACATTAGAGTTTGTTGTTGTTGCCCAGGCTGGAGTGCAATGGCACGATCTTGGCTCACTGGAACCTCTGCCTCCCAGGTTCAAGCGATTCTCCTGCCTCGGCCTCCTGTGTAGCTGGGATTACAGGCATGCGCCACCATACCTGGCTAATTTTGTATTTTTAGTAGAGACGGGGTATCTCCGTGTTGGTCAGGCTGGTTTCAAACTGCTGACCTCAGGTGATCCGCCTGCCTTGGCTTCCCAAAGTGCTGGGATTACAGGCATGAGCCACCGCACCCGGCTGATGATCTCTCATATTTTCTTATATGACCGCTTCAGAATCTAGTATTTTACACTGATAGCACACCTCACTGTGGATTAGCCACATCAGATGCTCAGTAGTCACATGCGGTTAGCAACCACTATTAAACAACACACATCTAGACAATTGCTGTGAATTGCTAGTTATAGAAATTGGCAGAATCCTGAGTCTATATAGTCTACCTCCGTAGAGCTAAGGTGAAATTACCTTTTATTTGCCAAAATCTATGTCTCTGTGGCTTCCAGGTTTTCGTTTTATTATACAGGTATAATTTTAATTTCACATGACAGTTGGAGGTATTGATCACGTCCCCCTGAGCCTTCTTTAGGCCAAACATCACTAGTAGTTCTTCATATTGTATTAAAGCCACATCATTTATCTGAATACGTCTCTCTTAAAATACAGTAACTAGAATGGTACCCAGTACCCTATCTGGTCTGACCCCAAATAATAAAACCTTTTCCTTTTTCTGCACATTTACTATTATTACTGCAGTCTAGAGAGCACGTTAGGTTTTTTGGTGCGTGTGTTGCAATATTGTCTAATAGTAAATTATTGCGCACTCAAAACATTTGCGTGCTCTTTATGTAATTGGTTGTTTTTGTGAACTCAAATGCGAGACCTGCCATATATCCCTATAACACAGTGGTTCTCAAGCAGGGATGATTTTGCCCTCCAGGGGACATTTGGCAATGTCTAGAGACATCTTTGGTTGTCACAACTGATGGGGAGGGAGGTAGTGATGTGCTACTGACAGCTAATGGCAGAGGCCAAGTATTCTCCTAAACTTCCTACAGTGCACAGGACAGCCTCCCACAACAAAAAAATGATCCTGGAATGTCAATAATGTGGAGATTGAGAAGCCCTGCTATAGGTAATGGTGAGAGTGTGAACTCAGGAAGTGGCCCAGATCTCCTAGAGGCCCTTTGGGCAGCGGTGCTTTGTTCTCATGAGTTTCTTGAGTGCTCTTATTGGGCTCACCTAAGGAAACCCAGGTCACTGGAGTGTTTGTTCATTACCTTGTAATCCTGTCAGAAAAGGAAGTGATTTGTCTATTTTGGCTTGTTTTGGGTGAGCTCAAAGAAAGTTTGGTAAGTAATGAAAAGCATATTAAAAAATGTAACAATTAAAACTCTTAAATATTATTTTTAATTCTGCTGCCTAGGGGTAACTATGGCTATCATTTTGGTGTTGACATTCGAGCGAGAGCCACGTTATTTGGACTTGGATCCTGGGCCTACCACTTACTAGTTTTGTGACCTTGGGCAGGTTTCCCCTGAGGGATGGTAATAGGACCTATCTCAGAGTTGTGAGACACAACATGTTTAATACATATAAAGTGTTTAGGACAGTCCCTGGCACATTGTAAGAACTATTTAAGTGGTTGTTTCTGTGTGTTTTCTTGGCATACGTTTGTGTGTGTTTCTGTGTCTGTGTATGTGTATAGTGTACAGATGAACTTGGTTGAGTTCATGTGGCATATACAGTTCTACACCTACTTTTTTGGAGAACATTTGCTCATGTTATTAAAAGTTCCTAGCAAACATGTAACTGTAGAATACCATGAATTTTGGTACATTAAATGTAAAATAACTACATAAATTTGTGATAAATCACATCTCTTAAACTAAATTCAAGAATAGGCTAGTGGTGGCAGATGCTGATTAAGAAAAGTTTGAGGGAAAAGCTTGACATTTAAATTGTTTTATCGATTAACTTACTTTTCTCCATGGTTGAAAAAAGACTGCCATTGTCAGATTTTAGCAAGACACCTCAGTCTAGCCTACAGAACTCTATATTCCACTCCTTCTAGAATCTTGTCTTAGATTGTTGGAAAGCTTCTTGGTTTTTAATTTATAGAAGCTGTCTTAATTCTCCCCTCCCCTGCAAAAAAAAAAAAAGTATATATTCTTATACATTAGAAGAGATTCCAGCCTTTCTATAGCTTTCTGTTGAAAATTCACTTTTCTGAGTTGAAAAACAAAACCCCCTTTTTTCCTACACATTTAGACATGAAATCTTTCTGAAAGTGATGAGTTTATACTTTGGAATTACAGTATCATAGTTTTTCATTTGGAAGAGTAAACAGTTGGGTGTAAAACTGGACAACTGTTTGGCTTCAGAATTGTTTATTTCTGTAGTTTTAAGGATACCAGATTGTGTTTGTCTTGTTTGAGTCTCTGTGTATCTAAGCCTCTGTGTTTGTGATAGTTCGGAATTTAGAAGCCTTTGAGGGGTTTGAAAGTAAAGATAACTCTTACAGTTTATTACCAGTATTTTAATTTTAGAGAAACAAAATGTGGTGTTTAAAGTTTTCATTTGGCAGGAATAACAATGGCATTGTTGCTCCCTGGGTGCTAAGTGAGGAGGCAAGGAGGAAGTGTCTTTCCATAGTACAACTGTTTGTTGTCCAAGTGCTTTCCTTCTCATGACTTTCTCCACTATGTTCTTAGGACTCAAACAGAGTATTGTTCAGTTGTTAGTATTGGCAGCTTGACAAATTGCTATTTTTTGGGTACTATTTGTTAAATGAATGATTACTTAGCTGGGTAGCTGTAGTGGAACTTGTTTTAGAAAAGAGGCTGTAGATAGGACATGATTTTGGAAGAGGATCTGTAAATCATAGCCCTTAGGCATGGAATGGCCTATAAGGTCTGGACCTTGTAGTAAGGTGGTTAGTGTATCACCGGCTCCACTTGTTGAAGCAGCTGAGGCCCAGGGAAGTTTGATGACTCTCCTGAGTCAGCCAGCTGGTACATGGGGAATAGAATCCTTGTTTGCTGCCTCTCAAGAAGGTAATATGGTTGAATATGCCCTCATGCTGTCCCCCGTGGTCTTGGAAGAATCCTGGACTATTAGAGTTGAGTCTTTACCTCTGTGTGCACAAAATATTTCCATGGATGATCTGGCATGAAGCATCATTGTTTTAGACGAACTAAGTTCATTTTTGAAAGGTCTTGACTCGTGTTGTTGTTTTGACAGCAATTGCTTGTTCAGAGCTCTTGGTGATCAATTGGAGGGACACTCACGAAATCATCTCAAGCACAGACAGGAGACAGTGGACTACATGATAAAGCAGCGGGAAGATTTTGAACCCTTTGTAGAAGATGACATTCCTTTTGAGAAGCATGGTAGGTTCACTGTGGGACATTGTGTCCTTCAGGAGTAATGCATTGGGTAATTAAGTCCACTGGCATCCTCCCCCCTCCCAGCCAAGGGTTTGGTTATATAAATCACGACATTCATTTATTCAAGAAATATTTGTTTGCCTACTTGGTTATCGGCAGTATGCTAGGTAGTTGGGGATCAGTAGGTTTAGCTGTATATGCCCTTAATAAACATGATGGTATTAATTGACCTGAAAAGCGATTCATGACTTCTTACTCTGTGGGGTGGGAAAAGCAGGCTATAACATAGCTTGTATAGGTTGATCCTATTTTTAAAAGGTATACAGACACAGTAGGAAAAGTCTGGAAAGATACTAACATTTTGTTTGTTAATTCTTAGCTTCACTTATTTTTCAGAAATTACTCATTCTCTTTAAACTTCTATAGAAGGGAGATAATAATAGCATCTATCTCACAGGGTTTTTGGTGAAGATTAAATTAGATAACAAAATTAAAATAAGCCCTTAGTAAGCGTTAGCCATCTGGGGATGATGGGACTATGGTATTTTAAATTATCTTTTATAGACTTTTTCTGACTTTTAGATGATCATGTATTACTTTTAAAATTAGAAAAACCAATAAAATCATGTTAATTTCTCACCCAAACCCCAAACACAATCTGTTTTCTTTGAGGCAAGTCAGTTAGTGATTTTAATTGGTTCCTATTTAATAGGCATAGATCTTATAGAAAATGCATATGAACTTGTAAACTTTAATTTCAACAAATATTTACTGAGGATCTACTGTGCTTGCTGCTGATATGTCTTACAAATGGCATTTTCATCACAGGGCTTATAGTCTTTTCTGTCTGTTATCAGGAAAGAGAATTGATCCTTTGTTTTAGAGAGCTAAGTCTGGAGGCCATGCCAAGAATGGATGGGGAGAGAGACTGATAAAGGAGACTAGTTAGAAGGTCTCCACACTGGCCAGATGAGAGTAGAGGAGGTCTCCATCAAGGTAGCTACTGAGGATAATGAGTAAGGCCCAAACCAAGCCACACTTTGGCAGTATAATTGACAGGACACATTGGAGGTGAGGAGGGGAGAGGGAGGAGACAAGAGTGATTCTGAAGTTTCTGCTTAGGGAATGGGTAATTGGCTGTACCGTTAGCAAGAGAGAGGGCAGCAGGAGGGGGACATTTGGGAGAAAAGGTATCAGTGATCCCAAAGTGTTTCCCATTCCTTACTAGGAAAGAACTTACTCAGTAGGCACCAGACACAGAGCAACAAAACTTCCAATGGGTGGTTTGTACCAATCACTGAGTTCAGATGGTCCCTCTTCCTGGGATTACTTTTTGGCTAGCAGATATGCATAGTTTACTGGATAGTCAGCAGTTTACAAATTAAATGTTTGTATATGGGACAAATTTTGTAGTTTAGTGCTGTACGAAATGAATTGTGTCATTAATCCAATGAAAACATCATTTTGGATGAAACGGGTTTTTAGTTTGTGATGTGAAACTCCACTTTGAACACTGTCAGTGAAGATCACATGGTGGATTTTGGGGTGTTACAGGATAGGGAACTCAAATCTTCGGTTGCCAATGTGATAGTCACTTGAGATGAACAGTGGAAAGGTGTTTTCTTGAAATGTCACTATGCATGCCTGTTGCTTGGAGCTGCTTAAGAATTTGAGCATCACAGAAGTAAGAAGTCACTTTGACGGCCAGAGCAGAAATGAAAAGAAACCTGGAAGTCTGCACATTCTCTTTGTGTGTCAGTTGAAGGCTTGGCTTGTTACATTGGTGAGTCTTGAGTCATAGTTACCTGTTTTTAATGTCAGTGTGCTGCCTACCTTGTTGTACTGTGAGATTCTCAAGGGCAGGGACTGTGTGTCTTTGTTTTGCGGTGTGGCAGTGCCCGGCATCTGGTAGACATTCATAAAGTGAATAAATGAATGGTTCACTATACTATTAAGGACCTGGTCACCCTTGCATCTGGCTGTATCTTTAGGATTATTCTTTTCTTTTAGACTGTGGCTTCAGAGAATCAGCAACATCTTTCCCCCAACTGTACAAGTATCCAGGTCAGAACCTGAGTATTCTTAATGCTTATCTTCCTCCCTTCTCTTACCCGTTCATTACATGTTATCACTCTACCTCAGCAGTTTTTCTTTCACTGCTACTACCCCGTAAAATCAGACCTCTGTGGCCATTTGCTTAGATTTCCTCCATACTGTTCGGTATCATTGTCTCTTGATTTCCTCAGTCTGTTTTCTACATAACAGCCAGAGGGGGATCTAAATGTGTTTTTCCTCTGTATAAAAGCTGTTGATGACTCATCTATTGACCTCAGGATAGAGCCCAGACTTTTTAGTTCTTCATGATCTGGGATTTTCTCATTTCTCTGTCCTCATCTCTTGCCATTCCCCCCAACATTTTCTCACTTCCTCCACCTCTCCATCTCAGCATTCTCAGTTCCTGCCATATTAGAGTTCTCTCTCTCTCTCGTGTCTGTCTCTCCTCTTCTTAGAACATCATCCATTTCTCCTGTCTTAACTCTTCCTTGTCCTTTGGGTATTAGCTTAGTTGTCTCAGTTGAGAAGCTCCTCTGATACACCTTACCTCCCGCTCCTCAATTCCACGTTGGCTTATGTTCACCACCTGGAGTTAGCCAAACTGCAGGGTTCGAGAACACAGTCCTTGCATGACTTCCCTCAACTTTTGGTACCATCTACAAGTTGGGGTCTCCCAGAACCTCCCTTAGGTTCCATAATATGGTAGTAGGACTCACAGAACTCACTGAAAGCTGTCATGCTAACAGTTACGGTTTGTTACGGGGAAAGGATGCAGATCAATACTACTAGCCAAAGGAAGAGATGCATAGGACAGTCTGGAAAGGTTCCAGACACGAAGCTTCTGTTGTCCTCAGGGCATATTCTCCTCATAGCATCTGTGTGTGACAGTACACATAGAATATTGTCACCTGGGGAAGCTCACCCTAACTTTGGTGTCCAGAGGTTTTTGTTTTGTTTTGTTTTGCTTATTGATTTACTGCATGTCTAAGTGGTTGAACTCAGTCTCCCCTCTCACCCTATCACCACCACAAAGGTCTGATGCCAGATGTGGTGGAGAGGCCCGTCATGAATAACAGACACTCTCATCACCTTTGGGAATTCCAGAGGTTTAGAAGTGACCTCCCAGGAGCCCAGGATAAAGGCCAGACCTCTCTTTGGGCAAGGCCAAATTCTTACTGCACATGCCCTTCCTGAAGTACTTGTGCATCATTAGTGCCTATCTTGTTTGCCCCTCACTGGTTGTGAACTCCGCGAGGGCAAATTGATGGAGTGGCTGAGAGCCAGGACCTTGGCATTGGGCTGCGTAGGTGAAACCTCAGCTCCACTGTGTACCAGCTCTTTGACCTTGGCACAGTTTTCAGCTATTCTGCATCTGAGTTTCCTCATGTATAAAATGGTTTGTATAATAGTACTTGTCTATGAGATGTGATTAGATCAGTGCTTGACACATAACAACCATTCACTAATGCAAGCTGCTAAGATTACTGTGTTTATTGTTATGTTTCTAGTGCCTTTTATTGAGTTAGTATATTGGAAGTAATCAGTAAACATTTATTGCAGAAGAAATAAATGGATCTTTGCTTTATGAATGACTAGTGTTCTTCTGAGTAGCAGTCTTGTATTGTTCAACTAGCTAAATTCCTAGACTCTGACAAAGTTAATGGACTTCTCAGATATATATCGTTGTTTCTTATTATTTGGAACTCAGTAAATACCAAAGCATGTTTGCATTTAGATTTTTCCACTATAAAGACGTCATTTTTCTTTCCTATTTCCATGCAGTGGCCAGTTTGGCAAAGCCTGGTACTTTTGCTGGCAATGATGCAATTGTAGCCTTTGCAAGAAATCATCAGTTGAATGTAGTGATTCATCAACTTAATGCCCCTTTGTGGCAGGTAGGTCACCTATTTAAACATTTATCTTAAGCTCTTATTTCTAAGTCAGCTTTGGGAATATCCGAAGATGAGGGGCTTGACCTGTGAACATTGAATTATGCGGAGTAACTTGGTCTACGAGCCTAACCAAAGACAAAAATCTTGTGATGGCTCAGAAGTAATCCCTGTGCTATGTACAAATGGAGTCCGGAGTATAATTTAGAAATCTTTTAAAATGCTATAAATATTCAACAGTCAGCTAATTGGGCAGGTTGGGGACAGAGAACCTAGTGTGGAAACACAGGCTGTCACCCCCTAAAGTCAGAGTGCTGCCTGTTGCTTTGTACCTCAGCTCCTAAAGACTGAGCATGTGGTTTCTGTTAATTCCCCACCCACTCTGCCCTGCTCCACCACTCACCGCTTTCTCACTTTTTCTAATTAAAAAGTTAAAATACAGTACTTGTAGAAAAGTTAGAAAATTGAAAAAGCTCGTAAAGAGAAAAAAATTTTATTAAAAATTATATTTAAAATTTTATTCAATCACCCAGAGAGAGGTTATTGCTGTTAATGTTTTAGTGAGTATTCCTGTCATTCACACACACTTGGCTATAAAAACATTGATACATAACTGGAAAGGAACATATCACAATGTTTTTACACACTTTTAAAACACATACACACATGTATCCATATCCACATATATACGGACACTTCTGTGTTATTAGCATAAAGGTAACAGTGCCCTTTTTTTCATATGACACCTGCATATATTCCTTTGTAAATTGCTCAGTCATAGCCTTTGCTGATTAAAAATAGGTTTATAGGGATATAATTTACATGTAGCAAACTTCATCCTTTTCCAAGTATACAGTTCTATGTGTTTTGACAAACACAGTCATGTAACCACCACTACTATCAACACAGACTAGTCTACTCTCGAAAAAGTTACTTCCAGGCTCTTTGTACTTTGTAATCACTGGCCCCCTCCCCCAATACCCAGCCTCTTGTAGCCCATTCTCTGATTTGTCCTTATAGTTTTGCCTTTCCAGAATGTCATATTAAAGAATGCAGCCTTTTGTCCCTGGCACAGTGTCCTTTTAACAAAACTATGCTACAACAAAGTAAGATAGTGCAGGGATGGTGAGAAATTTTACCTTATGGGGATAGAAGGAGCAGGAGTGAAACAGTATCTGCTTGTGTTCTTTGGGGCAGTGTTGCGGATGTCCTGACATCAGGGTACCAGATAGAGCTATCATATTTTCCATGGGGTTCTGTTTTCCAAGGGCGATGTTTGAGCAAAAATACTGGTTACCCCTTTGTTCTATTTTTTGTCTTTAAACTTACACTGTTTTGCAGAAGTTAACAAAATCATTTGAATACACAGCATAATGACCCTCACCTTGAAGGGGAATACTCACTACCAACTCAGTAATCAGCTTGCCTTTTCCTCCATTGATGACTTTTTTCCCAAAGTTTCTTAGTTACCTAGGTAGTTGTGGAAGACATTTCTGCATAGGTAAATTTTTTTTTGAATTTATTTCTGTAGTGTTCTCTTTCATAAATTCCTGAGCATTGAAAGTACATCTTTTTAAAATAAATTTACTAATATTTCCATTGGATCCCCCTATGTCTTCCTACCCCAGTGAAGCATCTTATAAAATTTAAGAACTGAAACTGCATTGGTTGCTACTTTCATGGTTATGGGCTCTTTCATTAATAAAGAGTAGGCTTATACTCACACCATGGAGATATTGAAACCTACATTTTTTTTCTGGTTATAATTGGAATATGTGCTCCTGTGAACAATCTAGATGTATGTAACATAGAATGTGAAAGTCCTCTGTAATCTGCCCGTGAAAGTCACAGTTAACAATTTGGTGAATATTCTTCCAGTTAGGTTTTCTATTCATAATATATATATATATTATTATTATTAGGTATGTAAGTGCTTTAGGGATTATGTCAAAGATTCTAATAAACTGTTTACTTTCCCATTGCTCTTCCTGGGAGACAAATGGTGCTCTCTATTTTGTATGTGTCTAAACCAGACTCTCTGCACTTGAGATCTGCGTATTCTACTGGAAAAGCTTCCACGCTACTGACATCTAGACTTGTGTGCTTCCTGTTTGTTCCATGGTTTTTGCTTTGTCTTTAGACCATGGATACTGTTTAAAGTAAGGGCAGTATCTTACTATGTGTGATTTTCAGTAAAAAGAATGTGCTGATGTTTTGGAGTTTAAACAAAGGAACCATTACTGGGCTTTCTAAGGGACAAAGTTAGAATGAGAGTTTCTTTGGACGTGGCGAGTTTTATTTGGGGTACGCCCAGACCTTAGGGCTTCTGTACTGCACAACTCTAGGGAGCCCCATTCTTGTGCTGTGTGTCAGGGGTGTAGTTCACATAGAATACCTTGTGGGTGGCGCCTGCAGGGTTGAGCGCTACAGGCCGTACTACTTTATGTAATTTTGTTTTGAAGCTGACGTAGGTAGGAGATTTGGGTTTGTTGTTGATGTTTCTCATTTAGGTGGTTAATAGAAAATGCTATTTTCGTTTTAACGAAAGGGGTGGATTTACCTTGAAGCTAATGAAACATCAGGCCACTCATTTGTAGGACTCCCTTTCTAGGTCTTGGGAGAAGTTCTACCAGTTTTATATTTATAATTTTGCATTTTTTTTTTCCTCAAAGAGAGCCTTCAAATAGTTAGGGCTTCAAGCTCAACAAATCTGGATCTGCCCCTGGGCCTTCCCCTTGGAAGGGGCTTGTGCATTAGAGGGGCTCAGAGGTAATACAGCCTCTGAAGCTTAAGCTTATTTAACTTCATCGCAAGTCTGCCCCTGGTTTTTGAATTTCTTACATGATTTATTTCCATGGAGTTACATATTAAATAAGCATACGGAAGCATACACGCATAGGAAGGAGGTAGTTTGGAAATTGCTTGTGACATATCCCAGGTGTGTTCCCAATTAGTGTCTCATAGACCTGCTGACTGGGCTTCCTCAGCAGTCCAGGTGGGTGTTTCTCTCCAGAAGTTGATAGTGTTCAGATCCTCACTGGCATGGCCCCTTCTTTTGTCTACAGATTCGTGGTACAGAGAAAAGCAGCGTGAGGGAGTTACACATCGCATATCGGTATGGAGAGCACTACGACAGTGTTCGGAGGATCAATGACAACTCAGAGGCACCTGCACATCTCCAGACGGATGTGAGTGAGGCCTCGGATTTCTCCCGTATTCCCCGCCCTACAGGAAACAGATTGAGAGCTGTATATCTGGCGCTAAAAACCAGTAATGTTTTTGTAGAAAGTTGGCATTGAGAATCTGTGGGCCTGATTTTAAAAATATTTTTTATTTCTTAGTTTAGGTGAGAGTGATAGATAAAATTGCTTATTATTATTTTGCTTTTTCTGATAGTTGATAGTTACAATTGTATGTGTATAAGATACATGGAATTTTAAAATTATTTTTATGTTTTAAAATTAATCCACACCTTTTTTTTTTTTTTAATTGGAGATGGAGTTTCGCTCTTGTTGCCCAGGCTGGAGTGCAGTGGTGCGATCTCGGCTCACCCAACCTCCGCCTCCCGGGTTCAAGCGATTCTCCTGCCTCAGCCTCCCTAGTAGCTGGGATTACAGGCATGTGCCACCATGCCCGGCTAATTTTGTATTTTTAGTAGAGATGGGGTTTCTCCATGTTGGTCATGCTGGTCTCAAGCTCCTGACCTCAGGTGATCTGCCCACCTTGGCCTCCCAAACTGCTGGGATTACAGGGGTGAGCCACCGCACCTGGCCTAACTCATGCTTCTTATCTGAAATCTGAAAACTATAGTAAAGGTAAAGAAGAAAATAAAAAGCATGTAAAGTCAACTCAGCTACCTGAATGTAAATTTTGTTACTGTTTTGGTAGATTTCCATTAATTTAATGCATTAAAACATGGTTGACATTTTATTTATATAGCTTTGTTTCCTGTTTTTAAAAATTAACATCATTGGCCGGGCGTGGTGGCTCACACCTGTAATCCCAGCACTTTGGGAGGCCGAGGCGGGCGGATCACCTGAGGTCGGGAGTTCAAGACCAGCCTGACCAACACAGAGAAACTCCATCTCTACTAAAAATACAAAATTAGCCGGGTGTGGTGGCGCATGCCTGTAATCCCAGCTACTCGGGAGGCTGAGGCAGGAGAATCACTTGTACCTGGGAGGTGGAGGTTGCAGTGAGTCGACATAGCACCATTGCACTCCAGCCTGGGCAACAAGAGCAAAACTCCATCTCAAAAAAAAAAAAAAAATTAGCATTATTGCATAAACCTTTTTTTCCTGTTTTTACACATGATCCAAAACCATTGTTTTTTAAACAATTTTATTTATTTTTTGAGATAAGGTCTCGCTCTGTTGCTCAGGCTGGAGTGCAGTGGCACCATCACGGCTCACAGCAGGCTTGTCTACGTGGACTCCAGCGATCTTCCCACCTTGGCCTCATGAGTAACTAGGACTACAGGTGTGCGCCACCATGCTTTGTTAATTTTTTAATTTTTTGCAGAGATGAAGTTTTGCTATGTTGCCCAGGCTGCCCTCCAGCTCCTGGGCTCAAGTGATCCTCCTGCCTTGGCCTTCCAACATGTTGGGATTACAGGTGTGAGCCATGGTGCCTGGCAATTTTAATTCTTGAATAGGTCATATTTGTCCATGGATTAGAATTCAAAATATGTAATGGGATATATAGTCAAAGTCACTCTCCTACCCTTGTACTTCAGCCACACTGTTTTCCCTGGATGCAATCAGTGGTATTAGTATATCATAAAATCTCCTGTGGTTTACATACCAAGCAAATATATATATAGATGTGCACATATTCCACTTTTGCCATTTTTACTCTCCCCACCACTAGTTGTAGCATCCTACACATACTACACATCCCACACATACATCCTGCACTGTGCTTTTTAAATTTAACATGTCTTGGGATTTAATTCATGGTAGTACATAAGGAACTTCCTGTATCCTTTTTAAAGGCTGCGTAGTGTTCTGTTCTGTAGATGCATTATAATATTTTTGACCAGTCACTTACTGATGGACTTTTAGGTGGTTTCTAACCCTTTGCTATTATAAGCAATGTGCAGTACCTTTTATGTACCTCATTTCACTCATGTATCTGTGGGACACATTCCTAGAAGGTCCTTGCCACATCAGAGGATGTTGATAAGTGAATTGTCAAATTACGTTCTAACAAGATTTCACCGGTTTAAACTCCCACCTGCAATATGTGGCTCTTTTCCTGCACGGTGCACTTCGTCAACATAGTGTTACCAAATTTTTAAATCCTTTTCATTGTTAGGGGAAAAATTGTTTACTTAACCTAGTTTTAATTTGCATTTCTCTTATTTATGCATCTTTTCCTGTGTTTAAGACATATTTCTATTTTTTGTAAATGGTATTCATTTTCTTTCTCCATTTTTTTCCTATTAAGTTGTCTTAATGATTTTGGGGAGCTTTTTATGTATTAGGGAAATTAGCCTCTGTCTGTGATATGAGTTGCAAATAGTTTTTCGCACTCTGTCATTTGTCTTTTTGTTCTTTCTCCTGTGGTCTTTGCTATGAAAGAATTTTAGATTTTTACATAGTTAAATTTGTTACGATTTTCTTATATGCCCTTTGGATTTTGGGTCATAACTGGGAAAGTCTTTCCCACTCTGAGGTTAAAAAGAATTCTCCCATAGTTTAGAATAGTACTTTCATAGTTTCACTTTATTTATTTATTTATTTTTTGAGACTGGGTCTCACTCTGTCGCCCAGGCTGGAGTGCAGTGCTATGATCATGTTTCACTGCAGCCTCAACCTCCCAGGCTCAAGCGATCCTCCTGAGTAGCTGGGACCACAGCTGTGTACCACTATGCCTGGCTAATTTTTTATTTTTTGTAGAGACAGGGTCTCACTTTGTTGCCCGGGCTGGTCTCGAACTCCTGGACTCAAGCAACCCTCCTGCCTCGACCACCCAAAGTGTTGAGATTACAGATGTAAGCTACTGCACCCAGCTCATAGTTTGACTTAAAAAAAAAATTAAATCTTGGCTTCATCTGAAATTTATATTGAAATAAGGGTAGGAGGCTATGGATCCAACTTTATATTTCCCTTGTGATTACCTAGTTGTACCCAAACCATTGATTAATTATACATCTTTTCTCCACTGATTTAAAATGCCACTTTCTTTCCATATACTAAATTCCCATATGTATTTGGGTCTATTCCTAGACATTTGGTTCTGGTCCACTGATCTCCCTGTTCACATGTTGATGCCTCATTGTTTTAGTTGGTATATTTTAAAATCTGGTAGGATTTTTCACTCATAATTAATTTTCTTTTTATAAGTTTCCTTATATGTTGTCTTTTTTAAAAAAAACAAAATGAATGTTAGAATCAATGTGTCTAGTTCAAAGGAAATCCTATTGAGGTTTTTTTTTTTGTTTTTTTTTTTTTTTTTTTGAGACAGAGTCTTGCTCTGTTGCCCTGTTGCCCAGGCTGGAGTGCAGTGGTGCAACCTCTGCCTCCCGGGTTCAAGCGATTCTCCTGCCTCAGCCTCCCGAGTAGCTGGGATTACAGGCGCTCGCCACTACCCTTGGCTAATGTTTGTATTTTTAGTAGAGACGGGGTTTCACCGTGTTGGCCAGGCTGGTCTTGAACTCCTGACCTCAAGTGATCTGCTTAACTTGGTCTCCCAAAGTGCTGGGGTTACAGGCGTGAGCCACCGTGCCCGGCCCTATTGAGTTTTTTAAAATTGGAATCTCATTAAATTAATAGAGTAATTTAAGGAAAAGCTGACATCTTTTTGATGTTGAGTCTTTTATTATTTAATTGACTTTGTGATCCACAGGAACATTTTCTTCATATAGATCTTGCCCACTTTTTGTTGAGTTTATTCTTAGGAGGTGTTTTGTGTTTTTTGTGTCTATTGTAAAGAGATCTTTTATGTTTTCTAGTTGGTTATCATTTGTCTGTGAGAGCTGTTAATAACAAGATGTTAATTACATAGGTATCCCACAGAACCCCTCTTTTTTTAAAAGTTAAGGCAAAATTCACATAACATAAAATTAATCATTTAAAAATATATAGTCCAGTGGTACTCAGTACATCTGCAGTGTTTGTTGTACAACCACTTCTTCTGTCTAGTCCCAAAATATTTTCATCACCCCAAAAGAAAACCTCATATCCATTAAGCAGTGACTCCCAATTCCCCCTCTCCCCTAGCAGTCACCAATCTGCCCTTCTTCTCTATGAATTTGCCTATTCTGGACATTTTATGTAAATGGAATTATATGTGACTTTTTCTTTGTGGCTTCTTTCCCTCAGTATAATGTTTTTGAGAGTCATTCATGGTGTAGCATGTATCAGTACTTCATTCTTTTTTATGGCTGAATAATATTCCATTGTTTGGAGAGATGATTTTTTGTGCACCCATTCATCTGTTAATGAGCATTTAGGTTGTTCCCACCTTTTGGCTATTGAGAATAGTGCTGCTGTGAGTATATGTGTACAGTATTTTTACAAATACCTATTTTCAGTCTTTTTGGATATACCTCGGAGTGGAATTGCTGGGTCATATGATAAACCTAAATTTAACATTTTGAGGAACTGCCAAACGGTTTTCCACAGCAGCTGCACTGTTTTACTTGCCACCGGTAATGTATGAAGGCTCTGCTTTCTCTTCATCCTCTCTGACAAATGTTTTTTTCTTAAATGGTCATCCTAGTTAGTATCTTAAAGTTTTTTTTCGAGACGGAGTCTTGCTCTGTCGCCCAGGCTGGAGTGCAGCGGCACGATCGTGGCTCACTGGCAAGCTCCGCCTCCCGGGTTCACGCCATTCTTCTGCCTCAGCCTCCCGAGTAGCTGGGACTACAGGGACCCACCGCCACGCCCAGCTAAATTTTTGTGTTTTTAGTGGAGACAGGGTTTCATCGTGTTAGCCAGGATGGTCTCGATCTCCTGACCTCGTGATCCACCCACCTCGGCCTCCCAAAGTGCTGGGATTACAGGCATGAGCCACCACGCCCGGCCAGTATCTTAAAGTTTTGAATTGCATTTTCTTAATAGCTAATGACATTGAACATCTTTTCATGTGGTTTTCGGCCATTTGTATATCTTTGGAAAAATGTCTATTCAAGTCTTTTGCCTATTTTTTAATTGGGTTCTGCCTTTTTGAGTTGTAAGAGTTTTTTAATATATTCTAGATGCTAGATTCTTACCCAGGTATATGATTTGCTGTAATTTTTTTGGTTTGCAGTAGTTTTTTGTTGATTCTCTTGTTTCAGTTACAGAATTATATCATCTACAAAGACAGATTACTTTTTTCTTTTTAATTTTATACTTAAAATTTATTTTGGCTAAATACTTTGGCTGTTACCTCCAAAATATTGTTAAGTAATAATGGGGGGAGTGATTATTGTGTTTCTTCCTTTAGTGGGAATGAAGACATCATTCTGTGGATTTACAGTGGTTATTTAACCATATCCATACTATAAAGCCTTTGGGTGGTTTCCAGTTATTCACCACTATAAGTAACACTGTTAGCACTTTTACCTGAATCTTTTCTCTTTTTTTTTTTTTTTTTTTTTTTTTGAGACAAGGTCTAGCTCTGTTGTCCAGGCTGGAATGCAGTGGTGTGATCTCGGCTCACTGCAACCTCCACCTCCTGGGCTCAAGCCATCCTCCCAGCTCAGCCTCCTGAATAGCTGGGACTACAGGTGCATGCCACCATGTCCAAATAATTCTTTTGTATTTTTTTTGTAGAGACGGGATGTCACTTTGTTGCCCAGGCTGGTTTTGAACTCCTGAGGTCAAGTGACCCACCCCCATCAGCCTCCCAAAGTGCTGGGATTACAGGTGTGAGCCACTGCACCAGGCCCATAAATCTTTTCTCTATTTGATATTATTTCCTTTGGCTAAATTTCAAAACTGTGAAACTACCGGCTCAAAGACTCCTGTAACTTTGTCAAATTCTTAGGGTTTAATTTTATAATAGAATGTTTTGTATTAACATTCTGAGGAATATACTGTACATTGCTGGAGTCCACTATATGTTTACATTCAAAAAATAGAACTGTCTTTGCCCATTTACCTATCTCCCTGCATCAATGGGAAGCAGAAGAAGAAGGTGGTTGAGCATCTACAGAGGGATGATTTTAGCTTTTCTGATTTAAGGCCCAGGTTGTAAAGGTCTCATGGATCCCAAGTGAACTGTTGTTTGTGGCTTTAGGATTTGGATTGACAAGTTTCCCTGGGTGTGGTGGTATGTACCTGAGGTTAGATGAGTCATGCTCATCCGTGACTGTCCAGCTGGGACGGGAGCTTCAGTACCTCTAAGCGTGCTGATGATCAAATAAGGCTTGGGAACCAGAGGGAAGTTGTATGTAGGTTTCTTCAAGACCAGCACCGTTTTTGTGCAAAAGTTCACCAGGTGCGAGTATAGAGGATCGTTTTCTGTTAAGCTCACGGCTCTGAAAATCAGCTGAGGTGACTGTGTGCTGTCAGAGGCAGCAGTCATTTGCCAGTGTTGGCATTTAGACATGGGAGTGCGAATGCCTTTCTTACTGAGCAGTTATTCTGTCTTTTGGGCCTTTCTTTTCAATTCCTCTGTTGTGACTCAAAGTACAATGAGTGGATAAAATGGAGCCTAGTCATTGCTGTTCTCTTAAGGTTGTTTCTAGAAGGTTTTCCCCTATATATATGAATTTTTCCAGATTAGAGTGTCTTGTGTTAAAGATTCTGAACATAGTTTGATTCTCAACATAGTTCCCTGATTATTACTTGTTTCCTTTAGTTTCAGATGCTTCATCAAGATGAATCAAATAAAAGAGAAAAGATCAAGACAAAGGGAATGGACTCTGAAGACGACCTGAGAGATGAAGTAGAGGATGCTGTCCAGAAAGTTTGTAATGCAACTGGATGTTCAGTTAGTATTTCTGTCTTGCAGGAATGATTTAGAAGCAAGCATTGCTGTGCCTAGCTTACTTCTTAGTTTCGTAGCACCTCTCTAGCATATCAGCACCTTGTGGGCCAAAATAGGCCCATGAGATTTGTAGTTTGATTAGTGTATGTGGCTTAATGAGAGCTGTTTATTAATTTCCCTGTTGTTTGCTAGACTTCACCCAGTACTGCTCAAAGGTCTTAGGAAGTATGTGGATTTAATTTTTCCTGACTAGTGTTTACAGTAGTACAAATGCAGTTTTATAGAGGGAATTCATTTATAAGTGTACATTAGACGGTTATTTCAAGGGACCAACCTTATTGGAAATCGACATTTTTCTAAATGGAAAAGGTCCTGAAACCTTGTGTTAATTCTCACTATTACATCTTTATGTTTATGATTATTGAAGTAGAGCTAGGCAGAAAAATATACCCAGAGTTTTGAAGTGGTTTTTTTGTTTGTTTGTTTCTTGGATAGGATTTTAATTTAATAGTCCAGAACCTGGAAGCTGAAAATTATAATATTGAATCTGCAATAATTGCCGTGCTTCGGATGAACCAAGGGAAGAGAAATAGTAAGTCCATGACTAATATTTATAGATCTTCAAAATGGTTGTGTTGGTAATTTTCCAAATATTTATTTTTTAACCAAGTCACAGGTGGTAACTGTTCTGTCATTCATTTAGGAGTTGTTTATTGAGCACGTTCTGTACGTAGACATTTTTTACTAGGTCCTGTCTCTGCTTCAGGGGGAGTATAGTTCAGGGGTAGAGGGTGGATAGTGGAGACAGATAAACTGGTGCGATAGTACATAATGGGGTTGGGAGTACAGGGTGCTGGGGGACGCATCAGGGAAGAATTAGCCTGTTTAGAAATAAGATGGCCTTAGAAGACCAAAATGATAACCAAAATAAAATGGAGAGAGAAATACCTTGTTTTTCTGGTGGAAATATTTAGATTTGTATTAGCTTGTGATAATTTTGATTTTTTTTTTTTAATTTGAACCAAGTATAATTTTGTGACTCAGAGGAAAGAAAAGAGATGTAACGGCTGGGTGTGGTGGCTCACACCTGTAATCCCAGCACTTTGGGAGGCTGAGGCAGGTGGATCACGAGGTCAGGAGTTTGAGACCAGCCTGACGAACATGGTGAAACCCCGTCTCTACTAAAAATACAAAAATTAGCTGGGTGTGGTGGCGGGTGCCTGTAATCCCAGCTACTCAGGAGGCTGAGGCAGGAGAATTGCTTGAACCTGGGAGGTGGTGGTTACAGTGAGCTAAGATCGCACCATTGCACTCCAGCCTGGGCAACAGAGCGAGACTCCCTCTCAAAAAAAAGAGAAAAGGATGTAACATCTTATTAATTTCTCAAGTCATTTATTTAAAATGATATCAATAAATACTGATTGCCAGATGTTACGTGTCAGATACTGTTTCTGGCATCATAGTGCTCCATGTGATGAGGTATTTTATTATCCACTATGTATTGGCTGTACTTTTAGAAATCTGTAAGTAACTTGGTCTTTGTGACTTTAAACAGCACCCTCCAGTGATCTGTGCTGTTCAGTATAGTGTGTACCTGCCACATGAGCAATGAGACTGGAGAGCTACGTTTTAAATGTTGTTTAATTTTAATTTAAATGTAAATGGCCACATATAGCTGGTGGCTAATACATTGGACAGCACAGCTTTAGAGCCTGTTTCTTTTCTGGGTTTTGGGTGCAAATGAAAGATTTTCCCATAAAAATTCATGTTAAGACATAATTTATCTAAAAAGCACTCTGCTGGTTGGAAGCTGATCAAAAGGCTGGTCAGTGGGTTATTTTAGAATTTATCTTCCAACTTTTACCAACTTTTTCTTCCTATGTTTCCCACTGTCTTGACATTCGAATTTGTCTCAAGGAAACTTACTTCCCTTATGACTGAAGTAGGGACCCAGGTAATTTTGGAATCATTAATACAGTCATCACCCTGTGTAACTCTCAGGTTCTCAGTTTTAATGAAATGTCTTTCTTTGGAAGATGCAGAAGAGAATCTTGAGCCCAGTGGTCGAGTGCTGAAGCAGTGTGGCCCTTTGTGGGAGGAGGGTGGCAGTGGTGCCAGAATCTTTGGAAATCAGGGCTTAAATGAAGGCAGGACCGAAAACAATAAGGCACAGGCCAGCCCTAGTGAAGAAAACAAAGCAAATAAAAACCAGCTCGCAAAGGTATGTAAGATGGGGTTGAATGGGCAGGTGGTGGGCAGGTGTAATTCTGTGGCAGTGGTGGTAGCTTGAGATTAATTTTATTTGTATTTTCCTTCTGATTTATAAAAGTAGTGTGGAAAATCTGGGGAATGCATAAAGCTACATCAAGAAGCAGAATGACCTCACTTATCCTGTTTGGTGTATGCCGTGACAGTTGGAAGGAAATACACCCTGAAATTGTCCTCAGTGTACAAATGAAAAGCCTCCTTTTCCCACCTAACATTACTGTACATGTGGGCTCTTCCCATGTTTATCCATGTTTTTTATAAATGCCATGATCTGCAATGAACACCTTTGTGTATAAATCTTTGGTTTTTGCATTATTTTCTTGAATAAAGTCCCAGAAGAGGAATGAACAGGTTAAAGGTCATGGATACATGAATCTTTTAAAGGCTTTTGGTAAATTGTCACGTGCTTCCCAGAAAGGTACATCTCCCTCCCTGCCCTTCACTCCCACAAGTAGTATGTGACATCTTCCATTTTACTGAATTTGGAATCATTTTAAAGATTTTCACCAAGAAGTTCTGAGCTCAAAATGCCACAGTGTAAAAAGCCACAGCAGAGGCAGAGATGCAATAAGCTTCTGAGGATTTTGTCAGAATTACCTGGGGCATTAAATTATGTGGGGAAAAATGTTCTCTGACACGTTTGTTTGTTACCAACTCTTGCTGGATGAGGGCTGGTTTCTTTAAGAGAAGAATGGAATTGATTTTGTTTGCTAGTTCAGCAAGGAAATATAAATTTAAATGCAAATTTGAGCAGCAGTGGACAGTAAATCATCTTTGGCGTCTTAGATTGGTTTTCCCTGTTCCTGCTGAAAAGCAATCTGTGCCCTTTGCCACCATCTCCCTTCTAGCAGGTGGCAGCTTGAGTCCCCCGTGCTTCCTACTCACCACCATGGCCTTCTCTCTCAGGTCACAAACAAACAGAGGCGAGAACAGCAGTGGATGGAGAAGAAGAAGCGGCAGGAGGAGAGGCACCGCCACAAAGCCCTGGAGAGCAGAGGTAGCCACAGGGACAATAACAGAAGCGAAGCAGAGGCGAACACGCAGGTCACCTTGGTGAAGACCTTCGCCGCTCTCAACATCTGACTCTTTGGCCTCTTGGGAGTTGTAAGAAGCGGCTGGAAAAGGATTGCTGTGTGCTAGACTTTCCAGTGAGGCCGTCCTTTTATAAAACGCAACACAACCAACGAAGCCCACACATGAGCTCACACACTGAGTTAGTTTCGTTCAAGCTGCCTCTTTTTTTGTTCGAAGTTTTATTAGTGATATGTTGGTGTTTTATGAAAATGCAGTGAGGCCATTCATATTCTGTAATACAAAATTAAAATACTGAGTTTTAGGGGCAGATAGTTAGGTCAGGAAAAACCTTTTAAGTGGTGGCTTTATTTGCCCTGAAAATCAGACTTCAGTGACCCTAGGATCTTTCCTTAACATTTGGGGTGAGTTTTGCTGTAATTGTTCATGAGTAGTTTAGAATAATTGTTAGAAATTCAGAATGACAAGTTTCCTTAGTTTCTCTTTCATTCTCAAACAGATATATAGGGTAGCTTATAAATGATCTCCAACTCAGGAATATGCTTTGATTTACTTCTAATCCAAGTTACTCAGAAAATAATTCAGGAATTGTTTTCCCAAAGTTACGTGAGGGTTGTGGCCTGCAGTCAGGATGGAAATTAACCGCATTTCTCTCCTTCCTGATTCTGATGTTATTTCAGATGGGATGCAGGTGCTGTTAGTTCATTTGCACTCAAGCCATATGATAAATGCAGCTGACTGTTAATTAGGCCTGGCCTTGTTGGGAAGTTGATAGTGGTGTTGGGTTTTTGGTATTTGTTTCCTGACAGTGGGGAGATGGCATGTTACTGCTTGTGATACAGTTCTGGAATTCTGATAGTGTGTAGAGCAGGGTCTATAGTTGTAACAGGAGACGAACTCCTGGGGTTTTGCCTAAGAGGAGTCTAAAGAATTATGTTTTTATAGGAGAAGCCTGGAAGAATAAGGTTTTTCATGTTCGCATTTTAAATAACGATTTTCTTCCCTTCTGTTGTAGACTTAGATGCCTTCAGAGAGATACGTGGTAACTTGACCTTATAGGTCGCTAAACTTAGTATTGTGGAAATTAAATCTTATAAAATGCTACATTTATTTCTTTTTATTTAAGCCCTGTTTGGCATTTCAAAGTTGGGAAAACTCCAGCATCTGCTGGAAGTTGTTGGACCAGCAGGGTTGGTTGACTTAGGTTGGACCAGCAGAGAAGAGAACATACTTTGGTTGAGGCCTTCGAATCACTCTTCAGTTCTGAAATAGACAGACTTGAGCAGTGGAGAGACGTCTTTCCTAAAACTGAGTTAGGTGGATGTGAACTTAAGAACTATAACGTATGAGGCAGCCCATCTTGGATCATCTTTGTCTTTTGGGACCTAATACTTGGGCAAATAATTGATGCTGAGTTGAAAGGTAAATTATTAGTTATCTTCCCCACCCCTCGCATTTCAGAATTATAAAAATTCGGAGGCAAATTGAAAACTAAAATGTTTGGTAGGCCCTGGAGTCGCCAGATTGTCTTTATCACCAGGCCTTTGGCTTTCTTCAGTTTCACTGGTATCTTTTGGTTTTGTTTTTGACTTTGGTGGCTTTTTGTAGTTGGAGCATCAGTAGTCTCTTGGAATTGCTCCTAGGACATTGTGGTTTAGGTTTCTTCCTGGGTACAGTACATTGTAAAATTTAGCAGATTAAAAAAAGTACACAGCATTTTTTTTCTGTGCACGTCGCAGAGTCCTGAGCTTGAGGCTGTGTTACTCTACTCATTCCAAACGAATGAAAGATCTCTGTTGCCTTACTCTAAGGAAGTGGGATCGAGTGCGTTAGGATCTATGGTTGTCTTGGTTTTCAACTCTGGGCAGATTCCTGACTGGCTGAGTGTTTCTGAATGAAGATGTTTTCCTGTCTGTTTTGTACTGCTTGAGTGCAGAGGCCAGATCC
Source organism: Homo sapiens (assembly GCF_000001405.40). NCBI lineage: Eukaryota > Metazoa > Chordata > Mammalia > Primates > Hominidae > Homo > Homo sapiens. Next base: position 19,909,643 of record NC_000001.11, read on the forward strand.
TCTCAGAAAGATAAGATTGTATGCCAGAAATTCAGATTAGCAGTCAGCTTAAGAGAGACTTATTGTCAGAAGTAGTAGAATTGCTTTATTTACTTGGTTAATGAAGGTGGCCTTGGGCCCTATTGGGTTTTAGAAGTTTTAGAAGCTGCTAAAAAGTTATTAAAGAATATTGGGAACATTTATTTTTTAAATTACCTAATTCTGGTAATAGGCTTCAGCATTTCTGGAGTATAATAATGGTGGTTTAAAAAACTAATCAAACGGCTTTAGTAATTTTACTACTGGTTTCACAGCTTTTCAGTTACAGTTGGTCTGTTTAGTGTGTTAATTATTAGGAATCGGGTACATGCATCCAACTTCAGTGATACCTTCTAGCTAATGGTTTCAATTTAGACTTCACTGCCTCAGTCTCACTGGGTACATGAGAAGGTTGGAATCAACATGCTTAGTTGCCTCAGTGGGCACTTGAAAATTCCTTCACTGGCAGCCCGAGTGGAGGCCCAGTATGTCTAGTCCTGGGATGACTGTTGTCAGCAGCTGTTACTCTAGTACAGGTGCTCCTGTGAACTCTTTATTAGGAACTGAATGTGTCTTAACCTCTGTGTTACATCTTGGCTGGCAGAGATTTATGTTACATGAGATTGTCTTGGTAGCTTGTAGTGTGGTCAGGAGAAAGGGGATGGAGCAGTGGTGCATAGCTGCTTACTGCTCTTATAAACGGTATATAAAGGTTTTACGGATTTTGAAAATATTTTTTTTTAGAGGTCAAAATAAATACCATTTTAGTGGCAACAGCTTTGAACTAGAGAGGTAGATGTATTAAAGCAGCATAGAACCATAACTTCTAGATAATGTAGTTGCCACTAGGAGATATTAGAAAGTTAGAATGTATGTGTGTATTTAGTTTTTCAATAATAATGAACATACACTTTCAGGAGCAAAGTATGGTTGAGAAATTGTGGCAGAAAGAATTTTAAATGTTAGTCGAAGTTGTCTGTAGTTTCTTTATTAAGCTCTGAAAACACTTCCAATGCCAGTTTGATTCTGAGGGCTTGGGAAGTGGGATCTCCCTTGTGGAGCAGCTGGAGCTGGCTGGGAGGGAGCCTCTCCATGGGTAATTTATTATGCCTGCCCTGCTTCCCCCAGGGAGCTGCTTCAGTGTGAAATGATGTGATTGTCGGGGGTGGGGTGGGAGGAGGGCCACCTTCAGTCGGGGAGTTGCTCACATATTACACAGGTAGCATCAGGTGGACTTCAGCGCTGAACTGTACTAGTAGTGAGTCCCTGTAGTCAATGTGCAATTTCTCTAATTCTGAGAAACTCTGTAGACTCTGCCTGGGTTTTACTGGGTCAGCATAGAATGCTATCAGTTTACCTCTGTGAAATATTCAGTCAGTTGAAGGAAACTTGGATTCCTAGTCAGAGGTGACTAAAAGTTACCCTGACCAAAAGGATCTCTGCGGGGGGAAGAGAATGGAGCTTCCTGATTTTAATGTGTTGCGTCAGTGGCCCTCTTCGACTCCCGTTTTGGGTAGATGCGTAGCTCTTCACTTTCTTACCTCAAGGCTCTGTCTAGCCATGTTAAATCTTTAGACTCAGTCTGATGCCGTTTTTCTGTTTTGCCATTCTCATTATTCACAGCTTTCAGAACAAGTGTTGCTAAAACTCCGGGGCCTTTGACAGTTGTTCTGAGGTGATTTAATAATGGACTTTTTATAAGTTATGTTTTCCTGGCTCTAAAGTAAATTTTTTTTTTTTTTTTTTTGAGACAGAGTCTTGCTTTGTTGCCCAGGCTGGAGTGTGGTGGGGCAATCTCGGCTCACTGCAACCTCCACCTCCCGGGTTCAAGCGATTCTCCTGCCTCAGCCTCCTGAGTAGCTGGGATTACAGGTGTGTGCCACCATGCTTGGCTAATTTTTGTATTTTTAGTAGAGACGGGGTTTCACCATGTTAGCCAGGCTGGTCTCAAACTCCTGACCTTGTGATCTGCCCGCCTCAGCCTCCCAAAGTGCTAGGATTACGGGTGTGAGCAACCCTGCCCGGCCAGTAAATTGTATTTTTTTAATGACATCATTGATTTGAAGATCTAGATGGCATAAATTACGACGTCTGCCATCGCATATTAGAAAGGGGACAGTCATATTTGTAACGTGGAGAGAACACGGAGCACCAGTCACCACGTGCACTTAGGATGCAGAGCTTACCGCACACCGCTGATGGGGACCTCCGGAAAGAGCGGTGCCTTGTGGTTGGCCTGGAAGTTCTCTCCCAAGGTGAAATTCCTTTAAAACCTCAGGCTCTGACCTATGTCTTTGAAGCAGCTGCTTTGTAGAGTCCCTCTCTTTACTGTCCTCGTTAGGACTGTTTTGTGGTTCCATGAAAATGTTTAGCATCCTTGCAGAATTACTTGAGAAGGGGCTGGTACCAGTGTAAAGAATCTATTTCTGTAAAACTACGAACTTTTGCATAGGGAATTTATTCTAAGCAGGTCATAGCCGTGATCCAGAGCTGCTGCTGCTCACTGCCAGTCCTTGCGGCTGGCGGCGATTGCCGGACAGACTCTCTGTGGCCTGGCTCTCATCCTTGGCGTGTCAGCCTGCGGCAGGCTGCCAGCCATCCATGACAATCATGTGAGCTCAGCCACAGACCTCAGCTGGCGGTTTGATCCCTGGCAGGTCCCTCGAGCAGTACTGGTAAGAGGCTTCACACATTTTCCCACTCTTACAGTTCATTTTTCATAGTAGGAAGGGCCCTTGGCCTCCCCAGTGCCTCTTCCAGAGCCTCCACCAGCACTAAGCTCAGAGGAAAGAAGAAAAGGGCCAGGAGTCAGACGTCACACCCGGGGGCTCCCCTTTCCCATGTAGAAGTGTTGGCATGCGTCAGTCTCCTTTACAGAGGGGTGGATGTATCCGTGGAGGAGGGGCCTTCTCTCTTTCTAATTGCACTATACTTGTTCTAGCTTCAGTCTGGAGATACTTAAGACCTCCATGGGGTCGTGATCCATAGACTTAGCAAGTCTTGCCTTATCTATGGAGCTCGATGGTGAGAATTGTGACCATTGTCTGATGTCCATAGTTCCTTCCCCCTAGATTGTTTCTTTCCACGGATTGTGTTCATCTGAACCATTTTATTTTTTATTTACCAAAGTACTGTACTTGGCTATTTGCAGTGTTTTCAAAACCAAATGTTTCTTTTTTTGTGTTTTTAATCTTCGATACTTGGTGCAATAGAAGCTGCAAAGATGTGCCACTTTATCTATGAAATGGAGTTTTGTATACCAATAAATTCTAGTTTAAAAACAAAGTTTTAAGTTGTTTTTATCAGTATCTGACCACCGTTTGAGTGAATGCAAGGAGGCTGAGTGTGCTGGGAAATGTCCTTTTTGGAGACCTTTGTGTGGAAGCTTTGCGTGTTTGCGTGTGCTGGATTGAGTATTCTAGGTGTATAATAGTACTTTGGGATCTGACTAAGCTTAGAACAGCTGATTTTTGCTTTAGTGCAGCTAAATGCAGCCACCAAACACAATGGCAGGGTCATTCTTAAGGACTACACACTTAAGATTTCTGCCTGATATCTGAGAGCATCTCTTGATAAGTTTGAAACTGTTTAAATATGTAGCAGTTGTCTGTCAGCGGCCACTTTGGGCTCCTCTAGAACTCTCAAGATTGTTTGACCCCATTCAAGGAGGAGGCTCCCTGCCAAGGCACAGACAGTACCATCTGGGGGCACAACTCACCTAGAAGGGTCCACAGGAAACCAGAGCGAAGGGAGTCCTTCATTGCGTCCAGCAGGGGCCCCATCCACACAAGGGCTCTGGCTCGGCAGACCTCACCATGTCATGATTTTGACCTTGAGACTCCCATTCTCCCATTCTTCATTTTGTATTCAACAAGCAGCCTTCTGAATTGGCTCCCTGTTGCCTTGACACAAAAAAGGACTAGATGGTTTTCTGGATGAAAGTCAAGAATATTCTAGCTTCTGCAAGCAGATTCTCCCACAATCTCTCAAGTGATCTTCTCTGTGTGATTCTTCTTCAGTCCACAACTGAGAGACCCATCATCTCTGGATAGACACACACTGTCTGGTTCCTGAGCCTGTGAGGCCCAGATTCCAGACCCCATTTAACCTGAGATTCTTCCAGGAAATCTGCTATGGTCCAAAGTGATGTCCCAATCCAGGTGCTGCCCGCACACTGGAAAACTTCCATGGCCTCCTTAATCCCATTCCAGGGATTCAGCTGGGGCCAGGTGGCTGCTGCTAGGGATTAGAGGGGCTTCCTGTTTGGGCAGCGTTGGACCAGGTGACCTGTAAGATCCTGTGTGGGAGATAGGATGAGTCTTTAAGGACAGAGAAGTGTTCTTGAGCCAGGTAGGGACAAGTGGCTGTGCCTTTGTCCCTTCTTGGTAACCGCTCATGGTCACCTTGGAGAAAGCCTGGCTGAAAACCTGGGTGTTTAGAGTTGCATCAGCGAGTCACCACCCCAGGCTTCTGGCCTTTCCCTTCCTCCAATGCACAGAAACAAGAGTGTGTGTCTTGAGACACAGTTCATAAAAAGCTCTGCTCCAATATGGTTTTGGCTGGACAGAATGGTTTTTGCTGATGGAATGGGCACTCTCAGACCATTGAGATGCAGAGATTTAGAACTTGGTTGCAAAGGCTTGAGGCCAGTCCTGTCACTTCACAGATTCTGGCTTGGCAGAAGGAAACATTTCCTATCTTCTTGGAGAAACTTGTCTGAACCTCCCTATGGTAGAAGGACTTGGGTATCCCCAGAGGATTGTTTCTGTTCAATTTATTCATCTAAACATCCAAGAATCCATCTGACATCTAGTGAACCTCTACTCTGTATGGGTCCTTATTTCTGGGCATTGAAACAGTCATGGATCCTGCCTTCAAAAAGCCTCCAGTCCGGGAATGAAAGTGGACACGTCACTGACCCAGGAGAGAGCACATGCCATAAAGGAGGTACTGATGAGAGGGCTGTGAGTTCAGAGAATTCGGGAAGGCTTGGTGGAGGAAGTGAGATTTGGACGAGGCACGAAAGGGGAGACAGGATACAGAAATAGGGAGCGAAGACATGTTGGACTGAATGGCCAGCGCAAGCAAAACCTAGGAGTGGGATGGGTATGCTCCAGTGTTTAGGACAGAGCTTATTATGGATGTATAATCAGTTTGGAGAAAGACTGGGAACTTCTTGAAACACCTCTCATGTGCCTTTCACTACTGGAAGAGTAGTGCTGTGCTTGCTGAATGGATTCTCAAGATCAGGCCTGGGTGCAGTGGCTGACATCTGTAATCCCTGCACTTTGGGAGGCTGGGGCAGGAGGCTTGCTCACACTCAGGAGTTCAAGACCAGTTTGGTCAATCTAGCGAGATCCCGTCTCTATGCATGCACACACAAAATTACTGGGGTTTGGGGCTGGGTGCCTGTCTGTAGTCCCTCCTACTCAGGAGGCTGAGGCAGGAGGATCACTTGAGCTCAGGAGTATTAGGCTGCAGTGAGCTTTATCACACCACAACACTCCAGCCTGGGTGACAGGGTGAGACCCTGTCTCAAAACCCCAAAACAACAAAGATCTGCCTGACGGCTTTTTAGTGTCTGGAGTTGGCCTGTGTGTGCATTCTAACCTGGCAATGTTACAGGTAGCGCCTGCCTGGAAAAATGCTGCACCATCTATCTCTGCCTTTGGGGGACATTAGCGCAGAATTCAATTGAACAGGTACCTGTTTAGCATCTACTGTGTGACATTTGCAATTGGAGAGCAAAAATACAGAAGGTGGCCAAGCGTAGATGGAGCAGCTAGCATGCCCCGGACACTTTGGATACATGGTCTCATTTGAACTTGAAAACCACCCTGTGAGGCTGATGGTTCTATTCAGGAATAAATAATTGTCCCAAGATCACAGCTTAGTAGCAGAGACAGGATTTGAACCCAGAGCAGTCTGCCGCCACCATGCAAGGACCCAAATAACGGGATAAGCAGTTCTAGGAAAGGTATAAACACAGCTTGGCAGTTCAAGGAGGGTGAAATCCGCTCCAATTGAAACAGCATCATAGAAAAGGTGACATTTGGGACTGGGCAGGGTGGCTTATCCCTGTAATCCCAACAGTTTGGGAGGCTGAGGCAGGAGGATTGCTTGAGGCCAGGAGTTTGAGACCAGCCTGGCAACATAGCGAGACCCGGTCTCTACCAAAAATAAGTAAGTTAGCCAGAATTGATGGCACACACCTGTTGTCCCAGCTACGTGGGAGGCTAAGGTGGGAGGCTTGCTTGAGTCGAGGAGGTTAAGGCTGCAGTGAACTATGATCGTGCCACTGCAGTCCAACCTGGGCAAGAGGGAGACCCTGTCTCTGAATATAAAGGAAGAGACGACATTTGGGATTCACTTTAAGCCCATGGATTTTAGCGTGGTGATGTGCCTGTGGGCAAGGGAGGCTTTTAGGTTGAGAGAAGCTACTGCACAAGGATATGAAGGCAGGACAGCAGAGGAGCTTAGTAAATAGATATTGCTGCATAAGAGGCTGGAAAAGCAGATGACACCAAGCCTGGAATACCAGGGGCTGGTGGACAATGGGGAGTCACTGATGGTTCAGGAGCAGAGGAGTGACATGATGAAAATCAGGCTCTGGGAAAATGAAGCTGGCATCAGTGGACAGGATGGAGATGTGATGAAGGATGGAGGGTTTAAGAACCATTAGTCCTGATACTCTCTTGTTAGGGGTGTCACATTACTTGCTAGTGTAGAATTATTGCTGTTTTCTGTCTGCTGGTTGACTCTGTCTGATTCGTGTCTATCTCCAGCATCCAGGAAAAGACCAGAAGCATAATTTGCATAAAACTTATTGAAGGAAAGAATTAACTTTAGTATTCAGTTCTCTGGTGGTGACATTGCAAAGAACCCCAGTGAAGCAGATGCATGTCCAGGAAATCCTAATCAGACTCCTCATTGAACTTGGGAATTCCACTGTGATTTCTGGTCACTAATTGAGGAAGGTCTTTACCTTTGCACTTCATGCATAGCTTTTGTTAGGTGCTAAATAGGAACAAAAGCAAAACCAATCCAAATCCTCTCATCAAAATTGGAGAGGCAAACTATGAAACATTTAGGTAAGAATGTCCCCTCCCCAGCTTTGACACAGTCCCGTTGCCTACTTTACTCATCCAATGAATTAGCACACATAAAGCACTTACAACAGTGCCTGGCAAATGCCTAGTGCACAGCAAGTGTTAGCTATTGTTAATGACTATCCATTCATTCATTCCTAGAACACGAGTGATTTTTCAGTGCTAGCCATTATTTGTACATTTTCATGCATGTTATCTCAAACTTTGCCATAACCAGCCTGCTGGGGAAATGTCATACTTCCATTTGACAAATGCAGAGACTGAGACTCCATTTATCAGCACTTAGATTTTAATGTGCACACGAATCATCAGGGGGGCTTGTTAACTTACAGATTCTGATTCAGCAGGTCTGGGGTCAGGTCCAAGATTCTGCATTTTGAACAGGATCCCTGCTGCTGCTTCTGCGGCTGCCCCTGCCCATGGACCACGTTGAATAGCAAAGGTCTAAGCAGAGCCACTGCTGCTAAAGCGGCAGAACAAAGCGCTCTACCTGGAACCTCCCAGTTCAAGTTCAGGCTTCTCCCTTCCTTTTTTTCAGTCTCTTTTGCAAGTCTGCTGCTGGGTATCAAGGGTTCTCTAGATACGCACACATAGGCAAACAGGATTTAAGCAGGCCCCTTGATCCCGTCATCAAACATTTATTGGCCAGGCGCGGTGGCTCACGCCTGTAATCCCAGCACTTTGGGAGGCCGAGGTAGGCGGATCACGAGGTCAGGAGATCGAGACCATCCTGACTAACACGGTGAAACCCCGTCTCTACTAAAAATACAAAAAATTAGCCAGGCATGTTGGCGGGCGCCTGTAGTCCCAGCTACTGGGGAGGCTGAGGCAGGAGAATGGCGTGAACCCGGGAGGCGGAGCTTGCAGTGAGCCGAGATCGTGCCACTGCACTCCATCCTGGGCGACAGAGCGAGACTCCGTCTCAAAAAAACAAAACAAAACAAAAAACCCAAAACATTTATCGAGCCCTGGGAAAGCAAAGAGTAAAGGCTGGTCTGTGGCCAAAAGACAGCTTGGTTTTGGTGGGTGGGGGTGGGTGAGTAGCAGGGGTCACAGCAGGCTGCGCTGGAATCTTGCTCCTAAGTTTCAATGTTTGTTTCGTCGGACAGTTATACAACTGTTAAGATCATCAGGTAGGTGTCCCATTGGTACCTTAAATCCATCATGCCCAGGTGTCACCTCTCTCTAATCTGCCCCATCAGCTCCTTCTCCCTGTGTTTTCTGTTTCTGCAGTGGCCATCATCCTCAGATGGTTGTATGGCCTTCTTTGGCATTTTCTCAGTATATTTATTTATGAAAATGTGAGGGGACCAATTTCACTAGCCCAGAAGCACACTTTGCCCACCTGAGGAAGAGAAATCGAGGTTTAAGCCAAGCGCAGGTTTCTCCCTAGTGGCCTGAATGAAATGGACACCAGAGGGCGCCTCAGGACCACTTTTCCTGCAAAGGAGGTTTGCATTCTTCCCCCACACAGGCCGTTTTTGCTTTAAGACATGGTCTTCTGGTGATACTTGGCTGAGGATTTGAGTCAGTTACAACAGCAAAGTACACACGCCTGTCCTCCCTTTCTTCTCCTCCTTCCTTTTGCTAGCACAGAGCTTCTTCACCTTTTAAAGGTCACAGCGATACATCCCTTTGATTTTTTTTTTTTTTTTTTTGAGATGGAGTTTCTACTCTTGTTGCCCAGGGTGGAGTGCAATGGCATGATCTTGGCTCACCGCAACCTCCATCTCCTAGGTTCAACGATTCTCCTGCTTCAGCCTCCTGAGTAGGTGAGATTACAGGCCTGCACCACCATGCCCGGCTAATTTTGTATTTTTAGTAAAGACTGGGTGTCTCCATGTTGGTCAGGCTGGTCTCGAACTCCCGACCTCAGGTGATCTGCCCGCCTTGGCCTCCCAAAGTGCTGGGATTACAGGTGTGAGCCACCATGACTGGCTCTTCCTTTGATTTTTTTTTGCTCTCCTCCCTGCCCTCAAGGTCCTGAATGCTGTGCACAGGCCCTGAGAAGGGTGAAGGGAGTGGTCATTTGTTGAGTGTCCAACTGTGAGCTTTGCCCTGTGCAATGCATTGGCAGGTGCTCTGTCATTGAGCAGGCGAATCCCAGTCCTGTAAGATTTCATCAGCATATAATAGATAATTCTATCTTTAGAAGTAACATCTGCTGAAATAGATTGCTTCCAGAATAGGCTGCATTCCTCCTGGTGGGAATCCTTGAGTGCATTACATTCTTCATGGCTTCAGAATCGGGAGGTTGGAGTCAGCCCTGGATGCTGAACCCTTTCCTCCTCCTCTTCCTGTGTCCTCACAGCTGAACGGCCCTGGGCACTCTGGTCTTTCCAAGATTACAACCAGCAGGCCTGGTTAACGTGGCCATACCAGAGCGTGGGTGGCTGATGACAACTTCATGAAGAAATGAAGGGCCAGGGAGTGGGGACACCCCCTCGGGTAGAACATCCCCTCTCTGGCCCCCAGGGGCCCATCAAAGAAGGGGTGTGGATAAGACCATCTAGAGCTGCTTCTCACTCTTAACCAATCTTTGCCAGTGTTGGGGATTTGAGGCCTGATGACACAGTGGGGACAATATTTTTAGGTTGGTATTTTTCGTGCTTTTCACATTAAGCCATATGGCCAGAAATATTCCTTCCAGAGATTGCATTATCTTTGATAAGATTGTAGAATGTTAGAAAAAGAGAGTCACAGGGCCGGGCACGGTGGCTCACGCCTGTAATCCCAGCACCTTGGGAGGCCGAGGCGGGCAGACCACGAGGTCAGGAGATCGAGACCATCCTGGCTAACACGGTTAAACCCCGTCTCTACTAAAAATATAAAAAAATTAGCCGGGTGTGGTGTCGGGCGCCTGTAGTCCCAGCTACTCGGGAGGCCGAGGCAGGAGAATGGCGTGAACCCGGGAGGCGGAGCTTACAGTGAGCCGAGATCGCGACACTGCACTCCAGCCTGGGCGACAGAGCGAGACTCTGTCTCAAAAAAAAAAAAAAAAAAAAAAAATAGAAAAAGAAAAAGAAAAAGAGAGCCACAGAAACTTACTGTCATGGAAAATTAAAAGAATTTAATGCTGGAATTGCAGGCAGGGCCACCCATGTCAGACTTGTTCCCACTGATTCCAGTGCATGCTGTCAGCACAAGGTAGGTGATCAGAAAATTAATGTATGAATGAAACTCTAGTGAATTAAATCCTAGAATGATTGACAGAATTTGAGACTCAAAGAACATTAGAATTATGGGAAAACATTATTCACTTATTCAGAAGAGGGAGCTGAGATCCCAGAAGCTAGTGACAGTCTTCTGGGTGCTGAAGGGTCCATGGCTCCTGGGGCAGGGTTCTTTCTACAGAGAAGGGGTAGCCTGGGAGGCTAGTGATGGTCCAGGACATATCTCTGAGCTCTCAAGGAGGGATGAGTTTGCAGGAAAGGAATTTTCCAAAGGGAGGGCCTTTGGTGCCAATGTTCCCCAGGCCTGGGACTACAGCAGCCCGAGGCGGGACCTCCAGGGACGGGGGGGAGGCCGAGCATAGCCTCAGCAGGGCGGGGTGGGCCCGGTGCACAGCTTGTTGGGATAATGGGCATATTTGCGGTTGTAGGTGCCCAGGTTGCGGCGAAAGCAGAGGGCAGCCCTCTTGTCACACTCGCAGGTCAGCCGCTGGCAGGTGGTCCTGCCGGCTGGATGGGACAAAGTGAGTCAGGGACCACAGAAGCTCAGGATATGTGTGGGACAGCTCTTGGCTGCTTCTGGGTCCACGTTCTTGACCTGGACCAACTCCATTCTGATGGAAGCCCAAGCTCCCGGGTTGTTTCACGGATGGGTGAGACAAGAGACAAGGGCGGGGCGCACTGTGGCTCAGGACACCAGGGAAGCTGGAAGCTTGCCCTCGCTGTCCCTCCCTGCTCTCCCAAGCCCACGCTGACTGCCCTTAGCTCTCTCCGGCCTTAGGGACACCACGTGGTTCCCTAACTCTCACTGCCCCCGACCAGGGGGATTTCTAGGCAACCCCTGCACCCCTGTGTGATGCGTTGCTGATGGCGGATTGTGGCCATCAAGCAGAGAGGACAGCTACGAAATGACAGCAACTCAATCTGATGGCTATGTGTGCCCCAGAGTGGCGTGGGCCTAGGCTGGAAGCCACTGGGACCAAAGCTGGAGGCTGCTCAGGGCCCTCTGCCTGTCCTCATCAGAGTGGACAGAGCCCAGTTTTCTGCCCATACCCAGCCTGGGAGTCAGACTTCTACCCTGACCTGTCCTTCCTAGAGCCAGCTGGCATCAGCTCTGTAGGGGCCCAGAAGGCTCCTCCTGTCTCCACTGCAGCTGCCTCTGTCACCTCTGCCTGCAGTGGCCCTGGCTCCCTTTTGTCCCCATGACTGTATCTCACAGCTCAGGCCAGGTGCCTCATTTCCCCTCTTGAAGTTGAGCCTTCGTCTCCCGTCAGGGCTCTGCCCACGCCCGCTATGTCAGCAACACCCAGGGTTGGAAGGGACTCTTAACGCCGAGCCGGTCAGCCTCTTTTGGGGGGCTTTTTCCAGGAGCTGGGCTGAGCTGGGGAAGTGGGTATAAGCCTCTCCGTTTTCTAGGTGAGGAAACAGAGGCTTTCCAGGGATTACATCACTTGTCCAAAGTCACAGGCAGGTGGAAGGTGACGCCCTGGGTAGAATCCAGAGCTTGTGTCTCCACCCACCTGCCTCCTCCCCTCAGCCCTGATCCTGGCAGGTGGCTGCTTCTGCCTTGCATGGACTCCCAGCGACAGAGACTCAGTACCTGGCACATTGCCCTGCCGAGTGGTTGGCGGCAGAGGAAATGGAGCCAGCTCTGCCCCGCCGCCAGGACAGAATTTAGAGACCTGAGTCTGCCGCGACCTCCCGAATCCTTCCGCGCTGCAGCATCCGCCCACCAGGCCCTGCCCTTCTTTCAGGCTGCTCCTGGCTTTGTGGCAGGGAGAGAGCTTGGCTCTCTCATGTGGGGTCCCTCGACAGTCTCACTTGGTTGAGGCTGCTTGCCTGGGCCTGGGACTGAAGGAAAGCTAATTGGTCCAAATGGGCACTGGACATGGCACAGCTGAGCAAATGGGTCCAGCCTGACAGTCCCATTGAGGAGTCAGCCTTTGGAAACAGCATCTGCTGTCCCCAGTCAAAGCCCCAGCTCGTTCTGTCCGAAGGACTTCACCTTTAGCTCCTGTTGAGGCCTTGGGAGGGTGCCTGAGTCCAGCTCCTCTGGGCCCTGGCTCAGCTCAGACCCCTCTGCTCCTCTTTCCAGAGGCTGGAGCTGGGAGGTGTCTGTGGGTAGGGAGATACCTGGGGCTGAGGGCTGCACTGATGGGGTACGGGCTTCTCTGGCCTGGGTGCCTGGTGAACATCTGGGTCTCCACTGTTACGTGGTAACGGGAAACCCCATGCCTCCAGCCCAGGGTCTGGCTCTGATAAGGCCCAAGGTCACCATCAGGAGGGGCTTCCTGTCTTAAGCTGCCTCCACCCACCTCACCGCAGGGTGTCTAGGTCACTTCAGGGCTCTCCACCTACCGCAGAAAATGCCACGTTCGCTGACAGAGAAAAGATACTTTTCCAGTTTGGGCTCACAGCCCAGCTTCTCCAGACGCCCGTAGCAGCAGTCGTGGGCGTGGCAGCACCTGTAAGGGTCATGGTTGACCTGGAGGGACCTGTGAGCCAGGCTGGGCTGGACCAGGGGCTGCTCGGGGCCCCCGAGCCCAAAGCAGCCCAGAGGAGAGATCAGCCTGAATTTTCCAGGTGCCCCCAGGCTTCCCTCCTTCTCCCAGGATCCTCCCAGGATCCCCCAGCTCCTCCATCCCCATGGAGGTCCCCCTGCAGGCTGCTTCCTCACCAGTCAGTCTGGTCCACCGGCCAGTGGGAGCCACCGATGCCGCAGTAACAGCCATAGTCGTTGTACTGCAGGGCGGACTTGCCTGTCATCTTCTCGATCATCACCCCAAACTGAACCAGGTTCCCGGTGACCAGAGCCACTGCAGAGAGGGAGAGGGAGAGGGAGAGGGAGGGCCCCACCCTCTGCAGCCAACTTCCCCTGATGTCCCCTCAAATCTGATCACAGGCATCTCTCCAGTTGTCCAGTTAAGCTCACCTCCCCAAAGCAACCCACTCTCAACAACAACCGTGGTAATAAGTAATAATATTGCCAGTGACATCCGTTGCACCTTCATCCCCTAGTCCTCTCCTCCAGTGTGTCAGCGCCCCCAGTGTCCCCTCCCACTCTTCTATCTACTACAGTGTCACTCATTCACCCCTTCCAGGGGCTCCCCACCAGCCACCAGTCCTCCCCAGGTGTCAGCCCTTATCTCACCCAGGAACACTCTGTCCCCCCAGGTCTCATCAGATGGCACTGGACCTGTCTCCTGACCACCTCAGCTGACCTCCCCAAATTCTTCCCGGTGCTCCTGACTCAGCCATGGGACTGAATCCTGCCCACCTTGGCAGGTTGGAGCCAAACATGGAAGCTAGGATAGGAGAAGGAGCCTAGGGTGTGCCATCCGGGAAGCGCCAGCCCCTGGCCCATGCCCCTCACCCCTCCCAGCCTGCATTCTCCTCCCCTCTGCTCCAGCCACCGCTGGCTCAGGCAAAACTGGCCTCAGGGTCACCCTGGTGGCAGGAAGGGGGCAGCCTCCAGTGTTTGGCATCCACCACACCCTCGGTAGGGCCAGGCTCAGGGGCATCCAGGGAGCTTGGGGTTGCCAGATGGGGCAGAAGGCTGAAGGTCACAAAGATCACTTACCCAGGAGGCAAAGGAACACCAGCACGTGGGGAGATTTCATCCCAGGTTGGGGGGAAGGGAGGTGCACAAGGAGCATAAAAGGCAGCAGAAGAAAGCAGCAGGGCCACCTCTGATCTCAGGGAGCCTCCTAATTAGTTAAATACCCAGGTCCTGTCCACTCCCTGTCATTAACCCGTGAGTGCCCAGTGATGCAACGATTCTTCCAGGTCTGACACTTTGGCCAAGTCCCCGGGGAGGGGCCAGCTGGGGCCTGTGGGCTCTGCTTCCAGGCAGTGTGGGGGATGGCGGGCAATCTCGTGGCTCTTTCTACTCACACCCTTCCCATCACCCACCCTTTCCAAAAAATCATCCATTGACCACGCTGTGAGGCGCGGGCTGTGCCAGGTGCTTGTCATTCTTGGTATCTTTTCCTCATCTCCACTTGACTGAGACTCAGAGAGACTGAAAAACCTCAGTTCTCACAGCCTGGAGGTGCCCAGGGCCAAGTCCGTCCTGTTTCAGAGTTTCCACCCGGGCAGAACCGGAGGCAGGAGGCCCTGGCCTGGCCTGGCGCTTCCCCTCCCCGACCCTCCTGCTCTGGTCTGTGACTGGGATCACTGACCCTGCACCTCCGTCACCGTTCAGGGCCTGGGAGTCGCTGGGTCTGTGGCCTTGGAGTCCTGGTTCCACTGCGTATTAGGCGGCCGTGGGCAGGTCCTTTCCCTTGCTTGGAACCTCAGTTTTCCTGCCTGTATTATGAGGATAGAAGGTGTCCCTCTTGCCTCCCGCACAGGAGGATGGAAAACTCACACGCAACCAGGCAGCCAGCCCTCACCAAGTACTTGCTATGCACCAGGCGCTGTGCCAAGCCCCTTTCAAGCAGGACCACAGCCCCATCACGTGGGTGCTGCAGTCATCCCCATCTTACAGAGGAGGGAAACTGAGGCACATGCATAAGTGATGAGCTAGAATTTAAACCCAGGCAACATAAAGGGCTTCACCTGGGCCAACTCATCCAGCACGAAGTGGAGGTGGTGCCTAGCAGCCATACTACTTTTAACCCCAACAGAATGTGTTACTTTCTTATAAAAGTAGGAGAAAAACCAGTACCATCCCACCTGGATTATATTTGTCTTCAAACCAAGACAGTCATAACATTTAATATATGGAGGAAGAGCCCACAAAGGCTGATGTGCCCAGGGCCCGTGACAACCGGTGTACTGCAGCCCTCGGCCTAACCAGCGGGCTCCAGGCTTCAGGAGCTGGTCTAGGGCCTGGTGCCAGCCTCCGTTCCAGGAGAGGAGACTAAACCCACTGAGTCTGGGTCTCACCCTACAGGCTGGAAGGAATCCCGACACAAATTCCCTGACCCCAACCAGCCGGAGGATAGAGGCCCGGGGAGGTTTCGCCTTGGAGTAAGGAGAGGAGGGCTGAGTGTTCATACTCTTACGTTAAAAACCTTTTATCGGCCGGGCACGGTGGCTCACACCTGTTATCACAGCACTTTAAGAGGCCAAGGCAGGTGGATCACTTGAGGTCAGGAGTTCGAGACCAGCTTGGCTTACATGGTGAAACCCCATCTCTACTGAAAATACAAAAATTAGCCAGGTGTGGTGGTATGCGCCTGTAATCCCAGCTACTCAGGAGGCTGAGGCAGGAGAATCGCTTGAACCTGGGAGGAGCAGGTTGCAGTGAGCCGAGATCACGCCACTTTACTCCAGCCTGGGTAACAAGAGTGAGACTCAGTCTCAGAAAAAAATAAATAAATAAAATAAGAGTAAAGCCCAGGAAACCCTTTTCTCCCTGCCCCTCCCATTCATTTCCTGCTAATAACTCCTCCTGGGACTCTCTTCATGCTGGGCTCTTCTCACCCTGTTTCAGAGAAGACTTGCGGGGAGAAGGGGTCAGAGAGGTGAGTCCACCTGCCCAGGATCACCTAGCAGCTGTGAGTCATGGTCTCCTGAAAAGAGAGACCTTTGTTCACGATTTCCTTTTGATCTCCTGGCAGCCCCTGCCTCTCCTGGCCTGGGTTACGAGAGCCCAAACAGTGAATCACTGAGGAGTTACCTTCTAAACAACTGAAAATTAGCGTCGATTCCCTAGTAGGTTTGGCCCACAGCCATTCCTGTGGTGGCATAAGGGGTGTTTCCCAGGAAGGGCCAGGTTTCTGAGACGATCCTTTTTGTGACCCATTTTGAATCCTGGCCTGGCTAGGACAGGGCTCCTTCAAGTCCCTGCAGGTCTACACCTGTAGCAGAAAAGTAAAGACTGTAGGGCCAGAGCCAAGCAGAAAAAGGCAGGCAGGCTTCCAGGCGGAGATGCTCTCAGTTGAGGTTTAAAGATGGAGTGTTGGTAGGACTTGTTCTTGGAGGACAGTTCAGACATTTGGGGAAAGGTAATTGATTTTATGGTCTCCACCCATTGGCACAATGCAGTAGAAAGCATCAGCAAGACCAGAGCTTAAGTGATGGCTTCTGCACTTAGGGGCTGTGTGATCTTGGCCAGTCCCATCACTTCTCTGAGTCCAGCTTCATCATCCATAAAATAGAGGTAACTAGACTGTCCTGTCAAGGTTGTAGACCAGAAGAAATGGAAATGAAATGAAATGTGGAAAGCCATTGCAGGAGGCCTTGCCCGGGAGCCATAAATATTGGGTCCCTCCTTTTCTCCTTTCCCTGGCCACGGAGAAAGCAGATGCCCCAGGAGCTCAAGGCACTTACTCCCACTGGGATATAGCATGTGGCCTGGCCAGGGCTCCCAGCACTTTGATGGGATTACTGTCCCTACTTGACAGGTTTTAACTTTCACGATGGAGGGTTGTTAGGGTGGAGGTGAGTGGAGGGAACAGGGCCCAGCCTCTCAGTGATATCTTTTTTTTCTTAGTATAAACTTCTTCCTTTTAGCTTAGAAGCCACCACCATCATCATCATCATAATCACTATCAGTA
This sequence comes from Homo sapiens, assembly GCF_000001405.40. NCBI lineage: Eukaryota > Metazoa > Chordata > Mammalia > Primates > Hominidae > Homo > Homo sapiens. The sequence continues at coordinate 19,926,446 of NC_000001.11, forward strand.
TCATCATCGTCAATATTACCATCATCACCATCACCATCATTGTCATCACCATCAATATTACCATCATCATCACCATTGCCATCACCATCACCATCTTCATCACCATCAATATCATTTATATGGTTTTTATCTGTGTCCCTACCCAAATCTCACATTGAGATGTAATCCCCAATGCTGGAGATGGGGCCTGATGGGAGGTGATTGGATCATGGGGGCAGTTTCTAATGGTTTAGTACCATTCCCCTAGTGCTGTTTTCTAATGGTTTAGTACCATTCCCCTAGCAGCTGTGAGTCATGGTCTCCTGAAAAGGGAGACCTTTGTTCACCATTTCCTTTTGATCTCCTGGCAGCCCCCGGCTCTCCTCGCCTGGGTTACAAGAGCCCAAACAATGAATCACTGCGGAGTTACCTTCTAAACAACTGAAAATTAGTGTCAATTTTCACCACCTGTAGAGTACCTGAAGTCCGGTGGCACCAAAGAAATGAGAAAAGACAGGTTAAGAGTTCATAAAGGTGGGAGCCAGGGGGCCAGTTGCAAAATGGAGGCTGCAAAAGGCTCAGAGCTCTGGTCTCCACACTATTTATTGAGTACAATTATTTAGATCTAAGAAGCAGACGTTCAGGGTGAAACAGTGAAAGGGTGGCAGTGCATCATAGGCGTAATTTATAGCAATAGTGGTTTAAATGAATCTACTTTGTGCTCAAACAGTATATCTTTAACTTATCAGAGAGTAGCTAGTGGGAGTGGGCTTAACTAGGAGCCTGCACGTCTGTCCACATTCCAGTGCTTCAAAGGAGTGTATTTCTCCTTGAACACAGTGTTTACAGATAAGAGAGCGGGTCTCGCTCTGAGCATGGGAACATGATGGCAATTAGGAGGCTTTCCTCCTCAGAGGCCTCTAGTGGCTTTCCACAACTTATTGTCCTATATTTTTATGGCCAGTTTATACAGGTACCCCACAAGCCCTTTTCCCAACATGCCCCCCTTTTTCCTTTTTTAAAACCACCATTGCTATTATGGCTTGTTCGTGGTGTCTGGTTTTTTTTTTAGAGGCGTCTTTCGCATCTGTAGACTAAAGGCCAACAGTATAAACAGATACACATTAGCACAATTTGCAATAGTTGATCCTCCAGTGGTCTTAAATCATTTAAGAGCGTTTACATTTGAAAGTCCATCAGCAGCTCCAGTGAGAGTGTGTTAGTTCCAGGCAGGGGAGTTAAATGAGCCTGAGATGCTTTAAAAACCTGTTCCTTAAATTTGGCTATATTTAATGTTAAATTTTTATTCTTTCCTTCCAGATGATGTCTAACTTTTTTCTAATGATGTTTAGTACCATTATATGAATGGGGAGTTATGCAGAAATCAGAGGTATTCCAATTACATTGCATTTGCAATCGATGCTCTAAGCTCATTATACGATCTCCTATCTAAATAACAGTCTGAGATAATTTGTTTGGTTTGCCAATTGTTGGTCTATCTGGGTCTGAGAATTCTACAATTTTGCGGAATTCTTTTGTCAATTATTTACATCTTTTGCAGTTTGAACAGAGGAGTGTAAAGCAATTCTAGCAGCCACAGCAGTAGCTGTGACTGCAATAAGGCCTATAATGACTGCTATAAGGGTAAAAATAAATTTTTTTGTTCTGGTAAACACTCCTTTTAACATTTCTGTGATGATATGAATGGAAGGAGAGGCTTCCTAAGGTCTGTTGAGGGAAACCGGTATCCAAACTCCTTCTCTAGCCTTCACCAGCAACACAGATGTTTTTACATCAAATGTGGAATCAATACACGTGAAAAGGCAACAGTTTTGACAAGTAATAGTTTGAGAATTAGGTCGAATATCAATATTTCCGACCATCAACATAAAAGGAGGCTTGAAACAACTTTGAATGGGCACCGTTCAGTTGGAAGAAACCTGATACACAAATTGAAGTCTCTCACTTTTTTTTTTAAGATAATATTTTTCTTCCTAAACCTGAATATGAGATTGGGCCATTAACTTCCATAATTTGGGATGTTCAGGGCCCATTATTGGATTAATCATTTTAGGTTGTGGGCCGGCTGCACCAAAATCGGTCTAAGTTATGGGAAACTGGGCACGTTTTTTAGTGTAAATAGTGTCATCTTTTTGATTGTGTAGTATCTGTTTTAGTCCTGTCTTGCATCTATTATTCTCATTGGTACAATTAACTGCAAAGGTCCCCTTAGGGGACCAATCAATGACAATTCCATAGAAATTATTTTGTAGTACCACAGCGTGATCAGAGATGCAATTTTTTCCCAAATCAATATTTCTAAATTCTTTGACCATTGTTGAGGTTGTTGACACCTCTCTTTTCTGGGCTTGAACTGTTTTAATTGAACCAAACTTTGTGAATGATCTGGGCTCCATCCAGAAAATAAATGATAGGATACCGGTCTTTGATTATGACCTGGAATTTTAACTAGCCAATGTTGTCAGTAGCCTTTTAAGCAACCGATAGCCGGCCCTATGCAAAGAGGGGGGAACTGATAACCCATGGACACATTTATTAACATTCCTTCCTCCTCTGGGTGAGAGGGCCCACGAGGGTCTGTAGGCTCAGGCATCCAAACACTATCATTAATATAAACCTCAACTGGGGGTTCCAACTATGTGATAGGCCTAATTAAAGGCGGAAATGGGACATATGCCTAATAGGTATAATTTTGGTCTGCTGTAGCCACAGGGAGACTTACCGCCATAGTAATTACTGCAATTATAGCCACCATCAGGTGACTTGCGGTTAGTGGTTTTTGTTGTGCTTTTCGTTTTTTTTCTGCAAGCTGGGTCAGCCTCTTGATCTGTCCTCAAGTCGGTGGGCTTGCTTGATGGGTTTTGTTGGTCTTCATCTGGTCGGCTGAAACATTCATTCGAGCCATCAGGCATGCTGGGAGGTGGAGATCTTGGTTCCAAAATCCTTTTCTCTTCTTTGGAATTTTGCTCATGGTAGAGTTTAAGACGTCTTGTAGGTACCTAAACTGGAAGCTGGTTTTCTCCTGGGGAAATACAAGCAAACCCTCTTCCCCAAGTTATAACTCTCCTTCTTTCCTAGGACTTTGTTTTAAAGTCCTTCCACCACACAGGTTTTCCCTCATGAACATTTACCTTCTGTCCTGTTAAATGCTGTTCAGCTGCTGTAGTAACGTGATTCCGGGAGATGTTCAAAAAATTTAAGGTAACAAGAGCCCATTGTAATTGCATATGAGGGGTGGAATTTTCCCTATCTCCCTCTATTTTCTGTTTATGTAATTGCATTTTTAAGGTTCGATTGGCTCACTCAACAATCGTTTGCCCTTGAGAATTATAGGGGATACTCATACTGTGTTCAATGCTCTATTGTTTTAAAAATGTTTGGAAAGATTTACTAAAGTAGCCTGGTCCATTGTTTGTTTTTAATTTTTGTGGAATTTACAACAGCAAAACAGGAAAGCAGGTGTCTTTTTATATGTGCTGCAGCCTTGCTGGTTTGGCAAGTAGCTCATATAAAATGAGAATATCTATGATCACATGGACATAAGAAAGTTTGCCAAAGGCAGCAACATGGGTGACATCCATTTGTCAGATCATGTTAGGTGTCAACCCTCGAGGGTTAACACCAGTTTCTTGATGGGATAGTTGCAGTACCTGGCACTGAGGACGATGTTGTACAATGTCCTTGGCCTGTTTCCACATAATTTGATATTTGTTTTTAAGTCCTGCTGCGTTAAGGTGTGTTAATGAGTGGAAACTTTGGGCATCAGTAAGTATGGGGGAAACCAACAAGTCAGCTTGCTCATTAGCCTCAGTCAAGCATTCTGGAAGATTGGTATGTGCTCAGATATGAGTTACATAGAAAGGAAAATCCTGAGTATGCACGGTTGTTTGTAAAGAGTTGAACAATTGATAAAGCTGTTCATCAATAATATATTTAATGAAGGCAGTTTCAATATGCTGAGTAGCTTACACAACATAAGCTGAGTCTGAAAGAATATTAACTGGCTGATTAAAATCTTTTAATACTGTAATCAATGCCTGTAATTCAGCTCTTTGGGCTGAGGAAAAGTTATCGTGTGTTTTTGTTGTTTTGACCCTTCTCACGTTGTTTTTTAGTATGCCCCATTTGTCCACAATTTTAACAGGACCCTGAGAACTTTTGTGTGTTATTTCCAACTTTTAAACCTGCCATTGCCTGGCCTAGGAGGTTAGCTTTGTATACATGTCCTCCAATGCCATCACAGGCTTTAATATATTGACTTAATACCTTGTCTTTTGGTGCTTTTCTTTTAACAGGTCTAATGGCCGCCTGGCACTCAGAATTAGCATTCTCAAAGGCCTATAGTTGGACAATTGTCTCTCGGACATGTGCGTCCAAGATAGCCTTTTGAGCTGCATCTTTTAGGCAGGCAATGAAGTCTGGGTAAGGTTCATTAGGGCCCTGTCTGACTGAATTAAAGGAGGGATATGTAACACTGGGATCCTGAATCTTCTCCCAGGCCCTCATACACACTGATCTGATTTATGCAATGGCTTCATCATTCATCACTATCTTGTTCTGTTGTACCCCAGGCTTGTCCTATTCCAAGCAATTGATCAGAGGTAATGTTAACAGGTGGCTGAGATCTAGCATTTCTATGCACCTGATTAGTGGCCTCATCTGTCCACCAAGGCTTAAATTGTAAAAATTGAGAAGGGGATAAAGTAGACCAAGTTAATGTCTCCCAATCATAGCGGCACAGACATTTGTCATAAGCCACAGCCTGTAATAAGGTCTGAATATAAGGTGAGTTAGGTCCATACTGCCCTATTGCTTGTTTTAATCTTTTAATCTTTTAAAAGGAAAAGATTCCTAGTGAGCCTGAGCATGCCCCCCAGTCTGCTGAGGCGGTATTATAGTCACTGGAAGCTACCAAGTCTCCAAGTCCCCACTTTCTCGTGACTGATGAATGGAAGCCTGTATGGCCCCTTCTCCATAGTGAACTGCAGGATGAGCCTGAATATCCCCCTCTCCATAACAAACTGCTGGTCAGGCAATAATGGGCACGGCGAGCTGAGTCTTGGGCTCCCTCCCCCTACACTCACTTGGCTGAGGAGGAGGTGGCCATTCTGGACATTCCTCTGAAGGAGGCATGGGCTGAACAATTTTCTGAGTAGGTTTAGGGAGACTAGGGGAATTGGGAGAAATCATCTCTGGACCCTCCTTTTTGTTAGTACTTGGTAGAGGTGGTTCAGAGTCCTGATCATTAAACTCCTCTCTCTCCTCCTCTGACTCAGCCTCATCATCTGTCTGAAAAGGCTCTGGTGCTGCACACACCAATGACCAAACTGACCAAACAGGCAAAGGATTTCCTTTCCCTTTCTATGTGCTCCTTTAAGGTCCTTTCCAACTCTTTCCCAATCTTTTAATTCCAAAGTTCCCTGTTCTGGGAACCAAGGGCAAAATTGTTCCACAGCATGAAAGAAATCCATAAGTTTTTCTGTATCAACTTTTACCCTACCATGCTTCAAGAGCTGCTGTAGCAAGCTCAAATATATGATGTACTTACTTTCAGTTTGTCCCATTTGTGTCCCTAGCTTTCTCCGAGTGCCCCGCTTACCTGCAGAGCTTGAAACTTTTTCATCCTTGGGAGTCCTTTGTCTGTTGGTCCTCTGTTTCACACACTTGAGTGTTCCTTCACCGGATTCTTTCAGGCCCCACGTTGGGCGCCAGAATGTTGAGGACCAGCCTCAACACCACCCGTAGGGTACCCAAAGTCCGGTGGTGACAAAGGAATGAGAAAAGACAGGTTAAGAGTTCATAAAGGTGGGAGCCAGGGGACCAGTTGCAAAATGGAGGCTGCAAAAGGCTCAGAGCTCTGGTCTCCACACTATTTATTGGGTACAGTCACTTAGATGTAAAAAGCAGATGTTCAGGGTGAAACAGTGAAAGGGTGGCAGTGCATCATAGGTGTAATTTATAGCAATAGTAGTTTAAATGAATCTCCTTGTGCTCAGTGTATCTTTAACTTATTGGAGAGTAGCTAGTGGGAGTGGGCTTAACTAGGAGCCTGCATGTCTGTCCGCATTCCCATGCTTCAAAGGAGTGTCTTTCTCCTGGAATACAGTGTTTACAAATAAGAGAGCGGGTCTCGCTCTGAGCATGGGAACATGATGGCAATTAGGAGGCTTTCCTCCTCAGAGGCCTTTTGTGGCTTTTCACAACTTATTTTCCTATATTTTTATGGCCAGTTTATACAGGCACCCCACAAGCCCTTTTCCCAACAATTTAAGTTTCCTGAGGCCTCCTGAGAAGCAGAAGCCACTATACTTCTTGTACAGCCTATAGAACCTCTTTTCTTTATAAATTACTCAGTTTCAGGTATTCCTTTATAACAACGCGAGAATGGACTAATAAAATCACCACATCATCATCCTCATCACCATTATCATCACCATCAACATCACTGTCATCACCATCATCATTATCACCATCACCATCATTATAATCACCATCACCATTATCATCATTATCACCATCACCATTATCACCATCATAATCATCATGAAATTACCGTAATCATACTCACCATTACTATCACTGTCATCACCATCACAATCATTACCACTAACACCACCACCATCATCATCATCATCACCACCACCATCATCATCATTATCCTAACAATAAAGATGGCAGAACAAATGAATCTCATTTGTTAATGCCCCACATGGTGGCACTGTGCTGAGGGCCCTTATCTGCTACATCTCATCACTCAGCCTTATGTTGCTTCCCTCAGACCTTTAAGGATTTCTAAGCAAAATGGGATAACCTTATTCCTGGAAGAATTAATTGCTTCTTGAGTCAATAAACTATATTGAGGACCTAGTATGTGGTGGGCATCCATCAGAGAGCAAAACCAGGTGTGGTTCCTGCCCTCGTGGAGCTTACAGTCCAGTGGGGAGACAGATATTACTCATTACATACCGAATGGACACTTACAGATAGAGGTAAGTAGCTTGATAGAAAGTTCCATGGGGTTGGCCAGGTGTGGTGGCTCACGCCTGTAATCCCAGCATTTTGGGAGGCTGAGGTGGGTGGATCACAAGGTCAGGAGTTTGAGACCAGCCTGGCCAATATGGTGAAACCCTGTCTCTACTAAAAATACAAAAATTACCTGGGTGTGGTGGTGCGGGCCTGTAGTCCCAGTTACTTGGGAGGCTGAGGCAGAAGAATCGCTTAAACCCGGGAGGCGGAGGTTGCAGTTAGCCAAGATTGCACCACTGCACTCCAGCCTGGGTGACAGAGTGAGACTCCATCTCAAAAAAAAAAAAAAAAAAAAAGTTCCATGGGGCTATGAGAGTGTTTTATGGGGCTGTCTCTTCTGGGCAGGGGGTCAGTGAGGGCTTCTCTGTGGAAGAAATGATTGACCAGGGATCTCAAAAAGTTCCCCAGGTAGAGAAAGAAGTAGAGAGAGTTTAAATGGAGGAACAGCCTGTGCAAAGGCCCTGTGGTCCGAGGGAGATGGCACCCAGGAAAGGCTGAAAGGAAGCTGAGGACCTGGGGCTGGTGGTGGGTGGGGCTGGAAGGGCATGATTTGCTGGGAAGCTGACCCTGGGACCTTGACCTCCCATTCCCTTGACAGAAAGGCTTTTGCTTGAGCTGGTGCAGGTGGCCTAGAGCCTGCAGGTGGTGGCGAGGACCAGGGAGTCCCCCAGGAGAAAGGGACACTTTTCTGACAGACCCTGTGCTATTTTCATCCTAGTATTGCTCCCCACAGCAGGGAGCTTCTGTGGGCACCCAAAGGCCTGGGAGGCTTGTCCCTCCAGTAGGAACAAGCTTTGCACAGCTGTCATCACACAGCTGGGCTCTCTTGTCTGTGATGGAAAGTAAAGAATGGGAGTCCATGGCGTGGGTTTGCTGTCATCTTTTAGAAGGTCACCAGCATCTTTGTTAAGTGGCACAGCTGGGCCTGGTTGGTCTTTGTCCAGGGAACAATGGAGCGCCAGTGAGGGGACCACTCCTTCAGAATCTAAGGAGTCCGAGACACAGGGTGGAGGAAAGAATCTCACACGGGGTGGCGAGAGATGAGGCTTCTGGCTCTGTCCCTAGCCTAGGGAGGCACCCCCGGGCCTCTGTTTTCTCACCTGAGAGAAACTGCAGGCACCCACGCAGTTCTAAATCGTGCCATAGCCCTGGCTCTGGTGGGATCTTAGTGGGGGATGCCAGATGGGAAAGAGGCTGGGTTCCAATAATCTGTTGCTAGTGACAAGCCACCCCCAAACACAGTGGCTTTTTAAAGCAACAGTATTTTTTTTTTTTTTGAGATGGAGTTTCACTCTGTCACCCAGACTGGAGTGCAGTGGCGTGGTCTTGGCTCACTGCAACCTCTGCCTCCCGGGTTCAAGTGATTCTCCTGCCTCAGCCTCCTGAGTAGCTGAGATTACAGGTGTGTGCCACCACGTCTGGGCTAATTTTTTTTTTGTATTTTTAGTAGAGACGGGGTTTCACCATGTTGGCCAGGCTGGTCTCAAACTCCTGACCTCAAATGATTTGCCTGCCTCAGCCTCCATAAGTGCTGGGATTACAGGCACGAGCCACTACACCCAGCCAGCAACAGCAGTTCTTGGGGTCAGTTGTATTTCTCACAATTCTTGGGGTCCGTTGTATGGTTCCTTTGTTGGTGTCCCCTGGGCTCATTCAGATGGCTGTCATCAGCTGGATGGCTGGCTTGGCTGGAAGGTCCAAGATGACCCCACTCCCATGTCTGGTAGCTGGTGCTGGCTGTCAGCTGGGGCACTTCAGTGCCCTTCCTCCACTAGGATGAGGGGTGTGGCCACTCCTTCGTGTGGCCTGATGGGCTTCCAAGACGGCAAAGGCAGAAACTTCTTCACCTCTGGAAGCCCAGGCCCTGGGGCCCACCTGCAGCAGCACTTTTGCCACATCCATTTGATCAAAGCAAGTTACAATGCCAGTCCAGATGCAAGGAGCCTGAGAAATAGATGCCACCTCTGAAGGTGGGGAGTAACAAAGTCACATTACAAAGAAACCTACATGCTGGGATGGGAGGCATTTATGGCCATTAAACAATTTATCATAGACTAATGGGAAAAGCACCATTCTCGGATAGCTTCAAAATGACTTATACCAGGCAATGGCAAACTTCTTCTGTAAATGACCAGATAATATATATTCTAAGCCTTTATGGGCCATATGGTCTGTTGCACTACTCAACTCTGTCCTTGTAGCTCAAGAGCAGCCATAGGCAATAGGCAATCAAAAGGGCATGAGTATATACCAATAAAACTTTATTTATAATAAAAACAGGTAGTAGGCTGGATTTGGCCCATGGGCCATAGTTTGCCAATCCCTGACTTACACACACATTGATGATTACCCTGGAAGCATCTGGAGGGCAGGGACAATGTTTCATAGAGATTTTATAGAGATTCATGTCCCTGCTTTTAGACATGATAAGTTCCTGGAGCCCAAGATGTTTCAGCTTATTCATTCTTTCAGTAAATATTATTGAGCACTTACTATGTGAGGTGCTATTCTAGGCAAGGGCAAGGAAGACAGACAGTTCACTTGCTTTCTCAGAGCTTGCATTCCACTGGTTGTAAAGAACAGAAAAAAAAAAAAAAGAATGGCTTAACCATTACAGGGAATTTTTGCACAAGTAACTAAAGAGTCCATAGGTAGATCAGCCTTCAGCTTAGGTTTGATCAGGTCTCAGGTTCAGTTTCTCTGTGATTTTCCACTTGCTTCTGCTTTCCTCCACATATTGGATTTGTCCCCTTTATTCTGAGTTTTTTTGTTGCCCACAGTAGTGATATGAGCACCAGCCAGTGGCTTCCTGGGGCTACCTGCTTCCTCTTTCTCATTCAAGAGACAGACCTCTTCCTCCACCATCAGCAAGAGCTCTAATGGGCTCACCTTAGGTCCTTTGCTGACTGACTCAATTCTTGTGCTTGGGAAAGTGGAAAGTGGTAGTTGGCTTAGATTTGGATTACCATGGCCAGTGACCCCTGATGGGTTACACTTATCAGAGCCCACTTCCTGGGACTAAGCCTGGGGCCAGTCCCATTTCCTGCTGAAACAATGGGTGAAGGACAGGATATATGTCAGAGAGGCCACCACAGTGAATAGGAGCCATCGCTAAGCAAAAGTCACAATCTATCTTCCTGTCATTCCATAGGAATCAATGCACGAGGGGTCAAAGCAACAAACAGTGAAGTCCAGAGGGTTATTAGGTAGCATCAGAGGAGCAGGGCAGTGAGACGTGAATGGTCAAAGAGGGAACTGTCTTCTACTTATAGACCTTGGGTGTATCAGGCCTGAAGAGGCCTTAGAGATTATGTCATCCAAACCTCTCATAGTATATAAGGGGAAACTGAGGCCTAGAGAGGAGCAGGGATTTGCTGAAAGTCACTCAGGGAGTTAGTGGCCAAATTCGAGGTTAAATTTGGGTCTCTTGCCTTTCTGTTTCTTTGCTTCTCCCTCACATTGAGCACAAGCCCCTGCAATTAGCAGGTACTTAGTAAAGATGTTGATTTGCTTTGCTTCCAATTATGGCAAATCCATGCATGGGGAGGGGGTATATTCACAGTAGATGTATCCCAAGACATTCACGAATCTCCAAATTTACAGACGATAGCAGGAGGTAATAGGCTGCCTATTAACATACCATGATAACATCCATGGACTTTGGACAAACAGACCTGAGTTCAAGTCCCAGTTCTGCCACTTAGAAGTTCTGTGACCTTGAATAAGTTACTCAGCCCCTCTGAGAACACTGCACACTCAGGGCCTGGCCGATTGGACATACATGAGGCATAACTGAAAACCATTAAGTGACCCCTCACACTGAATAACTGCCCAGGCAAAAGACAAGTAGAGAAGAGAGAGCCACATTGCAGTATAGATGCTGGGGAATGGCTCAGTGGGTTGCCCAACACAGCCTATGACACATGGTAGTTGTACACACCAGCCTTCTTTTAAATCTTTATCTGCTGGTGGCTCATGCCTGTAATCCCAGCACTTTGGGAGGCCAAGGCGGGCGGATCACTTGAGGTCAGGAGTTCAAGACCAGCCTGACCAACATGACAAAACCCTGTCTCTACTAAAAATACAAAAAAAATTAGTGGGGCATGGTGGTGGGCGCCTGTCATCCCAACTGCTCGGGAGGCTGAGGCAGGAGAATCGCTTGAACTGGGGAGGCAGAGGTTGCAGTGAGCCAAGATGGTGCCACTGCACTCCAACCTGGGCAACAGAGCTAGAGCTAGACTCCGTCTCAAAACAAACAAACAAACAAACAAATTCCTTATCTGCACCTTGTTCCTTTCTGGCCAGGAACAATTCCCTGGAATGTTGTGGCTCACACTCTGCTCTTTAACCAGGTAACTCCTTCCTGTCTCAGCACTGACGTCACTTCACCAAAGAAGTCATATCAGTTAAGATAATGCTAGTGGCTGCAACAAACAACTCCCCAAGTTTCGGTGACTTAACACAAGTTTATTTCTCTTTCATGTAACAGGAGAATGCGGGTTGGCGAGGGTTGAAATGGGGTGATGGGTGGGGCATTCTGCCCATGCCGCCTTTCAGGGATCCAGGTTGATGAAGGCTTTTCTGTCTTTGACGTGTGGCTTTCAAAGTCATCCTGAGCACTGACATTAGCCAGCAGACAGGGAAGAGAGAAGGTGCGGAAAAAAACACCCATTTCTTATTTATTTAACTTTTAAGTTCAGGGGTGCAAGTGCAGGTTTGTTATATAGGTAAGCTCATGTCATGGGGGTTTGTTGTACAGATTATTTCATCACCCAGGTATTAAGCCTAGTACCCATTAGTTATTTTTCCTGATCCTCTCCCTTCTCCCACTCTCCATCCTTTGGTAGGCCCCAGTGTCTCTTGTTCCCCTCTATGTGTCCATGTGTTCTCATCATTTAGCTCTCACTTATAAGTGACAACATGTGGTATTTGGTTTTCTCTTCCTGTGTTAGTTTGCTAAGGATAATGACCTCCAGCTCCATCTATGTTCCTGCAAAAGACATGATCTCATTCTTTTTTATGGCTGGTAGTATTTCATGGTGTGTATGTATCACATTTTCTTTATCCAGTCTACCATTAATAGGCATTTAGGTTGATTCCATGTCTTTGCTGTTGTGAACAGTGATGCAATGAACATATGTGAGAAACACCCATTTCTTAACCATTTAGCCTAAAAGCCATAGCCATCACTTCTGTTCACATTCTACTGGGGAGAATAAATCACATGACCTCACTCAGATGCAAAGGACACTGGGAAATGTAGTCGCTGTCTGAACAGTTGTGTTCATTCCAGTAATAATCTCCCAATGACCAAGGAAGAAGAACCAGAATCTTTGTTGTCTCTGTCACAGAAATCTATTCCATGTTTTTAAGGCATTTGTACTTTTCTCTCAGAGCACTCATCATAGTTTATTTAGCATTTTAAAAAATTTGGTGACTCTTTGATTCTCTCTTCATTTGCAGATGCTAAGCTCCATGAGAGTAAAAGATTCATCATTATATCCTTGGTGCTTCGCACAGAATAAGTGATCAACAAATGCGTGCTGAATGAATAAAAGAAGATATATATTTATTAAATGACTTTTTATATGACAATATATATTTATATATTGGTGCTTTCCATTGCAAGTGACAAAAGAACCAATTTTCCTAAGTTAAACAATAAAATGGTTTGTTGGCACAGGTCAGCAAAGATTCCAGAGGTCTGAAAGCTTTCAGGTGTGGCTGGGTCATGGTTCTGGCTGTTTCTCTTACAGTTCTTTCTACCCTGCTCTGTCCTAGTGTCATCTTTGTTCTTAAGTTGGTTCTGTCATGGTTGGAAGATGACTGCATGTGCCACCGTGACTGACCTCCTATTTCCTCATGGAGAGAACAGAGGAAGCACAACTTCCCACAGTCACTGAATAAAAGTCTTTAGCTTTGTTCTGATTAAACCTAGCTCAATCTTTGTTGCAAAGGAGATAAGATGGAAGCTGATTGGGACTTATCCTTTGGGACCCACCCTTGGATCTGAGGGCGGGGAAATAGTTCACCCAACCGCACAATTGCTGTGCAATATGGAAGGAGCGGCTCCCCAAATAGAAATATGGGTTCTGGAAGGAAGGTGTTAAGAGGCAAAGGGATGCTGCTGAAACAATCAGAGTGTGTCCCTCTCACTACTGTGTTTCCAGAAACAAGGGCATTTCTAGAACTATTTATAGTAAATTCAGAAATGCCTATTACAATTGGAAGTGGGTTGAGGAGAAAGGCTCACTGTTTTGAGGTTGAGGAGAAAAACCAAATCCAAACCAATTTAATAAAACTGTGGAGCTGAAACTACTCTCAGAGAAAAATTCAGAAGAACCTCAACTGGATTGGGGCAATTCTGGAGATATTTGCTCTAGGCCCCAGAGTCTTTTTTTTTTTTTTTTTTTTTTTTTTGAGATGGAGTCTTGCTCTGTCTCCCAGGCTGGAGTTCAGTGGCCCAATCTCGGCTCACTGCAAGCTCCGCTTCCCAGGTTCAAGTGATTCTCCTGCCTCAGCCTCCTGGGTAGCTGGGACTACAGGTGCCCACCACCACGCCTGGCTAATTTTTTTTTTCTTTTTGTATTTTTAGTAGAGACGGGGTTTCACCGTGTTAGCCAGGATGGTCTCTATCTCCTGACCTTGTGATCCACCCACCTCGGCCTCCCAGGCGTGAGCCACCGTGCCCAGGCTCTAGGCCCCAGAGTCTTAATCTTGGCATATGAATTTTGTTGTCATCAGTTTCCAGAAGATACATCATGATACCCAGGAGAGCATACCAAGGCCCAGGGTGTTTTCTTGTCAGCCAGAACACAAAACAAACAATACAAGTCCCTTAAACAAAAAGAAATGACAACCAAAGGAAGAAAAACCAGCAAGATTAGATGCAAAACAAAGAGCATGTCTCAAAGACAAAGCAAACTAGCTCTGGTCTTCCCAGCAAATCTTACAACACAAATAGAGACACTGCCAGAAGTCAGAAAGAAATTGCCAGAACAGGAGCAACCACCCAAGTGTTGCCTGGAGATGCTCAAAATAGGTGCAAATTAATGGTTACCAAGTCCTTACAAAGAAAGAAAATAATTGAACACATTCCATTTAGCAAACGTTTACTTTTCTAACACTCTGCTGATTGAAAAGATGACAAGACTAAGTGCTGATCCCAGTGGACACAGAAAAGCAAATGTGTGAGCATCTGAAGCAGAGGTGTGGGCGTCACAGAGAAGGGGACAATTAATTCTGCCTGGAGGCTTTCAAGGAGAGTTACAGAGATGAGCTGTCACCTGAGCTGACCCCTGAAGGATGAACAGGGTTCAGCTGATGGTCGAGGAGGAGAAGCAGTAGGAAGTGTGGGTACAGAGGCCCCGCAAACTCAGAAGCCCTGTGGACATCTTTGCATTTCTCTGCTCAACATTCATTCTCCTTTCCTTTGATGCCATCATCCCACTTTTCCTTTGGGAAAACCCCTCTCTCATTCTATGTGGTCCTGTTGGAACTGCCTATCACAATGAGGCTCCACCCCCAAAGGTGGGTACACGACCCAAGCCAGTCAATCGGCCTCTCTCCTGGGACTCTGCCTCTTCAGCAGAGTGATCCATTAGCCTAATGCCTCTGTAGCAGAGCCATTCTGTCCTCAGTGTCTTCAAGAGACTATCTGTGAGGTTGTGTTACCGAGACTCCCTGGGTTCTGTCCTTCCCAAGGCCTGGTGGATCAGCTCTTCCTCCTGTTTCATGAATCATCCAGCTTGCTTGCTTTTTGGCTTTAGTTAGCCAGAATAAGTTGTCATAGCTTGCAACCAAAGAACTTTAATTGATATGGAAATTAGTACCAGGATGAGGGTTGCAGACAATAGCCCCTGAGGGAAATAGGGAATCGGGCAGAAAGGAGACTGTGATTGGGTGCACTAACTGCCCATGATACCCACAGTCACTAAACAGCCAGCTGCTCACCATGGGCAAAGCTTGGGGGGCTGGGTGGTTGCTGACATATAACAATGGGGAGGCCTCATGATGGGATGGTTGCCTCGGCAACATTACGTTAATTAAAGAGAGAAATACTTGTCATCCCTGGCACCACCCAATATATTATGGATAACATTTCTTTGTTTATTTCTTCTGTTTCGCCCCCAGCCCGCCAGTGCCTAGAATGATGCCTGGTACAGAGTAGGCATCTAAGCATTTGGTGAACAAATGTAGGTGTGAATAAACAGCAAGCTCAAATTTAGGATTGCCAGAATACAAAACAGAAGATTTATCCCAGAAAGAATGAAAGGAACTTGCTGATTTACATTCTCAAAAATCAGAGGAGAAACTGTGGAAATAGATATTGAGCCTCCCTAATGAAGAATAAAATTTTGGGTCAGGTTGAATTTATTGCTGTGAGTGCCCTGACCTGAGATTCTGCAATTCGATGTGCTGATTTGGACAGCCCCTGTGAGCCTAATGTTGCCTAGGTTGGTGAATTCAAGTGCTGGTTCACATCACATGACGTGGAAAGCCAGCCTTGATTGTCTGAACAATGAAGACAGTGTGAATGGAGGAATGAAACACTTAGGAGACATGAACTCCAGAGGGTATTTATCCCATGCATCCTGCCTCCTGCGCACTCTCTCACTATCTCCCTGAAATGGTCCAGATTCCACTCCTGTCATCCCTGCTTTGAGAACCAGATTGATGAGGGGAGCATAAGAATGTTTTAAAAAGCTTATTCCTGACTTCTGTTTCTTGGCCAGGGATGACAGTGGGAAGGGTTGCAGCTGAAATTCTTTCAGTACAGTTGAGGGATGCCGAGGTTGGTACAGCCAGGAGGCAGTAATCACAAGGGGAAAATGGATGTGGTCATCTTGGATGAAGTCATCAGATCTCGGAGCATGTGCTGAGCCACATGGGAGTCCCCAGAAATGAAATGGGCGGGCAACCCACTAAAGTCTTGTTTGATTTGGAGGTCAATGACATGAATATACAGGACCTCACCTTCAGTAGAGTTCCTTAGAGTTCAGTAGGCTGTGCTCTGTCTGGATGTCCCCTCTAAATTAAAAGGTAAGACTCAGACTGGCGTTAGATTTCTATCAGGCACAGCTGCCATTCATTCCTTTAATCCTTGAACTTCTTTTTTTAAAAATTTTCTTTGTGGGTTAGACCCAGTGTTCTTTGTACTTGATATCTTCACCTTAGCTTACCTTCTTATGTTAATGAACTGCATTGTCAGGTCATTTTCTATGGAAAAAAAAAAAGCAAGGTTCTAGGTCCTTCCTTGTCCAAAAATATCTTGGTTGCATCATATTTTCACTAGATGTATACTTCTAGACCAGGGCTTGGAAAACTATGGCCCATGGACCAAATTCAGTCTGTCACCTGTTTTTGTAAATAAAGTTTTATTGGAACATAGCCATGAACATTCATGTCTATAAGGTCTATGGCTGCTTTTGTACTGTTTTGGCAAAGTGGAGTAGTTGTGACTGAGGCCTTTTACAGAAAAAGTTTGCTGACCCCTGCTTTAGACTAAAAGTAGTTTCCCTTAGGACTTGGGAGGTATTTTTCGGTTGCCTTCTGCCATCCGGTGCTGATGACAAGGAGTCTGATGCCAGTCTGATTCTTATTCCTTTGTAGATGTCGTGTTTATTTCCCCTTCTATCTCTGGAAATTTTTAGGGTCCTTTCTTCATCTTTAGTATTCTAACATTAATATGACTAGGCACGAACTTTTTTCCCCATCTATTTTGCCAGGCCCTTAGTGGGGTTGTTGGATCTGCGGACTTATTCTTCAGCTCTGGGAAATTCTCATGTTTCTTTGAGAATTTTTTTTTTTTGTACTCTTTTTGCTTTTTGGATTTCCTATCAGCTGATTGTTAACTCTTGCTCCTCTGAATCTCTTATCTTTTCTTTTTTTATTTTGAGACGGAGTCTCGCTCTGTTGCCCAGGCTGGAGTGCAGTGGCGTGATCTCGGCTCACTGCAAGCTCCACCTCCTGAGTTCACGTGATTCTCCTGCCTCAGCCTCCCGAGTAGCTGGTACTACAGGTGCCTGCCACCACGGCCGGCTATTTTTTTATTTTTATTTTTAGTAGAGATGGGGTTTCACCATGTTAGCCAGGATGGTCTCCATCTCCTGACCTTGTGATCAGCCCACCTCGGCCTCCCAAAGTGCTGAGATTACAGGCCTGAGCAACCGTGCCCAGCCTTATCTTTTCTATTACGTTTTCTCTTTTATTGTCTTTTTCTTCTACTTTCTGAGAGTTTCCATGACTTTAATCTTTCAACCTTTCTTTGTTATTTTTTATTTTTATTTTTTATTCTTTTGAGATGGAGTCTCACTCTTGTTGCCCAGGCTAGAGTGCAATGGTGCAATCTTGGCTCACTGCAACCTCGACCTCCTGGGTTCAAGTGATTCTCCTGCCTCAGCCTCCCAAGTAGCTGGGATTACAGATGTGCGCCACCACGCCCGGCTAATTTTGTATTTTTAGTAGAGATGGGATTTCACCATGTTGGTCATGCTGGTCTCAAACTTCTGACCTCAAGTGATCCACCCACCTTAACCTCCCAAAGTGCCACGCCTAGCCCCAATTATTGTTTTAACATAACTTTCTATTGTCATTTTTTAGATGTCATTATTTTCTTGAACCTCTGAGGGTTGCAATGAGAGATTTTTTTTTTTTAAGTATCTGCTCCCTGAATTATCTTTATTTCTTCTGGGTCATTCCCCAACTCCCTTATTTGATAATGTTGGCCTTCTTCATTTGCAGTGTTTCTCCCCATTTCTGGTGGTACTTGATGGTCTGTTCATATTTATAAACAAGACAATACACATCTCCATACATGTAGGTGGGGCTTGCTACCCAGTGAGTTCTGTTTTATGGTGAATGCACGACAATGCTGCGGGAGATCTTTTATCGCATGCATTAAAGTCTACACTAGTTGCTCTAATTATTCCCTGTTTGTTGAAATTCTTTAGAGAAAAGCCCTCTGATTTTTCACCAGGAGGGTAGTGGTAGTGGTATGGCCAAGAGTGGGGAGGTTGGATGCCCAGGCTCTATACATTGTGTGTGTGTGTGTGTGTGTGTGTGTGTGTGTGTGTGTGTGTGTGAAAGAGAGAGTGGGAGGAGTTTGTGTCGACACATCTTCTTTATTTTGTTGGTATTAATAACAACCACTTTGATGGTTAATACCGAGTGTCAACTTGATTGGATTGTAGGATGCAAAGTATTGATCCTGGGTGTGTCTGTGAGGGTGTTGCCAAAAGAGATTCACATTTGAGTCAGTGGGCTGGGGAAGGCAGACCCACCCTTAATCTGGTGGGCACAGTCTAATCAGCTGCCAGCAAATATAAAGCAGGCAGAAAAACATGAAAAAGAGAGATGGGCCTAGCCTCCCAGCCTACATCTTTCTCCTGTGCTGGGTGCTTTCTGCCCTTGAACATCAGAATCCAAGTTCTTCAATTTTGGGACTCAGATTGGCTCTCCCTACTCCTCAGCCTGCAGACAGCCTATTGTGGGACCCTGTGATTGGGTAAGTTAATACCTAATAAACTCATATATATATATCTATATATGTGTATATATATATATATATATATATATATATATATATATATATATATATCCTATTAGTTCTGTCCTTCTAAGAGGACCCTGAGTAATATGACCACTTTTTACTTTGAAAAACCATCCCTCTCTTTCATTTCATGTGACTCTGTAGGGCTATCTGTCATGCTGTCCTGCCCTTTTCACCACAAGGGTAGACTTATGAACCAGGATGCCCAAACACTGTCCTCCATTATCCCTGGCCACATGCATATTTTTAGGAATGGGCACCCAACTCAAACTGGACCAATCAGGGTCTTTCATTAGATTTGACGTATGGGTCTACCCTTTCTCTGGGACCTTGAGCTGTGAAGATCACGCAAGCCTGGAGCTGTCAGTGACCACTTTTCATGACTGAGTGGAAGAGGCTGCCTGTAGAATGAAGCCAATATGCTAAGGGAGGAACAGAGAGAGAGAGAGAAAGAGAAAGATCTTTGGATCCAACTTTGACTTCCACTCTAAAGCTTCAAATTATGTGAACTGATAGTTCTATTTGTGAGTTAGGCTGATTTGAGTTGGGTCCTGTCATTTGAAATGGAAAAGGATCCAAACTAACCCGGTTTCAGAGGTGGAAGACATCTGGTCCTACTTGTACTCTGGAGACTCTTGGGTAGGAGCATCTGTGAGAAGCACACAGAGGTGAGGCTGAATTCCTGTGCTGGGCTTTGGGAACTTCAGCAAAGACCCCTGGGCCCAACTTTGACTTGGAGAGAGTAGAGCCCCACTCTTCAAACACACCAACTGATCACCAGGAAAGGCAGGCACGCTGTACAGAGACCCTTTCTGAAATGTTCTGGGCTGGGCAAATCCTCAGGACTCCCACACAACTTCAAGGGAGGAAGAAGCGATTACCCCCAGAACATGATTTAAATTGTCCACCCATCTGGGTTAGGTGAGTCAAACTGATTTTACTTGGAAAGTTAAAGCAGTGTGACATTTCTTGTGTTTGAATGTCATGGAAGAAATTCATACTTGTGACTCCTCCTTCTCCTAATCATCACAATCGTCCTTATCACCACCATCATCATGTGTCCCAAGGCCAGACTACACAGTGTTAATCATACCATGTGTGCAGTATTAACAGCCAAGCTCAGGCCCATCTCTTTCTCATTTCTCCCCACCAAGGGTTAAAACAGCTTGGAGTCTTTTCCTACCCAGGCTCAGCTTGTTAAACTTCGACAGAACATTTTCAGATCAAGCTTTGAAATAATTTGTCAAGTTTTTAGCTGTTGAGAGAACAAAACAAAGGTGATTCAGGAACAGATAAAAAGAAATAAGATAAGTGACTTCAAACATTATCAAAAAGCTGGCGGTGAAGTACAGAAGGAAAAAGCAATCAGTCAGTTAGACAACATGGCATGAGATCTGTAAGATAGCGTTTTGGAGTTCCAGTACGTGGGAGGGGGTCTGATCAGAGCGGGCTAGTCCACAGAACTAGGCTCTGTGGCACACCTAGAAGGAAGCTGAAGGATTACATACATAAAATGGACCAAGCAGCATGGACAAAACAGTAATAGTCATTTGTTCAAATATTTATTGAGCATCTGTTATATGCAAGGTTTTGTCCAGGTGCAAAGATGAATCAAACATGGAGCTTATCCTATGCATTCGTTGACCTGGAGAGGAGATAACAGGCACAGAAATGACTGTAACACATGGAAGAAAGTGATAAGGCTTTATCTTATCACTTAGGAGAGCCGAAGATAAAATTCTATAGTATTTGTGTTAAAATGTTAACAAAAATTAGACAACTGAGATATGATGTTCTTCTGGATCTGCGTTAACAAGAGATAGAGCCCAAAGTTCACGACAAAAGCTGCCTAAATGAAAAACAAAAGTAGAATATACTAAGAATTTAACTCAATGAGAAGTGGTTGTGGGCAAAGGAAACACAAGATACATTTACAGAACAATGCAATATAGCTCAACTCTGTACTTCGGAACTTTTATGAATATGAGAAATGGAGGACTTACCACCATTGGTTAAAAAGTCACAAAAAAAGCATTAAAGGAGATAAAGTCACTCTATAATGGAGGAAGATACACAGTAGAGAGCAACCTCCCATGGCTTGGAACGAACTGTGCTGATTTTCCAGAAATTTACCATGAAATGTACTTCATTATGTGATAATGAAGTACAAATGGATGACTGCCAAGGAAGTAGAGGATACTCATGTCAAAGAAATAGAGAATATGCTCCTAAATATGTTAACAGAAGAAAAAAGAAAAATTACTGAATATTTTTGATAAAAAGGCACGTGGCACCAGAATCTGGCCTCACTGGAGACTTTCTTTCAAACATTGGAAAGATAAATACTTCTTTTCTCTGCAACCTCAACTTTTTGACTTTTTTTTTTTTTTGAGACAGAGTCTCACTCTGATGCCCAGGCTGAAGTGCAGTAGCACGATCTCAGCTCACTGCAACCTCTGCCTCCTGAGTGCAAGCGATTCTCCTGTCTCGACCTCTCAAGTAGCTGGGGTTACAGGCAGGCACCACCATGCCCAGCTAATGTTTTGTATTTTTAGTAGAGATGGGATTTCACCATGTTGGCTAGGCTTGTCTCGAACTCCTGACCTCCAGTGATCCACCCTCCTTGGCCTCCCAATGTGCTGGGATTACAGGCATGAGCCACCATGCCCAGCATTCTTTATTTATTTATTTTGAGATGGAATATCGCTGTCACCTAGGCTGGAGTGCAGTGGTGCGATATTGGCTCACTGCAACCTCCGCCTCCTGGGTTCAGGTGATTCTCCTGCCTCAGCCTCCTGAGTAGCTGGATTACAGGCATGCACCACCATGCCCGGCTAATTTTTGTATTTTTAGTAGAGACAGGGTTTCACCATGTTGGTCAGGCTGGTCTTGAACTCCTGACTTCAAGCAATCCACCTGCCTTGGCCTCCCCAAGTGCTGGGATTACAGGCGTGAGCCACCTGGCCTTATTTTTTGACTTTTTGGTAATAGCCATTCTGACTGGTGTGAGATGGTATCTCACTGTGGTTTTGATTTGCATTTCTCTAATGATTAGTTATGTTGAGCCTTTTTTCATACACTTGCTGGCCACATATATGTCTTCTTTTGAATAGTGTCTTTTCATGTCCTTTGCCCACTTTTTAATGGTTTTTTTTTTTTCTTTAGACAGATTCTCGCTCTATCGCCCAGGCTGGAGTGCAGTGGCGCTATCTCGGCTCACTGCAAGCTCTGCCTCCCGGGTTCATGCTATTCTCTTGCCTCAGCCTCCCGAGTAGCTGGGACTACCGGCACCCACCACCACGCCCAACTAATTTTTTGTAGTTTTAGTACAGATGGGATTTCACCGTGTTAGCCAGGATGGTCTCGATCTCCTGACCTTGTGATCTGCCTGCCTCGGCCTCCCAAAGTGCTGGGATTACAGGCGTGAGCCACCGCGCCCGGCAGGTGTTGTTTTTATCTTGTAAATTTGTTAAAGTTTCTTATAGATGCTGGATAGTAGATGTTTGTCAGATGCGTACTTTGCGAATATTTTCTCCAATTCTGTAGATTGTCTGTCTACTCTGTTGATAGTTTCTTTTGCTGTGCAGAAGCTTTTTAGTTTAATCAGATCCCATTTGTTCAAATGCTGCATGTTCTCACTTATTATAAGTGGGAGCTGAATGATGAGAACACATGGACCCAAAGAAGGGAAAGGCAGGTACTGGGACCTACTAGGGGTAAAGGTTTGGAGGAGGGAGAGGAGCAGAAAATATAACTATTGGGTACTAGGCTTAGTACCTGGGTGATGAAATAAGCTGTACATCAAACCCCTGTGACATGAGTTTACCTATATGATAAACCTGCACATATACCCCTGAACCTAAAATAAAAGTTAAAAAAAATTTTCTAAGTAGATTGTTTCATGTTACTGAAAAGGATGGGCATTCTTATGGGGGAATGCTTATGCTCTGTTCCTGTTGTTTGTTTCTGACGTATGGAGCATCCGTTGTGTAACACTCCTGATCTCCCTCCATCCATTCCCTCATTCTTCTCTGGAAGAGTCTTCCTGATTGACAAGTTTAGGAGAAGAAACTGGGCATGTCCAGTTCAGCCCCTCTCTCTCCTTCCTGTTTGAGTGCTGCCTGCCTGCTGAGGGCATGTGCTCTGGTCTGCTTCTGGCTGGGTGGCCAGCTTAGCTGCAAAGGCTCTGGCCCTCCGGTTGTTCAGCATTGCCCATGACTAAGTAGGTTAGTCATCCAATTCGGGGTGTGGAGTTAGGAAGCTCATTGTTTCCATAGTCACAAGCTACATCCTCCAATTTAGCCCTAATTGATGTTTTTAAAAATCAGAAATAATTTGAGCTCTACCTGATTGATTCTTTTGTCTTTTAATTGGTCAAAAATATGGGCAGGCATAAAAAACAAACAGCCAGGCATGGTGGCTCAAGCCTGTAATCCTCGCACTTTGGGAGACTGAGGCGGGCAGATCACTTGAGGCCAGGAGTTCGAGACCAACCTGGCCAACATAGTGAAACCCTCTCTCTACTAAAAATACAAAAAATAAAAAAATAAAAATAAAAAGCTGGGTGTGGTGGCGCATGCCTGTCATCCCAGCTACTCGGGAGGCTGAGGCATGAGAATCACTTAAACCCAGCAGGCTGAGGTTACAGTGAGCCGAGATCACACTACTGTACTCCAGCCTGGGTGACTGAGCAAAACTCTGTCTCAGAAAAAAGTAAAAGAAAACAATGAACAAACAAAAAATTTTTCAAAAGAGAAAAAAGAAAGTAAAAAAAAAGAAAAAAAAACAGAAAAGAGAAAAAAAATGGGCAGGGAAAAAAGGTATTTTCTAATGACGTTGCCTCCAGACCCCAAATCTGATGTATTGGCTAGGAACTTAAAAAAACACATGAGTAGAGCTAAGGAAGCAAAATAGAAGTGACATTTGAAGTAAGCTGCTGTTCCCATACAGGTGGGGATGCAAGTGACAATCTCATCAGACACAGGCAGCTTCATGCGGAGGGACTTAGCAAAACGCGAGCACCAGGATCCAGCAGAGTCATGGGCCATGCAAGCCTAAATTTGTAGGTTACTGCAAGTTGACCTGGAACTGCAAGGAACTGGCCTTTGCACATCTGCAGGGGATATCTGGGGTTAGCAGATGCCAGAGGGCCATGGGGGCTTCAGGCAGCGTGCACAGGGGAGGCAAAGATTCATTATGGGAGGAGAGAGGGGCTTCCTGTATGCAAGTCCTGCAGACACTGGGGGCACAATGGTTTGCTGCATTTCCTGTTTCTTCAGCCACGTCTGCAGGCCAGGACTTAGGCTTCACCACTGTATAGAGCAGTGCTTCTCAAACTTTTTTTTTGAGATGGAGTTTTGCTCTTGTCGCCCAGGCTGGAGTGCAAGGTTGCGTGCGACCTTGGCTCATTGCAACCTCTACCTCCTGGGTTCAAGCGATTCTCCTGCCTCAGCCTCCTGAGTAGCTGGGATTACAGGCACCTGCCACCATGCCCGATTAATTTTTTGTATTATTAGTAGAGGTAGGGTTTCAGTATGTTGGCCAGGCTGGTCTCGAACTCCTGACCTCTGGTGATCCGCCTGCCTCGGCCTCCCAAAATGCTGGGATTATATGCGTAAGCCACTATGCCCAGCCTGCTTCTCAAACTTTTTTTTTTTTTTTGAGACAGAATCTTGCTCTGTCGCCCAGGCTAGAGTGCAGTGGTGCAATCTCGGCTCACTGCAATCTCTGCCTCCTAGGGTCAAGCAGTTCTCCTGCCTCAGCCTCCCGAGTAGCTGGGATTACAGGCTCCTGCCACCGCACCCAGCTGATTTTTGTATTTTTTTTTTAGTAGAGATGGGATTTCACCATCTTGGCCAGGCTGATCTCAAACTCTTGACCTCGTGATCCACCCACCTCGGCCTCCCAAATTGCTGGGATTACAGGTGTGAGCGCTTCTCAAACTTTAATGGGGATTTCTTACAATGCAGATTCTGATTCATTCGATCTGTGTTGGGAACTAAGATGTGGACCACACTTTGAGTACCCAGGTAGGTCCTCCCATAGACCTCCTGAATCAGGATCTGCATTTTAACAAGATTCCCTGGGTGACTTTCCGGCATGTTAAATTTTGAGAAGTGCTGCTCTAGACCCCTGGGGTTTCAGTGTTTGGCATTAAAAGCCTGTGTAGTTGGTATAGAGGAACTGCCTGAATTCCATTTCTTTTACATTGTTTTGAGTGGCGTCAGTCAAGAGACCCAACTGTAGAGCAGTGTTTTCAATCAGGGGTGATTTTGGCCCCCAGAGGACATTGGCAATGTATGGAGATGTATTTGTTGCAACTGGGAGGATACTGCTGGCATCCAGTGAGTGCAGGCCAGGATGTTGCAAATCATCCTACAGTGCCCAGGCCAACCACCGCACAACAAGAATGATCAAGCCTCAAATGTCAATAGTGGTGAGGTTGAAAAAGCCAGCTATGGAGGGATCAGCCTTGAGTTTAGATGGCATATCTACATGTGGGCAGTTCCACTCAAAGTCTTAATTTGGCTCTGGATTTCTTAGTTATAGAAGTCATATCATAGCCAAATGTTGGACTCACTCATGGAAGGATGGTACATTTTATAACAGAGAAAAAATGAAAAAGAAGGCTGGGTGCGGTAGCTCATGCCTGCACTCCTAGCACTTTGGGAGGCCAAGGCGGAAGGGTCACTTGGGCCCAGGAGTTCAAGACCAGCCTAGGCAACATTGCAAGGCCCCATCTCTACAAAAAAGAAAAAAAAATTAACTGGGTTTAGTGATGTGTGCCTATAGTCCCAGCTACTCCGGAGGCTGAGGTGGGAAGATTGCTTGAGCCCAGGAGGTCAAGGCTGCAGTGAGCTGTGATTGTAGCTTAGGCAACAAGGCAAGATACTATTTCTCAAAAAAAAAAAAAAAAGAAGAAGAAAGGAAGGAAGGAAGGAAGGAAGGAAAGAAGGAAAGAAAAAAGGAAAAAAGGAATGGGCACTCTTATTATAACTATAACATGCCGTTTACCTATATTAAGGTATAGAAATGATGCAATCCAATTACTGTTGACTCGAGGCTTAAGAAGGCAATTAGAGTGGCTTGCATTTTGTAATACAGCACTTTGTCTCTAGGGATCAAGATTGCACAGGGAATTTAAAAAGGAACCAGGAACCCAAATTATTTCAGAAGTGTGGCTCAGTTTTTGTTTTTGTGGTTTTTAGAATCTGAAAAGGAGAAAAACAAAATAAAGGAAGATAGAAGAGATTTCCTTAGAATAGTGGTTCTCAAAATGTAGTCCCCTACCAGTAGTACTGGCATTACCTGGGAACTTGTGAGAATGCAGATTTTTAGGCCCCACCCCACACTTACTGAATTAGAAACTCCAGGGATTGGGCCCTGGAAATATTTTTTACAAGGCTCCGTGTAATTCCGATGCTTGCTCAAGTTGGAGAACCACTGCCTTAGGAGAAAGGTTGAGATGTTAGAGGACTGATCAGACACATAAAATGGAAAATGAGATCTTGATGACCAGGCATCTATAATCCTCTAGCTAGAATTGAAATTGGGGAGAATAAATTTTGGGTCATAATCCCCTTGGATTTCAGTTTGCAAGGTAATATACCCCTGTTTTCTTTAATCTCATATGCTTTCATGTTGGTTTTTAAAAAATCTTATCTGAAGGATCAATGGAAGGTTTTTCACAAAACTAGGTCACAAATGCTACCTGTCAGACAATTGTAAGATGACATCGATTTTAAGATGCATCCAGATTGCAGAGACGTTAAAATGAGGAAAAGATATGCATTTTAGAATAAATGATTAGAGCAATTCTCAGACTTTACTTCCTGAGAATTTGGTAATGGGAGAAAGTTTATATTCAAATGCAGGGCACATTGTTGAAACTGGTTTTTGGAGCATCCTTCTGATTCATTTGAACTCATCACAGAACCTCTGATAGGCTGTACCAGACAATGAGGCTGAAATGAAACTGGCTGAATTAGAAATTGGAAATAGAATGTGGGATTAATTTTCAGCTTTGGTTTGGTGGCAGTATTATCAGGATTAGGTTCAGCTGTGAATGATAAAAATAAAACATGATGGTGGCTTAAACAAGATGGAAGTTTATTTCTCTCTCACAGATATCTGGAAGTAGACAGTCTTGAGTGTAAAAGTGAGTCCACAATCATCAAGGACAGGTGTCCTCTAACTTGCTGCTGTGCCATTCTGAGTATAGTACCTCATGGTTCAATATAGTTGCTGGAGTGCCAGCCTTTGTGTCCACATTCCACCTTGTAAGAGGGTATATTGGGAGAGACTAGGACCAAGAGCCAAGCCTGGGGGATCTGAGGTCAAGTAGAGGAGGAGGTCTGCAGTGGAGACAGAGAAGGAATGGCCAGGGAGGTGGGAGAAAAGACAGGAGAGTGTGGGTCAAATGGGAGGAGGGAGTTTGAGGACAGAGGGTGAGGGCTTCTCTTTCTGGTTGGCACCACCATGTTCTTTTCTTGTTATACAATTTGTTCCTTAGAAACATTCTGTTGAAAGATTCATCCTATAGAAACAGGTAACATTTCTCATGATCCTATCATTTCCGATTAAAAAAATATTGTTCTTTTCCTTTCCATCATAATTGTATACCTCTTTCTCTTGTAGCCATTGCACATACTGGGCACAGTAAACAATATTGGTGAAATGCCTTAAAATTCATCATAATCACAGCAAACACCATTCTCTCAAAACTACTCTGTCCCAGATAGTCTCCATGTGGCCTCCCAACTCTGCTCCCCACCCTGCTCCACCTGCCTTGTGTGCATCCCAGGAGGCTGATCTGCATCACTGCATCTACAGGTCCCCTTGCCCTTTGGCTCCTGGTTGGGTTTGGCAACAGGAAGGACCATCAGGGGAATCAGATGGAGGGAGGAGCATGAGACTGGCACATTTATTTCCCTGGACCCCTCCCACAGAGGGGTCTTGCTGTGGGCTGTTTGTGTCCATCCACTCAAATTCACAGTTTCTGTGTCTGTCCTCACCACTCTCTCTGCATTCCAGTAGCCATTTCCTTCCCTTGACTTTTCAGGCTTGGCAATGGTAACATCTACCACACTGTTAGAAATTCTGTTACTGAAACACCAGGGGTTTGATGTAGGTCCTGCTGCTCGCCAAACAGAAAGCCAATCACTGAGATGACAAGTATTGCCAAGGAAGAAGGATTTAATCGGGTGCTGCAGCCAAGGAGATGAAAACTCAGTCTCAAATCCACCTCCTTGACCATCTATAACCAGGGGTTTATGTAGCAGGGAAGAAATGTAACAATGTGTAAGAAAACAGGAACTAGGGAGGGGCAAGGAAGTAGTCATAAGGAATGAGGGGTCCAGAGTCTCCTTGTTTGAATGTGGTGATCTGGTTTCAGCTCTCTGATACTTTTTTGCTTAGAGACCTAAAGGTTCTTTCCTGAGGAAGGAACTCAGAAAAAACAAATATACATTTCCATCTTTAAGATCAGAAAGGTCATGTTTATCTTTTGGATATGTTTATTTGAAAGATCTGTCTATGGGGCTGTTGGGTCAGTTTCAATTCCTTGGGATTTTCCCTATGCCTGCCCACACCTTTGCCAAAAGTCCCTTTATCAAAGTCTCCCTGAGTTACCCAATTTGAAGGGGCCACCTTTTTTTGATCTAGACCTTCACTGAGACACACACTCCTATCCTTCAATCTCCTTCCAGAACTTTGCTATGATGGCTCTTCTGAAGATCACCAATGACCACCACATTGTCAGTCCAGTGCCTGCCTCTCAAGTCTCATCTTACTGAACCTATCAGCAGTATTGAACACGCTGCTCCTTCCTCCTCCTTGACCCATTGCCATGACTTGTCTCCACTTCCAGGACCTTTCAATCTCCTGCCTTCCTCCCTCTCTTCCTGGCTTCTTCTCTTCCTTCCCAGCCTCTGCCCAGGGTGGTGTCCCAGGGCTGTCCTTGGACCTTTTATCTTCTTCTACTCTTTTAGCGATGTTTTCAACTCTCATGGTTATACAAACCATCTATTGGCTGATGACTCCTAAGTTAATCCCTGCAGCTCAGCTAACTCAAGATGCACTTATTCAACTGTCTACCTGACATCCTCATTTGGACGTCTAATAATAAGCATCTCAAACCCAACACAACCAAAAATGAACTCCTGATCTGCCCCCACAGGACTGCTTCACTCCACCTTTCCCATCTCAGTTGATGGCAATTTCTGCTTCCACTTGCTCAGGCTAAAAACCTTGGAGTCATCCTTGATTGCTCTCTCTCTCACACACTCTGTATTCAGTGTCAGCAGGTCCTGTTGGCTTTCCCATCACATTATATCCAGAGACTGACCACCTCTCCCTGCCTCCACAGCTGCCACTTTGTGAGAGCCTCCACCATCCCTCGCTGGTATCACTGCTATAAGCTCCTCCTCCCTCGCTTCTGCCTTGGCTTCCTAGCATCTCTTCTCAATGCATCAGCCAGCATGATCACAGTTAGTGTGTCACATCTTTGTCACTTTGCTCAAAGTGTTGCAGAGGGTCCCATTCTCTCAGAGACAAAAGTCTTCTAGTGATCAATAAGGCCCCACATTGTCAGACACCCTGTTTTCTTTCCCTGCTGCATCCTGTTGCTCACCCTGCGGCAGGACTGTAGTCCCCTGGCCGGTCCTTGAACATGCCAGGCACGCCCCAGCCTTCCTCAGCACCGGTTGTGAGGCGGAGGGACCCAACTTCAGACCAGACTGAAGACTGGCCAAAACTGGAAAGAGGCATGGAAAACACCTCTCTGTAAGACACGCCCACCAGCCCCAAGACAATTTGGCAACACCTGGAAGTTACCGCCCTTTTTCTAGCTAATTCTGAATAACTGCCCCTTAATTAGCATGTCATTCAAAGTGGGTATAAATACGACTGCAAAACTGTCCCTGGGCTGCTCCTCTCCACACTCTTCCTGTGGGGTAACCCTGCTGTGGAGCAATCGCAGAGCTGTAACGCTGCTGCCTCAATAAAGTTGTTTTCTTCCACCACCAGCTCGCTCTTTAATTCCTTCCTGAGCAAAGCCAAGAACCTGCCCTGCATCCATTGTTCCCTCTTCTTGGCTGGCTCTTCACCCAGATATCTGTGTGGTTGACACCCTCATGTCCTTCAATGTTAGTTCAAACGCCACTTTCTCAATGAGGCCCTCCCTAACCCTAACCCTATTTACAATTAAAACCCCTCCTGCAACTCCCTTTCCTCTTAACCTGTGGTACTTTCCCCATAGCATTTATCACCTTCTAAAGTACTATATAATTTACTTATTTGTTATGTTTATTGTTCATCGACTGTCTTCCCCCTCCTGCCCACACCCACCCATCACCCCAGGGCAGGAATCTTGGACAGACATCTCTGTTATCTTTTTTTTTTTTTGATGGGAGTCTCGCTCTGTCACCCTGGCTGGGGTGCAGTGGCAGATCTCGGCTCACTGCAACCTCCACCTCCTGGGTTAAAGCAATTCTCGTGCCTCAGCCTCCTGAGTAGCTGGCTAATTTTTTTTTTTTTTTCGGTATTTTTTTGTAGAGATGGGGTTTCACCACGTTAGCCAGGCTGGGCTGACTGCCTCAGCCTCCCAAAGTGCTGGGATTACAGGCATGAGCCACTGTGCCCGGCCCAGACGTCTGAGTTATCCGACATTAATCTTGAACAAGCTGGAACATAATAGGTGCTCAACAGGTGTTTATTGAAGGAAGCTAATAGGTCTGAATCTGTGCCCTGTAAATACAGGTTAGTCCTTCTAGTCAAGTGTGTGTGGGACTCAAAGAAAGAATCAATTAAAAAAAAAGTAGAAATAGTACCGATTTGGTTTATAACACAATAAGAAACAGTAAAAACTAATGAAGTAAGAAAGGCAATCCCCCAACCTCTTGGAAAAATAATTCTAAACAACTCTCATATAAATGTGGACTTTTTAATACTGCAGAATATTGAAAGCATAATAATGAAAACAACATTTCACTCTCACAGGTTATGAATTAAACTGTGCTCCACTGAACACAAAATCTGCCTCCTGTTTTGCTCCTTTTGCCATACTTGCTTTGTTTTCATTCTGGTCTTGGGTATGGGCTCAAATAAAGGTCTAAGGGAGGGGGCTTGCCAATTCCCAGAACTACTGAGCAGCTGCCTTAAGTCTGCCAAAGATGTCACTGGGTTCCCACCACAGGTGTTGTGTCCCCCCACTACCAGTGTCCCTCCATCCACCCCTAACTCCTTGTCCCTGAGTGGTAGGTGGGAGATCCTCTCTGGCCTGGCTCACAGCTTGCCTGTTTATCTGGCTCTGGCCCAAGGCAGACCTTGGGTTGGGTGGATTTCCCCCAGTTCTTTAAGGAGGTAGTGGAGGGTGAAGGAACCTGGCTGTGTAATGGAAGAGAGGAAACACCTGAGGTGGAAACCCAGCGAGATTCACCATTCCCAAATTTGGGGGATTTCTGGCTCAGCACCCAGTAGAACTTGGTGCAGTTGCAAAAGCACTGGCCAGTTCACCTCCAGTCATGGTTGCAGTACTTCCAAAATTCTCAGCAAGGCCCAATCTCTGAGCAGCTAGTCCAGGAATTTCCCCAGGTGTTAACACCACCTTCCCTTACACATGTCATTCTGAGTGACTGTTCCCAGACACTAAGCTGTTAGGAGTCGGCTCAACTATGCACAGGGAAGGCACTGGTCTTGGAGCTGGTACTTTTCATCCACTCTTCCTGCTCTCCTTGAACATTTGAATACAAACCTGGTTCCAAATGCCATCTCACCACCACGTGCTCTCCTGTTTGCTTCCCTGGATCTGATTCTTGATTACCTTGATTTTCTCTTTTTCCACTCAAATCAACTCCCACAGCACTGAGGTTCTTGTGGACCTTGGACCTCTCAAGGATTTGAGCATGGGGCAGGGACATTCCTGGTCCTGCAGGCTCTCAGCTTGCTTCCCTGGCCTGTCCCGCAATCCCTACCCATCCACCAGGAGGCCTGGCTTCCACTTCCTTCAGCTTCTCCCTGCCCAAGGCCTGCCCTTGTGCCGGCAGACATCTCCCACCTCCTTCCCAGTCTTCCAGGATCTCCTTAATCCAATTTGTGTGTCTATCTCTTAGTTGCCCAGGCCTGTAAAACAAACTCCCACAAACTCGGTGGTTTAAAATAACACACATTTATTATCTTACAGCTCTGGAGGTCAGAAATCCAAAAATCAGTTTTGCTGTGTGCGGATCAAGGTATAGGCAGGGCCGCACTCCCTCTGGAGTTTGTGATTACATTTAGGGCCTACCTGGATAATCCAGGATAATCTCCCTATCCCAAATTCCTTGATTTGATCATATCTGCAAAGTCCTTCTGTCACAGAAGGTTACCTTCACAGGTTGCAGGGATTAGGAAGTAGGTATCTTTGGGATATTCAGTCTACCATAGTCTCCATGGCTGTAGCTTCTCTGAAGGGTGTTTGATCCTTAAGGAGGCAAGTTTTTCTTGCCCTGATACCTGCCCTACATCTCCCACGAGTCCCCAGTTGTTCAAGCCTAGGGGTTCACAGTGCAGGCAGTGCCACTTGTGGGTGGAACCTGGTCTCAGGCTGGTTGACGTCGTCCTGTCATCTCTGCTGTATCCCATTCAAGGAACTTTCCTTCCTCCAGCGAGAAGGAAACCCAGTGAGATTCACCACTCCCAACTATGACGGAGCTCTGGCTCCGTGGTGAGTTGAACTTGGTACATTGTTCTTCATCCAGAAAGCCTATCACTGAGATGACAAGTATTGCCAAGGAAGAAAGATTTAATCAGGTGCTTGCAAACACTGCCTCCTTGCAAACACTGCCCGCTGCCTGGTGCAGGGGGGAGCACCACTCCCCAACAGTCCTCTTCTGCCCTGAAACCTCATGCAAGGACCTCCCCGAGCAGGGGTGGGGGACCACCCTTCCTCATCAATTCAGACTGTAAAGTGAAACCCCTGTTCTTGGTTGAAGCGTCCATTCTTTCATGCGCGTCCGTGTGAAGAGACCACCAAACAGGCTTTGTGTGAGCAACATGGCTGTTTATTTCACCTGGGTGCAGGTGGGCTGAGTCTGAAAAGAGAGTCAGCAAAGGGTGGTGGATTATCATTAGTTCTTATAGGCTTTGGGATAGGCAGTGAAGTTAAGAGCAATGTTTTGCGGGCAGGGGTGGATCTCACAAAGTACATTCTCAAGAGTGGGGAGAATTACAAAGAATCTTCTTAAGGGTGGGGGAGATTACAAAGTACATTGATCAGTTAGGGTGGGGCAGGAACAAATCACAATGGTGGAATGTCATCAGTTAAGGCTATTTTTTCTTCTTTGGTGTATCTTCAGTTACTTCAGGCCATCTGGATGTACACGTGCAAGTCACAGGGGATGCGATGGCTTGGCTTGGGCTCAGAGGCCTGGCACATTCAGGAACCTTCCCTGCTCTGAGAGGATCCCTGCTGTCACCACACTTGGCCCTCTGCTGTCCTTGTCTGGCTGAGAAGACATTCCAACTCGCTGAGGGTTGGGCGGGACTCTCACCCAGCTGTGGCACCCTTCTGCTCGCAGGTGCCCTGCTAACAGCTCCTGGCTCAAGTCTAGTAGTGTTTTGAGTCTAGAGGTGATTTGCTTTGGGCATGGCTGGGCTCCACTTATCAGTTCCGAGGTCTCCTCATGGGTGCCTCCTCTCAGCCTCCCTCCTTCCCTCCCTTTCTACCCAATTCCAGTCCTCCGCTGCCTGTGGCATGGCCAGCACAAGGCGTGTCCTCATGTCTGAGGCTGGTGTTGTCTTGGGAGCATAGCAGTGGATGTTTGTATACTTCAGAGCAGACCATCTATGGGACAAATCCATCTCTCTCATGTCCTCTTATAGCATAATTACATGTTTTGTGCCAAGTATCCTCTCTCAAAAAGCCTGAGTGAGAAGGAAACAGAAGGAGGTCCTGCAAGCCCATCCCCTGTCAACCTATGTGCCCCTCAGTCCAACTGCTTTAGAGGCGCCCTCCTTCCCCAGGGAAGGGGTGGTATCACGTGTTATTCCCACAAGTCAATGAGCTGTTGCTGTCTTCTGTTCATATAGGAAATCGGAGACTCAGAGAAGTTCAGGAACCTGCTCTGGGTGGCCCAGTGGGTGGGTGACAGAGCTCAGATCTGAGAGGTCCATTTGCTCCTCACCACACCAGTCTTTGTGAAGTGAGAGTAGGTGCGGTGGAGAGACACAAAGACATGACAGCAAAAAGGCCACAATCCCAAAAGCACTGTCCCAGAGGGTTGTAGGAGTTATTAAGAAATTATTTTAGGCAGATTGAGAGGAAAAATGGTCCTTGGGAAGTTTTCGTTTTCTTTTTCTTTAATTAATTAATTAATTAATTTATTTATTTTTTACTTTAAGTTTTAGGGTACATGTGCACAACGTGCAGGTTAGTTACATATGTATACATGTACCATGTTGGTGTGCTGCGCCCATTAACTCGTCATTTAACATTAGGTATATCTCCTAATGCTATCCCTCCCCCTCCACCCCCCCCCCACCCCAAACCATCATTCTCAGTTTTCGTTTTTTAAAGCATCTCCAGAAACCTTTCTTGTAAAGCCCCTGCTCTTAGAGCCGAGATGGCAACTTTTGATATGCAAATGCAGGCCATTAGAAACTGGGTCCACCCAAACATGACGATTCCTGCCGCCTTCTTCTTGCCCTTGGCCCACACTTGCCTGGCAACATGGCCACCCATACATATCCCTCCCTACATGTGTAAAACATCATGGCACCCTGCATTTGCATATTAAAAGGCTAGGGTGAGAGGGCCAGTTTTTTCGTGGGCTACATGAATGACATGCCTGGTTAAACCAATCCCTATGCAAATGAGCCCTATGCAAATCAGACACTGCCTCCTCCAGCCTCTATATATAGCTGGCTGGTTTCTACCCCACTTGGGGTTCCTGCTCTAGGCTTTGGAGCCTCCCCACCCCGTTCTCTGTACAGGGAAGCTTCTTCTTTCTTCCCCCTTCTTTCTTGCCTATTAAACTCTCTGCTCCTTAAAACAACTCCACCAGGGCCCGGCGTGTGGCTCACGCCTGTAATCCCAGCACTTTGAGAGGCTGAGGCAGGCAGATTATGAGGTCAGGAGGTCGAGACCATCCTGGCTAACACAGTGAAACCCCGTTTCTACTAAAAATACAAAAAATTAGCTGGGTATGGTGGTGGGTGCCTGTAGTCCCAGCTACTGGGGAGGCTAAGGCAGGAGAATGGTGTGAACCCGGGAAGTGGGGCTTGCAGTGAGCCGAGATCACGCCAGTGCACTCCAGCCTGGGCGACAGAGCAAGACTTTGTCTCAACCAAAAAATAAATAAATAAATAAATAAATAAAAAAGAAAAAAAAGAAAGAAAAAGAAAAAAAAACAACTTCACGTGTGTCCCTGTTGCTTTTTCCAATTCCACTCAAGAGGAAAAACCTGGAGTTCCTCCACGCATTGGAGCCATATCAAGAGGACAAACCTCTCTCTTTCTGGAGTGGAGGCAGGAGAGAGACCCACAGGGCAGTGGCAGGTCTGAGGGGTCCCT
The DNA here is from genome assembly GCF_000001405.40 of Homo sapiens. Taxonomy (NCBI): domain Eukaryota; kingdom Metazoa; phylum Chordata; class Mammalia; order Primates; family Hominidae; genus Homo; species Homo sapiens. The sequence continues at coordinate 19,961,571 of NC_000001.11, forward strand.
GAGTCTCCATCATTTTGTGAGGTTCCATCAAAAGCCTGTATGAGTTAGGGCTCTTTCAATCGCAAATGATAACAAACCTACTAGGGCTGCCTTAGGTCATAAAAGGGCCTAGACAGGCTTAAGTAGCCAGAAACCCACCCACCCCCACCCCACACCCCACCCCCACTCCCTCACCCCCACCCCCCACCCCAAGGGAGATGCAGTAGGCAGAATCAGAGCGATGATGACAGGGGCGGGAATGAAATGGGGAGGGCCCTGATGGATATGCAGCAGGGGAATCGGATGCACCTGTGCCTGGATTGGGGGGGAAGGAGAGTGGTTGTTAAGGTGATTAACATGTTCTCAGCTTGGGCAGTTGGGTGGAGATTGGGTGGAGATGGGGGCATCTCCAGATGAGACCCTGGGAAAAGGTCTTAGATGGGGCTGTGTGGACTGGATGAGCTCAGGTTGACCCATGTTGACTATAAGGAGCTCATGGGACCCCCAGGGGGAGATGTCCAGTGACATCTGGTGTATGCACCTGCAGCTCTTGGGAGGGGCTGTGCTGGGACCCTGGATCGGAGAGTCATCCAAAGAAAATGGAAAGAAATGACCCATTTGGTGACGTTTAAGCACCCAGAAAGCAGCAGAGAAGGAACAATCAGGAAGGTGGGAGTGGAACGGGAGAGAGCTGTGTCATGGGCATCAGCAGGTAGAGGGGTTAGAGCAGCCAGGGGTGGTTACTAACGTGAGAAATAGCAGCGTGATCCCTGTGATAATGATGGAAAGGAACTCCTGGAGGGAGAGACCTGGGCCCAATAGGAACCTGGGGGAGTGCACATTTCATGGAGTGGTGAGGATGAAGCCAGACTGCTGTGAATCAGGGGTGATGGGAAGCTGAGGAAAGAGAGGCAGTGAATGCAGATAATTTGTTTTTAGAGAGTTTGATTGTGAAGGGGAGAAGAGAGACATTGGGGGCTTGCTGGAGGAGCTGCTCAGTCTGAGGCTGATGATCTAGAGTCTAGGATGAAGCTCTGAGCTAAGCCTTACGGGTCTGCTCCCTGACCTCCAGGGCCTCCTCCATCAGGGTGAGGCTCCCCTAGTTCAGCGGCTGTGTTCCCTTAGGGTGTGGAGCGTGTCTTCTATCAGATCAAGAGCTCCTTCTGAGCAGCAGGTGCCTCCCATTGGATTGGGAGCTCCCCAAAAGTTGCAGTTGTGTCTCCACCATCAGGCTTGGAGACTCCTGGTGAAAGACCATGTCTCCTCCAGTGGACTGAGAGTTCCTGGAGGGCAGAGGCTGGGTCTCCCTCATCAGACTGAGAGCTCCCTGAAGCCAGGGACTGTGTTGCCCTCCACTTGGTTAGGAGGTTCTGAGGGGAGGTACTGGGTGTACCCACGGGTCTAGGAGCCTGAGAGGTGAGGGGTGAGTTTCCTCCATCCTCTGTCCCTCCTCATGGTGTCCAGCAATAAAAACTGACCAGTGTCTTTCCCTCCCCACCCCCCCCCCCCCGATATCTGTTTCCTCTGGTTTCAGACAGAGGCGACTTCTGCCAGGAGGCAGCCTGCGATTGTGACAGAGAGGCTGCCCACTGTTCCTTTGACAACCTCGGCACCTACAATAAAACCATGTGCAACTACCCCAGTTTCTTATGTGAAAACTGGTTCCTCAGTGCTGAGTGCCACCCCTTCTCTCTAGCCTTGTCTGGGACAGAGGCTTTCTTTCCTCCACCTGCACCATAAACCCTTTCTGCCCCCAGCCTCTCCATGCAGGAGTAGGATGTGGTCCCACCAAAGAACAGAATGGCCAAAGCCAGGCTGAACCCCTATTCCCTGTCCCAGGGGTTTGGCTCCTCAGTGGTGGCTGGGGTGTGTGAGGCTCTCTGGATGGGGTCTCAGTCCTCCTTCTGCTTCTAGGTCCACTCCCTTAGTCGTGTTGCACTTGTCTTTGAAATAAACCAACTCCATTGCTAATTGTGTAAGGGCATGGGAATGTGTGATAGGCGTGTCGAGTGCACGCGTTTCTGGATAGGGGGCATGTTCATTCACTTATTCACTTATTTATCTCACAAATACTTATTCAAGAACCTACTGCATGGCTGGCTCTGTTCTGGGGTTTCAGGATCCAGTGGGGAGCAAGACAGCCAGGAAGAGAACTCATTGTTGCCCGCTTCACTCCAGCCACTCTGGCCTTCTTGCTGCTCCTGGAATGAGATGAGTCTGTTCCAATCTCAAAGCCTAAAAGGTTATTTCACAATGGCTTTTTTCTCTTCTCTCAGTTTCCAGCTGAAATGTCACCTCCCCAGGGAGCCCTTCCATGGCGCCCAAGTTAGAGCAGCTCTTCCCTCCTCCCTTTACCCTTTCCCGCATCATCCTGTTTGTTTCCGTCTTGGCAGTTGTCACAGTCCCAAGTAACCTACTTATTTCAGTGTTTTATTTTTTGGTTAACTAAAGGAAGGGTGAAAAGTGGAGATCTATAGGCTTCTTGGGTAGGGAGCTAAAAGATTTTCCTTCTTTTTCCATTCATCTACTTGCTTTCCCCCAAGAGATGATGTGTGAGTTTGGATCCTCTGGAAGCAGATGCCGAGATACAGTTCGAAGTGCAGGAGATGTATGGAGGGAAGCAGCTCTAAAAGATAAAGGAGGCAGGGAGGAGTAGGGAGAGAGAGTGTTCAGATCAGGAAGCAGGTCTGACACCTCTGAAGGGAGAGAGGAAAGGAAGGAGGATTGGGTAGGAAGAGGCTCAAACTGTGGCACAGCTCTGAGAATGTCTCAGCAATCTGACGGGGAGTTCTCATGTGAACAGTGCCCATTAGAGGAGTCCTCCATTGGGAAACAATTGCCTGGCTCTAGTCCCCTGTCATCACCATCATGGGAACGGCACTGGAGAACATGGCTTTGTCATGAGTACTGTGGCAGATCCCAAAGGAGCATGGGCTTGGGGCTGTCCACTAAGTACACTCCTTGAACAGGTTCTCATTTGAAGGGAGAGCTGAGTGGTGCCGTCCAAGGTTGTCACAGAAAGAGTTACTTCGGATTGGTTGGACTTGAGGATACTGATTGAGCCTTTTTTTTTCCCCTGGTGGATGGGTCATTGTGCATTAAAAGGTAAAGCACAGATGGTGGAGCAACTGGAACTCTCACACCTTACTGGTGGGAATGTAAAATGGGACAAGCACTTTGGAAAGAAGTTTGATCTGACTTTGTAACATTAAACATACCCTTATCCATTGAGTAAACATTTCCAGTCCTAGGTATTTATTCAAGAGAAATGAGAACTTAATGTTCACACAGATACTTGTATAAGAAATGGTCATAGCAGTTTTATTCAAAATATCCCAATACTGAAAAGAGCAAAAATGTTCATTACCAGGAGAATGAATAAATAAATTGTAACATATGCATGCTATGGAAGGCTACTCAGCAATAAAGAAGAACAGATTACAGACATGTGCAACACCATGAATGGATCTCATCATCATTATACTGAATGGAAGAGGCCAGATGTAAAACAGTACACATACGGGAGGTGGAGATCACGCCACTACATTCTAACCTGGGCAACAGAGTGGGACCTTGTCAAAAAAAAAAAAGTGCACCTAATATATGATTCAATTGATAGAAAGTTCTAAAACAGGCAACTAAGGTGAAAATAATCACAATGATGGTTTCTCCATGTTATAAGCTGAATTGTGATTCCCCAAAATCCGTATGTTGAAGTCCTAACCTCCAGTACTTCAGAATCTGACTGTGTTTGGAGACCAGCCCTTGAAAGCGGTGATTAGGTTAAAGTGAGGTCATTAGGGTGGGTCCTGATGCAGCATGATTGGTGTCCTTAAAACAAGAGGAGGTTAGGACACGGACACCTGAGAGAGAAGACCATGTGAAGACACAAGGTAAGACAGCATCTGTATGCCAAGGAGAGAGGCCTCAGAAGAGACCAACCTGCCAATGGCTTGATCTGAGCTTTCTAGTTTCCAGGATTGTGAGAAAATAAATCGCTATCGTTTAAGCTCCCCCAGTCTGTGGGACTTTGTTATGGTAGTGCAAGACGACTAATTCATCCAGAGAGGGGGTTGAGGGGAAAGGGATGTGAGGGAATTTTCTGGGAGACGGAAATGTTCTCGTGATGGGATGTGGGTGATGTGGGTGTATCCGTTTCTCAAACGTGTTCAGCTGTGATTTGTGCTTTTCAATCTATATATATTTTACCTTTAAGAAAGAACTAAAGGTAATGATGATGATGATGATTCATTGGAGGTGCAGAGTGGTTGGAGGTGTAAATGATAAAAGAAGGCTGAATGTTGATAAGTGTTGAAGCTGGTTGATGGATACAGGTGAGTTCACAATGTGATTTTGTTACTTTGTACATGTTGGAAATTTTTGCAAATTGAAAGTTCAAGCCCATGGGAGTGAAGCTTTCTTCTCTCTTCCTTTTTTTTTTTTTTTTTTTTTTTTTTTTTTTTTTTTTTTTTTGAGATGGAGTCTCGCTCTGTCGCCCAGGCTGAAGTGCACTGGCATGATCTTGGCTCACTGCAACCTCCGCCTCCTGGGTTCAAGCAATTTCTCTTGCCTCAGCCTCCATAGTAGCTGGGACTACAGGTGTCCACCACCACACCAGGCTAATTTTTGTACTTTTAGTAGAGACAGGGTTTCACCATATTGGCCAGGCTGGTCTCGAACTCCTGACCTTGTGATCTGCCCGCCTCGGCCTCCCAAAGTGCTGGGATTACAGGCGTGAGCCACCATGCCCGGCTTCTCTTTTCCTAGCTGGTGGGGGACTTCCTGGCTCTGTCTTCTGTCCATGCACTTGGATAGTAGGGTGTGGAAAGATTCTGAGATTTCAGGGTTTCACAGAGGTAGTGTAGCACTGGAATTAGGTGCTAGTATTTGGAGCTCTGGGGTAAAGTCCCAACTACCATTAACTAGGTAAGAGTTTGTGTTAATTATTTGATCTTTCCTAACCTCTGTTTTTTCATTTATACAAGGAAGTTACTAATAGCTACTTCATCAGGGCGGTTGAAAAATATTAAATGTAAAAATGTATACAAATCAATTTGGACACTTTTATTTTATTTTATTTTTATTATTATTATTTGAGATGGATTTTCGCTCTTGTTGCCCAGGCTTTGAGTGCAATGGTGTGATCTCAGCTCACTGCAACTTCCACCTCCTGGGTTCAAATGATTCTGCTGCCTCAGTCTCCCAAGTAGTTGGGATTACAGGTGTGCACCATCACGTCCGGCTAATTTTTGTATTTTTAGTAGAGACAGGGTTTCACCATGTTGGCCAGGTTGGTCTTGAACCCCTGACCTCAGGTGATCCACCCACCTCAGCCTCCCAAAGTGCTGGAATTACATGAGTGAGCCACCATGGCTGGCCTGGACACTTTTAATATTAAGCAACTGAAGACCTGACTCAAATTGGTGTAAATAATAAAAGAAATTTATTGACATGTGTAACGGAAATGACTGGAGGCTTTCTGGTATGGTTTGATCCAGAGGCACCTGTTTCCTCCTCCTCCTTCTCTTCCTTTTCTTTCTCTTTCCCAAAGCTTCCAGCTAGCTGAGCATATATTTACATATTTTATTCCAGACTCCTAGAATTGGTTTTTTTGTTTTGTCTTTTTGTAATCTGCCTGAGAAGAGATCTCACACACAAGCTGCATTAAACATCCTAGATTTCCACATTTTCTACACTCTCCTGCCTGCTAACTGCACCTTCTTTTGGTTTCTTATTTCTGTTCTGCAGTACAATTTTCTACTTTCTGTCCTCAAATATGTCAGGCTCAGACCTGCCTCTGTATGCTTGCCTTAGCTGTTCCCTCTGCCTGGATCAATTTTCTCCTTGATTATCTTAGGGCTGACTCCTTCATATCATGGGTGATCTTGCTTCCAGTGCCTTTTGCTATCTCTGCAGCACCTTTCCTGATCATGCCATCTGAATACATGCCTTGTCTTCCACCTGCCCTCTCCTATTCTGCTGTTTTGATTCTCTTTATATTACTTATTACTGTCTCTTTTCTCTCTCGAAATTTGTTTATTGGCTGCGTCTGTTCCTGTCAGTGCCTTGTAAGTGCCAAGAGGCAGGGGCCTTGCCTGTTTGGGTTTTGGGGTGTTCTTAGTGCCTGGTTCTGTGCCAGAAATGTTGCATGTACTCAATAGATGTCCTGTGGAATGAATGAATGGAAGATATGAATAGCAATATTATCATAGAATTGTTAAGAGGATTGCATGAGAAGACACGTTTAAAGTGCTTGGCCCAGGACCTGCCATGAAGTCAGTGTCCATTTTCCAGTAAGTGGGAGTAGTCAAGGCATGCTTTTGCTGCTGTTGTCATCATGTTGTCCCGTCCTGGCTATGGAGTGCCTTTCTCCACCGTGCTCTCATTTGGATGAAAGTTACTCCCAGGTCATGACCCACATGAGGAGTGGGAACATCCCTCGGTCGGCCAGCTGGTTCTTTCATCCATCCATGCTGCATAAAGTGGTTGACGTAATTTATTCCCTCCAGGGAATGGAATTCATCCATAGCTTTGCCCTTGAAAAGTCCCCTGGGTTGGGTTTCATCAGCACGTGGGAAGCTCAGACGGTCTGGGTTTTGGTTTCCAAGGTCTTCAGAGACCAATAACAGCCCAGCGCCTCGCTGGCCAAATAAAAGAGTTGGAAATCAAACTAAAGATGTGCTTGTGGAAAGTGACTACAGAAAAGGTCATGTTTTCTCAAGACATAGCCTTTCTCCGGGAAGCCATTCTTGAGCTAAGACAAGCAGCAGCACCATCCTTGGGCCTGGGAACCAGGACGTCTCCCCTAGAGTGAGGACTCCTAGGCCAAGGGATGTGCCTGCTGGAGCCCTTGGTCTCCCTTCTAAACCATGATCTGAGTGTCTGCGACTCTGGGATTTCTTGCTCAAGTGACCCTGAATCACTTCCAGAATCTATCTGGGTTGCCTGCCTAGGTTTATCCTATTGAGTGAAGGTGATGTTTGCTACAGGAGCAAGAAATAAGCTATAGTGCTGATGGAGGGGGAAGGACATCTGAAATGAGTGGAGAGGAAGGGGATGATGCGTATTGTTAAGACCGTGGAGGCAGCTGTAGCAGCAGGGACTGCAGCTCCTTCCCTTCCCTTCCCTTCTACATTCAAGTCCTTCAGGCCATCTGGACCAGATGTTGAAGAGGACTCTGTGATCCCTCAGCCTTGCACTCTAGGGTGAAGTGAGGGCACGCGCTATCACAGGATGGTAGAGGGCCCAGGTAGTGGTGTGGGAACCAGGCACAGTGGAAGGGCATGGGAGGATCTGACAGGCTCATGGGGTAGTCTTTGTGGGGTGTAGGATGTGCCTATTAGATTCTTTTTTTTTTTTTTTTTTTTTTGGAGACTGAGTCTCATTCTGTCACCCAGGCTGGAGGGCAGTGGCACGATCTTGGCTCACTGCAACCACCACCTCCTGGGTTCAAGAGATTCTCCTGCCTCAGCCTCCCGAGCAGCTGGGATTACAGGGGCGCACCACCACACCTGGCTAATTTTTGTATTTTTAGTAAGAGATGGGGTTTCACCATATTGGCCAGGCCAGGATCCTGACCTCGTGATCCATCTGCCTTGGCCTCCCAAAGTGCTGGGATTACAGGTGTGAGCCACTGTGCCCAGACCAGTTTCTTTTAACCTCACAATCTCAGCATCCTGCTGTGCCCTAGGCCAGTCCTGGGGCTAAAAGTGAACCAGGCTTGGTTTCTAGTCTACCATTCACTCATTCATTGACTTGGTTAGTCTCCTATTCCATCATCTACAGAAGACATTTGCTCTCAAAGAACCATCTCTCTGCCACCTGGTATGGACCTGGCTTGATTTCCCTAGTAACTAGGCAGGATGTGCTAGTTATCTCCATCTTAAAACTGAGGACAAAAGTGAAATATAAGTGATTTTTGGATTATCTGTGATCATCATTCATCCAGCCAAGCTAAGGCAATAATTGAGAAATGGGTATTTCATTCTGGTCCAATGGTATAAACTAGGACCCAGAGGTGCAACTGGCTGGCCTGTCAGCTGACTGTCAAGGTGGAAAGACCAGATCTTAGATGGAGACAGCTGTGGGTTTGAGTCTTCACTCTCTCTCTTACACACATGAGACATGATACACTCTCACGCTGTCTCTTACATACTGCTTATGTATCATGCATTGATAGGGTACATTTCCAGAGGTGGTTTGCTGAGTGAAAGGATAAGTGCTTTTATAACTGACCAAGCCTTAATCTGTGTGCACCACGGCTTCACTTCATCACGCTCTGTTATTGTTGGTTTCTGCAAGGTACCAATTTTATTTTATTCACTTTAGTCCTTGATCTTCCATCTCCACTACCAATTTATTCTTCCTATGTTTATTTAGATATATGGTTTCTTGAAAAATGTTTAGTGTTTGTTTGACTCTCTGTGGAGGCTTTTAAACTGGTACACAGATATTGTGCTATACATTTCCCTGTTTTCTGCCAAGTTTGCAAATTAGCATAGGCTCCGGCTCCCTGTGCCAAAACCAGCCTAATAGATACATGCCTGAGAGAGAATCTTGGATGATGAAATAGCAGAAGAACCTCTGCAGAGTCTTGCAGGAAGTTAGAATCTGATCTTGGCTGCTGGGTGTGGTTCTCGGGGAGAGGGGTTGGCTGTGCCTTGGAGCAGTGGATTGGTGGGCTTTGGCAAGCAGCAAGTAGGTTGGGAGGAAGCTCTTTAAGTTTTGTTCTTTTTCTCCTTTTGCGTCTTCATCTTAGAGCAACAGCTGAAATGCCCAAGTCCTAGAGATGATGTTAGGGCTGTCCCAAAGCCCTGCTTGGGTAAGCAATTGACCCAGATGGATGCAGGCTTCTCAAGTGCCCTCAGCCATTCATTCCCTCATCTCATCCTGCACTGTTCCCCCTTCCGCCCTGCCCCATCTCAGGGAGGGCCGGTAACAGCTTTGGAGTGCTGCTTCCTGCCAGGGCTGCTGCTTCCCAGATGTTCAATGATGAAACCCTGTCAGCAGGAGCACCTGCCTGGGGTGGCAGCAAATGAGAATCATCATATCTTGGACTCATCCCCTTCCCCTTCCCCAAGTTTATCTTGAGACACCCAGACTACACCCACTAGAAAGATGAAATGTACTTGTCAACACATACCATCTAAAACAGAATTGCCAGAGTGGATGAGCAAGAAACTAAAATATGCGTGTTAAACATACTTATGTAGATAAGGGAAGATGTTAGCAATATCAGGCAAGAACAAATCATTATTTAAAAAAATCCCAAGTATAAAAGTTACTTAGGAAGAGTATAATCATTGAAATGGAATAGCTAGCTGAAGAATGTCACAGATAGAGTTAGAAGCTTAGATTGAGATGTCTTCTTAGGGAAAAAGAATAAAAAGAAAATAGAGAAAATAGCAAGGAAAATTCAAACCAGATGCAGTGGTGTGTGCCTGTAGTCCCAGCCACTTGGGAGGCTGATGCAGGAGCATTGCTTGAGCCCAGGAGTTTTGGGCTATAATGCGCTGTGCAGATCGGGTGTTCCGCACTAAGTTGGGCATCAATATGATGACTTCGCGGGAGTGGGAGACCACCAAGTGGCATAAAGAGGGGTGAACTGGCCAAGGTTGGAAATGGAGCAGGTCGAAACTCCCGGTGCTAATCAGTAGTGGGATCACACCTGTGAATAGCTGCGGCACTCCAGCCTGGGCAACATAGGGAGACTCTATCTCTTTTTTTTTGTTGTTTTTGTTTTTTGTTTTTTTTTGAGATGGAGTTTTGCTCTTGTTGCCCAGGCTGGAGTGCAATGGCACGATCTCGGCTCGCTGCAACCTCCGCCTCACGGGTTCAAGCGATTCTCCTGCCTCAGTCTCCTGAGTAGCTGGGATTATAGGCATAGGCCACCACATCCAGCTAATTTTGTATTTTTAGTAGAGACGGGGTTTTGCCATGTTGGTTAGGCTGGTCTTGAACTCCCCATCTCAGGTGATCCACCCCCCTCAGCCTCCCAAAGTGCTGGGATTACAGGCATGAGCCACCACGCTGGGTGGGAGACTCTATCTCTTAAAAAAATCCAAAGAGATATGGAGTACAGATGTACTAACTTCCAGATAGTAAAAGTCCCAGAAAGAGACAGGAAAAAGAGAAGGAAGGAAATGTTCAATGAAATAATGAATATAAAATTCCTATCATTAAAGACAAGTGAAAGGACTTCAGAGTACAAAAAGGCCAGATAAAGAAAAACTGTCAACTAGACACATTGCAGTGAAAATTAAGAACATCAAAGACAAAGAGAAATTCTACAGGCTTCCAGAGGGAAAGAGCAAATATCCAATCAAAGATGATGAGTCAGGTTAATATCAGACTTCTTATTAGCAATATTGGAATGGGATTGGAAGAAATGGAGGAATGCTTCTAAGGTAATAAGGAAGAATGGAAAAAAAATGAACCAAGGATATTATATCTTTCGAAATTGTTATTCAATGTGAGGTTGTAAAAAATGCTTTCAGGAATAAAAGGCCTTCAAAATTTTGCACACAAAGACTCATGTTGAAAATATTCTTAGATAAATACCCAGAAATGCAAAGTCTTTACTGGAGGGAGAGATGTATACTCTTTTCCTAGATCTTTCTTTTCCGTAGATCAAGATGGAGGTAAAGCCCCTGGCAAGCATTTGACTAAGGCTTTATTTCAAGCAGCTTTTCACCGCCTCTGTTTAGAAGCTAAAGAGGAATCACTGAGGAGTAATATGGTCCCAACCTCACCCTGGCAGTCTATGAGGGTAGCTGGAAAGAAAATGACTCTGTTTATATTGTAATAAATGGTACTTATTCTAAGTCAAAGGATGAAAACAAACTGCTAATTCTAAAATCATTAAGGTCCAGACATGGTGGCTCATACCTATAATCCCAGCACTTTGGGAGGCTGAGGCAGGAGGGTGGTTTGAGCCTAGGGGTTCAAGACCAACTTAGACAACATGGTGAGACCGCAACTCTACAAAACATTAAAAAAAACATAAAAAATTTAGCTGGGTGTGATGGCACACACCTGTAGTCCCAGCTACTCGGGAGGCTGAGGCGGGAAGATCACTTGAGCCCAGGAGATGGAGGCTGTAGTGAGTGATTGCGCCACTGCGCTCCAGCCTGGATGACAGTGTGAGACCCTGTCTCAAAAAAAAAATGATTAAGGTCATTTGTCTTTCCTCAATTCAAATTCGACCAGTATTTCCCAATTGGGGTTCATGGGGCGATGCTGGTCTGTGAACTGCTTCCCCTTCCTGGGGAGGTACATACAGAGATTGAGAATGTTAGGAAATTTCAAACAATTTGACAGAGTAATTTTATTATTGCATCCAATAATAAAACATCTGGGATTGTATTTTGTACATTTTTAATTTAACAAAAGTATTGATTTGAGACAGAGTTGGAAAAAATAAAGAATAAATTGGTCCATTACCACGAATGGTTTAAGAAGCACTGGATTATACTGGATATTGGCAAATTCTTTCGCAAAAGACCATACGTTCTCTGTGGCAATGATTCAGTTCCACTGTTGTCACGTGAAAGCCAGCATGAGAATTTACAACCCAAAGAGCATGATTGTATTTTGAGAAAACTTTATTGCCATTAAAATATGATTTTAACATATCATTTTTGTATGAGAGATTCTTCTGATTGTTTTTCAAGCATTAAAAAAACATAAAAACCATTCTTATCTTGCCTGCTGGACAAAAACAGGCAGTGCATAGATGTGGTCCACAGGCCATAGTGTGCCAACCCATGAGTTAGACCATATTGTCTCTGAGAGTTAGTTATCTGTCTTAGACGCAGGAATGTTTGTGTGTGTTTGATGATGCTAATTTTCTTTTGAATAGGAAATATATTCATAGGGTTAAAAATCAAAACAATATAAAAAGTTATGTATCAAAAAATCTTTCTGTCACCCCATCTGTGCCAGACTCATTTCTTGCCAGCCTTGTCCCCTAAAGATAGCCATTTTGATGAATTTCTTGCATGATCTTTGAGTGTTACTGGAAATATTAACACAAATATATTAACAGATGTATTTTGCTACATAATTGTGGCACACTGTTTATACTATTCTCCTCTTTGCTCTTTTCTGTTACCACCATATCCTGAAGACCTTTGTCCATTGGAGCAGAGAGAGCTTCCCTCATAATATAAATGCATTGGGTCCCTTTTTGAGTTGGTATCATTATTTATTTAACTAGTTCTCGTGACACATACTCTTGGATTATTTCCAGCTCAATTCAGAACAATGCTGCAGTGAACAAATTTGCTCATACATCACTCTGTGTGTGCACACGTGTGTGTGCGGGTGTGTGGTGTGTGCCTGCATCCATAGGGTAAATTTCCAAATGGGGTCACTGAGTGAAAGGATAAATACATTTGTAATTTTGATAGATATTGCCAATTTGCCCTCTGTGGGCATTTTGCCCTCCCACCAGCTACCTATGAAAGTGCCTGTTTCCCCATGCAGCCTCGCTAGTAGATCAAGTTGTCACACTTCTGGATTTTTTTCATTGTAATAGATAAAAATGGCATCTCAGTGGAATTTTAATGTGCATTTCTCTTGCTATGTGTGAAAGTGAACATGACCAGGGCCGCCTTCAGCAAATGAAACATTTGGTGCAGAATTAGAAAAGGTGCTTCTTCTGGGAAGACAGATTATGGGAAGGCATCTCCTCTGGGGGAATGCAGAACTTGCTGGGCTGTGCAGGGGCCTTCTCCTGTGGGAAACTCAGCTCCCACCTGTGTCCCCTGTGCAGGGTGCCTTTGTGAAGGGATCCACACCCAGCAGCCCAGATGCGTGTTATTGGAGAAACAGGTGGGGCTGTAGCTGGTCCAGGTGGGAATTTCCCAGCGGAACCCTGAACAGCAGGAGGGGAAGTAGCATCCCAGTAAAGGTGGGACCCGCTACACTATGTGTGTGACTGGGTTGGGTGCAGTGGCTCATGCCTGTAATCTTAACACTTTGGGAGGCCAAGGCAGGAGCACTGCATGAGGCCAGGAGTTTGAGATCTGCCTGGCCAACATAGCGAGACCCCATCTCTATTAAAAAATAATAAAAATAAATAAATTTGGGCAGCCCAGTGCAAAATGAAGTGTGGGAAGGAACTCTTGATTAAAGATTAGTAAGACTTTTCAGATAGCCACAGCGCAGCATTAAACCAGGCGTGGCACCCTTCCAAACACAGGATGCTATGGGACTGCAGGGGTTGCACACCTGGGAAACCAACCCTGGTGACGGGATAACACCCCCAGGGTCCAGCTGGTGGCCAGCATTATATCACCCCACATTTCCTCCTTACTAGACTGGCAACACAGGAGAAGAGCATTCCATGCGGAAGACTTGGACTACAGCTTCCCAGATTAAGACCAACCTTCCTGCTTTCTCCCAGCAGGCCAGTAGGAGCTGCTATTGCCTAGGGAAGGGGAGGGAGATGTCTGGGTTTCGCTTGTAGTAGTCATGGCAGCTATCAGACATATCAGACCCAAAGCTTTTCATTTGTCATCATTCTAATTCTCAAACATGCCCATGCAGGAGGCACCAGTGTTATCTCCATCTAGATGAAAGAACTAAGGCTTAGTGAGATGGGGGAGCGGGGATTTGACACAGCCAGTCTGACTCCAGAAGCTATTTTTTTCGTTTGTTTTGTTTTGTTTTTATAAAGATAAGGTCTCCCTGTGTTGCCCAGGCTGGCCTTGAACTTCTGTGAGCTCAAGCAATCATTGCACTTCAGCCTCAGCCTCCCGAGCAGCTGGGACAACAGGCACACAGCACTACACCAGACTCAGAGCCTGTATTTTTAACCCCTACCCCTGTTTGTTCTCATGCTAACAGTGCATAGGGCAATGCATACACACACACATATACATGATTTGCTAATTGCTTTATTCAGAAGAGACCCCCCGGAGTACAGCTTCTTTGGTTAAGCACGGAGTTGAGGTGGAGGAGAGCAGTAGAAGGCTGGAAATCTGCTGGATGTCTCATTCTGGGTGGGTATAGAAGGGCTCCTGCCTGGCCTCTAGGATGGGTGAGGGATGCTTTCTGCATGGCCAAGGAACTTGGTTAGGGTAGGGAGGGAGGGTATGAGAGAGGGAAATTCAGCACTGGGTGGAAGGTTTCCAGGGAAGAGGGGACTCAGCAACGAGGGGTGCTCCCTCTGCAGTGTTTATTGGAATAGTACTGGTACTTTTTATTGTAGGTCGTCTTGTTTCTAGCAAAACAGGTGGCAGCAGCCTTATCACACTCACACAGTTGACTTCTGCAGGAGTCCTGTTTTGCTGAAATCATAAGAAAATAAACACAAGATGGGAGTTTATTAATATTCAGTGGCTTCTTGTGGGAACCCTGGGGTAGAAGACACAGCCCTGTCCTCCAGAAGCTCCTAGTTGGAGACAAACACCTGCGCTCCAGATATTTCTGACCAATGGGGAGACAGAATTCTTGCCCTTGGGATGCTGGCCTCCAGCCTGGTGGAGACACAGCCAGGCACTGGGATACTTTCTCAAAGGCCTTCCTAACAGCCATAATCTCTTCCTCTTGCTAACAGATGTGTCCAGGAGGCAAAGCCCTAGCCTCGGGGGTCTGGGAATAGATTGTGATTGGTGTAAGCCAGGCAGGGTCATCCCTTTTTCCTTTGCAGTGATTGGTCTTTGTGTATCATGTAACCTTGTTCCAACCAATGAGCAACAAGGGGAAGTCTGCTGGGGGCTTCTGGGAACGATCTATTTCCTCCCTCCAAAAAGAGAGATGCCCAAAAGGAAAGCCTCTTCCATAGTATGAGGCCAGGAGGGTGGACCTGCAGCCTGTCTCTTGACATCCCAGGTGTAGACACTGGCCACGTGGCATAGCTGAAGGCCAGGAGAAGGCTGGATTCTTAATGACATGGCTGGAAAGCTGCCCCAAGCCTGGCACTGCACTCTTCCAGAATTCTAGTTATGCGACAGTCACATATCCCCATTATGCAAGCCACTGTCAGCTTGGCATCATGTGGCTTGTGACCTAACGCCTGCTGAAGATACATGCCTCTATGGAGAGGCCATGATGGGAGACATAATTTCTGATCTTAAAGGACTCAGGCCATGGGCAGGAGTCCACGCTTTTTCCAAATCCCACTCATGAGTCAGCTGTCTGGGGACACCAAGCAAAGCCTTCCAGTGCCACCCACCTCTCCTCCCCTTCAGGGCCAAACTTTCTCCAGAATGTTGTCTTTGCCTCCTGTCTTTATTTGCCTTCCCATCAGCCCCCACCTGGTCTAATCTGGCTTTGCCCTCCCGACTCCATGGAAACAGCTTCCCCTGAGTCCCTCATGCGTTTCTGCCTCAACATCCAGGGGAGCCTTGTTGGCCCTTTTCATGGAGGACTCCCTGTTCACTTGGCCCTTGCTAACCATTTCCTTACTGACTCCTTGACCTTCTCGCTCAGTTCCCCTTCTCCCTCTCTGTCCATCCCTTCTCTGTCTCCTTTCTGGGCCTTTAAACAGCAAATGAGTGATCACACCCACCTCTCAGGTCTCTGCTGCTGGCTTCTGAATCTGTGTCCCAGTCCTGAATTCTCCCCTGAGCTGCATTTGTATAGACAGCTGCCTGCTGGACCCCTCCCTGGGTGCTGGAGGCCCCTAAACTCAACATGCTGGAAATAGAACTGCTCCTCCCCACCCTCCACCATGACCTGCTCCCATGGTCTTTATCACAGTTGTGCCATCCATGCAGCCACATATCCATCCAACAACTCCCTCTCCCCATCCCTCCCAACTCAGTCACCAGTTCAGCTGATTCCATCTCAAATGCATCTTGATTTTTTCTCCACCTTTCCCATCCTGACCTCCATTGTTTTATGTCAAGATGTTACTCCCTCTTGCCTGCATGATGGCAATAGCTTTCTCTGCCCCCCTTCCACTTGTCTCCATCGACCCTGTCCCCACAGTGAGTCATCTAAAATGCAAATCTGACCCTGTAGCTCCTTTGCTTAATAGCATCCTATTGCTTTAGGGCAAAACCTAAATACAGCCCGGCCTGGAGGGCCGGATTGACCTAGCTCCTTCCTATGTCTCCAGCATCATGGCTCAGCACTGCTCCTCTTCCTCATGTTTCTGCTGGGCAGTACAGAATGGCTTACAGTGCCCTTTAGTGCCTTTGACCATGCTGTGTCCTCTTCTGGGAATGCTCCCTCCTCTTCCCTGACTCTCTGCACAGCCTTTCAGACTCAGCTTAGGGGTCACCCCTTCCAGGAGCCTTCCTCAAGCCTCAGGCTGTGTTAATGCCTTATCTGTTTGTTTACTTCCCACTGGAGTCTTTACTACATTGGATTTTCACTTTCCTGGCTTCCCACTCAACCGTGAGCTTCCTGAAGCAGGAACTGTGTCCCTCTGTGTCTATCTTTGGTGCCCAGCACAGTCCCCAGCACTGTCTAAACAAATGAGGGCCACTCGATGGTGAGGTAGGACTCTTACCACAGGTGATTCTGCTCCCCGAGTTGCTAAACTTGTAGCTCAGAAATTTGGTGCCACATCCACGTTTCTCCAGACGTTTGTAGCAACAGTCATGAGTGACACAGCAGCTGTGAGGAGACACCCTGTTGGGGCTCTTGTCCCACAGCTCCAGGAGGCCTGGTGCCTGTGGTCTCACCCCCTTGGACCCTGGGCAGAGACCCAGTGACTTTGCAACAGTCTAGAGCAGAAGTTCCAACATGCCGGCTGCTTTTCCAGCCAGGCCATCCTGAGACCTCTGCGCCCATCAGGAACCGGCACTGTCTTTGCAGCTCCCAGCCCTGCCTGGGCCAGAGTCTAGGAGGGTAGGGAGGGATAGGTGGCCTCACCGATCCGTTGCATCCTTGGGGGATCCTCTGCCACCCACGCCACAGTGGCAGCCGTAGAAGCCATAACTGAGTGCGGCTTCCTTTCCTGTCGTCAACTTGATCATTCTGTGGAAATTCACCAAATTCCCATGGGCCTGCAGTAGGCCTGGAAGGAAATTTGGGAGTTGTCTGGTGATGGGGCATGGGGTTCTGCGCCCTCCCTCTCTGCCCCTCTCTGCTACTCTCCTTCCTCCCAAATGGCTTCTTTTTTCCCCCTGAGAGAGGATCACTGCAATGGGAGAGAAAACTAAGGGACAAGAGTGCTTCCCTTCTGGGGCTGTCCCCCCATGCTCAGAGGTCAGGGTCAGCTCTTACCAAAGATCATGATCACTGCCAACAGTAGGAGGGTCTTCATGGTAAGAGTTCTTGGGTGACAAATGCAGATGGACTGGCCTAGCTCCTCTGCTGGGTGGTCTCAACTTCTGCCCCGGCCGTCGCTCCCCTGCTCCTCCTTGGTGGCTCTGAGACACACAGACATGCTCTCCCATCCAACCTAAGTCCAGGGTGACTTCCTCTGTCACACTCAGAGCACACAAGGAGTGCCCTCCAGCAATGCACACACACACACACACACACACACACAACCACCTCCTGACCCGTTCCCAGCTCTGCAGAATGGTTTCACACACATCAGGCCCTCAGACCTGTGGAGAACCCCATGATACACTAATGAGACCTCCCCTGTACCTCATCAGACTGAGAGTTCTTGGGAGGTTGGAACCAGGTTCCTCCCAACTACCTGGGAGGTTCCTGAGGTCAGAGGATGTGTCCCTCGCTAGACATAGCTTGCATATCCCCACACTGGATTCAAGGCTTGGAGTCTCCAAGGCACCCATGGAGGCTCGGCCTCAGTATTTTCCTCCAGAATGAAAGCATCAACCTCTCTCTTCTAGGCCTTCTAACCCCTTCCACATACACAAGTTCCCAAACACATACATGTTAACACACCTATGCCCACATACACACACTCTCGTACTTACCTGATAGTGCCAACATCCTCTCTTACACTACACTCACATACTCACTCAACACACTCATGCACACACACCCTCTCATACATATCAAATCATGCACATGCATGCACAACACAGCCACTCTCAAAGGCAGCGAATGAGCAGGAATTCTGCTCTTGACAGGACATCAGCTTCGCTGGCTCTTTACCTCTCAGAGGACTCCAGAGTTGTATCCCCAGGCCGTCTTGTTTGTTCTGCACTCCTGCTCCCCTTAAATAGCTGCTCCCTCTGGGAGGTTGGGGGTAGGTGAGGCACAAGGCTGGGGATGGGCGTGGTCAGTTGGTGGACTCAGGATTGGTCGCCCATACCCCTAGGTAATCCCTTTCCTTCCCCTCATCAGCTGGCAGGACAGAGTTGAGGATTGGGAAACCTTACGTGTCAGTAGCTGATGCCAAAACACATTTCAGGCAGTTTTGCAGTCTTTCCATGGAGTAAATTCCCATAACCAGCTCTGGGTGTGATCAACGGTCAGCCACCTCCCTGCAATCGCCTCTAAGGGGGGCAGAGACTGTCTGCTGTTGCAGGCTGTGGACTCATTTGCACACCCAAAGGGACTACCAATTGCTGAGCAAGGATTGCTCCCTTCTGCTCAATGTGGCATTTGGGAATAGAAAAGAGGGCTTTTAGTGGTACTCATTCATTCAGCCGCTCAATCATTCATTCACAGGAAGTATGTCCTGGGCCTCTACCATGTTCCAGCACCTGTGCAGGCCTCACGTGTGCACCCCACAGTCCACCAGGGAGAGAGTTTAATGGGGGTGGATTTCCCTTCCCACTAACTTGGGCCAGGGCCTCAACTTTCTCTTCTTATTCTTCTTTCTTCTTTTCCTCCACCCCTGTCTCATATGAGCTTCTAAACCTGGAAAAAGCCAGAGGCTATCCTTGAAGTTCCCACCAAAGCACTGCCTTCACTTTATTCCCCATCCTCACCTGTTTGGAGACAGGGCAGGTGAATGCTCCCTGGATCTGTTGCTCTTTTTCCTTCAGCCTTCGGGCTGACACTGACTCCAGCTTTAATTCATAAAGTAAATATCTTTTTCATTGCTCTCCAGCACATGCTAAGAATTTAGCTTCCACCGCCTTAAGTAAACACTCTGCGATACCAGTCCTAAAAAAGTCACTGTGGCAGGGGCTGTGGTGCTTGTGAACATTCCATCTGTTCCCTACACTCTAGAGCCCCTTGCAGGGATGGAGACCTAGGGCCCTGCTGCTGACTGGTAAAACATGAGCACTGGTATGAAGGGTCACTTCCAGGTTTCTCCAGCAAGGGGACTATGAGATGCAACTCCCCAGCCCTTCCCTGCCCCACTGGTAGAACCAGAAGATGAAAGCAATCTGGGGTGTAAGAATCATGGCACGGAAGACAGTTGTCCTAGAAAGTCCTGCAGCTCACAGGGGTCTTAGTGTGAGTGAGAAATAGACTTTTGTTGTATTAAGCTGATGATAATTGAGATGGGCAGTTGCTGGAGCATAACCTAATCTATCCCAAGAGCCATCAAACAGCTTTCCTCTCGAGAATACCATTTACCTCCAGTGCTCGACTGTGTAAGGGGTTGGACTGTGGTCCTCCTTCCTGCTCTCAGTTCCTGTGTTGGAGTCCCGGTACCTTAGAATGTGATCTTATTTAAAAATAGGGTCATTGCAGATATAATTAGTTAAGAGGAGATCACTAGGGCAGCTAGGATGGGCCCTAATCCAAGATGACAGATGTCATTACAAAAATGGGAAATTTGGAGACAGGCAGGCACACTGGGAGAAGGCCATACAAAGATGAAGGCAGAGATCAGGGTGAAGCTTCTACAAGCCAAGGAATGGCAAAGATTACCAGAAAACACTGGAAGCTAGGAGAGAGGGATGGAGCAGATTCTCCCTCACAGCCCTCAGAAGGAATCAACCCTGTTGGGCCCTTTGATTTCTGCCACTGGAACTGTTAGACAATAAAATGTCTGTTGTGTAAGCCACAAAGTACCTAATACAAAGCCGAAGCAAACTAACACAACCTCCAGGGATCTCTGTTGGCTTCCTTCACTCTTCTTATTCTGGGTTGCCAGTCCTATAGCAGTTGGCTTTATGGCCACGTCAGGGTTCAGAGGTCTCAACC
Organism: Homo sapiens; assembly: GCF_000001405.40. Taxonomy (NCBI): domain Eukaryota; kingdom Metazoa; phylum Chordata; class Mammalia; order Primates; family Hominidae; genus Homo; species Homo sapiens. The sequence continues at coordinate 19,981,533 of NC_000001.11, forward strand.
CCCCGGGGTAGACCACTGCCTTTGTTAAACATTGCACTTTCGGAAACAGTAGTTCCTCCAATAGGCAGAACCGCCTCCCTCTCTGTATATCTGGATAGCCCTGGTCCAGGCTTCAGTTGAAAGAAATACTCCAACGCTCAAGGACTCTGGTGACGTCGGATAGAGCCTCTCCTTTTCCCATCATTTCAGGCTGTTTTACAGGAATTCAAAGTCCATGAATTGGCCTCTTGTTCATCTTCCATCCCAGACCTAATCCAAGCCCTTGGACTCAGTAAGCCAAACAGAAACCTCTACTTTCACAGGGCTTCCGCTTAAGCAGAAAGAGACAGACAATCAGCAAAAGACATACTAGTAAATGACATCATGTGATAGGTGGTGACACTGCAATGGGGAGAGAGGCAGTAGGTGACAGGGCAGGAGCACCGTCATCTCGGACAAACACCACCACTTTAAGTTCCAGCTCCCTTTCTAGCCTCATGCATTTCAAGGAAATCATTTCTCTTCTCACTACAAACAGCCAGAAAGAGTAGACAGTAAAACACAGATAAAACACAGATAAAACACAGATAAGACAGCTCGGGCAGAGAGGGAGGTGTTCGGAAAGTTTCTCTGGCAACTGCCAAACTTCACCCTCATAAAATGGGCCCCAGTAAAACAGTGAGCCTTAATAAGCACATTCTTTTCCCTTCAGGTGCACTAAGATAGGAAAGCTAAAAGCAGACTTGGGGAGTATGCCTGAGGCTGCAGAAAGATGTATGGGAACAGACACAGAAACTCTCCCTTCCAGATAGGCACAACAAAAAGACACAGAAGCAGTCCAAGCCTCTGTTAAACTCTCCCACCCTGAATCCTTAAAAACTCTTAGTCTGTAAGTGTGTGCCTCTGACCTAACTCAGACAGCTGCCCCTCTCTAAAATAAACCTGTCCTTGACTGCCAAGCCAGCTTTCATGTTTCTTTCCTCTTTCCTTAATTCTTACAGTAGGGATGGAGGAGGGGTATCTGGAGTAGGAGGATGGCAATTTTACATAAGATTGGAGTGCTCAAAGAGAGGTGCTTTGAGCTTAGTCAGTGCTCAGAACACTTTCCTTGCATTATTAATAACTAAAAGAATCAGCATATTGACAAGTTTTTTTCTTTTGCCAAATCAATATCTGCATAAGCAGGTTTTTTTTGTTGTTGTTGTTTTCGTTTTTTTTTTTTTTTTGAGACGGAGTCTCGCTTTGTCGCCAGGCTGGAGTGCAGTTGTGAGATCTCGGCTCACTGCAACCTCCGCCTCCCAGGTTCAAGAGATTCTCCTGCCTCAGCCTCCGGAGTAGCTGGGACTACAGGCATGTGCCACCACGCCCAGCTAATTTTTGAATTTTTAGTAGAGGCGGGGTTTCACCATGTGGGCCAGGATGGTCTCGATCTCCTGACCTCATGATCTGCCCACCTGGGACTCCCAAAGTGCTGGGATTACAGGCGTGAGCCACCAAGCCTGGCCAGCAGTTGTTTTTAATTGCAGGATTACGGTTGAAATTTTTCTGCTACTGTTTCCTAATGTTCCTTTGTGAACATACATTAAAAATTTTTTTGAGATAAATTTTTACTTACAGAAAAAAATTGCAAAAGTGGAATTTTTACTTACAGAAAAAATGCCCTTCACCCAGGTTCCCTAATGTTAACATCTTCCATAGCCATTGTACAATCATGGAAACCAGGAAATTCATGTTATTAACTAATCTACAGGCATTATTTTAATTTCACCAGTTTTCCTACTCATGTCTTTTTTCTTCCAGGCTCTCACATTGCATGTAGTTTTCATATCTCCTTAGTTTTTGCTAATCTGTGACATCTCCATACTTTTCTTGGCCTTTTATGACTGTGATACTGTTAGATAGTACTGGTCAAGCTTTTGTAGAATGTCATCCATTTTGGGTTTGTCCGATACACTCTCATGATCAGATTGAGGTTATGTATTTTTAGCAAGAATGTTACAAAGTGATATGGTGTCCTTCTCGATGATATTGGTATATCTCACTACTACTCATGTTAATTTTGATCACTGGTTAAGATGGTGTCTGACGGGTTTCTCCACTGTAAAGTTACTATTTTTCCTTTTGTAATTAATAAATATGTTGTGGGGAGATACTTTGAGATGGTTCAAATGTCCCTTTTCTCACCATACTGTGACCGGAATTGGTGGGTTCTTGGTCTCACTGACTTCAAGAATGAAGCCGCGGTCCCTCACAGTGAGTGTTACAGTTCTTAAAGGCGGCGTGTCCGGAGTTTGTTCCTTCTGATGTTCAGATGTGTTTGGAGTTTCTTCCTTCTGGTGGGTTCGTGGTCTCACTGGCTCAGGAGTGAAGCTGCCGACCTTTGCGGTGAGTCTTACATCTCATAAAAGCAGTGTAGACCCAAAGAGGGAGCTGCACCAAGATTTATTGCAAAGAGCAAAAGAACAAAGCCTCCATGCTCTGGAAGGGGACCAGAGCCGGTTGCCACTCCTGGCTCCGCAGCCTCCTTTTATTCCCTTATCTGGCCCCACCCACATCCTGCTGATTGGTCCGTTTTACAGAGAGCTGATTGGTCTGTTTTACAGAGAGCTGATTGGTCCGTTTTGACAGGGTGCTGATTGGTGCATTTACAATCTCTGAGCTAGACACAAAAGTTCTCCACTTCCCCACTAGATTAGCTAGATACAGTGGACACAAAGGTTCTCCAAGTCCCCACCAGAGTAGGTAGATACAGAGTGTCGATTCGTGCATTCACAAACCCTGAGCTAGACACAGGGTGTTGATTGGTGTGTTTACAAACCTTGAGCTAGATACGGAGTGCCGATTCGTGTATTTACAATCCCTTAGCTAGACATAAAGGTTCTCCAAGTCCCCACCAGACTCAGGAGCCCAGCCAGCTTCACCCAGTGGATCCCGCACCTGCCGCAGGTGGAGCTGCCTGCAAGTGCTGCGCTGTGTGCCACACTCCTCAGCCCTTGGGTGGTCAATGGGACTGGGCGCCATGGAGCAGGGGATGGCGCTCGTGGGGGAGGCTCGGGCCGCGCAGGAGCCCACGGCGGCGGAGAGGGGAGGCTCAGGCATGGCCGGCTGTAGGTCCCCAGCCCTGCCCCTCGGGGAGGCAGCTAAGGCCCGGCAAGAAGTCGAGCACAGCAGCTGCTGGCCCAGGTGCTAAGCCCCTCACTGCCTGGGGCCGGCAGGGCAGGCTGGCCTCTCCGAGTGCAGGGCCCACTGAGCCCACGCCCACCCGGAACTTGCGCTGGCCTGCAAGCGCTGCGCGCAGCCCTGGTTCCTGCCCGCGCCCCTCCCTCCACACCTCGCCGCAAGCTGAGGGAGCAGGATCCAGCCTCTGCCAGCCCAGGAAGGGGCTCCCACGGTGCAGTGGTGGGCTGAAGGGCTCCTCAAGTGCTGCCAAAGTGGGAGCCCAGGCAGAGGAGGCGCCGAGAGCAAGCGAGGGCTGCAAGGGCTGCCAGCAGGGTGTCACCTCTCAATACCTCCTTCCACTCACTAATTGTAGCCATTTCAGCATCAATCAAAAGTTCTTGGCTGTAGCAATTATTACTGGTGTTTTCCTGGTTTCCTCATTCTTTTTATATGAAGAATTTGAATTCTACTGTGGGCAAAACTTTTCCTTCTAGTTGTGTATTCAACCATTTATATTAGTAGGGGCTTATTTTCTATGCTATTTATTTTCTAACTCAAATTGTTCCATCTTGGCCATGAAGAGTTCCTTTAAGTTTACACCTATGTTGTCTTAACATGTTCTCATCTTTTTTTTTTTTTTTTTTAATGAGATAGAGTCTTGCTCTGTTGCCCAGGCAGTTGGAGTTCAGTGGCGTGATCTCAGCTCACTGCAGCCTCCACCTCCTGGGTTCAAGCAATGCTCGTGCCTCAGCCTCCGGAATAGCTGGGACTACAGGCATGTGTCACCATGCTCGGCTGATTTTTTGTATTTTTATTAGAGAAGAGGTTTTGCCATATTGCCCAGGCTGGTCTCAATCTCCTGAGCTCAGGCAAAAACACTTCCTTTCTTGCACCACAAGATCTTCAAACTTATTATTATTATTATTTTTTGAGACAGAGTATCACCCTTTCGCCCAGGCCAGAGTGCAGTGGTGCCATCTGGGCTCACTGCAAGCTCCGCCTCCTGGGTTCACACCATTCTCCTGCCTCAGCCTCCTGAGTAGCTGGGACTACAGGTGCCCGCCACCACACTCGGCTAATTTTTTGTATTTTTAGTAGAGACGGGGTTTCACCATGTTAGCCAGGATGATCTCGATCTCCTGACCTCGTGATCCACCCACCTCAGCTTCCCAAAGAGCTGGGATTACAGGCGTGAGCCACTGTGCGTGGCCCCGATACCTCCAATTATTTTTTTGGAAAAAAGTTCAAAACCATATAGGTAATTATAACCTTCCCCATTTCTTATTTATTATTTTATTTTTTATTTTTATTTTTTGAGATGGAGTCTCGTTCTGTCGCCCAGGCTGGAGTGCAGTGGCGCCATCTCGGCTCACTGCAAGCTCCATCTCCCGGGTTCACGCCATTCTCCTGCCTCAGCCTCCAGAGTAGCTGGGACTACAGGCGCCTGCCACCATGCCTGGCTAATGTTTTGTATTTTTAGTAGAGGCGGAGTTTCACCATGTTAGCCAATCTCCTGACCTCGTGATCTGCCCACCTCAGCCTCCAAAAGTGCTAGGATTACAGGCATGAGCCACCACGCCCAGCCTCCCCCTTCCTTATTTATAACTCCTTTCTCTGACAAGTTTATTTTTCACAATATATTTACTTATTTGTTCAATTATAGTACAATTGAAGTAGCTTCAGAATTATTAATCCATAACTGTGAGAAATAAATTTACTAACTACAGTACTGTATTTGTGTATAGTTATTTGTATCTTTAGCTTTGTGGTATACCATCAAAATACTGTTTTCTGAAGTTACATAGGTTATCTCTTTTCTTGCAGCCTACCTTAAGAGTGGTTATTATATTGATTTGTCATATAGTTATAAATATATTTGTTATCATTTGTATTCCATTTTGGGCTCTACCTTTTTCCTGGTTGATTTTAATTATTTATTGCTTTTGAGGGTATGTGAAGCCTTCCCATGTGAAACAAGGTGAAAGCCATACTAAAAAGTATACTCAGAGGTGTTGCTTCTCACTCATGCCTACTATCTTCTCATTTTCCTCTTTTTCCCACCTCATTCTCTCCCCATGGCCCGTAGGTAACTGTGTTAGTTATCTGTTGCTGCGTAATAAGTTATCACAAACTTAGCAGCTTAAAACAACATAGGTTTCTGGCTGGGTGCAGTGGCTCATGCCTGTAATCTCAGCACTTTGGCAGGCTGAGGCGGGTGGATCACCTGAGGTCAGGAGTTCGAGACCAGCCTGACCAACATGGAGAAACCCTGTCTCTACTAAAAATACAAAATTAGCCGGGTGTGGTGGCACATGCCTGTAATCCCAGCTACTCGGGAGGCTGAGGCAGGAGAATCACTTGGACCCAGGAGGCGGAGGTTGCCATGAGCCGAGATCGCGCCATTGCACTCTAGCCTGGGCAACAAGAGTGAAACTCCGTCTCAAAAAACAAACAAACAAACAACATAGGTTTCTTATCTCATAAGACTGCAAACAAGTTGTTTGGCTTGTGTTCCTATGTAAAGATCATACCCCTCTGCTTGGTCCGCCCCCATGCTCCTCCATGGCCTCAGCTCCTAGACTTCCTCTCCATAGGCAGTTACAACATGGCAGCTCCCTTCTTCAAGGCCACCAGGAGAATCACTCACTCCAATCTGCTAAGACTGAAATCTTCCATAATGTAGCCTCATCAAGGGTCTGACTACCCCACATCCTTTGCTGTATTCTGTTAGTTAGAAGCAATTCACAGGTTCTTTGGGAAAGGATTATACAAAGGTAAACTCACTGGAGGTCATTCTAGGGTATGTTTATCATAGTAGCCAATCTCATTCGTTTTTGGTTGATTCTTCCTGAATCTTTTGCATAAATGTGTAGGTATATGTTTATTTTCTTTTAGACTCTGCTTTCTTACACAAAGGATAGCATATCGTAGATCATTTTGTACTTTGCTATTTTTACCCAACAGTATATCTAGGAAATCACTTCATATAAGCAGATAGAGATCTTCTTTCTTTAAAAAAAAAAATGTTTAATTTTTTTCCTCCTAACTCAGGGAAGTCTTTCCTGGTGGCTTCCCTGACAGGGTCAAAGCCCCTCTTGCATTTCTATAGTCCTCCATTGTGGGAATGTACTGTAATTTTCCCAACCATTCTCCGAGAATAGGCATTTAGGTTTTTTCTAGTGTTTCACAATTACAAATATTGATTCAGTCAGCAACCTGTGCATGTGTATTTTCATAACATTGGAGATGTATCTTCTGGACAGATTCCTAGAAGTAGGATTACTGGGTCAAAAGGTAAGTGCATGTGTAATTTTGTTAGGTAATGTCAAATTCTTCTACAGAATGGTTGAACTAGCTCACATTCTCACTACTAATGTTTGAGACTGTCTTTTCCTCCATGGCCTCAGCAACAGAATGCTCTGTTAGACTTTTCATTTTGCGTTCATTCTTCTTACAGTTTTAAAAATATCACTGTTCCTTCAATAAATATTTATTGAGGACCTACTCAATAATCCAGGCACTATGTGGTAATGCCATGGTGGGCAAAACAGAAACAATTTCTTCCCTGAGAGCATTTTTTAATCTGGCAACAGAGACAGACATCAGTCAGATGATCTCACACACACACACATGCACACACACACATGCACAATTATAGAATGTCATGTGCCATGATCCATTGGGACAGCATGAGGCAGAGAGCCCTCAACTAGTCGGGGGATCAGAGAAGGTTTTCTAAGGAGATGGCACTTTACCAGAGGTCTGGAGGGAGTTTAGGAGTTATCTGGGTAAGCGGTTTCTGTGGCTTAGCTCACTCAACATTTATTCCAGCCTTCTGGCGTGTCTCTCAGTATTGCAGAGGCTAGAAGGCTAAACACTGCATTTCCTTCTCTCTCCCTCTCCTTATTTTAAAAGGCTTTTTGAAAGAGCAGTGACATTCAAAATAAACTTGATCTGAGAGTACAGAGAGTCCCCACATATTCCCTCTTCCACAAACACACATCCTCCTTCACCATCAACATCCCCCACCATTGTGGTACCTCTGTTAGAATCAATGAGCTGATGTTGACACATCAAAGGAAGTCCATAGTTTATATTAGGGCTCATTCTTGGTATTATACACTCTATGGGTTTTAGCAAATGTAATGTGACATGTATCTACTCTTACAGTATGAGACAGAGTAGTTTCACTACCTTAAAAATTCTCTATGCTCTGCCTATTTATTCCTCCTTCCCCCAAACATCATCCTGACAACCAAGATCTTTTTACTGTCTCCATAGTTTAACCTTTTTCGAATGTCATGTAGTTGAATCATACAGTATGTAGCCTTCCAAATTGACTTCTTTCACTTAGCAATATACCTTCAAGTTTCCTCTATGTCTTTTGATGACTTGATAGCTCATTTATTTTTATTATTGAGTAATATTACATTGTCGTGTGTACCACAGTTAATCCATTTACCTACTGAAGGACAACTTGGTTGCTTCCAAGTTTTAGCAATTATGAATAAAGCTGCTATAAAGATTTGAAACATTTCATGTGCAGGTCTTTGTGTGGAAATCAGTTTTCATCTTATTAGGGTAAATATCAAGGAGCACAATTGCTGGATCATACAACAAGAGTTTAATGTGTATTTTCATAAGAAAATACCAAACTGTCTTCCAAACGGCTGTACCATTTTGCATTCCCTCCAACAATGAATGAGAGTTTCTATTACTCCACATCTTCACCAGCCATTTTGAAACCAGCCCAATTGTCCTGTAGAACTGATGTTTATGGTTTCTTTGAATAAACATGGAAATTGACTCTCCCAGTCTTAAAACTTGAGAAAGTTACATTTGTCTTGTCTGACTTCCTTTCTCAGGAAACCAACCAGCAAGCCTCTGAGATAGTATCAAGGAATTGAAACTTACCAGATAACTGCATCTGGACAATAAGACACCAGATCCCTTGCCTGTCATAATGGACTATGTTGCAGGAAGTCAGGGAACCCGAACATAGGGACCAACTGAAGCCATGGCAGAAGAACATAAATTGTGAAGATTTGATGGACATTTATTAGTTCCCCAAATTAATACTTTTGTAATTTCTTACGCGTGTCTTTACTGCAATCTCTGAACATAAGTTGTGAAGATTTCATGGACACTTATCACTTCCCCAATCAATACCCTTGTGATTTCCTATGCCTGTCTTTAATCTCTTAATTCCTTCATCTTCTTAAACTGAGGAGGATGTATGTTGCCTTGGGACCCTGTGATGATTGCGTTAACTGAACAAAATGTTTGTAGAGCATGTGTGTTTGAACAATATGAAATCTGGGCACCTTGGAAAAAGAACAGGTTAACAGCAATGTTCAGGGAAAAAGAGAGATAACCTTAAACTCTGACTGCCGGTGAGCCGGGCAGAACAGAGCCATATTTCTCTTCTTTCAAATGCAAATGGGAGAAATATTGCTGAATTCTTTTTCTCAGCAAGGAACATCCCTGAGAAAGAGAATGCATCCCTGAGGGTAGGCCTCTGAAATGGCCGCTTTCAGGGGCGGCTGTCTTTTATGGTTGTAGCTGTAGGGATGAAATAAGCCTTGGTCTCCTGTAGCACTCCCAGGCTTATTAGGACGAGGAAATTCCCGCCTAGTAAGTTTTGGTCAGACCGGTTGTCTGCTCTCAAACCCTGTCTCCTGATGTTATCAATGACAATGCGTGCCCAAAACTTCATTAGCAATTTTAATTTCGACCCGTCCTGTGGTCCTGTGATCTCGTCCTGCCTCCATTTGCCTTTTGATATTCTATTACCTTGTGAAGCATGTGATCTCTGTGACCCACTCCCTCCCCTTTTGAAAATCACTAATAAAAACTTGCTGGTTTTGCAGCTAGTGGGGCATCACAGAACCTGCCAACATGTGATGTCTCCCCTGGACACCCAGCTTTAAAATTTCTCTCTTTTGTAGTCTGTCTCTTTATTTCTCAGACCAGCTGACACTTAGGGAAAATAGAAAAGAAACTACATGAAATATCGGGGGTGAATTTTGCCCGATATCTGGCTGAATTTCCCCCAATAGACCTAACTGACTACCTGCTTCCTATTGACCAACTCCTCTTCCTTATCCCTTCCTAATTGTTGTTTTCCTACACATGGATACATTTCTTCCCTGCTATATAACTTCCCAGTTTTAATTGATTGGGCAGGTGGATTTGAGACTGATCTCCCACTGTCTCAGCTGCAGCATCTCATCAAAGCCTTCTTCCCTGGCAGTACTCACTGTCTTGGTGATTGACTTTCTGTGCTGTAAGCAACAAGACCTAGACCAAACCCCTGACACTTCAGTAACAATTTTATATTGTCAGTATTTTGGATATTAGCCATTCTAATATGCGTGTAATGGCATCTCATGGTTTTCATTTGTAATTTTTTTTTTTTTTTTTGAGATGGAGTCTAGCTCTGTCACCCAGGCTGGAGTGCTTTGGCACAATCTCAGTTCACTGCAACTTCTGCCTCCTGGGTTCAAGTGATTTTCCTGCCTCAGCCTCATGAGTAGCTGGGGTTACAGAAGTGCACCACCATGCCCAGCTAATTTTTGTATTTTTAGTAGAGATGGGGTTTCACCATATTGGCCAGGCTGTTCTTGTACTCCTGACCTCAAGTGATCTGCCTGCCTCAGCATCCCAAAGGGCTGGGATTACAGGGGCGAGCCCCTGCGCCCAGCCTTAATTTGTAATTCTAATGACGTATCATGTTCAGCATCTTTTCATGTGCTTATTTGCCATCTGTATACCTTTTGTGAGATATCTGGTCATGTCTCTTGCCAGTTTTTTAATTGGATTGTTCTTTTTTAAAAATTTAGTTTAAGTTCTGGGATACATGTGCTGAACATGCAGGTTTATTGATAAGTATACATGTGTCATGGTGGTTTGCTGCACCTATCAACTTGTCATCTAGGTTTTAAGACCCACATACATTAGGTATTTGTCCTAATGCTCTCCCTCCCCTTTCCCCCCAACCCCCAAAAGGCCCTGGTGTGTGGTTGTGGGTTTGTCCTAAAAAGCTCTTATTATTTTGAGGTATGTTCCATCAACTCCTAGTTTATTGAGAGTTTTTAGCATGAAGGAGTGTTGAATTTTATCGAAGGCCTTTTCTGCACCTATTGAACTCATGTAGTTTTTGTCATTGGTTCTGTTTATGTGATGGATTATGTTTACTAATTTGTGTATGTTGAACCAGCCTTGCATCTCAGAGGTGAAGCTGACTTGATCGTGGTGGATAAGCTTTTTGATATGCTGCTGGATTCGGTTTGCCAATATTTTATTGAGGATTTTTGCATTGATTTTCATCAGGGATATTGGCCTGAAATTTTCTTTTTTTGTTGTCTCTGCCAGGTTTTGGAATCAGGATTTTTTCTATTGTTTGGAATAGTTTCAGAAGGAATGGCACCAGCTCCTTTTTGTACCTCTGGTAGAATTTGGCTATGAATCCATTTCATCCTGGGCTTTTATTTGGTTGGTAAGCTATTAATCACTGCCTCAATTTCAGAACTTGTTATTGGTCTATTCTGGGATTTGACTTCTTCCTGGTTTAGTCTTGGGAGGGAGTATGTGTCCAGGAATTTATCCATTTCTTCTAGATTTTCTAGTTTATTTGCATAGAGGTGTTTATAGCATTCTCTGGTGGTAGTTTGTATTTGTGTGGGATCAGTGGTGATATCCCCTTTATCATTTTTTACTGTATCTATTTGATTCTTCTCTCTTTTCCTCTTTATTAGTCGGGCTAGTGGTCTATTTTGTTAATCTTTTCAAAAAACCAGCTCCTGGATTCATTGATTTTTTTGAAGGGTTTTTTGTGTCTCTATCTCCTTAAGTTCTGCTCTGATCTTAGTTATTTCTTGCCTTCTGCTAGCTTTTGAATTTGTTTGCTATTGCTTCTCTAGTTCTTTTAATTGTAATATAAGGGTGCCAATTTTAGATGTTTCCTGCTTTCTGATGTGGGCATTTAGTGTTACAAATTTGCCTTTACACACTGCTTTAAATGTGTCCCAGAGATTCTGGTATGTTGTCTCTTTTTTCTCACTGGTTTCAAAGAACTTCGTTATTTCTGCTTTAATTTTGTTGGTTACCCAGTAGTCATTCAGGAGAAGGTTGTTCAGTTTCCATGTAGTTGTGCAGTTTTGACTGAGTTTCTTAATCCTTAGTTCTAATTTTATTGCACTATGGTCTGAGAGGCTGACTGTTATGATTTCTATTCTTTTGCATCTGCTGAGGAGTGTTTTATTTCCAATTATGTGGTCGATTTTAGAATAAGTGCTATGTGGTACTGAGAAGAACGTATAGTCTCTTGATTTGTGGTGGAGGGTTCTGTAGATATCTATTAGGTCCTCTTGGTCCAGAGCTGCGTTCAAGTCCTGAATGTCCTTTTTAATTTTCTGTCTCATTGACCTGTCTAATATTGAGAGTGAGGTATTAAAGTCTTCCACAATTATTGTTTGGGAGTCTAAGTCTCTTTGTAGGTGTCTAAGAACTTGCTTTATGAATCTGGGTGCTCCTGTATTGGGTGCATATATATTTAGGATAGTTAGCTCTTCTTATTGAGTTGATCCCTTTACCATTACGTAATGCCTTTCTTTTTCTTCTTTGATCTTTGTTGGTTTAAAGTCTGTTTTATCAGAGACTAGGATTGCAATCCCTGCTGTTTTTTGTTTGTTTGTTTGTTTGTTTTTTGCTTTCCATTTGCTTGGTAAATATTCCTCCTTCCCTTTATTTTGAACCTATGTGTGTCTTTGCACCTGAGATGAGTCTCCTGAATACAGTGCACTGATGGATCTTGACTGTTTATCCAATTTGCCAGTCTGTGTCTTTTAATTGGGACATTTAGCCCACTTACATTTAAGGTTAATATTGTTATGTGTGAATTTGATCCTGTCATCATGATGCCAGCTGGTTATTTTGCACATTAGTTGATGCAGTTTCTTCATAGTGTCATTGGTCTTTATATTTTAGTGTGTTTTTGCAGTGGCTGGCACTGGTTGTTCCTTTCCATGTTTAGTGCTTCCTTAAGGAACTCTTGTAAGGCAGGCCTGGTGGTGACAAAATCTCTCAGCATTTGCTTGTCTGTAGAGGATTTTATTTCTCCTTTACTTACGAAAATTAGTTTGGCTGGATATGAAATTCTGGATTGAAAATTATTTTCTTTCAGAATGTTGAATATTGGCCTCCGCTCTTTTCTGGCTTGTAGGGTTTCTGCAGAGAGATCCCCTGTTAGTCTGATGGGCTTCCCTTTGTAGGTAACCTGACCTTTCTCTCTGGCTGCCCTTAATATATTTTCTTGTGTTTCAACCTTGGAGAATCTGACAATTATGTGTCTTGGGGTTGCTCTTCTTGAGGAGTATCTTAGTGATGTTCTTTGTATTTCCTGAATTTGAATGTTGGCCTGCCTTGCTAGGTTGGGGAAGTTCTCCTGGATAATATCCTGAAGTGTGTTTTCTAGCTTGGTTTTACTCTCCCCGTCACTTTAGGGACCCCAATCAATCGTAGGTTTGGTCTATTCACATAGTCCCATATTTCTTGAAGGCTTTTTTCATTTTTTTTCCTCTAATCTTGTCTTCACACCTTATTTTAGTAAGTTGATCTTCAATCTCTGATATCCTTTCTTCTGCTTGATCGATTCAGCTATTGATACTTGTGTATGCTTCACAAAGTTCTCGTGCTGTGTTTTCCAGTTCCATCAGGTGATTTATGTTCTTCTCTAAACTGGTTATTCTAGTTAGCAGTTTCTATAACATTCTGTCAAGGTTTTTAGCTTCCTTACATTGGGTTAGAACATGCTGCTTTAGCTCAGAAGAGTTTGTTATTACCCACCTTCTGAAGCTGACTTGTGTCAATTCATCAAACTCATTCTCTGTCCAGTTGTGTGCCTTAGCTGGAAAGGAGTTGCAGTCATTTGAAGGAGAAGAGGCATTCTGGTTTCTGGAATTTTCAGCATTTTTTACGCTGGTTTTTCCTCATCTTTGTGGATTTATCTACCTTTGATCTTTGAGGCTGATGACTTCTGGATGGGGTTTCTGTGTGGGGGTCCTTTTTGTTGATGTTGATGTTATTGTTTTCTGTTTGTTAGTTTTATTTCTAACAGTCAGACCCCTCTTCTGCAGGTCTGCTGCAGTTTGCTGGAGGTCCACTCTAGACCCTATTTGCCTGGGTATCACCAGCGGAGGCTGCAGAAGAGCAAAGATTGCTGCATGCTCCTTCCTCTGGAAGCTTTGTCCCAGAGAGGGACTGGCCTGATGCCAGGCAGAGCTCTAGTGTATGAAGTGTCTTTCAACCCCTGTAGGGAGGTTTCTCCTAGTCAGGAGGCAGGAGGGTCAGGGACCCACTTGAGAAGACAGTCTGTCCCTTCGCAGAGCTTGAGTGCTGTGCTGGGAGAACCCTCCTTATAAGGGTCCACTGCTCTCTTCAGAGCTGGCAAGCAGGAATGTTTAAGTCCACTGAAGCTGTGCCCACAGCTGCCCCTTCCCCTAGGTGCTCTGTTCCAGGGAGATGGGAGTTTTATCCATAAGCCCTTGACTGGGGTTGTTGCCTTTCTTTCAGAGATGACCTGCCCAGTGAAGAGGAATCTAGAGAGGCAGTCTGGCCACAGCCACTTTGCTGCGCTGTGTTGAGTTCCACCCAGTCCAAACTTCCAGGCCTCCTTAACACTGTCTGGGGAAAACTGCCTACTCAAGCCTCAATAATGGCAGACGCCTCTCCCTGCACCAAGCTGGATCATTCCAGGTTGACTTCAAACAGCTGTGCTGGCAGCAAGAATTTCAAGCCAGTGGCTCTTAGCTTGCTGTGCTCTGTGGGAGTGGGACCCACTCAGTGAGACCACTTGGCTGCCTGGTTTCAGATCTCTTTCCAAGGCAGTGAATGGTTCTGTCTCACTGGGGTTCCAGGCACCACTAGGGTACCAAAAAAGCAAACAAACAAAAAAACTCCTACAGCTAGCTCGGTGTCTGCCTGAACAGCTGCCCAGTTTTGTGCTTGAAACCCAGGGCCCTGGTAGTATATGCACACGAGGGAATCTCCTGGTCTGTGGATTGCAAAAGCCATGGGAAAAGCATAGTATCTGGGCCAGGTAGCACAATTCCTCACAGATTCCCTTGGCTGGGAAAAGGAGGCCCCTGGCTCCTTGCACTTCCTGGGTGAGGCAACTCCCCACCCTGCTTTTGCTCACCCTCTGTGGGCTGGACCCAATGAGATGAACAGGGTACCCCAGTTGGAAATGCAGAAATCAGTCCATTCCAAGATGGCCGAATAGGAATAGCTCCGGTCTGCAGCTCCTAGCGTGATCAATGCAGAAGATGGTGGTTTCTGCATTTCCAACTGGGGTATCAGGTTCATCTCTTTGGGACTTGTTGGACAGTGGGTGCAGCCCATGGAGGGTGAGCCAAAGCAGGGTGGGGCATCACCTCCCCCAGGAAGCACAAGGGGTCAGGGGATTTCCCTTTCCTAGCCAAGGGAAGCCGTGACAGACTGTACCTGGAAAATTGGGACACCCCCACCCTAATACTGTGATTTTTCAATGATCTTAGCAAACGGCACACCAGGAGATTATATCCTGTATCTGGATTGGTGGGTCCCATGCTCATGGAGCCTTGCTGACTGCTAGCACAGCAGTCTGAGATAGACCTGCAAGGCAGCAGCCTGGCAGGGCAAGGGGTGTCCACCATTGCTGAGGCTTGACTAGGTAAACAAAGTGGCTGGGGAAGCTCAAACTGGGCAGAGCTCACTGCAGCTCTGCAAGGTCTGCTGCCTCTGTAGACCCCACCTCTCGGGGCAGGGCATAGCTGAACAAAAGGCAGCAGAAACTTCTGCAGACTTAAACGTCCCTGTCTGACAGCTCTTAAGAGAGCAGTGGTTCTCCCAGTCCAGTGTTTGAGCCCTGAGAACAGACAGACTGCCTCCTCAAGTGGGTCCCTGAACTCTGTGTAGCCTAACTGGGAGACACCTCCCAGTAGGGGCTGACTGACACCTCATACAGGCAGGTGCCCCTCTGGGATGAAGCTTCTAGAGGAAGGATCAGGCAGCAATATTTGCTCTTCTGCAGCCTCTGCTGGTGATACCCAGGCAAACAGGGTCTGGAGTGGACCTCTAGCAAACTCCAACAGACCTGCAGCTGAGAGACCTGTCTCTAAGAAGGAAAACTAACAAACAGAAAGGAATAGCATCAACATCAACAAAAAGGACATCCACACCAAAACCCCATCGGTAGGTCACCAGCATCAAAGACCAAAGGTAGATAAAACCACAAAGATGGGAGAAACCAGAGCAGACAAGCTGAAAATTCTAAAAACCAGAGTGCCTCTTCTCCTCCAAAGTATCACAGCTCCTTGCCAGGAATGGAACAAAGCTGGATGGAGTATGACTTTGATAAGCTGACAGAAGTAGGCTTCAGAAGGTCTGTAATAACAAACTTCTCCGAGTTAAAGGAAGTTGTTCTAACCCATTGCAAGGAAGCTAAAAACCTTGAAAAAAGATTAGACAAATGGCTAACTAGAATAAACAGTGTAGAGAAGACCTGAAATGACCTGATGGAGCTGAAAACCATGGCACAAGAACTTGGTGACACATGGACAAACTTCAATACATGATTTGATCAAGTGGAAGAAAGGGTGTCAGTGATTGAAGATAAAATTAATGAAATAAAGTGAGAAGAGAAATTAAAGAAAAAAGAGTAAAAAGAAATGAACAAAGCCTCTAAGAAATATGGGACTATGTGTTGGGAACAAACCCCCCAAAATCTGGCCATATACTGGCTCCAAAACTGGCCATAAACAAAACCTCTGCAGCACTGTGACATGTTCATGATGGCCATAATGCCCACACTGGAAAGTTGTGGGTTTACCGGAATGAGGGCAAGGAATACCTGGCCCACCCAGGGTGGAAAACTGCTTAAAGGCATTCTTAAGCCACAAACAATAGCATGAGTGATCTGTGCCTTAAGGACATGCTCCTGCTGCAGTTAACTAGCCCAATCTATTCCTTTAATTCGGCCCGTCCCTTTGTTTCCCATAAGGGATACTTTCAGTTAATTTAATATCTATAGAAAAAATGCTAATGACTGGCTTGCTGTTAATAAATACATGGGTACATCTCTGTTCAAGGCTCTCAGCTCTGAAGGCTGTGAGACCCCTGATTTCCCACTTCACACCTCTATATTTCTGTGTGTGTGTCTTTAATTCCTCTAGCGCCGCTGGGTTAGGGTCTCCCCGACTGAGCTGGTCTTGGCAAGTGGCGTCCATCGTGGGGGCTCAAATCCAGGTTGAAGGGTCACCAGAGCAATGGTTGGAGAATGTGGAACTAGCTGGAGGACACCCGAGTACTCTTAAAGCAATCCCCGTGGTGAGTAAGAAGGGGAGCTCGGAAGCATCAGGGTAACAATGGGACAAGTGTGGGCTGTGATTCATTCCACCTTGGAACTTTTTCACACTGATGATGCGGAGGAAGGAGAGTATAATGAAGTAACAGAAGAGGTTACAGACCAGGTTTATTTGCCAGCTAAAGCTAAAGCGGCAAAGGAGGGAGAGGTTCATCCCTACCCTTGTGTTCCCCCTCATTATTTTGAAGAAAATGACCCTCCAGATCTTTCTTTTCCGGAGAACACTGGGCGAAAAGTAGTTGCCCCAGTGACTGTTTGAGCAGTGCCTTGAGCGATCACTCTTAGTTCTATTCAGGCAGGAATTCAGCAAGCTAGATGAGAGGGTGATTTAGAGGCTTGGCAGTTCCCTGTTAGAATACACCCCCCCAGATCAACAAGGAAATATTATAGCTACATTTGAGCCTTTTCCTTTTAAATTACTCAAAGAATTTAAACAAGCTATTCATACTAAAAAAGAATGTAGAAATAATCAGCGAGTCAGGCTGCCAGACAGGGGAAAAAAGAAAACTGCTGAGTCTGAAATATGTCCAAAATATAAAAAAGGAAAACATTGGGCTAATCAGTGTCACTCTAAGTTTGATAAAGAAGGGAACCTGATTTCGGAAAAAACCATGAGGGGCCCATCCCAGGCCCCATTCTAAACTGGGGCATTTCCAGTGCAGGCCATTCTCTCACCCCCATACAATGTCTGTCCCCCACCACAGCCAGTAGTGCCACAGTAGATTTATGCTGCACAAAATCTGTGAGCCTTCTGCCTGGGGAACCCCCACAAAAGGTCCCAACAGGAGTCTGTGGACCCTTGCAGAGGGTATGATATGATCACTTCTAGGAAGTTCTAGTTTAAATTTAAGAGGGGTACAAATACATACAGGAGTCATTGATTCAGATTACAATGGGGAAATTCAAATTGTTATATCTACTTCTGTTCCCTGGAAAGCAGAGCCAGGAGAGGGCGTAGCACAGCTCCTGATTGTGCCGTATGTGGAAATGGGGAAAAGTGAAATTAAATGAACAGGAGGATTTGGAAGTACAAATAAACAAGGCAAAGTAGCTTACTGGGTGAATCAAATTACTGATAAACGTCCTACTTGTGAAATAACTATTCAGGGAAAGAAATTTAAAGGTTTGGTAGATACAGGAGTGGACATTTCAATCATTTCTCTACAGCACTGGCCATCTGCATGGCCAATTCAACCCACTCAATTTAATATAGTTGGAGTTGGTAAAGTCCCTGAAGTATATCAAAGTAGTTATATTTTGCATTGTGAAGGGCCTGATGGACAACATGGGACTATTCAACCAATTATAACTTCTGTACCTATAAATTTATGGGGAAGAGATTTATTACAGCAATGGGGAGCAAAAGTTCTAATTCCAGAACAATTATATAGCCCTCAAAGTCAACATATAATGCATGAAATGTGGTATGTCCCTGGTATGGGACTAGAAAAAAATTTGCAAGATTTGAAAGAACCACTTCAAACAGAAAGACAAAGTTCTTGCCAAAGATTAAGGTATCATTTTTGATGGTGGCCATTGTTAAGCCTCCAGAACCTATACCTTGAAAATGGTTAACAGATAAGCCAATTTGGGTAGAACAATGGCTGCTAAGTAAAGAGAAACTGGAGGCTTTAGAGAAATTAGTTACTGAACAATTAGAAAACGGGCACATAGCTCCAACATTTTCGACTTGGAATTCTCCAGTTTTCCTAATTAAGAAAAAATCAGGTAAATGGAGAATGTTAACTGACTTAAGAGTTATCAACTCAGTTATACAACCTATGGGAGCATTACAGCCAGGATTGCCTTCTCCTGCTATAATTCCAAAAAATTGACTTTAATAGTCATAGATTTAAAAGACTGTTTCTTTACTATCCCTTTAGCTGAGCAAGACTATGAACGGTTTGCATTTACAATTCCTGCAGTAAACAACCTGCAGCCTGCTAAGCATTATCATTGGAATGTGTTGCCACAGAGCATGTTAAACAGTCCAACTATTTGCCAGACCTATGTAGGGCAAGCCATTGAACCTACTAGTAAAAAATTTTCACAGTGTTACATTATTCATTTTATGGATGATATATTTGTGCTGCCCCCACTCGAGAAATATTACTCCAATGTTAGATCACTTGCAAAATTCGATTTCTTGTGCTGGCTTAGTTATATTTCCTGACAAAATTCATACTACTCCTCCTTACTCTTACTTGGGGACCTTAGTAAATGACACTACCACTGTGCCACAGAAAGCAACCATACATAGGGATCAATTAAAAACATTAAATGACTTTTCAAAAATTACTAAGGGACATTAATTGGATATGACCTGCTCCAGGCATTCCTACCTATGCCCTGAGTAATCTGTTTTCTATCCTTAGAGAAAATCCCAGTCTCACTAGCCCTCGGCAATTAACAAATGAGGCTGAGGCACAGTTACAGCTAATTGAGAAGCAAATCCATAAAGCTCAAATAAATAGAATAGATCCAGAGAAGACTCTAGATTTGCTAATTTTTTCAACTCAGCATTCACCTACTGGTGTTATTGTACAAGAACAGGACTTAGTATACTGAGTGGCTTTTTCTTCCACATGCTAATTCACGGACTCTAACTCCTTATTTAGATCAAATCACTAATATGATAGGGATTGGGAGAACTCAGATTATTAAATTACATGGATATGATCCTGGAAAAATTATTGTCCCTCTCAAGAAGGCACAAATACAGCAAGCTTTTATAAATAGTCTTACTTGGCAAACCCATTTAGCTGATTATTCTTGATAATCATTTTCCTAAAATGAAACTGTTTCAGTTTTTGAAATTAACTAATTGGATTCTCCCTAAAATAACTAAATTTAAACCAATTGAAGGTGCCAAGAATATTTTTACAGATGGGTCTAGTAATGGTAAAGCTTCTTATTTTGGCTCAAAAAAGTAAAGTTTTCCAGACGCCTTATACTTCAGCTCAAAAAGCAGAGCTCGTAGCTGTAACTGAAGTATTGACTTCTTCTGATATGCTTATTAATGTGATTTCTGATTCTTCATATGTGGTTCATTCCACACAGTTAATTGAAAATGCTCAGTTACGATTCATACAGATGAACAACTGATGACTTTTTTTACCCAATTGCAAACAGCAGTTAGAAGTAGAATGCATCCTTTTTACATCACTCACATTAGGGCTCATACACCTCTTCCAGGACCTTTGACTGAAGGAAGTTAAATGGCTGATTGCCTAGTCGCTAATGCAATATCTAATGCTAGACACTTTCACAATTTAACCCATGTTAATGCCTCTGGTCTCAAACGCAGATACGGCATTACCTGGAAAGAAGCTAAAGCTATTATCCAGCGATGCCCAACTTGCCAAATGGTACATTCCTCATCTTTTACAGGAAGAGTTAATCCTTGAGGATTGGAACCTAACTCCCTTTGGCAAGTGGATGTCACACATTCCCTCGTTTGGGAGACTAGCTTATGTACATGTATGTGTGGTCACGTTTTCTCATTTTGTCTGTGCTACATGCCAATCAGGAGAGTCTTCTGCCTGTGTTAAACGTCACCTTTTGCAGTGTTTTGCGGTGATGGGCATTCCAGGTTCTATTAAAACAGATAATGCCCCAGGCTATACTAGCCAAGCTCTAGCTACATTTTTATCTATGTGGAATATTAAACACATTACTGGTATCCCATACAATTCTCAAGGACAAGCCATAGTGGAAAGAATGAATCTTTCCCTAAAACAGCAGTTGCAAAAGCAGAAAGTGGGAAACAGAGAACATGGAACCCCACAGATGCAAGTGAATCTAGCATTATTAACTTTAATTTTTTTGAGCCTGCCCAAAAGCCAGATGTTATCAGCAGCTGAACAGCATCTACAGAAACCAGCTGCAAAGATGGAAGCAGAACAACTGATTTGGTGGAGAGATCCAATAACAAAAAGTTGGGAAATAGGTAAAAGAATAACTTGGGGGAGAGGTTATGCTTGTGTTTCTCCAGGCCAAAATCAACAGCCAATTTGGATACCATCAAGACACCTGAAACCTTATCATGAGCCAGATTCCAGGAGGATCCTGAGGACCCTCTGGTTGCAGCCATGTTGAGACCGATGCTGAGGAGGACCCCAACTGTCATGAGCAACACCTGTTGAACACAGCCAATTACCTGGGGACAGATCAAGAAGCTGTCACAGATGGTGGAAGAAAACCTGAGGAAAGCAGGAAAACCAGTCGCAACGAGTAATTTAATGGTAGCTATGATAGCAGTTGTCACCACTGCCATGAGTATTCCTTCAACAAGGGCTGACACAGAGAACCATTATACTTATTGGACATATTTATCAATCCTGGCTGGTAATAATGCCTGGATATAATCACTCTATGACACAGTTACACATGCTTTCTGGTCTCAGTATTTAACATAATAAATCTGCTCCTATAATTGAGGCATACCACCCTCAAAAACCTATTTGTAAACAAAATTGAACCTGGCCAGAAATAATGAAGGTACTTGTTTAGGAATATTGCATTGCAGAACAGGCAGAGGTGCTGCGCAAAGATTCCTATGGAATCATTATTAATTGGTCCCCTAAGGGGATGTTTAGCTGGAATTGCACCTCCAAGTCCGCATGCCATGGCCACACTATGTTCAGCTGATCTGAACAAAACGGTCAGATGGTAGAAATGATAAGAAGTATGGCAAGAGTTCCTATTACCTGGAGCCATGGTAGTATAGTGGCACCTCTACCACAAATGATATGGCCCGCTGTAGGAGCTAAACACAAGGATTTGTGGAAATTATTAATAGTTCCTAATAAGATCAAAATTTGGGAAAGAATAAAAAAGCATATAGAAAGACACTCTACAAATTTGTCTTTGGATACTGCAAAATTAAAAGAACAAATATTTAAAGCATCCCAGCAACACCTGACCTTAATGCCAGGAACTGGAGTGCCTAAAGGAGCTGAAGACAAATTAGCAGCTAGTAACCCATTAAAATGGATAAAAACACTTGGAAGCTCTGTAATTTCAATGATGATTGTGCTTTTGTATAGTCTGCAGATGTGGATCCTGACTCCTGTGAGAAGTAGCTCACGGTGACAAAGCTGCCTTTGCTTTTACTGATTTGCAAATCAAAGAAGGGGGACATCAGGGGAACAAACCCCCCAAAATCTGGCCATATACTGGCTCCAAAACTGGCCATAAACAAAATCTCTGCAGCACTGTGACATGTTCATCATGGCCATAATGCCCACACTGGAAGGTTGTGGGTTTACCGGAATGAGGGCAAGGAACACCTGGCCTGCCCAGGGTGGAAAACTGCTTAAAGGCATTCTTAAGCCACAAACAATAGCATGAGCAATCTGTGCCTTAAGGACATGCTCCTGCTGCAGTTAACTAGCCCAACCTATTCCTTTAATTCGGCCCATCCCTTCGTTTCCCATAAGGGATACTTTTAGTTAGTTTAATATCTACAGAAACAATGCTAATAACTGGCTTGCTGTTAATAAATAGGTTGATAAATCTCTGTTCAAGGCTCTCAGCTCTGAAGGCTGTGAGACCCCTGATTTCCCACTTCACATCTCTATATTTCTATGTGTGTGTCTTTAATTCCTCTAGTGCCGTTGGGTTAATGTCTCTCTGACCGAGCTGGTCTCAGCACTATGTGAAAAGACCAGCTCTACATTTGATTGGTGTAGCTGAAAGTGACGGGGAGAATGGAACCAAGTTGGAAAACACTCTTCAGGATATTATACAGGAGAACTTCTCCAACCTAGCAAGGCAGGCCAACATTCAAATTCAGGAAATACAGAGAACATCACTAAGATACTCCTCCAGAAGAACAACCCCAAGACACATAATAGTCAGATTCACCAAGGTTGAAATGAAGGAAAAATTGTTAAGAGTAGCCAGAGAGAAAGGTCAGGTTACCCACAAAGGGAAGCCCATCAGACTAACAGCAGATCTCTCAGCAGAAACTCTACAAGGCAGGAGAGAGTGGGGGCTAATATTCAACATTCTTAAAGAAAAGAATTTTCAACCCAGATTTGATATCCAGCCAAACTAAGTTTCGTAAGTGAAGGAGAAATAAAATCCTTTACAGACAAGCAAATGCTGAGAGATTTTGTCACCACCAGGCCTGCCTTACAAGAGCTCCTGAAGGAAGCACTAAACATGGAAAGGAACAACCGGTACCAGCCACTGCAAAAACATACCAAATTGTAAAGACCATCAATGCTAGGAAGAAACTGCATCAACTAATGGGCAAAATAACCAGCTAACGTCATGATGACAGGATCAAATTCACACATAACAATATTAACCTTAAATATAAATGGGCTAAATGCCCCAATTAAAAGACACATACTGGCAAATTGGATAAACAGTGAAGACCCATCAGTGTGCTGTATTCAGAAGACCCAACTCACGTGCAGAGACACACATAGGTGCAAAATAAAGGGAAGGAGGAAGATCTACCAAGCAAATGGAAAGGAAAAAAAGCAGGGATTGCAATCCTAGTCTCTGATAAAACAGACTTTAAACCAACAAAAATCAAAAGAGACAAAGAAGGCCATTACATAATGGTCAATGGATCAATTCAACAAGAAGAGCCAACTATGCTAAATATATATGCACCCAATACAGGAGCACCCAGATTCATAGAGCAAGTTCTTAGACACGTACAAAGAGACTTAGACTCCTACACAATAATAATGGGAGACTTTAACACCCCACAGTCAATAGAAGATAGATCAACAAGACAGGGTTAACAAGAATATCCAGGACTTGAACTCAGCTCTGCACCAAGCAGACCTAATAGACATCCACAGAGCTCTCCATCCCAAATCAACAGAATATACATTCTTCTCAGCATCACATCGCACTTATCCCAAAATTGACCACATAGTTGGAAGTAAAGCACGCCTTAGCAAATGTAAAAGAACAGAAGTCACAACCAACTGTCTCTCAGACCACAGTGCAATCAAATTAGAACTCAGGATTAAGAAATTCACTAAAAACTGCACAACTACATGGAAACTGAACAACCTGCTCCTAATGACTACTGGATAAATAACGAAATGAACGCAGAAATAAAGATGTTCTTTGAAACGAATGAGAACAAAGACACAACTTACCAGAATCTCTGCGACACATTTAAAGCAGTATATAGAGGGAAATTTAAGCACTAAATGCCCACAAGAGAAAGCAGGAAAGATCTAAAATTGACACCCTAACATCACAATTAAAAGAACTACAGAAGAAATAGCAAGCAAATTCAAAAGCTAGCAGAAGGCAAGAAATAACTAAGATCAGAGCAGAACTGAAGGAGATAGAGATACAAAATCCCTTTAAAAAACCAATGAATCCAGGAACTGGTTTTTTGAAAAGATCAACAAAATTGATAGCCCCCTAGCAAGAATAATAAAGAAGAAAAGAGAGAAGAATCAAATAGACGCAATAAGAAATGATAAAGGGATATCACCACTGATCCCACAGAAATACAAACTACCACCAGAAAATACTATAAGCACCTCTATGCAAATAAACTAGAAAATCTAGAAGAAATGAATAAATTCCTGGACACATACACCCTCCGAAGACTAATCCAGGAGGAAGTTGAATCTCTGAATAGACCAATAACAGGCTCTGAAATTGAGGCAATAATGAATAGCCTACCAACCAAAAAAAGTCCAGGACCAGACGGATTCACAGCCAAATTCTACCAGAGGTATGAAGAGGAGCTGGTATCATTCCTTCTGAAGCAATTCCAGTCAATAGAAAAAGAGGCAATCCTCCCTAATGCATTTTATGAGGCCAGCGTCATCCTGATACCAAAGCCTGGCAGAGACACAACAAAAAAAGAGAATTTTAGACCAATGTCCCTGATGAACATTGATGCAAAAATCCTTAATAAAATACTGGCAAACAAATCCAGCAGCACATCTAAAAGCTTATCCACCATGATCAAGTTGGCTTCATGCCTGGGATACAAGGCTGGTTCAACATACACAAATCAATAAACATAATCCATCACATAAACAGAACCAAAGACAGAAACCACATGATTATATCAATAGATGCAGAAAAGGCCTTTGACAAAATTCAACAGTGCTTCATGCTAAAAGCTCTCAATAAACTAGGTATTGATGTGGTGTATCTCAAAATAATAAGAGCTATTTATGACAAACTCACACCCAATATCATACTGAATGGGCAAAAACTGGAAGCATTCACTTTGAAAACTGGCATGAGATAGGGATGCCCTCTCTCACCACTCCTATTCAACATAGTGTTGGATGTTCTGGCCAGGGCAATCAGGCAAGAGAAAGAAATAAAGGGTATTCAATTAGGAAAATAGGAATTCAAATTGTCCCTGTTTGCAGATGACATGATTGTATATTTAGAAAACCACATCGTCTCAGCCCCAAATCTCCTTAAGCTGATAAACAACTTCAGCAAAGTCTCAGGATACAAAATCAATGTGCAAAAATCACAAGCATTCCTATATACAAATAATAGACAAATAGAGAGCCAAATCATGAGTGAACTCCTATTCACAATTGCTACAAAGAGAATAAAATACCCAGGAATCCAACTTACAAGGGATGTGAAGGACCTCTTCAAGGAGAACTACAAACCACTGCTCAACGAAATAAAAGAGGACACAAATAAATGGAAGAACATTCCATGCTCATGGATAGGAATAATGAATATCATGAAAATGGCCATAATGCCCAAGGTAATTTATAGATTCAATGCCATCCCCATCAAGCTATCAATGACTTTCTTCACAGAAGTGGAAAAAAATACTTTAAAGTTTATATGGAATCAAAAAAGAGCCTGCATTGCCAAGACAATCCTAAGCAAAAAGAACAAAGCTGGAGGCATCAGGCTACCTGACTTCAAACTATACTACAGGCTACAGTAACAAAAACAGCATGGTACTGGTACCAAAACTGAGAGATAGACCAATGGAACAGAACAGAGGCCTCAGAAATAACACCACACATCTCAAAAAAAGAAAAAAAAGTCAGGAAACAACAGATGCTGGAGAGGATGTGGAGAAATAGGAATATTTTACACTGTTGGTGGCAGTGTAAACTAGTTCAACCATTATGGAAGACAGTATGGTGATTCCTCAAGGATTTAGAACTAGAAATACCATTTGACCCAGTGATCCTATTGCTGGGTATATACCCAAAGGATTATAAATCATGCTATTATAAAGACACATGCACACGTATGTTTATTGCAGCACTATTCACAATAGCAAAAACTTGGAACCAACCCAAATGTCCATCAATGATAGACTGGATTAAGAAAATGTGGCACATATACACCATGGAATACTATGAAGCCATAAAAAAGGATGAATTCATGTCCTTTGCAGGGACATGGATGAAGCTGGAAACCATCATTCTGAGCAAACTATCACAAGGACAGAAAAACAAACACTGCATGTTCTCACTCATAGGTGGGAATTGAACAATGAGAACACTTGGACACAGGGTGGGGAACATCACACATGGGGGCCTGTCATGGGTTGGGGGGCAGGGGGAGGGATAGCATTAGGAGAAATACCTAATGTAAATGATGAGTTAATGGGTGCAGCAAACCAACATGGCACATGTATACCTATGTAACAAACCTGCGGGATGGGCACATGTACCCTAGAACTTAAAATATAACTAAAAAAAAAAAAAAAAAAGGAAATGCAGAAATCACCCATCTTCTGTGTTGGTCTCACTGGGAGCTGCAGACCAGAGCTATTCCTATTTGGCCATCTTGCCAGATCTCCTGTTCTTTTTTTCATTATTGAGTTTTAAGAATTCTTTGTGTATTTTGGAGAATAGTTCTTTATCATATATGTCTTTTACAACAAGTAGCTTCCTCCCTCATCTCTTTACTCTTTTCCACATAATCCTATTTATTTCCTTCTTGGCAGTTATCTCAATCTTGAGTACCTATTTATTTAGGTGTTTTATTTTTTGGGTTAACTAAAAGAAGGATGAGAAGTGGAGATCTGTAGGCTTCTTAGGTAGGGGAGACTTAAGACTTTCCTTGTTTTCGCCACTCCTCTACTTGTTTTCCCCCTGAGAGATGATGTGTGAGTTCTGATCCTCTGGAAGCAGATGCCAAGATGTAGTTGGAAATGTGAGACATATATGGGGCAAAATAGCCATGAAAGCTAATGGGGGCAATTGAGAAAGGAGTAGGGAAAGAGAGTAAGTTGAAGCAGGGCAGGTGAACCCCAAAATTGGGGCTTAGCCTGGGAGGGTTCTTGGCTTCACCCAGGAAGGAATTCAAGGCTGAGTTGGTGGTGTTAGCAACTTTTATTCAAACAACAGTATGCAGCAGCAGTAGAGGTACTGCTTCTTGAGGATCAGGGCTACTCCATAGGCAGTGTGCCCAGAGTAGCAGCTCAGAGGCAGTTCTGTAGTCATAGTTACACCCACTTTTAACCACATGTAAATTAAGGGATGGATTATGCAGCAATTTCTGGGAAAATGTTGATAACTTCTGGGTCATCACGTTGCCATGGAAAGGAGCGATAACTTCCAGGTGTTGCCATGGCAATGGTAAACTGACACAGCACACTGGTGGATGTGTCTTATGGGAAGCTGTTTCTGATAAAGAATGGCTGGGTTCCCAGCTAAACCCCACCCTCAAGCTTGGAACCTTGGCCCTAAGTGAAAATAGTGGACACAGCCCAGCCTGAAGGGTCAGCTGTTTTCACTTAGGGCCAAGGTTCCAAGCTTGAGGGTGGGGTTTAGCTGGGAGCTCAGCAGTTCTGTATCACTTCTACCCTGATACTGTTTTAGTTCTCAGTTTGGTCTGGTGTCCAAGCCCCATCTCTGGAGTGAAGTCCCACCTCCTACCTCAAAAGAAGAGAGAAAAGGAAGGAACATTGGGTAGGAAGAAGCTCAAACTGTGGCACAGCTCTGAGAATGTCTCAGCAATCTGATGAGGAGTTCTCAGGTGAACTATGCCCATTAGAGGAGTCCTGCACTGGGAAACAATTACCTGGCTCTAGTCCCCTGTCATCACCATCATGGGAAGAGCACTGGAGAACATGGCTTTTTCATGAATACTGCGGCATATCCCAAAGGAACATGGGCTTGGGGCTGTCCACTAAGCACACTCCTTGAACAGGTTCTAATTTGAGGGGAGAGCTGATTGGTGCTGTCCAAGATTGTCACAGGAAGGGTTACTCTGGATTGGTTGGACTTAAGGACACTGAGCCTTTTTTTTTTTTTTCTGTTGGATGGGTCGTTGAGCATTAAAAGCTTAAGGATAGAAGGTAGAGCAACCAGAACTCTCACACCTTGCTGGTGGGAATGTAAAATGGAACAAGCACTTTGGAAAGAAATTTGACCTGCTTTGTAACATTAAACATAAGCTTATCTGTTGAGCAAACATTTCCAGTCCTAGGTATTTATTTAAGAGAAATAAAAACTTAATTTTTACACAGATACTTATAAAAGAATACTCATCACAATTTTATTCAAAGTACCCCAGTACTGGAAATAGCAAAAATGTCCATTATCAGGAGAATGCATAAACAAATTGTAGCATGTGCATGCTATAGAAACCTACTCAGCAATAAAGAACAAATTACTGATATATAGCAAGTTTGCCAAAGGGATACATCCAGGTAATCCTCATCTGATCACAATGTAGAACATTAGACAAAGTTTCTTTGTGTCCCTTCCCAGTCAATTCCTTTCTCTGGATATATTAGCTTGCTTGGGCTGTGTTTTGTAAATACCAATTCTTCATAATTTGGTCTTGAGAGCCCCACCTCTTAATACCTTTGCACTGGGGATTAAGTTTCAACATGAATTTTCAAGGAGACACAAATATTCAAACTATAGCACTCTGCCTCTGCTTGCCAACAGTTTATATCTTTCTCACATACAAAATACATTTATTCCACCCTAGTAACCCCAAAAGTCTTAAGTCATTCCAGCATCAACTTTAGAGTCTAAGTTGAAATCTCATCTAACTATCATCTAAACAAAGGAGGATAAGTGCAAATTCTCCTCCTTGATTTTGATGACATTTAGATGATGATATTCAGATGTGAGCCTGTTGAGCCACCTCTCTTTATGGTGGCTATAAATATAGCCTGACCAGGAAAGCAGTTAGGTTCAGGTGTGTCGGTCAGGTGAGACACAAAGGAGGCAGCACAACAAAGCACATGGAATAACAGAAGCAGTTTTGTTACTTACATGTCCCAGAGAGAAGAGGACAGCATGCCTCATAGGACCAACAGGAAGGGGGATGCAGAACATGCATGCTTTTCTCAGCCAGTGTGTAGAAAGCAAGAGAGAGAGAGAGAGAGTGAGGGACCTGTAGGTCAAAGCCTTTACTGGGGTCCAACACATTACCCAAGCACGTTCCTGTGGGGGGTTCTCTCTGGTGGGTTTAGAGCAAGTAGGCCAAGTTCCATGGGTTCATGCTGTGGCTGAGAGGTGGTCCTTGTGGCATATCTGAGCAGTGCTTGAAGGGTGTAGGGAACAAGAGGAGTGAGCCAAGTATGTTGTACCTAGCTGTCCCATAAGGAGGTTGGAGAGGTGGTCACCAGAGGCAGAGGTTTAAGGCAGATATCTGGACTGACCATAGAGGAACTGGGATGAAATATAGAACCAGAAACTGTCAACGGTGACTGCACCCTGCTTCTGGTATGAGAAAGTTCAGCTTATATTAAAATGGATGCCAAGGAAATATAAAATTATGAGAATTTACTACAGGCTGCCATAGACAAGTACCACAAAGGCTGGGTGTGGTGGCTCATGCATGTAATCCCAGAACTTTGGGAGGCCGAGGCAGGTGGATCACGAGGTCAGGAGTTCAAGACCAGCCTGACCAACGTGGTCTCTACTAAAAATACAAAAATTAGACAGGCATGGTGGCACATGCCGGTAATCTCAGCTACTAAGGAGGCTGAGGCAGGAGAATCGCTTGAACCCAGGAGGCAGAGTTTGCAGTAAGCCGAGACCGAGCCACTGTACTCCAGCCTGGGTGACAGAGTGAGACTCCATCTCAAAAACAAAACAAAACAAAACAAAAACAAAAACAACAACAAAAGAAACAAAACAAAAAAGTACCACAGACTGGGGGTCTTAACAGAAGTTTTTTCACTGTGGGCCAGGCACGATGGCTCATGTCTGTAATACTAGGACTTTGGGAGGCCGACGTGGGGGGACCACGAGGTGAAGAGATTGAGACCATCCTGGCCAACATAGTGAAACCCTGTCTCTACTAAAAACACAAAAATTAGCTGGGCGTGGTGGTGCACGCCTGCAGTCCCAGCTGCTAGTTCAGCGGCTGTGTTCCCTTAGGGTGTGGAGCGTGTCTTCTATCAGATCAAGAGCTCCTTCTGAGCAGCAGATGCCTCCCATTGGATTGGGAGCTCCCCAAAAGTTGCAGTTGGCCACCTATGTCATGGAGCTTTCCCACTATGTTTTCTTCCAGTAGTTTTAAATTTTTCAGGTCTTACATTTAAGACTTCAATCCATTTTGAGTTGATTTTCATACGTGGTGTGAGATAAGGGTCTAATTTGATTCTTCTGCATGTGGATATCTAGTCCCAACATCATTTATGAAGACATTGTTTTTTCCCCATTGTGCATTTGTCTTAGTCCATTTGTGCTGCTACAATAAAATACCAGCAACCAGGTAATTTATAAACAATAGAAATTTATTTCTCACTTACGAATGCTAGGTTCAAGATCAAGGTGCCTACAGGTTCAGTGTCTGCTGAGAGCCTGGTCTCTGCTACCAAGATGGTGCCTCATTGCTCTGTTCTCCAGGGGGTGGTGGGGAATGGGTGCTGTGTCTTCACATGGGGAGGGTCAGAAGGGCAAAAAGAGCTAAATGCTATATGAAGTCTCTTTTATAAGGGCTTTAATCCCATTCATGAAGGAGGAGCCATCATGACCTAATCACTGCCTAAAGTCCCCACCTCTTAATACTTTTGCATTGGGGATTACATTTCAACATGAATTTTCAAGGGGACACAAACACTCAAACTATATCGCTCTGCCTCTGCCTGCCAACAGTTCATAGTTTTCTTAAATACAAAATACATTTATTCCACCCTAGTAAACCAAAAAATCCTAACTCATTCTGGCATCAACTTTAGAGACTAGTCAGAAATCTCATCTAAATATCATCTAAACCAAGGAGGATAATTGCAAATTCTCCTCCTTGATTTAGATAATATCTAGATGTGAGCCTCTTTAGATGTGAAATCTAACAAGTTATGTGCTTCCAAAATACAGTGGTGGCACAGGAATTCTCATTTTGAAAAGAAGAAATAGGAAAGATGAAAAAGGTAACTGATCCCAGGTAAGTCCCAACCCCAACAAGATAAAAAAAATTAAATCTTGAGGCTTGAGAATAATCTTTGACACCACGTCCTGCCTCCAAGACACACTGGGGCAGGGGTTGTGTCCCCAAGGCTCTGGGGGACTGAGCCCCATGACTTTGCACGGTGCAGCCTACATTACAGCTTTCGTGGGTTGGAGTCTAGTGCCTGAGACTCTCCTTGACTGCAGTTGCACGTTGGTGGCTCTACAGTTTTGTGGTCTTTGGGGTGACCCCACTGTCATGGTTCCACCAGACATCCTTATGGAGTCTCTCTGTGGCAGTCTTGATGCCATGGCCCCACTGGGCATTGCCTTAGTGGAGGCTGTCTGCAGCGGCCCCACCCCTGTGGCAGTTCTCTTCCTGGGCCCTAAGGCTCTCTGGGACATACTTTGAATTCTAGATAGAGGTATCCTTCCATGCTTCTACACCTCTTGCACTGTGCACACTGTCAGAATTATCACCATGTGCAGGCTGCCAAGGGTTACCCCCATGGCATCCAGAGGGGTGGCCTGAGCCACAGTTTAGCCCATTTGAGCCAAAGGTGGGGTGGCTGAGAAATCTAAGCCAATCTGCAGGGGGCAGAGACATGAGATGCCACAGGGAAGTGAGCTCCACGGTCCTATGGGCACCCTGGGCCCCTCCCTTGAAACCATTCTGCCTCCAAAGCCCTGACACTCAGGCCTTCAGTGGCAGCCCTGAAGATCTGCAAAATGTCTTCAGGGTCATTTTTTCATTGTCTTGATAAGTAGCATCTAACTTTCTTCTATCCATACTAATCTCTTTCAAATGTTCACTTGGCCACACTTCTGATATTTTCTCCCAAACACGACTTTTTATTTTTTACAGGAAGGCTGAGAATTTTCCAAATCTTTAAGTTATGCTTGCCTTTTGATTATAAATTCTGTCTTTAATTTGTTTCTCTCTTCTCACATTTTGCTACAAACAATCAAAAGAAGTCATGCTGCTCCTTCAATACTTCATGTAGATATTTCTTCCACCAAAATCCTCCTTCATTGCTTGCAAATTCTGCCCTCCACAAAACATGAAGACATTGACACAAGGCCACCAAGTTCCTTGCCACCTTACAACAAGGATGGTTTTTCTTCCAGTTTCCAATAAGACATTCCTGATTTTCATCTAAGACTTTATCAGAATGTTCTTTACTATTCATATTTCTACCAGCATTTTGATTATGACCATCTAATCTCTAAGAAGACTGCGGCTGTCTCTACAGCTATCTTCTTTGGAGCCTTCAGCAGAATTGTTATTAATGTTCTCTTTAAAGCAATCCAGGCTTTTTGTAGCATACACTTAAAAACTATCCCAGCCTCTACCCAGTACCCCATTTCAAAGCCACCTCTACATTTTCAGGTATTTGTTAGAGCAACATGTCACTTCTCAGTTCTAATTTCTGTCTTAGTCCATTTGTGTTGCTATAAAAAAAATGCCACAAACTGGGTAACTTATAAACAACAAAAACTTATTTCGCAGAGTTCCAGAGGCTGAGAAGTTCAAGATTAAGGCTCTGGCAGGTTCAGTGTTTGGTGAAAGCCTGGTCTTTGCTTCTAAGATGGCACCTTTTTGATGTGTCCTCGAAGGGACAGATGCTGTGTCCTCACATGGCAGAAGGGACAGAAAGGCAAAAAGGGCTAAATGCTGAAACCTCTTATATAAGGATCTTAATCCCATTCATGAGGGAGAAACACTCATGACCTAATCAACCCCTAAAGGTCCCACCTCTTAATACTATGGCATTGGGGATTAAGTTGCAACATGAATGTTGAAGAGGACACAAATATTTAAACCACAGCAGGGTTCTTGGCACTTTTGTCACAAATCAATTGATCATAAATGCATGGACTTATTTCTGGGCTCTCCATTCTGTTCCGTTGATGTATGTGTCTGTTTTTTATGCCAATGCCATGCTGTTTCGATTACTATAGCTTTGTAGTATATTTTAAAGTCTGGTGGTATGATGACTCCAGTTTTGTTCTTTTTGCTCAAGAGTACTTGGGTATTTGGGGTCTCTTGTGATTTCCAAGGGTCTCTTTTGTTTTATTTCTGTGAAAAATGCCACTGGAGTTTTCATAGGGATTGCATTGAATCTGTAGATCACTTTGGGTAGTATGAACATTTTAACAATATTAATTCTTTCAGTCCTTGAACATAGGATATTTTTTCATTTACTTGTGTCTTCTCCAATTTCTTTCATCAATGTTTTATAGTTTTTAGTGCACTGGACTTTCACTTCTTTCATTAAATTTATTCCCAAGTATTTTATTTTGCAATAGCTATTTGAAAAGGGGATTATTTTCTGGATTTTCATATTTAGGGTAGTTTATTATTAATGTATGGAAATGGTACTTTTTGTATGTTGAATTTATTTATTTATTCTTCAACCTCTGGAAGCACAGAACATTTATGTTGATTTTACATCCTGCAATTTTACTGAATTCCTTTATTAGTTATAACAGGTTTTTTAGTGGAGTCTTTAGAGTGTTTTATATATATAAGATTATGTTATCTACAAACAGAGACAATTTAACTTCTTTTCCAATTTGGTCACCTTTTATTTTCTTCTCTTGCCTAATTGTTCTGGCTAGAACTTCCAGTGGCAAGAGTGAGCACCTTGTCTTGTTCCTGATCTTAGGGGGAAAGTTTGCAACTTTTCACTGTTGAGTATGATGCTAGCTGTGGGTTTGTCATATATGACCTTTATTGTGCTGAAGTACATTCCCTGTATAGCGAATTTGTGGAGAGTATTTTCATGAAAGGGTGCTAAATTTTGTCAAATGCTCTTTCTGTATTTCCTGTGATGATCATATGGGGTTTCTCCTTCATTTTGTTTATGTGGTGTATCAAATTTATAGATTTGTGTATGTTAAAGTATCATTGTATCCCTGGTGTAAATCCCACTTGATCATGGTAAACAATCTCTTTAATGTGCTACTGAATTTGGTTTAGTAGTATTTTTCGAGGATTTTTCTTCTATGCTCATCAGGGGTATTGGTATATAATTTCCTTTGCTTTTAGTGTCTTTGTCTGGCTTTGCTACTGTGGTAATGACGGCCTCATAAAATGAATTTGGAAGTGTTTCCTCTTCTTCAGGTTTTTAAGTGTTTGATGAAACTCAACAGTAAAGCCATCATGTCCAGGACTTTTCTTTGTTTGGATGTTTTTTCATTACTGATTCAATCTCCTTGTTCATTATTGGTCTGTTCAGATTTTCTATTTATTTGTGATTCAGTCTTGGTAGTTTGTATGTGTCTAGGAATTATCCACTTCTAGATGATCCAATTTGTGGACATCTAATTATTCACAGTAGTATCTTATGATCTTTTGTATTTCTGTGTTATCAATTGTAATGTCTCCTTTTTCATATTTGATTTTATTTATTTGAGTTTTCTCTTTTTCTTAGTCTAGATAAAGGTTTGTTTATTTGATGTATCTCTTCAAAACACCAACTTAGTTTTGTTGATCTTTTCTACTGTTTTTCTGGTTTCTATTTTACTTATTTCTGCTCTGGTCTTTATTATTTTCTTTCTCCTCTTAACTTTGAGATTAGTTTGTTTTGTTTTCTAGTTCCTTGAATTATAATATTAGGTTGTTTAAGATCTTCATTTTTCTATGTAGGTATTTATTGTTATAAACTTCCTTCTTAGAACTGCATTTGCTGTATATTGTAAGTTTTGGTGTGTTGTGTTTCCATTGTTGTTTGCCTGAAGTTATTTTTATTTTTGCTTTTAATTTATTGACCCACTGATTGTTCAGGAGAATATTGTTTAATTTCCATGTATTTGTGAATTTTCCAAAATTTATTGTTATTGATTTCCTTTCATACCATTGTGGTTGGAAGATACCAGATATGATTTAAATCTTTTTAAATTTCTCCCTTCAGATCTATTAATATTTTCTTTATGTATTCCAGTGTTCTGATGTTAAGTGCATATATACTTATAATCATATCCTCTTGATTATTTGACTCCCCCTAAACTTAACTACTAATAGCCTATTATTGACTGGAAGTCTTACTCCTTCATTGTAAGAATAAGGTACATAATACTTATAACATGCAAAATGTGTGTGAATCAACTGTTTATGTTATCAGTAAGGCTTCCAGTCAATAATAGGCTATTAGTAGTTAAGTTTTGGGGGAGTCAAAATTATATGTGGATTTTCAACTGCAAGGGGAGGTGGGAGTGTTTGTACCCCTAACCCCTGTGTAGTTCATGAGTCATACATATAGGTTTTTGCTTTGTAGTTACCATGAGGTTTACAAAAAGCATTTTATGGTTATAACACGTTTTAAGTTGATAACTTAACTTTGACTACATTAAAATAAGGTCTGCACTTTTATTCGCCCTTTCTACCATTTAAAATTTTTGGTGTCACAAATTTAAAAAAATTTTTATATTGTGTGTCCCTTAGAAATTATTGTAGCCATTATTATTTTTAATAGTTTTATCTTTTAACCTTCATACTAAAGACATAAATGATTTATACACCACCAGTATAGTATTAGAGTATTTTGAATTTTACTGTGTACTTACTTTACCAGTGAATCTTATGTGTTTTCTTGTTATTGATTAGCATCCTTTTCTTTCAGCTTAAAGAGCTTCTTTTAGCATTTCCTGTAAAACAAATCAGGTGGTGATGAACTCCCTCAGCTTTCATTTATCTGGAAAGCCTTTCTGTTTTTCATTTATGAAGAATAGCTTTGCCAGGTATGATTTTTTTTAATGGAGTCTCATTCTCACCAAGGATGGAGTGCAGTGGTGTGAACTCGGCTCACTGCAACCTCTGCCTCCTGGGTTCAAGTGATTCTCGCACCTCAGCCTCCTGAGTAGCTGGGATTACAGGCGTGAGCCACCACACACAGCTAAATTTTGTATTTTTAGTAGAGATGGGGTTTCATCATGTTTGCCAGGTTGGTCTTGAACTCCTGACTTCAAGTGATCCACTCGCCTTGGTCTCCCAAAGTGCTGGGATTACTGGCGTAAACCACCACGCCCAGCCTGGATATTATATTTTTGATTGACAGATTTTTTTTTCCTTTAGCAACTTTGAATATATCATCCCACTCTCTTTTGGCCTGTAAGGTTTCTGCTGAGAAGTTTGCTGCTAGCCTTATTAGAACTCTGTTATATATTATTTGCTTCTTTCCTCTTGCTGTTTTCAGGATCTTTTCTTTGTCCTTGATTTTTGACAGTTTGATTTATGTCTTGATGTAGTTATGTTTGGATTGAATCTGATTGGAGACTTTTGACCTTTCTATACCTGGATATTTATATCTTTTTAAAAATTTGGAAAGTTTTCTGCTATTATTTGTTGATATACACATTGTATCTCTTTGTGTTTCTCTTCTCTAACTGAAACATTTGCTTTTTTGATACTGCCCATAAGTCCTATAAACTTTATTCATTTCTTTTTATTCCTTTTTCTCTTCTAACGGTGCATTTCCAAATAATCTGACTTCAAGTTTACAGATTTTTTTCTGCTTGTGTCTACTGTTGATACTGTGTATTACATTTTCCATTTCATTCATTGTGTTTTTTAGTTCCAGAATTTCTGTTTGCTTTTTTGCTTTCATTATGACTTTTTAAATTGACATATAATAATTGTATTTATTTGTGGGGCTCAGTGTGATATTTTGATATAGGTATATAATATGTGTAATGATCAAACCAGGGTAATGAGCATATCCATCACCACAAACATTTATCATTTATTTGTATTGAGAACATTTAAAATCCATTCTTCTAGCTATTTGAAAATATACAATAATTTGTTGTTATTTATAGTCACAATATAGTGCTATAGAACACTGGGACCTATTCTTCCTACATGGCTGTACTTTTGTATCCATTAGCCAACCCTTGATAGTGTCCTCTCTTCCCTTCCCTTTTCTGCCTCTAGTACCACCATTCTACTCTCCATGTTGGTGAGATCAACTTTTTAAGTTTCCATATGTTAGTGAAAACATAGAGTATTTCCCTTTCTGTGCCTGAATTTTTCATTTAACATAATGTCCTCCAAGCTCATCCATATTGTTGTGAATTATAGAATTTCATTCTTTTAATGGATAAACAGCATTCCATTATGTATATATACCACATTTTCTTCATTCATGTGTTTATAGACACTTAGGTTGATTTCATATCTTAGCTATTGTGAATAGTACTGCAATAAACATGGGAGCACAGATAGCTCTTTGTTACACTGATTTCCTTTCCTTTGGATGTGTATACTCAGTAGTGGGATTGCTAGACCATTGGTAGTTTTAGTGTTTTGAAAAACTTCCATATTATTTTCCACAATGGCTGTACTAATTTACATTCCTACCAACAATGTATAAGTTTCCCTTTCTCTACTTCCTTACCAGCATTTGTTATATTATTGTCTTTTTGGTAATAGTCACTTAACTGGGGTGAGATAATATCTCATTGTGGTTTTGATTTGCATTTCCCTGATGATTAGTGATATTGAGCATTTTTTCACAGACTTGGGCATCTGCATGTCTTCTTTTGAGAGATGTCTATTCAGTCATTTGCCCATTTTAAAATTGGATTATTTGAGTTGTTTTAGTTCCTTGTATATTCTAGTATTAATCCCTTGTCAGATGAATAGTTTTCAAATATTTTCTCCCATTCTTCAGGTTGTCTCTTCATTCTGTTTGTTTCCTTTGCTATACAGAAGGCTTTTAGTTTAATGTAATACCATTTGTCTATTTTTGTTTTTGTGCTTGTGCTTTGAAGTGTTCTCCATAATACCTTTGTCCAGATCAGTGTCCTAAACTGTTCCTCCTATTATGTTTTTTTTCTTGTACTTCCATGGTTCGGAGTCTTATGTTTAAATCTTTAATCCATTTAGAGTTTGTTTATTTATTCCTTTATTTATTTATTTGGCTAAGTCTCACTCTGTTGCCCAGGCTGTAGTACAGTGGCATGAGCTCAGCTCACTGCAGCCTTGACCTCCCAGACTCAAGTGATCCTCCCACCTCAGCCCCCCAGGTAGCTGGGACTACAGACATGCACCACCATGCCCAGCTAATTTTTGTATTTTTTGTAAAGGTGGAGTTTTGCCATGTTGTCCATGGCTTGTCTCAAGCTCCTGGACTCAAGAGATCTTTCTGTCTCGGCCTCCCAAAGTGCTAGGATTATAGGTGTGAGCCACCACGCTCAGTCTAGAGTTGATTTTTTTATACAGTGAGAGATAGTGGTCTAGTTTTTTTTTTTTTTGCCTGCATATGGATATTCAGTTTTCCCAGCACCCTTTATTGGAGAGACTGTCACTTCCTCCATGAATGGTCTTTGTGGCTATGTTGAAAATGAATAGGCTGTAAATACATGGATTTATTTCTGTGTTATCTAATCTGTTTCAATGCTCTATATGTCTGATTTCATGCCAGTACTGTCCTGTTTTATTTTTAAATTTATTTTTATTTTTGGCAGAGATGGTGTCTCTCTTTGTTGCCCAGGCTGATCTTGAACTCCTGGCCATAAGAAATCCTCCTATCTCAGCCTTTCAAAGTGCTGAAATTACAGGCATGAACTACTGTACCTAGCCACCACACTGTTTTGGTTAATATAGGTTTGTAGTATATTTTGACATTTGGTGGTGTGATGCCTCTAGCCTTGTTCTTTTAGCTGAGAATTGATTTGACTATTCAGGGTCATTTGTGGTTCCATAAAATCTTTAGTATTTTTTTTCTATTTCTGTGAAGAATGCAGTTGGTATTTTGATAGGCATTTTATTGAATCTGTAGATAATTTTTGGTAGTGTGGTCATTTTCACAGTATCAATTCTTCCAATCCATGAACATGAGATGTCTTTTTTTGTGTGTTTGTGTGTCCTCTTCAATTTATTTAATCAATGTCTTACAGTTTTCCTTGGAGACATCTTTCATCCCTTGTTTAAATTTACTCCTGGGTTTTTTTTTAAAACCATTATAAATGGAATTGCTTTCTTGATGTTTTCCCACTAGTTAGTTGTTAGTATATAGAAAAAATACTAATTTTTGCATATGATTTTGTAACCTGTGACTTTACTGACTTGTTTGTCAGGTCTAAGGCTCTTTTCTGTGAGGCTTTTAGGTTTTTCTACATATAAGATTATGTCCCTGTAATCCCAGCACTGTTGGAGGCCAAGGCAGGTGGATCACGAGGTCAGGAGATTGAGACCATCCTGGCCAACGTGGTGAAACCCCATCTCTACTAAAAATAAAAAAAAATTAGCCAGGCGTGGTGGCATGTGCCTGTAGTCCCATCTACTCAGGAGGCTGAGGCAGGAGAATCGCTTGAACCTGGGCAGCAGAGGTTGCAGTGAGCCTAGATAGCGCCAATGCACTCCAGCCTAGGTGACACAGCAAGACCCATCTCAAAAAAAAAAAAAAAAAAAAAAGATTATGTCATTTGCAAACAGGGAAAATTTGACTTCCTCCTTTCCAATTCTTTTATTTCATTTTTTACATAGTTTCTCTGGCTAGGACTTCCAGTACTATGTTGAATAAAAGTTGTAAAAATGGGCATTCTTGTCTTCTTCCACACCTTAAAGCAATAAGTGGCAACTTTTCA
Organism: Homo sapiens; assembly: GCF_000001405.40. Taxonomy (NCBI): domain Eukaryota; kingdom Metazoa; phylum Chordata; class Mammalia; order Primates; family Hominidae; genus Homo; species Homo sapiens. The sequence goes on from NC_000001.11 coordinate 20,021,016, forward strand.
CTATTCAGTATGTTGTGGGTTTGCAATATATGTATTTTATTGTGCTGATATACATTCCTTTTATATACCTAACTAGTTGGGAGTTTTTTTTTTTAATCATGAAGAGATGTTGAATTTTATCAAATGGTTTTTCTGCTTCTATTGAAATGGTCATATGGTTTTTGTCCTTTGTTCTGTTGATATGTTGTACATTTATTGATTTGTATATGTTGAACCATTATTGCATTCCTGGAATAAATGTCACTTGACAACAGTGAAAGATCTTTGTAATGTGCTGCTGAATTAAGTTTGCTAGTATTTTTTTGAAGGTAGAAGAAATATTTAATAATGTTGGTTTTGCTATCAACATTAGGGAAAGAATAACTTTCTTTATTCATGTAAAATACCTTTACATGAATAAAGAAGCTAAATGTAAAGCTCCAACCATGAAAATATAATTATAGACACTCAAGTAATTGATAGTTTAGTACATCTGGAAAGTTTGAAGGAGAAAGACTTCCTAAGTAGTATATATGTGATTTTTAACAATTAGAACAATAAACAGATGTGATAGAAAAAATTTTAAATACCTACACCACAAGAAACGTCATCAACAAAAGAAAAAAATAAAGCAAATATGATAGAGAAGAGATTGATATTTTTGGCACATAAAAGTTATTGCTTTGAATGTCTTCAGAATTCTTGGGGGGAGGGGAAGAAGGTTAATGCAATTTGCAATAAATGCTAAGACCTGAGTAAATAAACCAGAAGATAATAAGAAAATAAAATTTACCAACATAAAATAACACTGTCAATTATAAAAATAATGCAAATTAAACAAACACTAGGGTACATATCGTACGTATTAATAAAACAAAAGTTGAATGGTAATTTATTTGCTAGTGATGGTGTATCAAAAATGTTGTCACCTGCCGGGCACGGTGGCTCATGCCTTTAATCCCAGCACTTTGGGAGGCCAAGGCGGGCGGATCACGAGGTCAGGAGATCGAGACCATCCTGGCTAACACAGTGAAACCCCGTTTCTACTAAAAATACAAAAAATTAGCTGGGTGCAGTGGAGGGCGTCTGTAGTCCCAGCTACTCGGGAGGCTGAGGCAGGAGAATGGCGTGAACCCGGGAGGTGGAGCTTGCAGTGAGCCGAGATAGTGCCACTGCACTCCAGCCTGGGCGAAAGAGCGAGACTCTGTCTCAAAAAAAAAAAAAAAAAAAAAGTTGCCACCTACATTGCATATAGCATTTTATTTTATTTATTGTTTTATTTCAATAGGTTTTTGGGGAACAGGTGGTGTTTGGTTACATGGATAAATTCTTCAGTGGTGAATTCTGAGATTTTGGTGTATCCATCACCCGAGCAGTGTGCACTATACTCAATAAGCAGTCTTTTATTCCTAAGCCCCCTGCTACTCTTCACCCCGAGTCCTCAAAGTCCATTATATCATTCTTATGCCTTTGTGTCCTCACAGCTTAGCTCTCACTTATAAATGAGAACATATGATGTTTGGTTTTCCATTCCTGAGTTACTTCACTTAGAATAATGATCTCCAACACCATCTAGGTTGTGCAAATGCCATTATTTCATTCTTTTTTACAGATGAGTAGTGTTCCATGGTGTGTGTGTATATATATATTTATATATATTTATATTTATAATATTAAAATATAATATATTTATATTTAATATTTTTATATTACATATGTATATTTACCACATTTTCTTTATCTACTCATTGATTGGCATTTGGGTTGGTCCCATACTTTTACAATTGTGAATTGTGCTGCTATATACATACATGTGCAAGTGTCTTTTTCATATTAAGACTTCTTTTCCTCTGGGTGGATACCCAGTAATGGCATTGCTGGATCAAATAATAGACCTACTTTTAGTTCTTTAAGGAATATTCATACTGTTTTTCATAATGGTTGGACTAGTTTACATTCCCACCAGCAGTGTAAAATTGTTCCCTTTTCACGACATCTATGTCAACATATATATATATTTTAAATTACAGCCATTCTTGTAGGAGTAAGGTGGTATTGCACTGTGGTTTTGATTTGCATTTCCCTGATAATAGTGATGTTGAGCATTTTTTCATATGTTTGTTGACCATTTGCATATCTTTTTTGAGAATTGTATATTCATGTCCTTAACTCATTTTTTGATGGGATTATTTTTTTTTCTTGCTGATTTGTTTGAGTTCCTTGTAGATTCTGGATATTAGTCCTTTGTCAGATGCATAGCTTGTGAAGATTTTCTCCCACTTTGTAGCTTGTCTGTTTACTCTGTTGATTATTTCTTTTGCTGTGCAGAAGCTTCTTAGTTTAATGAAATCCCATCTATTTATATTTGTTTTTGTTGTATTATCTTTTGGGTTCTTGGTCATGAATTATTTGCCTAAGCCAATGTCTAGAAGGGTATTTCTGATGTTATCTTCTAGAATTTTAATGGTTCATGTCTTAGATTTAAGTCTTTGATCCTTTTTTTTTTTTTTTTTGAGACAGGGTCTCTGTCACCCAGACTGGTGTGAAGTGGCGTGATCTTGGCTCACTGCAACCTCTGCCTCTGCGTTCAAGCAATTCTCCCACCTCAGTCTCCTGAGTAGCTGGGACCACAGGAGTGCACCACCATGCCCAGGTAATTTTTGTATTTTTTGGTACAGATGGGGTTTTGCCATGTTGGTTGGTCTTGAACTCTTGACCTCAAGTGATCTGCCCACCTTGGTCTTCCAAAGTGCTGGGATTACAGGCATGAGTGACCATGCCTGGCCTTTTGATCCACCTTGAGTTCACTTTTGTATAAAGTGAGAAATGAAGATCCAGTTTCATTCTTCTACTTGTGGCTTGCCAGTAATCCCAGAACAATTTGTTAGACAAGGCGTCCTTTCCTTACTTTACGTTTTTGTTTGCTTTATCTAGGATCAGTTGGCTGTAAGTTGGCTTTATTTCTGTGTTGTCTATTCTGTTCCATTGGTCTGTGTACTTATTTCTATACCAGTACCATGCTGTTTTGGTGAGTATAGTCTTATAGTATAGTTTGAAGCTGGGTAATGTGATGCCTCCAGATTTGTTCTTTTTGCTTAGTCTTACTTTGGCTGTGTGGGCTTTTTTTTTTTTTTTTTTTTTTTGGTTCCGTATGAATTTGAGGATTGTTTTTTCTAGTTCTGTGAAAAATGATGATGGTATTTTGAAGGGAATTGCATTGAATTTGTAGATTGCTTTTGGCTGTGTGGTCCTTTTCACAATATTGATTCTACCCATCCATGAGCATGGGATGTGTTTCCATTTGTTTGTGTCATCTATGATACTTTCAGCAGTGTTTTGTAGTTTTGCTTGTAGAAGTCTTTCACCTCCTTGGTTAGATATATTCTTAAGTATTTTATGTGTGTGTGTGTGTGTGTGCACAGCTATTGTAAAAGGGATTGAGTTCTTGACTTGATTCTCAGCTTAGTCACTATTGGTGTCTAACAATGCTTCTGATATGTGCACATTGATTTTGTATCCTGAAACTTTACTGAATTCATTTATCAAATCTAGGAGCTTTTTGGATGGATCTTTAGGATTTTCTAGATGTTCAATCATATCATCAGTGAACAGTGACAGTTTGACTTCCTTTTTACCAATTTGGATGCCCTTTTTCTCTTGTCTGATTGCTCTGGCTAGTACTTCCAGAACTATGTTGACTAGAAGTGGTGAAAGTGGGCATCCTTATCTTGTTCCAGTTCTCAGGGGAAATGCTTTCAACTTTTCCTTGTTCAGTATAATGTTGACTGTGGGCTTGTCATAGATGGCTTTTATTATCTTGAGGTATGTCCCTTCTATGCTGATTTTTCTGAAGGTTTTAATCTTTATGATTCTTGATTTTGTCAAACGAGTTTTCTGCATCTGTTGAGATGATCATGTGATTTTTGGTTTTGATTCTGTTTATGTGGTGTGTCACATCTATTGACTTGTGTGTATTAAACCATCCCTGCATCACTGGTATGAAATCCACTTGGTCATGGTAGATTATCTTTTTGATGTGCTGTTGGATTCAGTTAGCTAGTATTTTGTTGAGGATTTTTGCATCTATGTTCATCAGGGATATTGGTTGTAGTTTTTATTATTGTTGTTTTTATGTCCTTTCCTGGTTTTGTTATTAGGGTGATACTGGCTGCATAGAATGATTTATGGAGGATTCCCTCTTTCTCCATTATTTGGAATAGTTTCAATTCCAAAAGATAGAGAAATACCAATTCTTATTTCAATGTCTGATAGAATTCAGCTGTGACTCTATCTGGTCCTGGACCTTTTTTTGTTGGCATTTTATTTTATTTAAAAAATTTTTTATTTCCACAGGTTATTGGGTAACAGGTAGTGTTTGGTTACATGAGTAAGTTCCTTTTTTTTTTTTTCTTTTTTTTGAGATGGAGTCTCACTCTGTCGCCCAGGCTGGAGTGCAGTGGCTTGATCTCGGCTCACTGCAAGCTCCACCTCCTGTGTTCATGCCATTCTCCTGCCTCAGCCTCCCGATTAGCTGGGACTACAGGCGCCCACCACCATGCCCGGCTAATTTTTTGTATTTTTAGTAGAGACAGGGTTTCACCGTGTTAGCCAGGATGGTCTTGATTCCCTGACCTTGTGATCTGCCCACCTCAGCCTCTCAAAGTGCTGGGATTACAGGCGTGAGTCATCACACCCGGCCATGAGTAAGTTCTTTAGTGGTGATTTGTGAGATTTTGGTGCACCCATCACCTGAGTAGTATATACTATACCCAGTTTGTAGTCTTTTATTCCCCACCCCTTCTCACTCCTTTGCCCTGAGTCCCCAAAGTCCACTGTGTCATTCTTATGCATTTGCATCCTTATAGCTTAGCTCCCACTTATGAGTAAGGACATAAAATATTTGGTTTTCCATTCCTGAGTTACTTCACTTAGAATAATAGTCTCCAATCTCATCCAGGTTGCTGTGAATGCTAATAACTCATTCCTTTTTATAGTTGAGTAGTATTCCATCATATATATACATACCAGTTTTTTTATACACTCATTGTTTGATGGGCATTTGGGTTGGTTCCACATTTTTGCAACTGGGAATTGTGCTGTTATAAACATGAGTGTGCAAGTATGTTTTTTGTATAATGACTTCTTTTCCTCTGGATAGATATCCAGTAGCGGGATTGCTGGATCAAATGGTAGTTCTACTTTTAGTTCTTTAAAGAATCTTTACATTGTTTTCCATAGTGGTTGTACTAGTTTACATTTCCACCAGCAGTGTAGAAGTGTTCCCTGTTCACCATATGCATGCCACCATCTATTATTTTTTGATTTTTGGATTATGGCCATTCTTTCAGGAGTAAGGTGGTATCACACTCTGGTTTTGATTTGCATTTCTCTGATCATTGGTGATGCTGAGCATTTTTTCATATGTTTGTTGACCATTTGTATATCTTCTTTTGAGAATTGTCTATTCATGTCCTTAGCCCACTTTTTGATGGGGTTGTTTTTTTCTTGCTAATTTGTTTGAGTTCATTGTAGATTCTGGATATTAGTCCTTTGTCAGATGTATAGATTGTGAAGATTTTCTCCCACTTTGTGGGTTACCTGTTTACTCTGCTGACTGCTCCTTTTGCTGTGCAAAAGCTCTTTAGTTTAACGAAGTCCCATCTATTTATCTTTGTTTTTATTGAATTTGCTTTTGGGTACTTGGTCATGAAATCCTTGCTTAAGCTAATGTCTAGAAGAGTTCTTCCAATGTTATCTTCTAGAATTTTTATAGTTTCAGGTCTTAGATGTAAGTCCTTGATCCATCTTGAGTTGATTTTTGTATAAGGTGACTGATGAAGATCCAGATTTATTCTCCTACATGTGGCTTGCCAATTATCCCAGCACCATTTGTTGAATAGGGTGTCCTTTCCCCATTTTATGTTTTTGTTTGCTTTATCAAAGATCAGTTGACTGTAGGTATTTGGGTTTATTTCTGTGTTTTGAAAAAATTACCATTTTTATCTCGCTGCTTGTTATTGGTTTGTTCAGAGTTTCTATTTCTTCCTGGTTTAATCTAGGAGGTTGTATATGTCCAGAAATTTTTCAGTCTCCTCTCAGTTTTCTAGTTCATGCACATAAAGGTATTCATAGTAGCCTTGAATGATCTTTTGTATGTCTGTGGTATTGGTTATAATATCTCCCATTTTGTTTCTAATTGAGCTTACTTGGATCTTCTCTCTTCTTTTCTTGGTGAATCTTGCTAATGGTCTATCAATATTGTTCATCTTTTCAAAGAACAAGCTTTTGTTTTATTTATCTTTTGTATTTTTTGTTTCAATTTTATTTAATTCTGCTCTGTTCTTTGTTATTTCTTTTCTTCCACTGGGTTTGGGTTGGTTTGTTCTTGTTTCTCTATTTCCTTGAGATGTGACCTTAGGTCTATTTGTGCCCCTTTAGACTTTTTGATGTAGGCATTTAATGCTACGAACTTTCCTCTTAACACTGCTTTTGCTGTATCCCTGAGTTTTTGATAGATTGTGTTACTATCATTCAGTTCAAGGAATTTTTAAATTTTCATCTTGATTTCATTGTTGACCCACTGATCATTCACGAGCAGATTATTTAATTTTCATATATTTGCATGGTTTTGAGGGTTTCTTTTGGAATTGATTTCCAATTTTATTCCACTGTGGTCTGACAGTACTTGATACAATTTTGATTTTCTTAAATTTGTTGAGACTTGTTTTGTGGCCTATCATATGGTCTATCTTGAAGAATGTTCCATATGCTGATGAATATAATGTATATTCCTCAGCTGTTGGGTAGAATGTTCTGTAAATATCTGTTGGTCCATTTGTTCTAGGGTATAGTTTAAGTCCATTGTTTCTTTGTTGACTTTCTGTCTTGATGACCTGTCTAGTGCTTTCAATGGAATACTGAAGTCCCCCACTATTATTGTGTTGCTGTGTATCTCATTTCTTAGGTCTAGTAGTAATTGTTTCATAAATTTGTGAGCTCCAGTGTCAGATGGATATGTATTTAGGATTGTGGTATTTTCCTGTTGGATTAGTCCTTTTATCATTATATAATGTCCCTCTTTTTCCTTTAAACTATTGTTGCTTTAAAGCCTGTTTTGTCTGTGTTAGGTTTTAAGTGCAGGCTTTATGTCCAGCATAAGACCTAAAGAGGCAGGAGACCAGCTTAATGTCAGTGCCCGCCCCTGCTTACAGGCTGGGGCCATCTGTAGGCTTGGACAGGAGGGGTTTGGGGAGACATGGCCTGCTGTCTGGGAAAATATTGATAACATGTTCCCAGGATGAGGCATTTCTGACCCTTGTTGTGGTGGAACGTGGTGTTCCTTGTACTTTCTCCCAGCAGAATATGATAAGAGGCAGGCTATTTCTCATGGCCTGAATCCCTGTGGAATATTTCACTTTAAGCACGGTCTGTGAAATGGCGGGGGACTTACAAAATGGTGCAGATTGGACTTTCTTGCCTTCTACTTTAATATAAAAGGAAGAGGGGCGTTGTTGATTATCTGGCTGTTTCCTGTCGAATTAGGGGCACTGTAACCAGGGTTTGGGTTTTGAAGTAGTGGGTGTTCGACTTTAGAGTTGTTTTCCTGGAAGCGCTGATACTGGACTTAGTGGAGGAGAACGACGGTATCAATGTGTTTCTGGATGACTGCCTGGACAAGGGAGTTCAGCTTTTGGGAGACTGACTGGGCTATGAAGGTGAGTATATATGGGCCAATTGTTAGCTAAGAGGAGGAAGATTAAGGGCCCTGAGAAAGAGGTAACCTGCTATCACGGTTCTGAGTGCAGCAGGGATGTTTAGTCTGAAACAAGAAAGGTTCCCTCATACCCCTTGCAGGGTGTGCGATGGGGTTGCAGCTGCTTCTTCAGTGCCCTGCTGCTCAAACCTCTAGGGGAGCATACAGATGGGCAGGCTGTGGGGCTCTGACCCCACGACAGTGTCTAGGGATGAGTGTTTACAGCTGAGGCCCCAGTGGGCGTGTGTTAGTGTGCTCTTTTAGTTTAGGCATTTATAGGCGACTTGTGTTAACCAGCTCAATTAGACTCTTTACCTTGTTGCAAGGACAGAGGGCTTTCTGTATCCTGTGATCCTTGGATCACACATGGGCTTGGAAAATGAATGCAAGGTTTTACTGAGTGGAAGTAGCTCTCAGCAGATGTGGAAACCAGAAGGGAGATGGTTTTCCCCTGGTTCAGGCCGCTTGGCACCCTGCGCTCTCCTCTGACTGCCCCCACCAAACTCCATGTAGTTCTGCTGTTTTGGTGGCCTGCCAGCATGCTATTGCCTGTTGGTGCATTCCTCTCAACGTCCAGCCACCCGTGTGTTCCTCCCCTGATACGTTCCTCCGCTGACATGTTCCTCCGCTGACATGTTCCTCCGCTGATATGTTCCTCCGCTGATATGCTCCTCTCAAGGTCCAGCTGCCTGTGTGTTCTTCCGCTGATCTGCTCCTCTTGACGTGCAGCCGCTGTGTGTCTGCCTGCTAGCGTCCCGGGTTTTTATAGGCACAAGATGGGGGCATGGCAGGCGAGGGTGGTCTTGGGAAATGCAACATTTGGGCAGCAAATGCCTGTCCTCACCTAGCTTTATGGGAGTGGAGCCCTACCGGGGACCATGCCTTCCTCTACCCAGCACGTCCCTTCTCCCCTTCCATATCATTTAAAGGGACCACACTCTTCCCTTCCCAGCACTTACGTATCAGTCCTGCGAACAGGGGATGATGTGTATAGTTAGTCTGGTGTGTGCGGAGGAGGAGGAAATAGAGATTAGGAAAGGAACCTGAATAGTTTGGTTGTTAGGCAAAATGTTAATGTCTGGAGATTGAAACACCAGTGTGTATGTTCCTGACCAACTTGCCTGCAGGCAAAGATAAGAGTTTGTGCTACACAGAAAGAAAACAATAGGGGTGGGCAGACAAAAGTTGTAGGTTATGGTGGCAAGCCATGAGAAGGTGGGGGTTGAATCCTGGATAAAGTTTTTGTTCCAACTTTTTGTTTTTCCAAGTTGAATAGTTGTTGAAGGGGGCCAGCCCCTCCACACTTGTGGCTATTTCTCGTCAGGTGGGATGAGAGACTGAGAAAAGAAATAAGACACAGAGAAAAAGTATAGAGAGAGAAGAGTGGACCCAGGGGACCAGCGCTTAGCATACGAAGGACCAGCGCTGGCACTGGTCTCTGAGTTCCCTCAGTATTTATTGATCACTATCTCTACTATCTCGGTGAGGGGGATGTGGCAGGACTATAGGGTAATGGTGGAGAGAGGGTCAGCAGGGAAACATGTGAGCAAAGGTCTCTGTGTCATAAATAAGGTTAAGGAAAGGAGCTGTGCCTTGATGTGAGAGTAGGCCAGATTTATGTTTGACTTTACACAAGCATCTCAGTGCGGTAAAGAGCAGTATTGCCACCAGCATGTCTCACCTCCAGCCATAAGGCGGTTTTCTCCTATCTCAGTAAATATAATGTATGATCGAGTTTTACACCGAGACATTCCATTCCCAGGGATGAGCAGGAGACAGATGCCTTCCTCTTATCTCAATTGCAAAGAGGCCTTCCTCTTTCACTAATCCTCCTCAGCACAGGCCCTTTATGGGTGCCGGGCTGGGGGATGGTCAGGTCTTTCCCTTCCCATGAGGCCATAGCTCAGGCTGTCTCAGTGGGGAGAATCCTTGGACAATACCCAGGCTTTCTTGGGCAGAGGTCCCTGCGGCCTTCTGCAGTGCACTGTGTCCCTGGGTACTCGAAACTAGAGAATGGTGATGACTTTTACCAAGCATACTGCCTGCAAACACATTTTTAACAAAGGACATCCTGCACAGCCCTAAATCCATTAAACCTGGAGTCAACACAGCACATGTTTCTGTGAGCACAGGGTTGGGGCTAAAGTTACAGATTAACAGCATCTCAAGGCAGAATAATTTTTCTTAGTAGAAAACAAAATGGAGTTTCTTATGTCTTCTTTCTACATAGACACAGTAACAGTCTGATCTCTCTTTCTTTCCCTGACAGTTGTTAGTAAGGGTATCCCCTGTGAAGGCTTGTTGGTCAGGGAGGAGATGAAGGCTGTTTGGTTTTGGAGAGACAGAGAGAGGGAGAGAGAGAAATGGGTTTTTGTAATTAATAGCCATTGTGGTTCTGATAGGGCTGAAGGATATAGGTTGCAGTCGAGAGAATGGATTGGCCGACTAGGTGAGATGTAGGTTTATTTTGGACCGGGTTCGTGTGGTTAGATTAACAGGAAGGGCTGTGAACAGCTGGATTTGTGTGGACAAACAAATCTAACAGTTGGAAAAAAGAGGGGATCGTGACTGATTTAAGAGGTAATGTATGAAGTTGACAAAGGGGGCCCTACTGCCAGAGGCTGGGGGTGGAGACTTAGAGTATCTCACAAAGAAGACAAAAGGAGATTTGAGTGGGAGAGAAATTTTGGAAGATACCCTGCAGCCATAGCTCCTGGATTAGTGTAGGAAATAGGAGTGGTCTATCCAGGGATGTGGGGAAGGAATAACAGGAAAGATCTGAAACAATGTACCAGATAAAAGATTTGAAATTGGAGGAAGAGAGTGTTATGGACCAGGGCCTCCTGGATTGGCAACTTCTGGAATTTTTGTTAAGTGCCGCTAGGTTAGTCCTGTAAGAAAGGAAGAATTTTGGGGTGGGGGGTGTGGGGAGGGAATTTCTGGATGTAAATTTGGTGCTCTTTTTAGTTTGGAATGGTGTATCCCGTGTAGAAAGGATGTTAGCTTTCCCGATGTGGGAGTAATTAGAATAACCTGGTGAGCACCCATCCACTTAGATTGGAGAAGGGAGGAGGAGAAGTCTGTGATCCAGACCCAGTCCACTTGTTGTAGGGACAGGGAGGTGTGTTTTGATGATGGACCTTTAGGCTGGGGCAAGTAAGTGTTTGTGTACTGTCTTATTAGATGTTGAGTGAGGTGTCATGCAGGCCAACTACCCGGTATAGAAGGGGGAGGAGAAACAGGGAGATTCTGGAGGATAAAGGGGCATTGTACATGAGTTTAAATAGGCTTAGGCTGAGGGGATTTTAGGGCATGGCTCATAAACCCATGAGGGCCAATGGGAGAAGTGAAGTTCAGGCCATCTTAACCTCTAGGGACTGTTTGGTTACTTGTTGTTTTAAAAGGGCAATGGCCTGCTTAATTTTACCTGAAGATTGGTGGTGATAAGGAATATGGAATGCCCATTTAATGTTTAGAGTCTTCGCTAGCTATTGGTTAACCTGTGAAACAAATGCTCGCCTGTTGTCTGACTGGATAGAAGAGGGGAGTCCAAATGGGAGGATAATGCGGGTAATACAGAGAATAGAAGTGACAGTGTGTGTGTGGTTTTTTTTTTTTTGATGGTGGTAGGAAAAGTTTCTGTCCATCCAGAGAATGTATCTATTATTGTCAGAAGGTACTGGATTTGTTTTACAGGGGGTCATGTGAGTGAAGTTGATTTGCCAGTCAGTCTTGCCCTGGCAGGTGTCTTCAGGCCTGGTGTGTGGGGAAAGGAGGTGGTTTGATAGCTCCCTGAGGGGAAGTTTGAGTGCAAAGGGAACATGCCTTAGTAATATCTTTGAGATTGGCAGTCATGGCAGGAGAATGTGTATAAGAGTTGGCATAGGGGGCGGTAACCAGTATGAAAATGGTTGTGTACATATGAAAGTACAGAAGGTCCTGGAACTTGGGCAAGACAATTTTATTACTGAGGTAAAACCATCCTCCTTCCTGAATGGCATCAGCCTGGATGAGTGAGGTTTGTTCTTCCTGGGTATATACAGGATGTATGTTGGGAAAAATGGGCAGTAATGATGGGGTTTTAAGGGGTGCCTGCCAGGCTGCTGAATTTGCTAAGAAGTTTTCATTGGTTTTGGCATTTGTAGCCTTTTGGTGTTCCTTGCAATAGATAATGGTGGCCTTTAGTGGTGGTTCAGCCACCTCCAGCAGTTTGTGTATGAGTTTGCCATTTCCTATGGGGATTCCTTTTGTAGTTAGAAAACCCCTTTTCTGCCAGATTAAGACCTGAGAATGTAGGATATGGTATGCATATTTGGAATTGGTGTAAATTGGTTAACCCTTTCCTTTTTCCTTTTGCTAGGATGGGCAACTAGCTCCTCTTGTTGACAGGTAGTTCTGCCTGTTGAGAGGTAGTATGGGGCTGGAGAGCATTGGATTCTAGGAGTTTGTTTTTGGCAATGATGACATAGCCAGCTGCTGGACATGGCTCCCTAAAAGAGCTTCCGTTAATGAACCACGTAGGTGTTCCCTGCAAAAGGGCTTGCAAAATGTGTTGGAAGTGGGAGGAGAGGGAGTCTAAGAGGTCCAGGCAGGAGTGAGAGAGCTCATGTGTTTACAGGGAGGAGGGTGGCCAGGTTAAGAGCTTTAATCTCTGGAGGGTGACTAGAGGGTTACCTATGAATAAGACATATACCTGCTATAAGCAAGATGACAGGAGGGATAGAAGGGATTGATGGCTTATGAGGTCCTGTAGGTTATGGGAAGATGCAATTGTAATGTGTTGGTTAGAGAGTGAGTTTCTGTGCCTCTGGGGCCAGCAATGTGGCCACACCCAATATTTTTAGGCAGAGTTGCCAGCCTTGGATGACAGAGTCCAGTTGTTTTGAGAGGTATGCAATAGTTTGTGGGGTGTTGCTGTATGTTTGGCAGAGTAGTCCAAGAGCAAGGCCTTGGTTAGAATGTACATACAGAGTAAAGGGCTTGGTGGGGTTGGGCAGTCCCAGTGCTGGGGTCATTAAAAGGGCATTTTTTTTTTAAAGTTTTTAAAGTGGTAGTTGATGGGGCAAGCTGAGTTCAGGGGTTCTAGGATGGGCCTTATGAGATACTTCCGGCTGTGAATTCATGTAGAGGAGCTTGGCCAGCAAGCTAAAGTCGGGAATTCACAGTCGGAAGTATCCCACAAGGCCCAAGAAGGAGAGGAAGCCCTTCTTTATGAAGGGAAGGGACATGTCCCTTATTAGCTCCTTTGGTTGATTTGGGACGGCCAAAGAATTAGGGGTTAGAACAATCCCAAGGTAAGTGACCTGGGTTTGGGCTACCTGAGCCTTTGTGGGTGAGACCTGATATCCTCAACTATAGAGGAATTTTAAAAGCTGAGTGGTGTGTTGGATGGACAGGTTAAAGGAGGGGCTACAGAGAAGGAGGTTATTGATGTATTGGAGGAGGGTGTTAGGAGCAAGGGGAAGTTCAGCTAGGTCCTTGGTGAAGGCCTGTTCGAATAGGAGGGGGCTATTCTGGAACCCCTGTGGAAGTCCATATTAGTTGGGTGGATGTGTGAGTATCAGGATCTGACCAAGTGAAAGTAGAAAGACTTTGGGAAGCCAGATCCAAGGGAATAGTAAAAAAGGCATTCTTTGGATCCAATACAGAAAAGTGTGTGGTAGATAGGGGAATATGGGAGACTAGAGTATGTGGGTTGGGGACCACTGGATGGATTGGAACCACTGCCTGGTTGTTAACTCAAAGATCTTGGACCAAGAAGTAAGACCCATCTGGTTTTTTTGACAGCCAGGATAGGAGTGTTGTGGGGAGAATTGACAGGCTTGAGAACTTGAGCTTGTAAAAGTTTACAGATAGTAGGTTTGAGGCCCCTGAGGCTGGCTGGGTTAAGGGGATATTGAGACTGATGAAGGGAAATGGAGGGGTTTTGGAGAGTTATTTTGACTGGGATGTGATGTTTGGCTATTGTGAGTCTAGAAACGTTCCAAACTTCAGGATCAACAGAAAGTAACAAGGTAGATAGTGAGGAAAGGCTGGAGCAGCAAACATTCTGAGTGCATCCCCTAAGAAGGCAGGCCATGGTCACCTGGTGACTGGGAAGACCTCTCACCCAGCGCTGGGATTTTCTGGTGAATTGGAAGAAATAGGGATCTGGAAAGGAGGAAAAAGGAGAGTCACCCACTAATTGGAGACAGGTGTTGGATGTGATGAGAATGAGGGAAGGGGGCTGGGAACAGGGAGTCCACTCAGGATCTGGAAGCAGGTCTGGTTCTAGTTTTTTCTGCTTGCTGCTTTCCAGATTGTAAGAGAAGACTTACCCATTTAGAACCCAATCCCCATTCCAGGTTTTGGCACCCAAAATGTTAGATTTTGAAGCGAAGGCAAGGGTTAAAGAAAGGTACAGAAAGAGAGGGAGAGAGGGCAGCTTAACAGCAAATCCAGGCTTTATGTCCAGCATAAGACCTATAGAGATGGGAGACCAACTTAATCCAAGTTCCCACCACTACTTACAGGCTGGGGCAATTGATAGGCCTGGGTGGGAGGGGAGTTGCGGGGCATGGCCTGCTGCCTGGGAAAATGTTGATAACGTGTTCCCAGGATGAGAGTTTTGGCCCTTTTCCGGCAGAATGTGGTGTTCCTTGCATTTTCTCCCAGCAGAATATAAGAGACAGGCTATTTCTCACAGCCTGAACCTCTTTGGAATGTTTCACTTTGACGAAGGTCTGCAAAATAGTGGGCATCTTACAAAATGGTGCAGTTTGGGCTAACAATCTGATATAAGAATAGCTATTCCTGCTTGCTTTTGGTGTCCATCTTCATGGAATATCTTTTTCCACCCCTATACCTTAAGTTTAAGTGAGTCCTTATGTGATAGATGAGTTTCTTGAAGACAGCAGATACTTGATTGGTGAATTCTTATCTATTCCACCATTCTGTATCTTTTAAGTAGAGCATATAGGTCATTTAAACATTCAATGTGAGTATTGAAATGTGAGGTATTATTCAGTTTGTTGTGCTAGATGTTGCCTGAACACCTTGTTTTTATTTTGTTTTTTTATTTCATTGTGTTACTGTTTTATAGGTCCTGTGGGATTTATGCTTTAAGAAGGTTCTATTTTGGTGTATTTCAAGGTTTTGTTTGAAGATTTAGAACTCCTCTTTAGTAGTTCTTGTAGTGCTGGCTTGGTAATGGCAAATTCTCTCAGCATTTGTTTGTCTGAAAAGGACTTTATCTTTCTTTCATTTCTGAAGCTTAGTTTTGCTAGATACGAGATTCTTGGTTGATAATTGTTTTGTTTAAAGAGACTAAAGATACAACCCCAATCCCTTCTAGCTTGTAGGGTTTCTGCTGAGAAATCTGCTGTTAATCTGATAGGTTTTCCTTTATAGGTTACCTGATACCTTTGCTTCACAGCTCTTAAGATTATTTCCTTTGTCTTGATTTTAGATAACCTGATAATTATATGTCTAGGTGATGATCTTTTTGTGATGAATTTCCTGGGTGTTCTTTGAGCTTTTTGTATGTGGAAGTCTAGATCTCTAGCAAGGCCAGAAAAATTTTCCTCAATTGTTTCCTCAAATAAGTTTTCCAAACTTTTAGATTTCTTCTTTGGGAACACCAATTATTCATTCTTAGGTTTGGTCATTTAACATAATTTCAAACTTTTTGGAGGCTTTGTTCATTTTTTAAAAATTCTTTTTTCTTTTCTCTTTGTCAGATTGGGTTAATTAGAAAGCCTTGTTTTCAAGCTCTGAAAATATTTCTTCTATTGCTTTCTTCTATTGTTGAAACTTTCAAGTGTATTTTGCATTTCTGTAAGTGTGTCTTTTATTTCCTGAAGTTGCAATTGTTTTTTTATTTATGCTTTCTATTTCTCTAGAGACTTCTTTGTCCATATCCTGTATTATTTTTTAAATTTCTTTCTTTTTTTTGTTTGAGACAGAGTTTGCTCTTGTTGCCCAGGCTGGAGTTCAATGGCATGATCTCGACTCACTGCAACCTCTGCCTCCTGGGTTCAAGTGATTTTCCTGCCTCAGCCTCTGGAGTAGCTGGGATTACAGGCCTGTGCCACCACACCTGGCCAATTTTGTATTTTTAGTAGAGACAGGGTTTCTCCATGTTGGTCACGCTGGTCTCGAACTCCCGACCTCAGCTGACCTGCCCACCTCAGCCTCCCAAACTGCTGGGATTACAGGCACGAGCCACCACACCTGGCCTTTTAAAAATTTCTTTAAGTTGGTTTTCACCTTTCTCTGGTGCCTCCTTGAGTAGCTGAATAATTGACCTTCTGAATTCTTTCTCTGGCAATTCAGAGATTTCTTCTTGGTTTGGATTTATTGGTGGTGAGCTAGTGTGATCTTATGGGGGTGTTAAAGAACCTTGCTCTGTCATATTACCAGAATTGATTTTCTCGTTCCTTCTCATTTGGGGTAGACTATGTCAGAGGAAAGATCTGGGGTTCAAGCGTTGCTGTTCAGATTCTTTTGTTCCATGGGGTGATCCCTTGATGTGGTGCTCTCCCCCTTCCTTTAGGGATGGGGCTTCCTGACAGCGGGACTACAGTGATCATTATTGTTCTTCTGGGTCTAGCCATCCAGCAGAGCTCCTGGGCTGTGGGCTGGTACTGGGGAACGCCTTCAAAGAGTCCTGTGATGTGATCCATCTTCAGGTCTCTCAGCCATGAATACCAGCACCTGCTTCAGTGGAGATAGCAAGGAAGTGAAGAGGACTCTGTGAGGGTCCTTGGTTGTAGTTTTATTTGGTGTGCTGGTTTTCTTGAATGCTGGTTGTGCTAGCAGTGAAATTGTCACATGGACAGACTCAGGACCTCTAGTTGGCCAGGATGTTACAGGCAGTGGAATTAGCTGTTATTTTCTCCTTTCTTGGAGCAGGGTTGTTCTGTTATGAGTTGCTATAATGGCTTGCATTGGCTGGCCTCCAGCTAGGGGCTGGTGCTTTCAAGAGACCATCAGCTGTGGTAGTATGGGGGAATACAAGTTTGCCCTAAGGTTGCCTAAGTAAGTATTCAGGTTTTTCAGGCAATGGGCGGGATCATAGAGCTCCCAAGAGATTATGTTTTTTGTCTTTGGCTACCAGGGCTGGTAGAGATGGACCATCTGGTGGGAGCAGGGTTAGGCATGTCTGAGCTCAGACTCTCCTTGGGTGGGGCTTGCTGCAATGGCTGTGGGGGATAGGGATGTGGTTCTCAGGCCAATGACATTAGGTTCCCAGGGGGATTATGCATGCTTTTGCTGTGTCATGCAGGTCACCAGGGAAGTAGGGGGAAGCTGGCAGTGACAGGCTTCACCCAGTTCCCATGCAGCCAGCAAGACTAGTCTCATTCCCACTGTGCTCCACCACCAGCACTGAGTTCATATCCAGGCAGCTGGTGAGTAGGGCTGAGATTTTGCCCCAGGTTACAAGCCTCCCTGTTGAGAAAGCAAGCAGGGCTTTTAGGCCCTGCCCTTCCCTGACTGCGGTGGATTCTGTGGTCATATCTGCACATCCTGTTCCCTGCCACCACCACCCCCCAAAAAAAATCTGCCCAGGAAAGTTCACAGCTAGTCAAAATTATTATAAGATTTAACTGGAAGTTTCCTTCTCCCTGTGATCTTTCCCCAATTACACTAGCAGCCCTCCCCAAGGACCCCTGTGAGACAACGTCAGAAATGGCTTTCCTGGGGATCAGGAATGCCCACAGGACTCTTCCTGCTGCTTCTTCTACTTTATATTTTGCTCTGCTCTCTAAATTCATTTCAGCTCTAGGTAAGGTTAAATCCTTCTGTAATCCCAGCACTTTGAGAGGCCAAGGCAGGAGGATTGCTTGAGTCCAGGAGTTTGAGATAACAACATAACAAGACCCCATCTCTACAAGAAATAAATTAACTGGGCATGGTGGTAAATGCCTGTAGTCCCTGATGCTCAGGAGACTGAGGGAGGAGGATCACTTGTGCCCAGGAGTTTGAAGTTGCAGTAGACTATGATTGGACACTGCACTCTGGCATGGGTGACAGATTGAGACCCTGTCTCAAAAAAAGAAAAAAAGGATAAGTAATAATAGTGGGCAACTAAGTGGCCTAGACTGTAGAAGTTTTGGCAGTAACAGCAGTCCTGTGGTTGTTGATGTCCTCAGCGTCAAGGGCTTTTGGAGTCCTCCTATTCTCATTTTCCCCACAATGGGGGTAACAGCTGAGGGTATTCCTCTTGGCATCAGATCTGACATTGTCTACACTCAGTTGTGGTGGTGTGGGTTCCAGGTGTAGGTGCTTGGAGAGGCTGTGGGACTGGGTTCCTAAGCTCAGTTAGGGTCTTGTGAACCTATTGTGGCACCTGAGTCTCGAGTTACAGGTTCACTGTCTGTGGATGTAGGTTGTCCATCGAGCAAGAATCTGTGACTGAGGCATTCCCCAGCATCTTGTGACCGGAGGCCTGAATTGTAGCTGTGATTTTGCTCCAGAGGAGAGGGCTTCTCTGAGAAATTCCTCAATGAAATTGTTTATCTTATAATGAGGGTCAACTATGGCCAAAGCATGGACATTAATGTCTTTTGGAGGGCAGAATCACTGATTCTAGCCTCTGAGCAGTGGAAGGTGTCAATAAACTTGTTTCCTCAGGGTTTCTTCAAGCTTCCAAAAGCAATGTTATATCTGGCCCAGTAATGTTCATAGAGGACAAAACAAGGATTAAATAGACAGGAATTACACTTGGAGAACTATTCCACAATTCAGCTCTACATTGTTGCAAAGAATCAATGTCAGTAAAACTTTACAAATTGCTGCTGAGGAATGGAATAATTAAAAAATACTGGATTTAACACCAACTCTCCTTATTGCAATTTACTTAGTCTGATTCTACTAGCTCTTCTTTTGTTGTAAACATTTCCTATAAATAGGAAATATCATTTGAGAAAGTGAGGGGAAGTGGAGAGAGAGAGAGAGAGAGAAGCCATTTTTTGTGTGCCATGTCTTATAAGAACTTTACATACTGACTGTGTATCTGTGTATATTCCATTCTGTACAGTTTTTAGGTAGTTCAAGAATTGCAGGCTTTTAATCAGATCACAAAAAGAATAGACCTTCAGCATTAGCTTGGTCAGGTTTCTTAAACTTAGGTTTATAATGTAACCGTCTGTAATATATCTCTCATTTGACCCTGTGGGCCATAAAATAAAATTTATAAACTAGATATTGTGGAATGCATTCTCACCACCAAACTATTCACAAAGAACCACAATGGACTGGTATGGGTTTTGTTTTGAGTCTTCTTTCTACTCTTGTATTCAAAATATTCTGCCCTTAAAGATTTTGTTCAAAATAGACAAGAATATCATTAAACAAACAAACACACAAACAAAAAACTGTCCTTCCTACACTGTTCAATGTGTTCCTTTGTTATTTAGAAAGTTTATTTTGCTTTACTATACCCTTTGCTATAGTATAGTAAAGCTATACTATATGTCCTTTGCTATACCCAGGCACTGTAATCTTTCACCTGGTTTCTTTAACTTTTGTGAAGGTATTTTTGTACAGATAGTTGTTCAAGATGATGCAAAGGGATAAGCAATGGAGAGTCTTATTCAGCCATCTTACTTATGTGCATCTCCTCATCATTTTGCTTTTGTTTTTGTTTTAGCACATCCTACTTTCTGACACCACAAAATGCCCCAAATTTATCTTCTGTCTTTCAAAGCCCTGGAATTAGCCACTTGTTTTCTGAGATGTCATGGTTCTTTTCTTTTTCCTTTTTCTCAAAATGACATTTAGAAACAAATATCTGGGAACTAAGAGTGCTCATTGCTAGTGGGATGTCATTGCTTCAAAGCTGACAAATACACACACACACACACACACACACACACAAACACTCACACTCATTTACTCAAATGATGAATTCATACTGATAACTCCAATTCCAATCCAAGATATCAACAAGTATTTTGTAAAAGGAAAATAAATCTTGAGGCCCCAAAATCACTAAGCTAAAGGGAAAAGTTAAGATGGGAACTGCTCAGGGCAAACTTGCCTCCCATTCTATTCAGAGTCACCCATCTGCTCACTGAGATAAATGTGTATCTGATTGCATCCTTTGGAGAGGCTAATCAGAAACTCAAAGGAATACAACGATTTGTCTCTTATCTACCTAAGACCTGGAAGCCCCCTACCCGCTTCAAGTTGTCCTGCCTTTCTGGACCGAGCCAGTGTTCATCTTACATGTGTTGATTGATGTCTCATGTTTCCCTAAAATGTATAAAAACAAACTGTGCTCTGACTACCTTGGGCACATATCATCAGTACCTCCTGAGGCTGTGTCATGGGTGTGTGTCCTCAACCTTGGCAAAATAAACTTTCTAAATTAACTGAAACCTGTCTCAGATATTCAGCATTTACATTTTGGCAACCACAAAGGGATTCTGAGTGGAGGTACCCCTGATCTTTGACGAATCTCCTATAGGTGCTTGGTATCAGCATAAGCTAAGTTTATGGCCCAAATCAATAGAACAATTTGCTGAGGTCTGGGAGCACCCCCTCCAGAGTGTCACCTGTGTCTGTGTGAAGAGACCACCAAACAGACTTTGTGTGAGAAATAAAGCTTTTTAATCACCTAGCTGCAGACAGGCTGAGTCTGAAAAGAGAGTAAAGGGAGATAGGGGTGGGGCAGTTTTATAGGATTTGGATAGGTAGTGGAAAATCTATTTTAAGTATTTTAGTTTCCTGACTGTGGGCATGTGAGTAAAGTCAATTTGCCAATCCTGGGCAGGGGCAAATCTCTGAGCTTGATGTCTAGGGAAGGGAGGGGGCCTGAACAATCCCTGGGGAGTAGTAGACTAGCAGATAGAACACTGAGAAGTGATTTCCTTGAGGATAGATTTCCATGATGGAAAGGAAATGAGAGGTTCTAAGAGACAGGCTAGTGGCTTATAACCTACATGGAAGAGGTTATGAAATGATGACAGAATAGAATGAGCCTGTGAGGCTGGAAGGAGATATTTTCCTTGGTCTAAGAACCATTTGCCTTGTATGGGAAGAGATCGATTGGTGGAAGTTTCAGTGGGGGAGTAGGTGGGAGTGACCAAAGAGAAGGAGAAAAACTGGCAGTGAGGGACAGAAGTTGGAACGCTAGGTGCTTCTTTAGCTACCTTATCAGCATAAGCATTGGCCTGAGCAATGGGATCTGATGTCTTTTGATGGCCCTTGCAGTGAATGACTCCAGCTTCCTTTGGAAGTAAAGCAGCCTTGAGAAGAGTTTTTATTAAAGAGGCATTAATGATAGAGGATCCTTGCGTAGTGAGGAAACCTCTTTCAGCCCATATAACAGCATGGTGGTGTAGGATATAGGAGGCATATTTAGAGTCAGTATGAATATTGACGTGTAGTCCTTTTGCAAGAGTGAGGGCCTGAGTTAAGGCAATGAGTTTGGCTTGCTGAGAGGTAGTGGATGGGGACAGAATGGTAGCCTCAATGATAGATGTGAAAGATACTATAGCATAACCTGCCTATGCTGGTGAGTGGAGATTAGGCCTGGTGGAACTGCCATTAGTAAACCAAGTGTGATCAGGGTGAGGAACAGGAAAGAAGGAAATATGGGGAAATGGAGTGAATGTCAGGTGGATCAGAGAGATACAGCCGTGGGGGTCAGGTGTGGTATTAGGAATAATGTGGGGGCCAGCCTAAAACAGTAATGTCAAGTTGTTTGGACAGAAAGGCTACAGGGTGCGGTCCCAGCTCTTGTGTAGGAATTTTGACCGCACAGCCCTGCACTTTGTCTGTGTGTAATGAAAAGCGTTGGGATGAGTTAGGGAGATCTAGGGTGGGAGCAGATTTTAGGGCTGTTTTTAAGGAATGGAAAGAAGAATGGTGAAAGGATTTAGGATCTATGGGGTCAGCTAGGTTTACTTTGTGAGTTTATGTAATGGTTTAGTCAGGTTGGCAAAACCAGGTATCCAAAGGTGAAAGTACCTGACCATGCCTAGGAAGGAAAGCAGCTGTTACTTTGTAGAAGGGGTTGGGGTTTGGGAGATTAGCCGGACATGATCAGCAGGGAGACCACGTGTGTTTTTATTAAGAATTATGCTGAGATAGGTAATGGATGAGGAAGAAATTTGGGCTTTGGAGGGAGATACGCAATATTCTTTTGAGAATAGATGTTGGAGGAGCAGGAGGGTGTCCTGTTGGGAAGATTTGTAGGAGGGGCTATAAAGTAGAAGGTTGTCAAAATATTCAATAAGGTGAGAAGCAGACGGACGGAAAGAAAGTAAATCATGAGAAAGGGCTTGACTGAAGTAATGGGGGCTGTTCCTGAAGCCTTGCAGCAATACAGCCTAGGTATGTTGTTGAGACTGATGGGTGTCAGGGTCAGTCCAAGTAAAAGCAAAGAGGGGCTGGGATGAGGGGTGTAGGGGAATAATGGAAAAAGCACCTTTAAGATCAAGAATGGAATAGTGAGTTGTGGAGGGAGGTATTGAGGACAAAAGAGTGTACCGGTTGGGCACCACAGGGTGGATAGGCAAAACAATTTGGTTGATAAGGTGGAGATCCTGAACTTACCCGTAGGACTTGTCCAGTTTTTGGACAGGTAAAATGGGGGAATTGTAAAGAGAGTTTATAGGCTTTAGGAGGCCATGCTGTAACAGGCAATTGATAACAGGATTTAATCCTTTTAAAGCCTGCTGTGGGATGGAATATTGGCATTGAGTGGGGTAAGGGTGATTAGGTTTTAATGGGTTAGTAATGGGTGTGTGATTGGTTGCCAGGGAGGGAGTAGAGGTGTCCCATATCTGTGGGTTAAGGTAGTGGGATATGAGAGGAAGATGCAAAGGAGGCTTTGGGTTGGGAAGAAGGGTGGCAATGAGCTGTGGCTGTAGTCCAGGAATAGTCAGGGAAGCAGATAATTTGGTTAAAATGTCTCAGCCTAATAAGGGAACAGGGCAGGTAGGGATAACTAAAAAAGAGTGCATAAAAGAATGTTGTCCAAGTTGGCACAAGAGTGGGGGAGTTTTAAGGGATTTTGAAGCTTGGCCGTCAATACCCACAACAGTTATGGGGGCAAGGGAAACAGCCCCTTGAAAAGAAGGTAATGTGGAGAGGGTAGCCCCCATATCAATTAAGCAGGGGACGGACTTACCCTCCACTGTGAGAGTTACCTGAAGCTAGGCATGCGTGATGGTCCAGGGGGCTTTCGAGGTGATTGGGCAGTGTAAGTCTTCAGCCACTAAGCTGAGCAGATCTGGGAAGGAGTCAGTCAGTCAGAGAACTTTGGGCCAGAGCTTTAGGGGCTCTAGGAGTGGCTGCTGGGTGAGCTGGGCAGTCTGATTTCCAGTGGGTCCCTGCACAGATGGGACACTGCTTGGGAGGAATCCTGGGCTGTGAGCATTCCTTGGCCCAGTGGCCAGATTTCTGGCCCTTGAAGCAAGATCCTGATGGAGGAGGTCCTGTAGGAATGCTTGACCACTGCAGCTTAGGCATGTGTGGCTTAGGGATTTTGAAGTTCTTGTGTGCTGGAGGTATGGCTGGGTTTTTTCTCACAGCAGAGGCAAGTAATTGTAACTCAGAAATGCATTACTGTCTAGCTGCCTCCTCTCTATTATTGTACACCTTGAAGGCAAGGATGATTAATTCCTGTTGTGGGGGGGGTTTGAGGTCTGGATTCTAATTTTTGAAGTTGTATTTAATGTCTGGAGCAGATTAGGTAATAAAATGCATGTTGAGAATAAGACAGCCTTCTGGTCCCTCTGGGTCCAAGGCTGTAAAGCGTCTAAGGGTTGTTGCCAAACAAGCCATGGACTGGGTTGGGTTTTTATATTTGATGAAAAAGAGCCTAAATGCTAACTGATTTGGGAGAGGTTGGATAAAGAAAAAGGAGCATTAACCTTGACTATGCCTTTAGCTCCAGCCACCTCTTTAAGAGGAAATTGTTGGGCAGGTGGGGGAGGGCTAGTCACGGAATGAAACTGTAAGCCAGACTGGGTGTGAGGAGGGGAGGTGATAGAAGGATTATAGGATGGAGGAGCGGAGGCTGAGGAAGAATTGGAGCCTGATTCAGCCTGGCAGGGTGCGATCTGAGGTGGAGCAGTCTAGGGAGGAGGGGAGAGGTCAGATGGGTCGGTAGAAAAGGAAGATAGAAAAGACTTAGCAGCGTTTGGGGTTGGGACTGAGGGGACAGAGGGGAGGGAAAGGAGGATTTGGGATGGGTCACATTGGGAACAGAGACTAGGGTGGGACTGATGTGTAAAAGAATGCCTGGATATCAGGCATCTCAGACCATGTGCCCATTTTACGACAAGAATTATCTAGATCTTGTAGGATGGAGAAATTGAAAGTGCCATTTTCTGGTTATTTGGAACCATTGTTGAGTTTGTATTGGGGTCAAGCAGTATTGCAGAAGAAAATAAGGCATTTAGGTTTTAGGTCAGGTGTGAGTTGAAGAGGTTTTAAGTGCTTGAGAACACAGGATAAGGGAGAAACAGGAGGAATGGAGGGTGGAAAGTTGCCCATAGTGAAGGAGGCAAGCCAGAGAAAAGAGAGGGTAGAGACACGGAGAGAAGTGGTTGGTGGTGGTACTTGCCCCCCTGGGGAGGTGGTGCTTGCTACCAAGGTGAAAGATCAAGGCAAGCATCCCTGCGGTGATCAGACACCTCTGAAATGTGGGTGAATAATCAGGCAGGCGTCACCACAGTGATTAAACATGAAGGGAAGACTGTCTTCCCAAGTTCGTGACTGGCACTGGAGTTTTGGGTTCATGGATAAAACATATCTCCTCTGTCTCTACCAGAAAAGGAAAGGAACTGAAATTAAGAGAAGGGAGAGATTGAAGGGTGGCACCAAAATTGAAAGGAGAAAGAGGTTGAGGGATAGTGACAGAGGTTGGAGAAGAGAGTAAAAAGAGGCTGCTTACCCGATTTAAAATGTGAGAAGTTCCTTGGGCTGGTTGGTCTGAGGACCCAAGGTCATAGGTGGATCTTTCTCATGGAGCAAACAGCAGGAGGACAGGGGATTGATCTCCCAGTGGAGGCTCCCCTATCCAAGTCTGAGCACTAAATGTCATGCGTGTCCATGTGCAGGCTGCACCCAGATGAAATAAACAGCTTTATTGCTCACACAAAGCCTGTCTGATGGTTTCTTCACACGGATGCGTGTGACACAGAGAATCTCTGATCTCCCAAAATTTGGTGGAGATCTAAAGTTTATTTTGCTGTACAACTCTACCCACCCCATCCTTTTTTTTTGAGTTTTACTTGCTTCCAACAAGGAAAGCAAGATTTCCTGTTTCCATGATGTTGGAAGGCAGGTAACTCCTTTATGGAATTTGAGCTCACTCCCAGCAGGCAGGATGAGTTTGAGTTTCTTCCTGCTTCTAGGATGGTAGAGGACAGTCTTCAGCCTGAGACCCATCCCTAGGTAAGTAGCTGAATTTGGGTTTTGTCTTATCTAAAGTCTAACAACCAGCTTGTCTTAATTTCTTTTTACCATTAGAGTGCTCAGCGATCATATTGTTGGTTTTTTGTTGTTGTTGTTTCTTCCAGTCTTTTGCCAATCAGATTTGACCAACTCTACCTGACTTGGTTAAATCCAAGTGAGAATTCCAAATTATGGGTAACAAAGCCTCTCTAATTTGGTTAAAATTCCTTGCAACTGCAAAAGAGGAAAAAACAAACAAACAAAAATCCCCAAAACCATGTGCTTGGTTTCTGTGTTTACTTCCTATCTTAAAAAAAGTTCTTTTACTTTTTTTCCACCCTATATCTCCTTCCCTCTCTTGCCATCTGCAGCATCAAAAATCTAGAAAAGGCTTTTAATGACTTGAACCCCTTTAAATAATTCAGAACAAAGGCACCAATCACCCCTTTTGGGATGTTCTTCTTTCTTTGTGGAATTTCGAGAGTCATGGGCAGATTCTTCTTAGGTCTAAAGCTCTGTTTTCCTGTATTGAATGAGCTGACCTTTTTGGCTTTGGGGGTACCAGAGATTACTTTGTACTGTGAGAGGATTTGACCTTGGCATGTGTTATGGCAAATGGGAGCTACAAAGTAGGGGTGGCTGAGTACAGTTTACAGAAAGTGGTCTTGGCTGTTGTTTCTTATTTTCTCCTAGGAAGTTGTTGTTTAAGGATCCTAATTCTAGTTTGGAGATACATTCTAAAGGGTCTTCTCTATTTACTTTTTCTCCCAAAATTAATCTTGAATGAGCTTGTCTGTGTGCATTTGTGTGAGAAACTGTTGTTTTCATAGGTAAATGAGAGACTGAGTTTTCTCAGCTCTGAAGAGAAAGGTCATTTTGCTCCTCCCAGCCAAAAGGTGCCCCTGAGTAACCAGGGGCCTTGTGGGAGTGTCTGGGGGTTTAACCCCCTGTGATTTGCAGCAGCCCTGCAGGGAAATCCTCAACAACAATTAATTTGAAAGAATGAGGCTCATCCAGGAAACTCATATAAGGGCTGATTGCCCAGCGTTTTGAGCCCTCTCTGAAGTCCTAGACCTCTGGAGAGAGAAACTGAGACATGTAAGAGGGTGGAAACAACTCAGTGGTGACACACTGTGGAGTCCTGCCCACAAGCAAGCACACATTGATCCACCACACAAAAACCCTAAGCCACAGCTCAGTTCCTCCTTTTAGGAAAAAAAAAAAAAGTGGGAAACAAATGATGTAAGAATGAGGAGAAAACAAAGAGAATGACTCCTCTGTGAGCACTCTGTAGGTTTTATGGCATCTCTACTTGCCAGAGTTTATGTAAAATGAAAGTAGTATGGTCTTTGTGCACATTTACATTGAGAAAAAGAGCCCTAAGGTCAACCTGCAAAGTATAGAGTTCATAAGTTCTCTTTTTTTCTCTATTTTATTTTCTGCCTGCTTTAAATCTGCTGTTATTTTTCTATTAAGATAAAAACCACTGTTTGGATCCAACAGGTGTTTTGTTTGCAAGCTGGTGAATTTGTGTTTATCTCATGGCTAAAGTTCTGAAGTAAAAGCTATAGGATCTTTGTGTGTGTGTGTGTGTGTGTGTGTGTGTGTGTGTGTGTATGTGTATATATTTAAAAGGCATTTATAATTTCTATAATTTGATGTTTAATTGGCAATTCAATCCATTTTAATTTTCCTGTAACATGCTAGACTTTTTCTCTCTGTACCTAATGATGTAAATTTTACTATTTGATTTTCACCTGATTTGTTTCCTTTGATATGCAAATTTAAGATGACTTAGCTGACAACTGCCTAGGGTTACCAATAATTTATACAGGTTATTGAAACAGGTTTTCAAGAATTTTAAAGTCTGAGAGGGAAAAAAGAGGTTTTTATGACTCTATAAGATGTACTTCTATTGGCATGCCTAACACATCTATCTATTTATGTGTTGTGTACACAATGTTTCACTACTGAAAATATATAAAAGCTCTAATTAATTGGCTTAAGAAAATAAAAGCTCTTGAATCAAATAGTTTATCAGGAAAAAAGAAAAGAGTAGTCAAATGCTTTTTCAAGTTTAATAACTTAAGTAAAATCTTTAATAAATAAGATAGCCTTAAAATTGTTGGTAAAGTATAATAATATTAGAAATGTCTTAAGAATTTCCAGCATACATTTTTGTTTGTGCTTATGAATCAAGAAATTTTATACATATCCCTACCAAATACTATAAGGCATCAAAATTTGGAATAGGGGTTACAAAACTCTAAACCAAGCCCCAATCAGAATGATCTTTGCTTGTGTAATTTCTAATAAATAAGACATTGATATTTGTTTAATGAAACTAGCTACATCTTGAATTTAGTAAGATTACCATAACTTCTAATCTTGTGGCTTTAGGCAGTCTAGTCCACAGACAGTAAGGTTTGTTTTGGGAAAGGACTGTTATCATCTTTATTTCAAAGCTAAACTATAAACTAAGTTCCTCCAAAAGTTAGTTTGGCCTATGCCCAGGTATGAACAAGAACAGCTTGGAGGTTTAAAAGCAAGATAGAGTCAGTTAGGTCAGATCTTCTTCACTGGGTCTGTTATAATTTTGCAGTGGTGGTTCCATAAGTTTAAATGATGACTATGACAGTTTTCATAAACAATCTAGGCAAATGATTAAAATAAAATAATTAGGTAAGTGTAATGGACTGAATACTTGTAGACAAATGTCACAATTTAGAATCTAAAGTTATATTAAATTAAGTAATAGATATTTCATTATTTGGGTATTTTCCAATAAAAATATATTCGTAGGAAGACATTCTTTCTAAAAAAGTTGTGTTCTTTTTAAAAATGTTGAACAATTTTTGTCGAATTCAAAGCTTATTTAAAGGTTATATATAAAACAAAGTAAAAGGAACAAGGAAATAAGAGAGGTTTAAGGAAAGTTATAAAAATAAAGAGGGTTTTTTCTGGTAAGAAAGCTTAAAGATACATAATTTTATATGAGAAAGAATCTTGTATGGTAAATTTAGTCCTAGAATAAAATGACTGGTTATTTAAGAAAGAGGGATGTTCAGGACAAACCAGAAAGTCCAGGCATATCATGAATGGTCTGTGTAAGTCACAATAAGAGGATTTATTTTAAAAAGCTTTTACACGATCAAGTTGTCTATAATTAAAGGAACATTATAATCTTTCTAGAGACTGAGCTTGATGTAAAAAACTCATACACTAAATAATTGGTTAGAACAATGAAATTTTCTTAAGGAATTGATTTATTCTTAATAAATTATAAGAGCTTTTAATTTTTTTTAACCCTGATATGATTTGGCTCTGTGTCCCCACCCAAATCTCACCTTGAATTGTAGTGATCCCCACATATCATGGGAAGGACACAGTGGGAGGTTATTGAATCATGAGGGTGGGTTTTTCCCTTGCTGTTCTCATGATAGTGAATAAGACTCACAAAACCTGATGGTTTTATAAAGGGGAGTTCCCCTGCACATGTTATGTGCTCTTGCCTGCTGCCATGTCCCTTTGCTCTTCCTTGGTCTTCTGCCATGATTGTGAGGCCTCCCCAGCCATATGGAACTGTGAGTCCATTAAACCTCTTTCCTTTATAAATTACCCAGTCTCAGGTATGTCTTTATTGCCAGCATGAGAACAGATGAATACAAACCCAAAGTTCAACTTTTATTACATCTCACCATTTTTGGTTTTCTCTCTCCTTTTAAAGGGTGTGAAATAGTAACGCTCTCCTTCAACTTATTTTCAGCTCACATAAGTTTTTTCCTCAAGTTTTATTTGTTGTGGCCTAATGCTAACAATGTTTTCTTAAAGGTCTAAACGAAATGTTTTCTTCCAACATAATATCCTGTGAAGTGCAGAAGGTCTTTTCTTTTGCCTTTTGGTAACTGGCCTAATAGATTTTAAGGTTTATTGAAACAATTCCTATGTATTATTATTAAGTTTTGGTTTGCTTAGGAAAAGGCAGATAAAATTTTTTAAAATTAAGGTTATTATATTCATGTATCTTTCTGTATGTGCTTTTAAGTATTTGTGACATTGAGTTACAGGGCTTTGACTCCTGGGTCTAAAAAGGACACCAAGTCCTGCTAGATCTTAAACACTGTCAGTAATTAAAGCCTCATCTTCAGGCCCAGTAGAAGATGCCAATCAAAATAAACTGCATTCTTAGACACAGGGCTAGAAATTAAAGCTAATCAACTCCTCAAGGCCCAGAGACTATCATGGAAGAGGTGGGCATGTGAGATTGTAAGGGCCAATTTTGAGAGATAAAATAAGTTCAGTTTCTCTATAAGTTAATCATTAATGTCAAAGGCACACTGATGCAAGACCAGCATATGGGACCCTGTGTCAGACTAACAAGATCTTCTTGAAGCATTAACCAACTTTTTAATAAAGGTTATAAAAGGCTTATGGAAATTTTATGGTCAAGATTAAAACTTTATAGATTGTAAAATTTTGAAAAACAAATTTAATTGGCTTCATGCTGTTTTATTAGGGTTTATAGTTTGGAAAATGAAGTCTCCTTTCTCAAATAATAAAGGTTTTTGACTTTTTTTTGGGAAATACTTGAGTTATCACTTTGGTTAAATGAATGACTTATTTTACAATGACTTCTGATATCAAGTGTTTTAAAGCTTTGATATTTTACAAACTTTCCAAAATCAAATTATAAATTCTGTCTTTTTCTGACCTAATTAATTCTTTAAGATATTAGATTCCCTGAAGTCCAAAAATGACATAATTTTGCTTATTTGTATAAAAATTATACAGGAAATATTGTTAAATATGAAATTGTGTTTGGTTTTCTTTGGGTTATGTTTATATAAATATGTTATTGGTATGTGTTCCGAAATCATGGGAAACTTCTATAATTCTGATTGACTTAGTGTATATTATCTATAGTAATTATGTTATGTTAATTAGTTATGATCATTTAAAATAGTTATGTTAAATTATTGTGTGCCACAGAGGTAATAAATTCCCTTGTCAATTGTGTCTTTGACTATGGCTGCCCTGAAACTTTTTGTCATCCACAGACAATTGTCTTGTTTAGGTCCTCTTTAGAAGATGCTATTATAATCAGTTATGAAACTCTAACAGGTGCTCTTAAATACAAGTTTCTGATAACTTTGGATATTGTGACATCAGAATAGAAGAAAAACTGTCATGACTCATGGAGAACTGAAATGTTCATGAATATGAAGCAGAACAGGAATTAACTACACAGACTGAACTAATAGAAGACTGAAGTAATCTTTTTGACTTTTTGCTTAAAATGTTGCTGATCCTTTGTTTTTTCAGAGTCAAGGACAATTTTCTTTTGAGCTATTAACAGCTTTTAACAATTTAGTATACTCCTATGGAACAAAATTTAGAACATATTTGTTTATCTCCACCTGATTTCTCCAGAATTTGGAAACTATTTGTGGGTATTCATAACTTATGGCAATACAGTTAATTGCATAAGTGCAGTAAGAATCTGTTTTCATTTATAATAGGACACAATTGGAGAAACTGGTTATTTTGCCAAGGCTTTGACTGGAATGGCATGCTTTCCTTTAAGGAATCAAACTTGAGTTATGGAGCCAATAAAAGCCCCTTGGGAAAACTGGCCTCATACCTAGTCTATACAGTCCCTGTACAGGGTTCCTGACCTGAGGTAAGTAAAGAATGACAGTTTCTGACAGGCCCAGGAGCCCCAAGTTTATCTTGGAACCTCAAGGGGAGAGGAATTCACCCAATTCAAGTATTTGATGGTAAAAATCTATGGCTGGGCTTGGCTTTAACAAAGTTTTATCTGAGATTCCTTCTATGGAACAAAGTTCCATCAAAGCCAATTTAAAAGCCTATGTAAAAAATAATTATTCTTGCTGCTGCACTGTGTACAAATAATCAGTCCAAGTATAATAAAGCAAATCAGTCCTACCATGATTTTTCTTTATTAAAAATGGGAAACTGCCGAGATCGCGCCACTGCACTCCAGCCTGGGCGACAGAGCGAGACTCCATCTCAAAAAAAAAAAAAAAAAAAAAATGGGAAACTGGAGAATGAAAAATTATGTTTCAAAAAATATAGTACACCTGTTTTTACCTTGGATTGAATTATAATTTTTCTTGGCTACAAGTCTTTCAAATAATGTTTTCCATTTTTTTCCTTCTTTATTCCTCCATTTTTCCTAATTTGGAGTCACTGAAAACTAAGCTGTGCTTTTGTAAAGCTCTGTGAACTGAAGATGGACAATTCAAACTTCAGAAGAAAATAACAGCAACCTATTTACATACATAAGCCACTTTCATACCTGATGCATGGACCTCAGAGTAATGTGGCCTATCTTGATTTTCCAGGATTGTTCTTTCATTTGTTGTTGTTTTTCTCCCTTCCTCCCCGTATTTTCTCTTCAGAGGACATGAGACTTCACAACCTGCAAAAAATGAACTTTTGTAATAACTTCGGACCTACTCATCCAGGAATCCATGAGTAATCAGACAAAACCTGAGACTAGAGACTCATTTTCTTCTAAAATTCTTTCTCCAAACTATTTTTAAAAAGAAAAGGGGGAAATGTGAAAGGAAAGTAAATCTTGTGGCCCCCAAATCACTAAGCTAAAGGGAAAAGTCAAGCTTGGAACTGCTCAGGGCAAATTTGCCTCCCATTCTATTCAAAGTCACCCCCTGCCCACTAAGATAAATGCATATCTGATTGCCTCCTTTAGAGAGGCTAATGCGAAACTCAAAA
The DNA here is from genome assembly GCF_000001405.40 of Homo sapiens. NCBI lineage: Eukaryota > Metazoa > Chordata > Mammalia > Primates > Hominidae > Homo > Homo sapiens. The sequence continues at coordinate 20,052,898 of NC_000001.11, forward strand.
GAATGCCACCATCTGTCTGTTATCTACCTATGACCTGGAAGCCCCCTCCCCACTTCAAATTGTCCTGCCTTTTCTTTGGGTAGTCCCACCCTTCTGGACCAAACCAATGTTCATCTTACCTATGTTGATTGATGTCTTATGTCTCCCTAAAATGTATAAAACCAAACTGTGCTCTGACCACCTTAGCCTGATGTCATCAGGGCCTCCTGAGGCTGTGTCGTGGATGTGTGTCATCAATCTTGGCAAAATAAACTTTCTAAATTAACTGAGACCTGTCTCAGATATTCAGGTTTCACAATTCTCAAGCCTTCTCTTTTTCAATTTATAACTCTTTTATCTGACAGGAATTTTTAAATTTACAACATTTTTACTTATTTGTTCAATTGTAGTACAAATAAAGAAGTTTCAAAACTGATAATCCATACCTCTGTGAGAAACAAATTTACTAACTAGCAGGTAGTGTTTGTGTACATTTCTTTTTATCTTTAGCCTTATGGTATACCATAAAAGTACTGTTTTCTGAAGTTATTTAGGTCAGTCTTTTAGTTGTTTTCCTGCCTCCCTTAAGTGTGATTATGAAATTTATTTTTCATATAGTTATATTTCTTTGTGATTGTATTCTATTTTGGGTTCTATTCACATCCTAGTTGATTTTAATTATGTATTACTTTGCGGGGGGGGGGGTGATATGCAAAACTTTCCCTTGTGAAAAAAGATGAAAGTCATACTAAAAGGAATACTCAGAAGAGTGTTGTTTCTCACTTGTCTCTACTATTCTCTGTCCATTTTCTTCTTCTTTCCAGCTAATTCCCTTCTCCTCCTGCAGATTTAGTTATCTTTTGTTAATGGCACCTCTGTGCAGTACCTCTGTTACCATTAATGCAGCAATGTTGACATATTATCAAACAAAGTTCACAGTTTAATTAGGGTTGACTCTTTGTGTTGTATATTCCATGGATTTTGACAAATGAATAAGGATGTGTTTCCAGTTTTATAGTACCATACTACACAAACTAATTTACAGTATTAGTTATCTATTGCTGTGTAATAAGTTTTCAGAAACTTAAAATTTAAAACAAAACAAGCAGCTTAGAACCACTTAGATTTGTTATCTCACAAGACTGCAAACAAGATGCTGTTTGGACCATGTTCCTATGTGAAGATCATAACCCTCCACTTGGTCCTCCTCCATGCTCCTCCATGGCCTCAACTCCTAGAGGTCCTCTCCATAGGCAGTTACAACATGACAGTTACCTTCTTCAAGGCCACCAGGAGAATTTCTCAATTCAATCCGCTAAGGCAGAGTCTTCTATAATGTAATATAATCAAGTGACTGATTACCCCACATCCTTTGCTATATTCCATTAGTTAGAAGCAATTCAGAGGTTCTTCCTGCACTAAAGGAGGAAGGATTATTCAAAGGTGAACTCACTGGAGGTCCCTCTAGGGTGTGTCTGTCATGGTAGCTGCATTCATTTTTGGTTGGTTCTTCCTGAAATTCTTTTGCATAAATGTGTAGATACACATATATTTTCTTTTAGCCTCTTCTTTCTTATATGATGGATACGAGACCATAGATCATTTTGTACTTTGCTATTTTCACCTAGCAGTAGATGTGGGAAATCATTTCATATAAAGAGATGGAGATCATTTTTCTTTTTTTTTTCAAAATATGTTTAATGTTTTCCTCCCAACTTGGAGAGGTCTTTTCTGGTGGCTGTCTCAGTGGGGTCTAAGCCCCTCTTTCATTTTTACAGTCCTCCATTGTTGGGATGTACTATAATTTTTCCAACCATTCTCCCAGGATAGACATTTAGGGTTTTTCTGCTGTTTCACAATTACACATATTGCTTTAGTCGGTGACCTGTACATATGTATTTTCATAATATTGCAGTTATATCTTCTGGACAGATTCCTAGAAGTGGGATTACTGGCTCAAAAGGTAAGTGCATACGTAGTTTTGTTAGGTGATACCAAATTCCCCTACAGAATAGTTGAACTAGCTCACATTCTCACTAGTAATGTATGAGACTGCCTTTTCCACTATGCCCTCCCCAACAGAATGTTTTATTAGACTTTCCATTTTGCAGGCATTCCTCTTATAATGAAAAAATAATTTTTCCAAGTCATTGCTGAAATCCTAATAAAAAAATCACTGTTCCTCCAACAAATATTTATTGAGGACCTACTCAATAATCTAGGTACTATGTGGGAATGCAACTGTGAGCAAAACAAAAACAGTCCCTTTCCTGATGGCATTTCAATCTGGCAACACAGAGAAACGTATGCCAGATGATGAAACCCCCACACAGTCACAGAATATTGTGTGCTGGATTGTTCCATGATCCATTCAGTTAATCTGGGAACTATGTCTCCCAGAATTCTCTTTCCCGTATGGTTCTAGATTAGAGTGGGCCAACAGGTAAATTTGCCCAAGATTTTTAGGGGCGGAAATAAATCAGTGACCTTTATTCTCTGCAAGTCCTTGTAGCCAGAATTCTGGACAGACTGGTGCTTGGGTTTCTGGAGTGGTTTCAATTGTTCTCATTCTCCTCTGCTTTGTGTCCAGCTTTTCTTACTGCCCACTGGTCTTGATGACCAACTACAGCTCTGGCCCACCACCTGATGTTTGGCTGCAGGACCATAGAGCTGGTAGCTGCACTGGGATAACCCCTTCTAGTAGACCTCTCCAGAAGCTCCCATTTGCCTCTTACTCTGGGAATTGGAGACAGTTTCTCAGATTTCCCTGTAGATCCAACTTGTCCACCGACCCAGTGCTTTGGGACTAGCAGTGACCCTTCTTTGGTTGTCTCACTCTGTCTTTTAGATTTTTGCTTCCCTAGCTCCTCTTAAAGTTGCAGGAGGTCTATTTCCCATAATAAATCTCTCCTTCTTTAATCTTCATAATGTTTCTGCTTCCCTGACTGAACCCTGACCTATACGTGTAGTAAGTGCAGTGGAGAACTAAGTGCTGCAACAGCATGTTGAACAGAAGGTCCTCAACTAGTTTGGGGATCAGAGAAGGTTCTCTAGGAAGATGACATTTTATCTGAGGTCTGCAGGGAGTTTAGGAGTTATCTGGGTAAGTATTTTCTGCATCTTGGCTCACTCAACATTTATTCCAGCCTCCTGGTATCTGTCCCTAAATTCCAGAGGCTAAAAGGCTAAACACTGCATTTCCCTTTCCCTCTTTCCCCTTCTTTTAAAAGATTTTACTTTTTAGAGCTGCGAGGTTCAAAGCAAAATTGAGCTGAAAGTACAAATGTTTCCCACATACCCCTTCCACCCAAAATACACATCCTCTTGCATCATCAGCATCCTGCCCCACTGCGGTAGCTCCCAATGCCTTCCTTCTAAAGATCCACTCAGAGTGTGGCAGTCTTCCCAATGTCCCACTCCCTCAAGGGCAGGTGTTCCTCCTGGCTGCATCTAGTTGGCCATCTTGCCCCCCTATCCTAGGCTCAGTCTTTGGAACTCAATGAAAGTTCCTTTTTATTCCTAGTTTGCTGAGAGTTTTAAATCATGAATAAATGCTGGACTTTGTAAAATGCCTTTTCTGTATCTATTGCTACGATTGTGTTGTTTTTCTTCTTTAGGCTGTCGATGTGACAGAATACATTAATTGATTTTAAAATGTTGGATCAGCCTTGTATGTGTGGAATAAATCTGACTTGGTTGTGGTGTGTAATTCTTTTTGGGCATTATTGGATTCAGTTTGCTAATATTTTGTTGAGGACTTTTGCATTTATGTTTTTAAGATATGGTGGTGTGTAATTTTCCTTTCTTATAATATCTTTGTCTAGTTTTGGTGTTAGAATAATACTGGCCTCCTAGAATGAGTTAGGGAGTATTCATTCTGCTTCTACCTTCTGGAAGAGATTGTACAGAATTAATATGATTTTTTCCTTAAATATTGGTGGAATTTACCAGTGAAACTATCTGGGCCTAATAGTTTCTATTTTAGAAGGTTATTAATTATTGATTCAATTTATTTAATAGATGCTGGTCTATTCAAATGATCTATTTCTTCTTATGTGAATTTTGGCTAATTGGATCTTTCAAGGAATTGGTCCATTTCATCTAGGCTATCAAATTTCTGAGCATGGAGTTGTTTATAATATTACTTTTATTCCTTTAATGTCCATGGAATCAGTGGTGATGGCCCCTCATTTATTTATAATACTAGTTTTTTGTGTATTCTCTCTTTTTTCTTAGTTGCCTGGCTAGAGATTTATAATTTTGCTGATATTTTCAAAGAATCAACTTTTGGTGTCATTGCTTTTCTCTATTGATGTCCTATTTTCAATTTCATTGATTTCTACTCTAATTTTTGTTATTTCTTTTCTTCTACTTACTTTGGACTTAATTTGCTCTCCTTTTTTTATTTCATAAAGTAGAAGCTTAGATTATTGGTTTTAGGTCTTTTTTTTTTTCTAATGTGTGTGTTCAATGCTATACATTTTCCTTTAAACACTGTTGTCACTGCATCCCATAAATTTTTTGGGGGGTAATTTCTGCTTTGCAGAAATTAACATAGCTACTCCAGCTTTCTTTTGATTAGTATTAGTATGGTATATATTTCTCCTTCCCTTTACTTTTAATCTATATATGTCTTTATATTTAAAGAGTCTCGCTCTGTCACCCAGGCTGGAGTGCAGTGGCACAATCTTGGCTCACTGCAACGTCCACCTCCTGGGTTCAAGCGATTCTCCTGCCTCAGCCTCCCAAGTAGCTGGGACTACAGGCATGTGCCACCACACCCAGCTAATTTTTGTATTTTTAGTAGAGATGGGGTTTCACCATGTTGGCCAGGCTGGTCTCAAACTCCTGACCTCAGGTGATTCACCTGCCTTGACCTCTCAAAGTGCTGGGATTACAGGCATGAGCCACCGCACCCTACTGCATCTTACAAATTTTGGTGTTATATTTTCATTTTAATTTAGTTCAAAATATTTTTAAATTCCTCTTGAGATTTTTTTTTTGACCCACGTGTTATTTAGAAGTGTGTTGTTTAATCTCCAATTATTCTGAGATTTTCTAGCTATCTTATGTTACTGATTTCTAGTTTAATTCCATTGTGGTCTAAAAGCATGCATTGTATGATTTCTATTCTTTTACACTTGTTAAGGTATGTTTTATGGCATGGAATGTGGTCTATCTTGGTGAGTGTTCCACATGAACTTGAGAAGAATGTGTATTCTACTGTTGTTGGGGAGAAGTATTCTATAAATGTCATTTAGATCCAGCTGTTAGAAGTGCTGTTCAGTTCAACTATGTCCTTACTGACTTTCTGCTTGCTGGCTCTGTTCATTACTGAGAGAGGGTGGTTATGTCTCCAACTATAATAGTGGCTTTGTCTATTTCTCCTGCAGTCCTCTCAGTTTTTGCCTCACGTATTTTGACACTCCGTTGTGAGGGGCATACACATTAAGGACTGTTATGTCTTCTTGAAAAATCGACCTCTTCATCATTATGTAAATGCCCCTCTTTATTCCGGATAATTTTCCTTACTCTGAAATCTGCTTTGCAGAAATTAACATAGCTACTCCAGCTTTCTTTTGATTAGTATTAGTAGGGTATATCTTTCTCCTTCCCTTTACTTTTAATCTATATATGTCTTTATATTTAAAGTGAACTTGTAGACAACATGCCTGGTCTCTTTTGCAGCTAGGTTTCTGAATGAGATTCAGGATTTGTAAATAAGATACAATCATATGAGCCTTGAATTTAGAACTGATTTAATGGCTGAGTGAGTCAAGCCTGCAGGAAGTGGTTTTGCCAGTACAGTGTGTAGGAGGGGTGTTAAATTCTGGGGCTGCAGCTCCAGCAGCAGCTTCTCGATTTGACAAGCTGGTTTATTGATTGTGTCAGGGCCAACAGCTTCCTCTGCAGCCCAGTCTTGAGGCTGAAGATATTAGTAGCCAAGTGAGGAATGCCTTTATTAGGGTGTGCAAAATTGGTTCAACTAAACTGAATGTTAAAGATGATCACATGGGCCAGGTGCAGTGGCTCATGCCTGTAATCCCAGCACTTTGGGAGGCCGAGATGGGAGGATCACTTGAAGTCAGGAGTTCAAGACCAACCTGGCCAACATGGCGAAACTCCATCTCTGCCAGAAAGACAAAAATTAGCCAGGCATGGTGGTGTGCACCTGTAATCCCAGCTACTCAGGAGGCTGAGGTGAGAGAATCACCCAGACTGGGTGATAGAGTGAGACTGTCTCAAAAAAAAAAAAAAAAAAAAGGGCTCACATGACCGAGTGTGGTGGCTCATGCCTATAATCCCAGCACTTTGAGAGACCAAGGCAGGAGGATCGCTTGAGCTCAGAAGTTCAACACAAGCCTTGTCAACATAGCAAGACCTATTCTCTACTAAAAAATATTAGCTGGGTGTGGTGGCACATGCCTGTAGTGCCAGCTACATGGGAAGCTCAAGTGGGAGGATAGCTTGAGCCTAGGACATCATGGCTGCAGTGAGCCCTGATTGCCTCACTCCAGCCTGGGTGACAGAGTGAGGTCCTGTCTAAAAAAAAAAAGAGAGAGAGAGAAAGACCATATGGCCATTTTAGGGTCTTCATGCTACTGAACAATAGGCTCAAAGGAGGACCACTTAGTTGGAAGTGAAGTACAAATATGGGAAGAGGGTTATGCATCAGTCAGATAAATGAAAGGATTATTAACTGTGGAGGTTATCTATGAACTGGCTTGCTCAACATCTATTTCATCTCCTTCTAGTGTACCTTTCTACTCTGCAGAGGCTGGAAAGGCAAAAATGATGGCTAAGGCTTCCTTGCAGGTAAGCTTTCATCCATTTTAAGATTCTGCCTATCAGATATATTTGCTTGGGAATTGAAATCAGAATTGAGTGAGTGGGAAAAGAGGCAGGACGTAAAGCATGGATTTGCTGGTATAGGTTGTCATAGCAGAGGTGTGACTCTGGGGATAGAAGTGGGAACAACAGCTTCATGATTTAATGAGCAGCTCCTTGTTGTGGTAGAAGCAGCCGTTCCCTTAACAGATCAGTTCTGGGATGTGACTCTGGGAGTCTTTTTCTGGAAACTCAGTCTAGGACCTGCTTTTCCAGCACCCCCAAGGATTCTGGAGAATACTGTAACCACTAGGGCTGCACACAAGGAGGAAGTGTGATGTTGAGGAAGTGAGAAAAGCCCAGCCCAGTGGAGCACAAAGGGTGAAACATAGGTTGGAGGTCAGCAGGGGCCAGATTGCTATAGGCCACTGACCTTCTTGGCTCAACCTACGGCACTGTAAAGCCATGCTTTTGGAGGTAGAACACTGTTAACCAGCCCTTATCTTCAATCAGTTCACTATTTACTGACTTTCTTTTTTCTTCTTTTTTTTTTTTTTTTTTTTTTTTGAGACAGAGTCTCACTCTGTCACCCAGGCTGGAGTGCAGTGGTGCAATCTTGGCTCACTGCAACCTCTGCCTCCCAGATTCAAGCGATTCTCCTGCCTCAGCCTCCCAAGTAGCTGGGATTATAGGCATGCGCCACCACGCTAGGCTATTTTTGTATTTTTAGTAGAGATGGGGTTTCATCATGTTGATCAGGCTGGTCTGAAACTCCTGACCTCAGGTGATCTGCCTACCTCGGCCTCTCAAAGTGCTGGTATTACAGACGTGAGCCACCATGCCCAGCCAGTTCAGTGTTTTCAACAGAAAGACATTAGATTGCAGTGGTCAGTTTAGGCTAGATGTAAAGAGCACCTCCTTTTAGCAGGTGGTTTTAAGACTCAAAGGAAACAAGTGGCTAGTGTTAGAATGACTTTTAGGAGGAGGCCAACAGCCCACTTAGGGCTACATAGAGCAAGTCTTTCTTTCTTTTCTTTTTTTTTTTTTGAGATGGAGTTTTGGTCTTGTTGCCCAGGCTGGAGTGCAATGGCGCACCTCTGCCTCCCAGTTTCAAGCGATTCTCCTGCCTCAGACCCCTGAGTAGCTGGGATTACAGGCATGAGCCACCATGCCCAGCTAATTTTGTATTTTTGGTAGAGATGGGATTTTTCCATGTTGGTCAGGCTGGTCTCAAACTCCCGACCTCAGGTGATCCACCTGCCTTGGCCTCCCAAAGTGCCGGGATTACAGGCATGAGCCATCGCACCCGGCCTAGAGCAAGTCTTTTGTTGCAGCAGGAAACTGGACTGGATGGCCCTTCATGGACCAGGCAGCCTGGTGATTCCGGACCTCCTCCCAGATTGGCCTCATCTCTCCATTGCTCTCACCTCTCTGTGGGATCTGACCCAGGGATACAAATGAATCTACCTCTTCATCTTTTCCAGAGAGCATACTTCATGCTGTTTTCTACTTTAAGAATTGTTGCCCCAGAATAGCCATCTCACATCCACACCACCCTGGCCTGACTGCCCCACTCATATTATAAATCTCTCAGCACATACCAGGCATGGTGGCTCACACCTCTAATCCCAGCGCTTTGGGAGGCTGAGGCAGGAGGATCACTTGAGCTCAGGAGTTCGAGATCAGCTTGGGCAACCTAGGGAGACCGCATCTTTAGAAACAAAATTAAAAATAAGCTGGATATGATGGCACACATCTGTAGTCCCAACTACTCAGGAGGCTGAGGTGGGAGGATTGCTTGAGCCTAGGAGGTTGAAGCTGCAGTGAGCCGTGATTGCACCACTGCACTCCAGCCTGGGCAACAGAGTAAGACCCTGTCTCCAAAAAAAAAAAAAAAAAAAAAAAATCTAAGCACTATTATGAAAGCAGATTTCTCCTTTGTGCTTGAAATAAACAGGGCCTAAAAGAATCCCTCTTTCCATATATCTTACTCCAAAGGCCTTCCCCTGTGGGTAACCCACCTCCTATCCTTCCTTCAGCAATAATCCAGCCCTCTGCCTTTTTATAAACTGTTGTACATCTTTGCATATTTGTATTTGTGTATCTTATCTGTCCCCCAAACAAGGGGCTTCTCAAAGCCTGGGGGTCTCTAAGGATAGAGGCTAACACAGTTCGGATGTTTGTCCCCACCCAGATCTCATGTTGAAATGTAATTCCCAATATTGGAGGTGGAGCCTGGTGGGAGGTGTTCGGATCATGGAGGCAGATCCCTCAAGAATGGCTTGGGCCATCCCTTTGGTGATGAGTGACCTCTCACTCTGAGATCTCTTGCTTGTTCCTCTTTTCTCCATGTGATGTGCCTGCTCCCTCTCCACCTTCCACTATGACTAAGCTTCCTGAGGCCTCCCTAGAAGCCGAGCATACGCTGGCATCATGCTTTCTGTAAAGCCTGCAGAACCATGAGGCCATTAAACCTCTTTTCTTTATAAACTACCCAGTCTTAGGTATTTCCTTATAGCAGTGCAAGAATGGCCTAATACAGAGGCTGTCTCTTCCTTCAGACTGAGAACCCCTGGAGAATACGAAATGGTCTTTCCCATCAGACAGGAAACTCCCAGCATCTCATACTCCTGTCTCTCCACATCCCACGCCAGAAAGATGCAAGAAACTTCAGTTTAAAACCAATGCGGAGTTCCCAGACACAGAAGATGAGCAGGGACATCCTCTGAGAGGAAAACTCTGGTGGCTTCAGGGGAATCAAAGCAAGTCCCCACTTCTGTCCTCTCCTGAGCTGAAAACTCAGAGCAGGCTGGGTGTGGCAGCTCATGCCTGTAATCCTAGCACTTTGGGAGGCCAAAGTGGGAGGATCAGTTGAGCTCAGGAGTTTCAGACCAGCCTGGGCAACATAGGGAAACCTCGTTAAGTATTAAAACAAACAAACAAACAAACCACCAAAATTCAGAGGGGACAGGGGAGGTGGCACACTGCTGTCCTTCTTTTTCCCCTACCATGTAGCACAGGGCCTGTGGAATGGAAGGGGCGCTGTCAATGTGTGTTGGGTGATGGACTGGATGAATAAATGGTACATCTGTGTGCCTAGGGGGCCCATTCCAGACACCAGGTAGTAAGGCAGCCAGATGAGTTCTAGGCCTGGCCTTCGAGAGACTCTGAGATGATGGACAAGCTGCTTGTCTGGGCCCCAGTCAACTCACCACTGGACAGATCTCTGAGAGATCTGTGGCCCCAAGTTTCTAGAGCCCAGGCTTTACTACTGAGAAGATCCATGGACGTGGGGAAGCACCTACTCATAGTCCCTCAGAGAGTCTGTGTTTGGTTTACATTGAAGCCAGGCATAGTGCCATGTGCCTGTAGTTCTAGCTACTCTGGAGGGTGAGGTGGGAGGATGGGAGCCCGGGAGTTCAAGGCTGCAGTGAGCTATGATCACGCCACTGTACTCTAGCCCAGGCAACAGAGTGAGACCACCTCCCTAAAAAAATAAAAATGAAGATGAAAATGAAAAAAACCAAAAGAGTTTGATTTTCTCACAACAAATAGGTGCCCTGGTTAGTGATGGCTGCCCATTCCATCATTTTTTCAGTCGACTTTCTGAGTCTATCAAACTGCAGTAAATTCTCCTTTGGCCTCAGGATGGAGCCAGGATCTTCTCCAGTCAAATGTCTCTGAGGCCAGCTGGGGTCAGTGGAAACTGTGGGGAGAGGGATGGGGAAGAGCAGGTTCTATCTTTGCTCACATCCTGGAGTTGTTTCTGACCTGCCCAGGAGAGGCTGCCCCTCCAGAACTAGACTCTTCCTTGGCTTTAAGATGTGAAGTCGAGCAGCTGGAAGGACAGACACCTCATCTGACCACTGTTCTATGGACCAAAGGCAGGATGAGCATGGTAGGTGCAGAGGCTGCAGTTGGAAACTTGAAACCCTTGCCTGGGAAATGAAGAGCAAGGCCCTGATTTGGAATGAATATGTTTAAAATAAAAATAATTACACAGAGTTGGAGGAGCTCTTAACACAGATGGAGCTCAATCATCCCAATGTATTGATGGAGAAACAGGCTCAGCAAGTTCATGGCAGAAATGGGGCTCCAATCCTCTGTGAGGCTTTGCCCGGTGCCCTAGCTATCAGGGAACACGAAATCTGTCCAGTGCAACCACCTTCTCTCATCATGTTTGCCACCTGCTTAAGACTCTCCTTCAAGTAAGCAAGTAAGCAGCATGTTCTTACTGACCACAAAGTAGCCATTGTTGGGGCAACTCTGGCAGTGACCTTGATCGCCTCTAGAATGCAAAATGCACTTGACTTATGCAAATACCAACACTTAGTGGCCCTTTGACTGCCAGGGAGCATTATGGACCTTTCGCTGAGTTTCACTTGGACATATGAACTTCTGATCTCAACTGACTCATTTAGTTGGAGCAGGGAATCCCAATGCCTTTGGAAATAGAAAATGGATATGACTCAGGATGAAACATCAGTGGAAACAGACCTTTCAAGATTTTTTAAAAAAATATAACTACTGGTTAGCATAGTCATAAAATTAGATAGTTCTTCTTCCTTATTTAGAAAACAGAATACAGACCGGGTGTGGTGGCTCATGCCTATAATCCCAGCACTTTGGGAGGCTGAGGCAGGCAGATGATTTGAGGTCAGGAGTTCAAGACCAGCCTGACCAACATGGTGAAATCCTGTCTCTACTAAAAATACAAAAAATTAGCTGGGCATGGTGGTGCATACCTGTAGTCCCAGCTACATGGGAGGCTGAGGTGGCAGGATCGCTTGAACCTGGGAGGCGGAGGTTGCAGTGAGCTGAGATCATGCCACTGTACTTTAGCCTGGGTGACAGAGCGAGACTCCATCTCAAAAAAGGAAAAAAAAAAAAAAGGAAACAGAATACAAGGTCAGGCATGGTAACTCACACCTGTAATCCCAGCACTTTGGGAGGCCAAGGTGGGAGGATTGTTTGAGGCCAGGAGTTCGAGGCCAGCCTGGCCAACATAGTAAGACCCTGTATCTACAATAAAAGAAAAAGAAAGAAAACAGAGTACAAAGGGTGGAGTCTGGGTCTCCAGTCTTGTTTGTCTGCTTGTAGGTCCTGCTATTCCAAGTGTGGACCATGTACCAGCTCCATGGGAATCACCAGGGAGCTTGTTAAAAATGTAAAAATCTCAGGCTTTCCCCCAGACCTGGTAGATCACAACCTGTATCTTAGCAAGATCCCCCAGTTGACTTGTAGACACAGGAAAATTTGAGATGTACTGCCTGAGAGCACCAAAACATGTCAAACACAAAATAGACCTGAAACAAAGGAAGAAAATAAAGTATTTACCATGCTTGCATTGTAATGAGAATGCACGCAATAACTTCAGGACATTTATGACAATAGGAATTCTTTTTAAATTAGTAGATGGTTCTTTTTAGAACAGCTTTAGATTTACATAAGAATTGTATAGAGTTCCCATATACCGCCCCCTTATCCCAACATATACAGATTTTCCTCTTATTAACATCATGAATTAGTGTGGCACACTTGTTAAAATTGACTCAATATTGATATATTATTATTAAAGCCCATAGTATACATTAAGGTTCACCTTTGTGATGTGCAGTTCTATGGGTTTTGACAAATGCATAATGTCATGTATCCACCATCACCATATCCTACAGAACAGTTTCACTGCCCTGAAAATTCTCTGTGCTCTGCCTGTTCATCCCTCTGTCCTCCCAAACCCCTGGCAACCACTGATCTTTCTACTGTCTCCATAGTTTTAATTATTCCAGAATGTCATATAGCTGGAGTTATACAGTATATATCCTTTTCAGATTGAATTAATTTATGCCTTTATGTTCCTCCATGTCTTTTTGTGATTTGATAGCTTATTTCTTTTTGATAGCTTATTTCTTATACTATTGCTAAATAGCATCCCATTGTATGGCTGTATCAGAGTTTGTTTATACATTCATCTATTGAAAACTCTTTTGGTTGCATCCATTTTGGGAAAATGATGAATAAGGCTGCTGTAAACATTTGTGTGCAGGTTTTTGAGTGACCATAAGTTTTCAGCTCTGTTGGGTAAATACTTAGGAGTACAATTGCTGGATTGAATGGTAACACTATATTTAGCTTTGTAAGAAACTGTCAAATTGGAGCAGGGTGTGGTGGCATGTACCTGTAGTCCCAGCTACTCAGGAGGCTGAGGCAGGAGGGATTTCTTGGGCCGAGGAGTTTGAGACTGGAGTATGCTATAATCACACTTGTGAATAGCCACTGCACAGATGCACAAAAGAAACTGTCAAACTGTCTTCCAAAGTGGCCGTGCCATTTTGAATTTCCACTGGCATTGAATGAGAGTCCCTGTTCCACATCCTTGGCAGCATTTGTGGTGTTAACGTTTTGGATTTTAGCCATCCTCGTAGGTATGTCATAGTTATTTTGATTTGCAATTTCTAATGACATATGATATTGAATGTGTTTTCATATGCTTAACTGTCATCTGTATGTCTTCTTTGGTGAAGTGTCTGTTCAGATCTTTTGCTCATTTTTTAATTGAGTTATTCATTTTCTTATTTTTGAGTTTTAGGAGTTCACTGTATATTTTGGACACAAGTCCTTTATCAGATATGTGTTTTGGAAGCATTTCTCTTAGTCTGTGACTTTTGTATTGTTCACAAAGCAGGAGTTTCATATTTTAATAAAGTCCAACTTAACATTTCTTTTCCCAGCTCCACATTCAGTGGTATCATGTTGGTAACTTGGGATCAGCCATATTGGGGGTATTTACACTGAAGAAATTGGCAGACTCTACAAATCAGGGATTTCCACCTTCCTTACAAGAGTTGATTGTTAAACCATTTTATAGCACACGACTGCCTCCTATGAACTTTCTATTGAATCATTCCAGTTGGTCTATTACTTTAGTTATAACTTTTTTTATGTACCAGAGAAGCTTTTTGTTTTGTGTACATATGTAAGATATTGGTATTTTATTTTTCTTTTGATTTAATTTCTCTTGGCAAGGCATGGTAGCTCATGCCTATAATTCTAGGACTTTGGGAGGCAGAGGCAGGAGGACTGCTTGAGGCCAGGAGTTCCAAAACAGCCAGAGCAACATAGCAAGACCTCATCTCTAAAAAGAAAAAAAAATTAGTCAGCTGTGGTGACATGTGCCTGTAGTCCGAGCTACTTGGGAGGCTTGGGTGGCAGGATCTTTTGAGCTGAGTAGTTCGAGATGGTAGTGAGCCATTATCACACCACTGCATTCCAGCCTGAGTGACAGAGTGAGACCTTGTCTTTTTTTTCTGAGACAGGGTCACACTCTGTCACCCAGGCTGCAGTGCAGTAGCACAATCATGGCTCACTGCAGCCTCTGCCTGTGAGGCTCAAGCGATCCTCCCACCTTAGCCTCCCAAGTAGCTGGACTACACGTGCACACCACCATGCCCAAGTACTTTTTGAATTTTGGGTAGAGATGGAGTCTCCCTATGTTGCCCAGGCTAGTCTCCGAGTCCTGGGCTCAAGTGATCCCACCTCAGTCTCCCAAAGTACTGAAGTACTGAGATTACAGGTGTGAGCCATCTCATCCAGCAAGACCCTATCTCTTGGAAAAAAAGAATAACCAAAATATGTCTAAAGAAGAGAGAAGAGGGATTTTCCTTAGTATATATGAAGACTTAAAAAAAATTACAGTAATTAGGCCAGGTTTGGTGGCTCACGCCTGTAATTCCAGCACTTTGGGAGGCCGAGGCGGGCAGCTTGCCTGAGCTCAGGAGTTCGAGACCAGCTTGGGCAACACGGTGAAACTCTGTCTTTACAAAAATACAAAAAATTAGCCAGGTGTGGTGGTGTACACTTGTAGTCCCAGCTACTCAGGAGGCTGAGGCAGGAGAATTCCTTGAACCTGGGAGGCAGAGGTTGCAGTGAGCTGAGATTGCACTGCTGCACTCCAGCCTGGGCGACAGAGTGAGACTCTGTCTCAAACAAAAAAAAAAATTATAGTAATTAGGCAGAGTGATATTAGGGCAAGTGTAGAAAAATAGATCAAAGCAACATAAGGGAAGCCCAGAAATAGATCTAAGCATAGGTGGAAACTTACGTGATAAAGAAAACATTAAAATCAGAGGGGAGGCCGGGCGCGGTGGCTCATGCCTGTAATCCCAACACTTTGAGAGGCTGAGGCAGGCGGATCTCCTGAGGTAAGGAGTTCGTGACCAGCCTCGCCAACATGGTGGAACCTCATCTCTACTAAAAATACAAAAATTAGCCAGGCATGGTGACAGGCCCCCGTAATCCCAGCTTCTCCGGAGGCTAAGGCAGCAGAATCGCTTGAACCTGGGAGTGGAGGTTGCAGTGAACCAAGATCGTGCCATTGCACTCCAGCCTGGGCGACAAGAGCGAGACTCCGTCTCAAAAAAAATAAATAAAAAATAAATACATAAAAATAAAATAAAATCAGAGGGGAAACACTGGGCTGTTCAACAAAAGGTGCTGGAATCATTGACTTTCCTTACGGGTAAATAAAACTAAATTTCTGCCTCATACTACACATGAAAATAAACTCCAAATGAATTAAAGGATTAAAGCCCTAAGTGTAAAACCCCGAAATTTAGAACCAATAGGAGAAAGATACTGAGAAAAATATTGTTAAACTCATGTTACAGAGAGGCATGCAGGACTTTGCAAACAAGGTACTAAACATTACTGATTGATAACTTGTATGGCATGAAAGTTAAAAGTGGTAGTTTTTTTTTTTTTTTTTTGAGATGGGATCTTACTCTGTTGCCCAGGCTGGAGTGCAATGGCACAATCTCTGCTCACTGTAACCTCCGCCTCCTGGGTTCAAGCGATTCTCCTGCCTCAGCCTCCTGAGTAGCTGGGATTACAGGCATGTGCCACCATGCCTGGCTAATTTTATATTTTTAGTAGAGACGGGGTTTCTCCATGTTGGTCAGGCTGGTCTGGAACTCCCGACCTCAGCTGATCCGCCCACCTCGGCCTCCCAAAGTGCTGGGATTACAGGAGTGAGCCCCCACGCCCGGCCAAAAGTTTTTATATTATAAAAATGCCATAAATAAAAGACAACTGGCATGCTTACAGAATATATTTGCAACATATATAGCAAACACTTGTTGTCTTGTTTTCCAATGTGTTGCCTCCTGGAAGCCGCTGATACAGAAGCCTGAGGGAACACACTCCCCCCTACGTCCTTCTCCAACACAGCAGAGCCAGGAAGGACCCGGATGGAAGTTAGGACAAAGAGGCCCAGAATTGGCACAGATACCAACAGACCATTCGTTGAAGAAGAAATCCAAATGGCCATAAGGTGTGTGTAAAAATGCTCAGTTGCACCAACAGCTAGGGGAAGCAAGTGAAAACAATGATACGCAATTTTATACTCATCAGATTGGGAAGAATTGACAAATGTGATATTATCAAGTGCTGGCTATGGTGCCGCTAGGAATGTAAACTGGCACATCCATTGAAGAGAGTATTTTAGGAATGACTGGTAACGTTGAAAATGTGCATGCCCCTCATCTGACCTATGCAATATGCTTACAAAAAACATTTAACCTGATAATCATGAGGAAGCAATAGGCAAATCCAAATTGGTGAGTATTCTGCAAGACAACTGGTCTGGGTTCAAGAGCATCAATGTCATTTTAAAGAAGAAACCAGATTAAGTCTGGCCGTGGTGGCTCACACCTGTAATTCCAGCACTTTGGAAGGCTGAGGCAGGTGGATCATTTGAACTCAGGAGTTTGAGACCAGACTGGGCAATATGGTGAAACCCCTTTCCACAAAAAATACAAAAAATTAGCCAGGCATGGGGTGGCATGTGCCTGTGGTCCCAGCTACTGGGAGGATCGCTGAAGCCCAGGAAGCCGAGGCTGCAGTGAGCTGAGATTGCACCACTGCACTCCAGCCTGGGTGACAGAGTGAGACCTCAGCTCAGAAAAGAAAGAAAGAAAGAAAGAAAGAAAGAAAGAAAGAAAGAAAGAAAGAAAGAAACCAGATTAAAGAACTTTCTAGATTAAAGGACACCAAAGAGCCACAACAATTAGATGCAATGCCTGATTCTTGTTGGGATTCTGGATCGGAAAAAAGCCAACAAATTGGATATAAAAACCATTATTGGGACAATAGGGGAAATTTGTATATTAGATAGTTTTACTGTATACTAGATACAGTATTGTGTTCATGTTCTTGTCCCCGCCAAGACTGATGAGCCCCCAGGGACTCAGATAGTCAAGATTCTAAGCAGGCTGTCAGAGCCTTAACAAGGTTCTGAGCCCAGGACTGAGGTAGGGGTTACTTCGGGCTGAGGGGATTAGCAAAGGCTTGTGAAGTGGCTAAAGCCGTGACCTGGATATTTCAGGACTCAAATCCACCCGCATTGGAATTCTCTGGGTGACTGCCCAGCCCCTTTGGCAGGACAGCCAGCCACAGGCCCTGATTGTGCAGGACTTCCTGCCTCTGCAAAGGCAGTCGGGGGCTGAGCAGGGTTCTACCCGGCTGGGTCCAGGCAGAAGTTTTTCCTCCCCACCTCCGGGTTTGTCCTCATCATCGGTCACTCCCATTCACAGCTTTAAGATTCTGGAGGCCAAGAATTTGACTCCCCCCGGATCCATGGTCTGTGGATACCAATGTTCCGACTGGAGACGGGGAGCCCGCGAGACCCGGGTCTCCAGGGTCTGCCCAAGGAAGTTGCTCATGGGAGCAGACCTCTAGAGCAGGATTTGAGGCCAGGCCAAAGAGGTTAGTTACTGATGGGGGCTGCATAAATTGGGGGTTGTGGAGGGACGCCAGCTGGGAGGGAGAGACTGGAGAAGGGGGTGTGTGGAGAGCCCAAGAGGAGGCCCAGGGGGAGGTGCGCAGGCACAGCCTCTGTTGAAGGAGTCTCTCTAAGGCTGCTAGGGTCCTTCACCTGTCATTGTCAGGCCTGGAGAGCGGGCTTTTAAGGAGGCCAGGCCACACCTCAAGGGAAGATGGAGGTTACCGGAAGGTCATACCTAAAATTACGGGCAAAACCAGGGAGAGTTATGAACAGGCTGAGTTAGGACTTGTGTTTACGTTAATCTGAGGCCTTGCTTGGATTTCTTTTTAACCTAAACCACAGGCAAATATTCCCCTTTAGGGAGAGAATTCGCCGACATCTATTTAACATCCCTTAATTGTTGAGAGCATCCACTGTGTGCCAGACACTTCGGTACACACAGAAAGAAACCCAGAGGAGGGTAAGATGCCCTTATAGGGAGATCTTTCTCCTCCCTTCCTCCATCTCTCCCTCTCTCTCTCTCTCGCTTCCCTCTCTGAAGACGGTCTAGCTTTGGGCTAAGTATACGTGGCCTCAGGAGTCAAATGGATCAGGACAACTCCGAGCTTTGTCACTGACCAGCTGGGCACAGGTGTGAGTCATTTTTTTTTCTTCAAGCCTCAGTGTCCCAATCTGCAAAGTGCATATGATGGTAATATCTACCTCATAGGGTCACCCTAGGGATAAAATGAGAGAAGGCCCATAAAGAACTTAGTGTGGTATCTGGGCTCAATAAGGCATCAGCTATTTTTATTAGCCATTCAACAAACATTTTTTCCTAGGATCCAATCTGTGCCATGCAGAGTGCTAGGTGCTGCCAGGGAGAGATAAATGAGACACCCTCAAGGATTCACAGTCTAGTTTGTTCATTTGTTGATTGATTTCATCAATAAATATGTATCATGCCCTACACTGAGCACTGGAGATGTCAAAGTATTAATAAAAGACACTGTCCCTGTCCGCAGGTTGCTCACAGCCTGGTGGGAGAGACATTGCAACACAATGTGATTGGTGCTGTGAAGAGAGAGAGCACACGGTACTGGGAGAGCTCAGGGCAGGGGGTTGATCCAGTTCCGGGCAGGGCGATGGATTCACAAGACATTTTGGCAAAGGTAGACCCAGCTTCCGTGTTTCCCAGCTCACAGGTGCACTCCTACCCTGGGGCCTTTGTACTTGCTCTTCCCTCTGCCTGGAGCTTTCTTCCCCTAGGATGTCCCCATAGCTTGCTCCTTCACGGCTTTACTCAAGTGTCACCTCCCCAGCAAGACCTTTCTTGGCCACCCTGTTTAAAGTGGCCACTCCAGCCCAGTGTGGTGGCTCATGCCTGTAATCCCAGCACTTTGGGAGGCCGACGTGGGTGGATCACTTGAGGCCAGGAGATCGAGACCAATCTGGCCAACATGGTGAAGCCCTGTCCCTACTAAAAATACAAAAATTAGCCAGGTATGATGGTG
The DNA here is from genome assembly GCF_000001405.40 of Homo sapiens. Lineage (NCBI taxonomy): Eukaryota > Metazoa > Chordata > Mammalia > Primates > Hominidae > Homo > Homo sapiens. Next base: position 20,071,978 of record NC_000001.11, read on the forward strand.
CACAGCTGTAGTCCCACCTACTCAGGAGGCTGAGGCAGGAGAATTGCTTGAACCCAGGTGGCGGAGGTTGCAGTGAGCTGAGATCGCACCGCTGCGCTCCAGCCTGGGGCAACAGAGCAAGATGTCTCAAAAATAAATAAATAAAGTGGCCACTCCCACCATCAACAGTCCCCGTCCCCATCCCCAAACACACACACTCAGCACTCCCACCCTGCTCCCTGCTTTATTTTTCTCCATTTCATCGATCACCACCTGACAAGCTGTACATTTTACTTATTCGCTTGTCTATTTCTGGCTTCTCCCTCCAGAATGCAAGCTCTGCCATGAGGGTAGGGTTCTCAGCTGTTTTGCTCTTTGCTGTATCCCCAGTGTCTAGAACAGTGCCTGGCACATGATACGTGCTTGCTAAATAGTTATTGAATGATAAGTACGTTAAGTTTACAAAGATGAGTAGGAGTTGAGTAAGACAAGAAAGGGAGGGAATAACAGATGAAAAGGGAACAGGGGGAGGGAGAGAGAGACAGAGAAAGAGAGAGAGAGATTGAAATTAGTGAGTTTAAGGAACTAAAAGCCTTCACATCCAGCTTATTCCCAGGAATGCGTTAGGGGTGGTATAAGGCAAGGCTGGCGTAGGTTGGGGGCCAAGCTGTGCGAGGCCATGTCCTGTGAGGGGAGACAGGTGCCTCTGACTTGGGCGGATGTGCTATGTGCTGTTACAGAGGTTAGGAAGATTGACCCAGGAAAAAAGGAGGAAGCCATGAACTCTGCTGGGGAGCTATCAGGGAAGGTGTCTCAAAAGAGGAGGCACCTCCTCTTAGGCCCAGGGAAAAAGTTTCAGTGTTATTCTAGACGTGACGGACATTCTGAAGGCCTGTTCCCACATCCCCTGTCTTAACAGACAGACACTGGGTTAGAAACTTTTCGGTGCTTGCACGGGTGGATTTCACTTTGCATTTGGTCCTCGTAGTGCCTAACGGGACCTCTGCCCACAAAATTGCTCAAGAAAGATTTGCTGGGTTGGATTGGGATTGAGGCAGGTGGAGCGGCCTTGAATTGTAGATGATTCAGGCTCATGAGCCTAGAACCTTGGGCACCATCTGTGATCTTGCCAGGCAGAGTGACAGCCTTTCCTAGGGTTTCTCCCTCCTCAAAAAAAGAAGGGACATTAACCATGTGGAAAAACAAGTAGATTTTAACCAGTTAGAAAAAGAGAGTGGAGAGCATTTTAGGTGGAGGAAAAACAACAGAAACAAAGACAGAAAGGAAGGTTAGTTCATGGGAGATTTCTTAAGAGTGAACAGTTTAATGGATTACATTTTTCAAAGATAAAACATGTATTTGCTATGAAGTTGGTGTGTGGATTGCCTTCTTAGCCAAAGTTATGGTGAAAGTTGAACTTGAGCCTGTTATTAACCAATAGCTGTAACATATGTATAAGCTGCATGTGCATGCTAGGCTGACACCCAGATAGAACTAGTGGTGTGTATCTTTACAGGAAGCTGCCAATTTACAGCCTGGCTGAAACCCACTTGGGGCTGCTTCTACTTCCACATTTAATTGGTTCATCCATCCCATCATTCTTTTATTCCACAAATAATTATCAGCCACCAGATATGCATTAGGGGCCGGGTGCGGTGGCTGACACCTGTGACCCCAGCATTTTGGGAGGCAGAGGCAGGCAGATCATTTGAGGTTGGGAGTTCGAGACCAGCCTGGCCAACATGGTGAAACCCCGTCTCTATGAAAAATACAAAAATTAGCCCAGCGTGGTAATCCCAGCTACTCAAGAGGCTGAGGCAGGAGAATCACTTGAACCTGAGAGGCGGAGGTTGCAGTGAGCCGAGATCACACCATTGCACTCCAGCCTGGGCGACAGAGGGAGACTCCATCCAAAAAAAAAAGAAGATATGCATTAGGCCCTCTGCTACCTGCTAATAATATAACAAAGAACAAGATGAACATGTTTCCCGCCCTCAGATGCCTATATTCTAGGGGCAGGCATAAGGCACATGAGCCATAAACAAGTAAGTAAAAGAGAGTTAAAGATGACGGTCAGTGCCATGAAGGGGAAAAACAGGGTGACCTTGGGTAGGTAGTCAGGGGAGGCCTCCTGGAGAAGGTGGCATTTAAGGCGAGACCTGGAGGATAAAGAATCAAGGACTAAGTATTCTAGGCAGGGGGAGCAGGAAATGCAAAAGCTGTTGTTGGAAAAGCTCAGAGAGTTCAAGAATAAGTCAATTCGAGAGCACAGAATGTCAGAGCCTGCGGGCATCCTGGAGCCCATCCACTTCTCTCATGCTGGTCATTGCTCTTGTAACATATCTGCACACGACTCTGGCCTGCATAAACTGTTGCAGGGAGGGGGTCCTACAGGGCAGGGAGCACAAAATAATTGACAGCTCTCTCCATGTTACGGAGCAACTGAAGGGCTTATGAGTTTTCTTTGTTTTTGAACCTTGGCAAAATGTAATTTTAAAAACATTTTTTACAGGATAGAACCGAGGCTTCATAACTGACGAAGCTGACTTCATGAGCTTTGACAGATCTTGTCTGCATTTTAAGTGTTTCCAACACTTAAAGATTAAGTTCCTTTTCCTGAGAAGTCGAGCGGGGGCATATCCCACCCACTCAGTGCCCACCTCCCATGCGACATTTCTTTTCCTAAAAAGTGGCAAATAAAAAGTGCCTTCCGGGGAGAGGAAACTCACCACTCCCAAGACAGCTCATTCAATTCCCAGGACACATGAGCTGTTAGAAAAACGTTCTTGGATTGAGCCAAAATCTGACTGCTTAGCGCGTCCGTGCCTGGTGGGTGTTGGTTCCGCAATCTGGAGCCACATGGGACAGTTCTGATTCCTCCTACTCCCCACAGCCCTTCAGAGATTTGGAGACAGACTGGGTACCCCCAGCCACTTTCCAAACCCAAGTCAGCCCCAATTCCCTCCCTTCTGTCTCCTGTGATCCAGACACCTCCTAAGCCTCCTCACATGGGGGCCCAGGGCCAGGCACATCCCTCTGGGTGTGGCCTGCTAGGAACCCTCGTTCTGGGCACCACAGTCCTGCCACCACCGCCAAAGATGACCACTGCCTCTGTGATGTGACTAGTACTGGGTTTGGGGGTCACGCATGTGATTGCTGAGCTGTGTTACCCACCCTGTCCTTGTGCAGTTCAGCTTTGGGGGTCTTTGGACAGGGCCTATTCACTCTCTTCTTATAGAACTCAGGTTATCTTGTTCTTGATCAAGATCAGGATAAGATCAGGACAAGATCAAGATCCAACCTCCTTAGCCTGACCCCCAAGGGCCTTTGTGACCTACCCAGCTCCATCTCTTTGGCCAGTCCTTCCCACCATTCCTGAATTCCTACTAAACACTTGAAGAAAGTTTCTGAGCAGTCACTTGGGGGCATGTCCCACCATCCTGTTAAAAATAACCAGTATTTATTGAGACCTTACTATGTGCCTAAACATCTACCGTGTATCAACTCAGAACATAGACATGAGACAGGTACAATTATTTACCCAATTATTCATGATGGTGAACTAAGGCACAGAGCAGTTAAGAAAGTTGCCAGAGGTCACACAGCTAATAAGTGGTCGTTCCAGGGCATGGGCACCATGCATCCAGCCTCAGTCCATGGTGTGCAGCTTGTATTGGCTTATGAGGGCTGACCAGTGATTCCTCCAGGCAGAGAGCAATTGTGAGGCAGATTAGACTTAAGACTGTAAGGAGTGGTTAAGGACTAGGGCAGAGCAAAACACATACCACATCTATGGGGGCAGCTACTTCTTGGCAATGGCCAGTTGTTGCCTGTAGGAGTCCAGACCCAGGATTCCTAGATCTTTTAAAAAGAAACTGGAAATGGAAATGTGGAAATGTGGATTTCTTTCTCTTTTTTTTTTTTTTTTTTTTTGAGACAAAGTCTCACTCTGTCCCCCAGGATGGTGTGCAGTGGCGCAACCTCGGCTCACTGCAACCCCCGCCTTCCGGGTTCAAGCGATTCTCCTGCCTCAGCCTCCCAAGTAGCTAGGATTACAGGCACTCGCCACCACACCCAGCTAATTTTTGTACTTTTTAGTAGAGACAGGGTTTCACCTCACTGGCCAGGCTGGTCTCGAACTCCTGACCTCAATTCGGGCCTGCCTCGGGCTCCCAAAGTGCTGGTATTACAGGCATGAGCCACTGTGCCTGGCCTGGAAATGTGGATGTCTGTCTAGGATCTCTTAGCATTTATACATTGGCAGCTAATTCCATTTTGTTTTTTTTAAAGCACCGTGTAGATCAAGCAAAGCATTTCTTAGGGCTGTATGGAGCCCTGGGCTGAAAGTTTATAACCAAAAATCCAGTTCCACTCATCGGCAATTATTGGAACACTGAACCAACTTAACCAACTGTAACTCAGCTCTCACTTTTCCACCTTGTTTATAAGGAAACCACGTGACACTCTGGTTAGATGTCTTGTGAAAATCCCAATCATTATGTCCTTACTGGGTCTCAACCCTTTTTTGTAAAGAACACAGATTTGACAGACAGATGGGTCAGGTGTACGATTCTGGGTCCTCCTTTTACTAACTGTGTGACCTTGGATGAGGTACCTAACATCTGCCCCTCTGTTTCCTTGCTTACACGTTGGGATCATAATGCCCCATGAGATTTTGTGAAGATTAAGGAATACCATGAATGCTGAACTTGCCTTGCACTTGTAGCATAGCAAATGTTCATTAAAGACCGAGTTCTTCCCTCATTCCTTTCTGAGCCATCAGCCTTGTAATCCCCTCCAACAGGAAATGCCAGAGTGGACAGCATATCAGATGAGTTCTATAACATTCCAGAGACAGGTAAGCTCCCTGTGGAAAGAAGGATCATGGAAGACTTCCCGGAGGAGGAGGACTTGATGTAGATTTTCTGCCAATGAGCTCTGGGTAATCCTGTTGCATGTGCCAATAAACCATTTGACAAGGCCAGGGATATCTCAGCAGCTTAGGTTCTCAGGGTGAGGGAGTTTCCAGGTTTCCATGGCTACCCTTGGCAGGGCTTTAGCCCTGGGGCGAGCCTGCATGTGATAGACCCAGCAAATGACAGAGAACAAGTGTGTTTATGTGATGTTTAATTAGTTCTACAAATAGTTCTTGAGGATCTATAATGGGTCAGACATTGTTCCAGGTGCTAAGATCAGAAATGGATCAGAGGACAATTTTGCCCTCAAGAGGCTTCCATTCAATTGGAGGTGGAAGTGGCTGGGGCATCTTTAATCACCGAAGTGTGAATGATTGGATCCATTGCCAAGAAAGGGGAACTGGGAAAGACTGTTTTGAGGGGACAGTGAGTTTAGTTCTGAGGTTCCCAAGGGTTATTGGGATAGAATATCAGACTCTATCTATCATCTGTCTATCTATCCATCCATCCATCTCTGTGTAATCATATTTGACGTGTGGACTGGGCAGTGGGGTGAGAATGGAGCTGGAGCCAGAGGAGTCGTGCATTCACTCAGCAAACTCTTACTGAGCACCTACTATGTGCCAAGTGTTGGGTTACAGAGGCGAAGCAGACGCAGAGCCTACCCTCATGGAGTTCTCAGTTTACTGGAAAGACATAATCACAATATTTATGGTAGTTATGACTTACTGAGCACCTACAGGGTGCCAGGCACTGTCCCGGGCCGTTCTGCCTGACTTATCTCATCGAATTATCAGCGTTACTAAGTGAGTCTGGTTCTATGATTATCCTATTTTACACAGATAAAACTGAGACCCAAAGAGGAGAAAAAGCTGGTTCAGGTGACACAGTGGTCACAGCTGAGACACAGATTTGAACACACGTCTCTCCTACGTTGGATCTTGGATCTGACATTGTGCTTTCTCCTGGTTGCTGTATTCAGTCATTCCTTCATTAAGCATTGTTTGTTGAGTCAAAGCTAGGGCCAAACTTCTCTGTCCGGGACACCCCCGGATGCCTGCATAGAAATAAGAGCTAAATCCCTGAACTCGAATGAGCTCATCCAGAGAGTGGCTGAGACAGAGAAGGGCAACTCCAGAGGGCAGGTCCCACAAACACACCTGCATTTGGGGGGCCAGCAGAGATGGGATGGGGGGATTAGCCACAGGAGGGCAGGCGGCACAGTGCAGCCTTGTGAAGCCCAGAGGGAGAGAGAGTTTCGAGAAGGAGGAGGTGGACTTCAAGATGAGTGCCCTGAAGGACTGAGGAGGTGACCCCCAAGCTTGGGCTATGCCAGGCTTTGGGGGTCCCTGAGGGCAAGCTCAAGGATGCAGCAGATGCCAGGCAGTGAAGGGTTCAGAGTGGGGGATGACGAAGGGCAGCCTTCTCTGTTTAGAAATTTGACTTTTAGAGAAAAAAAGAAGTAGAATTGTCCCTAGAGGCAAGGGATTTTTTTTTCTTTTTTGTGGCTTGGTTTTGTTTGGTTGAGAATGGCGGAGCAGGTGTGTGTTCGTAGGTGGGGGAAGAAACTGGTTGAGAAGAAGAAACGAAAATACAGGATGGGGAGAGGACTCTTCCCCATGGCTCTGATCACCGCCAGACACCATCTGTGTTTACTTCTGTCTTCACGATCTGTTTCCCACCAGCCACAAGGGCAGCTCTGTGAAGGCACAAGTTCTGTCTCATTCACCGTGGGATCCCAGTGCCTGGCACGTAGTAGACACTTCATAAATATTTTTGATATTGAGTTGAATTCACAGGGTTCTTCCGGGAGCCCAGTGGTTAGTCCTAGGAAGAGAAGGGTTCATGGGGGCCTTAAGGAGGGGCTTCTCTCTGATGCTACCATGACAAGAGAGAGGGAGAGAAAAAGAAGTCAACACAAGTAGAGGCAGGAGCCAAAAATCCAAGTCTTTGGCGGGGTACAGTGGCTCATGCCTGTCATCCCAGCACTTTGGGAGGCACGGGTGAGAGGATCACTTGACCCCAGGAATTCGAGACTAGCCTGGGCAACATGGTGGGACCCCGACTCTATAAAAAATGCACAAAGAAATTAGCCAGGCATGGTGGTGCCCACTGTAGTCTCAGCTACTCGAGAGGCAGAGGCAGGAGGGAAGATGGCTTGAGCCCAGGAGGTGGAGGCTGCAGTGAGATGTGATTGTGTCTCTGCACTCCAGCCTGGGGGACAGAGACAGACCCTGTCTCAAAAAAAAAAAAAAAAAAAAAATCCAAGTCTTCTCAAAAAAGTGTGTGTGGGGTGGTGGTGTGAAGGGTGGAATTAACAGAAGTAGAAAATGGAGAATACTAGTAGCTACTTATGTCCTGTGAGAACATTCTAGAAGGTGAGCTGTCATTGATTTATTAGCATTACTCTGCCTTTGCTATGGCTCTAAGTTATAAATTTAAGAATTCATTTAATCCTAACAACAGCTCTCTGAGGCAAATGAGCTTCAGTCAGCCCTGAGGTGATGTGGCTAGTGGTGAGGAAGCCAGGATTTGAACCCAGGACTTGGAGCTGATATAGAGCCTGTGATGTTACCCACTGGGCCATATACTTCCCCAACTGACATTAGTTTATATGCCTTATTTTTATTTTTATGTATTCATTTATTCATTAATAGAGACAGGGGCTTGCTTTGTTGCTCAGGCTAGAGTGCAGTGGTGCAATCACAGTTCACTGTAACCTGGACCTCCTGGGCTCGGGCCATCCTCCCACCTGAGCCTCCCAGGGTGAGCCATTGTGCCTGACCCACATGTGCCTTGTTTTATATACTACATTCCTCACCAGGAGCCTCTGGGTTTGGAGGGGCTCATAATTCTCATGTTTTACATTAAGAACAGAGAAATATAGTGACTTGCCCAGGGTCACACAGATACTAAGTGGCTGAGCTGGGACTCCAGCTTGCATCTCTCTAACCGCAAGCCTGGCACTTTCCCCTTCCCTGAGAGAAGAACTGTAGGAAGTTAGCACAGAGTCAGGTGCCAAAAAAGGGCTACCACCTGGACGTGGCAGGCAACATTCTGTGGTGTTTCTGCAGGCATCTCCCGAGTCACCCCAGCTCAGGAACAAGGCAGAAAAAGTTGGGGGTTGGCAAGTTAGGAACAAGAGGAAGAGGACGGGGACAAAGCTGCAAGTCCGGGAGCGGGGCTGCCTGTCTTCTCTGGCAGTTCCTGGGTTGAGGCTGAGCAAAACAGGATAAAATCTGAGCAGGAGCCCACGGCTGGGGGACTTGGCAAAGACCCAGTGTGGTGGGTGGGAGGGAGGCTGTGCCCTGGAGGGGGATTCCAGGGTTCCTGTTCTTAGTGGGGAAGAGCCCTGGATCGAGGGTGGCCCAAGCTCAACTCTGATCACTGTCCCTCCTGATAGCCACCTGGGCACTGTGACCTGCTTCAGAAAACAGCTGCTTCTGTGGCAGTAATCCCAGCACTTTGGGAGTGTGAGGTGGGTGGATCACTTGAGGTCAGGAGTTCGAGACCAGCCTGACCAACATAGTAAAACCCCGTCTCTACTAAAAATACAAAAATTAGCCAGGCGTAGTGGCATGCACCTGTAATCCTAGATACTTAGGAGGTTGAGGCAGGACAATTGTTTGAACCAGGGAGGCAGAGGCTGCAGTGATCTGAGATAGGGCTACTGTCCTCCAGTCTGAGGGAAAGCCAGACTTCGTCTCAAAAAAACAACCAAAATAAACAACTGCTTCTGAATACACAATGGAAAAAAATCCCCAGGGGTTGTGCCAGGGTGAGGGGAAGTAGGGCTTCCTGTGTGACTTACCAGGAATCTTGGAGCTGGCCCATGCAGGGGTGTGGGAGGTGACAGAGAGGTCTTTAAAACCAGGTGGGCCCAGCCCCGGCCTCTTCTGTGGGCCTGAGGACGGAGAAAAGGTCTCACTGGTGAGGAATCTCATCTTTGGGGCTGCTTTGCCTGAGGGAGGTGCAGAGAGCAGGGCCGAGAGAGGGGCTATGAGAGGAGACACCTGGCCCCCTTGGTCAGGGGAGCAGGGCCCGAAGAGGAGTGAACCCCCATCACCTCTCTCACAGACAGCAGGAGGGCTCAGCAGTGCCTTCCGTGCAATGAGGCTCCGCACTGTGCGTTCTTTCCAGCCAGGAGACCTGAACTGGGAGGTCTTGGAGCTGCTGCATGTGGACTTGGGGGACCCGTCCCTTGGCAACCTGGCCACGTCCTGGCCTCCACATCTTCCTATGGGCTGTCCGTCTCTATTCTCTCCCCTCTCATTACTGCAACCGCTGCCCTCCTCTGAAATTCTCTCGCGGCTATGCGCTTCCTCTCTGTGGTCGTTTGATTAAAATAGCTGAGTCCACATCCTCCTCCTGGCGCCCGCTTTGGGCTCTGCTGAGTGGATGGCTCTCCACTCTTCGGGGCAGCCACTCCATGCCTCTGCCACCTCCACCATGAAACTGCTTTTTTACTCTTTCCAGGGTGTGGGTTTTCTCCAGGTATGGGGAGGCCAACAGATCAAGAAATGATTGCCATTGAAAAGATAGCTTGTTATTTACAGCTCCCAGAAGAAGGCGTGCTTCCACCCAGGGCCACGCAGGAAGTGCCAGGTCGGCAGGTCAGGAGGAGCCACGGGAAGCATCGCCCAGGGCCTTTGCTGTGATCTCTGGGAAAGGCTGGTGGGGCAGGGGACACAGTTTAGGACCGGTCAGTTTGAATCATGTCAGTGGAACTCCAGGCTTCCCTAGTTGTCCAGTTTCTGGCCCTGGGGTGATTTAGGGCAGGAGAAACCTTGGCTTGGAGTGTGAGAGTGAGGGAAAGGTGGCCCGGGTGTACCAAGGCACTGGTTGTGTCAGCAGTGGGACGTATCCATACAGGCCTCAGCATCCTCAGGTCTTGCCTCCTCAGAAGAAAGAATTCTCATGGCTGTAATCCCAGCACTTTAGGAGGCCGAGGTGGGCGGATCCTGAGGTCAGGAGATTGAGACCATCCTGGCTAACATGGTGAAACCCATCTCTACTGAAAATACAAAAAATTAGCCAGGCGTGGTGGCAGGCACCTGTAATCTCAGCTACTTGGGAGGCTGAGGCAGGAGAATCACTTGAACCTGGGAGGTGGAGGTTGCAGTGAGCCGAGATGGTGCCACTGCACTCCAGCCTGGTGACAGAGTGAGACAAAAAAAAGAATTCGACTGAGGGACATAAGGCAGAAGGAGAGACTGAGGCAAGTTTCACAGCAGAAGTGAAAGCTTATTAAAAAGCTTTAGAGCAGGGATGAAAAGAAGTAAAGTACACTTGGAAGAGGGGCCAACCAGGCGACTTGAGAGATTCAGGGGTTCTGTTTGACCTTTGACTTGGGGTTTTATACATGGCATACTTCAGGGGTCTTGTTTTCCTTATCCCCTGATTCCTCCCTTGGGTTGGTGGGGTGGGCTGTCCGCACGCTCAGTGACCTGCCAGCACTTGGGAGGGAGCATGCACAGTGTGTTGACTGTAGTTGTACGCATGCTCCCTTGAGGCGTTCTTCCCTTACCAGCCGAACGTCCCTAGCAGGTCATATACCAGTTAAATGCCGCCATTTTGCCTCTTCATGCACATGTGTGAGCCCACTCACCCAGCTCCTGAGATCTTACTGGAAGCTGCTGATCACCTGCTTCAGGTATTCCTGTTTATTGGGAGACTACCTTTCCCTGGTGCTGGCTGTGACCAGTTATTATTTTAGAGAGATGGTTAATAATTTCCTGCCCATCACCTGATGGTTGCCTGACATTCCTGCCCTGCTCCTGTCTGACCAGCTACCTACTGTCACAGTTGGTCTGTATATGAAAGGCATGCTCACAGAGGAGCCATCTGAGGTGTCTAGGAATTAACTAGCAGCCCTGGAAGGAGCAGGCTGTCTCTGGCCTCCAAGATGTCAAAGCGTCCTAAAATATAGAAAATCAAAAGCATGTTTAGTGCCCAGGGATGCTCAGAGGCAGTGGAGTAGAGTCAGTCAAGGAAATAGATTCACAGTTATGGGCTAAACCCTTGGGGACCTCACTTCAATTGTCTGAGCCTCAATTTCCTTATCTGTAAAATCAACAACTGTTATTCATTGAACAAGTGACTGTTTAAAAGGACAGACACCGGGCCTGCCAAGGTCATTGATGGGTTTAGAGAGATAGAGGATAGTGCTTGGCACACCAGAGGTGCTCAGTGAGTGGCAGGTGGTGTCCTTGTGCCACAGCTCCAGGGAGCAGCAGAGAAAGATTGGTGTGGAATGGTGGGGTCTAGGGCCATTTCTTTGGCTGTTTGGAGCCCTTGGAGCAGAGGCTATGGGTGGACAGAACCCTCAGGAATGTTCTTGGGATTCAGAGTTGCTGCTGGACAAGGGTTGTCCCAGAGGCCAGCTGTGGACAGAACCTTCAGGAATGTTCTTGGAATTCAGAGTTGCTACTGGACAAGGGCTGGCCTGCCAGCCCAGTAGCCAGGAGCCCAGGGGAGTCTGAAGCATGTTTGGAGGCCAGGTCTTGGGAGGCGCCAGGGGTTCAGGTAGAGCTCTGGCACAAGCGACCGTTCAACTCAGGGACTTGAGACAACAGAGCACTGAAGGGGAGAGCCCCAGGCCTGCCGAGCTGTGGACAAACAAGGACTTTGGATCCTAGGAGGAAGGCAATCAGGCAGCTGCCGGCAAGGAACCTCTGAGAAGCCAAATTAGAATCAGGTGCTGGCCTGAGACACATGGAATTTCCTGGACTCTAAGCTGGCAATGGCTGTTTTTACCAAAGACAGATTCTAAGGAGTGAAGCCAAGGGCTCTGGCCTGAGAGGTAGAGCATGAGAAGGAACAAACACAGACCCCTAAAGGATTCATGCCTCTGGGAAGGGAGGCTGCGTGGTGCAGTGAGGGGTGCAGAAGGACGCGGCTCGAATCCAGCCTCCACTGCTTAATGGCTGTGTGACCTCTGGCAAGGTCCCTGAGCTTTCTGAGCCTCAACTTTCCCAGTGGCAAAATGAGAACAGTAATACCTACCCTGCAGCACTCTCGTGAGCCCCCAGGGTTGACTTATTCTTTAGGTAGACACAGTGCCTGGGTCCCAGGAGAGTGTCTTAATTTTATAAATTCTTTTAAAATCAAGAGGAAGGAAATGAACATAATAATGAATATATAATAATAAATCCAGCTTGGATTACATTTTTCTTTATAGCATCATAGTTGTCAAAAATAATTATGTGAATATAGATATAAAGATATAGCAGAAAGATGCCTACAAAGGCAAAAGCGCTTGGGGCCCATAAGAGCCATAATCAGGCCCTGAAAGCCACTGGCACATTGTGGGAGCCCAGGCTTCACTGCTGAGCACCTCCTCTGGGCCAGGCACTATTCTCAGTGGTAGAATAGAGGTGTGCATCCGCCCAGCCTCTGCCTGCAAAGAACCATCAGGGTAGACATCCTTAAAAACAGGCAACTACAGCACTGTGAGCTAAAAGGAGTATGAGATGTAGAATCACCGGCTTTCCTTCTGCCCTCCTGCTGTGGGCGTCAAGTGCTCTCTGTCCAGGAATTTTTTTCTTCCGTCTTACATCTTTCATCAAAGGCCATGTCTAGGTTATATCAAGTCCTGCTTCTCCACGTATGCCACCAAATCTCCATTTAAGAATCCTGCCCATTCTCTGGTCCCTTTTAGCCATTTTGCCAACGGGGTGAGTATGTCTGGGGTGTTTGTGGCTAAAAGTGCACTGGTGGTAGGGACAGTGTCCCTGCAAATGCTTCCATTATTGTCCCTCTGCCTCCAGGGCCCTCAGTGGACCTACAGTTTTTTGCCTCATCTTTTCTGGCTGGACTCATCTTGTTTATTGCCCACCATGACGGGGAGTGGAATAGATGGGGCCTGGTGGAGAGCCAGGGTGGGATCTGAATGGGCCACGGGGGCATTGCCTGATAGATCTGTTGTGGGATGTGTTTTTTTTTCCAGAACCCCAGAGATGAAAGGCCTCCTCCCACTGGCTTGGTTCCTGGCTTGTAGTAAGTGCTGGCCCCGTGACCTTCGAATGAACTTTTACCCCATGGGAGTAACAGGGTGGTGAAAAGGACACCAGCCATTGAGGTCGTAGAGACTTGGGTTTGAATCTCGGCTCTGCACTGACTGCATAGACATTCAGCAAGAGCCTTCATGCCTCCGAGCCTCTGCTTCCTCATCTGGCATGGGCTAATGCAGTCCATGCGTAAGGCTGTGGCAGGGTCCTAGGAGATATTGTACCTCAGCTGTGTAAAGGTTGTGGACATAGAGGTTATGTGGCTGGCAAGTGTAGGAGGCAGATTTTTTCCCTGTATGCAAATAAAATAAGATTTACAAAATCCCCCAATCAATCCAAATAAAAATCAAAACTCTTATCTAAATATCCCAACCTATGATTCCTGGGTCATTCTCAGCTCAGGCTTGTCCAGCTGGGAAGTGACTGTATAGATGGCTTTAGTCCCATCCTGCGGCCCCGTGACCGTATATACAACCCCCGACAGGCTGTCCTGCTCCTTGATGTCTTGCTAGATCCCTGGAGACTCCAGGAGGAGCTGGAGGCCTGGTGCAAGGAGAGAGCCTTGGGCTCACTGTGAAACCCTGGACAGGGCACCTCTTCCCTCCATGCCTCAGTTTCCCATTAGTAAGATGAGGGAACTGGCTTCAGCGATTTCTAAGAGTCCCATCCTGCTTTTAGATTCTCTGCCTTATGTTCTAAAGGGTGTGAGGGGAGGGAGTGGTGGGGAAGAGGGATGTATTGCCAAGAGAGACAGGAAGCTCCTATCTGCCTGCTTCATGCAAATACATTATGAATTACACCTTATATGTCATGGTCACTTACTATGTGTCTGCCACCGTGCTCAAAATTTACATAGTTGATCTTATTTTAACCCTCATGACAACTCCAAGATGTAGCTGCTAATTTGGGGTCCCCGTTTTCCAGGGGATGAAACTGAGGCTCTGACTCCATTCAATACCATACTTTGAATTAGTGGCAGAGCCAGGATTTGAACCCAGGTCTGCTCATTTTTCAATTCCAAACTCTTAACCAGTTCTCCATACTGCTTGCACCTCCCTTCCCACTAATGGAGAGAATAAAAAAGAGACATGCAGGTCCCTCCAAGCCCTGGGTGGGAGAAAGGGTAGGAGATGTTGGGCAGTGGGCCTAAAGCAGGGCTGGGCTGCCTGGGTGTCACCTGGGGACATGGGCTATCTTCCAGGTGTGCCTGCTGTGCAAGGAGGCTTGCTGGACCTAAAATCAATGATCGAGAAGGTGACAGGGAAGAACGCCCTGACAAACTACGGCTTCTACGGCTGTTACTGCGGCTGGGGCGGCCGAGGAACCCCCAAGGATGGCACCGATTGGTGAGCTGATCGCTATAACTGCCCTTTAGGCTCCAGGCTCTGCACCCATGTTTTCTTATTCAATTCCATATCAGTTCTGGAAGATGAGTATTAAAGTACCATTTTACAAATAAGAAAACTAAGCCTCAAAGAAATTAGCTGGCAATCCCAAGATCTCAGTGGCCTAAGGTGTCAGTTGGTCAACTGTGGCGTAACAAGTGGTCCTCAATGTAGTAGCTTATACAGCACTGGTCATTTACTTTGCTTATGAATCTGCCATTTGGGTAGGGCTTGTGGGGATGGCTTGTCGCAGCTTCAGCTTGGACAACTGAGGCTGGACAATCCACCTTCCAGATGGCTCACTCCTATGGCTGGCAAGTGGTCAGCATCTCCTGGCCTAGGAGCGGGTCAGAGGCCTCAATTCCTGTCACTTAGGCCTCTCCAAGGATGTTCGGGATTCCTCCCAGCATGGTGACTCTTGGGTTGCAAGAGTGAGTGACCCCAAACTGCAAGACCAAAGGATATGGTGTTTTATGGTCAGCCTCAGAAATCCCATTGTGTCACTTACACTGTACTCTTGGTCAAAGCAGTCACAAAGGCTTTAAGAGGGAGGGCATCTAGATTCCACCTCTTGATCGGGAAGTGCTAAAGTTCTAGAAGAACATGTGAAATGGGAGATTTTGCTCCTTGGAAAGCATACCCAACTGGGTTAACAATTCTGATACTGCTAGACATATATAAAGGAAAGGGATGATTAAGCAAATGAAGGACAGATGGTTGGGGCCAAGTTTCTCACTGTTGGAGTGGGATAAGCCAGGGCAGGAAGCCAGAATGATCCATGTGCAAAAGGACTAAAGTTGGAGACATCAGTATGGACTCCTGTTTAGCTTATTGTAGATACAGATGTTTACATGTGGAAGTATGCATAGGTAGCAGTATGCATAGATATCATGGATATATTAGTATCATACTAATATAAGATGTAAGTAATAGGAGAAAATGGTGTTTCCTCTGTAAGATCTTCTCAGTTTTTCTGTAAACCAAGAATACTTTTTATGTGCAATCTGCTACACCTAACATACAGTCATCCCTCGGACTGGTTCCAGGACCCCTGTGAATACCAAAATCTGCAGATGCTCTAGTCCCTGATATAAAATGGCACAGTATTTTCATATAACCTGTGTGATCATATACTTTTTTTTTTTGAGACGGAGTCTTGCTCTGTCGCCCAGGCTGGAGTGCAGTGGCGCAATCTCGGCTCACTGCAAGCTCCGCCTCCTGGGTTCATGCCGTTCTCCTGCCTCAGTCTCCCAAGTAGCATATACGTTTTTTTTTTATACACATGGGCAAATAGAAACATTCTTTTGCTATCAGTGGAGAGGGTCTAAAAGAAATGACATCTCAGTAGCAACAAGCACACTTAATGCCTAGATCTAGTTTCCAATGTCATTCTTCAATAGAAGGCCCCTTCCAAGTCATATATATATATACAGGGTTCCTTGAAGAAATGGTCAATTCTAGGACCAAGGCAGGAAATATACGAGATGAGCCTGGAACTTCTTTTAGTGCCAAAAAGTAAGGAAGTGCTTAAATAAACGCAAACAAAACGGAAGCCCACATTGATGGGGATGTGACAAGTGGCACCTGTGCTGACTGAAAGAGCCCCCAGTGGCCAACCCTGGAACAATTTAGCAACAAAATAAATGGCCCCAAACTCCAGTCTTATCATGAGAAAAAAGAAAATCAGACAAATCCCAATCGTGGGGCATCTTATAAAATGTCTAACCAGTACCCCCTCAAAACAGTCAAGAACAAGGAAAGCATGAGGAACTGCCACACCCAAGAGGAGCCTAAAGAGACAAGACCATGGGCCGGGCGCGGTGGCTCACGCCTGTAATCCCAGCACTTTGGGAGGCCAAGACAGGTGGATGACCTGAGGTCGGGAGTTTGAGACCAGCCTGACCAATGTGGAAAAACCCCATCTCTACTAAAAATACAAAATTATCTGGGCATGGTGGCACATGCCTGTAATCCCAGCTACTCAGGAGGCTGAGGCAGGAGAATCACTTGAACCTGGGAGGCAGAGGTTTTGGTGGTGAGCTGAGATCGCGCCATTGCACTCCAGCCTGGGCGATGAGAGTGAAACTCCGTTTCAAAAAAAAAAAAAGGCAAGACAATGAAATGTAACATGGGATCCCCAGTGGGATCCTGGGACAGAAAAAGGACATTAGGTAAAAACTAGGGAACTCTGAATCAATTATGGCTTTTTTTTTTTTACAATTAGTGAGATAATGATGTATTATTTAGTGAATAATTATCAATAATGTATCAATATTGGTTCATTAATTCTAACATGGGTCTCATACTAATATAAGATATTAGTAATAGGAGGAACTGGGTGTTTCCTCTGTAAGATCTCAATTATTCTGTAAACCAAGAAAACCTTTTATATGCAATCTGCTACACCTAACATACAGTCATCCCTTGGACTGGTTCCAGGATCCCCGTGGACACCAAAATCTGCAGATGCCCTAGTCCCTGATATAAAATGGCATAGTATTTGCATATAACCTATGTGATTGTATCCCCCCAACCATTTTTTTTTTTCTTTGAGACAGGGTCTCACTCTGGTTGCCCAGGCTGGAGTGCAATGGTGCGATCTCAGCTCACTGCATCCTAGACCTTCTGCACTCAGGTGATTCTCCCACCTCAGCCTCCTGAGTAGCTGGGACTGCAGGCACGTGCCACCATGCCTGGCTAATTATATATACATTTTTAAATAGAGACAGGGTTTCACCATGTTGCCCAGGCTGGTCTCAAACTCCTGGACTTGAGCAGTCTGCCTTGGCCTCCCAAACTGCTGAGATTATAGGCATGAGCCACCGCGCCCAGCTGCGATCACATACTTTAAATCATTTCTAAATTATTTATCGTAGCTGATGCAACGTCAGTGCTATGGAAGTTGTTGTTGTATTGTTTGGGAATAATGACAAGAAAAAAGACTGTACATGTTTAGTATAGACACAAGAAAATAGGCCTGCTTACATTTTCCATCCATATTGGTTGATCCACAGATGTGGGACCTGTGATACGAGAAGTTTATTTCTGGATCACATAACAGTTCAGTAGGAATCACACGTTGGCTCCTCCCATCTTGTAGTTCTGCCATCCCCTATGGCCTCAGAATTCTTTGCTGGGTCATCTCCATCCAGCCGAAGGATGGCGGCAGAAGGACAGTGGAGTAAACTGTGGGAAGTTTGTCTGGGCAGGTCTGGAGGTGGAGTGTATTAATTCCACCTACCTCCCCTGGCCAGGACCAAATCATGTGGCCACACCTACTCGCAAGGGAGGCTGGGAAATGTAGTCTAGTCGTGAGACCAGGAGGAAAAAGAGGGTCCATGACCTGCTGGCTAGAAATGAGGAGCAGGAAATTACTCAGTCACACTACCAGATCCTCCCTGCCACATCGCGTCCACCAAGGTGGCCTCTGCTAAAGTGACATGGTTGAATTTTTGCTCCTATTAGGGATGGGGTCAGGAGGGCACCCCTCCCACTCGGGATCTAAGTCTCTTGCACGGACAGGTGCTGTTGGGCGCATGACCACTGCTATGGGCGGCTGGAGGAGAAGGGCTGCAACATTCGCACACAGTCCTACAAATACAGATTCGCGTGGGGCGTGGTCACCTGCGGTAAGGCTGGGGCTTCCCGTTCGGGCCATTGGAAGAGCACCTGACTTTAAGTTCAGCTGCCCTAGAGAACAGCCAGCCTGTATCTTGTTGGGGGAGGAGGAGTTGGGTGCAGAACTGGGACGAGAGGAGCAGGATTATTGCAGCTGTATCAGACCCCCAGGGTAGGGCTGAATCATCCACTGGGTGCAAAAGTGCTTGACATGCTTCCTTTTTCTTGATTCCCCCACAAAATACCTGTAGAGTATGTTTAGGCTTCTCCATTTTAGACATCAAGAAATGGAAGCTAGAAAGCCTGCCAGTGCACACAGCAGGATTCAAGCTCAGGGCCTCTGAGTTCAAGGCTAAATCTGGGGATGGTTCTGCTCTATGAGAATGAGAGTTCCTCCAGAGCAGCGGCTGCCTCCACCATCAGACTGGGAGTCCCCCAGAGGAAGGAAGGTGCTTCCTCTATCAGACTGGGAACTCCCTGAGGGCAGGAGCTGTCTCCTGCACTGAAACCTCACCCTGAGCAGCAGCTGTGCCCCTTCCATCAGATTCTCTATTCCCCCGATTTAGGAGCCATGCCTCTTCCATCAGGCTGAAAGCTCCTCGGAGCAGGAAGTCCATGGGGTCTCTGCTGAGACTGGAGCATGCTCTTCCCACCCTCATTCTGCTCTTGGTGTCCTTTTGCAGAGCCCGGGCCCTTCTGCCATGTGAACCTCTGTGCCTGTGACCGGAAGCTCGTCTACTGCCTCAAGAGAAACCTACGGAGCTACAACCCACAGTACCAATACTTTCCCAACATCCTCTGCTCCTAGGCCTCCCCAGCGAGCTCCTCCCAGACCAAGACTTTTGTTCTGTTTTTCTACAACACAGAGTACTGACTCTGCCTGGTTCCTGAGAGAGGCTCCTAAGTCACAGACCTCAGTCTTTCTCGAAGCTTGGCGGACCCCCAGGGCCACACTGTACCCTCCAGCGAGTCCCAGGAGAGTGACTCTGGTCATAGGACTTGGTAGGGTCCCAGGGTCCCTAGGCCTCCACTTCTGAGGGCAGCCCCTCTGGTGCCAAGAGCTCTCCTCCAACTCAGGGTTGGCTGTGTCTCTTTTCTTCTCTGAAGACAGCGTCCTGGCTCCAGTTGGAACACTTTCCTGAGATGCACTTACTTCTCAGCTTCTGCGATCAGATTATCATCACCACCACCCTCCAGAGAATTTTTACGCAAGAAGAGCCAAATTGACTCTCTAAATCTGGTGTATGGGTATTAAATAAAATTCATTCTCAAGGCTAATAAAAACCACATTGGCATTTTCCTCTGCTGTGGGGGATCGCTGGTGCCTCTTTCTCTGCCACTGGGGCAATAAACCCAAAGATGTCTACATTATCTCCGAAACAGAAGGGAAGATTAGTAAATGCAGGGTTTTCTGGGATGAGCTTCAGGCTTTCTCTTGGGCTAATTTTCTTACACCTTGGGGTCCTCTCCAGTATTGGGTCTCATTCTTCCTCGATGGGGTCAGGGAAAGATAACTGGTGATTATGCCAGCTTCAGCTTCCAGGCCAGAGAGGGTGGCATTCAAATCCCAGTGCTGGCTTCTTCAGCTGTGTGGTCTTGGACCCGTTACTGAACCTCTTTGACTTTCAGTCTCTTTGAGAAATAAACTGTCTTGTTCCTTGCAATGTAAAATGAGACTTCTAAAGCCCACCTTGATGCTGATATGGAGAATGCTGAGGTTCTAGGATTTCACACAGCAGGAATTTTTTTTTAATAGGTGTCAGCTGTGGGGTTTATTTTTTACAAAGTAAGGACATTAAAAAAACCAACCCGTCTATCAATTCATAAAAGAAAGGATGTTCTGATACCAAGACTGAAAGAAGAAAGGATGTATTCCAAAACAAAGGAACATCCTTCCAAGAAAGGACCTATGGCTTCTTTATTCCGACATACCCCAAAATAACTGCATGATAAATAGGTCTATATTTAAAAAGCTCTAGTGTCGAATGTTTTCAAAATAAAATTTAATTTTATGAGATTACCCTGAATGCACCAGTGCTTTAGAAAAGTTTGATTTAGACTCGGTGTCTATATTTGACAATGCCACACAGGGAGGGACTTAAATGCTGAATTTGCTCATGAAATATTTAAAATCAAAGCCATTTCCCAGATCCAATTTTGAATGGGTATGTGGGGGAAATTGAAGTCTTCACTCTAATCCCATTTTCCTTCAATTGTGATATTCTGGATGACAGAGAAGAGAACCCAGTCCAGACTTCTCCCTTCTCCCATGGGGGTCAGGTGGGAGGCAGGGCAGTGTTTTGCTGGTAAGTTCTGCAGGAGGGGGTGTGGGCAGGCCCTTCTCATTGGCACATCCCAGCTCAGAGTCCCAGCATCCACACAGGAGCAGGATGCTATGAGGTTATGAAGGCAACACTACAGGCTGGTGTGGGATTGAGTTGGAAGGAACCATGGAGAACCTTCATTTATCTACCAAGAAATTGAGGCCCAGAAAGTTTTAGGAGACTGTCCAAAAGTCACACAGCACATCAACAGCAGAAGTAGGATTCGATCTCAGATCCTAGCTTTAAACTCTGGGCTCTGGCCACTATCCCACATTGCCTTCAACCCCAGCCCACAAAAGGAGCAGTTCAGGGAGTCACCCACATTAGGGGTTCGTCAGGGGAACCCCTGGATTCCAGCTGAGGGCCAGCTCCATGTCTTCCCTGCTGCAACTGCCTCTTTGGATTCTGGAGGCTGTCCCCGGGTGGTCAGTCAGTCTGGGGCTCTGGGCTTCATCCTCAGTGGAGGAGATCCCATTGCTGTCTTCCACCTTGGCTGCTGTGAACAGCTCTGGGGAAATTATGAGAGCAAAGGGAGCCTCGAAACTTGGGGAAAGGCGTTCTCCTCAATTGTTGCATTTGCTGATCCCTTGGCTGGCAGGAGAACCATCAGGGAGGTCATCCCATTTTAAGAAAGCTAGGGAAACATACAGACCAGATCGCAATGCCTCCCTAGCTAGATCTTTATACATCCTTAATGGACAGACTGCCCTGTACATACAGATCCTTTACTGTCATCTGAATTGGGCTTCAGGCACAAATGTGAGCCTCCAAACATAAGTAAAATGATCTCTATAAGCATATCTACAGAGGGGTTGGGCAGCGGGGAGCCCCCTTGTAGTTGTTACCAAACTGAAAAAGCCTCAAGTAAAGCCCACTGATCAGGATGGAAGGGAGGAGGACAGAGCTAAGGTGGGCTGATGAGGTAGGAGGTGTATGGATATTCTTCTTCTTCTTCTTCTTCCTCCTCCTCTTCTTCCTCCTCTTCCTCCTCCTCTTCTTCCTCCCTTCCTCCTCCTCTTCTTCCTCTTCCTTCTCCTTCTCCTTCTTCTTCTTCAGATGGAATTTTGCTCTTGTCACCCAGGCTGGAGTGCAATGGCACGGTCTTGGCTCACTGCAACCTCTGCCTGCTGGGTTCAAGCTATTCTCCTGCTTCAGCCTCCCGAGTAGCTAGGATTATAGGCATGCACCACCATGCCCAGCTAATTTTGTGGTTTTAGTGGAGACAGGGTTTCACCATGTTGACTTGAACTCCTGACTTCAGGTGATCTGCCTGCCTCGGCCTCTCAAAGTGCTGGGGTTACAGGTTTGAGCCAGCGAGTCTGGCTGGAGTTTCTTCTTTGTGCGGGACACCATGTAGACATTATTAACTGCCCAGTGAGGCTGCTGTTTTCATTCCCATGTGATGGGTGGGACCTGAGGACTGGGAAAGTGAAGTGTTTTGCTTGAGACCACACAGGTAATAAGGAAGAGAGGTGGGAAGGAAGCAGTCTGTCTGATCCCAAAGCCATGTTCTGTGGTCTCTTTTTTTTTCAGGGACAGGGTCTCACTTTGTCACCTAGCTGCAGTGCAGTGGCGTGATCATAACTCACTACAGCCTCAAACCCCTGGGCTCAAATGATCCTCCCACCTCAGCCTCCAGAGTTACTAGGACTACAGGCATGCACCACTACACCTTGATAATTTTATTTTTCTGTAGAGCTGAGGCTTTTGCTATGTTGCCCCGGCTGGTCTTAAACTCTTGGCCTCAAGCGATCCTCCCACCTCGGCCCAAAACCGTGTTCTTAGTAGAACATCATGCAGGGGAAGCTTGGAGCTGGGGCCAGGTCTTGCAACAGGCACTGAGGAAAACACATTTTGTTTTGTTCAGGGTGGGTGTGGCAAGTTTGGATTGTGTAACTTTAGCTAAGCTATGTTTCCCAGAATTCCTTTCCCTGTAGAGTTCTGGGTTAGGTTCTGGTTAGTTGCTGTAGTTTAGGGCCCAAAGAGATGTTTTGTTGAGATTTGGGAGGCAGATGGGAAGTGCAGTCATATTCTCTTTACACTTGGGAGCAGGGCATGTTGTGTTTGTGGCTCAGGCCCATGGATCATGGATCTGCTGGCTCGCCTTGCTGGGGCGAGCCTGCTGGATTTCTTTAATTTCTCTGACTCTTGGGCCAGATGTGTGTTTAGCTCTGTAAGTAAGGGAGCCAACTTCCCCTGCAGGGTGCACAGGCAGTGAAACTAGGGTGGAAGGTATTGAGACCCATCTGTTTCTTGTTTGTTCTTTTGGGCTCCATGCATCCTCCCAGGTTCCAATTTGTCCTTGCTCTCCCCTGCCCCTTCACACCCATCTTCCGTTTCAGACTGTCTGCCCTGCTAACTTCAGGCTGTAGCACCAGGCACAGGAGAAACAGCCTCCTATGAAGGACTAAGCCAGCAATCCCATCCGTACCAGGTCAAATCTCTACCAAAAAAGTATTGTCGTATGAGAGTACTTCTGCCTTTCTGCCTGAACTCCTTAACCTCTTCAGAATTTGGTACTAGGAGAGGTTTCTGAGGAACAGCTTGAAGGATGGGCTCTTTGAATTGCATCTGGAATTGGTTTTCTTATTTGATTAGATTTAAAGGCATAAATGACTGGTTTTTAGTAGTAAGGGGAACATTGATTGACCACAGCCTGAAGAGATAAAACAGCTACTTAAATGATCACCTCTGTCCACACCTGTTCAAGGGTGACCAAGTAGTTGATGGCACAGAGCACTTTAATGGAAACAAAAATATTATTATGGGTTGGAGAACTTGGAAAAAGAAAGTGATGGTCTCAAGTCTTTAAAATCTCACTCAAGATCCACAGACAGGGCCAGTCATGATGGATTACATTTATAATCCTCGTGCTTTGGGAGGCTGTAGTGGGAGGATTCATTGAGCCCAGGAGTTTGAGACTAGCCTGGGCAACATAATGAGGCCCTGCCTCTACAAAATAAAATCTGCATACAGGACATGAATGCTTCTTTGCCTGCCTGTATGGAAGACAGATGCCTGTTAGAGAGACAGTGGAGTACTGCAAATTTGATCAAGCAATGCCTCCAATCACAGCTGCTGTAGTTTTGTTGCTGGAGCCAATCAACACATCCCCTGGCACCTATTTTTTAATTATTCCACTGCAGAATGACTTTTTCCTTATACCTATTAGTAAAACTGTCAGAAGCATTTGCTCTCAGCTTGCAGGGACAGCAATACACTTACACTTTCCAACTGCAGGATTACATTGACTCTCCAGCTCTATGCCATCATCTAGTCCAGAGGGACCTTGATTATCTTTGCATCCCACAGGACGTCAGCATTGGTGATGACATGTATGACATGTATTTGCCTTAGGGGGGAGAAATCCCACAAGAATTCAGGGGCCTGCTACTGCAGTGGCATTTTCCAGGGGTTCTTTAGTCTGGGGCATGTTGAGATATCCCTTTCAAAAGGTAGGGCAAGTCACAGCATCTGGCCCTCCCATCTATTGAGAAGGAAGCACAGTGCCTTGTGGGCACTTCAGATTTTAGAGAGTAGCTCATGTTTCAGGTCAAAGTACCACTGAAGTACCATTTACCAGTGATACCAATGAAGTACCACTTCAACCCACTTACCAATCGAACTGAATAGTTGCTTGTTTTGAGTGGGGCCCAGAACAAAAAGGTCCAGGCTGCCATGCAAGTGGCTCTGCCACTTGGGTGTATGACCCAGCAGATCCAATGGTGCTTGACGTGTATATGCACATAGAGATGCTACATGGAAGCTCAGAGGGGCATCTGTGGGTAAAGCATAGGGCAGACCTTAAGGGTTTTGGAGCAAAGCCATGTCATCAACTGCAGAGGACTACTCTCCTTTTGAGAAACAGTATCTGGCTTGCCAGCAGGTCTTGGTAGACACTGAATGCTTGACCTCAGGTTACCAAGTTATCATGAGACCTGAGTTGCCTATCATGAACTGGGTGTTAACAGGCCCATCAAAACAAAGTTCAGCATGGATAGCAGCAATTGCATAATCAAATGGAAATGGTCTTGTGAAATCGGGCTTGAATAGCTTCTGAAGGCCCAAGTAAGTTGTGTGAGCATGCCCATGGCCCTAGTGCCTGCCACAAGCCTCCTCCTTCACCTATACCTATGAATTCATGGCGAGTTCCCTGTGACCAATTGCAGGAGAAAGAAAAAGACCCGGGCCTGTTTTACAGATGGCTCTCCACATATGCTACCATTCCCTGACAGTGGATGGCTGCAGCATTGCAGCCCCATCTCGGGTGCTGCTGTTTACATAAGGTGTATCAGTGTTGTTAACCTTATATCTCAATATTCAAGTCAGAGGATATCAAAAGGGGATTGTCACTCAACTAGAATAGAAATGAGAAATTGAGATGGATAAGAGAACTTTGTATCCTCTATCCACTTTGGGGAGAGGATAGCTTGTTAGATTGTATACAGGGAAAACTGCATTATGTTAGGCAGGAAGATGATCTTGCTATTGCCTTTATTTGGGAGAGGTGCATATGGGTGCCAAGTCAACAAGGGGTGGACTCTTGGGGGTTTGTATTATTTCACTTAACTAAGCCAAAGTTTCATTTCCTAGAATTCCCTTCCCTGCAGAGTTCCAGGTTAGCATGGGTCTCAAGAGATGTCTTGCATAAGATTTGGAAACTGGTATGGAGTAATTTAATTTTTACAATCTCATAGTCGAAGCAGGGCATGAAATGCTGTTGCAGCCAATGTATGCTGGCCCTTATGTGCTGGCTCATGGTGTTAGTGCGGGGAAGCACTGGGAGCTGCAGCAACTCCAGGTCCTGGCAGAGGATCTTCAGCTCCTCTTACTTCGGAGCCAGGAGCATACTTGGTTCCATGATGAAGGGCACTGGCTTCCCTTGGAAGACACTGCATCATCAACATGGAAGACGTGGGGGTAGCGAGAGGCTGAAGGGTGTCGTTGTCTGTCCTCATAGAGCTCTACTCATCCTTGTAGTTCCACTCTGCCTTGCCAATTGGGACACGGGACTGCAGGTCACAGCACTAGCACAAACAGAAACAGCCCCACCCACACTGTTTTACTGGCTCCCATAATCACAGCAAGCTAAATCCCTATAATACATCTCTTATTTTATATATAGGTATCTCCTAGTAGTTCTGTTGCTTATATCAAATCCTGGTTGCTACAGGCTTCCCAGTGCCTGTATCAACATGCCAGCATGCTTGGACCATAGCAGATGCTTGGAAAATGTTTGTTGAATGAATGAGTGACTGAATAAATAAGTAAATGACTGAGATGCAGCTCCTATCCTCAGGAAGCTCACATACCAGTGTGGAAACAGAGAGAACCAATGAGTTGGGCAGACAATACAGTGATTGTGGGATTTTGACATCTGCAGTGGGCAGTCTGGATGAGAGCTGGGCTCACCGGTGACCTCACTGTCCCTGAGGTCTCCCTGGGCTGGGCTTGGCTGGGTAAGGTGATGGGCATTGCATTAGGACTGGCATGCTAGGTGGTGTCCTCAGGGGGCTCAGAGTCTTTAACTCAGTCCCCCAGTGTCCCACAGGGAAGTGTCATCTTCTAGCATGGCTTCCTGCTGAAAATGAGCTTCCAACCATTGTACGTGTCCAGGTGCTGCTGCACTCATGAAGCCAACTTCAGGTCACACTTGCAGATCTGCTTCTGGCACTTGCTCCCAGAACCTGGACCAGCCAGGGAAGAAATCTGGATTCTCACTTCTGGCCAGACAGACAGACCATCCCACCTCTACCCTGACCCAGGTGTCAAGACCTTCCCAGGATGGTGCCAGGGCCCCTTTTCTTGCTGAATTTAGAAAGCCCACAACTATACAGTGTCTTCCCTGGCAGGGGTTTAATATTATCAATCAAGGGTCTGCTGGCCACCTTCTCTTTCATGAACTCCAGTTGCATCACTCCCTTCCTCTAAGGCCTTCAGTGGTTTCCCATTGCCAAGTTCCTCAGCCTGACAGTTAAGGTTCTTCGCTGTGGCTGCACTGCCTTTCCAGTTTGAATTCCCAGTTATTCCCCACCTCCCAAACCTCCACTCCTCTGCTCTTGCTCTGGTTTTCCCACCTTTCTGCCCTTGCTCTTGCTGTTTCTTCCCCCTCCGGAATGTTCATCCCCTATCTCTAGCTACTAATCGCATTTTTAAAATCAGTAACAATAATAAGAGCTACCACCTGCTGATTGTCTACCAGGTGCCAGGGACTTTCCTACAGGTTATCTCATTGAATCTCCAACAGCCCAACAACTAAGTGTAATCATCCCACTTAATGGGGGAGTAACTTTCAATTTGAGGCTGAACGTGTGCCCTAGGCCATGCAATCAGAGATGGGCAGAGTGGGGATTTGAGCCTGGGTCCCTGCAAATCCCAAGGCTGGGCCCACTGGCACAGAGCCTAGGCCTCGCTGCTCTCATCACTCTCCACTGTGCTTGACACAGGGCCTGGCACAGAGGGAGCGCCCAGTAAATGTCCACGAGTTAAATCCCATGCATACCTCTACATCATGACTGCCATCAGTGGTGCCCAGAGGGCAGGGGTCACAGCTGTGTCTTCTGGGGAACCACACCCAGGAGTCAGATTTTACAATGTGAGAGGCAGAAGTCAGAATTAGGAACTCAACACAGAAAACCTGGTCTGGGGGAAGACTGGCCCCCCAGGACTCCCACTGGGTCTTCTACTGGCCAGAGGCATTTCAAGCACCTTCTGAACTTCCTCAGAAGCACAGAATTAGACCCTCTGTAGCTGTGAGGTCCAGTTCAGTGTCTTGTACCCCAAATTATCCAAGTACCTCATACATACTAAGATGGGCTAACATTCTATTAACCACAGTTTTGGGTAACTAGAAGTATTAGAAACTAAATGCCAGGTTCGGGGCCAGGCGTGGTGGCTCATGCCTGTAATCCCAGCACTTTGGGAGGCTGAGGTGGGCAGATCACGAGGTCAGGAGATCGAGACCATCCTGCCTAACACGGTGAAACCCCATCTCTACTAAAAACACAAAAAATTAACCAGGCATGTTGGTGGGTGCCTGTAGCCCCAGCTACTCAGGAGGCTGAGGCAGGAGAATGGTGTGAACCCAGGAGGCAGAGCTTGCAATGAGCCGAGATCGTGCCACTATACTCCAGCCTGGGTAACAGAGTGAGACTCCATCTCAAAAAAAAGAGGGGGCGGGGGAGTGGCGGGGAAAGAAAGAAAAGAAAAAGAAACTAAACACCAGGCTCTAGTCATGACTTTGCGCAAGTACTAACTTTGGGCAGCCTTCTTACCTGTCATGGGCCTCGGCTTCTCATCTTTACAGAAGAATTGATAGATCATGTTTTAAAAACTGCAATCCCCGTCCACTAGTGGGTCATGAAATCAGTTTAGAGGGTTGCATCCAGTGTGTGTGCACATGTGTGTGTTAATATATCACAAGTAGTAAAGAGCTGCTTCAGCACATCGTGTGCCTATGCTGGCTGTGTATGTGTGGGTTGACTGGGTCCAGATGTCAATTTTATTACATTTTGTGGGTTGCCTTCAAAAGGATCTGAGAAAGCCTCATTCCCATAACCTTTCAGGGCCCTTCTGGCTCTGAAGTTGCAGGCGTCTGAGTGGCTTTAGTGTCTTAGTCTTAATTAAACAAACCCCCAAAGGCTCCCCTGGGGCTTAATGTCCCTGGACTCCCCCTCATCCTTCTCTTTTGTCTTCAAACATTAGATCAGAACTGGCTTCTGAGGTTGAGTGTGGTGGCTCACACCTGTAATCCCAGCACTTTGGGGAGCTGAGGCAGGTGGATCACCTGAGGTAAAGAGTTCAAGACCAGCCTGGCCAACATGGTGAAACCTGGTCTCTATCAAAAATACAAAAATTAGCCAAGTGTGGTGGTGGGTGCCTGTAGTTCCAGTTACTTGGGGGGCTGAGGCAGTAGAATCACGTGAACCCAGGAGATGGAGGTTACAGTGAGCCAAGATTGTGCCACGGCACTACAGCCTGGGCAACAGAGCAAGACTCTGTCTCAAAAAACAAACAAACAAACACACACAAAAATCCCAAACAAACAAACAAATGGAACTGGGCTTCTGGCCTGCAATCTCCAAGCCTCTGACAGCATCAGTCCCAACACGTTCACTAACCACTCAGCGCAGGAACTAGCCACACAAGCACAGCTATTTGGCTCCTCTGTGGGACAGACATCCAAGCCACTGAGTTTAAATCACGCAGAGCTTGTGTTGTAAGGGCCTTAAAATCAGATCAGGGCTCATATCTTAGCCCTGTGTGTTTCCTCACCGTGTGACCTCAGACAGGTGATTTCAATTATCTAAGTCTCAGTGGTCTCTGCTGTCAAGTGGGCTAATGACACTTTCCTCACTAGGTTGCTGGGAGTATTTGATGAGACAATGCACATAAAGCATCCGCTATGGGGCCCTATATACAGTAGGTGCTCAATCAATGGCACCTGTCATGGAAGAGGACCACCAAACGCCAGCCCAAGAGTTTTGACTCCAGCCATTCGCCCTAAACCCAAGTCCTAGGGGCCAAGACAGGTGTCTGGGGCAGAAGGTGGCCCCTCTTCTCATCTTCCCAGGCTGCCCCATGAAGCACTCACTACATTGGATGTGGCAACCGGTGATGCTGGAATTGCATCGGTGCCACTTAGGGGAGCGCTGGTGAGGTGTCAAGAGGGAGTAGCAGCAATCATGCGGGAGACAGCACCTGTGGGGAGATCCAGGCTGGGTCCAGGGCACACAGCCCTGCAGCTGGTCCCAAAGTGGCGCATGTCGACACTTCCAGTCCTTGCCTGGGTGGTGCCCTCTGCCTGGAACGCCTGTCCCCCTACCCCACGGCAAAATCCCTCCCTCCCCGTAGGCTGCCTCGTGCACTTCCCCTGTTTCCCCAGCAGAGGTTCTCCTTTCTCTTCTGGTTCCCACATCATCCTGTTGATTCATCCGCTCAAACACTCGCAGTTAGTGCTTCAACACACATTTAGTGTGCCAGGCCTGGGCTAGGCACTAAGGCCACCACATCTCCACCACCACCTGTTAGTCTCTCAGGGACTGACATGCAAGAAGCAAGAACTCCACACTGTGATGAGAACAGGAGGCCAGTGAAAGCATTTTGAGTTGAACCAAGAGGTTGTGGTGGCTCACATCTGTAATTCCAGCACTGTGGTAGGCCAAAGCGTGAAGATTGCTTGAGCCCAGGAGTTTGAGACCAGCCTGGGCAACACAGTGAGATTCCGTCTCTACAAAATACTTAAAAATTAGCTGGGTGTGGTGGTCCACACCTGTAATCTCAGCTACTCAGGAAGCTGAGGTGGGAGGATTGCTTGAACCCAGGAGGTTGAGGCTGCAGTGAGCTGTAATCATGCCACTGCACTCCAGCCTGGGTGACAGAGTGAGACCCTGTCTCAAAAACAAAAACGAAAGCAGCTATGTCTAAGCAGGAAGGTGGCAGTTTGCCATGAGCCCCTTGGCTCCATCTCCACCAAAGCCAGCAGAGATTGGCATGCGCTGTGTGTAAAGGCTCTGATTTACAGTCTCTCAGCCCCCTTCTCCCACAGGGGGGACCTCGTGACTCCTGTTCAGTGAGCACCTCTCCCCAGTGGCAAGGCACAGCCTCCACTGGGACAGAAGGAATCCAGGCCTAGGGGAGAGGAGAAAGCTGGGACCTGGTGGATTCTGAGGCTGTCCCAGGGACTGACAGGTAGAAGGGCTGCATCAGAATGACCAGAGCTCCAAGAGGAATCAACACGGCTGGTCTAGGGCCTGGACATCTGTATCTGTCAACCAGCTCCCCAGTGATGCAACCGGTGGTCACTTGTGGGACACTGGGAAGGGGTACAAGCCCTGGGGGGCCGTATGGGCCACTCACACATGCTATTTTGTTATTTTGCACCAAGAGATGAGCAAAGCTTACTTGATCTATTCACACATATCCACAGGTATACCTGATGACATCCCCAGAGGCTGAGACAAGCTTTGGTCCTGGTACTAATTTTCCAGGTTTCTAAATTTGGGACTGTGCACTACTCAGGGGTAGAGGGATGGGAGGTGCACCCTCCTAAAGAGTAAAGAACAAAACATCACCATCATCATCCCCCTAATGTGGACATTTTATAGCTTTCTCCTTTAAAAATGTATTTAAGCTGGGCATGGTGGCTCACACCTGCAATCTCAACACTGAGAGACCAAGTGAGGAGAATCACTTAAGGCCAGGAGTTCAAGACCAGCCTGGCCAACATAGTGAGACCTCATCTCTACAGAAAAAAAAAAAAGAAAATTAAAAATGAGCCAGGCACAGTGGTGTGCACCTGTAGTCCCAGCTATTCCGGAGGCTGAGGTGGCAGGATCGCTTGAGCCCAGGAGATCAAGGCTTCAGTGAGACGTGATTGCACCACTGCTCTCTAGCCAAGGCAACAGAGCAAGACCTTGCTGCATATAAAATAAAATGATAAAAATTTATTTAAAACATTTTTCATCTTTTGATAGAACATTTTCTTTAAATGTGTTATGCACCTCTTTGCCTTTTTGAACTGAATACAACGCCTATAATTTGGTTAACCTTTTTAAAATAATTTGGGGTCATTGTGTTAATGCCCTGGCAGTGACGTATTCCTGGCCCAGCAAAAGAGTTGGGGGATAGTGAGATAAACCTTACAGAAAGAAAAGTTGGAACTCAAAATAACCTATGCAACAATTCCAAAATGGTCGATTCTAAGAATCAGTGAACAACTCATTCATTAAATCAGGGCAAGCCTGATTCAGAGAACCTGACAATTCTTTAGTTACCATGTCTCTTTGAGTCATCAGTTCTAAACTGTTGATCCAGTAAATTCAGAATGTTGCATAATTGGTTTCCTGTAAATCAAAGTGAACCAGCTGCTGGATGCTGAGATTACTCAGGTTTCAAATAAACTTGTGGGTTGCAAGCAAGTCATTGTTACATCTTCTGCACAGATCTACAAGCAATGGTCACATTTGTTACTGTCTTAAGAAACTCTATCTGGAGACAGCTATACTGTCCTATTGAACCTCTAGTAGAAGTTCTAAAGAGTCATTTTACAGACTTCCCTTCTACACAGACCTTTTCACATTTTTATGCTTTTCAAAGTGTTTTCAAATCCATGACCCAATTTGCACCTCACAACATCTCATTTTACAGAGTGGAAAACCCAGAGATAAGAGAGAAAAGTGTCTCACCTAAGGTTGCCCCCAAGTTAGTGGCGAAGCCAGAACTTGAACCAGGCTCTCAGATCCTGGCATTTGGGGCAGTCCCGCCAGCCTGAGCTGGTTCCCCACGGCCGTAATACAGAGCCTCTCATGGGACGGGGACCGTGGCTCCTCTGTGCGCCCCAGGGCTTTCCTGGTGCTGGACGCCACTGAGCAGGTCTCAGTGTGGACAGTGTCCCAAGGGCCCATCTTTGAATTTTACTTATTTTATGTGAACTCTCATGTGTCTAAATATCAATAGAAATTTAGTGCCTTTTCTTCTGCTAATAGGTCTTTTGTTATTCATTCACAGGGCCCCAGTGCAGTAAAATAAGAGAATAAAGGCCAGTTGTGGTGGTGCACGCCTGTAGTTCCTGCTACTTGGGAGGCTGAGGCAGGAGGATTGCTTGAACCAGGAAGGTCAAGGCTGCAGTGAGCGGTGATTGTGCCACTGCACTCCAGCCTGGACAACCGAGTGAGACCCCATCACAAAAAAAAAAAAAAGAAAATAAAAGAGTAGAGGAAAAGTCTTTCTCCCTGACATTGACCTGCAACTCCCCATCAACACCAAAGTGACCAGAATGAAAAAGCTCAGGGCTTCTGTACCCTTTTAACAAAGGAAAGTGGGTTTGGGCTTCGAGGGACAATAAATTGTGGGGAAGTGACTAGGAAAGACATGGGGAGCTAATGCGAGATAAGAGCTACTGTAGTGAGGTCAGTTTAGGCAAATTCGTCTTCAAGGATAAGAATCACTCTTCTCTCCTTGGTGCAAGGCGTGGGGGGCACCTTTCTCTAAGTGAAATTATATTTATTTTTATGGTCACCCTCTGTTTATGACAAGCGATACTTGTTTTCCCTATGCCAGAGGGATATGAATTTCCTTCTTAAATAAACCCTTAAATAAATAAATTTAGGCCAGGCGTGGTGGCTCACGCCTGTAATCCCAGCACTTTGGGAAGCCAAGGCAGGTGGATCACCTGAGGTCAGAAGTTCGAGACCAGCCTGGCCAACATGGCAAAACCTTGTCTCTATTAAAAATACAAAAATTATCTGAGTGTGGTGTTGGATGCCTATAATCCCAGCTACCGGGGAGGCTGAGGCAGGAGAATCACTTGAACCTGGGAGGCAGAGGTTGCAGTGAGCCAAGATGGTGCCACTGCACTCCAGGCTGGGCTACAGAGCAAGACTCTGTCTCAAAAAATAAAATAAAATAAAATAAATTTAGATTAAGTGAAAAAAAAAAACCCAAAAGCAAATATTCAACCAGGCCTCAGGAAGGTGACCTGTGGCAAGCTGAGCTCTGAGCATAGTCCTCCTCCATCTTCTACTTGACAGATGAAACCTCGCAGGCTTGGGTGCAGGTGATCTAGAATGTGGTCTCTAGTTTGGCAGCCCAGGGAGCCGTGTCTACAGAGGATGGACAAACCTTGGTGTGAACAGCTGCTCCATCCCTGGGTTGGCAATGGAGACAGGTCTCTGTCTGCTCCAGGTGCTGCGAGTAGGGGAAGTGGGGATAGTGGGGGTGATAGAGGAGGGGGGGCCTACACGCTTTTCAGCACGTAATCCCTGGCCAGGTGCATCAGGATCTTGGGAAGCCCTTGTTAAAAACTGTCAACCAAAAGAGTCAAACTCTGCAAAATATTTGAAGGATTTATTCTGAGCCAAACATGAATGACTGGTGGCCCATGACAGTGCCCTCAGGAGATCCTGAGAACATGTGCCCGAGGTGGTGGAGGTACGGCTTGGTTTTATACATTTTAGAGAGACATAAGACATCAGTCAATACATGTAAGATGTGTATTGGTTCAGGCTGGAAAGGCGGGACAACTGGAAGTGCAGGTGTCAGAGGCATTAGAACAAGACCAACTCCATCTTGAACAAGGGCTGGGTAAAATGAGGCTGAGACCTACTGGACTGCATTCCCAGACAGTTAAGGCATTCTAAGTCAGAGGATGGGATAGGAGATCGGCACAAGATATGGGTCATAAAGACCTTGCTGATAAAACAGTTTGCAATAAAGAAGCCAGCTAAAACCCACCAAAAGCAAGATGGCTACAAAAGTGGCCTCTGGTTGTCCTCAGTGCTACACTCCCACCAGCACCACGACAGTTTACAAATGCCATGGCAACGTCAGGAAGTTACCCTATATGCTCTAAAAAGGGGAGGCATAAATAATCCACCCCTTGTTTAGCATATCATCAAGAAATAACCATAAAAGTGGGCAACCAGCAGCCCTCTGGGCTGCTCTGTCTATGGAGTAGCCATTCTTTTATTCCTTTACTTTTTTAATAAACTTGCTTTCACTTTACTCTATGGACTCACCCTGATTTCCTTCTTGCATGAGATCCAAGAACCCTCTTTTGGGGTCTGGATCCAGACCCCTTTCTTGTAACAGAGGCTTCCAAGTCATAGGCAGATTCAAAGATTTTCTGATTAGCAATTGGTTGAAAAAGTTATTATCAATAAAAAGGAACGTCTGGGTGATGATAAGGGGTTGTAGAGACCAAGGTTTTATCATGCAGATGAAGACTCCAGAGAGCAGGCATCAGAGTTAATAGATTGTAAATGTTTCTTATCAGCTTAATAGATCCTGTCTTATGAGTAATTCCAAAAGGGAGGAGGGTTTAATGAGGCATATCTGGCTTCTCCTTCCCATCATGGCCTGAAACTAGTTTTTCAGGCTAACTTTGGAATGCCCCTGGCTGAGAGGAGGGAGTTCATTCCAATGGTTGGGGAGCCTTAGAATTTTATTTTCAGTTTACAAAATACAGGTTCCTGGGCTCCACCCTAGACCTACAGAATCATACTCTTCAGGTTTGGGGCCCTGAGAACCTGCATTGTAAACTTGCTCCCCTGGGTGATTTTTTGTCCACCATAAAGTTTCAGACCTGCTGCTTTTGAAGCCATCCTCAAGAATTCTGGACAGAAATATGGTGATAATGAAGCATTAATCAGGCTGCACATTGGCTCACTTCCATGTTGCTAAAAGTCACAAAGCACTAGATACTGACCCACTTTCATCTCATGTTACTATAGATAGGATTCCTGACACTACAATTGATTGGTATTCCCATTGTTCCTATAGATATGATCTCTGACATTAGAATCACAAGACTGACTAGTTTAAGGATTGCTTAGGGTATTTTTCAAACCCCAAATTCCAACCACCAGCTTGAAGACTCTCACAGAGGAACGAGATCAGCATGAGAATGCATGTTCTTCCTCTCCCTGTCCCGTGACATCAACCTGCACTCTTCAACCATTCAATGATCTCCACACTTTGTCCCACTCCAAAACCCTTAAAAACCCCAGCCCCAAACTCCTCAGGGAAATGGATTTAAGGTTCTCTCCTGTCTCCTTGTTTGGTGACCCTAAGTTTAAACTTCCTTCTCTGCTGCAACCTGGTGTCTCATCGTGTTAACTTGCTGTGTGCACCAGGCAACAGACCTATTACAGTTCCAGTGTAGGGAGCACACTACCTGGGGTGGCGAGGGTCGCACCAGGACCCTGGGCTTAACATGGCTTTTGCTCACTTTTGCCCAGCTTCCACCATTTCTTTCTGGGGGCAGGGGGTGGGGGGACACCAAGTCTTGCTCTGTTACTCAGGCTGGAGTGCGATCTTGGCTCACTGCAACCTTTGCCTCCCTGGTTCAAGCAATTCTCCTGTCTCAGCCTCCCAAGTAGCTGGGATTACAGGCATATGCCACCAAGCCCAGCTAATTTTTGTATTTTTAGTAGAGATCGGGTTTCACCATGTTGGTCAGGCTGGTCTTGAACTCCTGACCTCAAGTGATCCACCCGCCTCGGCCTCCCAAAGTGGCCTCCACCACTTCTCCATGAGTGAGTTACCTCAGGCAAGAAGTTTAACTCATCAGAACCTGTGTCCTCATCTGTACTGTGTGGCCAATCATACCCACCTTCGTTTTTAAAAAAAATCATACCCACCTTGCTGGGTCATGCAGAATGAAGGGTAAGTGAGAAAATGTATATAAGGTTCTTAGCACACGGGAACCCAGAAATTGGCATTTTCCCATTCCCTCTCAGGAAGCCAGAAGCACTATGGCTGAATTTTACTCCCTTCCTTCTGCTCTGCAGTTCCTGGGCTGGTGTTTGGGGCAGGGAGGGACGCTTACCGCAGAGCCAGTGACAGCTGCTGCATCATCTCAGGGCTGAATCCTTGAGGAGGGAACAGGGACAGCTTTGGCTTCCTCTCACCCCAGCCTAGCCCTGGATCCTGGAAGGGGCTCCAGCAGAGGCAGCCCACGAGCAGAATGCACTTTGACCCCACTTCAATGGCCTCCTGAAAGTAGGGGGAGTGTTCCTGGCAGAGGGTGAAGAGCTAATTTCTGATCATCCTGAGAGAAGGCTTGGGAGGTGACAGAATGTCCCTGCCTTTCCTACCTGCCCACCCACCCCTTCCACCCTGTCCCAACCTTCTCACTGGTGGGAAGTTCTCAGTAGGAAAGAGATGAGGGTTTGGTCAAAAATTCCCTTTCAAGAGTAGGTGTTATTGGTTAATTTTACTAATCACAAATTGAGAATCAGAGAAGTAAAACTGTCAGAGGTGTGTGAACCAGAGCAACTCCATCTTGAATAGAAGCTGGGGAAAATAAGGCTGAAACCTACTGGGCTGCATCCCCAGACGCTTAAGGCATTCTAAGTCACAGAATGAGATAGGAGGTCAGCACAAGATACGAGTCATAAAGACCTTGTGATAAAACAGGTTGCAGTAAAGAAGCCAGCCAAAACCCACCAAAACTAAAATGGTCACGAGAGTGACCACTGGTCGTCCTCACTCCTGCCCTCCCATTAGTGCCATGACAGTTTACAGATGCCATGGCAACATCAGGAACTTACCCTATGTGGTCTAAAAAGGGGAGGCATGAATAAGCCACCCCTTGTTTAACATATCATCAAGAAATAACCATAAAAATGGGCAACCAGCAGCCCTCGGGCTGCTTTGCCTATGGAGTAGCCATTCTTTTATTCCTTTATTTTTTTTAATAAACTTGCTTTCACTTTACTCTATGGACTCATCCTGAATTCCTTCTTGCGTGAGATCCCAGAAGCCTCTCTTAGGTCCAGATCCGGACCCCTTTCTTGTAACAAAACCACAAGCCCAAGGTCACACAGCTGGGAAGTAGCCCAGCTGAAAGAAATAGCAGGAGCTTTCCTATCAATCCCTATTCATTCATTCATTCATTCAACAGAAATGTCCTATGCCCCCAGTATTGTTCTAGATGCTGGGAATGTTGTGGTCCTTCCTGTGTCCAAGGCATTCATATTCCAGTCAATTGTTGGGGTGAGAGAAGTGAATTGCTGAATGCTGATTAAGAAAACCATCAGAAAGTGTAAAGCAGAGAATTAAAACAGGGCAGGGAGACTGGGAGTAACCAAGGGTGGGAGGTAGTTGCTTTCGGTTGGGAGGGCAGGGACATTTTTTTGGAGGGAGAAGCAGTTCAGCTGAGCTCTGGGTGAAGAAGGAGCCCGTCTTGCCAAGACCCAGGGGAGGCTTCCCCCAGCAGAGGCCCCAAGGTGAACGGGGCTTGGCCAGGAACCAAAAACTGAAAGGGACCAGAGAGGAATCCTCATCCTGCCTTCTCTGACCTTGCTTTGAGCTTTTACAAACTGCTTTAAAAATCTCTTCATTTTAAATTAAAAAAAAAAAAAAATAGGGGACTCTGAGCTCTAGAGAACAAGCCAGGCCAGCCAGTGGGAGACATGGGCTATTCAGCTTGCCCTGGTGCCCTGAGGTCAGGATGACCCTCCAGCTGACCTCAGTCAGGAACCCCAAGTGTGAATGCCCCCTAGTCCTCCTCAAGGGGACACTGAGATAGGGTGGGGAGGGGGTGGCAGGAGCCCAGCCCCTCCTGCACAACAAAGCAAGGCAAGGATGTGGGGAATGAACATGGGCATTTGGAAGCAGGATCCAGCCAGAAAGACAGGCAGGGCCTTGGAGAAGTCGTCCCTGTCACTTTGTCCCTGGGCTGGGCCCCCTGGAGGTGGAACCATGCATTCCAGGTGGCCTGAGGCTTGTACCCACCAATGGGTAGGTTTCTGCCTTTGACACACATCACCCCCACCTGGTAGTCCCTGGGTGTGGCTAGTCCCCCGATAGGAGCACCCAGGGGTGAGTCAGGGACTGTCTCAGTCAAGAGTGTGGGAGATAGACTGGGACATGGCCCTGGAGCCAGAGATACCTGGGTTCGAATCCCAACCCTGCCACTTATCAGCCAGTGACTCACCCTTGGAGTTTCAGTTTCTACAGCTGTCAAATGCAGTAACAGTACCAGCACCTCAAGGTAGGTAAGAGGAGGGGTGAATGGGCACCACAGGTGTTCCGTGTCCACTCCACTTCCCACACTGGGCAGAGCCTAACCCCAGAGGGAACAGGAAGCACAGTGGCTGCCTCTGCCATCCAGGAGCACTCAGAGGGGTGAGTGGAGAACAGAGGCTCTCCTGGGAATTACTCCTTCCTTGCTGCCTCTTGTCCAATTTCAATCATTGGACACTGATCCAGGACAAGAACTTGCAGGGTGGGACATTCCAAGTCCTGCTGCCTGAGGCCCCACCTGAGCATCTAGCCTCCTAATCTAAATAAATCCCATGTCTTTACCAATCTGAGATTCATTCATTATTCATTTATTTGTTCAACAAATCCCTATTGATCACCTACTACATATCAAGCCTGCCCTGGTGATAAGGTGGTCACAGATGGGAGCACCCCAGGCACAGCTCTGCTCCCAGCCAAAGTGAGAGCGGGTTGCAGTCCCTGGCTCTGGGCTTGCTCGCCCAACACAAATTCCATCAGCTACCCAACCCCTCAGGGACATTGATCCTGTTCCGTCTTGGGGGTAAATAAATCCTAATGAATCTAAACC
Organism: Homo sapiens; assembly: GCF_000001405.40. Taxonomy (NCBI): domain Eukaryota; kingdom Metazoa; phylum Chordata; class Mammalia; order Primates; family Hominidae; genus Homo; species Homo sapiens. The sequence goes on from NC_000001.11 coordinate 20,110,285, forward strand.
AACCAGGCTCATCCCATTGTCTTGGGTAACCTCTGGGTTAGGGCGGCCTGTCCTGAAGAGAAGTCGGTGGGTGGTGCTGGGGGGCTTATTAAAAAGACAGAGGAGGCCGGGTGGGGTGGCTCACACCTGTAATCCCAGCACTTTGGGAGGCCCAGGCAGGCGGATCATGAGGTCAGGAGATCGAGACCATCCTGGCTAACATGGTGAAACCCTGTCTCTACTAAAAATACAAAAAATTAGCCGGGCATGGTGGCGGGCGCCTGTAGTCCCAGCTACTCGGGAGGCTGAGGCAGAAGAATGGCTGGGAGGCAGAGCTTGCAGTGAGCTGAGATTGCGCCACTGCACTCCAGCCTGGGCAACAGAACGAGACTCCGTCTCAAAAACAAACAAAAAAGCAAACAAACAAACAAACAAAAAGACACAGGAAGAGAGGAAGACACAGCGTCTCCTTGGCTGGATGCTGTCACGTCCTGGCCTGCGGGCTGGCATCATGGTTGCCAGCTTGGAGCTGTGAGGGGAGTCACCTAGAGGGCAAAGCCAACACACAGAGGTGGCTTGCCAGGAGCAGGAAGGAAACCAGGCCCTGATGATATCAAGCTCCGAAGAGCCAGACTTGGAACCACCTCCTCTCCGAACGTCTCATCATGTGAGATCATAAACGCCTGCATTGTTTCAGCCCAATGAGTCACAGTTTTTAGCTGGAAGCTTCTTAACCAATACAAACGTGATGCGGCGAGGGAGCGGAGCAAGAAGAGGCTGGGGCGAAGCTGTGGCTCTGCCTTTCTTGGGTTGTGGGACCTCAGGAGGGTCCTCAATTATAAAATGGGGATCGTAATGGCTAAGTCAGCCAACATGAATATTAAGAGAGATGTTGCTGCAAAGCCATAGGGAGCTATTGGGCCAAATTTGGTAGACAAATAAGAGTCATCAGCTCCCGATGGTGTCTCTTGAGTAAATGCATCCAGTGTCACTGAGAGAAGACTTGGCGGGAAAGGAGGAGGACACTTTCTCCTCCTGATTTCTCTTGGGGGTGACTTTAGATCTGGTCACTACGAAACAACAACATTAACCATGCCGTTAACATTTAAAGTTAATACCCTGTGCCAGGTGCCTGCTGTGCTAAGAATTTAATCTACGCTAATCTTATTTAATACAAACATGAACACCTTCTTATTCTCTTCTTTTTAAAAAATTTTCAGTCCAGTGCAGTGGCTCACGACTGTAATCCCAACATGTTGGGAGGCCAAGGCAGGAGGATCACTTGAGCCCAGGAGTTTGAGGCCAGCCTAGACAGCATAGTGAGGCCCCATCTCTACAAAAAATACAAAAATTACCCAGGTGTTCGGGTGCCTGGCTACTCAGGAGGCTGGGGCAGGAGGATCACTTGAGCCATGGAGGTCGAGGCTGCCGTGAGCCACGATCATGCTGCTGCATTCCAGCCTGGGCAACACAGCAAGACCCTGTCTCAACAACAATAACAAAAAAAAATTCTTATTTTTTGTAGAGATGAGGTCTATGTTGCCCAGGCTGGTCTCTTCTTATTTTCATTTATACTTTACATGCAGAGAATGTTTCCTCCTGTAAGGTACATGGTTAGTCAGTGATATAAGTGGAATTTTTTTTAAAAAAACTAGACTTATTTTATTTTATTTTATTTTATTTTATTTTATTTTATTTTATTTTATTTTATTTTATTTTTTGAGACAGAGTGTCACTCTGTTGCCCAGGCTGGAGTGCAGTGTCGCGATCTGGGCTCACTGAAACCTCTGCCTCCCAGGTCCAAGTGATTCTCCTGCCTCAGCCTCCTGAATAGCTGGGATTACAGGCACCCACCACGATGCCTGGCTAATTTTTGTATTTTTAGTAGAGACGAGGTTTTGCCATGTTGGGCAGGCTGGTCTTGAACTCCTGACCCCAGGTGATCTGCCTGCCTCAGCCACCCTAAGTGTTGGGATTACAGGCATGAGCCACCATGCCTGGCCTAGACTTTATCTTTATATGGCAGTTTTAGGTTCACAGCAAAATTGAGAAGGTATGGAGATTTCCCTACCCTGTTCCCCCACACAGGCACAGCTGCCCCCATGGGTATCCCTACCTGGAGTGGTGCATAGAACTGGAATTTGAACCCAGCGCCCACAGTCCTTCATTCCTATGACACCACTTCACATGAGTCACCACATCTCAGAACTGCTCAGTCAGCTGAGGCACAGATGGTGCCACAGGCCCAGAGTGTGGGTGACTGCAGGTGCCTCAGCCCCCTGGCTGGAAACAGCTAGCCACACACAAATGGCAGATTGGGAGTCCTCATAGGAAAAAGTTGTCCCTCTTCAGTCTCTTTCCTTAGAAGCAGAGCCTGAGACAAGGATTCTTGTGCAAATGCTTTACTGAGGGAGTACTTTCTGGAGAAACCTGTGAGGGAACCAGGAAAACTGGATAGGCCAAGGGGTCAGACCAAGCAGAGAGGTGGTTCCAGGAGAGGCCTGGCCTCAGCCCGATCCCAGGAACAATTTGAGAGTGTCATTCAACCCAGACAATCCTGCACAGACACGGGGGAGCTGGCAATTGTACCCTCCATGGTGTCACTCTCCTGGCCATGAGTGACAGGTGGCCTCTTGGTGGGAGAGGTGGGGCAGGGGGAAGGCAGCTCCCACTAGACCAGGGCAGTATTTAGGGGAAGGAGGCAGATTGGAGCAGTTGGCTGCCAACACCTGGCCTCACTCAGGGAGAGGGGCCTTGGGCCTGGATGATATCTGGGTGAGGTACCCACACCATCTGCTGCAACCTCTGTGTATCCATTATGGGCTCACGCCATTCACAGGCATGAATTGAGCACCTAGTATGTGGGAAAACAGGGGAAACAGAGATGGCACAGACATGGTCTCCATCCTTCGGGGGCTCCAGTCTAGTTGGGGGAGATCAGAGAAGTTCCATTTGCCACTCTAGGCCAAGCTAGGTAAGCGGCAGAGCCATGAAGCATTGTGGGAGCTTGGAGGAGGGAGTGAGCCCTTGCAGTCAGGGAGAAGGAGTCAGCCTGGGGAGACTTCCAGAAAGTAGCCCTTTGACCCTGAGGAGGTGGGGATCAGTCGTGATGAAAGTAATAGCCATTCAGTAGCCCCTTGTAATTCACCCTGAGCCAATGCCTGGAGGCAGGAGAAAGTACTCAAGGCTCTGGTGCCTGGAGCCACAAGACCTGGCGGCTTTGTCTAGGCTTCACCCAAGAAGGATTTATGGAGCTCCTTCTTGGTTCTGGTGTTGCTTTGGGCACCAGGGATGCAACTGAGTTTAAGACAGGCATGGCCTCCACCTGCAGGGACTTCAGAGCTTGCCTGGGGAGAGGGTCACATGGCCAGACTGTGCAGGGTCCCCAGTGCCTATGAGAGGCTTTATCTTAGGACAGTGGAGGGCCTTGAGGTTTTAAAAGATAGAGCCACATGGACAGAAAGATCAATATTGCCCTTTATAGTGGCTGCTGCGGTTGTAGCTCCGAGACTATATTGGAGGGGGTGAGGAAGGACAAGGGGGCCAGCAGGTGGGGGACAGCGGCAGACCCCTCCCCCACCCCGATGCTTTGGTCCAAACACCACCTCTGAGGGCTCCCTTGCTTGGGCTTCTCCCAAGATTCCCATCCACCCTCAGAGGACACAGCTACTGCCTCAACTGGGAGGATTCGGAAAGCTTCAGAAGGTCAGAAGGCATTGGTAGAGGGTTCCGGGGGAGGCTGGGACTACCTCCCCCCGGAGTGTTTGAAAAGCCAGGCTGGTTCAGGTTAGATACTGAGGTGGGGATGCCAGAGCTCCATGCTGAGGAACAGGGTAGAGGGTGTGGGCTTCTAGCACCCAGGGGTCTGCCCCCGGCAGTGGGGCCGCCAGTAGAAACGCAGTCGCTTCTGGTAGGTGTCCAGGTTGCGCTTCAGGCAGAAGGCCACCTCCTTGTCACAGGCACACAGCTGCTGCTCACACCAGCTTCCCTTGTCAGCTGTGGACGGAGAAGGGGGAGCTATGTGTTTGTCCTTTTCCGAGACAGAGGCAGGTATGAGTCTAGCAGCCTCTGAAGTCAGTGCAGTTCCTACTCAGTCGTAGAGGTACCGGTCCCAGCAACCTCGATTCTAGCTGCATGACTTGGCCACGTACCGTGACCTCCCTGTGTGCCATTGCACCTTCAGTTATTTATTCACCCATTCATTAAACAATTGTTGAGCACCTACCGTGTCACGGCAGGAGAGGACTGAACGATAGGGACATGAGAGAGGGGCAGGTATTAGAGCACCACAGGGAGGAAAAAAACAACTATGCAAAGTTAACATGAGGAACCATGCAGGGCTAGGAGATCAGAAAACAGGGTGGAAGAGCCTTTTGAGCTGAGATCGGAAGGGTCTGCTCTTCCTGGAGGAAGCTGGGGTTTGGGAGTGGGGGATGGCAACAGTCTATGCAAAGACTCCCGGGCAGGAGGGATCACAGTTTCATTATCCATGAAGCGGGGATAATGGCAAGAGTTGCCTAGGGGGCTGTCATGAGAGTTAAAGTAACAAGACAAGGCACTTAGCCTATAGTAAGTGCTCAATAAATGTTGGATATTATTGTTACTATTATTATGAAGCCCTCAATTAACAGCAGCTGCTGTGATGAGCCCTTTAGATTCCCAGCCCTGAGGACCTGCTACATTTCTATGCTTGTGATGCTGGAAAGGATGTAGGGGCCAGGTGCCCTGGGTTCCAGCCCAGGCTCTGTCAGTTGGAGGCAGACACTTCCCCACTCTAGTTTTGGTTTCCTGGTCTGTACAATGGAGATAATCAGGGTTTTGCCGATCCTCGACAGGCTGCCACGAGCATCAGTGATGATGAAAGTAACAGCCAATCAGTAGCTCTGTGTAATTTATTATGGCAGGCATCCTGTGAGGCCCATTCTGTCTGTCTCATTTTAGCTCTTGCAATAACTTAATGGGGTAGATTACAGATGAGGATACTGAGGTTCAGAGAGGTTAAGCAATGTGGTCACCAAGCTGGTCAGTCGTGGGCCTGAATTCCAGGTGCTAAAGGGGCCAAACCTCCCATGGGTCCTCTCCATACCCCCATACCCATTCTTGCCTCTTCACAGCCCAACTGCAGCCAGTGGACCCATGCAAAAAAAAAACAGAGAGGTCAAGTAGCTGTGCTGTGAAGGCAGTGGGGGCCAGATCTCCCTTCCTGGGGTCTCCAGCTCCTGCCCTGAGGTCTGCGTACTCACAGCAGTGGATGTTCCCCTGGGAAAAGTTGTATCTGTAATAGTCCTTGTAGATGCTGCACCCCTGGGTCTTCAGGTGGTCATAGCAGCAGTCATGGGTCTGGCAGCACCTGGAGCAGACAGGGTGCACAGCTGCATGGGTCCCCAGCCTACTGGGGTCTCTGGCTGCTCCCCCTACTGGAGAAGAACCCGTGTCCCCACCTGGGAAGAGTCAAGGCCTGCAGGGCTGCAGTCTTCCTCAGGATCATGATGACTAACATTTTTTGAGCGATTCCTATGCACTAGACACTTGCTTTATCTATGCATTCTCTCTTACTCCTTAAAACCACCATGGGATGGAGGTACTCATATTATCCGCTCTTCAGAGATGAAGAAACTGAGACTCGGGGAGGTCAAGACACTTGCCCAAGGTCACACAGCCTGTAAGTGGCAGATCGTGGCAGTGTCCCCAGGCCTGGCTGGCTCTCACCGCTCCTCTAGCTGACTCCCAGGGTTGTTATGAAGATCAAATGAGATAACAGAAAAAAAGAGGTGGTGAGGGGGCTTTAAAAACCAACGTCCATTGCAGTGGGGAGTGAATGTGGGCATTGTCACTAGAGTAGGGGATGGGAGTGCAAGGGGGCGTCTGGCCTTCAGGGACCCTGGGGAACCTTCTGGAAGGCAAGCTCCAGGAGGGCTGGGACCGTATTGGCACCCAGTGGTATTTAGCACATAGTAGATGCTCAACAAAATGGATTCAACTCAACTAAATGAACAGGTGGGTGGAGAGAAAAGAAGAGTACCGTAGTCGGGGACAGTATAGGATTGCCAGCCCTGAGAAAGGAGTTACCAGTCCGTGGCATCTTTGGGTTGGCCTCTGCCACCTAGTCCGCAGTGACAGCCGTAGGGCCAGTAGGAGAGGATGGGCATTTTCCCAGTCACTTGCTTGACCATCTTGTTCAGGTTCAGGATCCCGCCCTGGATTGGAATCACACCTGCCAAGCAGCCCAGCAACCAGGAGAGAAGAGGAGATGAATTTCAGGGCAGCGCCAATGGGCACAGGACGGCACCTCTGCTCTGCCCAGACCAAATGAGTGACCTCAGATGATGATAATAATAAAACGACATCTACTACTGCTATTAAAAATATAGCGACAGGCCAGGCACAGTGGCTCACGTCTGTAATCCCAGCACTTTGGGAGACAAAGTCTTGCTCTATTGCCCAGGCTGGAATGCAGTGGCATGATCTCGGGTTTGAGAGGCCAAGGTGGGCAGATTGCTTGAACACAGGAGTTTGAGACTAGCTTGGGAAACATGGTAACACCCTGTATTTACAAAACATCAAAAATTAACTGGGCGTGGTGGTGGACACCTGTCGTCCCAGCTACTTGGGAGGCTGAGGTGGGAGGTGGAGGCTGCAGTGAGCCGAGATCTTGCCACTGCACTCCAGCCTGGGCAACAGAGTGAGACTTTGTCTCAAGGAAAAAAAGTGACAATTACTGAGTGCTTACTATAGGTCTTCTTTTGTATTGATTTCTCGACTCCATCTGGCTGGATAATTACTGTCATATTAAATAAATAAACTTTTTATTTTGGAATAATTCCAGATGTACAAAAAAGTTGCAAAGATAGAAAGCTCCTGTATACCCCTCAGCCAATTTCCTCAAATGTTATCATCTTACTTGTGATTCATTTGTTAAAACCAACACTGGTACAATGAATATTATTTTTAAACCCTATTTTACAGATGAGCAGTTTGAGGCTCAGTAACTTGCTCAGAGTCTTAGTGGCTGGTAAATGGAGCCAGAATTCATCATTTACAACAGTCTGGTTTCATTCTCTGTCTCTGGGTGTTGATTTCCCACTCCATAATAGGAAGAATGGTCCCAAGTCACCCTTCTTACCTCCAGCCCCTAGAAAAATCTGAGTCTGTAATAAAGAGAGTGTGTGGGTCTTCTGGGAGGCAGCATGATTTAGAAATCAGTGCTTTTCATGGATAATTTTATTTCACTCATAATAACTGCTGATTAGAATTGATAGTAAGGGGAATTTATTTTACTGGAAGAGAGGAATGCATTATGTTGAGTTAGGAGAAATAAAATATATTAAGTCCATGAATTCAAGTGGGAGGTTGGGAGAAACAGATGGCAGAAGGGAATGGAGCTGTGCCTGTGTGCAACTCCTAGAGATGATTAGAGAATGCAGGGAGCACACGTCCCGATGGAGCCCAGAGTCTCAGGGAGACTGGGCTGGGCAGCCCCTCTTCGAGTGAGTTTACTTATGGAACCCGCACCCAACCTCAGGCAAATGAAGTCAATAGTACACAGTGGGTGAGCCACACATTGGGGACCGTTGGGCTGGGAAGGGTGGTTGGGAGAAACTCATGCAGTGGACAAAGAGTGAGACCACACACAGGTGGCCTTGGGTTGCAACTCAAAGTGACTGGGCCATCATGTCCCCAGTACGTCCCCTCAATGTGTGGGAGTCCATGTTGCCACGCCTGTTTGACATGGTGCCTCTAGCTGTTAAGACATGTACAAGAGAAGACTTGCTAAGCTTTGGCTGCACTGGTGAAGGATCCCGGGCCCTCTGGAATCATACACAATCCATCAGAGATTCCTAGATTCCATGATAAGGAACCCAACTGCAAACGGAGAGTCCACCTTGCAGATCAACCAGAGCCCCGCGTTCAGAATCTTGCCTTTCTTAGGGTACCCCGGTCCTCTTTTTTTTGCCCTAAATATAGCCCTTTCAATCTGGGCTCAGAAATACATAAACTGAACTCACACCTGAATGATGCAGCTCTTTCTTGCCATGTGAAAAATACATTCAGCTTTGATTCAGAATGCTTTCGGGTGGTCTTACTTGCCATAATTTTAAGGTGAGGAGGACCCAGCCTGAGAAACGGAGCTGGAGCTGTGGCTGGGGAGGTGTTGATGAACTGGCTTAGCTTGTCAGCCGTTCTTGCCTGGGTAACTTTTCCTACCCTTGGCTGCCACTGACAGGGGTGAAGCTCCTTCTCCCAAGGGATGGACACAGTGGGTGGGAGGAGGTGCCACTGCCATCTTTCATGCATGTGCCATGTGTGAAGCTATTATTTAAGTTTACTCAACACTTAGTGTCTGTTTTCCCATTAGAGTCCCTCTAACAGCCCTGTGAAGGGGGTTGTACCCATTTTACAGATGAGGATATTGAAAGGTTTGGTGATTTGGCTAAAGTCATACTGCTAAGAGATGGCGGGGCCTGCATTTGACTGCAGGTTCATCTGTGTATTTGATCTCTACAGTGTCTTCCCTCTTTACATCTGAGAGATGAATTTTTGCAGCTCAATTGCAAATTTCCTAATGGTTTTTGCTGTAATCCTGGAGACATGTTCCTCTAGAGAATTTCAGAGTCCCAAGATAACATAAAACTACATTTTAAAATGCAAGTCTTTTCCAAAATCACAATTTTGAGATGGATTGAGGACAAAAAGGCCAATTTGCTAGCAACTGCACTTTATATTTGGTCTGCTTAAGATCAAATGGAAATTGCCCCCTCTTCACCGAAAGTCAAGGGAACCCTCTTCCCAGGTTCAAGGCAGATCATGAACATGAAACGGCTCTAAAAATATGGAGTGCTATGCATTCGTACGGGTTGCTCCTATTCAGTGGGAGAGGTAGGGGTGAAGTGACCTGTGTCCAAAGCGTCATCATCATGGGCCCAGCAGACCCTGGTGCTGGACTTCTAGTTTGAACTTTCACAGCAGTCCAGAGATGTGCAGCACAGCTTGGCCAGCCAGAGCTCTCTGGCTGAAGCTACCATGCTAGGAGACTGACGGCCACTGAAGGCTCTTTGCAGAGGGGCAGAAGGATTGGGGAGTGGGGGCCAGGCTCCTGGGGATCAGAGCAGCAGCCCCCTAATCTGGGAAAGAGAGCACAGGGGTACACTGGCCTCCCTCCTTCCCTTCCCAGCCTGGGTCCCGTCCCCGACTCACCAGCCATCACCACCAGCCCACACAGCAGTGCAAGTTCCATGATCCCAGCACAGAGCAGTGGAGGCAGATGCTGGCAGTCCCTTTCCATGCAGGCTGCCCCCTTATATCAGATGCACCCCACCCAGCCTTGCCCAGCCCTCCCTCCCAGCCCCCACTCTCATGGAGGCAACACATGCTTCTTTCACTTCCACTTTTCTGGCACTGGGGAGTTTTGTTTTGTTTTTGTTTTGTTTTAAACACATTTTTTTTCTATTTATTTAATGTATTTATTTATTTATATTCATATATATATATATATTTTGAGATAGGGTCTTACTCTGTCACTCAGGCTGGAGTGCAGTAGAATGATCATAGCTCACTGTAACCTCGACCTCCTGGGCTCAGGCAATCCTCCTGCCTCAGCTTTCCAAGAAGCTGAGACCACAGGCATGAGCCACTATGCCTGGCAATTTTTTTTTAAGACAAGACTATGTTGCCCAGGCTGCTCTCGAACTCCTGGCCTCAAACAATCATCTCGCCTCAACCTCCCAAAGTGCTGGGGTTGCAGGTGTGAGCACCATGCCTTAGCTTCCCCACCATGCCCTTTTTGATAAAAGAAACATACACTCAGTGTAGAAGATTTGGAAAACCTAAACAATAAACTTAAAATCACCTGCAAACCTATTAAGCACCATTGACATTTTGGTGTACGTCCCTCTGTGGTCCCGTTGCTGCCTGTCTCTCTTTCTGTCTCTCTCTCTCTCCATACTTTTCCCCAACCAAATTAGGAAAATGTTATATATGCAGAGCTTCGTAGCCTATTTTTTCATTTGCTGATATAACTTGCACATATTTCTATGTCACTAAATATTCCTCTCTAGTAACATTGTGAAAGGCAGGTTCCTGGCTGGGCACGGTGGCTCGTGATGGTAATCCTAGCACTTTGGGAGCCCGAGGCGGGTGGATCACGAAGTCAGGAGTTTAAGACCAGCCTGGCCAAGATGGTGAAACCCCATCTCTACTAAAACTACAAAAATTAGCCGGCCTGGTGGCAGGCACCTCTAATCCCAGCTACTCGGGAGGCTGAGGCAGAGACTTGCTTGAACTCAGGAGGCAGAGGTTGCAGTGAGCTGAGATTGTGCCACTGCACTGCAGCCTGGGCGACAGAGCAAGACTCCGTCTCAAAAAGAAAAAGGCAGGTTCCTATTTCATTATACTATTATATATATTATTATACTGCTATACCATTTATCTAATGAAGCCCCATTGATGGATATATGGGTGGCTTCTGATATTTTTTTACTAATCTAGACTGTAGAGTGAAAGAAGGCCAAATTTCAGTCAGTTCATGTCCAGAATTGCTTCCATAGGATCTACTCCTAATGTAGACTTGCTGAATCAAAGCACACACACAATTTGAAGGCAGGCAATTGATATGTGTTGACAACTTACCCTACAGAAGGTCTGCCCTAGTTTACATGTGAGAATCCTAATGAGGCAAATGGGGTGAAGCCGGCCCAACTTGGGTGGAGGAGCTGACGGGAGGACACACATGGCCACGACACAGAGAAGGTCAGCCACTGGGGCTCCACCGAGAACCTTGTTCCCACAGCTTTGATGCCTGTTAGATGGCTGTCTAAGGACAGAATGCCCAGGCTGACCTCTGTTACCAGCAAATCAGCTCATCCAAAAGAATATGCCAGCAGCAGCCACTGCTAGGAGCTTCCCTCTCTCTGTCTTCTCTTCCCTCCCTTTTAAATCTGATTATTGCCTTTGTTCCTTGACTCAGTCAACCAACTGACCAGCTCATATGTGTGTCAACAATCTACATACAAAGTAATTCAACAGCAAGCAAAGCAGATGCCTCTGGCACATTTTTTGATGCACCCCCTCCCATGTAGGCTCAATAGTCTTGTGCACTTACCAGTGTGGTACCTTACCCTATAGACAATCCTCCAGACAGGGACTCTTGGCGGGCCACGTGGCTACCTGTCAGAACTCACGCCACCCTCCATCTGGTATGGAGGGATGGGAGCAAAAGTAGCCACAAGCCCTTTGTTGATTCCAGAAGACTTTTCCCTAAAGGGAGAGAAGGCACCATATTGGTGCTACAAAGCGTCCTCAAAAGCCCCATCTTCAGAGTTACCTCAGACATATCCAGAAGCCCCAGGGCACATCCAACAGGCAAGGTTTGGGATCAGACAGATCTGGTTCAAATCCTGGCTCCTTCTCTTACCAACTGTGGGACCCTAGGCAAATTACTTCACCTCCAGGAACCTTGGTTTCTTCATCTGCAAAATGGGGTCAACAGTCCCTCCCTTCCCTGATGGCTGTGAGATTTAGATACAATGTCCATAAAGCACATGGCACCAAGCCTCACCGATCTAGGGAATGCCATTACAGTAACCACAACATGGGAGGTTAAGAGGACTGGGGAGATGGGATTCAAACCCAGACTGACTGGGTTAACAGCCTGGCCTCCCTGATGTTCTGGCTGTTTAACTTGGAGCAAGCTGATTATTAACTCCGTGTCTTCCTCTTGCTCCTATGTAAGACAGGGGTGATGACAGTACCTACTTCATAGCGTTACAGTGAGGATGAAAAGATGATACTTGAACAGGGTTTGGTCCACAGCTAGAGACCAATAAATGTCGGCTGCAGTGACTCCCGTCCTCCTCCTCCTCATCATCATCATCACCCTCATCATCACTGCTTAAAATAAGTGGAGTAACTAACCTTTTCTCCTGCATTCTCTGATCTGCTGTTAATACTATCCATTGTTTTTTTCCCATCTCAGTGCATTTGGTCCTCTCTATAAATTTAATCTGGGTCTTTTAAATATTTTCTGTGCTTCTCCTTAACATGCTCATCTTTCTTTGTTTTTTCAAATTAAAAAAAAATTTTTTTGAGATGGAGTCTTGCTCTGTTGCCCAGGTTGGAGTGCAGTGGTATGATCTCAGCTCGCTGCAACCTCCACCCCCGAGGTTCAAGCCATTCTTGTGCCTCAGCCTCCCGAGTAGCTGGGACTACAGGCATGTGCCCATGCCGAGCTAATTTTTGTATTTTTAGTAGAGACAAGGTTTTACTATGTTGGCCAGGCTGGTCTCGAACTCCTAACCTCAGGTGATCAACCCACCTTGGCCTCACAAAATTCTGGGATTGCAGGCGTGAGCCACTGTCCCTGGCTTCTTTTATATCCTTAAACATAGAGAATCTACAGTAGTTCCCCTTTATCAGTTTCCTGGCAGTTTCTCTTTCCACAGTTTCAGTGACCTGTGGTATACAGGTCACTGAGGTTTTTTGTTTGTTTGTTTGTTTGTTTGTTTGAGATGGAGTCTCGCTCTGTCGCCAGGCTGGAGTGCAGTGGTACAGTCTTGGCTCACCACAACCTCTGCCTCCCAGGTTCAAGTGATTCCCCTGCCTCAGCCTCCCGAGTAGCTGGGACTACAGGCATGCACCACCATACCCAGATAATTTTTGTATTTTTAGTAGAGACAGGGTCTCATCATGTTGGTCAGGCTCGAACTCCTGACCTCGTGATCTGCCCACCTTGATCTCCCAAAGTGCTGTGATTACAGGCATGAGCCACAGTGCCCAGCCGTGACACTGGCTGTGACTCTCTCTTGAAAGAGAAAGAGAGACCACATTCACATAACTTTTATTATAGTATATTGTCATAATTGTTCTATTTTATTATTAGTCATCATTATTAATCTCTTACCATGCCTAATTTATAAATTAAACTTTACCATAGATTTGTATGGCTCATGTATGAAAAAATGTAGTCTATATAGGGTTGGGTCCTATCCGTGCTTTCAGACAGCCGCTGGGGGTCTTGGAATGTATCCCCTGAAGATAAAGGAGGACAACTGTAGTTATAACTTTCAATGTCCTCCAACTACTAATTCTGTCGTTTGTGTCATTGCTGGGCATTTTTCTATTGTTTGATGGTTTCTTTAGTATAGATTTCCAGAAGTGAAATTTCTGGGTCAGAAGACATAAAGATTTTTGGAGGCTGGGTGTGGTGGCTCACACCTGTAATCCCGGCACTTTAGGAGGCTGAGGTGGGTGGGTCTCTTGAGCCCAGGAGTTCAAGACCAGCCTGGGCAACATGGTGAAACCCCATCTCCACTAAAAAGTTAAAAGTTAGCTGGGAGGTCGGACACGGTGGCTCATGCCTGTAATCCCAGAACTTTGGGAGGCCGAGGTGGGCGGATTGTTTGAGACCAGGAATTCGAGACCAGCCTAGCCAACATGGTGAAACCCTGTTTCTACAAAAAATACAAAAATTAGCCAGGCATGGTCTTGTGTGCCTGTAATCCCAGCTACTCGAGAAGCTGAGGTGGGTGGATCACTTGAGCCCAGGAGGTCAAGGCTTTAGTCAGCCGAGATCGAGCCATTGCACTCCAGCCTAGGTGACAGAGTGAGACCGTATCTCAAAAAAAAAAAAAAAAAAAAGAAGAAGAGGAAGTAAAATTCACGGCACATGGTGATGTGGGCTTGTAGTCTCAGCTACTCAGGAGGCTGAGGTGGAAGGATTGCTTGATCCCAGGAGTTTGAGGCTGTAGTGAGCCACGATCATGCCACTGCACTTCTTTCAGCCTGGGCGACAGAGCGATACCCTATCTCAAGAAAAAAAGGCATTATATAATTTGCATTTGAAGAATTAACAATGAGGATGAATATATAAAGGTTTCCATGGCTTTTCCTTTCTCTGAAAGTCTGTGAATTTGAAACCCCCTTGCTTCTGCCCATCAGCAGGTCTTAGTATCTATTGGGCCTCGTTGTTTCTTGGGACATATCAGCAAGTCTGTGTGTTTTTACTTCCCTGGCAACAGTTGGAAAAACATTGATGATACTGTTAAGCCACAACCTGGCAAGCTCTCCAGGTGGAGGGTGGAAGGGAACAGGAAGGCTATCAGATGCTGAGAGGGGAAACTCTGTTAGAAATAGCTACTGCCGACTGAGTTTCTACCATATGTCAGGACCTGAGTTCTTATGTCATTTGATTTTCACAGCCACACCATGAAGAAGACACTGCTATTCCCATATTACAGGTGAGGAAGCTGGAGCTCAGAGAGGTTAGAAACTTGACCAGGGTCACACAGCAGGTACACAGCAGAGTTTGGGTTAGACCACAGCTCTGCTGGAGCCCGCCTTACTGTGGGGTGGGGGGGGTACTGCCCTAAGAACTCCACATATAATAAGTCTAAGTAGGTACTGTCATAATCTCCATTCCATGGATGAGTCACTGTGTCTTGGAGCACTGCCATATGAATTCTCTTACCCGCCCAGCATAGACAACCGTGAAAGCCAGAAGAGCTGGCAGAGTCTAGAAGTTGGCTGCCCCCACCCTCGCTGCAGACCAGAAGAAAGTGGACCCTCTTTCTCACTTCCTAAGAATACCCCCCTAGGTGACAGCACATCCTCTCAGCCCATGGCAGGAGACCTCCCGTGCAAAGCCCTGTTGACCAGAAGAGTCCCATTGCCCGGGTTCCATTCACCATGAAAGCCTGCCAGAGTGTATCTGAAATGAAGCTCCAAATTCCCACAGGTTTGCAAGATCAGAGGGAAGCAAAGGAGAAGGGCTTCCCCAGGGCGGGAAAGAGGGAGGAGGGAGAGATTAGCTTTTGTGGGAGAGTGACCCACTTTTCTCCACCTGAATCAAAGGAAATGGATTAAACGAGAGTCCCCCCAAATGCCTGTCAACAGTAGAATGGAGAGACCTGTGGCGGTATAGTCAACCGATGAGAACACCATGTCAACAAACCACAATGACACACAAGGACATGGATGAATCCCACAAGCATAGAACGAAAAATAAAGCCAGACACAAAAGAGCACAGAGTGTGAGACTCCATTGCTACGACGTTCCACAATACTCAAGCTCATGTGTGATTTCACAAGTCAGGACAGCGTTCCCCACGGCTGTGCATGCTGATTAGAGGGGGTTACTAGAGGTCTTCCTTCAGGCAGTGCTGCTGATGTTCTGTCTGTTTGGTGTTGGTTACATGGGTGTGTTCGCATTGCAATAATTCATCCCGCTGTTCACTAAGGTTTGTGCATTTTCCTGGATGTATGTTACATTAACATGCATTTGAATGATAATAATGAGGATGAGGATGATGGTTTAATTTTTTTTTTTTGTAGTGCCTGTAATCCTAGCACTTTGGGAGGCTGAGGCAGGAGGATCACTTGAGATCAGGAGTTTGAAACCAGCCTGGGCAACATAGCCAGACCTCATCTCTATCAAAAATAAAAATTATCCAGGCAGAGTGGCTTGCCCCTGTAGTCCCAGCTACTCAGGAAGCTGAAGCAGGAGGATCCCTGGAGCCCAGGAGTTGGAGGCTGTAGTGAGCTGTGATTGTACCACAGCACCCCAGCCTTGGTGACAGCTGAGACCCTGTCTCTTAAAAAAAAATAGGTTCAAACTTCAGCAGGAAGTCCTTTGGACATCCTTCCAAATTATCAGGTATCCTTCCAGGTTATGAGCAACCAAGGCCATGTAGTAGAAAGAAAGCCCCAGCTTTGATATCAGAAAACTCTGTCTTTGGCTTCTAGTTTAATAACTGTGTTACTTTGATCGGGGTGCTTCATCTCTCTGAGCGTCAGTTTCCCAACTGGAAAATGGCACCAATGATGCAGCTCCTTTAGGCTTGTTGTCATGATTACAGGTAGCATGACTGGCACATGGTAAGTGGTCAGTAACAGGAGGAAAAGGTCTAGGGTTCAAACTCAGGCAAGGGGCAGGGCAAACTGCCCTCTTTCTGCACCTCAAGCCCAGAGAGTCTTGTTTCAGAATGACACAAAGCTGGTCACATGCAATGGGGGGATTCCCAAGCCAGTGGCCACGAGAAGGCACTTTCAAAATCATTTGAAATCCCCATGCCCAGCAGCTTCCAGATGGTCATTACTGGAAGATTCTTTCCTGTGTTTAGATGCAGCCCAGCCCCCTGCTGCTTCATAAAGGCCACATCTGGTGGGAGGCCGCAGACCCTGGGCATCCAGAAGGAGGCCTGGTGGTCAGACAGACCTGACATGGATCCTGACTCCCCCTCTGTTTTCTCATCTGTTACACGGGGCAGGGGAAACTGATAATACCCAGCTAGTGGGATTGGTATGAGGATTCCTAGACGTGGGGCATGCACGGCACTTGGCAATGTGCTTTGTGCAGAACAAACACTCGATAATGGCACTTGGTGGTGCTGTTATTAGTATTAGCTCAAGGGAGGCAAAGAGCACATTTCCAGGAAGTCCTACAGGAGCCCAGCACATGATTCCATTCCACCGACATTCTTGAGCACCTACTCTGTGCCAGCCCCAGCCAGACTCAGCACACTGTGCAGGGTGCAGAGACGAAGGAGCAAGACAAGGCCCTGCCCACCAGGAACTTACAGTGTCCTCAGAGTGACCAGACACTTTTCCAGCTGGTTGGGACCTGGGCAGTGCAGATAGTTGGTGGCCTGTCCGGTAGGTGCAGGTGAGGGGCTCACACTGATTTGCACAGAAGTCGGTTGCCCTGCCTGAGGAGTTGGAATGGAGGGCTGACTGGACAACAAGATAATTGTCTGGTGGGTTTGGCCGGAGTACTGCAGAGAGACCCTGTAGAACCTCCTGGCACCCCTCTGGTCACTGAGAGGGGCTATGCAAGGCACAGGTGATAGAGGGTGTCACTGTGGCATGGGATGGGACTGGGGGCACGCACCTCTTCCATACAGAGCGTGTATGGCTCTGAGGCTGGAAGGCAAGGCGACTTTCCTGGAACCCTGAGAGTCTGCAGCTTTGGGGGAATCTAAGGTCAGCACCCTGGGGTAGGCCCAATCTCTGTGGGTGCCAAGGCTTCCATGAGTAGCTGTGAGTGGATGTCAACACTGGGGTCAGGGGAGCAGGGCAGAGGGATATGAGCAGCTGGGGCTCCCGAGACGCTTCTGAAGATGCTCAGCTGACATGGCAAGGCGTTATTTTGGGAGGGCCGGTGGGCTGACTTATGTGGGTGGGACAGAGCCATTTCTGCCTGTTAATATGATCCCATAGGGGCTCATAGCCTCATGAAATCTGGCAGAAGGGTTAGCCTGAAAGGGTCCACCATCCACTCCACAGGAAATAATAGCACTTGGGCACGCACAGAATCTTCTATCTTTCTCGCTCCTTGAAGCACATTTTATATTTTGGGCACTATTTTTACCATGTGCAGATGAGGTTGGTGGGGCTCTGCAGGGTCTACTTCCTGTCTCTACGAATTTGACTAAGTACCTCACATAGGTGAAATCATACAGCATTTCTCCCTTTCTACCTGGCTTCTTTCATTTAGCACAATGTTCGCAAAGTTCGTCTGTGTTGTAGCATATGTCAGAATTTCCTTCCTTTTTCAGGCTGAGTCACATAATCTGTTTTTAAAAATAGCTTTATTGGCTGGGCGTGGTGGCTCATGCCTGTAATCCTAGCACTTAGGGAGGCTGAGGCGGGTGGATCACAAGGTCAAGAGATCGAGACCATCCTGGCTAACATGGTGAAACCCCATCTCTACTAAAAATACAAAAATTAGCTGGGCATGGTGGTGCACACCTGTAGTCCCAGCTACTCGGGAGGCTGAGGCAGGAGAATCTCTTGAACCTGGGAGGCCGAGGTTGCAGTGAGTTGAGATTGCACCACAGCACTCCAGCCTGGGCAACAAGAGCGAAACGCTGTCTCAAAAAAAAAAAAAAAAAAAAAAAAAAAAAACCAAACAAACCAAAACAGCTTTATTGAGATATTCACTCAAATGTATAAGTCAATGTTGTTGGTGGTGTTTTTTGTTTTTGTTTTTTCAGATTCACAGTTTTGCAACCATCACCACAATCTAATTTTAGAACTTTTTTTCTTTTTCTTTTTTTTGAGATAGGATCTCACTCTGTCACCCAGGCTGCAGTACAGTGGTGCAATCTCGGATCACTGCAGACTCAACCTCCCGGGCTCAAGCAGTCCTCCCAACTCAGCTTCCCAAGTAGCTGGTACTACAGGCACGCACCACCACACCCAGCTAATTTTTGTGTTTTTTGTAGAGATGGGGTTTTGCCATGTTGCCCAAACCGGTCTTGAACTCCTGGGCTCAAGCAATCCATCCGCCTCAACCTCCCAAAGTGCTGGGATTACAGGTGTGAGCCAACACTCCAGGCCTAGAACATTTTCGATATCCCAAAAAGAAGGGTCTCCAGCAAAGGACTGACCAGAACCGGTTCTTCTCACCTTAAGTCTAATTTTTCCCCCTAGAGGCCCACAGTCAGGAGCCATATGGTATTGTCATGGGCAGCACCACAGCCCATGTGTCCCCCACCCCAAATTAATATGTTCAAGTCCTAACCCCCAATACTTCAGAATGTGACTGTATTTGGAGGTAGGGCCTTGGAAGAGGTGATTAAGTTAAAATGAAGTTACTAGAGTGGGCCCTAATCCAATATGACTGGTGTCCTTATGAGAAGAAGAGATCAGGACATAGACAGGCACACAGAAAAGATCATGTGAAGACACAGGGAGAAAGTAGCCATCTACACGCTTGGAGAGAGGCCTCAGAAGGAACCAGCCCCACTGACACCTTTCTCTCAGACATCCGGCCTCCAGAACTGTGAGAAAATAAATTTCTATTGTGTAAGCCACCCAGTTTGTGGGACTTCGTTATGGCAGCGCTGGAAAACTAATACAGGTGTTAAGAGAGGCCAGAGAAAATAATGAATACATAGTAGACTTCCTGGAGGAGGTGAGCAGCCGGTAGGTCATTGCTCCTTTCTTCTGCCTGCTCCCCTCCCACTGGACCCCAGGTATGCACACGCAATCCCTGCAGGACAGAGACCTGCTCGGAGAGACTGGCCTGGTCCTCAGGGAGCCGCCTATAGTTGGGTCTTCCCTGGTTCATGGGGCTGAGACACATGGCTTCCCAGTTTGCTGCCTCAGTTTCCACCTCCATAAAATGGGAATAATGACATTTGATGCTTCCCTCTCCAGAGTTAACAGGTTAATGATTAGGAAATATTTGGTGAAATGGTGATTATCTAAATATTTTTGTTATAAATGTAGAAATTGTTTCTTATAAAAATTATTTTTTTTTGTAGATTCACTGTTTTGCAACCATCACCACAATCTAATTTTAGAAACTTTTTCTTTTTTTTTTTGAGACAGGGTCTCACTATTGAGGTACACTTTATATAAAAATATATTCATTTGAAGTTTTGTGAATTTTTACAAATATATGACATTTGTCAAGTATTTGTATGATAGTGACAGAAACGGACCAGTGACAACTACTGGTCCACTTCAGTCACTGTAGGTGAGTTTTGCCCTCTCCAGAATCTCAGATAGATGGAATCACACAATTTGTAGGATTTTTGTATCTGGCTTCTTTTATTTAGCCTAATGCTTTTGAGGTTCATTCACGTTGCTGCATGAATTTTATTGCTGAGTGGTATTTAGTTGGATGGATGCATTGCAGTTTGTTTATCCTTTCTTCAGTTGACGGACACTTGGTTGTTTGTAGTTCTGGGCTACTATGAATATGAGGCTGTTATAAACACTTGTGAATTAGTCTTTGTATGAACATATGCTTTTTTTTTTTCCTTTTGGGTAAATGCCAACAAGTAAAATGACTGGGTGTTATATGGTAAGTGCATGTTTAACTTTATAAGAAATTGCCCGTTTTCCAAAGTGGTTGTACCATTTCACATTTCCCACCACGAGTGTGGGTAAGTTTCAGTTGCTTTACAACTGTGCTACATTTTGATTTGGTCAGTCTTTTTCAATTGTAGGCGTTCTAATAGGTGCACAGCAGAATCTCATGTTCTTAATTTTTATATATCTGATGACTAATGATGATATGTGCTAATTTGCCAATCTGTATACCTTCTTTGGTGAAGTGTCTGTTCAAATCTTTTGCTCATTTTTTATTGGGTTGTTTATTTTCTTATTAATGAGTGTTGAGAGTTGTTTCTATATCTTGGATACAAGTCCTTTATTGAATATGTGCTTTACAAATATTTTCTTCCACTCTGTGATTTGTCTTTCCATTATCTTTTTTTTTTTTTTTCGAGACAGAGTCTCACTCTGTCACCCAGGTTGCACTGCAGTCCACTGGTGTGATCTCGGCTCACTGCAACCTCCACCTCCTGGGTTCAAGCAATTCTCTAGTGCCTCATCCTCCCAAGTAGCTAGGACTATAGGTGCACACCACCATGCCTGGCTAAATTTTTTGTATTTTTAGTAGAGACAGATTTTTGCCTTGTTGGCCAGACTGGTCTCAAACTCCTGGGCTCAAGTGATCTTCCCACCTTGGCCTCCCAAGGTGCTGAGACTACAGGCATGAGCCACCGTGCCCAGCCTCCACTATCTTAACAGGATGCTTGAAAGAGCAGAAGTTAAATTTTCTTTTTTTTTTTCTTTTAAATGAGGTCTTGCTCTTGTCCCCCAGGCTGGAGTGCAATGGCGTGATCTCAGCTCACTGCAACCTCCACCTCCCGGGTTCAAGCGATTCTCCTGCCTCAGCCTCCTGAGTAGCTGGGATTACAGGCACCTGCCACCACACCCAACTAATTTTTGTATTTTTAGTAGAGATGGGGTTTCACCATGCTGGTCAGGCTGGTCTCGAACTCCTGACCTCAGGTGATCTGCCTGCCTCAGCCTCCCAAAGTGCTGGGATTACAGGCGTGAGCCACCGTGCCCGGCCAGAAGTTAAATTTTCATGAAGTCCTTTTTATTGATTTTTTTTCTCTTACAAATTGTGCTTTTGGTGCTGTATTAAGAAATCTGCCTAATCCAAGGTCACAACAATTTTCTCCCTGGTTTTCTTCTAGAAATTTTTATAAGCTTAGGTTTTATATCTAGGTCTATGATCCATTTTTTAAATATTTTTTTAAATTGTAGTAAATACAACACAAAATGTACCATCTTAATCATTTTTTAGTACAGTTTAGTGGCGTTAAGTACATTCACATTGTTGTGGAACCATCACCACCATCCATCCATAGCACCCTTTTAATCTTGCAAAACTGAAACTCTGTACCCTTTAAACACTGACTCCCCACTCTCCCCTTCTCTCAGCCCTTGGCAACCACCATTCTACTTTATGTCTCTGTGAATTTGACTAAGTATCCCATATAGGCAAAATCATACAGTATTTGTCCTTTTCCAATCAGTTTATTTCACTTAGCCCAAGTCCTCAAAATTTATCTGTAGGGTAGCATATGTCAGAATTTCCTTCGTTTTTAAGGTTGAATAATATATTTCACTTTTGAAAACAGCTTTATTGACTGGGCGTGGTGGCTCACACCTGTAATCCCAGCAGTTTGGGAGGCTGAGACAGGGGGATTGCTTGAGCCCAGAAGTTAGAGACCAGCTTAGGCAACATAGCAAGACCCCATCTCTACCAAAAAAAAAAAAAAAAAAAAAGCTTTATTGAGATATTCATATACCATACCATTCATTCATTTCAAGTGTATAATTCAATGGGTTTTGTGTGTGTGTGTGTATCCATAGTTTTGCAACCATTTATAACCATTTGCAAGTGTTCTAATTTTAGAACACTTTTGATACCACAAAAAGAAATTCTACCCATCAGTAGTCATTCCCCAATCCCTGTCACCACATGCTCCCTTTTCTCAGCCCCTGGAAACCATCACCTACTTCCTGTTTCTGCAGCTTTGCCTATTCTGGACATTTCATAGAGCAAAATCGTGTGATATGTGACTTTTGTGACTGGTTTCTTTCATTTAACAATGCTTTCAAGGTTCGGCCATGTTATAACATGTATCACTACTCTATTCCTTTTAATGATTGAAGAATATTTCCTTGTATAGATATACCCTATTCATCAACCAAATGTCCATTGTATTAGTCCGTTTTCACACTGCTGATAAAGACATTCCCAAGACTGGGTAATTTATACAGGAAAAAGGTTTATTGGACTTACAGTTCCACATGGCTGGGGAGGCCTCACAGTATGGCGGAAGGCAAGGAGGAGCAAGTCTCATCTTACGTGGATGGCAGCAGGCAAAGAAAGAGCTGGTGCAGGCAAACTCCCGTTTTTTTAAAGCCATCAGATCTCGTAAGACTTATTCACTATCACGAGAACAGCAGGGGAAAGATCTGCCCCCATGATTCAGTCATCTCCCACCAGGTCCCTCCCACAACACATGGGAATTATGGGAGCTACAAGATGAGATTTGGGTGGGGACACAGAGCCAAACCATATCAGGTATATGCCTAGGAGTGCAATTACTGGGTCTTAGGGTAACTCCATGTTTAATGCTTTGAAGAACTGCCAAGCTGTTTTCCACAGTGGCTTCACCATTTTACATTTCCATCAGCAATGTATGAGGGTTCCAGTTTCTCTGCCTCCTCACTAACTCTTGGTATCATCTGTCTTTTTGATCGCAGCCATCTTAGTGGGTCTGAAGTGGTATCATATTATGGTTTTCGTTTGCATTTCCCTAATGACTAATGATGCTGAGCATCATTTCACATGCTTGTTGGTCATAAGGTTATCTTCTTTGGATAAATGTCTTTAAATCTTTTGCCTATTTTCAAGATTGGGTTGTCATCTTTTTACTGCTGAGTTATAAGAGCTCTTTAGATATTCTGGATACAAGTTCCTTATCAGACACATGGTTTGCAAATATTTTCTCTCATTCTGTTTTTTTTTTTTATTTTCTTGATGGTACAGTTTGCAGCACACATATTTTTCATTTTGATAAAGTTCAAATTATCTTTTTTGTGTCACTTGCGCTTTTGATGTACCAAGAAACCATTGATAACTCAGTGTCACAAAGACTTAGTCCTATGTTTTCTTCTAAAAGTTTATTGTTTTTTTTTTTTTTTCTTTTTGTTTGAGACAGAGTCTTGCTCTGTCACCCAGGCTGGAGTGCAGTGGTGCAGTCTTGACTCACTGCAACCTCCTCCTTGCAGGTTCAAATGATCCTCTTGCCTCAGCTTCCCGAGTAGCTGGGATTACAGGTGCCTACCACCACACCTGGCTAATATTTTGTATTTTTAGTAGAGATGGGGTTTTGCCATGTTGGCCAGGCTAGTCTCAAACTCCTGACCACTAGTGATCAGCCTGCCTCAGCCTCCCAAAGAGCCGGGATTACAGGTGTGAGCCACTGCACGGAGCCTAAAAGTTTATTTTTTGTTTGTTTGTTTGTTTGTTTTGTTTTGTTTTGTCTTGTTTTTGAGATAGAATCTCACTCTGCTTCCCAGGCTGGAGTGCAGTGGCACCATCACAGCTCACAGCAGCCTCGACCTCCTGGGTTCAAGCAATCCTCCCACCTCAGCCTCCTGAATAGCTGGGACTACAGGCATGTGCAAACATGCCCATGCCCAGCTCATTCTTTTTTTTTTTTTGGCAGAGATGAGGTCTCACTATGTTGCCCAGGCTGGTAAAAGGTTTATAGTTTACGTTTAGGTCTCTGATCCATTTTGAGTTAACTTTTGTATGTGGTGTAAGGAAGGGGTTCAACTTCATTCTTTTGCATATAGGTATCCAGTTATCTCAACAATGTTTGTTGAAAAGACCATTTTTTCCCTGTTGAATTGTCTTAGCACCCTTGAACTGTGGTGAGTTTTGGTTAATTTTTGTATATGGTTAGAGGTATGAATTGAAATTCTTATTTCTTTTCTGTCTTTCTCTCCCTTCCTTCCTCCCCTGATCCCTGTTCTGTTTCCCTCTTTCCTTCTCATCCTCTCTCTTTCTTCTTTCTCTCCCTCCCTCTGTTTCTTTCTCTCTTTCTCTCTCCCTCCTTCTCTCTCTTCTTTCTCTCCCTTTCTTTCTCTCTATTTCTCTCCCTATTTTCTCTCTATTTCTCTCTCTTTCTGTTGATAGTCAGTTGGCCTAGCAACATGGTTGAAAATTCTGTTATTTCTCCATGAACTTCCCTTTGGATCCTTGTCAAAAATAAATTTTCCACATTTGTAAGTCTGATTCTCAATCATCTATTCTGTTCCATTGACCTATTTGTTTATCTTTATATCAATACCATACTATCTTGATTACAGTAACTTTTTTTTAAGGCAGAGTCTCACTCTGTCACCCAGGTTGGAATGCAGGGCACAATCATAGCTCACTGAAGCCTCGACCTCCCAGACTCAAGCAATTCTCCTGCCTCAGCCTGCTGGGTAGCTGGGACTACAAGTGTGTGCCACCAAGCCATGCTAATTTTTGTTTGTTTGTTTGTTTGTGAAGACGGGGTCTTGCTATGTTGTCCAGGCTGGTCTTGAACTCCTGGGCTCAAGCAATTCTCCCACCTTGGCCTCCCAAAGTGCTGGGATTACAGGTATGAGTTGCCATGCCTGGCCCACTTTATAAGTCTTAAAATCAGGTAGTGTAAGTCCTGCAATACTATTCATCTTTTCATAGTTGATTTGGCTATTCTAGATCCCTTGAATTTCCATATGAATTTTGGGATCACCTTGTCAATTTCTACAAGAAAAGTCTGTTAGGATTTTGATTGAGAGTGCACTGACTAATGAGCAAATGAGAATTGACATTGTAACAATATTGGGCCTTCTGATTCATAAGCATGACACATCCCTTGATTTACTTTGGTTTTCCTTGATTTCTCCGAGCCTCATTTTAAAGTTTTTAATGTACAATATCTGTTTTTTGGTCAATTTTATCCCTAAATATTTCACATTTTTGGATATTATTGTAAATTTTTTTTTAAAATTTCAGTGTCCAATTATTCATTGCTAGTATGTAGAAGTACAATTATTATGACTATTTCGTATTTTTATCTTATATTCTGCAACCTTGCTAAATTCAGTTGTTAGTTCCAGCAGCTTTTTTGTAGCTTCTACAGGATTTTTTATATGGACTATTATGTTGATGCCAATAGACATCAACTTTCTTCTTCCTTTCCAATCTGAAGACCTTTCATTTCTTTTCTTGGCTGTTGCACTAACTGAAATCACCAGTACAACGTAGAATAGAAGTGATGAGAGTGGACATTCTTCCTAATCTTCAGGAGAAAAGCATTCAGTCTTGCACCATTAAGCCTGGTGTTGGCAATAGGTTTCTTGTAGATGCCCTTTATCTTTTTTTTTTTTTTTTTTTGATGGAGTCTGGCTCTGTTGCCCAGGCTGGAGTGCAGTGGCGCCATCTCGGCTCACTGCAACCTCCGCCTCCCGGGTTCAAGCGATTCCCCTGCCTCAGCCTCCTGAGTAGCTGGGATTACAGGCATGTGCCACCACACCCAGCTGATTTTTGTATTTTTAGTGGAGACCAGGTTTCACCATGTTGGACAGGCTGGTCTCGAACTTCTGACCTCAGGTGATCCACCAGCCCTGGCCTCTGAAAGTGCTGGAATTACAGGCATGAGCCACTGCACCCAGCTGTAGATATCCTTTCTCAAGCTGGGGAAGTTCCATTCTGTCTCAGTTTGCAGACAGTTTTTTAAATCAGGAATGGATGTTGGATTTTGTCAAATGGCATTTGTTTTGTTTTCTTGGATTTGTTGAGATGACCATATGGCTTTCCTTCTTTAGTCTGTTAGTATGGTATATTTACATTGACTGATTTTTAATGCAAAACCAATCTTTCATTCCTGGGATAAACCCCACTAGGTCATGGTATATTTTCCTGTTTACCAGCATTTGCCCGTTTGCCAATATTTTGTTAAGAATTTTTTTATCTATGTTGATGAGGAATCGTAGTCTTGTAGTTTTCATTTCTTGTAATGTCTTTATCTGGTTTTGGCATTAGAATAATGTTGGCTTAGTAGAATGAATTGGGAAGAACTTTCTTTATCTAAATTTTCTGGAAGAATTTGTGTGTAATTGGTGTTATGGACTCAATTGTTTTCCCCTCCCCTAAATGTGTAATTTGAAGCTCTAACCCATGGTACCTCAGAATATGGCTGTATTTGGAGATAGTGCCTTTAAAGAGGTGATTAAGTGGAATCAAGGGTGGGTCCTAATCCAGCATGACTTGTGTCCTTATAAGATGAGTAAATTTAGACACACAAAGAGACATGAGAGATGGGCATGCGCAGAGGAAAGGCCACGTGAGGCCACAGAGCGAAGGTGGCATCCTCAAGCCACAGAGAAGGGCCTCAGAATGAAATCAGCCCTGCCAGCATCTTGATCTTGGACTTCCAGACTCCAGAACTGGGAGAAAATAAATTTCTGTTATTAAAGTCCCTCCATTTGTGGTATTTTGTCATGGCAGCCCTAGCAAACTAATACAATTGGTGTTTCTTCTTCCTTAAGTATTTGGTCAAGTTCACCAGTGAAGCCATCTGGACCTGGAGTTTGTTTATGGGAAGATTTTAAACTATATATTCAGCAGCTTTCATAAATATCCAGCTATTTCCAGTTGAGTGACTTTGTGCCTTTCGAGGAAATTGGCCATTTTATTGTAATTGTTGAATGTATTTTTATACTCATCTTAATACCAAAAATTACAAATAAAAAAATAAAAACCACCATTTATTCCACGTCTAAAGATGTCCATTACTAATGCTTTTACATTGTATCCTTCTAGATAATTTTTATACCTGTGTACACCAACTCCTTTTTAAAAATGCTATTACCTTGTAGTACAGGGTGGTTTTTTTGTGTCAACAAATATTATTTGAAAACATGATTATGGATGGATGGCTAATAATTTGCTTAACTAACCCCTAATTTAAGTTGCTTCTAATGGGGTTGGGGGAGCATCAAGAAAACACCCCTTCAGTGTCTCTAGGAGCAACTCAAGTTGGCATTTGGTCTGCAGTCCCAGAAGTGGAATTACTGGGTCAACCAGTTTATTATTGACTCATTATTGAGCACCCTGAGCTTGGTAGGGGGAGGGTGGAGGGAGAGGGAAGAGCCCGTCCTCTTCCTCAAGGATCAAGCCTCTCTGAAGACCAGCCCAACCAGCATGTCCAGTGGGAATTCCAGTTGAGAAAGTAGCAGTGATGCTGCTCAGAGGCTCTCAGGGGTCCCCGGCCCCAGCCTTGGCCTCCTCGACCTACGTTGGAGTGGCTCTAGTTATCTGCAGGTTGGAGGCTGTATCTTCAGGATTTGGACATACTGGGCCTTACTTCTCGATTCTTCCTTCTTTGGAGTGTGGTGACATCATTAAGTGGTGTTTGAGAAAATGGAGGCAAAGATAGAAGCCAAACTTTGTGCAGACAAGTGAAGACAGAGACTAGTCTTGTTTTCCAATCACTCCCAGTCTGATGAAGCAGATGCAGCCTTGTCCCAAGGGGGAAGCCCTAGGCTTTTGGAAGAAACAAAGGCCCCTTCCTTCCAGGATCCCCAGTTTGAAGGAAGTGTCAAGATTCATAAACCAAAACATATACAGGTAACATCACCTGTATATGTTTTGGAATGCATCACCAAATGCAAACAAACACCCTCCCATGCAAGGACCTGTGACTGGATGCAGTGGGGTTTTTCCGGGATAACTTCCTGGAGAGGAGATGGACTTGGATCCACAGAGAGGCAGCTGGGCAGAGGAAGGGTGGGGGCTGGGTGAGGGGGATGACATGTGGACTGTGGTTTGGTATAGCCAGAAGAGGAGGCTGGCAAAGCTAGGGGCAGGAAGGGAAGCCCCAGGGGTCTCTTCTGCCCCTTGTTGGCAGGTTTGAGGACATTGAGAGAGATGGATCAACTTGAAGGTGAGGGGATTATTTGCAGTGTCAACTTCCAAGAGTCACCTTCTCCTGCCTCCCTTACCATCCCCTCCCAGTATCTCAATTCTCCCCAAGGCTGGAGATCAGCCCCTACTTTGCTATTGTTTGTAGACATGGGGTCTCACTATGTTTCCCAGGCCGGTCTCAAATTCCTGGCCTCATGCAATCCTTCCGTCTTGGCCTCCCACAGTGCTGGGATTGCAGGTGTGAGTGATCACGCTGTGCCCAGCCCTCTACTTTGTAACAATCAGATCTTTAACTGGGCACTTACACCTGCCCCAACCCACCACATGACACCCGACTTGTATGAGCATCACCCTCATTCGGTGAGGCCTTGTTATGTGCACTTACAGCTGAGAACTCAGAGACCAGGGAAGGGAGCTCTCCTACCAAGGCCTCACGGCTGGGAAGTGGTGGTACTGGCATGGGATCTTCTATCAGTGCGACTGCTCAAACCCCCAAGCTCAGCCCAGGTGACCCAGCCCTGAGAGGGGCTCCCAGAGCTCACACTGCCTTGGATTCTCTCCAGTCCCATCTTTCTCATACATACCACCCCCCTTCAAAAAAGGCAAATGGTGCTGACAACCAGGCCCCCCAGGATCTCCGTCAGATAATTGTGCCCCCTTCAAGGGCAAATTTGGCAATGTCACAACGCTGCTAAGTTGGTTTAGGTAGAATCCTCAATTTTGTCCTCCATATCTGATTGGGTTTCTTGTCCTCCGTGGCCCCCAGGTGATGTCTGAGCAACCCACCTGCCTTCAGCAGGAATCCTGGTGGATCGGTTTAGCCAGAGTCTCCCAACCCCCCATGACCCCTGATGTTTCTTCTGGTTAACTTTCCAACCTCAGACCCCACCCTGCTCCTTGGCTATGAATTCCCGCTTTTTCTTATTGTATCTGCTGTTGAGTCCAGTCTCTCTTCCCCACTGCGGAAGCCACTGCCATGGCCCTACACCTGTCCCCATGGCCCCTTTGAACAAAGCCTGCCTTACTGTGTTTCAACAAGTGTCACTGAGTGATGTTTTATCTTTAACATCTTTCAGATGGGGAAAGAGAGGCCTTTGGGCTAATTTCCTTTCAGATGCATGGGGAAAGACTGACTCTCCTATCAGGTATGTAAACCCCCAAGTCAGGCAGACCAGAGCACCCAGCGGTGGGGACTGTACCAGCTGGCTGTGGGCAGGGCTGTGGGGGAGGGAGGAGGAGGTGGAGCCTCCTTTTTCTAGGGCATGTGTCACCTGCCACTCCCCTGCCAGTGTGCGAGGCAGCGTGAAGCTGGGGCCTGCTCCCCGCAGCCTCTGGAGCGCATCTCAGACCTTCTGAGACCTATGTTGCTGGCCCCCCAGAACCCGCAACATGGCAGATGGGGCAAAGGCCAACCCCAAAGGGTTCAAAAAGAAGGTGCTGGATAGATGCTTCTCTGGGTGGAGGGGCCCACGCTTCGGGGCCTCCTGTCCTTCAAGAACCTCCAGGTAGGTGCCTGTTGCCCTGAGATGGAATCCTCCAGGGAGGGGCAGGGACAGGCGTGAGGGACTGGCTCCTAGAATCCCTTTCTCCTAAGAGTCCACGTGGTGGGCAGAACCCCAAAGGGATCATTTAGTCAACCTTCACGTGGCACTCATGTGGCCCAGGGAGAGTGAGGCCACACAACCCTCATGTGGCCCAGGGAGGCTGAGGCCACACATTTTGGAAGCGGTGCTGGGACTGGAATCCAGGGACCTAGGACTCCTGGCTTTGGGTTCAAGACCCAGCTGCTAGGCTGGGTCATATGACTTCCTTCCCGGACTCCCTAGTGTGTGCATGGGAGGTCTGGCCTGAGACAGCAGGCTTCCTGTCCTGAAGGCTGATGCGTGGAGGGGGTTCCTGCCAGAGTGGGGGGCAAGGAGGTGTTCGTGCCTCCTGGCTCTGCCATCTGGGGTGCGCTCCTCCAGGAGGGGCTGGGCAGGTACTGATGACAGCGCTAGGAGCAGCAACTAGGACATCAAGGGACAGCATTGATGACACCTGTCCTGAGGCTCAGGAAGGGAGCAGCAGGTCCAACACTGCCAAGGGTGGAGGGGATGGACTCAAGCTCCGGGTTTCGTCCTCCCTCAGGTCTAGCCTGGGTATGAAGAAGTTCTTCACCGTGGCCATCCTTGCTGGCAGCGGTGAGTAAAGACTCCAGAGGGCTCCTCCTTCTCTCCCACTCCCAGCTTGTCTCCCGTGACCTTGGGCGCCTGAGTTATGGTTCCACTGACCAGCCTAGGTTCCTTCCTGTCTCTGGGCTTCTGCTTCTTGTCTCAGCCCAGCAGGCTGCACCCAATTCTGGGGCTGTTTACCCCTCCAGCCACCTGTAAACATGCATTTATGAGCCCTGGGGGGCAGGGCGCAGGGCTGAGCAAGCATCGTAAAATGCTGGTGTTGGCTGGGCATTTGTGTACCTGAATGTGTACTAGTGTGTGTCCATCAGACTGGAGTTAATGATTTTGTGTGCAGACAGGCACAGGCATCTATGTGTGTGTAGGTGTGTCTGAGCATGTGATGATGTCTATGTGTGCAACATGCATCCATAAAGTATGTGACAGTGTAGGCACCTGAGTGCGAGCCCATTTGTGTCTCTTTGTGTGAGTGTGTGTTAATTGGGGTGTGTGTCTTCAGAGCATGCTTATGGATGAAGGGTGCATAGATCTGCAGGAGGGTGTGTGTGTGTAGGATGGGTGTCTGTGTACTGCATAGTGGTGGGAGGTCAGGGGCTTCTTTCTGGGGTTGGTACCCAGGGCATCATGGCTCTGGGCAGCCGCCCCATAGGATTGTTGCGTGAGGCTCTTGACACAGACCTGACCCTGCCACTCGTCCCGGCATCATTTATGTGGCAGGTGTCCCAGCTCCATGGACCATTGGCTGGGCCTCTCACTGGCCTTGCATGCAGCCTGTTAAACCTCGCCAGAACACAGCCTGGCTTGAGGAAAAGAAATAAATGACAAAAACCAAAATAAGGTTCCACGTGGCCAGACGTGAGAGAGGGCTGGTTGCATTCAGGCAAAGTGACTTGTTATTGAGAAGACGACTGCTTGAGTTCAGTCCAAGCCACTGGTTAGGGGCAGAGCCTTCAACCCAACTGAATGCGGACTTGGATTCCTTCGCTTGGACGGTCAGTGTGGATGTGGCCTTGGGCCAGGCCCCTGATTCTCCCCTGGATGCGTTGTGTATGTGAGTGCATCTGTAATGCACGAGGGCGAGTGTGCAAGTGTGTGTATCAGGTATGTGTGGGTGTATATCATGTATGTATGGGTGAGTGTAGGTGTATGAGTGTATCAGGTATGTATGTGTGAGTGTTGAGTGTATCAGGTATGTGGGGGTGAGTGTGAGTTTGAGGTGTCTGGGAATGAGTGTGTATGCAAGTGCATGTGGTGTGTAAAGGAGAGTGTGAGGTGGGCAGGTGTGTGAGTGTGTGTGAGATGGGTGTGTGTGTGTCAGTGTGTGTTCACCCTGTGCATGGCCACGTAGACTTCTTGCTCTTCTTCTCTTGCCACATGGGAGTTGACTGTCGGGGGTCCTGGGACTGGAGGTGCCCCCTCCCGGGTAACACTTACAAGGCCAGGGGCAGATGGGGAGGCAGCCAGGGCCTCGCAGTGGTTGGGTCCCTCCTCAAGGCGCTGTGTGGGCCAGGCACTCTACACACCTTCATGATCACACTTCAACCTCCAAGGTGCCCTGCAAGGAGGCGTCATGATCTCCATCCTCTGCTTTGGGCATTGTGATCCGAGAGGTTGCTGGTGTGTGCCAGGCCTCCAGCAGGGCACTGGCCTGCCTGATCTCTCATGGTTTAGATTGTTACTCCCATTTTACAGATGGGAGAACAGAGCCCCAGGGAGTCCCAGCTGGGCTTGGTTATTGGCCTAGGTCTGTCTGACTCCAGATTCAATGCTCTTCCCACTAAGGCACATTGAGGTGGTGAGTTCCCTGTCATTAGAGATGTCGGACACCATGTCTCTGGAAGCAGGCAAGAGTGGCCTTTGGGATTCCCCTGAGCCACCAGTTTCTGAAACCGTTGGCTTTCCCCTCTCCCAGTACATTTCCTCATTCAGGCTGGGGAGCAGGGTGGACATGGAGAGAGTGGCAGGAAGGGTGCTGAGCTAGGCCCCTCACGCTGACTGCAGCTAGAATGGCTGGGGTGGGGGAAGCAGGCGGAGCTGCACTGCCCTGCGCTGCGGTTAGCTTCCCAGCTCCGCAGTACACAAACCTGGGGCAGTCTGGGCTCTGCCCCCTCCAGCCTGTGGGACCTGGGCAAGCCTGCACCTTTCTGAGCCTTAGTTTCCTCACCCATAAAATCGTGATAGATTGGCTCTCCTGCTGGTGTGTGTAGGGCAGCTTCCCCCAGGTAAGGACTGTAGGTGCCAGGCTGGGCGTGTGGACCCAGTGCTGCATCCAGGAGGATGTGCAGAGGCAGCGCAGGCAATTCAGAGAGCCACCGCACAGGCACAGACTGCAAGATGGAGACAAGCAGTGGCCAGGGGGAGAATGTGTCCTGGGGTGGGCCGGCCTGGCAGGTGCCATGAAGCTGATTTCGCTGGTGCAGGAAGTGTCCTTGCACTATTTCTCCCTCTGTGTGTGTGTGGGGAGACTGTTTTCCTTCTTCCCACCTCCAGCCAGTATCAGCCTGTAATACGAAGCCTTTTCTGTTTCTTCATTAGCGATCAGAGCACCGAATTGTCGCTGGATTGATCCTGAGATGCACCAGGCCCGGGATCAGGGTGGGGACTCTGAGGCCCCCAGGAGGGCAGAGGCAGGAGGCAGAGACCAGGAAGGGACCCAGAATCAACCCCCTGAGCTTCCTAAGAGCATGTGGCCTTTGCGAAGCTCCCTCCAGCATACCAGGCACTTGGGCATCCCCCT
Source organism: Homo sapiens (assembly GCF_000001405.40). Lineage (NCBI taxonomy): Eukaryota > Metazoa > Chordata > Mammalia > Primates > Hominidae > Homo > Homo sapiens. Next base: position 20,142,947 of record NC_000001.11, read on the forward strand.
TGAGAAGTGTGTACAGCCAAGTGGCAGGGGGTGTGGATGCAAAACCCTCACTGCCTGGGTCCAAATTCTGTCTCCACTGCTTTCTGACAACGGGATGTAGAGCAAGTTACTAAATGCACTGGGCCTCAGTCTTCTCATCTGCACAGAGGCATAACAAGAGCATGCAGGGGGTTGCAGTGAGCACTCAATGGATTCATGCACATGGAAGGGGCTTGGGACAGTACCTGGCATGGAGCAAGTCCCTAGCAAGGATGACCTGCGTTGTTTTCTCAGGGCCGCAGGGATGTGGGTGCACACCATACATGGTACCTTGCAGATTTCTTTCCTCTGGCTTAGCTGCCCACGCTTCTTGCCCCAGCTTCCTCTCCTGCTTTCTCCTTCCTTCTCCCACCTACCCTAGGTATTGGGAGGATGGTCAGTCCAGACTCTCAGGATGAGAGAGGCTGGGAGCGGCCAGCCCCGGGGCAGGGGCTCAGAGCACCCCCTGGTTCTCTTGCAGTTCTGTCCACAGCTCACGGCAGCCTGCTCAACCTGAAGGCCATGGTGGAGGCCGTCACAGGGAGGAGCGCCATCCTGTCCTTCGTGGGCTACGGTTGCTACTGTGGGCTGGGGGGCCGTGGCCAGCCCAAGGATGAGGTGGACTGGTAGGTACCAGAGGCCTGGGCTCCTGTCAGGGGCCAAATGAGGACAGCTGAAGGTCAGACTGACCTTGCCCTCCATCCCTGAGTGGGGGAGACCTTCTTTCCCCAAAGGATCCAGCTTCTTTGATGACTTGGTGACCAGAGCCTGGTCTTTGACTATGTTCTTTCCAAACTGTTTTGAGCGCTTTCTGTTGTCCATCTCCAAGGCCATGGGCTTGGAAGTGTTTCAGCCCCTCCTCTCTCTAGGAAGGGACCTTTGACTTGCTCCAAAACACACATGGGAGAGCAGTCACACAGCTGACACCCCACAAAGGCAAGGGCTGTGACCCCTGCCTGCCTCACACTGGAGGCTCTGGAAGACAGGACCATGCCTCCTCCATCAGACTGTGAGCTCCCAGCAGCCATGGCTTGTCTTCTGCTCCTATCTCCCCAACAGCAGGCAGCACCAAGTTTGTATCACAGAAAGCTAAATAAATACACATTGACTAGCTGACTTCACGCCCCCAGAGGTGATGGGGACAGCCACACTGCCTGTGTTTCTTGTTCGCCATCCTACCAGTCCCTGTTGACCCTCCAGACCTTTGTCCCTCCCTGGCCATGAGGCACAGCCAGGGGTGGCCTCTGCCTACAGTCGACGCTCCTCCAACCTTGACGTAAACCTAGGCAGGTCCCTGACTCCTCCCACTGCTGCAGCCGGGGCTCTGGGGGAAAGCTGGGAGCCCTGTGGATAGAACAAAGACACAGGGGAGAATGTGTCCTGGGAGGGGCAGGTCTGGCAGGTGCCAACGAAGCTGAAGCTGTGAGAATCAGAACCTGGGGTGCCGGCCCCAGCTCTGCTTGGCTGTGTGACCTCAGACAAGTAACTGTCCCTCTCTGGGCTTCAGTTCGAACGTTTGACCTGCGAGAGACTGGAAGAGATGATCAGAGGTCTCTGCTGGTGGGAGATGGGCCGGCCCAGCCATGCCTGTCCACTCACCTCTGCCGCTCCCTAGGTGCTGCCACGCCCACGACTGCTGCTACCAGGAACTCTTTGACCAAGGCTGTCACCCCTATGTGGACCACTATGATCACACCATCGAGAACAACACTGAGATAGTCTGCAGTGAGTCCCTCCCCTGTCACCTGGGCCCCCAGAGAAGGGAGTGGCTGGCTCTACCAGCCTGTGCTGGGATGGTGGACAGGCTTGCCAGATTAAATACAGGCTGCCAGCCGGGTGCGGTGGCTCATGCCTGTAATCCCAGCACTTTGGGAGGCCGAGGCGGGCGGATCACTTGAGGTCAGGAGTTCGAGACCATCCTGGCTAATGTGGTGAAAACCCGTCGCTAGTAAAAATACAAAAATTAGCTGGGCTTGGTGGCATGTGCCAGTAATCCCAGCTGCTGGAGAGGCTGAGATACGAGAACCACTTTGAACTTGGGAGGCAGAAGTTGCAGTGAGCCAAGATCGCACGCCACTGCATTCCAGCCTGGGAGACAGAGTGAGACTCTGTCTCGAAGAAGAAATGAAAAAGAAAAAAAGAAATACAGGCTGCCTAGTGAAATTCATTTCTTAGCTATACAATGAAAAATGTTTTAATATTAAATATGTCCTAAATATTGCATGGGACATATTGATACTCAAAACTAAATGCTAGTATAAAATTAATTAATATTTATAGATAAGGAAATGTTTAGGACATACTTCTACTAAAACATGTATTTTTTTTTTTTTTTTGAGACGCAGTCTCTCTCTGTCGCAAGGCTGGAGTGCAGTGGCATGATCTCGGCTCACTACAACCTCTGCCTCCCAGGTTCAAGTGATTCTCCTGCTTCAGCCTCCCAAGTAGCTGGGACTACAGGTGCATGCCACCATGCCCAGCTACTTTTTAAATTTTTAGGAGATACAGGGTTTCACCATGTTGGCTAGGATGGTCTTGATCTCTTGACCTCTTGATCCACCCACCTCGGCCTCCCAAAGTGCTGGGATTACAGGTGTGAGCCACTGCATCCAGCCAAACATGTACTGTTTACCTGAAATTTTAATTAATTAATTAATTAATTAATTAAGACAGGGCCTTGCTCTGTTGCCCAGGCTGGAGTTCAGCGGTGCCATCGTAGCTCACTGCAGCCTTAACCTGGGCTAAAGTGATCCTCCTGCCTCAGCCTCCCAATTAGCTGGGATTACAGGCCAGTGCCAACATGCCCAGTTGATTCTTGTATTTTTTGTGGAGATGGGGGTCTCACTATGTTGCCCAGGCTGGTCTTGAACTCCTGGCCTCCAGCAATCCTACTTCTGCTTCCCAAAGTGCTGGGATTATGGGTATGAGCCACCAGCCCAGCCTGAAATTGAAATTCAACCAGGAATCCTGTGTTTTGATTTTGGTTTTGCTTTTTTGCTAAATCTGAATCTGACCAGCCTAGCTGTGGCTTGAGAACATCTCCCTGAGGTGCTCTGATGCTCCAGTCCTGGAATTGGCATCCCAATTCTCCTGTCCCCCAAATTCTGGGTGATTCTGATTCCGTGGGTGTTGGTGGGGCCCAGGAACTTGGCTTTCAGCCGGCTCCCCAGATGGTTCTGAGACTGCAGCTCTGCAGGGAGGCTCTGAGACATGCTGGCCTGGGAGTCAGGGGACCTGGGTTTGAACTCTGGTTCTGTCACCATCTCCCTGCTCCATGTAGCCCTGGGCAGCTCCTTCCCCATCTGGCCTGTTTCCTCACTCATGGGTCCACTGAGGGGTTTGGATCAGAGCGGACTCTTTCTCTTCTGGTTCTGTCACTCGGACCCCACCTGCAGAGGTGGCTCCATCCTAGGACGCCCAGTGTTTCCAGGGATCCAAGGTATTAGCACCTGGCCTGGCGGGTTCCTTCATTTACCATGAACTTGCTGTGGCTATTTCCCAACTGAGACATGTAGGTAAGCGCAAGTGGCATCCAAGTAGCAGCGCCCAGGTGTCCCTGCCCTGCCCTACTCTGTGCTCCTCTCTGGGAGAGGACTCCCCCTGGCCCAGCCTGTGGGCAACCACTGGGCCCTCTTTGCCCCCATGTCTTCACCTGGTGGTACCAGTTGTTGCTTATTAATAGCTCACAAGCAACGCTGGCTTTGCAAAGACACTCAAATCTTCTGTCATTGGGAAGGAGTCTAGTGGAGACTGGGGTGCACTTGGGACCCCTTGGGGGCCCAGATCTCTGTGGTCCTCATGTTCTGCTGTTCAAACATGAGGTGGAGGGGCTGGCCTGAGATAGCAGATGCCCCCCTATTAAAGCAGCTGGAGGAGAGAGATTCTCCCCCAGCCACCACCCACCAGGGGTAACAGACGAACTTAAAGCAGTGATTTTCATGCTGGGTTCTGGGAATCCCTGGGGCCATCAGAGCCAGAGGCCCTGAGAGGTGCTGGTCACAGTCCCTGAGAGGTTCAGCTGGTACTTTAGTGTATTTTATCATTAAGCAGCTTCTTCTGGGGCCGTCTGATGCATCAGCTTTCTTTAAAGAGTTTCGTTTAAGAAACAGGATTTTGCTGGTAGAAGGTATGAAAAGTTTGCAGACCGATCAAGCTAGTTGGAGGTTCTCAAAGGGTAGCCCCTGAACCAGCAACAGCAGCAGCTGCAGCACCCAGGAACTTGTTAGAAATGCCAATCATCAAGCCCCACCCAGACCTACTGAATCTGATACTTAGGGGTGAGGTCCAGCAGTCTTTGTTGGAACAAGCCCTCCAGCTGATTCTATTGTGCACCTAAGGATGATTTCCGAAATCTACTAATTATAACAACAGCATAGGGACAAACAACAGTAGCATTTGCCCTGGATTAGGCATGTGAGAGGCTCTTAGGCACTAAGCTTTTGAACAATTGTTTTTCCCACTCATTTCTTACCAATAACTCCCTCTTCTTTTTTTTTTTTTTAAGATGAAGTTTCGCTCTTGTTGCCCAGGCTGGAGTGCAGTGGCATAATCTCGGCTCACTGCAACCTCCTCCTCCAGGGTTCAAGCAATTCTCCTGCCTCAGTCTCCCGAGTAGCTGGGATTACAGGCGTCCACCACCACGCCTGGCTAATTTTTTGTATTTTTAGTAGAGATGGGGTTTCATCATGTTGGCCAGGCTGGTCTCCAACTCCTGACCTCAGGTGATCCACCTGTCTTGGCCTCCCAAAGTGCTGGGATTACAGGCGTAAGCCACTGCGCCCGGCAATAACTCCCTCTTCACTGGGCGTTCTTTGATTCTGTGATTGAAGGGAAGAGGTCTGGGATGGCAGGAAGTAACAAGCCTGGGAGGCGTGGGGGGTGCTTTAGTTCTGTGGGTGACTTAGGTAAACCCATCCCCCTTTCTGGGGCTCAGTTTCCCCAGCTATGCAATAACTGTGTTGGGCTTCAGTGGTTCCCCAATTTTACTATGCACCAGAGTCCCCTAGAGAGCTTGTTACAACACAGACTGCCGGGCCCCAGCCCAGAGCTGCTGACCTTGTAAGCGTGGGGTGGGGCCCGTGGGTGGTGCTGGTCCTGCCGCCCAGGTAACACATTCCAAGGACCACTGGGCTCTCCAAGTCTGTGTGCTCCCCTTCCCCAGCAGTAGTCCTGGGGGAGCTGCTGCCCCTTTCATCCACAGCCTTTGCCACCCCATCCCCCTGTAGGTGACCTCAACAAGACAGAGTGTGACAAGCAGACATGCATGTGTGACAAGAACATGGTTCTGTGCCTCATGAACCAGACGTACCGAGAGGAGTACCGTGGCTTCCTCAATGTCTACTGCCAGGGCCCCACGCCCAACTGCAGCATCTATGAACCGCCCCCTGAGGAGGTCACCTGCAGTCACCAATCCCCAGCGCCCCCCGCCCCTCCCTAGAGCCTCTGAGGTTTGAGAGAGAGAGCGGGAGGAGGGTCTGGCTTGGGGACCAGACGAGGTGCAGGGAGGGTAGGAGCCAGGCCAGGAGCCTGAGGGTTGCTGGTTGCCTCCTCCCTGGAGCTCTCCAGTGAGGGCTCAGCTCTCAGAGGACTCAGGAAGGCCTGGGTCCTGACTCCCCCAGCCCAGCCCCAGGCATGGGTGCCTCCTGCTGCTGGTTCTGGACTGGGTGGGAGGCACGGAGCTTATAGGGGTCTCTCCTGAGGGTGGCCGGGGAGACCTGAGAGAGAGGAGGAGGGGCCTCTGAGTGGGGCCTCTGTTGCTGGCGCCAGTTTAACTCCCCGGAGCCTTAGAAAGTCTGAGCCTTAGAAAGTCTGGGCCTGAGCATCCAGGCCCAGAGCTGGATGCATCCTCGGCCCAAGATCACAGGAAGGCAGATTGCTGGTCACAAAGCATGGGTTCCGGGAGCCCCTCAGCTGATCCCACAGGATGGCCTGGGGTGGTGGCTACTTTGGGCTTGAAGCTCTCTAGAGCCCCATTCACAGAGCAGGTGCCCCACCCCAGCCCTCACTGAGGTGGCCATGAGTCCAGGTTCAGACCCTAGGGGATGTGCAGTGCTGAGTGTCCCAGCCCTGAAGTCTAGCCTCAGAGCAGGCTCCTGGGCACTGACAGAGCCACACACCCAGGTACACCCCCCAGGCTAATATGGGGACACACAAAAATATGGCCTTCAACACCTACAAGTCTTCTCTGTGTCCCCCATCGACCCATGCACATCACCCCAACCCTGCTCTGCCACACCACGTGGGTCTGAGGAGCACTCCTACCCCCCGGCTCCGGGTCCCTGACAGACACTGCCCTCCTGGCCTGCACCTGGAATGGCAGCCAGAACACTGGAGGGGGACCCACACCCTCTCTCCCTGGGCTGTGGATGGGTGTTGCAAGTCCCATCCCTCCTGGCCTGCACCTGGAACAGCAGCCAGAACACCGGAGGGGGACCCACACCCTCTCTCCCTGGGCTGTGGGCAGGCGTCACAAGTCCCATTGGTGGGGAAGAGGCTGAGGGCTGAGACCCACCTCAGTGAAGAGGGAAACGTAAGCAGGGAGAGCATCAAGGCGGGAGGCAGCCTGGAAACTTCTAGAAGAGGGTCAAGGTAGGAGGCTACATGGAAGCTTCTAGAAGGCAGTAAGGAACAGGGTGGTGAAGGAGAGGGGAGAAGATGGGAGCATGGAGAGACGAGGTGAGTGACAGCCACCAGCAGGGACGGGCCTCCAGGCAACACAGAGGAGCTGGGGGCCAGGGCCTTACGGGGCTGGGTTCCTGTGTGGGGCGTGGAGCTGGGGCTGAAGTGGAGGGGACGGCCCTGCGGCCCCCAGCACTGTTGTTTCTCCAGGTGCACCTTACCTTCCTCCTTACCTGCCCGAGCCTCAACTCAGGGTCAGCAGCCTCCACGGAGCCAGCCCCACCTGCCCGAAAACCACTGAAGCCACCCTCCGCCCGGACTCAACAGCCGCCAGCAAGCTCGCCTGGCAGTGCCCCTGGAGCACCATTGTCGCTGGGGAGGGAGAGCCGGGAAGGGTGGAGAAGGAGGCAGAAGGGACATGTATGAAAAAAGGACAGGAAACCTGACCAGAGGCGGTTTCCAGAGCCCCAGCCTTGGAGACAAGGACACTGCCACCCAGCGCCACAGTCAGTCTGGGAGGGGCCCACGCCCCCCACCCCCCATGCCACACTGCCGCCTCTTGCTGGCCATGGTTCTCCGGCTTGGGGGAACGCAGGTTCCCAGCTGCGCCCCTCCCCCGCGCACACACACCCTCCCCTGTCCCTCGGAAAGACTAGGCCAGGGTCTGGGGATGGGATTCTGCTGCCAGGGGTCCTGCCTGCCCCCACTCACCCCAGACGCTTCGGATGCTGCAGCTCCTGGATAATCTCCACAGGACTCGGCTTCCTCTCCTCAAATGAATAAAGGCCTCCTACCTCAACTCCCCATGGCTGGCCCCTCCTTGGCCAGGTGTCGGGGGAGGACACAGTGACTCCCCCTGCTTCTCCAGCTCTGGGGAAGGTGGGTTCCCTTGCCCAGTAGCTGGCATGGCCCGTCTCCCTCCTGCCCCCAGCCTGGGAGTGAGAAGTGGTGCCCAAACCATGGACCCTAGGCCCCGTGGTCCGGCAGTGGGACCATGACCATGGTATGATGATAACAACGGGGCTAAGCCTTTTCAGGCACAGATCTCTGCCGTACTCTCTCCACCCATTTCTGTTGAATAACCGAGTCCCAGAGAGTTCAAGTCACACAGGTCACAGGTGGTGGGGCTGGGCTCTGAGTCCTCTGTGTCGGACTTTTTTTTTTTTTTTTTTTTTTTTGAGACAGAGTCTCGCCATGTTGTCCAGGCTGGAGTGCAGCGGTGTGATCTCGGCTCACTGCAACCTCCGCCTCCTGGATTCAAGCAATTCTCCTGCCTCAGCCTCCCGAGTAGCTGGGACTACAGGCGGCCGCCACCACGCCCAGCTAATTTTTGTATTTTTATTAGAGATAGGGTTCCACCATGTTGGCCAGGCTCGTCTCGAACTCCTGACCTTAGGTGATCCGCCCACCTCAGCCTCCCAAAGTGCTGGAATTACAGGTGTGAGCCACCACTCCTGGCTGCATCTGACTTTTAATCCCTGCTCCTTGCAGCTCCTGAATTATGATGTGGGCACCTGGGGCAGTGGGAGGAGAGACCGAGGTCCTGATGCCGGCCCATCCAGTTCTCCTTCCAGCTCTGCCGCTGACATCTGTTGAGCCTTGGTGGGCCCATCTGTGAAATGGGACTACATTTCTGCAGTGAAGGGTCCCAGGCTTGTTGTGACAGCCACTGAGACAGTGGGGAGGAAAGGGCTTTGTGAGCTGAGTGGGGTGGGGAGGGGAAAGCAGGAGATTATTACAGTCGAGATCGTTAGTATGGAGGCTGGATATTTCTTCAGAGTGAAAGTGAGTGACCGTGGGGCCATGAGGGTCCCGCAGGGCAGCTGGGTCCTGGCCCCTTCCCGACTCAGGCTCCTTCCTGTATGGGCATCCGTTGCCTCCCCTGCAGGGACCAGAGCGGCTGTTTCTTTTCCTTTTCTTTTCTTTTTTTTTTTTTTGAGACGGAGTCTCACTCTGTCACCCAGGCTGGAGTGCAGTGGCGCCATCTCGGCTCACTGCAAGCTCCGCCTCCCGGGTACACGCCATTCTCCTGCCTCAGCCTCCCGAGTAGCTGGGACTATAGGCGCCCGCCACCACGCCCGGCTAATTTTTTGTATTTTTAGTAGAGACGGGGTTTCACCATGTTAGCCAGGATGGTCTCGATCTCTTGACCTCGTGATCCGCCCGCCTCGGCCTCCCAAAGTGCTGGGATTACAGGCGTGAGCCACCGCGCCTGGCCCAGAGCGGCTGTTTCTCATGCTCCCTAAAGCTGTGGGCTTCCCTGGGGACATCAGCCGGTACCCCTGTGTTATATGGGGAAGCTTTCACAGGCGACCCTGCAAGAAGAGGGATTCCTCAACTCAATATTTTAAAAGTTTGAAAATCCCTGGACAAGCTCACCCCACGGGTTCGTTCACCCAGCAGCCCTGCATGAGAGTCCCCTGTGTGCCAGCTGTGGTGCTGGGCTTCCAGCCTCTGCCCGCCCCCACCCTCCCGAGAAGCCTGCAGCCCAGGCGGGAGGCAGACGCTGAGCTCTTAACCTTGACACGCGGTGCCAAGTGGTGTGGCCGGGAGCACAGGGGTGAGGACCCAGGTCTGTGTGGCAGTCCCAAAGGTGCCAAAAGGGGATGGATGCAGCTGGGGTGGTGCAGCTGGGGTCTCCCTGGCGTGGAGAGGAGGAGCAGGGGGTCACATTTTGTGAGGAGGGGGCCCTTCTACCGCCTGGGGATCTCCTCCCCTGGGGACCCATGAAGACTCCATCCGGGGGACTGAGGTCTTCCACGCTAAAGCGTGAGGACGGCGCTGTTAGTGCTCCTCCCTGTCCTGGGGCTGCCATCTCTGCCCAGACCTAGGTCCGCCTACCCCCTCGGGACACCCATGCCCCTCCCGGCTCCTTTCCGGGTTCCTCGGACCTGTGGGGCGTCGCTGACAGCTTTTCCAGAACGCGGGCGACACCTAGTGGACATCACGGGTCACAACCGGTGCTCCACTGCACCCCTCCCGCCCCTCTGCCCTGGACCCAGAGTGGAATTCTGTTGAGGGCCTGCCCCAGGCCCACAGTGTCCAGGAGAGCACAGGAAGCCGTCAGTATGGCCTCCACCATCCTCTCATTGTTGTCATCACCGCCTCTCGAGAAGCGCTGCCCTTAAAGCAAACAGCACAGGCTGGGTGGCACCCTGGCCCTGTCCCTAGCGGGCAGTGTAGATGTGGCAAGTCGCTTCACCCCTCTCAGCCTCAGTTTCCCCCTTCTGTAAAATGTGGTTGATAATGAAGCACACCCCATAGGGTTTGAGGATGACATGAGCTCAGGGATGAGAATGCCCCTAGCATAGGGCCTGGCGTGGAGAAGGGAAATTTTCTAGAGTGGGTGACTGGTGCCCTGGGCAAAAGACCTTCAGGTCGGGGTGGCAGACAGCGGCAGGTAGAAGAAGGTGTTGCTGATGGAAGTGGACTGCCTGTGATATTCTTCCCCAAACAGAAAACTGGCAGAAGCAAAGCTGTTATTTAGCAAGACAATCTGGCTCCCTGCCTGTGAGTGTGAGGGGGAAAGGGAGCGGGTGGGAGGAGGAGGAGGGAGAGGATGTAGAAAGGAAGGGTCTGTGGACCCTTGCTGTCCCTAAGCCATAGCCAGGCACCCGGGGCCTTGACTGACCCTGCCCCCAGCTGGGCCTGAGAGCCGCCACTTCCTCGGCCCGGCCCTGACTATGAATGCAGAGAGGCAGCCCTTCCTCCAGAGGCTGCCGCAGTAACACTAGCTGTTGGCTTCCCTAGTTGTGGCTTCCTGACAAGCAGCTGATGCCACCCACTGTGACAACAAGGAAAGTTCTGGAGAAAAACACCAAGGCTCCTAGCAACAGGAGACAGGGGTGCACAATTAAAAAAAAAAAAAAAAAAGACATATTGGGCCAGGCGCGGTGGCTCACTGCTGTAATCCCAGCACTTTGGGAGGCTGAGGCGGGCGGATCATGAGGTCAGGAGATCAAGACCACCCTGGCTAATACGGTGAATCCCTGTCTCTACTAAACAAAATACAAAAAAAAAAAAAAATTAGCCGGACATGGTGGGGGGGCGCCTGTAGTCCCAGCTACTCGGGAGGCTGAGGCAGGAGAATGGCATGAACCTGGGAGGCGGAGCTTGCAGTGAGCCGAGATTGCGCCACTGCACTCCGGCCTGGGTGACAAAACGAGCCTCCGTCTGAGAAAAAAAAAAAAAAAAAAAAAGACACATTGCCCTGCCAAAGTCAACCCCCCTAAAACACCCATGCTCTGCCAAGGAAGGGGGTCTGTGATCTCAGGATGTCAGGGCCCAAGTAAGAAAAGCAGAGTGCATCGATCACTGTGCCCAGAGCTCTGTGTGTCCTCTCATTTAACCCTCTCAGCAGCCCTAGGAGGTGGGTGAGGAGAGAGGCCATTTCTCTTACTGTCTCCTGTCTCTGAAGAGAAGGAGGAAGTAAAAGTTGAAAAACAACAGGAATGAAGTCAGTGGCAAGACCAGCCAGTGCCACTGATGACCAGGCCTGAGGTTAAAAGTTTAACCACCTCCCCCCAACCCCGCCACTCTAACCACATGTGCTCTCAATCTACCACGACCATTTCACGTGGAACCCCTTAGAGGTGTAAGCCCTTAAAACGGCCAGGAACTCTGTCTTCGGGGAGCTCTGTTCTTGAGACGCGAGTCTGCCGAAACTCCCAGGCGAATAAAGCCAAATCCTTCCTTAACCTGGTGTCTGAGGGGTTTTGTCCACGGCTCATCCTGCTACCTTTCTTAGTTCCCTGACCGGGAAATCGGGTGACTGATGGACGGTGGAGGCAGCCCCTTAGGCAGTTTAGGCCTGCCCTGTGAAGTATCCCTGTGGGCGGCTCTGGCCAGCTTGAGTGACGCAGATCCTGAGAGCGCTCCTGGGTAGGTATTTGCCCCGGTGGGATGCCTTATCAGAGTGGTGCATGGCAGGCCCCCGTGGAGGATCAACGCAGTGGCTGAACACTGGGAAGGAACTGGCACTTGGAGTCTGGACAACTGGAATACGGTAGGACCGGTCCTGGGAATTTCCCCACTCCGTTTGAGTGGAAGCGTAGCCTGATCACCCACCGTGTGCCCTTATCGGCACTTGGGTCTCAGCATTGATTTTGATTTGGTTTGACTTGTTTGCAATCGGCACTTTGGTCTCAGTATTGATTTTGATTTGGCTTGACTTGTTTGCAAAAAGGAAAGTGAAAGTGAGTGCTTGAGTTTGAGACAGGCGAGACTAGAGTGACCCCTTTACCCTTTCCTTCTTGTAGTGTGAGTGTTGTTTTGTCTCGGGAGGAAGGTGGGTGGAACGCAAAGTAAGCCCACTCTTCTAGGAACTATGTTGAAAAATTTCAAGGAAGGATTTGGTGGAGACTATGGAGTTAACTATGACACTAGGAAAGCTTAGAACTTTGTGTGAGATAGACTGAGCAGCATTAGAAGTGGGTTGGCCAACAGAAGGAAGCCTAGACAGGTCCCTTGTTTCAAAGGTGTGGCACAAGGTAACTGGTAAAGGATACCTAGACCAGTTTCCATACATAGACACTTGGTTACAGCTGGTTTTAGACCCCCCCACAGTGGTTAAGAGGATAGGCAGTAGTAATACTAGTGGCAAAGGGACAAACAGCCAAGGAAGAATCCTGGTCCACCTGCCGAGGGAATCAACTCCTAAAGTCCTGTCCGACCCAACATCAGAGGATTCATGGCAAGAAACAGCACCAGTGACCTCCCCCTTTTACCAAGAAGGAAGGCCTTCCATTCCTGAGCCCACTGCACCCAAGCTTCCACAAGGCCTATATACCCCTAGGCCATCAAGAGTAGAAAAGAAAGGATGTGAGGCCTCGGGAGAAACCCCTCCCTTGGCAGCCTGTTTGAGGCCTAGAACTGGGATACAAATGCCCCCGAGAGAGCAATGGTATACTGGGGTAGACGAGGACGGGCATATGGTGGAAAGGCGTGCCTTTGTGTACCAGCTCTTCACCCCTACCGATCTCCTCAATAGGAAGAACAATACCCCATCCTATACCGGAAAGCCTCAAGCTATAATTGATTTGCTCCAAACTATAATCCAGACCCACAACCCCACCTGGGCTGATTGCCACCAGGTGCTCATGTACCTCTTTAACACAGATGAAAGGAGGAGAGTGCTCCAAGCAGCAACTAAGTGGCTGGAAGAACATGTTCCTGCTGATTACCAAAACCCCCAAGAGTATGTGAGGATCCAATTACCAGGAACAGACCCCCAGTGGGACCCAGATGAAAGACAGTATGCAAAGGCTAAACCGGTACAGGGAAGCCCTTCTGGAAGGGTTAAAGAAGGGAGCGCAGAAGGCCACAAATGTTAACAAAGTCTCTGAGGTCATTTAAGGGAAAGATGAGAGCCCAGCACAATTCTACGAGAGACTATGTGAGGCCTATCCTATGTATACTCCCTTTGATCCCGATAGCCCTGAAAATCAGTGCATGATTACCATGGCTTTAGTCAAACTACAGAAGACATTAGAAGAAAATTGCAGAAACAGGCTGGGTTTGTAGGCATGAATATGTCACAGTTATTGGAGATAGCCAACCAGGTGTTTGTAAATAGAGATGCAGTAAGCCGCAGAGAGCACCACAGAGAGTGAATGCCAAGCCCGGCGAAACACTGACCTGCTAGCGGCAGCTATTAGAGGGGTTTCCCCCAAAGGGGCGAGAGAAGGGGGGCCCCAGGAAAAATACCCAATCTGGCCATCCACACTTGCAGCGTAACCAGTGTGCTTTACTGTAAGAAAACAGGACATTGGAAGGAAGGGGCCCCCAGTTGAAAGGGAAATGAGGTGACTCTGAGCAAAGGGTCTCAGACAAGGACGAAGGAGACTTGTTCAATCTGCCAGAAGGGTTATGGGACAGAGGGGGACCAGGCTCATGTGCCCCCAAAGAGCCCATGGTCAGGATGACAGCTGGGGGCAGAACATTGAGTTTCTAGTCAATACTGGTGCTGAACATTCTGTAGTGACCACCCCGGTTGCCCCCTTATCCAAAAAGACTATTGATATAATTGGAGCCACAGGGGTTTTGGCAAAGCAAGCTTTCTGTTTGCCCCAGACCTGTACCATAGGGGGACATGAAGTGACTTACCAGTTCCTGTACATGCTTGACTGCCCCTTGCCTTTGCTAGGAAGGGACCTACTTAGCAAACTGAAAGCCACCATCTATTTTACAAAGCACAGCTCTTTACAGTTAAAGTTACCTAGAACGGGAATCATCACTGGTCAGGCAAAAACAGTACCCGGTCCCCAGAGAAGCTCTTGAAGGTATCCAGGTCCATCTCAAGTGCCTGAGGGCCTTTGGAATTATAGTCCCTTGTCATTCTCCATGGAACACTCCCCTCCTGCCTGTTCCCAAGCCAGGGACCAAGGACTACAGGCTGATACAGGACTTGCACTTGGTCAATCAAGCTACGGTGACTTTACATCCAACAGTACCTAACCCATACACATTGTTGTGGTTGCTGCCAGCTGAGGACAGCTGGTTCACCTACCTGGGCCTGAAGGACGCTTTCTTTAGCATCAGACTAGCCCCTGAGAGCCAGAAACTGTTTGCCTTTCAGTGGGAGGATCCAGGGTCAGGTGTCACCACTCAGTACACTTGGACCCAGCTTCCCCAAGGGTTCAAGAACTCCACCACCATCTTCGGGGAGGCCCTGGCTCGAGACCTGCAAAAGTTTCCCACCAGAGACCTAGGCTGCGTGTTGCTCCAGTATGTCGATGACCTCCTGCTGGGACACCTCATGGCAGTTGGGTGTGCCAAGGGAATGGATACCCTGCTCTGGCACCTGGAGGACTGTGGGTATAAGGTATCCAAGAAGAAAGCTCAGATATGTCAACAGGAGGTACGTTACTTGGGATTTACTATCCAACAGGGGGAGCGCAGCCTGGGATCAGAAAGAATGCAGGTCATTTGCAACCTACCGGAGCCTAAGACCAAAAGGCAGGTGAGAGAATTCTTAGGAGCTGTGGGGTTCTGCAGGTTATGGATCCCAAACTTTGCAGTACTGGCCAAACCTCTGTACGAAGTCATAAAGGGAGGTAACAAAGAGCCTTTTGAATGGAAGTCACAAAAGCAATGAGCTTTTCATGAGTTAGAAGAGAAACTCATGTCAGCCCCAGCCCTGGGGCTACCTGACCTGATGAAGCCATTTACACTGTATGTGGCAGAGTGAAAAGATGGAAGTTGGGAGTTTTAATCCAGACGGTGGGGCCCTGGCCAAGACCAGTAGCCTACCTCTCCAAACAGCTAGATGGAGTTTCTAAAGGTTGGCCCCCATGTTTGAGGACCTTGGCAGCAACTGCCCTGCTAGCACAAGAAGCAGATAAACTAACTCTTGGGCAAAACCTGAACATAAGCACCCCCCATGCTGTGGTGACTTTAATGCATACCAAAGGACATCATTGGCTAACAAATGGTAGACTAACTAAGTACCAAAGCTTGCTCCGTGAAAATCCCTGCATAACCATTGAAGTTTGCAACACCTTGAACTCCACCACCTTACTCCCAGTGTCAGAGAGCCCAGTCGAACGTAACTATGTAGAGGTGTTGGACACAGTTTATTCTAGCAGGCCTGACCTCCAAGACCATCCTTGGACATCAGTAGACTGGGAGCTGTACATGGACAGGAGCAGCTTCGTCAACCCACAAGGAGAGAGGTGTGCAGGATATGCAGTGGTAACCCTGGATGCTGTCACTGAAGCCAAATCATTGCCCCAGGATACTTCAGCCCAAAAGGTCAAACTCATTGCTTTAATTTGGGCCTTAGAGCTAAGTGAAGGTAAGACTGTAAATATTTATACTGACTCTCGGTATGCCTTCTTAACCCTCCAAGTGCATGGGGCATTATATAAAGAAAAAGGCCCATTGAAATCTGGGGGAAAAGACATAAAGTACCAGCAAGAGATCCTGCAGTTAGTAGAGGCAGTATGGAAGCCCCAAAAGGTGGCAGTCATGCATTGCAGAGGACACCAGCGAGCTTCCACCTCGATTGCCTTGGGGAACTCCCAAGCTGACTCAGAGGCTTGAAAAGTAGCATCCACCCCCTTCTGGGCATCAATCACAGCCCCCCTATTCCCTCAGGCACCTGACCTTGTACCTACTTATTCTAAAGAAGAGAAGGACTTTCTCTAGGCAGAGGGAGGACAGGTGATAGAAGAGGGATGGATCTGGTTATCGGACAGGAGAATAGCCATACCACAACTGCTAGGAGCCGCAGTCATATTGGCTATGCATGAGACCACGCACATAGGCCAAGAGCCACTTGAAAAGTTGTTGGGCCAGTTCTTCTACATCTCACATCTGTAAGCCTTTGCCAAAACAGTGGTGCAGCAGTGTGTCACCTGCTAGCAGCACAATGCTAGGCAAGGTCCAACTGTCCCGCCCAGCATACAAGCTTATGGAGCAGCCCCCTTTGAAGATCTCCAAGTAGACTTCACCAAGATGTCCAAATGTGGAGGTAACAGGTATTTGCTAGTTCTAGTGTGTACATACTCTAGGTGGGTGGAGGCCTATCCAACACGAACTGGGAAAGCTTGTGAAGTAACCTGTGTGCTTCTCCGAGATCTCAACCCTACGTTTGGACTGCCCTTACGAATCAGCTCAGACAATGGGCTGGTGTTTGTAGCTAGTTGGTACAGAAGACAGCAAAGGTATTGGGGATCACATGGAAACTACATACCGCTTACCAACCACAGAGTTCTGGGAAGGTGGAGTGGATGAATCAGACTATCAAAAATAGTTTAGGGAAAGTGTGTCAAGAAACAGGATTAAAGTGGGTATAAGCCTCCCTATGGTATTGTTTAAGATTAGATGTACCCCTTCTAAAAGAACAGGATATTCCCCTTATTAAATATTATATCATAGGCCCCCCTCCCAGACTATGGGGACTCCCAGGCACTCCTCGAGAGCTAGGTGAAATTGACTTACAGCAACAGCTACAGGCTTTAGGCAAAATTACACAAACAATTTCAGCCTGGGTAAATGAGAGGTGCTCTGTCAGCTTATTCTCCCCAGTTCACCCTTTCTCCCCAGGTGATCGGGTATGGATCACGGATTGGAACATAGCCTCCTTGCAGCCACGGTGGAGAGGACCCCAGACCATCGTCTTGACCACTCCCACAGCCATAAAGGTAGAAGGAATCCCAGCCTGGATTCACCACAGCCATGTAAAACCTAAAGCATCTGAGACCTGGGAGGTGAGACCAAGCTTGGACAACCCATGCAAGATGACTTTGAAGAAGATGACAAGCCCTGCTCCAGTCACACCTGGAAGCTGACTGGTCCGTGCATGGCTGAAGCATGAGGAAACTCATCGTGGGACTCATTTTCCTAAAATTTTGGACTTGTACAGTAAGGACTTCAACTGACCTTCCTCAGACTGAGGTAGGGCAAAAAGTTAAAACAGACTTTCTGTTTAAAAGGGACTTGTGTGTATAATGCTACCCAGTACAAGATATGCAGCCCAAGAAGTGACCAGCTTGATGTGTGCTATAACCCATTGGAACTAGTTTATCCCTGTTGGAAAACAGAGTATGTAACTCTAGGAATTGATGGAACTGGACTGGAAGACCTGGGTAGTGAAGATGACAGTGAGAACTCCCACTAGTGAGTGAGATTCTCAAAGGGGGGAATGAGAAGTGAGGCCATTTCTCTTACTGTCTCCTGTCTCTGAAGAGGAGGAGGAAGTAAAAGTTGAAAAACAACAGGAATGAAGTCATTGGCAAGACCAGCCGGTGCCACTGATGACCAGGCCTGAGGTTAAAAGATCAACCCCCCACTCTAACCACATGTGCTCTCAATCTATCATGACCCTTTCATGTGGACCCCCTTAGAGTTGTAAGCCCTTAAAAGGGCCAGGAACTCTGTCTTCAGGGAGCTCGGTTCTTGAGACATGAGTCTGCCAAAGCTCCCAGCTGTTGAGATGCGAGTCTGCCAAAGCTCCTGGCCGAATAAAGCCAAATCCTTCCTTAACCTGGTGTCTGAGGGGTTTTGTCCACAGCTCATCCTGCTGCAGTGGGGACTATTCATAGCTTTGCTTCTGCAGGGAGGAAACTGAGGCCCAGAGGAGCCAAGTAAATGACTCAAGGTCATGCAACAAATGCAGGATTTGAACTCCAACTCCAGAGCCTGAGACTCAGAGGGCATCAGATCCAGCTTCCTCATTTTGAGAAAGTGGGTGGGAAGTAAGAGATTGTGACTCAGAAGACAGGGGTTCACATTCCAGCCCTGCTGGGCACTAGCTGGTGCCCTGCAACAAGTCACTAGTCCGCCCCCCTCCCCAGTCCCGTTTTCATCAGATGAATAAAGGGGAGGGCAAGAGGATGGGCAATGCCGGTGGGAGAGGGCAGGACTGAATAGGGTGGTCAGCATAAGCCTCATCAAGAAGGTGGGATTCCAGCCCAGACTTGAAGGGGTGGCACTGTAAAGACAGCCCAGTGGGAGCCACTGAGGGTCTGAGCAGAGAGTGCCAGGCTCAGTCACTGCTGGCCGACTGCTGTGTGAGGAGGAGATGGAGGGGCCGAGGGTGGGGGCAGGGAGAACAGCAGAGAGCAGCTGCAGTGACGGTGATGGTGGCACCAGTGATGGTGGCTCCTACCCAAGAAGGCGGCAGTGAAAGTCATAAGAAGTGGCTGGATTCTAGATTTTTTCCCCCCTCTCTCTTTTTTTTTTTCCATGTAAACATTTGATGGAAGCATTTTATAAATACAGAATCTAGATGCATTGTGAAGGTAGTGCCAACAGATTGGGTGTGGGATGTGGAATATGATAATTCAACACCCAGGTTTTTGGGCTGCAGGGACAAATGATAAAGAGCCTTCAGCAGAGATGGGCAAGGCAGGTGGACAAGGAGCTTGCATAGACATATGCTGCTTTTCTCCAGACCTCAACCTGGGAGGCTCTGCATGGCCCCACCGGCCCTCCTAACTCCTCCTCATCTTCAAGTCTCAGATGAGATGTCAGACCCCCAGCAGTCCTCAGGAAAGCTTCCCTCATCCTCCAGGAGGTGGGCATTGCTCCCCATGCCCACCCCAATCCTGGCACCCCCAGCTTGTTCTGCAATCCCCTGCTTACTTGTTTTCCCTTTGGTCCAAGAGCTCCGTGGAGTCTGGTGCAGAGGGCCTGGCTTGGAGTAGGTCTTCAGTAACATGTGCTCATGGAATGGATGATTTCCCTTCGAGGACAGTAGGCTTTCCCAGAGAGAGTCTGCCCATTCTTCTACACTCCCATCTCAGCTCTCCAAGAATCAGGGCATCAATGCCAAACAAATGGGGCTTGCATACCATCAAGGGCCCATCATTTCTGTCTTATAGATTTAGGGGATGGAAGAGAGGAGGGAGTGAAAAAGATGGCCTGGGGCTGGGTGCAGTGGCTCATGCCTGTAATCCCAGCACTTTGGGAGGCTGAGGTGGGTGGATCAGTTGAGGTCAGGAGTTCCAGACCAGCCTGGCCAGCATGATGAAACCCTGTCTCTACTAGAAATACAAAAATTAGCTGGGCATGGTGGTGGGCGCTTGTAATCCCAGATACTTGGGAGGCTGAGGCAGGAGAATCACTTGCACCCAGGAGGTGGAGGTTGCAGTGAGCTGCGATCGTGCCATGGCCCTCCATCCTGGATGACAGAGTGAGACTCTGTCTCAAAAATTTTTTTTAAAAACACGGCCTGGATCTCACACGGGAACCCTATCCCCCACCCTAAGCCTGGCCCTCACCCCTCTTCCTCCATTGTGTCGGTCAGCCAGGCACCTTCACAGTCTGGAGCTGGTCTCTGCAGTGGTCAGGATCCCCAAGGTGGGGGGGTGCCTGCTGGCTTGGGCCTGGCCACCTTGGTTCCATGCCCACCTTTCTACAGCTGCTTCCCTCATGGCCGGCTTACAGTCTCCCTGATGTTCGTAAACCTCAAGCTGCCCATCTGCAGTTGCAATTTCCACCCATGTGTGTGGGACAGAAGAGCAGGCCAGTCACCCACATGATAGTACAAGCTGAGCCAGCCAGAGCGCAGGAGCCTGGGCCCCCAGACCCTCCACTGACACTCCACATCTGGTGTCTTTTTCTGTCTTCACATCTGTCCATTTTTCAATCCAGATTTTGTGTCTGAATTCCTAAAAGCTGATACCACTCTCAGCATTCTCCCCAGGAGTTTTGGACCTGATTTTTGTTTGTTTTCTTTAAATATCTGGATCCCTACTGCCTGGCACTGTGCCTGGCACATAGCAAGTGCTCAATAAATGTGTGTTCCCTGAACAAGCAAACGATTACAGCTGTGTGTTCTCCATTATTCCATGAACTTGACCTCCTTCCACACCTTCAAGGTAAGGAACAAAGGCCATGTCCACTGCATTTCCATGGCCTCCAAGTCCAGCTCAGGGCTGAGAACCCATCACTCTCAGTGAATAAGGGAATAAGGACCAATTACACCTGTTAGTTATGGCTGCCTAACAAACCATACCAAAACCCAGTGACTTAGAACAGCAGCCTTTATTTAGCTCACAATTCTGCATGTTGGCAGTTTAGCCTGGGCTCAGCTGGACAGTTGTTTTGGTCTCAGCCAGGTTCCCTCACACATCTGTAGTCAGCTACAAGCTGAGTCTCGCTGAGCTCTCTCTCACGTGTCTGAAATCAGCTGAGACAACTGATCCAGGTGGGCTCTCATCCTCCAGCAGGCTAGCCCAGGCTTTTTTGCAGGGTGGGGGCAGCTGTCCTAAGAGAGAGTAGACATGCCCTAGACCTCCTGAGGCCTAGCTCAAAACTGGTAAACCATCCCTCCCACAACATTCTATTGACCAAACTAAGCCACAAGACCAGTTCAGATTCATGGGATGGGGAAAACAGATTCTGCCTCTTGATAAGAAAAGCTAAGAATGACATCATAAAAACTGAGGACGCAGAGGGGCAAGGAAAGTGGTGGCTTTGTTGCCAGCTAGAGCTGGGCATGGGCCTGGCGCTCAAGTCTGCTCTGTGTCCCGGTTTGCAGTGGGGGTGAAGAGAGAGTTTGGGGTAGATCCTGGGGCTTCTCCCCTCCTGGAAACCCTGGGATGTGGGGTTGGGTGCATCTCTATCCCGTCCCTTTGTTTTACTGCATCATAGCACTTACTACAGTCTAATGTGTCTCTTACTTCTATATCCATGCATTTGTAGTCCTCCCCACTCCACAGAATGCCAGCTCCTGCAGGGCAGGCATCTCATCTTTCCCATTTCTGCTCTCCAGCCCTCTGATGCTGAACGACAGGGAGTCCCCTTGGTCAGAATGCTGAAGGGTGAGCTGCCCTGCGGGAGACATTTTGTCCTCCCTCCCAGTGGAAGAACAGGGGCCTGTTGGGGATGATCTGAGAAGGCTTCCTGGAAGAGCAACACTAGAGCGGATGCTGGATGATGAGAGGGACCCTGTGGTGTCCCTAGCACCAGGGCTTATGTCTGCCACACCTGGGCTGGCTGGAGAACTGCTTGAAGTTTTTCTCATAGGTGGGCAGGCTCTCTTTGAAGCAGTGCACGGATTGCTTGTCACACTCACAGGCCTTCAGCCTGCAGTGGCAGCTGGCACCAGGACCAAGGGTGCATCCACCTACAGAGACACAGAGGGTCACTGGGGGCTCCCAGCCCAGCCCCAGGGTTTGGTTCTAAGGCTGGGGAGAACTGGGAGCTCACTGTAAGGGGCCAAGGGTTAAGGACAGAAAGGAAAGCCACTGAAAGGGATACGTGTATGCATATGTGTGCATGTGTGTGTGTGCATATGCATTTGTGTGCGTGCATATGCATTTGTGTGCATCTGCGTGCATTTGTGTGTGTGTATGGTCGTGTGTGCATGTGCCTGTGTATGTGTGTGTGCGTGTGCATGTGTGTGTTTAGGGCTCTCAGCCACAGCTTCCCTGCATCCTCAAGCCCTTCCCTGATCACATCTGGGCATCCCACGAGTGCTGGAGAAGCCTAGAAGGAATCAGGAGGCAGGGGCGTGGGCTGCGTGGAGGGCCCTGAATGGGTGCGCCCAGGCAGCACACAGGCCAGGGTGATGGGAGCATTTTCCCAGAGCTCATCTCCTATTTCCAGCTGCCTGCTTGACATCTCACTTGGATGTCTCAGGCATCTCCAACTTGAGGCGTTCACAAGGGAACCCTTGATATCCTAGTGCTCCCTCTGCCTGTGAGCCCGTGATTCACCCACATTCTCAGGAAACTAGGAGCCGACCTCGCTGCCCCCGCTCCTTCCACATTTCATGTCCGGTCTGCCAGCGGGTCCCGCTAATCTTCTCTGTGTTTAAAATAGCCCATGTTCTGCCCTCTTCTCTCTATGTCTTTGGCCACTGCCCAAATCTCTGTCATCAGCAGCTCTTCCTCCTTCACGGAAGGAAATAAGCAGGGACCTTCTCAAACTGTAACCCGAGTTACGTTCACTCTCTGGCTTACAGCCCCAGTGTGGTTTCCTATTCGGGAAAGACATGCTGAATCCTTCCGTGGCCTCCGTGGCCAGGCACACTTGCCGGGATGCCACCCTCACCAGCTTCTCCACCCTCATCGCCCTCCCCCTCCACTCTCCCAGCCTCCCTGCTCTGGGCACACCAGCCTGTTTCATGTCACAGGTCTTGCTCTGTCTTGTCTCTGGGCCTTTGGACTTGCTGTTCTTTTTGTCTAAAATGCTTCTCCCCAGGATCTGCAAGCAGTGGGATCCCTGCCACTGTTTGAGGCTTGGTCAAATTTCACCTCCTCAGAGAGGTGCTCCCTGACCACCTGAACTAAAGCTCTCTCTGGCCATGTCCTCCATACCCGTTTGTCTCACTCACTGTGCTTTTTACTTAACTTCTCTTATTGGTTTCCTGGCTTGTGTCTGCCTCCCCTCAAAGAAGCATAAGCTGTGTGCGGCTGAGACCTTGTCTAAGTCATCACAGTATCCCCAGCATCCAGGACAGATGCTGCACAGAGCAGATGCTCAATAGAATCCATGAATGAAGAATAAGAGAAGGGATGAATGAAGCCTCTATGGGCCTTTGGGGTTCAGTGTCTGCACTTTGGCCGAGTCACCACTAGATGGGAACCTTTTATTTACCTACTAATCAGAGCTGTCGCACTGTGTGCATGCACATGTGTGTGCATGTGTGTGCATGCGCGTGTGTGCATGCGTGTGCCTGTGTGCATGTGTATGCTTGTGTGTGCAGGTATGTGTCCATGTGTGCATGTGTGTGTATGTGCGTGCGCATGTGTGTGCGTGCATTGTGTGTTTGTGCGTGTGTGTGTGTGTGCGCGCGCGCATGTGTGTTTAGGGCTCTCAGGTACAGCTTCCTCTTTCCAGATAACTCCACCCTAGTCCGCTCTCAGGGTTGGCAGTGAGGAGGGGAGGCCACCAGACGCCCGGTTTATGACCTTGGGCAAGTTAGCTTCAGCTTCCTCATCTATGAAATGGTGCTAAAACCTAGTCATTTCAGAAACACATGACACTGTCCCATTCCTGGGGTGGTGGTGAGGGTCACTGGTGTCTACCGACAAGTGGTCCGGATGTGCCTGGCACGCAGAAGGTGCCCTGTGGGCGCTTGCTGCTGTTCTCAGGGTGATGCACTCCAGCTCCACGTGGAGAAAAAGCAGCGCCCTGTGGAGCCGGCAGAGCTGCCTGCAGTCAGTCTGTTTGCCACTCTCCCTCTGCAAAGTCTGCGTCCTGCAGAAGCCGTCCTCCCACGCCTCCCTGGAACTTCTCACGTTGTGCCAACACCACTGAGCTTCCTGCCCTCCCTGCTCGCCCGCAGGGAATCTGCCAGGGATGTTCACTCCTCTGGCTCTCCGGTTTTGCGGCTCCCGCCACTCCCACTGTTCTAGCGCCTGGGTGCCCTCTGCCCTCCCACTCCCCCTCCTGCCTCTGTGAAGATCCTTCCAGATGCATCAAGCCCAGCTCCCCAGGTAGCCCCCACTCTCTCAGGGGACGAGGGCTACTTGAGCTCAGGCCCCCCAGCCAGCCTCACTGTCCAACTAGAGGGCCTGGTCCAGTTGCTGTCGCCCTGGAAACACTTTTCTCACCTTCCTCAGCCACCTTCTTTCTCGTCCCTCTCTCTTTCTGTTGGTCTCACTGTCTTCTGGTCCTCTGTCTTCTTCTATTCCATCTCTTGTTTCCTTTGCCTCAAGTCTCTAGCTCTCCTTCCTTTCTCCCTGCCCCCTCTCCCTTTCTCATTTGGTCTTCCTGTCCTTTCTAATGCGTGCATCTGACATCCAGTTCTACTTCAGTGGCCTGCCCCATTGCCAGGCCTTCCAGAACTGATCTGGAGCAGCAGTCTTTTGCAGTGGACTGTCACTTCTGTGGCATTCCTCAACCATGGACCGGGCCTGTCATGACCTGGATGATGAGACAGCCCCAGGCCAAGAAAAACCGTCTTTGGAGGCCACCTTTTAAAAACAAGCTTAACTCCAGATCTTGCATCTTTTAATGTGCTAATGGAGAAACTGAGGCATGAAGAAAGGAAAGGAGGGCTTTGGAATGACTTTCTTGCTGCATGAACTACATCTCCACAAATAAGAAGAGGCAGCAAGTCTGCATTCCTGCCTGTGGCTGTCCCAGGCCCCAGTCTAAGCCCCTCGCCTCAGCCCTGGTTGTCTCTGAATTCTCTGAGGGGTGTTCTTGGTCAGTGTCAGAACTCTGAATACTCCCAACTTCTCCGCTGCAGCCCACACCTCTCCCTTGGGCTCCAGACTTCAATAAGCACGTGTCCACCTGCCTACCCCTTACATGTCTGACACGTGTCTCAAACTCAAGGTGACTCACACCAAACTCTTGCTGTCTTCATCATCAGCTCTCCCCCCATCTTCACAAGCTCAGTATTTGGTGCCACTATCTACAGCCACTCAGGCCAGGAGCCTGGGGTGCAGCCTCTGTTCCCTTCACACCCCACGCTGAACCCATCAGCAGGTCCTGTCGGCCCTGACCCTACCCGCACAGCATTGCCGACATCTGACACTTCCCATCCCCATTGTCACCATGCTGATCTTGGCTGTGGTTGTGCCTCCCTGTGCTTTGCAACAGTCCCCTAATGAGGCCCTTCTTTCCTCCTTGACTCTCTTCTTTCTCTGCACTGTAGCCAGAGTGATCTTTCTGGGGCAAAAGTAGAGCATCCTCTGCTTCACATGCTCCAATGACTCCCTTGCCATTGACATAGAAGGCACGTGTCTCATCCTGTCCAACCTCATCTCCATTCTTCCCCAAGGCTCCTCTGCTCCTAGCACATTGGCCCTGAGGTCTCAGACCAAATGCCACCTCCCCAGAGAGGCCTTCTTCGACCACCTAAAGCAGGCACCCTTCTGTCTCCTGACCCCCAAACGCTGTCATTTTGCAGCCTGTCGCTTTGTCTGAGGTGCTTCAGAGCACTTGGCCCTGTTTGAATGTGTCTTTATTAATGAATATGCTGTGGTCTCTTGTTCTTTTTGGAACACAAGCTCCTTCCAGGCAAGGATTTTGTCCTCCTTATTGCTGATCTTCTGACCCCAACATGCAGTAAAGGCTCTTTGCTGACTACATTGCCACACTCACATGGCCTACAGGCCAATGCCAGCAGCTGACCCCTTGGAGACAGGAAGCCAGGTTCTTGGGCCAAATATGCTGCTTCTGTGCTTTGGGGTGTCAGGCAAGTTGCTTCCCTCTCCAAGCCTGTTTCCTCAGCTTTCAAATGGTGATAAAGATACGTGCACTGCCTATTTCATGAGTGCTTTTGTTCATCTACTCATTAAACAAACAAGTATTGAGTTCCCAACATGTGTCTGGTCTTTGGCTAGGAGCTGGGGGCACAGGTGCAAGCCAGCAGACCCCACACTGCTTAGTCCAGGGGCATCATTCCCTGTGGGCTCTATGAGAACCAGTGCCCTCAAACAAGACAGGCTTGCTCCTTGCTCTCACGGACCTTTCTAGTCGGTGGGGGAGAGTCGAGGCACACAGACACAGAGAAGTAAACAAGATCATTTCAGGTAGAGATGAATGCTGGGAGAGACAGTGGGTAGCGTGTCAGCGAGTGGAGGCTGAGATGAGGAATATATTCAGCAGTAAATGAGAAAAGTCTTTGCAAAATACAAATTCCAGCAGTTACCATTTTCATCTTCCCGCTTTGGCAGAGGGAGGCAGTCAGAGGCCGGGAGATGCAGATGATGGAGTTTCAGTTGGCTGGAACCCCATCTCTGCCTCCCACACCGGGTCCTCCCTGTACCACACATGTATGTGCATGTGGGCGGAGGGGGTGTCACTGCTGAGTGAGCTTAAAGTCCCTTGCAAAAATGCCAAGTACTTATGTAAGCCCACTCAAAGGAGGGATAACCACCTCCCAGGTGGCCTGAGGGCAGCTGTCCCTACCACCAGGCAAATTGGGCCCTGGGCTCTGGTGACAGGCCTTTCTCTGCACTGATCTCTCAGTGACATTTAGAGTCGTGGACAGACCAAGTTGTTTTCTTCCTCTCCCTCCCCTGCTTACCTACTGCATCCCAGAGCAGCCCCCGGTTGCTAGGCAACCTGGGACCAGGCCTGGGTGCAGGATTTCAGAACTCATGGGAGGCTAGGGAGTTGGTTAACTCTTGCAGGGGCAGCTCTTTGAATGGAGGTGCAATTAGGATAGGGAAATAGGTTTTTCTGTTGTTGCTTTTCTTTTTTGAGGTAGGGTCTCACTCTGTTGCCCAGGCTGGAGTGCAGTGGTGCAATCACAGCTCACTGTGGCCTCATCTCCTGGGCTCAGGTGATCCTCCTATCTCAGCCTTCTGAGTAGCTGGGACTACAGGTATGCACCACCACATCTGGCTAATTGTTTGTATGTTTAGTAGAGACAGGGGTCTCACTGTGTTGCCCAGGCTGGTCTCGAACTCCTGGGCTCAAGTGATCCTCCCGCCTCAGCCTCCCAGAGTGCTGGGATTACAGGTATGAGCCACCACA
Organism: Homo sapiens; assembly: GCF_000001405.40. Lineage (NCBI taxonomy): Eukaryota > Metazoa > Chordata > Mammalia > Primates > Hominidae > Homo > Homo sapiens. Next base: position 20,169,473 of record NC_000001.11, read on the forward strand.
CCTGGCCAGGAAAGGGGTTTTATTCCATAAGGGGTTACTGACCATAGCCCGATGGGCACAAGTACAGAGCGGACTCTTCAAAGAAACAGTAATAAAGAAAATCCCAGTGCCGTAAGCAAAGAGGAAAAGAAAACTTGGACAAAAAGAGGAATTTCCACATCTAAAAGGAAGGGCATTAATGAAGCACCTACTGTAGGCCAGCCACTGTAGCTGGGTTGCTTTAGCTAATCCTTCCAGCAGCCTTATGAAGTACAGGCGATTCTCTCCATTTTACAGATGAGGAGATTAAGGCCCAGCTATTAATACAAGGGGTGGAGCTGGAATTAGACCCAGTGTTGCCCGACTCTGAGGCTTCTCAGCAGGAACACAAAGCTCCGGGGCCTTACAGCGAAGCAAACTCCATCTGCCCCTCTTTCCTTCCCTGGGCCAGGGCAGAGCATTCTGACCAGTTTGCTGCAGATCCTGAGACTTACACTGTGTGAGGGCCTCCAATCATGCACACACCAGCACCCTCCACAGGGGAAGCTAGTGTGAGACAGGGCACCCGGGGTTTGAATTCCAACTCTTCTTTCCCTGGCTGTGTGGCCTTGGCCATCGTGCTTAACCTCTCTGAGCCCCAGGGTCCTCCTTGATAATGGGAGATAATGCTCACCTCAGTGGTTTATCATGTGAGTTCAGGTGCTGTGCGTACAGCATCTATCACAGAGGCTCATACACTATAGCTGTTGTTATTGTACCCATTTCATGGATGGGAAAACCAAAGCCCAGACAACTCCGGCCAGACGGTATGTTCCAGAGCACTGAAAAGGTTCAAGACACATGCATCTTAATCTTGTCTGTTTCTTGGATCAAACTCATCCCCTCTGTGGGTCTCAGTCTCTTCATTGCTACAAGGAGGGGCTGATCTGGATAATCTCTAAGGGCACTTTAGCTCTGGAGTTTCCACAAGACTGTGAATGCCAGAAGAGCAGGGACTGGGTCTGCTTTATTCTGTGCCCCTGGCCCCTGGCACAGCACCGGCACTGGGCGGGTACCCAGTGGATGCTCGCTCAATACTGGGGCAAGTAAACCAATGGGCCTGGGGCTCAGCACATGTCAGCAGCAGACTCTGGATTAGAACCCAGATCACCTCGCTCTCAGCCCTGCTCCTGGGGGCAGGGGCTTGGCAAGGTGGGGGTGGGGATGACAGGGGCTGGCCTGGTCCTCACGGGCTGGGTCAGCTGAGGAGGCGGGTGCTGATGCCCTGGTACTGATGCGGAAGCCTCCTCCCACGCTAGTGCCCTGAGCAAGGCTCTGGACTCAGGAGCCCTGGTCAAGGCTTCAGGAGCAACTGGCTGCTTCTGCTCTGAAGGGGCAACGTGGGAAGAAAGTACAGCCCAGGCCACGTACTTTCGGGTCCAACTCCCAGCCCTGGCTGGCACCTCCCACCACTGCCCAGCAGTGCCACTGCCTGGGGCTCCAGCCTCTGCTCCTCAACCTTTGCTCCACTCTCCCTCATCTCCTGGGGTCCTGGGCTGGGAGGGTGAAGAGCATTGAATAGAGAAGCTTCCCTGGGTGCAGAGAGCCTAGGCCAGCCCTGGCGAGTGCAGCCAGCCCACAGGAGCCCAGGGTGGAGGCTTGGGCTGGGCCAGCCAGGTGTCCCCACCCCTGTGGCAAAGACAGGTGGGAAGAGGCCATGGGAAACTCGATCCCTGGAGGCCACCTTCTCCAGTCCCCTCTCCCCATCCCTCCCACCAGGCCCTGATCCCTTCCCCTCTCCTGAACATGGCCTTGGAGGTGTCACAGAAAAGACACTTTGCTTTAGGCCTGAGAAGGACCACACCAGAGAGCTCCAACTCAGGAAGTCTCCTTGAGCTCACGTGGGGAACAAAAGGGGGTTCTTTCCCTGTCAACCACGTGCTGGTGGCAGTGGGCAGGGCAGGCCAAGAGCTGAGGCAGGTCCTCCCGGTGCAGGGGTCCGAGCCCCCAACCCACACAGCTGGTGCCAGGGAGACCTCACAGTCCTAACTCTGGGTATTGGTGTGTGCTGAGCTGAAGTGGTGGGTTGGGGGAGCTCAGGAGACCAGGGTTCTGAGCCCTGGAACCCACTACGGGATGGAGGATGTATCTCCCGCCATAGGGGATGAGTGGCAGAGAGGTGGTAGTTCCCTGACCTCAGGAGGAAACAGAGGAACTCCAAGGTGCACTCACAGCTCTGAATAAATACACCTGGGAAGGAAAGTGATTCATGCAACCCCACGAGGCCAGGCAGGAAGTGAGCCACACACTATAAGAAGCCACTTCTTCTTTTTTTTTTTTTTTTTTTTTGAGACGGAGTCTCGCTCTGTGGCCCAGGCGGGAGTGCAGTGGCGCAATCTCGGCTCACTGCAAGCTCCGCCTCCCGGGTTCACGCCATTCTCCTGCCTCAGCCTCCCGAGTAGCTGGGACTACAGGCGCCCACCATCACGCCCGGCTAATTTTTTTTGTATTTTTAGTAGAGACGGGGTTTCACCGTGTTAGCCAGGATGGTCTCGATCTCCTGACCTCGTGATCCGCCCGCCTCGGCCTCCCAAAGTGCTGGGATTACAAGCGTGAGCCACCGCGCCCGGCCAAGAAGCCACTTCTTTATTTGTTGCTCTTCACCCTCCCAGCCCAGGACCCCAGGATCCACCCTGGCTATGCTGGAAAGGATGGTGCTCACGAAAGACTACTGTCCCGTGCCTCCAAATGTGCCTGCTGTCTAGGCCAGGATTGCCCTGCACATACCCATACCCTACCAGCCGCAGAACACGCTCCGGATGCCAGGGCCACGCCCCATGTGAAGGGCACTTGATCCACTTGCCCACATGGCTCCTTGAATGGTCTCAGTAACATGTGAGTCCCCCTTCCCTTCCCACCTATTTGCTTTTGTGGCCCTGGCAGCACCTATCTTAGTGCTTGGCATGCAGTCGCCCTTAATAAATATTTGTCCAACTGGAAGACAGCTGAGCCGTTTTGTTAACAAAATCACAGAAACAAGGAAACATGTTCTCAACAGCAGCAGTTGTCAAGGGAAGCTTCAAGATTAGCTCAAGTGAACAAGTATTTACTGAGCATGTACTATCTGCCAGGCTCTGGGCCCCCAGAGAGTTCAGGAGGTACACTCATGGGTGGGAGAGACCAGGGCAGGATGAGCACGGACACTCTGAGAAGCTCTGGAGCATCAGGAGAAAGCTCAGGAATATCTCCTTCCAAGCACTTGGAAGCATTTCATTTTCTAAAAGATCTCTGGGTCAAAGAGGAGGTGAACGTTAAGGAAAGGCCCAGGTTAAAAGACATTTCCATACAGAAAAGGCTACTCACAAACCACTGCGCCATTGACGATGTGGAACTGGTAGCTGTTCAACACAGGCTGGCAGCTGAACTCCTTCAGCTTCTCGTAGGGAGAGGGAGATGAGGGGCTGTGCCTGGAAGTGGGTCCCTCAGGAATCTGCTGGAGGACCTTATCTGGGGACTAGAAAGGGCTCACCTGCCTCCTCCTCTAGGCAAGAAGGCATTGAAGGTGAGGAGGTGAATTATCAATAATATTAAACATAGGCCAGGTGTGGTGGCTCATGCCTGCAATCCCAGCACTTTGTGAGGATAAGGCAGGAGGATCGCTTCAGTCCAGGAGTTTGAGACCAGCCTGGGCAACATAGGGAGACCGCCTATGTTTTTTAAGTTTAAAAAAAAAAAAAAAGCCAGGCATGGTGGCACCAGCCTGTGGTCCCAGCTACTCAGGAGGCTGAAGTGGGTGGATTGCTTGAGCTCAGGTGACGGAGGCTGCAGTGAGCTCTGATTGAGCCTCTCCACCCCAGCCTGGATAATAGAGCAAGACCCCGTCTCCCAAAAAATAAATAAAATAAAAAATAATAATAATAACCAGTAGCATTTCCTGAGCCCTCTCTAGTATCTGTTGCTATCTCATTAGCTACTCATAGAAACCTATAAAGTACAATCATTGCTGCCCTTTTGTAGGGGAGGGACTGAGATTCCAAGAGGCCAATTTCCCAAACTTAGGCAGCTGGAGAATGATAGACCCAGGACACAAACCTAGGCCCATTCATTCATTTAACACTTTTTACTGAGCACCTACTGTGAGTCAGGCACTGTAACGGTCTCTGAGGAGACAACTGTCTGTAAAAGCCGACGTAGTCCCATTCATGGCACCCAGAGTTGGCTGGGGGCTGGATGGGAGAGCACTGGAGGAGAAATACCATCTGGAGCATGGGCTCAGTCCATGTCCTCAACCACTACACAAGGGACAGGAAGGCAGAAACTTAAGCTTGGATTCTAAGGCCTGAAAGGCCAAGAAAAATGTTTCAGTCTCCCTCTCTCACCATTCCCATCTGCAAGTGGGGGCTCTGCTGTTGATCAGCTTTGGCTAATGATGTTCAATTTCTAATCAGCCTTTGGACTTTGACAGGGGAGGCACAGACCATCAAGGAGAGGGGACAAACTTTGAAATAGGCAAATTCTCGTTCAATCCTAACTCTGCCACTTAGAAGCTGCATTGCCTTTAGGAGGTGGTTTAGCAACTCACTGTCCTCACCTGTCAAATGGGCTGGTATCACTGTCTCGTGCATTCCCTGCGAGAATTAAATTAGGTTTGTATGCCAATCGCCAGTCCCAGTGCTTGGCACATAAGGGCATTTCATAAGCGTCAGTTGCCCTTCCAAGGCTCTGAGGTCCTCCCATGGTTCCATGAGCCCCACCCACAAGACTCGAGCTCCAGGAGTGATATTTAAGGCCCCACTGTGGGGACATGTTTCTCCATACTAGGTTAAATGTGGCAAGGAACATTTTGCTTTCTTATGTCTTCAAATGAATTGACACGCAAACTGTCCCGTTTCTTACCTCCCCACACGTACATTCACCAGATGACACCCACCTCTACTTTTTCTAGGAACTCACACTCCCCCACCCCCATCCTTTGGAGTAGGCCTGAAGCCAGGTTTGTGCCATGCAACCTCACCCAGATGGACAACTTCTCCAAACTGGGCCACTTGGATTCCCTCTCCTAGAATATGGAATTAGGACTAGTGAGTCAGTTGTGCTGTGCCTATAGTCCTAAAAGCTGGAGAGCTGAAAGCACAGCACTTTTACTATGAGGATGAAACAGCTTCTAGAGCTCTGGGCAGGACCAACGGCATAATTGCAGAGACTAAAGCAAAATGAAAACATGAGGCCCTTTATTAAGAATTTCAAGATGGTGGCAGCAGAGCAGTAAACCATGTTTAGGCCCTTATGAGTGCCAGGCCCTGTGAAACTTTACAGATCACACGCTCAAGAAGCTGGCCCTGACCCTTATGAGTGTTGGGCCCTGTGAAACTTCACAGGTCACACACTCAAGAAGCTGGCCCCGACCCTGGGTTTCTCAAGACCCATCCTCCAAATCCCGTTCAGTTCTTCCTTCCATTAGCCTGAGTTGTTTTCTGTTATTTGCCAGGCAAGAATCCTAACACCCTCTCTCTGGCTTTGAGCATGAACTTTAATGCAAAACAAATGATAAGTGGCCTTAGAGCCTCTGCACCCACCTGTCAGTGTCATCCACGGGGATCCCTTTATCCCCAAGCCCACAGTAGCAGCCATATCCGTAATATGAGAAGAAGGCACTTCGCCCCGTGATGTGTTTGACCCTCCTCTGAAACTGCCAGAAACTGCTGTGGGTGGGGGCTGCCACCACCGATGAGAAAAAAAGGAAGAAGGAAGTTGCAATGAGCATGATGCTGCCTTGATGTCCCCTCCCCTTACTAGAGTGCTGAGCATTCGAAATATCACCAGATCCCCAAAGCGAAGTGCAAGGGGCATGGCTGGAATCACCAGCCTCTTTCCTGGGGAATAAAATAGGTTCAGATTTGCCCCTGTAACACAGCTAGTTTTTTGCTAACCCAGATGAATACCCAGTTTCCATGAGGTTCAGAACAAGGCTTTCCCATCAACCATAGTCTTCCCCCTCAAAGCAAGAAACCACAGTTCTAGGCAGAACACCCTCGGGTCTGATGCAACATGAATGGCAAAAGTTCAAAGCCAGAAACGCCAGTCCCTCCAGATGTCATCAGGCCTTTACTATCTCACAGGAGAAACAAAATACTTAAGAGGCAGGAAAGGTATCCTCAATTATTATTTTTTTAAATGACAAGTACACATGAACTCAGCTGTTTTTGCTTCTACAAGATGCTTATGAGAGTGGGCACAAATGCATACACAAAATGGTTTCCTGAAGCATTATCTGTGATATCAAAAAATTGGAAACCACCCACATGTCCACCGACAGGGGGATAATAACAAAATTATGTGTCTCAAAAATAAACTACATTTGATAGCACTATCTCTAGGCAATTGGGATTGAAGAGAGAGAAAGAAACAGGCAACATTCATTTTATACACGTCTCCGCTGTCTCATGTCTTTTCATAATAAGCGTGTGTTCCCTTTCCTTCTTTTTTTTTTTTTTTTGAGACGGAGTTTCGCTGTTGTTACCCAGGCTGGAGTGCAATGGTGTGATCTCGGCTCACTGCAACCTCCGCCTCCCGGGTTCAGGCAATTCTCCTGCCTCAGCCTCCTGAGTAGCTGGGATTACAGGTGCCCACTGCCATGCTTGACTAATTTTTTGTATTTTTAATAGAGACGGGGTTTCACCATCTTGGCCAGCTGGCCAGGCTGGTCTCGAACTCCTGACCTCAGGTGATCCGCCCGCCTCGGCCTCCCAAAGTGCTGGGATTATAGTCATGAACAACCGCGCCCGGCCCAGCATGTGTTCCCTTCCTATTATGGTGTTTTGAATGTGTGTGGGTAAACGCTGTATAGAGGATGTATATCAAACTCTTAAGAGTGGTCACATCTGGATGTAGGGAAAAAACTGGGGTCTGGGGAGGATGAGGAGGAGCTTTACCTTGTTGCTATATACTCATTTATTTTACTTTTTAACTATAAGCATGTAGTAAATTTGCAATAAAAATACAACAAAGACATGAACTTGAAGAAGAGAAACAGAAATAGAGTTTGGGGGAGTTTTCTCAGGTGCCTTCGATCTCACTATCGTGTTCAGTCTAAACGGGGGTGTGGCGGAAGAAACCCATGGGCGGTCACTGCTGCCCAAGCAGTCCCTGGAGCCGCACTGAGGGGCTGCAGAGGCGGTCATCCCTGCGTACAGGTATCCTCCTGCACTATCACCTTGCAAAGTGTAAATTCCACCACTCACTGTGGGGAAAGGAAGTCTGTTTTTGACATCTTTGACTTAGGGACTCAAAAGTTATTGTGACTCAATTGAAAGAGACAGGAAAATGGATCTGGACAAACCTCCACTCAACGAATCCAGCAAAAGAGTCTATCAGTCTCCAGTAGACCCCAAACTGTTTCCCAGTAGGTCTTTCTTCACTTTGCAGAGGTAAGCAATCGGATCTCCCGGCAGCAATGACTTATAACTACCAATTATCCCATAAGTCACCATAAAAATGTCTTTCTGATAAGCATTAATCATTCTTAAATTAGCTGGATATATGTCTGCATTTTTGTTCTGAATCCAAATGGCCTTAAATAAAGGCTACTAGCATCCAAAGGAAAAAAGACTCTTGAGGGTGAGGGGGGTAAAATAGTAGTCAAACTCCCTTTCTAGCAAATGGTTGGCAACCTCTGATTTCCTAGACACTTTATAAGATCCCAACACTGGGATCAGCCCATTTTATAGCAGAAACAGAAGCAAGAGGACGTTGGTGGGAGCCCGTTCCTTTCCTGATTCTTTTCTGCGGGACTTGTGACTTCCCTCACCTGGTGCCACCTGGAGAGTCCCCCCTCCCACTGACATAAACAGGAAGACAGAAGCTTGGTGCTGACCCACCAAGCTCTCTACTTACAGCAGAAGAGGAGGAGGGTGAGGATGGCAATGACCTTCATTCCTGAGGAGACCAGGGGGTCTGAGGTTCTACAGCCACGCCTTCACCTGTGTGTGAGGGGTCTCCCAGCTGAACCTCTGTTCCAGGACAAAATGACCAAAATGAGGCAAGGGTATTTGGGTGCAAAGCCCTAATTGTAGTGCCTTGGAAAGACCTCAGCAGAGGACTCAAAGAAATCATTTTCAAATCTCATTCCCTTTGAATGTGGTAACCTTTCTGGCATTTAGATCTGAACATATAAAAATAAGAAGGGTTCCATGGTTTTGAAAGTGCAAATGTTGGTTTGGTTTTTTTTTTTCCAAATTTCTTTCTTTGGCAACATCATCCCTTCATCTCTTCTTTTTTTCTTTTGAGGAGTCCATATTTCCTCTGTTCCCGAGTTGGAAAGGCACCTATGTTGTTCATAATAGAAATCCCACACAGGAATTCCTAGCTTGGTTTGCATCTAGTCCCACAGTGCCTTCCTTCCTTGATACCCAGGCATCATATTCATCAACTTTACCTCTCTGCACCTTGGTTTCTTCTCTTGCAGAGTGAGACTAGAAATTCCTGTCAATAATTTCAAGCCTTTATTTTAAGGGCTTCACAGGTATTACATGGTTTGACCCTTACAACTCCTTCTGAGGTTCTATTATCATTTTGAAGTTGGGTAAACCGAGACCCAGAGAGGGTGAACAAATTCCTCATGATCACATAGCTGTCTACTTCACAGGCCCATTGTGGGACCTGCTGGAATAATGAAAGTAAAACTGTTTTGTACTATCAAATGCAGTCATAGGTAGACACAGAATTCATATTCCGATTAGTATGGGTAATGATACCCATATTAGAACAGTAGAGAAGAATGTGGGTTGCAGCCCTGCCATGGAGCTGCCAGGGATCAGCCAATGGCTTTCTTTACATACAAGTGGTCTTTATAGCCCCCATCATAAATCAGGCTAAATCTGGTAACGTCAGGACTTGGAGTGTGAAACAATAGCTCGGTTGAGCCTAGAGAAGTTGGCAGGTGCAGAGCTTGGGCTAGATTTACACCTGGTGGCAAAGCTTCCAAGGAAAACTTCAAAATGACCATCCTGCTGCAGATCCCTGGGAGAGTTAATCAGGGTGTCTTTGCTATCTTCCCCCTTTGGCAACATTCTGGTGGATGCTGCGAGGTCGGGCCCTGACCAGGCCTGGTCCCAGCCAACCTTCACTTCAATTGCTGTGCGGGATGTTTTTTAATTAGGTTCTGTCTCTACAGGCTTGCTTCCTTTTTCTCTTTTGAGTCTAAAAAAAATCATGTGCAAGTTTAGCCCACGAAAAAGGGGCTCAGTTCTTTTGAATGAGCAGGTGATACACTTTAGAGAAACAAAGAAAGGGACCTGGGTGCATTACTGGTCATGAAATCCGATAGACTCTTATTAAGCACCAACTATGAGCTCTTCTAATGAGAACATTCTGACCCAAGGAAGCTGCCAAGCTGGCTAGAGAGACCAAATAGGTAAACAGAGACCAAATATAGCCCCAAAGCCCCATGTGGGCTGCAATTCTGTTTGGTTCTCCATTAGTTCTCGAATGCTTCACACAGTCCTGGCAGGCCCCCTCTTCAGGGCTGGGGTACCAGCTGCTGCTGACGCTGTCCCTCACTGAGAACCACTCTCTGCTGCAGGTACCGCGTGGCCCAAGGTTATGGCCCCTCCCAGGGAAGACAGGAGAAGGAGTCTCTAGCCAATCCCTGGCTGGGGTGATAGTTTAAAGGGCCATCCCTTGCCTTTTTCAGGATAGCTCTGAAAGGCGGTCCCAGCCCCAGAGCTCCCTGTGGCCTCAGCAACTGCCTCTGTGTGTCAACTTCCCCTCTATGTCAGTTTCTCTGTGTGTGTGTGTGTGTGTGTGTGTTAGCTTGTTCTTCTGTGTCAGCTTCTCCCTCTATGTCAGTTTCTGTGTGTGTGTGTGCGCGCGCACGTGCGTGCTAGCTTGTTCCTCTGTATCAGCTTCTCCCTTTATGTTGGGCTCTGTGCGTGTGTGTGTCAGCTTCTACCTCTGTGTCAACTTCTCCCTTGTGTGTCAGCTTCTCTCTCTAGGTCAGCTTCTCTGTGTGTGTGTCAGCTTCTCCGTGTCAGCTTCTCCCTTGCATGTCAGCTTCTCCCTTTTGTGTCAGCTTCTCCCTCTATGTCAGTTTCTGTGTGTGTGTGTGTGTGTGTGTTAGCTTGTCCCTCTGTGTCAGCTTCTCCCTCTATGCTGGCTTCTCTGTGTGTGTCAGCTTCTCCCTCTGTGTCAGTTTCTGTGTGTGTGTGTGTGTTAGCTTGTCCCTCTGTGTCAGCTTCTCCCTCTATGTCAGTTTCTCTCTGTGTGTGTCAGCTTCTCCCTTGTGTGTCAGCTTCTCCCTCTATGTCAGTGTGTGTGTGTGTGTGTGTGTGTGTGTGTGTGAGCTTGTCCCTCTGTGTCACTTTCTCCCTCTATGTTGGCTTCTCTGTGTGTGTGTTAGCTTCTCCTTCTGTGTCAACTTCTCCCTTGTGTGTCAGCTTCTGCTATGTCAGCTTCTGTGTGTCAGCTTCTCCCTCTGTGTCAGCTTCTCCCTTCCTTGTATGTCACCTTCTCCCTCTGTGTCAGCTTCTCCCTCGTGTGTCAGTTTCTCTCTGTGTGTGTGTTAGCTTCTCCCTCTATGTCAGCTTCTCCCTTGTGTGTATGCTTCTCCCTCTGTGCCAGCTTCTCCATTATGTGTCAGCTTCTCCCTCTGTTCCAGCTTCTCCCTTGTGTGTTAGCTTCTCTTTCTATGTCAGCTTCTCCCTTGCATGTCAGCTTCTCCCTCTCCCCATTCTTCCCTTGCTCACTTCCCTACAGCTGTATCTCCTGGAGCCTCCCAGCAACATACTTTTTTTGCATCAGAGTCTGTTTCTAGGGAGCTCAGCCTGCATCCATGTGGAATGATAAGCACTGCTCCAGTGACTGTATAAATGCCTCTGAGCTCAGAGGAAGGAGCAGTGAACTCTCTTGGGAAGGTCACAGAAATCTTCCCAGGAGAGGTGGTATTTGAGAAGGCCTTAAATTCCCCTTAAGTTTATGCTCTGCTCCTGTTTACTCCTCACTACAACCCTACCAGGCAGGTTCTATCACATTCACATTTGACAGAGGAGGAGACCAAGTCTCAGAGAGCGGAAGTAACCTGAAAAAATCCACACAGCTATGAAGTGGGCCAGGACTTAAACTCTGGTCCCTTTCTCCAAGTCCAGTGCTCTTTCTCCTTGCCAGTCTCCCTGCCTAGACCTCTTGTTCGTGTGGCATTTTGAAGGTTTGAGGGCATTTTCATGCACTGACCTTCACAGCTATGACTCAGGCATGGTTCTCTCCATTTGACAAGTCATTTGGGGCTGCCTACGATTGTGCTGAAGCTAAAGCAAGAGCACAGGACCCGAGGGCCCGAGGCTTGATGAGGGGCAAGAATGTAGAAAGCATGGCATGGCCTCCCACGCCAGCCCCTAGGGCAGCAGCCAGTAAGTTGCAGGGTCCCTAGACGCCACCATCTGGGTCCTTTCCTGGACCCATCAATTCAGCTTTTATCAACAGTAATGAAACACTGGTTGGCTTTCCTCCCCATAGAGAAAATAAGATGGATGGAGCCTGCAAGCTCATTAAGGACAGAGGTCAGGTCTGTTTTGTTCACCTCTTTATCCCTAGTGCCTTCTTATCAGTGCCTGGCACAAACTAATACTACCCACGATGATGGCTAACGTATATATCACACTTATGCCTTGCAGGGGTTCTGAGCACTTTACATATATTTACTCACTAAATCTTCACATCCCCTAGCTAGATAAGTGCCATTATTACCCTCATTTTGCAGATAAGGAAACTAGGCATGGAGAGATGGGCAGTAAATAAATATTTGAGGCATGAATGAATGAGTGAATGAGTGTTAAGAGTCTTATCATACTTCAAGTTGCAGAAATAAAAACAATAACTGCAACCCCTTGAGTACCAACAGGAGGCTAAGCACAGGATGTGAATTAGGATTCTCCTTGAATCCTCCCGAATCCTCCCGATGAGGCATATACGATTCATTCCAGTTTACCAGTAAGGGTAATTGAAGCTGGCACAGGTCAGGTCATTTGCCCTGCAAACTGAGAGGTCCCAGACTTAACCCCAGGTGCGTCTGACTCCATAGCTGGCAATCCTAATCCTTGAAAGCTCTCCTGCTTCCGTGCCTATCCAAAACACCACCGAGAAGGCAAAACCCAAAACAGCCCAAGCAGCGAAGCAGGTATCACAACACTCTTAGACTCTTGTTTTAGATGCAGTTCTAACAAGCTGCTCAGCTTCATTTCTCAGGCCCAGCAGCCGGACAGGAATGGAGTCAGAGCAGCTTCTCTTAATAGGAAGGTAAGCAAGGGGTGATTAAAGCGATAATCAACGAAGCCTAGAAGCCTGGGTCACTGTGTGCTGGGGCAGCTGACTCCATCCACATCAAACTAGTGCACCTGGAGCACAATTATTGACTGCGAGTTGCCAAGGAAAGGTAGCATTGTGCAAGAGACTGCAAGGGTGGAGAGCAACTAACTCAGGGGCCTATGTCAAAGAAGAGGGCTGGAGTTGTTCTGCCACTTCCTGACAGATTTAAACAATCTGAGCCTCACCTTCCTCCACTAGAGAGGTGGAGACAATGATTCTGGCCCCCCACAGAATGCCAGCAAGATTCCACAAGCTCCTGAAGGTGAAAATACTTGGTCAACAGTAGCCAAGGTGAGTTACAGTGTTTGATGTGTTCTGCTTAACAAGACTGGAAAGCAGGCTATACATTTTTGGATATTTTCCAACAATACGGGGAAAATAATAAAAAGCTGTGGTACAGTCATGCACCATATAATGACATTTTGGTCCAATGACAGACCACACATACGATGGTGGTCCCATAAGATTATAAGGTAGCTGCGCTATATAGGCATACCATTTTTTTTATCTTTTATACCATATTTTAAATTGTACCTTTTCTATGTTTAGATCTGTTTGGATACACAAATACTTACTATTGTGTTACAATTGCCATTGTGTTACAGTATTTAGAACGGCAACATGCTGTACAGGTTTGTGGCCTAGGAGCAACAGGCTATACCATATAACCTAGGTGTGTAGCAGGCTAGACCATCTAGGTTTGGGTAAGCACACTCCACAATGTTTGCACAATGAAAAAATCACCTAGCAATGAAGTTGTCAGCATGTATCCCCATGGTTAAGTGACCCATGTCTGTACTTCAAGGGTTAAGTTTCATCATCCAGAAACTTCCCTCTTGCAGATCCCCTTAGGAAGCTGATCACAGGAGCCATGACTAACTGCCAGCCTCTTGGCCTTGCTACTAGAATATCCACCTGGTTCACCTTCTGCTTAAAGGTTATCCATGATCTCAATCCACATGTCTAATGAGACCAAGGACAGGCAGAGCAGGACACTGGCTATAGACTCTGAAATCTAGAAATCACTAATTCAAAATGGGGCCAAACACTCTGTGGGGACAAGCCGCTAAGAAACCGGGGCCCCCGCCTTCAGCAAGCCCCTGGGGAGGTCATTTGGACCCCAAGCCAAATATGGTTGGGGAGGATACCAGTTAGCAGCTTGCTGGATCGCTCAGTGGAAACGCTAGCCTTGGAATCAGCACCACCATCATCATTGCCGAGCACGTATCACAAAGTAAGCATTGTGTGGACAAGGCAGGGGATTCCGAGACAGGCAAGTTCCTGCCTTCAAGGAGCTCATAACCTACTGAAGGAGATGTACACTGTAAGTGAAGATGATGCAACAAGAGTTAGTAGCCCTCACTAAGCACTTGGCACGTGTGTTACCTCATTTCAGCCGCACAACAATCCTGTGCTTATCATCACCATTCTAGAGATGCGGAAACTGACATCCAGCGAAGGTAAATCATTTACCTAACGTCTTCAGCTGGCAAGTGGTGGAGCCAGGATTGATACTCAAGCTTTGACGTCAGAGGCCATGCCTGCAGTCCCCACGACCAGTGCAACGGACAGCACAGATAAGGGCCATGGGGGAACACGCAGGTGAGGAGCTTGGGGGTGGGACTCTGGGGTCCAGGGTGGGCTTTGGAAACTGCTGGATGCAGGTTGTAAAATTGCTCTGCTGCTCCTTCACCAGGGGGAACCCTGAGGCTCCACTGTTTTCTAAAGCAAAGGAGGGCTATGATGCCTCCATTAAGGAGCGTTGTGAAGATGAAGGGAGCCGACCTAGGGAGGGTGCACAGCACCATCTTGGGCATGTTCCACTGGACCAAAGGCGACCAGAGAGAGCACATGAGCTTTTGTGGGGAGGCTGTGGTCAGGAAAGGGCTTCACGGAAGAGGTGGCTTTTAAGATGGGCCTTGAAGGATCAGTCATTTTGGCTTAACTTCAAGGAAGAGAGCAGGGTGGGGCAGGCATGGGCAAAGACACTGGAGATGAAAAAGCTGGGGCCCATCTGGGGAGCAAGCTGGCTGCAGCCCAGGGAGAGAGCTGGAGAGTAGATTGGGACATGGCTAGAAAGGAAGGTGAGTCCACATTTCAGCTGGCAGGGCAATGACCTCTGCCCATGTTTACTGAGATCCACTCTGGGTATGTGCCAGACACCAGGCATTATCAGGTCTGTCCTTTGAAGACATCCTCTTTATAGAAGGTCGGGCACAAAGGCAGCAGAGGCACAGCAATGGACTGGCGCCTTCCTTTCCTCCTCTCCTGCCTCCCCCTGGGGCTGGGCATTACACAACACTGGAGAGCAAAAGGCAGGTACTGCTGACGTTAACTGCATGTACTGCTGACATTAAACAGACCGCCATTTCACTGTGCACTGGCAAAGGCGCGCGTGCGTGCGCACACGCACACACACACACACACACACACACACACACGGTGAGAAGCCAATTTGATTCTCCAAAGGATTGTATAATTCTTAGGTGATTTTAAAATAGCTGATGAAGAATCCACTTTAATCTTTTTTGGGTGGGTGATGAAGGGCTGAAGAGCATCGCTAAGACACTTTTGACAGAATCATTAACAAGAAATAAGCCGTCAGCACTCAGTTGCAAAACCAGCAGCTCCTAAAACCACCATCTTTTACACATTCCGAGGGCCACAGAGGCTTCCTGGATGACCAGAGTGTGTGAGGGGGCAACCCAAAGAAGAGGCCTGGCCCAGACCAGGCCCTCCCCAGCAACTCCCACGGGTCACAGACTTCCCTTCTGAGACGAGCAGAAACACCACCACTGACATGATCTTCTTTCACGACCCATGGAGGAGCAATTCACCTTGGAGAGAATCAGAAGACATTAGAACTGGAGGGAGGGAGGAAAGCAAGGAAGTGTAGGCAGGCAAGTTTGCAGGTCTGATGGCAGAAGGCTGAGGAAGTTTCCATATGATGGCTTCTATTTTCTCTCTGAAGAGGGCAGTAAAGGTATCTTCTAAGAGGGAGGAGGGAGGGAGGTGGGAGAGGGAGAGGTGGGAGGTTTCGCAAGCAAAACAACGTTTTGAAATAGCCATTGAGAAGAAAGGAGAGGCTGGGCGAGGTGGCTCATGTCTGTAATCTCAGCACTTTGGGAGGCTGAGGCGGGAGGATCACTTGAGCCCAAGACTTCAAGACCACCCTCAGCAACATGGCAGAACCCCATTCTACAAAAAATAATAAAAATTAGCCAAGCATGGTGGTGCACGCCTGTAGTCCCAGCTACAAGGGAGGCTGAGCTGGGGAGGTCCAGGCTGCAGTGAGCTGTGATTGCACCACTGCACTCCAGCCTGGGTGAAGGGGCGAGACCCTGTCTCCCCTTAAAAAAGGAAGAAAAAGAAGAAAGGAGGGAGAGAGAACCCAGTGGTCGGTTGGGGATGGAAGTGCAGGGCTGAGAGTCTAACTGAGGTTAGAGACCTCGTGTTTCTGTTACACCAAGGTGTGTGGCTGGCCAAGACTTCTTCAATACCCGTGTGTAGGTGGACTGGTTTGGCTTCAGGTTTCATCAGATGGAAGGAGAGTAGGACTCGGGCAGGGAGGATCCTTTTGAGAATGCCGAGGTAATGGGCCAGGATAGGGAAGAAGCAGATTGATATCGAGGGGGAAAGCGGAGACAGCAATGGACAGGAAACCCAAAGATGGTGAAAAACAGATACAGCGGAAGTGACTCAAGTGGCTGGAAGTGGAAGAGATTGTGGCTGGGGACATCAAAGGAGGTGCAGATGCTGTTGATAAGGTTCCCAGTGTGGCCCCGGAGTGGGAGGCTGATGTGAAAAGAGGTCAGGGAACTGGCGCTGAAAGGGCTGTACTGAGGATGGGGGCCCTGCTCCCCGCAACTCAGATACCCTAGAAGCATCCACTCAGAGTTTAGGGTTCCGAGAATCCATCAGTCCCACAGCCTCATTTTAAAACCAGGGACACTGAGAGGGTCAGGGCCTGACCCAAGGTGAGAAACGGATTTTGAGACTAGTGGTGCTGCTCCCCGCTCCTCCATGCCCCGGCCAGGGCTCTCCCTCTCCCAGACACTCTCCCCCAGAGAGAAACAGAGGCGGTGACGCTAGGAAGAGGAGGAGAGAAGGAGGCCGCGGGTCCCTGTCGCCTCCAGGCCAGGCAATCCACTCCAGGCTCGCAATCCACCGACCTGGAGTTCACGGCCTCCGCCCTCCTGGCCCAGCGGCCCCCACCCGACCCCACCCGACCCCACCCGACCCAGGCCGGTTCCGGTCACGCCGGAAGCACGTGGCCCCCCACCCTGCGGCGTTGCCCGGGAGACCAGGGTTGTTTACCAGCAGGACAGAGCCCGGGCGCAGGCGGCGGATGGAGCGGAACGGCTAGGTGAGAGCGGCTGCCCGATCCCGCGGCCTGCCCTTGGCCTCCGCCAGGCCTGGAAGGGGCCGGGGGAGGCCAGTCCCCGAGACCCCAGCACATCACCCGGGAGGGCCTCCCCAGACCCAGCCCGGGGGACGCAAACCCCGGGAGACAGGCGAGGAGCCTGGAGAAAAGTCTGCTCCCGAGGCAAAGCAAGCCTGGCCAGAGCTCACCTTTACCAAAATAGGGTGACTCCCGGGCTCTGCAGAAACCGAGGGACCTATGCAACCGCTGGGCCATGCCCTCCAGGCTGGGATGTAGCGACGGGGACACAGACCCAGGGAGAGAAAAGGATGTCCCAGTCTCCGGCAGGGCAGAGACGAGAACCAGAGGGCCCCTCCCCCAGTCCTGTGCTCTTTCTCTGAAGTCAATTCTCGCTTTCTAAACGCTCTTTCTCGCCCCTCCCCCAGATCCCTCCTCTGCCTCTTAAGCCTGTTGCCTTCTAGGGCGCTGGAACTTGGACTTAATTGAGTTATCCCCACCACCTCCCTGCCCTTCTGACGCTGGAATCATCCCCAGTTCTCTATCCAAACATTTGATCACTTGGTGGCTTGTGGTTCAGTGTGGCACTCTGCATAGGACAGTGTATTCTAATCCCTAGTTTGGGGTAGAACTGGGAATGGTACCAGAGTTTTTTCATTCTCAGGCCAACCACCATCTCCTGTTGGTTCTTCAGAGCATTTTTATCCTGAAAGCCTGGTGGGGGTGTGGGTTGGGGGGGGCGGGATGGCAACGGATAGGATTAACTGATACAGTTTTAAAAGACCAATTCAAATGTATGTATCTTGGTATATACCAGCAGATGGTATGTAGGTGGTTATATTTTACTGCATATACTGTAGGCTTAGATTTGGGTTGTGAGTGAAATAGGGTGGTCTGACCCTGTGGTGGGTGGTGGGCACCCTTAGAAAGCAGGAGCCCTGCTTTAGCTTCTCCTATCCACATTTCCTTCTTTCCAGTTGATTTGGTGGTGAATCTTAAGGAATGGGCACCTGCCCTTCTGGCAACTTCTTGGAAACAGTTGGCAGTGTTTGCTTCCTGACTCCTAGCAGGCCGCTGGGGTGCAGCTATTGTGTTTAAGTAAACAGGCCACTCGCCTATTCAGCTTGGCAGCTTGATAGATGCCTACGCCTAGATCTTGTCAAATCGGTTTGTGGTTGAGTGGCTGCCAGGCCTAGAGGTGGTGAAGTGAACTGAGCAGGGAGAATCATGGCTGCTGCCTCAATCCTGGACTGAGGGTGGTGGGCAGAGTTCAGGACCTGAGGTGTGAATATAAAGGCACAGTTGGCCCAGATCCCCAAACACCTGTTTCCCCCACCGCCCATCCCTGTGTGATGGGTGCTGGGGAGAGCTGGTGTTCCCTCCGTGTAACAGATGGTCCCTGTGCTCGGGAGGAGGCAGTGGGTTATGAAAGCAGGTTGGATATAATGGTTTTACCTGAAGGAGGTGTTAGTCTCTAAATAACCATGAGTGGGCTCCTAGGAATTAGTCATAATTGAGGTTTTTCTCTGAGATAGCTCACAGTCATGTTATCTTATGACCAGGGTGTCTTGAATATGACACCCCCTGAACATGGATAATTATATGGAACCAAAAGGTATAGAAAGTGCATGCACATACTCAAGTTTTACTGTTAAAAATAATCCCACAGAGAGCCTGTGAGAACACATGACTCTCCTCATCAAAGTTGTTAAGGAAGAGGTTTCTAAGTTACCAAACTCACTGACAGTTAAACCTTCCTGAGGCATGTGTGGGTGTTGGAAGCCAAGCCTGTGATAATTCTGTAGAAGCTGTGGCAAATTAATAGCCATTCCACAAGTGGGGAGGGTGGGCCGAGAGGGGCGTGGGTTTGCCTGTGGAGCTTATCTTTGGCAGAACAGTTGGACAGTTATGACCTTCTCCTGCCATCCTGAGTGAAAGTGCAGAGCTGCTAATTGCCAGAGAAAGACTTGAGAAGGAGACTAAAGGGGGAAAAACACATTCTTCACAGTTGATCAGAAAATAGATGAAATTAACAAGGAGATGGGCAGTCTTTTTTGATGCCAAAAGTTTGCTAAGGAGAAGGCTCCTGAGCTACTAGCAGCCAGACTGGGTGTGAAAGACGAGGGAGAAGTGGAAAATGGGAGTGGAGAGAGACTCAGGCTGTGAGTGGAATGCAGCAGACATAGAGGCCTTTAAAAGAGGGTAGCTTTGTCCAAGATTTTGAATTGAGCAGGACATCAGGAAGATATAGGGATAATGTGTTGCGTTTGGTCCTGGTCTGAGTGGAGAGGAAGCAGATACTCCTTAAAATTAGGCAGCAGTGGTTACATGTGCAGAATGGTGAGGTTAGAATACAAACCCTGAGAGGCTCAGATTACATTGTTCAAGATTTTGTGATGAAAGGAGTGAATTTGCAGGAAGTGCAAATCATTCTGCAGGAAGTGAATCTGAGGTAAGTAAAATGTGGAATTAGAAGAGAAGTGATCAACTCGGGATTTTATTTTCACATGTTTTGAGGCAACTGCGTAGGTGGTAGCTCATTGCAGTCCACCTCCCTGCATTTCTGTGCAGTGGACAGGGCAGGCATGAGTTTCAGGACTCACCCAGCTGGTTAACCAGGAGTAGAATCACCGAGGACACACGGGGAAAAGTTCTAGAGCAAAACAAGGAAGGCTTTTGAACTTAGCACATAGGAAGCACTAAACAGACAACCCGAAGCAAACAACGACGACAACAAAAAACGCTTAACATTTAATTAAGTTTCTACCATGCACTAAGCCTGGTGCTTCCCACCTTACCTACATTATTTCATGTTATTATCCTCATGTTACAGACAAAAAGACTGATGTTCTGAGGTACTTAAGTAATACCTCTAAGATCATTTAGCTAATTTGATAGATGAGGAAAGTTTTGTGCCAGAAAGGTAGAGTGATTGCCCCTTGATCAGGTAGCTAGCCAGTGGCAGAGAAGCTGAAATTGAACCCACACTTTGTGACACCTGGTCCTCTGTCCTTTGCTCCCAAATATGCTGTTTCTTGGGGACCATGAATCACTGGAAAGTCACCAGAAGGTCTTTAGAAGGCTAGGAGAGGCCAGGTCAGCTTTCAAGCAGAGAAGGCAGGAGTCACAGTGGTGGTCAGGATTCAGAGGGAGGCAGGGAGCCCAATAAGATGTCTGCAATGTTTAGGGAAAGATGGAACTGGAGATTGGGAGGAGGAGGTGCTGGTAGTAGTGTTAGTGAAGTGGCCACCAAGATGGCAATGAAAGAGGAGGTGTCATGGTTTAGCAATTCCGGGTCTGCACAGAGAAATGTTCACGCCTCCCACCATGCTTCAGTTCATTGCTCCTGGTGGATTTAACCAGCACTCACACAGACTTTTGGTGGGAGATCCAAATACAGAGGCCCCAGGGTGCCTATCGGGTAGCTGGGAAGACAGAAGTCTGAACAGCTCGGGAGGCTGAGGCACAAGAATTGCTTGAACCTGGGAGGCGGAGATTGCAATGAGCTGAGATGGTGCCACTGCATTGCAGCCTGAGTGATGGAGTGAGACTCTGTCTCAAAAAAGAAAAAGAAAAAAAGAAAAAGAAAAAAAGAAATGTGAGCAGCTAGCAGACATACAGAATGTGATGTGCTGGGCTCAGGAAGCAGCTTGTATGGGTACAGAGGACACAGGATCGGGTGTCACAAGACCTGGGTCCTATCTCCAGCTCTGCCACCAGCTGGCTGTGTGACCATTGGGAAATCACTCTACCTTTCTGGCTCATACATCTGTAGAATTAGCATGCGCCCAGAGTTGCTGTAGGACAGGGACCAACAAATGATGGCCCACAGCCCAAATCCGGCCCGTCACCTATTTTGTGTGGCTCATGAACTAAGAATAGCTTTCACATTTTTAAATCATTGAAAAAGAATCAAAAGAGAGTATTTTGTGACACATGAAAATTATCTGAAATTCAAATTTCAGAGTCCAAAAATGAAGTTTTACTGAAACACAGCAGGTTTTCTGGTTTTTACCAGAAACTTCCCCCCTCCTAAAAGAATAAGAATTAGTCCCCCACCTTAATCACGCTCTGGTGCAATAATTTTTATTTTCTTCATAGCGGTTGTTACTCTTTGAAAATATCTATTTACTTGTGGGTTTTAACCCCTGTCTTTCCTCACTATAATAATTTACATTGCAAGGACTTCGGTTTGCTGATCTCTCGCAAGTGCCTAAAATAAATGAATGCATGCCTGAATGAATAAATTGCAGCTGGTGCCCCTTACTAGATGCCAGAAATTTGTGCTTATTCTGGGCACTCAGGGAGGGAATGGCTTGGATCTAGGAGTCCCAGGAAGTTTAACCCACGGACTCCTGTTTTTTTCCTGCTTCCTTAGGGGTCTTGAGAAGCAATGGCCACAGAAGCCCCTGTGAATATAGCACCACCTGAGTGTAGCACTGTTGTCAGCACAGCAGTTGACAGCCTCATTTGGCAGCCAAACTCACTAAATATGCACATGATAAGGCCCAAGTCCGCCAAGGGACGGACAAGACCGAGTCTGCAGAAATCCCAGGGCGTGGAGGTGTGCGCTCATCATATACCATCTCCGCCTCCAGCCATTCCCTATGAGTTGCCAAGCAGCCAAAAACCAGGAGCCTGTGCACCCAAATCTCCAAACCAGGGAGCTTCTGATGAGATCCCTGAGCTGCAGCAGCAAGTACCCACTGGGGCTTCCTCTTCTCTCAATAAGTATCCAGTCCTTCCTTCCATCAACAGAAAGAACCTGGAGGAGGAGGCTGTGGAAACCGTTGCCAAAAAGGCCAGCTCACTGCAACTGAGCAGTATCCGGGCTCTTTACCAAGACGAGACGGGCACCATGAAGACAAGTGAAGAAGATTCCAGAGCTCGAGCTTGTGCCGTGGAGAGGAAATTCATCGTCCGAACCAAGAAACAGGGCTCTTCCAGGGCTGGAAATCTGGAGGAACCATCGGACCAAGAACCAAGGTTGCTGCTTGCTGTTAGATCACCAACAGGCCAAAGGTTTGTACGCCATTTCCGGCCAACAGATGATTTGCAAACCATTGTTGCTGTGGCCGAACAGAAAAACAAAACCTCCTACCGACACTGCAGCATTGAAACAATGGAGGTGCCCAGGAGGCGATTTTCTGACCTCACCAAATCTCTGCAAGAGTGCAGAATCCCCCACAAGTCTGTGCTGGGCATCTCACTGGAAGATGGGGAAGGGTGGCCCTGAGTCCACAGCCACCCAGCTGAGGTCCTGGGTCTCTGAGCAAAGGAGCATGCTTGGGCGTTGTGGCCTCTTAGGCAGCCTGTTTCAAGTGCCATGTGGACCTGGTGCAGCTGGGAAGCTTGGGACTCTCGTCTGCACTGCGTGTCCTCTGAAGCAGTGAAGTCTGTGCCTATGCCGAGCGCGCTAAGAAGTCTCCCTTCCAGCTGTTCCATTCTCTCCACCACCAGCGTAACTGGCAAGTTACCAAGGTTGTTCCTGAAACAGCAGTGATCATGACTTCTCCTTTCCAGAGTTTTGGGTCCTTCTGAATTAATGGTCCTTTTCGAACACCGGCTTGCCTTTACAGTGAACTGTGATTCTCTCGAAGCCAATGCTTTCCTGTCTGTATTTGATGCAGGATTAAACACTTCCCAGAGAGGATTCTAGTCTGGTAAATAACCACAGTGTAGGAACTATCTAACTGGCATTTGTGTTTCTTGCGAGTATTTTGAAGAAACAGGCCGTTGACCCCATCTTTGGAAGTAGCCCTTTACCATGCATGGTCAGTTTCTTAGGGATTTACTATTTGTGTGAGGTGGCATCTAAGGGAAGAATGGGTTTTCTTCCCCAAAACATCAGCATTTCTAAAATAGTCCTAAAGCTTGAAAGTAAGTTGCTTCCATGAGCATGGATTACCCAGTAGCTACTTTTTAATAGAGACTGACTAGGTTTACAACTTCTGGGAGCTACTCTGTGGGCTGAATTCTTCCAAAACCGAGAAAAGCCAGTGCAGTCTGATTTCTTTTGCTTTTGTCAGTAATGGAATCTTTTGTTTTTAAAATGTACAAACCTATAAGTTTAAACAGGTTTGTACTGACAACCTCCTTGGCTTATTTGGGGGTGGAGCAATTGTTTTATTCCCCAGTTTCAGTGCGTTGCCCACTTCAAACATGGTGTGTCCTTTGGAGCTGTGACAGAGGTGCCTGTTCTGACTTAGAACCTCTGGAGGAGGAGGGGGGTGCCTTGGTCTCGTGTTACTTTGCTGTGCCTGTGCTGAGAGACCATGTGCCCGAGCATCTGGTTGACCGGCATGAAGTACATCAGCCTGTCTTAGCCTGAGCTGCTTTGAAGACCATGGGGTCTTGTGTTTCCAACTTCGAAGTGCTGATGTGGACAGTTTGCCAATGTTCTCTTCTATTGCAAGTTCAGCCAGACTCCATGACTCATCTGATCCCTTTTATGGCCAAATCATCCTTCAGAGTAGGGAACACTCAGACATTCTGTGCATGTTGTTCCCCCAAAGCATGGTCATCACAAAGTCCTGAGTTCTGGTGTGTGCTCCCGCCTCCTGGGTATACAGAGAGAAGGCAGGAATCAGGAGTTCCAGAAGCATATACATGTGGCTACCCCAGCAACAAGCGCATCCTGTGCTCAGATAAGCTGCATGGTTGGGAGTGTTTTTTCTCGCACGTTGAGGCTTAGTGGAGATGGGCACCACTGCCATTTGCTCAGAAGAAGGCTGGTCTGGTCCTAACTGCATCCCACACTGCCCAGATCATTCTAGAATAGGTTATTTCTGAATGTTTTATAGAATTTCTTAATACCATCCTGGTTTGGTCAGCCATTCCTTTGATTGGAAAGGTCAGCTGGGGCCAGTGGTGCCTCAGGCAGGCCCACACAACTGGCCACCTCTTCCCGTTAATGACCACAGCAGACAGAATTTGAGCCCAGCACCTAAAAGTACAGGAATTTCACTTCCCACCAGGACTTGAGCACATAACTCTATGTCTGATCTAGGAGGCTGGGGGAAGAGCCTCCCATAAAATCACACCTACTCTGTGGTAAGAATAAAATCCCACCCACCTGGGACTTGGTAATTTCTCCAGACAGGAAAGCTTTAGAAAACTTGAGTGAAATGGAGCAAGCTTGAAGGAGTTAGAATCTTCTGTGCTTAGGGTTTGCTGCTGCTGGTGAGCTTAGAATTTTGGGGTTGGGAAAAAGTGGAAGGCATAAGCATAGAAATATTTTAGGATATTTTAGGATATGTGAATAAAGCTAGACTCAAACCATCATAATAAACATTTTTTTTTTGGACAAAAGATGATACGATAAAAACCAACTTGTGTGAAACTGAGTCAGTGGAGAAGTGCATCTCGTATTTTAACCTAAGGCTTCAGCTCCCACACACGACTGGACAGAGGGGTGTGTTAGCCTGATCTTCAGTTTTCTCATTGGGAAAGCACTTGTTCCACTGTTAGAACCAAGTCCTCCTCCCCGGACACTTCTGATGCCCACTGCAGAAGCGACGGGGCTCCTGCTCTCAGCTTCTGTCACAGCACTTAGCTTGTCTGGATAAGAGTCACCTGAATTTTTCCTAAACATCATTCCAAGTACTCTGATTTTGGGGATTGGCAAGAACAAACTAAATCAGAATTCAGAGTTCCTGATGGCTCCACATGTTGCATTGCAGCTGAGGCCCCCTGTCCTAAATGGGCTCAACCGGCCTAGCACACTCCTCTTGGTGGCTTTGGGTGGGTCAGCCTTGCCCAGTTTGGGGTCATAGACCTCAGTTATTCATTTAACCGATGGCCATTGAGGGCTTACCCAGTGCCACACTTTGAGACAAGCATGGGTGTCCTGAAAAGAAAGTGTTGGCAAGAAAACATGAACCCACCATTGGACTCTCAACTCAAACCTTACTGAAGTCAGTGGCTATAGCTTTATCTGCAAAGGACCCCAAAGTGAGGATCCCACATTGTTACTGCTGGCTCTTCATCCCACCCTCTGGAGATGCTAAGGAAGCTCTTGCCCACCTTTTCTAGTGATGGAGTAGGAACTTTGCATAGGACAAACCTTCATGATAGGTTACTCTAGTATATTCCCTCATAAAGTCCAATAGGTAAATTAGTCTTGGCAGCAGAAGGAACAGCAGGAGAAGTAAGTGATTCATCATCTAGAATCCAGAAAATTTGCACCAACAGATGGCAGGTGGTTATAACACAACAGATCTTGCCCTGAGAATATCTGGGGACCCAGCCAACAGCCTTCAAGGCAGGGCACTCCTGCGGAAGAGATGGCTTGTGAACATGACTGTGGACCCAGAGTCACCCCAGAGCTCCCATATAAAATGCTTCACAGAGAAACTAAGAGCAGCCTTGGGGCATTCATTCCAATTAATAACCTTAAAGACTAGAGCCAGATCCACCTGCATTACAAAAGCAGGCATTCGAGGAACTAAACTTTGCTTTTGTTCATGCTCTTACCTGCCGTTTTAAATGGGTTTCTAATGTCAAATAAAGCCACCCTGCCTCTTGGGACAAAGATGTTTCTCTTTACTTAGTTTTAAAAATAAAATCCTCATAATAAGTTCGGATAAAAGAGACTTTTACATGGTAAGAGGATCTACTTTTCTACCTTTTAAACGGAATAAAGAAGACAGCTATATTATTTTGCTTTAGCATTAGTTTAGAAGTCATTCCAAGAATTAAGCAGGAACATCTGTTTTCTCAGTCCATTAAGGCAACACCCCACAGTAAAGTTAAAAGTTCACGAGCCTATTGACTCTCATCCAGAAACCAGAACCAACCAAACCCCACCATATAACAGGGAAGGCCTGAGGTCGCTTCGGAGGAGTTAGCAATCAAAGGAGAACAGACTTTTGGTGACTCAGTTACCAACACACAACACTCATAAAACTAAAATTAGGTGTTTTATTTTTTGTCTACACGGGTGGCGTGCCACTTTCCTTTCCTGATTAGGGAAGCTTCTCCCAGCCCTTTCTGACGTTCATCTGTGTGCCTTTATGTTCAAACAGTTTAGGAAGCAGCAGCCCTCCTAACAGTCGACGCGGAAGCACAAATCTCTGGAGGTATTTTTGGACACACTTAAATCCTATCCCAAGAGACTGAACGACTGTGGTGACAAATGCCCACGGGTAAAACTGAGCAAGCCTCATTCAGACTGTCCTGCTCAGAGGCGCCCTCTGGCTGCCGTGTTGAGGGGCTGGGGTGGAAGATGGAAGACTTGAGTGCTGGAGGTATGAAGGTGACCAGAGAGAGGTGATGGTGGTTCGGGCCAGGGTGGTAGCCAGAGATGTCATGAGAGGTGGCCAGATTCTGGACATATAATCCATTTTCTTAAGGAGAAAAAAAAGGATAGTTTGACAAGTTGGGATTCACCCAGGTGGACTTAGCTTGACCAATATCGCCAACGTGGATTGTTTCTGCAAAAACAAACAAGCAAACAACCACCACGGCAGCAAAGCACATGGCAGGCAGGGGAAAGACACTGACCAGCAGGAACATTCCCATCAAGGAAATGCACGAGTGTTTTTGGACAAAGTGTACAGAGAAAATCAAAGCTATTCATTGTTTTAATTAAGAGATAAAACTAAGGTCACTGTTTCACTTAATGTTGAGATATAAGTTAAAAGTATCATCTACCTCTAGGGGTATGATATGACTGCTGACCAAGGTTACTTAATAAGAAATCCTTGTTCTAGTTAAATACACTGTTTATCTCTATCTCCTGTCCTTCATCCCTCCCTTTCTTGCCACCCTTCCCTCCATTTATTCCAGTCCAGCAGCTGACTGGGGATGCATTTCTTCTTGGGAAGGCAAACAAAGCCATCATTCTGGGGCTTAATTAATAAAGCTCCTAGTTTCATAGTTTTCATGCTCACCTCGTGTTTATATGAGGGGATCTGTGCAGTGGGGCCTTGGTCCCTTTTGTGACTGGCTAAGAGCTGCGTCTCTCTGACATTTGTTCTCTTTGATAGGAGATGTAGATGTCATGGGTCCACTCTGGCTGGTGAGCACCTCCAGCAGACAGCCTGGGTCTGCTCTAGCTCTAGCCACTGTTAACAAGAATGGCCAGCCACCTGCACACAAACCCTGGGAGAATGGCGGGGGTGCCCACCCTGCCAGCTGGGACATATTCTCTGGAAACTTGCTGCCCCCACCCCACCACCTGCATACAACCCTGGCTGATCCTGCATCAGCCCAGACCAGACATAAGCATACCAGGTCCTGAAGACTCTGGATCTGGACTCTTGGCCACTCTGTAGAGGATTTCCCCAGCTGAGGCCTGGGCCTCAGCTCGTTCTTTTCCTTCTTCTTCTTCTTTTTTTTTTTTTTAGATGGAGTCTCACTCTGTCACCCAGGCTGGAGTGCAGTGGCGCAATCTCGGCTCACTGCAACCTCAGCATCCCGGGTGCAAGTGATTCTCCCATCTCAGCCTCCCGAGTAGCTGGGACTACAGCTGCGCACCACCATGCACAGTTAATTTTTTGTATTTTAGTAGAGATGGGGTCTCACCATGTTGTTCAGGGTGGTCTCAAACTCCTGAGCTCAGGCAGTCAGCCCACCTCAGCCTCCCAAAGTGCTAGGATTACAGGCTCGAGCCATTGCGCCCAGTGCTCTTTTTCTTCTTAATGGAGTTCCCAGCAGGCTGTCACCTGATTCAAATCATCTGTAACAAATTTATCCAACAAATATATATTAAGCACCTAGATGGCAGGCACATATCAGGCTCATCAGTGAACAGGCCAAAACTCCCTCCTCCCACATACTAACGGGAGGAGACAGAAAGTGAATATACATAATTAATGTAGAATGGTAGAAGAGGATACATGCCATGGAAAAGAGAAAGTAGAGGCCGGGCGCGGTGGCTCAGGCCTGTAATCCCAGCACTTTGGGAGTCCAAGGAGGGAGGTACACGAGACCAGCCCGACCAACATGGTGAAACCCCATCTCAACTAAAAATACAAAAATTAGCCGGGCGTGGTGGCATGTGCCTGTAATCTCAGCTACTCAGGAGGCTGAGGCAGGAGAATCGCTTGAACCTGGGAGGTGGAGGTTGCATTGAGCCGAGATCGCGCCACTGCACTCCAGCCTGGGCAACAGACCGAGACTCCGTCTCAAAAAAAAAAAAAAAAAAAAAAAAAAAAAAAACGGGAAGGAAGGAAGGAAAGAAAGGAAAGAAAGAAAGAAAGAAGAGCAGGCTGTGGGGATCTGGAGAGCATGGGCGGGGCAGGGAATTGGCAGAGGATGAGGTCTGACACGGATGGTCAAGGAACACCCAAGTGAAGAATCAGAAGCAAACAAGGTTGTCAGTCTGTAGATAGGTGGGGGAAGAGGGCTCCTGGAAGAGGGGGTGCAAAGGTCCTCAGAAGAGAGCACTTCCAGCCTGTTAGGGGAAGGACCAGCAATGGGTGTGGCTGGAGCCAGGTGGGTGGGGCAGTCAGAGATGGGGGCAGGAGACACACAGTGTCACTCTGGGTCAGATGCAGAGCCACTGCAGGCAGCTGAGCAGAGGAGTGGTGCCCGATGGATGTCTTCAAATCCGCTCTTGGCTGCCGAGTTGAGATTAGGCAAAGGCAGAAGACAGAAGACCAAGTAGAAGCTATTAGCATAATCTAAGTGACAGATGATGACCAGAGTGGTCCCCACAGGTGTCATGAGAAGTGGACAGCTTCTGGGTATAGAACCTATTTATTTTTTTAAAAAGTGATAATTTTATTGTAAAAGTAGCATTGAAGTAAATGCTAACCCATAATGTACATCATCATTATACATTATTTTTCCAGGCACAAAAGGCTCATTCTTATAGAAGTCATTATATTCTTCCCCAAAAACAAAAGCACATGCTTTTTTTGAAAAATGGAAAACTTGGGAAATATAGAGAAGATTAAAGAGGAAAATAAAAATCATCCATAATCCTTTTGGTCAGAGATAACTGTTGTTAATATTTTGCATATATTTTTTTTCATTCTTAATGACTAAATTTATGTTGCACATTACTTTCTTGCCAGTAGGCACACATGCATATTTTTAACATTTGTAATCTTAGCAAACACAGTTAAATATTCTTTCTCCAAATATCTACAGCCTTCATAATTATTTTAAGACTGAGTAATACTTCAACATGTTGATGTACCATAATTTATTAAACTACTTTCCCTTTATGGAAGGAAAATCTATGTGTTTCCAATTTTTCTTTTTTTTTTTTGCTATAGAAGTCTATGCTGAAATCTTCATTTAGGTAGCTTTTGCATCTTTTGAATTACTTCTTTAGGACAAATGTCCAGGAATAGGATTGGTAGGTCAAATTACATGAAAATTTTTATGGATTTTGCTTTTACTTTTCAATGCATTATATAGCAAAGCACGTAACAACTTCATTGTAGCATCTTCAGTTTTGTGGTTACTGCTTTTTAAAATTTTCCCTAATTTTGTTGATTGAAAATGGAAACTAAACTTCAAAAACTTTCCATGCTGCTGATTACTGTTAAGTATTAACATTTCCCATGCCTCCCAACACACTTTTAATACTAAAATGAAAACATGAAGGCACAGTTACATTGTTGTCATAATCCAGACACTCTATTCCAATTAAAGCCAAGGAAAGTAGGACTGCTGGGGGCTGAGAGAGAAATGTCTTTGTTCTTACTATTCATATTTACATGAAGCATTACACCTCTCAAAATATGTATGGTCTTGAACATGGTCTTGAAAACGCATGCAAGATTTTAATGAATCAAATCTTATTTAAATACGTATCTTTTCGTTGAGCCAACAAACAGAATATGTACATGCAACAGACATGGGACATGACCATGACCGTGAACCAGACTGGTCTCTGCTCTCGAGGAACTTCCAATCTAGTGGGAAGAGCCATGTGAATTTCAAACGGGCATATATGGTAAGAACAATACTAGCCTTTTATCTCACTTGTCCATAGTCAAGTGAGATATTGACTAGCACAACAGTGGCAGGAGATAGTCCTTTTTATCTACAATAAACAGTCTCTGGAAGGATGTCTGATTGCTTGACTTCGCAGCAGCCTGGTCAGAGCCGTTAGCATTCAGTCTGAGGACCAGGGCTACCAAGCCATTGTTTTCTAATGCCTTTTAATTTGGACTTTAAAAAAAAAAAAAGAGTGTGGAGGAGGTGTGAGAGGCAGGTTGAGGCAAAGGCCAGCCTGGGAGCACAGGAAATCAGTTCACTCTGCAGAGAGCGTTTGTCCCCACTGCCATTGAGGAGACATTCGTGGGTCTTACTGAAAATGCTCTTGCACTTGGTCTTGCCTGTTCAGGCTACACTACCCTGCTCATATCATTCCCCACCAGGCCTGCCAGCCAAGGCATCTGGCATCAACCTGTCTAGAGTCCTCAGTCCCATCCTCCAAGAAGTCCAAGGTGTGAGTCACAGGCACCTGCTCAAGAGAGAAATTGACATGTACATTCACAGTCCACCCAAGAGGCTGTCCCTTCACATTCAGGCAAAGGAGCTGCAAGACCAGTGTGTAAACGGGGGTGTGGCTGGCAGACAAAGGCCAGGCTGCAAGCATTAGGGGAAATGCAGAAAGTCACCAGCAAATCCCAGACAGTACGCTTTCTACAGATTGGGATGGGTAACCCCCACTCAGTGTAGCCAGAAACGCCTCCCAAATGGCTTTTGAATTCTAAGACTGTCCAATGGGCAAAAATAGAATAATGGATTTTTAAAAGGGGGACTCCACATCCAAAAGACTCTGGAACTTTTAAAAAAGTTCTGCCCCAGATCAACTGAATTAATGTCTCTGGAGCTGGATTCTGGGAACTACTCTTTTAGAAACTCCCCAGGGAATGCTAAGGCTCAGCTGGGCTAAGAACTTCTGGGCTGGATGAGGTCATTTCAAGGTCCCTTCCAACACCTATGGTCTGTGACTCTCCAGGGCTGTCCTGTTCTCATATCTTTGCTCAGGCTTCCTCTTCCCCGACCCCAGCACCACTTCTCAGGAGGCCACCTTTCCGTGTCAGCTTCAGCCCTGATTTCCCTGAAGCCTTGGCCAGAAGAGACCTCTCCCTCTCTTGAGTTTCTCCAGCTCATTATCTCCCTCAAATCATTTTATAAAACACTCCGATGTGGCGTAGAAAGAGCAGAGGGTTTGGAATCGAGTGTCCCATGCTCTTCGTCTGGGTAGGTCATTGTTTCTCCAAGCCTCCATCTTCCCACCCACAAATGGAAACAAGTGCTCCGTGAGGGGTTGTTGTGAAGAGTCGGATGAAATAACGTGCATGGAGAATGCTTTGACACCTGTAAAAATAGGTACAAATGCTCATTTTTATTTTAGCAACTACCCATCTTCTATTGTGGTCATTTCTCTCTTTATTTGCTCCACAGACACTTGCTGAGCACCTGCTTTATGCAAAGCACTGGGGATACAAAAAGAAAGATGTGCGCACTGCCCTCCAGGAGCTCCCAGCCCAGTGCAGGGAGGCAGAGAGGTACACAGAAAGCTATCGTATCTATCACGAGATTAGCACAATTGTCAATTTTCTTCACTGATGCACCCCCAGTGCCTAAAACAGTGCCTGGCACAGGGCAGTTGCTCAGTGAATGTGGAATGATGAATCAATTCAAGGGTATTATGGAATCACAGACTGAGGATGGGGGAGGCCTCTGGAAAGTAACATAGGAGCTGAGGGTCGAAGGGCTGAGTAGGAAAGAACCAGTGCACATCTGGCCTCTTCCACAAGGCTTTAAGGCTCTGCAAGATCAGCTTGTGGCTAATTCATCGTTGTGCCTCTTGGTGCCTAGCAGTGGGCACTGTACTTAATAGGTGTCAACCTCTCAGAAATGAAACTTAAAGATCCTGCTTTAAAAAACAAAAAGCAATTCAGCATCATAGGCACAAAACTAACTTAGGTCATCTGAGTCACCCAAGCCCTTCAGCCAGTTCACAGTGATGGGTCTCACAATGATGCCATCCCCAAAGAGCCTGGCATGGTTTCCAAAGTTCCTTGCAGCGCTCTATGTAGAGCTGGCAAACACAGATTAATTCAGCCCATCTGCTTTGGTCCTCATCCACATATTTCAGAGCAGGTTTCTCATTACCTTAATCCAGATAATATATTCTTTGCAGCAAGAGACCATGAAGACAGGTAGGTTCCTGTTTTCTAAATAGTTCACATTTTCACAAGAACGGAAGCCCAGCCTACAAGTGAGACAGTGTTGCATAAGCAATCAAATACTCAAATGGCCCCTGCTGGAGTCCCTTTCAGGGACCACACTTCTGAAGGAAAACACCGTGGCCTGAGTTCCGAGTCTAGATCCAAGGCAGAGCTGTAACCCTGAGGACATTGGGTGAATACATTTCGGGAAATATTTATTTTGGGAATAAATTTCGAAATAATGTGCATGGAGAACGCTTTGACACCTGTAAAAATAGGTACAAACGCTCATTTTTATTTTAGCAACTACCCATCTTCTATTGTCATTTCTCTCTTTGTTTGCTCCACAGACACTTGCTGAGCACTTGCTTTGTGCCAAGCACTGGGGATACAAAAAGAAAGAGATGCCCACTGCCCTCCAGGAGCTCCCAGCCTTGAGCACACCCCTCGTGCATTGGTTCGGGGCCCTTGGAATGCAACCTAAAGGTACATTATCTAAGAGGAAGAGGAATCTCCAGATTCCTAGATGTATCTTCTCTAAGCCAGTGCTGCTGACTTAACCTCAACTACCAGAGGACAACCTGAGCCACAGAAAGTCATTTAAGTTGCAAAGGCAAAAAGAGCTCCTCCTGTAGCACGATGGGTGGTGAAGTGCATGCTGCCCAGGCCCAGACGACTATGAGCTCTTGTCCTTGGGTCTATCCAAGAAGAGGAATGGAGCCCTGGGCCCAGGATGGCTTATACATTCCCTGTCTGGAGACAGAGGCTGGGTGACCTCTCAGGACCCTCTCAGTTCTATAACTCCACAGCCCACTAGGGTTGGGGTCTTCATGGCTTGTAACTGGAGATTTTGCTAAAAGCAGGTGCTACTGCAAAGTTGTGAGTGCAAACAGGCTTCTTTCTGCAAAACGCTCAGATCTGAGATTCAACAATTGCTATCGAGCCCTCTGACCCAGCCAGTAGCCAGCCTGCAGGGGACTGTTTCTGAAGCATTTACACCGGGCGCCAGGTGAACAAGGAGGCTGACAGCCT
This sequence comes from Homo sapiens, assembly GCF_000001405.40. NCBI lineage: Eukaryota > Metazoa > Chordata > Mammalia > Primates > Hominidae > Homo > Homo sapiens. Next base: position 20,202,347 of record NC_000001.11, read on the forward strand.
AGCTGAGCTCCAGAAGCTCTGGCATTTGGAGAACATCTTCCCTTATTTAATGCTTAGCCTGTGCCTAAACTGACACACCTTACGTCAGGATAGGGTGGTTGGGCAAGTGGGTGTGTGTAGAGGTTGCTGTACAAGTCAAATGACATTTTCTGCCTGAAGGAGATCACAGAATTAGGGAATGTTGAGTTCAAAATTCCTACAGAACAATCTGCCTGCTGTACCAGCGTGTCATTTCCCCATTCTCCTTCCCCTTCTCCAACTACTGTTCAGTCTGTACCCCATTAACCTGCCTTTGCTTTTCTTCATTTTTTTATGATTACCTGTAATTATCTTATTTGTTGGCTTTTTTATTTATCAGCTGTTTCCCCAATCCCAATATAAGGTTCATGAAAGCAGGGGCCTTGCCTGTCTGTGCCCCAGGCACCCAGTGCCTGGCTGGTAAGCACATATTGAATAATAAATGAGCATCCCATGAACTCTAGAGCACACCCCTTGTGCATTGTTTCGGGGCCTTTGGAAAATGGCAACCTAAAGGTGCATTATCTAAGAGGAAGAGGAATCTTCAGATTCCTAGATGTATCTTCTCTAAGCCAGTGCTGCTGACCTTACCTCAACTACTGGAGGACAACCTGAGCCACAAAAAGTCATTTAAGTTGCAAAGGCAAAAAGAGCTCTTTCTGTAGCATCATGGGTGGTGAAGTGCAAGCTCCGCGGGTCCAGATCACCAGGGCTCAATTCCAGGTCTCCCACCTACCCATCAGGCCACCTTGGGCAGTTAGTTAGCCTCTCTGTGCCTTAGTTCCCAGTGTTGAAAACACAGGTTGTTAGTGTACTTACCTCCCAGGGTTGTAGGAATTAAATGTGTGGATACACATGAAGCTCTCAGCATCCAAAACGGCACCTGGACAGCATCATTGTCACCATCGTTGCCAACCACTTTGTAAGGTAGGGACTTGTCTCCATTTTAAAAACAGTGAGGTCAAGAACATGGGTGGACATGCTTGCAGTGTGCTCAAATGCAACCTTAAAGTAAGAGGAGTAGTCCTGAGCAGGGAGTCAAATGGCTGGTGGGCCACCAAGGGCTCTCTGTCCACTGCCACCATAGCCCTGCTATGGCCCTGCCTCATCGGTCAGCTTTCACCCTCTCCCCAGGTGCTTCTTCTTGGTCTCTCTCTCACAGCCAGGCCATTTGGTCACTCTACAGCACTACCTGGCATACCTCCTAGAGAGCTTACTGCCTTTCACTGCCCCCCATGGAAATGCACCACAATGCTCCCCACCTCTGCTGGCCCAGACATGCGTTCAAATCTGTGGAACCCCTTGCCATGAAGTGCCTGGTCTGTGTGTAGAGCTTTTCCCAGGCAGTAGAAAGAAGAGGAAGATGGCCTATGTTTTGCCCAAGGCCTCATTCTTTCTGTGCCGAAGCTGCACTGTCCAGACAGTGAAAGTGCCCAGAGAACTTCCTATGTGGCCACCTGGGGTGCCGTTTCTTCGGTGGAACCTGGGGGGAATTTCTAGCTAAAACAAAGAAGGGATGAGGAGAATGGAATGAACTTGTTTTTGGTGTCTACTAAGAACTTCACAGACTCTCATTTGATCTTCAGGGTGTTCCCCTGAGACAAACGTCTTACCTCCATTCTACAGAGGAGGAAATGGGACTCAGAGAGGAAGAGCAACTTGGCCATGGTGGCGCAGCCACTGAACAGAGGGCTGGGATTCAGACCCAGTGTCTCTAATGGTGAAGTCCTGCTTGGTGACAGCGGTAGGACAAAGGAGGCAAAGGAGGGGCATTTCGAATCTGGGGGGCAGGAGGGAATGGGCACCAGGATCAGCCAGCCCATCTATGCAAGAAAAACTGGCAGGTGGTTTTGAAATACTTTGATCCCCCCAACCCAAGATGAGAGCCCTTGCTACAGAGTTCAGAGGACATTTCAAGTCCAGGCCCCAGTGCTTTGGCATTTTGTTATTACAAAAATGAGGAGGTGATTAAATGGTGTTTACCATCCTTTAATCATCAATGACACAATTTTTATGTCTAGGACAAATTTCTGGTATAAATGTTCACAGTGTGCCTTTGAAGGAGGCTGAAAGAGACCACAGATGGCAAGTCCCAAAGAGTGTTTTCCAAGGCCAGGCTACGTTGTTCTGCAATACCCAAGCCTCATGCAGAAAGTGGCAGTGGGGTTGGCAAGGGCGGCTGCCTCTCGAATAGCAGGAAACATATTGGTGAGCAGAAAGTTCCTTAACAAAACAGTGTGCGAAGGCAGAGATGGAAAGTAACCATAGCAGACATTCCCCGGGGTCCCTTTCAGAGCTGGGGTGCAACTGAGTCTGAGGAGGCAACAGAAGATGGAGAAGAGAAACTCCCCAACCCCTACCTCCTGCCCATCAGACTGGTTTTTATTTCTTCGGCTACAGACAAAAAAGAAATTCCTTTACTCGGCCAGGCGCGGTGGCTCACACTTGTAATCCCAGCACTTTGGCAGGCCGAGGAGGGTGGATCACGAGGGCAGGAGATCGAGACCCTCTTGGCTAACATGGTGAAACCCCGTCTCTACTAAAAATACAAAAAATAAGCTAGGTGTGGTGGCGGGCACCTGTGGTCCCAGCTACTCGGGAGGCAGAGGCAGGAGAATGGCGTGAACCTGGGAGGCAGAGCTTGCAGTGAGCCGAGATCGCGCCACTGCACTCCAGCCTGGGCGGCACGGTGAGACTCCGTCTCAAAAAAAAAAAAAAAAGAAATTCCTTTACTCGATTGAAGCACTGCATCTTACCCATCAAGTCAGACTTTTCGAAAATTGCTGTAAACTCTGGCATTGCATACAGAGGGCACTGCATTCAACAAACACCTAATGTCTCCTATACATCAGGTTCTAGGCGAGGCCTCGGGAGCTCAGACCTGCCCTGGAAGAGGTCATCGTCTATAAGGGAGGCACAAGAGTTTTAGCTGGTGTGTGAGGGTGCCCTACCAGGTAGCCACAGGAAGGCCCTTGCTGGAAGAAGTCAGCAAAGGCCACACAGACAAGCCACCCTGCCTCTGAGTCTTGACTGGTGAAACAGGAGCTTGCCAGGCAGAGAAGGGGGTAGGGAAGGGCCTTCCAGGCAGGAGAAAGGGCATGTCCTGAGCTTGGAATGAGAAAGGGCCTGCCCTCCCAGCACATGGCGAGTTCAGAGTGGCTAGTGCCAATGCTTCCAGAGAGATAGTTAGGCAAGGGGATTGCAAAGGGCCCTGAAGACCACACCAGGGTGTGTGGATTTGACCTAGGCAAAGGAGAGCCAGTGGCGATTTTAACCCAGGGCTGTATCAGGACCCAAGTCAGAAGCTCATCTTAGAAGGGCCTCTCTGGCGGCTGCATGCAGGGGAGGCGAGGGTGAGACTGACTGGAGGCATGGAGGTCCGTTTGGAGGCCTATGCTGAGGCTGGTGCAGTGTAAGCAGGGCCTTGCTGCAGGGCACCAGGCAATGAATAAGGCTCTTGAATAAGGCTCTGGAGGCTTTGTATTTGCAACCCCACTGCTCTCTTCACATAACCCAGACCGCCAACATACCCTGGAGGGCTGCTGTTGGTGCCTGACCAGTGCCCATGGACATGCAGTCTGGGCTTCTTCCAACACTTCCTCCAACACTGTCATTGTCACTGGCCTGTGACAGGTACGCCCAAGAAGAGATGGGACCTTCTGCAGTGGCCAAGGCCACCAGTTCTCCTTGACTTCTGCCTCTATTTCCCCTTTCACACAAAGGGACACTGTCCTCCCCCAATAATGATATTTTAAATAACATAAGGCAGCAAATACCCCCAAACGCTTGCTATGTGTCAGGCACTGAAGCATAAGCTTTTTGTGGATTCTCTTTTGTTGTGATTTTTGTTTTGTTTTGTTTTGTTTTGTTTGAGACAGGGTCTCGCTATGTTGACCAGGCTGGCCTTGAACTCCTGGGCTCAAGGGGTCCTCCCACCTTCGCCTCCCAGGTAGCTGGGATTACAGGCATGCACTACTGTGCCTAGCTTTTTTAAATGTTTTTTTAATGAATTCTGTTTTTCTTTTGCTTTAAACAGACGTAGGCAGCCTTAAGTTTGTCTCATCCTCACGGTGGAACCTAAGAATTGCTGTTTATAGTGTTTAACAAGTAGGAACAACACATGCTGTTCAGTAAAGGGTAGGTGAAGCTCTACACATATTACATTTTAAAAAAAACTTTTTTTGTTGTTTTTGAGATAAGGTCTTGCTATGCTACCCAGGCTGGAGTGCAGTGGCAAGACCATAGCTCACCGCAGCCTCAAACTCCTGGGCCCAAGTAATCCTCCTGCCTCTCAACCTCCAAAGTAGCCGGGACTACAGGTGTGCACCACTGTACCTGGTGGATTCTCTCTCTCTTTTTTTCTTTCTTTTTTTTTTTTGAGATGGAATCTTGCTCCGCCACTCAGGCTAGAGTGCAGTGGTGTGATTTCAGCTCATTGCAACCTCTGCCTCCTGGGTTCAAGCAATTCTCCTGCCTCAGTCTCCTGAGTAGCTGGGATTACAGGCATAGGCCACCATGCCCGGCTAATTTTTTTTTTTTTTTTTTTTAAGTAGAGATGGGGTTTCACCATGTTGGCCAGGCTGGTCTCGGAACTCCTGACCTCAAGCGATTTGCCCGCCTCAGCCTCCCAAAGTGCTGAGATTCCAGGCTTAAGCCACCGTGCCCGGCCTGGATTCTCTCTTTTAACCACACAACAATCCTAATGGTGGCTCTAGAAGAGTAAGCAATACCTACAATGACAGAAGGGTCCTTGAAAGGAAGGGAGAGCCACTGAAAATCATCTGAACCCTGAAATCACAAACCAGCTGCTTCTTGACCAGATGCTTCGTCAAGAAGGTGAGAAGCCTCTTCCTTCTCCACCACCCTCCTCCCTCCACATCCCACCAGAAATCTGGGGCTTTTCTTCTTTAAGTCCTCTGGTGAATGCTCTTCGTCTATTAGAAACGTCTGTTGAATATTTACCACATTAAAAAAAATCTTCATTAATTGATGAGGTGAGTTTTCTTTGAGGATGTTCATTTCTCCCCAAGCTGGGAAATGGCTCTGACATTTAATGAGGTGGTCTGTGGCTTTCACGGCGTGCTCATTAGTTACACTTCTCAATTCCTGGCTTAAAAAAAAGACATTAAACTCCTACGGGCACACAATGAATTCCTTTGCCCCTAACATTTACCCCTCTATAATGAGGCTCTAGAGAGTGCCTTGGAAGCTGTTTCATGCCAAGTATCAGGTTGGTGCAAAAGTAATCGCGGTTTTTGCCATTTAAAAGTAATGGCAAAAACCACGATTACTTTTGGACCAACCTACTATTTACTGCATGGAATGCTATTTGGGGAGTTGAGGGCAGTGTGAGCTGCAGCTGGTCCAACTGGTTAGAAATGCGTCAAAGCAGGATTCTACTGTGATTCACTTAGGAAGATAACTCAGCTGGCAGTGTGAAGCAAGACCAGAAGGGTTCTAGACAATTGCTTCTGCAAACTTTCTCATGTACCATTTTAAGAAATGCTATATTTCTTAAAATGACTAGCTGTCAGCAGGTGCTTTTCATGGATGGAGGTTTACATTGCTAAGTTAAGGATGACAGTTCTTTGTTCTTTTATGAAAAGGCCAGCAAACCAGCCTGGGCAACACAGTGGGACTCTGTCTCTACAAAAAGATTAAAAAAAATTAACCAGGTGTGATAGCGCACACTGTAGTCCCAGCTACTCAAGAGGCTGAGGCGGAAGGATCGCTTGAGCTTGGGAACTCAAGGCTGCAGTGAACCATGATTGCCTCACTGCACTCCAGCCTAGGTGACAGAGTGAGACCCCGCATCCAAAAGAAAAGAAAAGGCTAGCAGAAAGTTCCGCCATCATTAGGGCCGTATGTCAAAGAGATGTCCCATGCAGTTCCTGAGAAGGTGAAGATCTTGGGGTTCAGTCAGTACTCCCCCATAATCCAGAGGTCAAAGTATGCCAGCAGGGAATGAAGCCTCAGGGGAAAGATGCACTGGAGTGAGGTCAGAGATCAGAGAGCAGAGCCTCTGAAGCCCTTTGAAATGGCAACTCTCGCTTCCCTAGGGAGCCACAGATATTTAGAAGATGCAGTTTCTCCTCTGGTCTTCTTGAAGCAGAATCAGGAACCACCCAGGAAAATGCCTGTCAGGGTTCTGTGGCTTGGGCCTTCTATGGAAGGTGGTATCCAGTGGGCCGCATGCTGATAGCAAGCAATGTGGTGGGCCCAACCTCCCTTGAGTTATTGTTAAATCCAAGTATTTCCTAGAATAAAGTTAACAGCTAGATACCGGAAATATGTTTTCACTAGTACAACTGCCCTGTCTGAGCAGGGTTCTCTCAGAAGAGCTCCTAATTACACTACTGTCTGGGGTAAAGACTCCTGGCCTCCATACTAGGAGATCTTACTCCAGTCTTGACTGTCATGTAAAAGCTTTAGCCTTTCTTGGCCAGGGGTGGCTCACGCCTGTTATCCCAGCACTTTGGGAGGCCTAGGCGGGAGGATTGCTCTAGGCCAGGAGTTCAAGACCAGCCTGGGCAACATAGCAAGACCTCATCTCTACTTTTTTTTTAAAAAGCTTTAGCCTTTCTGAACCTTATCTGACATGCAAAGATGTTAACACCTGCCCTGCCTGCTTTCCAAAACTGTTCTGAGGAACAGAGAGAGAAGAAACACGGAAACACTTTGTAAACTCAAAGAGCCTGTGCCCACGCCAAGTTAGGAGGTTAAATGTCACAGTGGCTCATATGGACCTGAGCCTCTAGACCAGATCTGAACCCCAGTCCCCTGTTTCTGCTGACCAAATCCCTTCCAGAACAGTCCTTAAAGCCTGGACATTGACCTTAATTTCAGGTTCCCTAGACACTCATGTAAAACGTCAAATCTTTACAAGTACTCTAGATGCTGAAAGTTGTGTGTTCTCAAAACATAAAAAAGCAAGAAAGAATCGAATACTTCCATGCCAAAAAATATCCAGTCCTCCCAAAACGTGGACATACAATGCCTGCACACTATCTGGAGCCCAGACCTGGTCCGTAAAGCAGGAACTGGCCTCGTCCATCATGATCATGAGACAGAAGGTCAAAGTTAGAAAGGCCTCTGAGCCACTTTCTTTTGGAGGGAAGTGGATGCCAAGACCAGCTGTCTTAGAAACCAAGGGGAGGTGCAGAGTGACCAGGTGGTCATCCTCCCAAACACAGAAAACAAAACAACTCTTTCCCTAAATCCCACTTCCAGAAGGATTCGCATTTTGCACTCGTGAAACGATTTCCTGGCTGAGAGCTGACCTACATTGCCGTTCCTACCCACACTGGTAATTGTTTACCACAGGGTGCCTGTTCTTTGGCCACTGTCCTTACTCTGGTGTTCAGCCTGTTAATTGCTTTCCAGTGGTTCTGTTGCACCAACTGTACTGAATGCCTCCCTGGGATCTATCCACTGCTTCCTTGGGCATGCTTAAGGGGACAGATACCCCAAAGGCATCACAGTGACCCCAAAGAGGCATTCCACCCACAAAAGCCATCTTCGAAGAAGGGGGTCACTTAAAACTGTCCTTGAAAAATGTTTGTGACCACATAAAAATGGAGAAGGTGGGGGTACAAAGGAAATAAGAGGGGAAGGCAGGCAGGTGAACGTGAAGGAGATGTGTTCTCTCTTCTTTCTTTCTTAAGGCCAAAGAATGAGCAAAGCGGAAAAGAATTGTGGGGGCAGAGAGGGGAGCTGGCTCAAATGTTCCACTGAAGGAGAGGCAGGGGAGCTCTAGTCTCTTGGCTGAGAAGCCTAAGAGTCTATCTAGTACAAGCCAAAGAGTCTATAGGGTCACGAATCGAAGCGCCCTCGGCGGGTCACAGTTGAGAGCCCTTCCCTGTGACCAAGTCCGATCTTTTCATTCTCCAGATGAGGAGACTGGATCAGAGAGGGAGTGACTTAGCCTCCACTCTGAGTGGAGGCATCTAGACTAGCTCCTCAGACTTCCCGACTCCCAAGCCTTTCTGCTCATTGGACAAATGCCATTTATACCTTCCCCTCTAGAGCTCCATATAAGCAAAACTTTTTCATCTGTTTTTTTGTTTGTTTTTTGAGACAGGGTCTCACTCGGTCACTCAGCTGGAGTGCAGTGGTGTGATAATGGCTTATTGTAGCCTCAACCTCCTGGGCTCAAGGGATCCTCCCACCTCAGCCTCCTGAGTAGCTGGGACTATAGGTGCACACCACCATGCCTGGCTAATTTTTTTTTTTTTTTAGTAGAAATGGGTCTCCCTATGTTGCCCAGGCTGGTCTCGAACTCCTAAGCTCAAGTGATCCTCCCGCCTTGACCTCCCAAAGTGCTGGGATTACAGGTGAGAGCTACCACAGCTGGCCTGTCCGTTTTATTCGTATCTGTCTCCTGAGAGAGCCTTGGAAAGTACTGACACATGGAAAGAACTCAACAAACATCTTTTGGGAAAAGAAATGTCCTACTTAGCTACCCTTTCACCTTAAGGCGTAGAGGATTTGAGGTATCTTCAGGCTGTGTGAGGGCTCTGACCTGTGTTACATGGGGGTTCCCTTAGGCTTAGTCATCTGTGGAGGGTTGCTGTTATGACAGTCTGAGGCTCATCACAGGGTGGATTCTGTCATGTGGGAGTTGCAGGGATGGGAAGGCGTATGAAATTATGAATTGTTCCAAAGTCTTTTAGTGAAAGGAATTCAGAGAGGAAAAGAGAAGAACCAGCCAATGCAGAACAACTAGCAGGCTAACAGCCTCAAGATCAAGGCCAGGGGAGGAGGGAAAGGGGATCCGGCATGTGTGGTTGGGGAGGGACAGGCTCAGTGCAGGACACTGAGTCACGCGCTGAGGGCCTTGCCAGTGTCAAGGACGAAAGGCTTGTCTGAGAGTTCTTCTGATAAATGATCGCAGAGCTTCCGGGATACGTTAGCTTTTAGACTATGCTGGGGATATCACCAGGATGCATTTGGAGCCAGGTCTCTGGTCAGGAGCACACCCCAGTTATGACGGTGTTTCTGTGGGAAAATATGGTCTGCATCATGAAGATATTCTTTACAACTCCTTTTCCAGGATGTGTTGGCTTGGAAAACTGAACTGTCTATGAGTCTACATCTCAACAGGCTCCCGGGCACTGAAACAAAGCCCAGTTGTAACCAAGTGCGTTGGAGGAGAAGCATTTTGGAGGGCAGGACAGTGACCCTGGAGAGGGGATAGAACCAGGTGGAGCAGGCCCTGGAGAGGGGCCAGCTCTCTGTGTAGGGGCAGCTTGGGGCAAACCTGGGGCAAACCAGGCCATGTGATGCTGCACTGTGACTCAGGCACCCGAGGGTTTGTCAAGTCTTGGCCAGTTCAGGACATTCCAGTCCACAAAGGTCCCTGAGTCAGATTCCCTAGGCTAGAAGAGAAAAGGGCATTCAAAGTTTCCCTTACTCAAATCAACCTCTTAAAAAATGAAATCAAAGCATTGAGTTTAAAGGTTAACTGCGCACCCTTCATACTCACGTATACAGCCTGAAACTCTGCCAGCAACCTTCGGTTTAAGGCAAGATGGGCTTGGTCCTTCCTGCTGGGATGATGGCCTAGGAGTTAAGGGAAGGGCCCAGGCTCTGAAGGAAGAGAATGCAGCCGAGAGATCCTTTTGCTGTTTTAGGATAGCCATGAGAAACTAGACTACGATTTATCCCAAAGCATAGCCATATGTTTCAAGTCAACATTTAGGATTTTCTTTTGAAGGAATGAAGTTAGGCATTGGTTTTAACCTTTCCCTCCACCCCTGAAACTGACACTGAATAATGCAGCTAGCATTTCCCCCTCCACAATCGTGGGCAACAGTCTACTGCGTGGATGTGCCTTTTAGCTGTAGATTGGCTGAAAAGTCCAAGTACTGCGCAGTTCCTCACGGCAGTCCTGTTTCATCCAGGTCACGGCAGTCTCCAGAGAGCAGAAAACAAGGGTGCTGGCCCCACCCCTTGTCTGGGATCTCAAGACCAGAAACCCAGAGTTGCAGGAGTTTCTAAGAAGCAGGAGAAGGAGGTAGAACTGAGATCAGAGGCTCAAATTTTTCCTTATCAGGGAAAAGGGGATAAGAAATTTTGGGGCCAACATTCCGTAAACTCTCGTTCCCTTCTCCACCTTCAGGGCACGAGTGACCCTCTGTGGCCCCTCCTGCTCCCTAACCCAGTGTAATTTACATGATCTTATCCTGTGTGAGTTTCAGGGCCGATTGGAGTGTAAGGGGCAGGGCAGATAACTGAATTTTCCCTAGCCCTGCACCCATCACCGAGAGTCCAGCCAAGGCATTCTGTAGAACAGTAAATAACTGACAACTTCTCTTTCGACATCAGCCCCCAGCATATGTTCACCTCCACCTCAGCAGAGCTCTGAAATGCCACTCAACCGAAATTAGCTTTTTCACCTTCTGGTTTCCTCACCGTGGCATGGTGCCAAGACTGCTGAACTGCGCCTCAAATGATGAGGTTCTGTAGCGTCAAAGCTGCCACTGGCTGGCTGTGTGACACTCAGGAAATCCATTTCCTTCTCTGGATTTGCTTTGGCCTCAAGCTCCTTTGGTATCAAACGAGAAAGGTTGATTCTCAGTCCATTTCAAGGTTTCTCCACTAATTTAAAAAAAAAAAAAAAAAAAAAAGCAACTGGGGCTTTTTTCTCTCTTCCACTAGATGGCGCTGTGTCTCCAACTGCAGCCGGCCAGGCCGGGAGCGCTCCCGAGGGCATTTGTTCAGGGGTTCCACTTGGCCGAGCACAGCGGAGGCGCCGGAGGCGGCTGCTCTCCCAGGACCCGGCCAAGAGGGTGCAATCCGGCTCTGCAGGTTGAATCAGGGCAAAACAGGAAATGGCCAGGAGCTTAAACTGCAGAGAGCAATTTGGTTTTAAAAGGGCAAAGCTTCGGATTGGACAGGCCAGGCAGGTTCCTGAAGGCAGGTTCCTGGGCTCTGAACCCCGTACGGGCACCCCGTTTCCCCAACTCAGGCCACCAGAGGATTCTGGCGCAGGCTATGTGCTGGGTCTTTCTTCATCTGCAGCTCACCTTTCGAGAATGTCAGCCTCTAAAAATTCTAGAATGTAGAACCAAATGCTTGAAGCATTAGAAGGGACTTTAGGGCCAGTGCCCTCCGCTGCAGAGTCTGGCCAAGGCATCCCAGAGGGGTGGCGTCCAGGTCACTGTGCCCATCACCTTTCCTCATCTCTGTTCAAGTGGAAGATGACAAGCCTGACATCTCTTTCAAGCTATCATCTTAATAATTTTTTTTTAGAGAAGGTTAGATAGTTCAAGTCAACAAATGTTCAAGAATAACAGTGTTTTAAAATGTAATCAGTAATGCTTTTTTGAATACTTAAATTAATAAAGTATCGGGTGAAAATATTTATGTCTTCTGTAGCGCAGGGCCAAGGGTGGGGGGAACTGAATAAAAGGCATCTAAAGCTACGTGAAATGTTTGGATATAGATGGGCAAATGCTAGAGTATAAGGAACAAACAGAAAGATGGTTTGGTTTGTGGCATTTCTGTGATTATGGATAATTTTTTTCTTCTTAAATTTAGAATGTTTGGCTGGGCGTGGTGGCTCACGCCTGTAATCCCAGCACTTTGGGAGGCTGAGGCAGGCGGAACTAGGGAGTTCAAGACCAGCCTGACCAACATGGAGAAACCCTGTCTCTACTAAAAATACAAAAAAAATTAGTCGGGCGTGGTGGTGGCTTATAATCCCAGCTACTCAGGAGGCTAAGGCAAGAGAGAATTGCTTGAACCTGGGAGGCGGAGGTTGTGATGAGCCGAGATAGCGCCATTGCACTCCAGCCTGGGCAACAAGAGCGGAACTCCATCTCAAAAAAAAAAAAATTTAGAATGCTCTTGGCTTTGCTCTGATGTTTGAAAAATATCAATAGCAAATCCCTAATGATTAGGATCTATTGACTTCTAAAAAACCTCCTGTATTTCCCTAAAATTTTCCCCCTTTCAAGTTCTCTGCCCAAAGGTCAGCGTTTCCTTGCAAATGTGACTATTTTTTTAGTTATTTTAAAGATTCTCTCTCTGAACTTCACCATTGATGCTTTTCCCATTGATTTGTTAAAATGTCATATTTTGGCTATAACAGAATAATAATTTGTTCTTCCTTCATTAAAATGGGGGCAATACAATATCAAAAACATTTATAAAAAATTCTTGTATAATCTCACCACTATAAAATAACTTCCTTCACTATGTATAGTTCTGTCTGGAGGCTGGCCACATATATAGGTATTTTTATATAGTTGTAATCATAGAGTATATGTTATTTTACAGAATACTTCTTTTTAAAGACTTGCCAAATTTTTATCCAGTATGTTGCCAATGCCAAAGTGTCAATACCTAATTCCAAGATCCTTCAGAAGGATGTCCAGTTAAAAGCCAAAATGATACTGGGGAATTTCATTACCTAACGTGACCTACTTAGTTCTCAGACACAGTAATACCTGTGGGTTCTGAACAGAATAAAAGAGGCATCCACATATGTGATTCGGCCACCCTCAGCTAGATCCTCCAATATCATTTTGGCTTTTAAGTGAATGTTCTTCTGAAGGATCTTTGGATTACGTATTGACACTTGGGCAATGGAAACAGAGATTGGATAAAAATTGCCCCCTCTGCATTCCTCTGAGTGTCTCTGTTTAGCACTTTAGAAGTTCTCTCTCCCGTCGTTTCTCGTTCATCTGTCTGTGTGTGGTGGAGCTGGGGTAGCATCTCCTATCTTTCTCTCCTGTCCCACTGCTAAGCACAGCACTGTCCACTCCGGAATTTACCCCATGAGAGACCCCTAGGAGTGCATCTTGTTTTGTCAGAAACGATGGGCTACAGCCTATAGCAGAAATCACGCTCCTTGAAAGAAGGTAAGAAAGAAGAAGGAACCATCCCCCAAATCCCAATGTTAAAGAAGAAGGAGAAATATCTCTCAAGTACTAAGACTTCGCCTTCCAGCTCCTACCTGGCAAGAAGCTATGGCACCAACCACCACAATCACACAGGTTTATGCACACCATTAACTGCCCCAGTCCTTCCACAAACTCAATGATATCCTTCACTGGTCTATGAAAATCTAGAGAATCCAGAACAGCTCCTTTTTCCAGGGTAGTGCTACCTGCTCACCCGCCCACACATCAGGCAGGCTCTAGGTGCTGAGCCTTCCTGAGAAGAAGCAGGAGTGATGTCAATTAAGGAGACAGGGGAGTCACTTCAAGACCAGATATATTTTTTGCTACACAAAGAGGTTCAGAAATCACTTTACAACACAGTATTTGTGTTTTAAGTACCTACAGAACAAGTCAAGATCAGTGGTAATGTTTAATGAAAACAAATACAAAATAAACGACTATTGTATCCTTCAATTTTGCTCAGAGAAGCCTTGCAGATACCAGTAACGAGACATGGTGGGGCGGTAATTAAAATGCAGACTTTGCTTTCATGCCATTACCGGGTCAGCATGTGCACGACTTGCTAAAATCCTTCCCGGTGATGGCATTTACTTGATACTTCTCTGCAATGTTATATGAAAACATTCCATGCAACCCCAGATTCCAGGACAAAAGAGGTACATTTTAATGAAGCTTTATCACATAGTCATCTATTTATACCCTGCCTTGAGTCAGAAGGGACTTAGGTAGCCAATAACGACAACAATAATAATAGAAACAGTTGCCATATGTGAGGAACTATTACATGTCAGACACTGCATATGAGGTGCTTTATTTACATTGCCTATAATTTTACAGAAATCCCTCCAGGAGAGATGGCATTAGAGAGGGAGCAGGTGCAGAGGTTAAGAACTCAGGCCCTAAAGTCTATTTGGCTTTGATCCTGACCCCACTACCTACTAGCTATGAGACACCAGCAAGTTACCTAAACTCTCTGGGTCTCAGTGCATTATCTGTACAATATAATACAGATATTAGTAACTACCTCATAAGGTTAAGGATTAAATGAGATCAGCCATATACAGTGTTGAGAACAGTGCCTGGCACATAGGGAGGGCTCAATTAACATTAGTACAGTGGCAGAGACTTTTAATGGTCACCCGTAGCCCATGTGCTCTTCTAAACTTCCAATCTTCTAGGAGTTAGGCAAAGCCATGTGGCTAGTTTTAGTCAACAAAATATCAGTGGAGGTGACATGTGTCATGTCTGGACACAACGTTTAACAGCCAGTGTATGGCCTTTTTAGTGCTCTCTTCCCTGCCTCAGTGACCCTAGAAGCTGCCTGTTGGTGGCAACACCAGATGGAAGATAACTGCATCCCGGGGTCCCCAGATGGGGCAGGGCCCTGGTGATGCACATCAGATTTTGCTTGAGCAAAAAATCAGTTTTTGCTGTACTAAGCTCCTGATGTTTCCAGACTTATTTGTTTCTGCAGCATAGTATACCTTAGCCCTGACTAGCACAGACATTGGATAAAAATTGCCCTTTCTGCACTCCTCTGGGTGTCCTCTGGGTGTCTCTGTTTAGCCCTTTAGAAGTTCTCTCTCCTGTAGTTTCTTGTTCACCTATCTGTATGTAGTGGAGCTGAGGTAGCATGTCCTATCTTTCTCTCCTGGCCCACTGCTATTATGTTCTTTTTTTTTTTTTTTTTTTTTGAGGCAAGGTCTGGCTCTGCCATGCAAGCTGTAGTGCAGTGGCATGATCACAGCTCCCTGCAGCCCCAAACTCCTGGGCTCAAGTAATCCCCTCCCACCTCAGCCTCCTGAGTAGGTGGGACTACAGGTGTGTGCCACCATGCCTGGCCAATATTCTTACTATTTTATTTTATTTGTGGAGATGGAGTCTTGCTATGTTGCCCAGGCTGGTCTCAAACTCCTGGGCTCAAGCCATCCTCTCCTCAGCCTCCCAAAGTGCTCAGATCACAGGTGTGAGCCACTGTTCCCAGTCTATGTGATTCTTATTACCTTCTTTTCACACTTAAAGAAGCAAAGGTTTAACTAGCCAAAGGGAGCACCTCCATTCAAACTCAGCTATGGGCCAGGTGCAGTCCCAGCACTTTTGGAGGCTAAGGTGGGAGGATCACTTGAGGCCAGGAGTTCAAGACAAGCCTGGATAACATAGTGAGACTCCATCTCTACAAAAAAGTAAAACAAATTAGCTGGGCATGTTTGTGTGTGCCTGCAGTCCCAGCTACTTGGGAGGCTGAGGTGGGAGGATAACTTGAGCCCAGGAGTTTGAGGTTGTGATGAGATGTGAACACACCACTGCACTCCAGCCTGGGCAACAAAGCAAGGTGCCATTTCTAAAACAAAAAACAAATCCAGCTATCTGTTTCACTCTAAAAGTAGCATCATCACATTCATACTTGCCTTTTCTTGAATCCCTGCAAACTCTTGGGTGCTATGGAAAAAAAATTAATCCTCAGTTAAGCACTGGTTAAAAAAATAAATCAGTGATGGTAACTGTTGGAGAATATGAGTATTTGGCTCCTCTGAATCTGGATTGTGACCACCTTGACAAACAACATCAGAGAAATGGGAGGGAGTGAAGCTTAGAATTCTTGTACCACCTTGAGGGGAGTATACCCTGAAACCTAAATGTGAAAGTGATCATAGATGGGCTAGTATGCTAGAGACACTAAGAGGCGTGGAAACCCAGGAAGCAGAAGCTGGAAGCGGGTAAGGGAGAGGTCTCACAGAAGAGGGCTAGGATAGTCTGGCTGTTATAATACAAGGGGCCAAGGAGAGCATCAGATGCACTGATCAGTCAGGGAATTCAGGAAGCATGAGAGTCTCTGGCTGCCAATATTCTTTCTGTCTACCCTGTCCCCAGTCTAATCTGTAAAAATTCAGGGTTCCCCCACTTTTCATTGAGGTCTTCAGCAGGAATCATGCTATCTATTAAACCAAAAAGCTCCTCTAGAACATCCTTCATCCTAAATAACAAGGCATGGGAGTTATCTTCTCAAATACTAGGCTAACTCACTGTTTTGCCTCAGTTTCCTCTTGGTGAGGTAGTGGACTACACATCATTTTTAAGGTCCCTGCCAATCCTAATCAATCATCTATGCTTCTGTGAATAAGGGATGGTGGCACCATGTCTTCATGTAGGCCCTGCTTTCACAGCTTAAAGATTTCATGGGAGGAAACTGCAGTGCTTGTTCTATGCTTTGTTTGTTTTTGAGACCAAGTCTTGCTCTATCACTCAGGCTGGAGTGCAGTTGCGTGATCTCTGCTCACTGTAACCTCTGCTTCCTGGGCTCAAGTGATCCTCCCACCTCAGCCTCCCAAGTAGCTGGGACTACAGGTACACGCCACCACACCTGGCTAATTTTTGTATTTCTAGTAGAGACAGAGTTTTGCCATATTGCCTAGGCTTGTCTCGAACTCTTGGGCCCAAGCAATCAACCTGCCTCGTCCTCCCAAAGTGCTGGGATTATAGGCATGAGCCACCACACTCGGCCTTTCTTTCATCCATAAAATCATTACAATCCCTGCTGCCTACCACAGAGGGAGGGTATGCAAATGAGCTCAGGTGCTATCAAACACCTTAAAAACCTCTTGCAAACTGTTATATAAGTGCTAAACATTAATATCCAACAGCTGCCCCTCACTACCAATTTCTAATTTAAAGGTTCCACCACCATTACTTCCCTGAAACTACAAGATTTTGTCTTTGCATTTGTTGAATAACACTTTAACCTAAATTAGAGTAATTTATGTTTATAGTGAAAAATTAGAAAATATGGGAAAAAATAAAAAATACAAGAAAAATCGTTTACAGTCCTGTGCCCAAGTGACAACTTTGGTATAATTATCAGCTTAGTACACTTCCTTACAGTCTTTTCATCTGTATATCTTTATTGATTTAAGTCAAGATCAGGTGCAACATACAATTTTGTGTCTTACTTTAACATTGCATCATAAACAGTTGCCATTAAAAACTACTCATAGACCGGGTGCGGCAGTTCATGCCTGTAATCCCAACACTTTGGGAGGCTGAGGCGGGTGGATCACCTGAGGTCAGGAGTTCAAGACCAGCCTGTCCAACATGATGAAACCCGGTCTCTACTAAAAATACAAAAATTAGCTGGGTGTGGTGGCAGGTGCCTGTAATCCCAGCTACTCGGGAGGCTGAGGCAGGAGAATCACTTGAACTTGGGAGGCTGAGGCAGGAGAATTGCCTGAACCCATGAGGCAGAGGTTGCAGTGAGCCGAGATTGTGCCACTGCACTCCAGCCTGGGTGCCAAGAGCAAGACTCTGTCTCAAAAAAGAAAAAAAAAAGCAAAACAAAACAAAACAAAAAAACGCTCTTACATGAAAATTGTAATGGCTATATAAAACTCCTATCTTATGGTGTACTCTGATCTCCTCAACAAGTCCTCGTTGCTGGACATTTTGGGTGTTTCCAAAGTTTTCCTAGTAGGAGTAATCCTGAGAATTTCTTTAGCTTTTTTGGTGTTTCTAATTATTTCCTTAGGCTATACTTTGATGTGTAACTAGGTTGTACTAAAATAGTCTCCAGCAAATACTCAATTCTGCAAAAAAGGTAAAGAGAATCCAGTCATCGTAGTCAATATTACTAATGGCCCAATTCAAGCAGCAGAGCTTTTACAGGGAGGGCCTATAAATAGCAAAGCAACAGCTTGCGGTAGAAAAGATACAAAGAAACAGCAACCCTTAAGATTGTTCTTAAACTAGGGTTAAGATACTTTTCTATGCTGCCTCTTAACCAGAGAGCTATTTAATCAAGACCAGCGTTCGTTGAAAAAGTATAATATTTCTATTCAAGGGCAATAATCTGGCCACCCACACCTTCCTTGTAATTTGACAGGCTCTCTAAAAGCACAGATTGCCTGCAGACATTGGCTGACAGACAAAAAGAGCTTTCAAAGTCTAACCTTTCTGCGTCCTCCATCTGAAAGCAGAGCTTTGGGAAGCTCAGCTCTCTCCTAAACAGTTGCCAAGGATACCCTGAGTCGCCACAGAATTCAGACCCAATTAGTCCAAGTGCCCCCATTTAGTTGGTTAAACGTGGTGTTTGGTTAAAATGTGGCTTGGCTGGTTAAAAATGTTGGTTAAACATTTTCTCTTTTTATTTTGACAGATTAATTCATATTTTTCAAACATAAAACAGACAAAAGACATAAAACAACCCAGGTTTCATTCTTTGTATGCATTCGGCTACAGGTAACTACTTATCACCCAAGAATCTATCTTTAAAAGAGACCATCCCATCAATAGGCATCACAATAGTGATACTGACAACAACAATCATTAAGGCAGCAAACCATTTATTGCACTAGACACGCCATGAAAACTGCGGAGAGACCGATCAATCATACCATTTTGGATGCACAGCCAGGATTAAAGCAAGTGAAATTGTAATGATCTCACCTAAAAACTTGGGCTTATTAACACTAAATATTTATTAGGTGGCTTCATGGGCCAGGCACTCTGCCGGGGGCCTTATATACATTTTCACCAAGCCTCACAACTGCCCTGCTAGGGAGGCATCGTTAGTCTCATTTTACAGAGGAGGGAACTGAGGCTCACAGAGGCTAAGAGAGGTTGCGGCCGGGTGCGGCGGCTCACGCCTGTAATCCCAGCACTTTGGGAGGCCGAGTCGGGTGGATCACCTGAGGTCAGGAGTTCGAGACCAGCTTGGCCAACATGGTAAAACCCCGTCTCTACTAAAAATACAAAAATTAGCCGGGCATGGTGGCAGGCGCCTGTAATCCCAGCTACTCGGGGGGCCGAGGCAGGAGAATCACTTGAATCCGGGAGTCAGAGGTTGCAGTGAGCCGAGATTGTGCCATCACACTCCAGCCTGGGGGACAAGAGCGAGACTTTGTCTCAAAAAAAAAAAGAGAGAGAGAGACAGATTGCACACTGGGCAGAGCTGGGGTTTGAACACAGGATCAAGACCTGGGTTCTTCCTCTGCCTTCTCTACTTCCTCAACAAAATTGGTAGGCTGACAAAAATTCTTGCCCAGTAGCTGGAAGGCAGCGTGGATTGTGAAGAGGAGATCTAAAGGGAAACAAATAAATGGTCCTGGAACAGGACAAATGGGCGGCAGAAGAGAATAGCCGGCCTCTCAGCCCTTCAGCTGATTCCTCCTATATCAAGGGTCACAGCCCTGCTACCACTGATGGCAGAAGACAAGTGCTTGTGGCATTTATACTCAAGGATGGCTCTTTAGAGCCCCTCTTCAACTCTTCAAGAAAAAAAAAAACAAAAAACAGAACCGTTATTCTGTCTCCAAGGAAGAGAGGCCAATTTTACCTTTTCCCTAGAGGAATTTCCTAACCCTTCTCCACACAGAGAAAGCCCCAGAGCCTTTACATTGGAATCATCCCTGGGCAAATCCTGCAAGAGGAGATTAAAAACAAACAAACAAAGCGTTTCCACCAGAAAATGTGAGAAGTGAGCCTTTTTTGAAGGTAAGAATTAGAAGTGACAGCGAATCGGTGAAGGAACCAAGGCCATGACAGGTGGTGAAGACAAGTAGGAGAGACAGTCACACTTCTACTTATGAAAAGTGACTCCAAAGAAAGCCACTTTATGCTGTGGGCCTGGTGGGTGATACTGAGATAGCACCATTTAAACCAGCGAGAGCCACCTACGGCTTGCAGACTAGGGGTTTTTTTTTTCTCCAACATGTACAGATTTATTTAGTGCTGTTAACTCTTCTTTTGGGCTTCTAAGCCCTGAAGAATGGATCCCAGGAAAACTGGACCGGAAATCAGGAGCCTGCCAGCTATAGCTGGGGCTTATCCTCACCTTCACATACAAAAGAAGGAAGGGCTATGGACTAGCTGAAGTCCCTTCCAAATTTAACTCAATGTAATTTTTAATTTATTCTGGCAAATATGTATTGAAGACACACACTGTGTCAGGCATGATCTTGGCTTGAAGATGTAAAGATTTAGTCCCTGCCCTTGAGAACTCAGGCTAGTAGGGGAGAAGTGTGTGTCAGGAAATACCCCAAGTCATCGGTGCGATGAGTGCAACAAGGCTGTTTGAAGGGAGAAGCAGGGCTGGGGAGGCCCCTGAACTGGGGGCCTAGGAAGGCTCATGAAATAAATGATGAATAAATGATGTCTAAGCTGGGTTACTAAGGGTCATGAGGCATTCACTGGGGAGGGAGAGGGGGTGTCTGGTAAAGGGCTCCTTGCTACTTCCTAACCTGGAGCAATCCAGAGATGTAAGCTCTCTAGGTGCAAAGGAACCAGGCCTTTGGTTGGCTCATGGGGGAATGTGGTGCCCAGCCTAGGAACAGAATCCAAGGTCATTCTACTCTGAGTGGCCCTAAACTCACCAGGCCAAGGTCATCCTCTAGGGCAGGGCTGTCCCAACATCCTTCCTCACAGCCTTGGGGTTCAGAGGGGCGAGGTGGAGTGCATGCAGGAGGGGAGGGCTAAGTGAGCAGGCCTTCAGTCCCAGCCTTCTGCCTTTCCAGTTGTCATCTACAGAAGAGGATGTCGTTGCTGGAGCATTTTTGGAAATCAGTGCTCTCAGGCCTGAAGTGGTTATCAATTCACAATGATCTCCTCGCAGAAACTTGAATATGAAAAGCATCATGAAAAAGGTTCTCTCCAGTTTTCTCCTCTTGTTTCTGATGGCAGCTTCTTAGTTTCCTTGGCTGATTCCCAATTTGCCCTCTTCTAAGAGTCCATTAAACGCTGGGATTCTTCAGGGCTCTGGCCTGCATTTGAGCTTCTTCTCAGGCTACCCTCTCCCGCAGGGGTATCTTATGGAGCTCCAGATTTACAGTTCACCTGTTTGGCAAGGATGCCCACCTCTCCAGCTCCTCTAGGTCCCAGATGCACCCACACCACTGCCCTCCATGACATCACCACCTGATGCCTCAAACTAAATACAGCCAAGACTTGAACTCATAACTGCCCCATCTGCAGCCCCAGTTGTACTCTCTCCCCACCACTGCGACTCTCCGCAAATGGTCCCACCATAACCCAGTTGCTCAACCCAGATCTTTAGCAATCACTCTTAACTACTTCCTCTTCCTCACTCCCAACATCCAATTAACCACCAGTTCTTGGTCATTCTGTCCTCTAACACTCTCTCAGATCTGCCTGCCTCTCCCCATCCCCACCATCAGCACCCTAGTTCAGGCCACTTTCACTTGGACAACTACAAAAATCTCCATGATCCCTCACCTCCCATCTGGACTCCCCCTAATCTGTTCTCCACACAGCTGCTGGGATATTTCAAGAACACAAATCTGATCCTAAGAATCCCCTCCTGAAAACCTTTTAATGGCTTCCCATTCCTTTACAGCCCAAAATCCTTCAAGAGGCTTAAAGGGCTACAAATGACTGGGCATCTCTCCAGCCCCAACTCATGAAATCCTCCAGCATGTGAGACTTTGCCGAGTTCCTAGCACAATACCTGCTCCCCGCTTCCCTGCCTCCCTTCCCTGTGCAGGCCCCTGTGCTACTCCTGCTGGCGGGGACTCCACTCTGCACCCCCCGCCTCCCCCCACCAACCCCGCCCCGTGCCCAGCCATCTCTTACTTGACCTTCACTTCTCAGCTTGCGCTACACTCCTCGGGGAAGTCTGCTGCGTCCGTATAGGTCAGGCCTCCAGTGCTCACGATTTATGCTCTGCAGCACTGCGCATGCTCTTATTTATCTACAATCATTAGTTTGTTGTCTGTCTTTCAAAGAGCCATGTTCTTCACTGCTCTCTAACCCGTGCTCAGCATGGTGCCTAGCACACGACAGGTGCTCCATTTGTATTCTTTAAAGTATTTTTTTAAACCACTTCTATAGCTCTTCCTGGCACCGGTAAGCGAATGCTGCCCTCAGATCCCCACCTCTCTCCCTTCCCATTCTCCTCTTTCCCTCAGTCCGTGGTCTGGTTCCTGTCACCAGGGCCTTGTGTCCTACTGATTCCAACATAACCTTCACACACTGTGTGATGATGAAACCTAGAAAGCAATTTCATTTTCTACTGAGTAATGCCTACGATGTCAGAATACACCCACTATTGTTACTTCTATAGAAATTATAATCCAAACTCTAGGGATCTGTGTCTAGAGTCCAGAATCCAGATTGGCACCAAAAAGGGAAGAAGCATTATTTAATAAAATATTTGTCTGGTTTCCATTCTCACTGTTGCTTTCTCAGAGAGATAAACATATATACTATGGGGATGTTCTGGTTAAATAGTTTGGCTTAGTTGGGATTTATAGCGATTATCTCAGAAGCTCAGTTGCTCAGGAGGGGGAACAGGTAGGCAGAGCAATCCCTTAGAAGTGTAAGATGTACAAGCATCAAGCACAGGAAAAAGAAAAACCTTGCTTTCCAAAGTCCAAAAGCTTTCCTCTGGCTGCAGTGCAGCCTCTTGCTGGTGCAGGCAACATGACCGAGAGCCAAGCGTGAATGACAGAGTCTGATTTGTTCAGCAAAGCCTGTTTCAAAGCAATTAAAAAGAGAACGTCATCTCCTGTAGAAGCTGCAAACAAAAGGCCAGGGATGCTTTTTCCTTTTTTAATTGATCTGGGCTGTCAACTACTTCATTAGCAACCTGATTAGGTTCTAATCAGCCCTCTAATTAAGTGCTTTCAAATCAGAACCTGAGAAGGGTGTGAACTTAGAAGGGGTGATGGTGCAGGTTGGACAGGACCACTTGCAAGAAATTCCAATGAGTTCCTTAACCTGAGGCAAGATTCAAACTTTATTCTTGCAAGTAGATTTCCATACAGTGGGGGGAGTCCTGTGAACATTTTGTTTCGGAAACAAATGGTTCAACTCCTTACTTTGAAAGTCTAGGCAGTAAAGCACCAAGAACTTCTTGCTTAAGAAGAACATGGAAAAATAATTGGAAAATATTTCACAAACAGGAGCAAAGGGAGAAAGCAAAATTAATGCTTTTGGCTGACAGTCTGTCTTCTAGAATGACTTTCTTTGGCCTCAGGAAACCCTTGGACTCTAGGTAACCAAGAAGTGTCTTGGAAAGACCTCTCAAATCTAAAATTCAGGGAAACCCAGCACCATTTCTTGCAACGCCACAAAGAGGCAAGTGCAGATCCTAACCCGCACTCCGCTTCAAAGGTGCTTCACTTTTGAGATGTCGGTTCTGAGGTGGTGGTGGTTGTTTGACAGCCGTATATTATTAATACCTTCAACCGCCAATACTAGGAGCTCCGATCATGTTTTGATGACCAACACGAGTCTAACATATAAGTAAGCTTGGGAATTTTATTCTTCAAAACCACAGGTAACAAATTTCAAATGCTAAATTTTTTTTTTTCAATCAAGTACAGAAGAAAGGAAACACCTTCATTTATTTTCTAAAGTCTATTCTTCAAAATAATTTCTCCTTCTTTTTCTGTCTTTGCAGTGATCATAAAAGGGCATTTTATTAGTCCATTCTCTGACTGCCATAAATAAATACCTGAGACTGGGTAATGTATAAAGAAAAGAGGTTGAATTGGCTCACGATTCTGCAGGCTGTACAGGAAGCATGGTGGCATCTGCTTGGCTTCTGGGGAAGCCTCAGGAAACTTACAATCATGGCAGAAGGTGAAAGGAAAGCAGGCACATCACATGGTCGGAACAGGAGGAAGAGAAAGAAGGGGGAAGTGATATACATTTTTAAACAGTCAGATCTCCTGAGAACTCACTATCACAACAGCACCAAGGGGCGATGGTATTAAGCCATGAGAACTCTGCCCTTCCCCCAGCAATGATCCAATCACCTCCCACCAGGCCCCACATCCAACACTGGGGATTACAATTCGACAGGAGATTTGCGTGGGACACAGATCCAAACCATATCAGTCATTAAAAGAAAAATCATTTGATGTGGCTCTTCATGGAAGCAAGAATTTTTCATGCAGATGGGATGAAAGGATACCATAAGTTAGCCAACACAAGACCTTATCTTAGCACCCAAATGTTATAACCCGGACCCCACCTCTGGAATTTTCTAAGTTAAGAAGGTAGATCGAAAGTAAGTGCAATTCATTTGACCACAATGGGCTGAAGCATAGGTAATATGAAAATCAACAGAACTGAAGCTCTCTGAAAGTTTTCTGAACTGGGAGTGTGTGGCTGGTGTGTGTGTGGTAGGGGGAGATGGTTGTGAATTAGGGGATGGGGAAGTATGAATTTACTGTAAACTTCCATTGGCTTGTGTTATAAACAAATCCAGGTTACTCTGGAACATGTTTTTTAGTTATGACCTTGTAGCACTGTCCCTCCATGTCACAAGGGTGATGACAGAAACTGAAGCTGATTACAGGTAAAGTTATGGCATCCTATGACCGCTAGCTCCTCCAGTGAGGTAGGATGTTAAAAACACAGGCTTTGGAATCAGACCATCCTGATTGTGGCTTAGGATGGGTTTTTATCTGTTCTAAGCTCCTATTTCCTTATCTGTAAAATGGGCATAATATTCTACCCTTACAGAGATTTTATGAATATTAAAGAGAAGACATTTTTAAAGTGCTGATCCCACAGTAATGACTATGACAGGTCAGGTTCCTTCTCCTCCTTCTCTCCTCACCTTTTCCTGCCCTATCTTTTCCTCTCGCAGACCCCTAACCTCCTCTTCTCCTCTTAGAACCACATTTTAAAACTTTAACCTGTAAAGCCAGAAACTATTTTTTCATTGATTTAGTTTGTAGATCAATTGAATCCAAAACACAGGCCATCAGTAGACGTTCTTGTATATCATTTTCACAGGTTTTATACTTTCCTAAAAGTCTTGTAATGGATCTGTAAAAAATGAGATTTAGGGTATTTATCAAAACAGTCTACAAAGCCCTGAGCATAATGGCTCCCTCTTTTCATCATACCAGGACTTGTCCAGAGTCTCTTTACCCTGTTTCTTGTCATAGAACTTCAAAGAGCAGTTACCCACCTCTCTGCCTCCTCTTGCTTTCTCTGCATCGGCCTTGACAATAGCACCTACTATAAGACAAGCAGGTGCCCTTACTCAAGGGCATAAGTGGCAAACAAAGTGGTTAACACAGTTCAAAAGCTTTGACATGCTGACTTTGGGAGCAGCCCAAATGGGAAATGCTCTGGTTATTCATGCAAACGGCAGGTCTGTCCACCCTCCTTAAAAACTACTTTGCTTATGGCCTGGTGGGTGGCTCACACCTATAATTCCAGCACTTTGGGAGGACGAGGTGGGCGGATCACTTGAGGTCAGGAGTTCGAGATCAGCCTGGCCAACAAGGTGAAACCCCATCTCTACCAAAAAATACAAAAATTAGCCATGCACGTGGCATGTGGCTGTAATCCCAGCTACTCCAGAGGCTGAGGCACGAGAATCGCTTGAACCCAGGAGGTGGAGGTTGCAGTGAGCCGAGATTGTGCCACCGCACTCCAGCCTGGGTGACAGAGCGAGACCCTGTCTCAAAAAAACAAAACAAAACAAAACAAAACAAAACAAACAAAGAAACACAAAAACTACATCACTTAAAAAATATATACAAATAAACTCAGTCCATTGCAAGGGCTCTTGACTGGGCTTGAGAGCTTGCAGGCCACTGACCTGCTGTGTGGAAACTAGAAAGACAGAACATGAACGGGAAAAGCAGAGGGAGCCAGAGAGGGACTGAAATTCAAGAAAAATACATTTAGAGGGCAGTGGGAGGAGGCGGAGCCAGAAAGCCAACAGAGGACGAATGTTGAGAAAAGTAGGTGAATAAGGAGGGTGTGATTTCAAGGAATCCAAGAAAACAGGGGATACAGAGAAGGAGTGTTCAGCAGGACCTGCTACTACTGATACCTAACATTACCGCCTGTTCCTATGTGCCAGGCTCTAGTTACGTGCATGACCTAAGTTTTCTCTGTTGCCATAGCTGGTAAGAGAGATATTATTCTTATGCTCATATTACAAATAAGGAAGCTGAGGTTCTGAGAAGATGAGCTAATCTGCAAGATCACACCACTGTAAGTAGTGGAGTCTAAGATTCTAATCCGGGCGACATGGTTCTAGAACCATTCTCTACCATCTCCTGTTAGCAGGATGCAGGCTTCTGCACCCAAAACTGAGACATCAGGATATGGAGATGTCCGCCAGGGCTGGAGTCCCTGAGAAACAGATCCTGAGACGGAGACTTGCATATAGGAAAGTTCATTGGCAAGTGCGCTCCAGATCACACTTGTGGGAGTGCAACGGCCGCAGGAGTGGGCGGAAGGAGAAACAGAGCTGTGATGTAGTCACAACTAAAGCCTCAGCCGATCCCACTGAAAGCCTGGAGCTGGGGTGGCCCTGCAGAGTTGTGCGGCTCTGAGGCAAGGGGATCTGCCAAGGGAAGAGAGCTGCCAGCTCCCAACTCTCCCAGCCAGGAGGGGTGTATGCCTTAGTCTAGGGGAGGTAGGGAGTGGAAGCTGCAGAGCTCCTCACAGAATTGACTACCATGTTCCGCATCTATAAGGAAGGGGTCGTTTACTGGCACAGCATTTGACAGGGGCTTGGTCAAGTGCCTGGGTTTGCCTCCCAGCTCAGTCGTTGCCTGGATGGAGAATTTTAGTAATTTCCTTAACTTCTCTGCATCTCCATGCCTTCATCTAAAATAAAGATAATACCCATTTGATGGAATTGTTGAAGAAAATCGTATATACAAAGTCTATGCTACTAAGTAAAATCTTCCTCCTCAGTTTTGTAGAAACCAATACTCCACAGAGAAGGGACAGGGTGAAGGATGGCAAAGCTAAAAGGGGGCTGCTGGATATACAGAAGGGACAGGTTCATAATTGGCCATTTAGGGAGACACCAGGTTTTGCCTGGACAACTTCAACCTTTTGAAGTGTGTGTCATGAAAACCAACTACTTTTTCCCTGTTGGATGCTTCCCGTACTGTCAGGCAGAACAGGGATGGAGGAATAGGGAGGTGGGATGAAATGGGGTTGGGGGGATGACTGTGGCAATTCCTATAGTCGCTCTGTCTTCACATTCCAAAACACTGCAAAGCTGATCTGACAAACCCTGTCAGAAAGAGACAGAAAATGCCAAACAGGAAGAGAGGTGGCCTTGGCAATGTCAGACGCCATGATGCTCCCTCTTGCTGGAGTGGCACCAGGCAGAAAGCCAAAGGTTTCTTAACAAAACAAAACAAAACTAAGCAGCTCAGCAGGCTATAGACCATGATTTGTTGGGGAATGTGAGCAACTACAAATAGCCAAGGCACTCCTAATATGTGTAAGATGTTATTATTCTTGCCACCTAGCCCAAATGTGTACTATCTCAACCCAAGTCCTCCAGAAGATGGTATCAGTTTGGGGGACGGTGGGGCTGGGTGGAAAGGGAGGATTTAAGGTAGCATATGCCACAGTGAGGAGGAGGAGGGGAAAGAGCAAACCGCCATTTAGTGAGCAGCCTGCATGTTGCTAGGTACTTAGCTAATTTCATCTTCCAAACAACTCTATAAGTGGATATTGGCATTATCCCATTTCTCAGATTAGAAAACTCAGGTGCAGGCCGGGCACAGTGGCTCATGCCTGTAATCTCAGCACTTTGGGAGGCTGAGGCAAGTGGATCACCTGAGGTCAGGAGTTTGAGATCAGCCTGGCCAACAAGGAGAAACCTCGTCTCTACAAAAATGAAAAAAAAAAAAAATTAGCCAGGTGTGGTGGCACACACCTGTAGTCCCAGCTACTCAGGAGGCTGAGGCAGGAGAATCACTTGAACCCTGGAGGCAGAGGTTGCAGTGAGCTGAGATCCCCCACTACACTCCAGCCTGGGCAACAGAGCAAGACTCTGTCTCAAAAAAAAAAAAACTGAGGTGCAAGAAGGTAAGTATTTTCCCAAGTTTACTGTGCTAAGTAATTTAATGGAATAATTGGGATGAGAACTTGTCTCATCCCAATTATTAAGAGAGCGTGTCATGGCGTCTGACATCACTAAGGCCACCACTCTTCCTGTTTGGCATTTTCTGTCTCTTTCTGACTGGGTTTGTCATATCAACTTTTCCATGTTTTGGAATGTCAAGACAGAGCGACTATAGGAATTGCCACAGTCATCTGCCCCATCCCATTTCATCCCACCTCCCTATTCCCCAATCCCTGTTCTGCCTGACAGTAGGAGAGGCTTGCCCTCTTCCCACCACCCCAGGGCCTGTAGATGGCCTGTATCTACAGCAGTCAGTACTCTCCTCCAGCCAATGACCTCTACAGGCCTGGGACAACCTCAGGTTCTGACACCTTCTTAGACCCCCACTCCCCACAGCAGGCCCAGCCAGTGGCACTTCAGGCAGGAAGGTGGCTGCATGAACTACCACGGCTAATGTCAAAGCTGCAGCAGGCACTTAACTGCCTACTGCAGAGATCCCCTCCTGCCCTACTCTAAGCGCATGGACCACAGCCATCTCCCCAAGGGTGTCAGGGTTTCTCAGGCTGCTGAGGACCTCAGCAACTCAATTAGCTCAATGACCATGAACTTGTAACGGAAAACTCAGGCAAACGCACCAGTGCTCTTACGCAGGCTCCATTATCAAGCCTACTGAAGTCTGACACATTTCTCCCGTTTCCTCGAGAAATACCTCAATTCTGACTGTATCTTTGACCACTTATGTCTAACCTTGTGTACACTGTGTGACCACACTGAGCTTCAGTCCCACCTGGAAAATGGGTAGCACTGTGACTTTCAAAAGACAAACTCACAAACTCACAGCCCAGTTCCATCACTTACTAGTTGTACAACAACTCCCTGCAGGCTGGTTGCATGGCAGAGTTTCCTTTAGCAGGAAATGGGGGCCCGTACAATTATTTATGTGGTAGACAGACAGAGCATTAAGTAACATGGAATAGCAAGTGAGAACGTTGTTCTTTCCCCAGTTCTCTTTCAGTGGTTCAAGTTAAGGCAAGAAGAAATGCCTGTTTGGTTCTAGTGCACTATTTATTTGTTTATTTATTGATACGGAGTCTCACTCTGTCACCCAGGCTGGAGTGCAGTGGTGCAATCTTGGCTCGCTGCAACCTCTGCCTCCTGGGTTCAAGCAATTCTCTGGCCTTGGCCTCCCGAGTAGCTGGGATTACAGATGCCTGCCACCATGCCCAGCTAATTTTGATATTTTTGGTAGAGACAGGATTTTACCATGTTGGCCAGGCTGGTCTTGAACTCTTGACCTCAAAAGATCCACCCACCTTGGCCTCCCAAAGTGCTGGGATTACAGACACGAGCCACGGTGCCTGGCCCGGTTCTAGCACGCTTTAAAAAGCTAACACTTGTTAATCTTCCTTAAAGAGATCAGGCCTCAGGTCCAGAGTATTATCTAGTTGGAACTTGATAACACTGCTTTGTTTTAATTGTTTTTCTTTTCCTGGTCATCTCCTATTTGTGGTAGTTGATGCTGGCTTTCTATTTACAGTAGCAATAACAACTTGTCTTTTAGAAAATACATTTGTTTAAATAATAATGTTAGTCCATTTTAAAGAAAATTATTAAGTAAAATAATGGTTTAGGTGGCACACAGAAATGGCAAAACTTGTGAAGACAGAACACAAATGGCCAAATTTTTGTGAACACTGTTAAAAAGACTACAGACTGCATGCCAAATGCTTCATGTACACCAACCATATAGTGGGTACTCAATAGATATTAGCTCTTGTATTCTAATTTTTTTTATTATTAGCCTTGCAATTTAATGGCACAGCTCACTGCTGAAGTACCCAAGAGCTCCCATTTCTGTTTCATGGTGCTCTGGCACTAACACGGCATCTTTTCTAATAAAAGAAGAGTGTGGCTGGGCATGGTGGCTCATGCCTGTAATCCCAGTACTTTGGGAGGCCAAGGTGGGTGGATCATTTGAGACCAGGAGTTCAAGACCAACCTGGCCAACAACATGGTGAAACCCTGCCTCTACTAAAAATACAAAAATTAGCCAGGCATGATGGCAGGCTCCTATAATCCCAGCTACTCAGGAGGCTGAGGCAGGAGAATCGCTTGAACCCAGGAGGCAGAGGTTGCAGTAAGCCAAGACTGCGCCACTGCACTCCAGCCTGGGTGACAGAGCAAGACTCTGTCTCAAAAAAAAAAAAAGAAGAAGAGTTGAAGAAAAGGAAATCTATCGGGGGAACCAGCCCCCAGTATTTTAACATAGGGCTTTTCTATTTTCCCTAAGTGTCAGCCAGTCTAAGGAATAAAGAGAAAGAGTACAAAGAGAGAAATTTTACAGCTGGGCTTCCGGGGGTGACATCACATATTGGTAGGACCGTGATGATGACCCCAAGCGACAAAACCAGCAAGTTTTTATTAGGGATTTTAAAAGGGGAGGGGGTGTAAGAACAGGGAGTAGGTCACAAGGATCACATGCTTCAAAGGGCCATAAAGATCACAAGGCAAAGGCAAAATTAGAATTACTGATGAGGGTCTATGTCCCGCTGTGCATGTACTGTTTTGATAAACATCTTAACAGGAAACAGGGTTCGAGAGCAGAGAACCGGTCTGACTAGAATTTATCAGGCTGCAATTTCCCAATCCTTGTAAGCCTGAGGGTACTGCAGGAGACCAGGGTGTATTTCAGTCCTTATCTCAACCGCATAAGACAGACACTCCCAGAAGGATTGTCTATAGACCTATCCCCAGGAATGCATTCCTTCCCCAGGGTTATTCCTTCCTGGGAAAAGAATTCAGCGATATTTCTCCTACTCGCACGTCTGTTTATAGGCTTTCTGCAAGAAGAAAAATATGGTTCTCTTCTGCCTGACCCCGCAGGCAGTCAGACCTTATGGTTATCTTCCCTTGTTCCCTGAAAATCACTGTTATTCTGTTCCTTTTCAGGGTGCACTGATTTCATATTGTTCAAACACATGTTTTACAATCAGATTTCATTTTGTTCAAACACACATATTCTACAGTCAATTTGTACGATAGTGGTCCTGAGGTGACGTACATTCTCAGCTTACAAAGATAGCAGGATTAAGAGTTAAAGTAAAGACAGGCATAAGAAATTTTAAGAGTATTATTAGGGAAGTGATAAGTGTCCATGAAATCTTCACAATTTATGTCCTTCTGCCTCGGCTCCAGCCAGTCCCTCTGTTCGGGGTCCCTAACTTCCCCCAACAGAAATCAATTTCAAAAGATGAACTCACAGCCCAGTTCCATCACTTAATAGTTGTACAACTTTGGGTAAGTCAAGTAACCTGGCCAAGTTCAAACTCTCCATAATAGCTACCTTTATTAAACACTTATTACATGCCAAGCCACCTTGTTAAGGAACTTACATCAACCATCCCGTTTAAATCTCATAACAACCCTATAGAGGGCGCATTATTATCTTCATTATACAGATTAGGAACTAAAACTCAGTGAAGTCACTTGAGGGACTGCATGTCACACTGCTGGGGAATGGCAGCATCAGCATTCAAACCCAGTTCTTTCTGACTCCATACCTACCTCCCAGAGGTTGAAATGAGGATTAAAATATAGTAGAGAGGATGCACCTTCTGCATAATACGCATTTGATAAGTGGTTCTGCCTTAATACATTTAGAATATTCCTAAATATTCATAGTTCGTAGAGGCAATGAACGAATGTTAGTTTCTCAAACTGAGTTCAAAAGATGCACAAGAGGAAAGAAGGAGAAACCAGCTGCTGTTTAGGAAGAGTTGTCAGTGAACATCCGGCTCTCAGCATCTGCAGCAGGACTAGAGCTTGCATTCCCCCGGCAATTTGCCTTGCAGCGAGACAGCTAATGAGGTTGAGCAGAGTGGGTGTACACAGCACATCTGCTGCTGCCAACCACGTTGCACTTTAAATGCTCAAGACTGACAAACAGGGCATTGTGGGGAAGAATTACCCACTTCCAGCCCAGCACAGGGACCGACTTGCAAATGACAGGCTGCAGCACAGGCTGCACAATGCTGAGAAGCCAGAAGAGGTTGAGAGGCACTGATGAGGCTGGCAGAAAGCTGCAGTTAGAGCCATGAGTCCCCAAAGAGCAACAACAAAACAAACACAGTGCGACTAGGGAGAGTTGGGAATGGCGCAAATCACTCTGTTGTCTACACGTGACAAGAGCACCCTCAGAAGTAGATAACTGCCCTGATTTAAATGAAAAATAAGGTTCAGACTGCTGGTCCCACACTTCAGGTGCTTGTACTGTACAATCAATTACATCATTATTATGAGATTACATGCTTAAGTTTTTTTTAAATCATCATAAAAAGAATGCCTTAAAATTTCCATATACTGGTAATAATTTTTCAGTTTTCTCAAAAATTAAGCTGTGAAAGGGAAAAGGACATGGTTCATTGGAGAAAGTACCCAGATAGCGTGGACAGGACATTGAAGGATTGCTGACGGGACGCACGCTGTTCCTCTCTACATTGCTAGGGAGAAAAGATAATCGTATCTACAGGGAAATGGCAGAAGAGAGAGAACTGGGTGACTGGAGGCTCTGTGTTGGAGAGACAAAAAAAAAAAAAGACAGTTCCACAGAAGCATTCATGGAATGATTCCATTAATTTTGAAGGGCATGAGCTGATAGATGTTGGTTGTACTGGCTTGTGTGTGTATTGTGCAAATGAACCCAAAGGGGACAGATAATCCTTCAGGGTCACCACCTGTCATATGCCAATACCTTGCATTTCAAAAAGGGTTAAGAATGGCTGACTTAGTCCTTAGAGTACCTGAGTGGGAGTCAATAGACGTGAACACCATTCTTTCACATCTGACTCATTGCGGGCAACATTAATTTCCTATTTACAGAAACCACTCTCCGAAACATAATAGATCCTATTTATTCAATTTACCACCTACAATATCTGTCAGATGTTACTGATGTCCAGAGGCTCTACTAGGCTTCCCCCACTGACTTGGAAAAGCTATGCTTTTTCAATTATGTTCTTAAAATGGCAGCATTCAATGTTTGTCTCAATTACGTTAAATTAATAGTCGACAGGTCATGAATTGTTAAAAAGACTTAAAAGTGCTGAAGGGGGAAGAAAACTGTATCAAAGTAGGTCAGTCCACCCGATGACAATCTTACCACAAAACAGTCCCATACCAGCCAATCCCCTCTCTCAGCCAAGGCCAGAACAATTCATCACCCTGGTTCAAAAGCATGTATTTAATGCCTTCCAATGACCCAGCCAGCCCTCAAGAGATTACACCAGAAGACAGAAAATGATTTAGAAGCTGCATTTCCTTCACATATAAGACTATGCAGTAGGAGAAAGGTAAATAAACATTATACAGATTCCTTTCTTTATCTTTACTTTCCTCCAGCTCCTCCAGCTTAAATTGTAAGAGTAAGGACTATAGTTTTACTTGCCTAGCCAACACTTATTTTAAAATTCAACAAAGCTATATTGCACTTCATACTAAGGTACCTCTTGGTGCTATTACAGAATGAGAGTTTTTTTTTTGACAAGTCCACATTTAAAGGATGCAAGATAAGTTGAAGACAATATTTATACATCTGCCAAGGGCCATCTATCTCTTTAATAAGATGGTTACAGTATTCTACTATTTTTCCCTTTCTTTTCATCCCTTATTGTTGTTGTGATGTTATCTGTGCAATAAACAAAAACCAGGAGAAAAGCCTAAAAAGCATCTGGTCTTTTCTTAACCCGTTTTTTAAGTAATAAATTCAAAAAGGGCTAAATCACCATAAGCCACACAGATGGACAATCCTGCCAAGGTGGCGGCCTTCCTTTCCCCAGCACACTGCTACAACAGATACTAAGATGGAAGGATGAGGCTCTTCTTCCCACACGGCAAAATGGGACTGGATAATGAGATCGGTGGCCAGCCTCCTACACACCCCAAACCCACCCCAATTCTGTCTTCCCTTCTGATTTCTCTCCAGAGAAACAATCAGTAGACTGATGGGAACTTTGGTGAGCAGAGCACTGGAAGAGGCGTTCTGGCCATTGTAAAGAACTGAATGAGAGTCCAACCCTCCCAGACCACTGCAGAAACACAAGAATGACAGACAGTTCTCAGCAGTGGTCTCTCTCTGCTCCAGTCTATTCTTTACATTACCACACTGACCTTCCTTCTTGTAACGGACATTTGTTGGTTTGGGGCCCGGCCTTCAAGTACTGTTTGCAGCCACAAGCCTGTCTTCACTTAGAAATTCACTCCTCCCCTGCTTTCATTCAATGTGGTTGGGTTGGAGCCAACCCCACTCTGAGCTGGGGAAGGGGGACTGTGAATTTAAACTAGGCTTAAGGCACCTGGCACAATGCATTCTTCCAGTAACAAATACTGGTCCTGAGGTGTGCATATAAACCAAGCCAGGCGGTCCCAGCCATCTAGACTTAATTCAAGGATAGTTCTTGGAATCACTGGGAAAGCTAATGACCTCTCTTCCCCTAGACCTCAGTCTTGGAAGATGTGAGCCTGGAGCTCATGCACCATCCCACACCATGAGAGGAAAGCCTGCCTGAGAAAGGAGCCTACACAAAGGATGCAAAGCAGAGAGACACAGGAAGAAGCCAGTTCTATCACTTGCGCTGCTGGATCAAGCCACGCCTAAAGATGTCTCTATCCCTGGACTTTCCAGTTAAGCCTATTTGGATGGCTTTCTCTCGAAGGCAACTCAGAGTCCTAATAGAGATATTTCCAATGCCACTGATTTCCAGATATTACCACTTATGCTCAAAAACTATCAATGGTTTCCTACTGCCTATAGGATAAAGTTGAAATTCCTTAGCCTGGCACCAAGACCATCCACAAGATGGCCTCAAGTTACTTCCCCACCTTTATTTTGAATTGCTATCTTAAATGTAACCCTTCTTCTGTCAAGCTGTACACTCTGTCTCCTGAATATTCACCTTTGAAAAACAGTCTTGTTTTTCTAAGAAATATCGTCTCACCCACCGCAGGCCCCAGTGATCTCTCTTCTCTGAATTTCCATCACAGCCACTGTCTTGAGCTTTTCTCTGACACTCATCATAAGCTACCTAACTGCTCTCATTCTTTAACCATTATTTAATGGGCATTAGAGGTACTGAGGAGACGTGACATCTGTCCTCAAGAAACTTGCAGACTAATAGGCGAATCAATGACCAAATATTTATGCAAAGAGTATTACATAGTTAAGATAAGCAGTAAGAAAAATAAAAGGCCAAGTTTTCATCAGAAGGCATTCGTCAGAAGCGGCCTGATCTTTTGTACCTAAAAATAAGACCATAAGCCCCTCAGCTGACTGAACGGAACCCCTCTTGGCCACGTGGTCCCCAGAGAAACCTTAAAAACTGCGTTCCCAGCCATGGCCCGATGGAAGGTCAGACATGCCTCATTATACCTCCTTCCTTTTGCAGTTTAGACACAACAAGGCACCAGCACTAATATGAAAATAGAGATCATACAACTGACAGAATGGACCCTTTGTAGCAATAAGATACTAAACTATAAACAGGACCTAAGGCCACACCGGGCAAGGGTTAAGTCATATATCCTACGCTCAAAGGATAAACTCTGTTCTAGCTGCCACAAGATTTTTCTTTTCCTCCAGAAGCTAAACAAGTGCTGGCCTGGAGATAAGCAATACTGAAACAATGGCAGCTCATCCACTGCCAGATGCTGACCCACTGACCCCCTGCTCCACAAGCCGTAACTACAGCTTTGATTGGACAGGAAACTGATTTCAATAACTTTCTGCTGGTAAGAAAACCACCGACCATGCACTGGCTCTGGCCGGTTCACAGAGGCTACGCACTTGAGTGCCTTTGCATCCTGAAAAGACCTTTTGACATATAGGGCCTAACTGTAATATATTTAAATGTTAAGTCTTCACCCCAAAGTGAACATGGGTTGTATGTAACATGCATGTTTATTCAGTATGCGGGTGTTAGGACCGCCTTCGTGAATATTCATAGCTCCTCCTGTAACCTGTTGAGTATGTATATTTGGCCAACCCATTAAGCTTATGCTCTTATCTTACCCCTTTCTCCCTCAAAGTGCCTGCCTTTTGGGCTCTGTCAGAGGCTATGCTTCCCAGCCTGTCAGGACAGCCACTGTGCATGCTGTAACCCTTTATAGAAAATAAAATCTCCTTTCGAAATTTATAAAGTGTGTAATTTTAAAGTTAACATAAGGAAACTTAATCTAAATTATAGGGGGCAGGGGAGGCCTCCCTGAAAAAGTAATCATCAATGCACAAAGAAACGGCCAGGGTGGGCCAGGCACAGTGGCTCATACCTGTAATCCCAGCACTTTGGGAGGCCGAGGCGGGTGGATCACGAGGTCAGGAGATTGAGACCATCCTGGCCAACACGGTGAAACCCCGTCTCTACTAAAAATACAAAAAAAAAATTAGCCAGACGTGGTGGCGGGCACCTGTAGTCCCAGCTACTTGGGAGGCTGAGGCGGGAGAAGGGCGTGAACCCGGGAGGCGGAGCTTGCAGTGAGCGGAGATCACACCACTGCACTCCAGCCTGGGTGACACAGCGAGACTCTGTCTCAAACAAAAACAAAAAAGAAACAGCCAGTGTGGCTGGAAGGGGAGTGATGGCAGCTGGGAAGGGAGAAGCCAGTAGAGGCAAAGTATGCTGACTGTCAGAGGGCTTGGGAACAACTAAACTTTAATCCTACCAGCGAAGGCATTGGGAGATTTTCAGCAGAGAAGTGGCCTGATCTTTTTGTACCTAAAAAGATCACTCTTGTTGCCATGTGGAAAATGGATTACAGGAGAGTTGAGACAGACAGCTGTTACCACTGTAAATAAACTTTAAAAAAAAAAATTCTAAGCTCCCAGCCAATTGAATTGACCCCTCCTCCTGGCCAAGAACATTCCCAAGTTAACCTGAAAAACTAGGTCAGGCCATGATGGGAAGTGGAGGTCAGACATGCCTCATTATACCATCATCCCTTGGGAATTCAGGCCGAGGGTGACCAGCATTTAACATTAAAACACACCTTAAGACTGATGAAACAAGCCAGGTGCAGTGGCTCACTTCTGTAATCCCAGTACTTTGAGAGACTGAGGCAGGTGGATCACTTGATGTCAGGAGTTCGAGACCAGCCTGGCCAACATGGTGAAACCCCACCTCTACTAAAAGTACAAAAATTAGCCGAGCATGGTGGTGCATGCCTGTAGTCCCAGCTACTCAGGAGGTTGAAGCAGGAGAATCCCTTGAACCTGGGAGTCGGAGGTTGCAGTGAGCTGAGATCGTGCCAATGCTCTCCAACCTGGGTGACAGAGTGAGATTCCGTCTAAAAAAAAAAAAAAGACTGACAAAACAGATTCTTCATAGCAATAAGATACCAACATGGCAGATAGGGGGCCCTAAAAGAAATCAAAGTATTTTACCCCAAAATGTATTTCTTTGACCTTTTTTTGTTTTGTTTTGTTTTGTTTTTGAGACGGAGTCTTGCTCTGTTGCCCAGGCTAGAGTACACTGGCATGATCTTGGCTCACTGCAACCTCTGCCACCTGGGTTCAAGTGATTCTCCTGCCTCAGCCTCCTGAGTAGCTGGGATTACAGGCACTCACTACCACACCCGGCTAATTTTTGTATTTTTAGTAGAGACTGGGTCTCGCCATGTTGGCCAGGCTGGTCTTGAACTCCTGATTTCAGGTTATCCACCCACCTCAGCCTCCCAGAGTGCTGGGATTACAGGCGTGAGCCACTTCTTCTTTGACATATTTTGAAACAGCCCTTGCAAAGTTTGTCTCTACAATCTATAGATTTTCCCTTTCCTTTCCAGATCTTTTTCCTGATCCACGAGGAAATTAACTAAGAGTCTGGCACCTTTTTAAGTCTGATAAGAAACATTTACAATCTATTCTCTCTGAAGCCTGCTACCTAGAAGCTTCACCTGCATAATAAAAACCCTTGTCTGTATAACCCCTCATCTTAACCCCAAACACTCCATTTATTGGTTCCAGGTCTTTAGATAAACTCTTTTCAACCAGCTGCCAATAACGAAATCTTTGAATCCACCTATGACCTGGAAGCTCCCCACCCCACCCTGCTTCAAGTTGTCCTGCCTTTCCAGATTGAACCAGTGTACATCTTACATGTACTGACTGACATCTCATGTCTCCCTAAAACATATAAAACCAAGCTGTAGACTGACCACCTGCACATGTTCTCAGGACCTCCCGAGGCTGTGTCCCAGGCATGTCCTTAACCTTGGCAAAACAAAATTCTAAATTGATTGAGACCTGTCTCAGATACTTTTTGGTTTATGCAGTGGTACAGGAGACAGATGATGGTAGCTTAAACGTTGGTGATATGAGTGGATATGGAGAGAATTGGGTGATTTCAGTTATACTTTGGAGGCAGAAGCTATATGACTTAGTGATTTACTGGATATACAGGCAGGGGAGATATGAGCGACAGGAGATCACAGGATGATGCCTGGGTCCCTGGTTTCAACCACTCCATGAAGAAGGGCAACACTGGAGGTAGAGCAGGCTTGGAGAGATTTATTTCAGGTAAGTTTAATGTTATACAGTTGTAGAATAGGTGCATTTATTAAAGACAGTTGTAGATATGAGTTTGAAGTTTAAAAGTCTAGACTCTTAAGTATGAATTTGGAAGCCTCTGGCATGTAGAAGTCTCTGGCATGTGCCAGAATCCACAGGGGTGGATGAGTTTACTCAAGAAGAGTGTAGAGCTAAAAGATGGCCTGAGAGAACTCCAATTTTCAGAAAGTTGACTTGTTGGGATAGAGGCAACATGGATAAGAGGAAGATATTCCCAGCTTCCCAGATAGACTGAAACTTCTTGAGAAGAGTAACCTGTCTCATTTTCTTTGAAGGCAGTACAGTACTTGGAACTTAACAGGTGTTAAGAAATATTTGTGAACTACACTGAATAACGGACAGAGAATCAGGCTGAGAATCAGAAGTGTATTCTAAAATTTTATGATTCTGGATTATGAGAAAAAACTTTAGCCCACATTCATAATTTAACTGGATGTGACAGGCTGTCATTAATTAAACTGGTATTAAATGGAATCTATAGGCACAAACACTGTATAAGGCTGGGAACAGAAAATAAAAAGGGGTGCAGGGAAGGAAAGAAAAGTACTTCCCATCTTATTTAGTTATTTAATTCTTACCACGTATCTACGAGTAACAATCCTGCATAAGACAGGTTTTACAGATACGTGATTGCTGAAGAAACTGAGGTTCACAAAGTTTCAGTTACACGGCCAATAAACAGGGGGACCAGAATTCAAACAAGTCTATTTATCTTCCAAACCTGCGCTTTTTCTTCTACTGCACATTGTCCTCCAACCCCCGCTCAACAACTCACAGTCTTAGAATGAAAGTTAACTAACAATGCAAATTGGTCTACAATTAAATGTCAAGAGCCGTGTACCATGAATGCTACAGTTTCAAGGGGTGAACAATATGATATAGATGGTTAGGAAGGTCTGGTGGACTAGCTGGATCTTGAAGTAAGGATAAGAGAATATAAGAGTCATGGGACAGGGCAGCAAATCCTGAAGCCACACCACCAACACGAAAAGCAAAGTTAAGCCTCAGAAATTCTCCTTTTATGTATGTGCCTCATTCAGATTCTTAGAGAATATATTCCCAGAGTTAGGTGGCATGTCAGTGATGATGGATATTGGAAAGGAGCAGGTATAAAACTTAAAATCTCTTTCATGACAACTAAAGGTCTGAAAAAGCATGTAACTTTAGCTCTAAATGTAGTGTTCACTGGAAGACATGACGCCAATCACAAGTAAAATAATGGCTGTAATAAAATAAGGGAGGTTGTCTGTGAAAGCTTCATCTTGTCCTAATGTAACTCTACTTGCATCAGATCCCCTACTACCTTATTTTCTGTTCATACCGCGAGACCCTTGAGAGGCAGGACCATTATCATAGTCATTTTCTCATCTCTCAAAGGCTTGGCACAGTGCTTTTGATCCATGTTAGTTATTGCATAAAAATGTGTTTTAAAATATTAGAAAATTTGTCCACAAAAGGAATGGTGAGCTTGTGAATGCAAAGAGGAGGCAATGAGGATGCCAAGGCTTTCCCCCACTATAACTGGGGTTCTATCAACCAAAAGGGGAAGAAGGGAAACAGAAGCCAAATGTTCCACGTTCCATTTTCAACATCAACAATTTCCAACCTCCCAAATTAATTAGTAAACTGAAAAACATTCTGAAACTGCCAGAGAACTATACTTAGAGCAGCTACAAATTACTAACTCATTTTAATTCATTTGAAGGAGTATTAAAGATATACTCTACAGCAAGGACAAAATCAGTCGCCTATATGTACTGGGCCAATCTATTCTCAACTCTTCCAGTGATTAATTGGATCTGTTTGCAACAGATCTGGCCAGGGAGAGTGGGGTGACCAGAGCCCAGGAAACAGCAAAGTTCGACCTCTTTCTTTATAAAAGCTAGCTACATATAAGGCTCAGTCTTTCATAAGAGGTCACATTTATATCATGCTTAAAAGCGTGCCGATGGCTTTCACTTTCATCATCTCATTCGATTTCCCCACAATAATCTTGTGAATAAGAAGCACTTAACACAGTGCCCATTAAGAGTGCAATCAAAGGCCGGGCAGGAACCGGTCATCCCATTTCACAGATGAGAAATATAGGTTCAGAGAAATAAAAGTAAGCGACTGAAGCTCTCTCCAGGGATCCCAGAGGGGACAGGGCTCAGTCTGCCCATCTGTGAAATGTGTGCGTGGGTTGAGATGATTATCTCTGAGGTGTGGTGCATTCCATGACCTCCGAGAAGCTCTACACGGCCACCCGCGGGCCCCAGGGCGTCAGCCGTTCCTACACCCCGGGCCCTCTCGGGGACCGAGTTTCCCAGACTGCTCTTGGTCCCTCCGCTCCCACCCTCCTCGCTACCCCCGTCCTCCGCCCTGCCCCGTGAACCCTCTCCGCTGCCGCCTCCCCTCGCCCACCTCGACGGCCATGTTCGTGGGTGGGGAGAGGCCAGCCCGACCCTCGGACGGCGGGACTCGCGGGCTACTTTAGGTGGGCGCGGACCTGGGGCTCTAGCACTGACTAAGTCACTGCACCTGCGCAAGAGTCTCCGCCACTCTTGTCCGGGTGGGAATCAAACTCTAGCGCCGCCCTTCAGGGCGCTGAGGATTTGTTTCTAGATCTCACTCCCGAGGCTACCCAGGGCCTTTCTCTCTAACCCTCAGGAGGAAGAGCAAGCTCCATAACAGACAGAAGTTTAAATTGTCATTCCCAACTGCTAATCAGGAAGCGGAAGTTAAACTCTTAGCAAAATGGCAGCACCTGGAAAGACAAATGGAGCCAAACTACCTGGGTTCAAATCCTGACTCCACCACACGCTACGTAGGCGACCTTGTCCTTTATTATAGTTTCTTCATCTATTAATATGAGGTTTGAATGTATAAATAGTTGTAAATCAACTGTACCAGAATAATGCCTGGCATACAGTAAGCATTATATAAGTGTAAATTATTATCCCAAATATTTTACTTGGCAAACATTTTATCAATACTACTCTCGAAATAGGCTTTTTGATATTGTTAACATACGATTACAAGATTTTCCCTCTCCTGTCCCCTTAATTGCCAAGAAGTGTTCTCTCCTTTACCTGAGATTTTACCATCCCTCTCAATCTGCTGACCATAAGCCATTTTTCCAAAGGGGGTGTCTGTCTTAGGTTGTACTTGTATATAAAAGAAAACTTATAATTTTGATGTGTTAAGAAACTGAAATGTAGTTGTCACTCAACATTTGACTAGTGGGGGCTCTCTCAATATTTCACTACTTAGTACAAATATTTCAATTAACAAAAAAGCCCTACTTTCATTTCTGAATCTGTGGTCTTACTTTCCATAAAACCTGTAGTAGATTGCAAAAACAAAACACTTCTATTCCTGTATGCATTTCCCTTTGCAACATGTGTTAACTGTATTTCTCATCAAGAGATGAAGTCTATTTCTCTACCCTCTTGAGTCTGGGTTGGCTTCGTAACATGCTTTGACAAATAGAATGCAACAGAAGTCCCACTGTGGAATTTCTGAGCCTAGACCTCAGAGGCTTTGTAACTTCCACCTTCTTTTTTTCTTGTTGGTAGGGTTACCAATGATCCTGATCTGCCCAAGGCTGAGGAGTTTCCCAGGATATGGGACTTTCACTGCTAAAACCAGGATAGTCCCATGCAAAGCAGCATGGCTGATCACCCTACTTGCTGCCATGAGACTACCACCATCCTCGAGGATGATAGATCCCAAGGAGAGAGTGACCCAGTCAACATCCAGCCCCATCAGCATGTGACTTATCCAGCCCCAGTCCAGTCACCAGATAATAGCAAATGCATGAGTTAATTCAGGTGAGACCATCAGAACGATCTAGCTGAACTTGTCTCAAATTGCTGTCCTCTGTTGGAGTTTTTCTGCACATAAAAAATAAAATTGCTGTCCTACATAACTGTAAACAAGCAAAATGGTTGTTTTTATAAACCACCTAGTTTTGGAGTTGTTTGTTATATAGCAGTAGATAACTGTTACAATACTGCAACCCTTTAACTACAGGGAATTATGCTTAAAACCTAAGGAGTAGACTCCAATTTTAAGACAATAAAGCCCAGCCCTCCCTCACCACTTGTTCATTTCTTAGACTCAAAGAATATTGGTTGAGTGCTTACTGTGTACTAGGAACTGTATCATGGGCTTAGCATCCACTACTGAACAAGACAGGTAAGTACTCTGCCCTCAAAAATCTTATCCAGTTTGGGATACAGATATTAAATGAATAATTATAAGTTACGGGGTGCTTTAAAAATAAATGGGACTGAATAGAAGTGAAGGAGTGTAAAAAAAGCAAGTCTTTTTTAAAAAAGAAGTGGCATTTAAACTCAGTTCTGAAGTAGGAGTTATCCAGGTGAAAATTGGGCTGAAGTGTGTTCCAGGCAGAGAGAGCAGCATATGGGAAAGCTGTGGACTAGGAAGGCTCTTGATGAGGAGGGACAAAGTAGCTGGAGTTTAGGAGCTAGGAAAAAAGAGGCAGAAAGTGAAACTAGAGATGCAGGCAGAAGCCCAATCCTGCAGAATCTTATAGGCACAGTGAGGTTAAAATGCACCTATCTGGCATCCATCTTTTCAAAATATGTCCAGCTCCATCTGCTTTTTCTTAAAGACATCTTATGAGGCAACTGTGCTATATGGAAAGATTGATAAACTGGAAGATAGAATGCTGTATTTGTTCATTTTGTGCTTCTGTAACAGAATACCACAGCCTGGGGAACTTATAATAAACAGAAAGGTATTGGCTCACAGTTCTGTAGACTAGGAAGTCCAATATTAAAGTGCTGACGTCTGTCAAGGGCCTTCTTGCTGCATCATAACATGGTGGAAGATCAAGGAGAGGGCGAGAGACAGCAAGAGGGGGCAAACCCACTCCCTCAATAACAAACCTATTCCCATGATAACAACATTAGTCCATCCATGAGAGTGGATCCCTCATGACCTAAACCACCTCTTAGAAATTCCACCTCCCAATACTTTCAAAATGGCAATTAAATTTCAACATGAATTTTGAAGAAGACAAACATTTAAACCATAGCAAGTCCCTAAATCCATTTCAGCAAATAATTAAATTTCACCAACCTAGGTTTTCTTATCTATCAAAGGAAATAATAATCCCTATACACTACAATATATATTTCAGGCATGGGATGGGTACAAAGTGAGTGAGTATGGGAAGGAACACTATAAAATGACAAGTGTTCTATAAATATAAGGGCTATGATATTGAGGTGCTGATAGGCCCACACCCCATGTTTTTGGTCACATATTGTGTTTGGTTCCACCTATCCTAGTAAGAATCATAGATGATTTCATCATTCCTTTTGCTGTGCCCATGGATTCTCCCCATCCCAGATAAATAAATTTTGCCCTACTTTCTTACTGAACCAACTGATAATTAACACTCTAACTTCTGTGTTGCACTTTTTAAAGCGTTGTTTAGCATTAAGTGTTTCATCGTCTGATTATGCGTTCATTCAACAAATATTTTTTGTGCATCTACAACTGCGTCAGGCACAATCCTAGATATGGAGGATATGATCATGAACAAGACAAAGTCCCTGCTCTCTAATAGAAGAGACAGATACCAAAAAAAAAAAAAAAAAATTCTGTAAATGTAATGGCAAGCAGTGACAAATGTTATGAGGAAACAAAAAGCTCAACAGGAAAACAGGGAGTGATGGGGTGAAATATTGTTCATTTCAAACAATAGTGTTATGAATGAACTAATTACCAAGGAAGAAAAATTGTAGTCAGTGTCCAAGGTTTAAGAGAAGCCAAGAAGCTGTTATTTCAGCACCTCTGTCATTAGTTCAGCTCTTTCATACACCAAAGATATTGGTCGTTTATTGTGATGTGGGGCATTGCTCTGGTAGGGTGAGAGGAGACAAG
This sequence comes from Homo sapiens, assembly GCF_000001405.40. Taxonomy (NCBI): domain Eukaryota; kingdom Metazoa; phylum Chordata; class Mammalia; order Primates; family Hominidae; genus Homo; species Homo sapiens. Next base: position 20,246,637 of record NC_000001.11, read on the forward strand.
ATAAAAATCATCAACTTTTCTTCAAAGGGATCACTATAGTTGGGAACATCACGAAAATGCACAATGCTACAGGACATTAATTTTGCTCAGTGCCATGCGAAAGGCAGATACCTGTATCCTTTCCTTGCCCGTCTCTCCCACCATGCCTGGTCACCCTTGGCTCTCTATATGCTCACCCCTAGGAACTCCTGATTTTTTTCACTTTCTCTCTTAAAAGTTCATGTCCTTCCTGTTTCAGGACTTTTGCTCATTTTGCTCCCTCAGCCTGAAATGCTCCTCATCTCTTCCTTTACCAACTTAATTTAGTTTTCACTGACATGCCATTTCTTTAGGGAACCCTGCCATAGGCTGTTCAGACTAAGTCAGTGTAACAGTTAACTATAAACAAGAATGCTGCGTAACAAATAGCCACAAAAATCTCAGCAACTGACAACTTAAGCATTAATGAACTCCCAAATGTGCAGTTTAGCTAGAGGAGCTGGCCTGGATTGGGATTGGCTGGGCAGTTCTGCTAACCTTGGCTGGCCTCTCTCATTCATCTTCAGGGATGAGGAGCCAATCGGGGCTCCTAGGCTTCACTTAGCTAAGGCAGTTCAGCTGGGATGGGTCTGCTCCACAGGTCTCTCATCATCCTCATGAGACTAGCAGGCCAACCAAGGCATGTTTTCAAGGTGATGGCAGAGGAGCAAGAGGGCAAGTGGGAACACACTAAGACCTGTCAAGGCCCATGCTTAGAATTAGCTCACTGTCACCTCCACTTCATCTTACTGGCCAAAGCCAGTAACATGGCCAAGCCCAAAGTCAAGGGGTTGTGGAAATATACTTTGATGTTATGGAAGAAACTTCAAAGTCACATGACAAGTTTGAGAATGCAAGGAGAGGTAAAGAATAGGAGCAGAAAATGCATTTTACCATAATCAAATTCCCCTTCCCACCATCTCCAAGCACCCTAAACTTCTTCATGGGGCTTGCCACACTTAAAATCATGTTACAGGGTAAGAATTTATTTGTTTGATGTTTTATTTTCTCACTAAATAATGAACTCCACAAGTGTAGAGAATAAGTTAAGATTGTTTATTTCTAACATGGCATCTAACACTGCACTTGGCACATAATAGGTGCTCAGTTTATATTCATTGATTGAATGAATGAATGGCAGAAGCATTAATGGGAGGCATTCACAGGAAGGAGAAATAATTTCTGCATGAGTTAAGCAAAGCTGGCTTCTTGGAGGAAGGGGCTATGAGTTAAGGATTAAGTGCATTTCTCTTCAGCTCACTTTACTCCCTCTGACTGGTTTCGAAGCAGAGACTGGAGTTTACATCTCTTTATTCCAAACAGCAGGAGGCTTGCTACTTCCCCTACCCTCCCTTTGTGGGTGGTGGCGAGGCCTTTGGGAGGGTCCAGATGGTGACTGAGGATGCCCTGGACTGAAGCTGCAAAATCTTTGGATTCTCCATTCATGCCCTCTCCGGTTGCCACTTCACCTTCAGCATCCCAGTCCTGCAATCCTTTCTCCACGTGGCAAGCAAATTGATTTTGTGAAAAACTTGGTATCAAAAGTGGCTTCCCATTTTCCCTAGGATTATGTCTGAAGTCCAGGCAGGTGTCAGAACCATTCAAACCAGAGCAACTCCATCTTAAATAGGAGCTGGGTAAAATAAGGCTAAGACTTACCGGGCTGCATTCCCAGATGGTTAAGGCATTCTAAGTCACAGGATAAATTAGGAGGTCAGCACAAGACACAGGTCATAAAGACCTTTCTGATAAAACAGGTTGCAGCAAAGAAGCTGGCTAAAACCCACCAAAACCAAGATGGCCACTACAGTGACCTCTGATGTTCCTCACTGTTACACTCCCATCAGCACCATGACAGTTTACAAATGCCATGGCAACATCAAGAAGTTACCCTATATGGTCTAAAAAGGGGAGGCAGGGAGGGGAACATCATATACTGGGGCTTGTTGAGGGGGTTGGGGGGTGGGTAGGAGAGGGACAGCATTAGGAGAAATACCTAATGTAGATGATGGGTTGATGGGTGCAGCAAACCAGCATGGCACAGGTATACCTGTGTAACAAACCTGCATGTTCTTGCACATGTATCTCAGAACTTAAAGTATAATCGAAAAAAAGTAAAAAAATAAAATAAAATAAAAGGGGAGGCATGAATAATCCACCCCTTGTTTAGCACATCATCAATAAATAACCATAAAAATGGGCAACCAGTAGCCCTCGGGCCTGCTCTGTCTATGGAGTAGCCATTCTGTATTCCTTTACTTTCCTAGTAAACTTGCTTTCACTTTACCCTATGGACTTGCCCTGAATTATTTCTTGTGCAGGATCCAAGAACCCTCTCTTGGGGTCTGAATCAGGCTCCCTTTCCTGTAACAAAGGCATGGCCTACAGCAGCCTCAGCAACTTCAGGCATGGCACGTCCACCTCCCTCTTAGGCCTCATCTCTTTTTCTGTGCCCTGCCTTTCACCATGTAAGTGCCAGCAATACTATACTACTTTCAATTTCTAGAAAACGCCAAGCCATTTCCTGCCTGGGCCTTTGTTCACACAGCCTCCTCTGCGTAGAACACCCTGCTCCACTTTCCCCACCCTCACCACTGGCTTCTAAGGCTCTACTTATTCATTATATCCTCTGGAAAGTTTTGCCTGACATCTCTAGAAAATTGGTCTTCCCCTCCTTCATTTCCACCTCTCAGACTTCTATTATAGCACATGAAGTACTGTTTAAGAGTATTCATTTCTATGATGAAGTGGTTAAGATGAGAAATTTCAAATGTCAGCTGTGCCACTTGCTTGTGTTAGATGACAGCCTTTTCTTCACAACATATTGGTTAAATAGGTTAAAAGCACTCGGAACATTGCTGGCACAGGGTGAGTGGTCATTAAGTGTCAGCTATTTTCTTTTCTCTTCTTCCTTCCTTGTCAACATGTTTCCTTTCTTGCCTAGGCTGCTAGGAACCTCTGAGAAAATAATAGGGATAGTCAACACATCTATAATCACCTCCCTGGTTAGGGGGTGCTTTCTGTCCAGAAAGGGAACAGACATTAAATCAATAATTTTTACAACTAAGCAGTGAACTACAATGTTGATGGCCACTGTGAGTAAGGAGTATAGGTGCTTTGAAAACATATAGATTGGGAAAATTAAACTGTGTGAGGGGTGGTGTGGTAGGCAGAGTAACAGCCCCCAAAAAAGTCCCTGTACAAATGCCAGAACCTGTGCATAAATCATCTTACATGGCACAAGGGACTTTGCAGATGTGATTAAATTGAGGATCTTGGGATAGGGAGGTGACTCTGGATTACCACGGTGGGTCCTTATGTAACCACAGGGGTCCTTGTACATGAAAGACGGAGGCAGGAGCATCCATGTCAGAGTGAGGGGACATGAGAAAGATTTGACTGGCCACTGTGGCTTTGAAGATGGAAGAAGGGACCATGAGCTAAGGAATCAGCAGCCTCTAGAAGCTGAAAAAGGCAGAGATGGCTTCTTCCCTAGAGCCTGCAGAGGAAGTGCAGCTTTGCCGATGGACGCCGTGATTGTAGCCTTAGTGAGACCCATTTTACACTTGTGAGCTCCAGAACTGATAATAAATAGAAGATAATAAATGTGCATTGTTTTCAGTCACCGAATTTGAGGTCATTTGTTACAGAAATTGTAGGAAACTAACACAGGTTGTCAGCTCAATGCATTTTTGGGAGAAAGGGAAGAAGGGAGAAAGGAAGGGAAGAGGGGAGGGAAGAGTCTAAACCTGGGGGTGCTGAACCAGTAGAAGGAGATGGTCTCTAGGGTCTGCTATAAGCTAATAGCTTCAGAGCTGTTTGTGGGAAGGAAAGCCTCTTGTCAGTCAATATTTACTCAAGGGGAGTCTTGACCTCTGTGCTGTTCCTCACGCTGCTTTATTATGAGCCACCTTTAGCCTTCATTTTAAAACACTCAAAATCAAACACACTGCTGGCCCCAGGGCTCCTGCAAACATATGGAGTTGAGATCCCCATGGACACAGGAGAAACATTTTAAATGTAGATTAATACTTTAATATGAACCCAGCTCCAGCACAGTAATCCTTCATGCCACGTAGCAAACCCCAGGGGAAGCTGTGATTGGTTTGGTGGGATCACCCAGTCATCTCTGTACACAGAGTCTGCACGGCTGCGCCCTGAACTGCCTGACGGTTAAAACAGGATGGAGCTGAGCCAAACTTTGTTTCTCAGCCTCTGCCCTAGATTCTTCTGGGTGCCTCCCTGGCCAGGCCCATGGAAGACGGGATAAAGGCAAAGTCCAAGTTCAGAGCCGACTGTCATGTGCCACAGTGTCCTGGGATGTTCATATACCCTAGCGAGGCTTGTTTGATCTGGTTTTTAAAGTTTCTCTCCAGCAAAACCAATATGATCCTCGAATTCTCTCTCTTTCTGCAACAGCAGAAGTTGCTCTCTGGATGGAAAGGCCTCATTCCTTTTTTAAAAAAAGTTTTATTTTTATTTTAAGTTCCAGGGTACATGTGCTGGATGTGCAGGTTTGTTACCTAGGTAAACATGTGCCATGGTGGTTTGCTGCACCTATCAACTCATCACCTAGATATTAAGCCTGCATTAGCTATTTTTCATAATGCTCCCCCTCCTCCCACTCCACCCCTCAAGAGGCCCCAGTGTGTGTTGTTCCCCTCCCTGTGTCCATGTGTTCGCATTGTTCAGCTCCCACTTATAAGTGAGAACATGCAATGTTTGGTTGTCTGTTCCTGCATTCGTTTGCTGAGGATAACGGCTTCTGGCTTCATCCTTGTCCCTGCAAAGAACATGATGTTGTTCATTCTTATGGCTGAATAATATTCCATGGAGTATATGTACCACATTTTCTTTATCCAGACTATCATTGATGGGCATTTGGGTTGATTCTTTGTCTTTGCTGTTGTGAATAGTGCTGCGATAAACATACACGTGCATGTTTATTTGTAATAGAATGATTTACATTTTGAGGGGTATATACCCAGTAATGGGATTGCTGGGTCAAATGGTATTTCTGGTTCTAGATCTTTGAGGAATTGCCACACTGTCTTCCACAGTGGTTGAACTAATTTACATTCCCACCAACAGTGTAAAAGCATTCCTATCTGTCAGAGGTCTAATATCCAGAATCTACGAGGAGCTTAAACAAATTTACAAGAAACAAACAACCCCATTAAAAAGTGGGCAAAGGACATGAACGGACACTTCCCAAAAGAAGCCATTCATGTGGCCAACAAACATATGAAAAAAGCTCAACATCACTGATCATTAGAGAAATGGAAATCAAAACTACAATAAGATACCATCTCATGCCAGTCAAAATGGCGATTATGAAAAACTCATTCCTTATTTTTGACCACACTGCCTCTGCCAGGAATGTTCCACCCAAATGGGGTATTCAGATGGTGATTCCTGTCTCTCCTCTGAGTATCAGCTTTCAGATCTCCTTAGAGAGGCCACCTCCATCTCTCTAGCTAAAGTCAACTCAGTGCAGTCCCTCTATTGTACACCAGGTTTATCCTTCCAGGGCTTGTCATTGTTAGAATGCTGCAGTGTATACGGATTTGTTTGTTTGTGGAGCTCTTGCTCCTGCTTCACCCGTTCCCACTAGAACATAAGCCCCTTGAAAGCAGGGACCTCTTCGCTCTTGAATGTTACTGTATCTTCAGGCCTTCAACATGTTTTGTTCCTGCCCAATAATCACATTCCCATTTCTCAACCGCCATGTTAAGGGCTGAATCGTGCCCATCCCCCCCCCCCCGCCCAATTCATATCTTGAAGTCCCAGCCTCCAGTACCTCATCATATAGCTGTATCTAGAGATAAGGTCTTTAAGGAGATAATTCAACTAAAATGAGGTCATTAGGATGGGCCCTAATCCGATATGACAAGTATCCTTAAAAGAAGAGGAAATTTGGACATAGACAAGTACAGAGGGAAGACAGTTTGATGACACAGAAAAAAGATGGCCACCTACAAGCCAAGAGAGAGGCCTGAAATAGATCCTTCTCTCACAGTGCTCAGGAGGAACCCACTCTGCTAACACATTGACCTTGGACTTCTAGCCTCCAAGAACTGTGAGAAAATCCATTTCTGTGGCTTCAGCCACCCAGTCTGTGGGACTTTGTTACAGCAGCTCCAGCAAACTCATACACATCATCACAAAGTGGACCAGGAACTTGCAAGAAAATACTCAGTGGAATGTTCATTACCTTATCCATGAACACGCTAGCAAGAAATAGATGCCACTCTCCATTTGTGTAATTTGAGTTGAGTTTAATAAAAGGACTACCTGGAAGATGTGGGCAGGGTATGGGGCAACATAGGGAGGGCGCAACACTGTGGGGGCGAGCAACATGGGGAACCAGTACCACCCTGGGCTGCCAAAGAGAAGGAAGGGGACAGTTAGCAGGAAGCCGAAGAGAAAGAACATTTTGTGGAGAGAGAGTTGCCTGGATAAAAGCTGTGGTCTTTGGAGATCAGCCAGCTTGCAGTGATGCTGCGGGGAGCGGGGGCAGGGAAATAAATACCCGCACCTGACTCTTCCCTCCCACGCCAGGCAAGGCTCACAAATGGCAGAACTCACTGACGTGGTCCACATGGTCCAGACTTCTGTGGCAGAAGCAGAGTAAAGAGGGGTGGAGAGTGGGTCTGGAGGGCTATGTGGAAGATTTCAGTATAACACCCTCTTTCCCCAACTATTGTCAAAGCACGTCTCTTCCACTTGCTAACTCCTACAGAGAAATGAAGCAAATGCACTTTCATCTTCACCTCCTGCAGGCTAGGAGTGCCATTTCTAAACAATGCTCTCGGTATTGAATTCCACTGCAGATGGCCAAATGAGTCTATTTATTGAGTTTTACCAAAGCTTTATTGATACCATGTTGGAGAAGGATAGCACAATCTCAGTCCTGCCTCACCCGGGCTAGAGAGATTGCCTTCCCTAATTATTCTCAGGCAAGAATAATCTACAAGTTTGATGTAAATAAGATGCGTCAGAAGCTCCATTTATCAATGCCCAGGAAGACTCAGAAATAGAAAGAGTGGGTGGCTAACATTTGCTGAACACCTATTAAGTGTCAGACAGTTAACTAGCTTAATCCTGGCAAGAATTATGAAGTTAGCCCAGGCTTAATGGTGTGGGGTTGTAGCCCCAGCTACTTGTGAAGCTGAGGTGGAAGGATTCCTTGAGCCCAGGAGTTTGAGACCAGCCTGGGCAACACTGCGAGACCCCTGCCTCAAAAAAAAAGAATTATGAAGAGATATTACGCCAGCTTCACAGATGAGGACTCAGGCACAGCCAGCAAGTTAGCAGAGCTGGGATTGGTGCTCTGGGGTACCTCACTCCAGTGTCTTCCTCTTGCCCCATCCCAGATGCCTTTCAAGGAAATGAAATGGCTCAAAAAAAAAAAGCTAACAAATAAGGTTAGACTCTCAGAATAATAATAATGCCAGATACATTTTGAGTAGTTACCATCTGCCTAGGTACTCCGATTTACATAAGTTATCCCATGAAAGCCTCAAAACCACCCTAAAGAAGTTTATGCTATTTTATCTCCATTTTAAAGATGAGGACCTTGAGTCTTAGAGGAGTTCAAGGACTTGGCCCAGGTAAGGCCTAGGCTCTCAATTCAAACCCCAGATAACCTGGCTTTAGAGCCCAAGTTCTTCATAAGAATTGGAACTACAGAGAATGGAATTACGATGAACAAGAATACAGGACGTGGGTGAAGAAGGGAGAACCCACGTGAGCAGAAAACCCAACCAGCTTGCTGCCTTGCACTGAGTCAGCAAAGGGAGGTGAGAATATGGCAAAAAGTGCTCAGGAAACCTTCCAGAAAGAACCTGCTCTCTTGGTGTTCGGGAAGAATACAGGAGATTAACTTGGGTTTCTCAGCCCCAGCACTACTGATATTTTGGGCTAATTTTTTTCTTTTATTTATTTATTTATATATTTATTGTTGACGGAGTCTTGCTCTGTCGCCCAGGCTGGTGTGCAACTCAGCTCACTGCAACCTCCACCTCCCAGGTTCAAGCAATTCTCCTGCCTCAGCCTCCCGAGTAGCTGGGATTACAGGCGTGTGACACCACACCCAGCTCATTTTTGTATTTTCAGTAGAGATGGGGTTTCACCATGTTGGCCAGGCTGATCTCGGACTCCTGACCTTAGGTGATCCGGCCGCCTCAGCTTCCCAAAGTGCTGGAATTACAGGCCGAGTTAATTTTTACTGGGATAATAAAATAATTATTGGAGGGATAATTTTTATGGGGGATAATTTTTATTGGATAATTTTTATGGGGGGATAATTTTTATTGGATAATTTTTATGGGGGTAATTTTTATTGGATAATTTTTATGGGGGGTAATTTTTATTGGATAATTTTTATGGGGGATAATTTTTATTGGATAATTTTTATGGGGGGTAATTTTTATTGGATAATTTTTATGGGGATAATTTTTATTGGATAATTTTTATGGGGGTAATTTTTATTGGATAATTTTTATGGGGGGTAATTTTTATTGGATAATTTTTATGGGGGATAATTTTTATTGGATAATTTTTATGGGGGGTAATTTTTATTGGATAATTTTTATGGGGGATAATTTTTATTGGATAATTTTTATGGGGGTAATTTTTATTGGATAATTTTTATGGGGGGATAATTTTTATTGGGCAGGGTTGAGGTGGTCCCGTGCACTGCAAGGTGTGGAGAAGCATCCCTGGCCTCTCCTTTCTTAGATATCAGTAGCATCTACCTGCCAGTTTGTGACAATCAAAGATGTCTATACGCTCTTTTTTGGTTGAGAACCACCGCTGTAGCTCACAACAAGGGTGCAGGGTAGGAGGGAAACTCAAGGTAGAAGCTCTTCATCTTGCAGAGCCAGAAGTAAAACCTCCAGATGGAAGGGCTGACCTCCAGAAAGAAGGCAGAACCCAGGACCAGGAAAGCCACCAAGAAGATTTTGTGGTTTGATGAAAGGACCATGGACTTCAGCACTGGATGGGCAAGACTCAAATCTAAATATGTCACTTATTGCTCTGCAGTGGGGTGGGAGGGTGGCAAATTGCTTCACCTCGCAGAGTTCCGGTTTCCCAGGCTCTCAAAAGGATATAAAAATATCTACCACACAGGGTTGTTGTGGGCACCAGCTGATGCCTCAGTGTTCTCTCAGATGATTGGTTGTCATTTCTCCTCCTCCCTCGTTTCTAAGACCAGCAAAGCCAAGTTCTGCAGCGGGGCTGTGTGACTGCTCTCCATCTTCCTGCGTACATTTCACTCAGATGAAGTCCTTTCTCGCCCTCTAAACAGCTGGCCGAGGATGAGTCACCACCACAGGAGAGCCATATCCTAGAGAATGAAAGGGGAGGGGCATTGCAGGCAGTAAAAAAGCCATTTTGTAGAAGGGCACGGAGATATAACAGAGTATGGAATATGTGGAATGGTAAATTGTCTGGAGCTCTAAAGCATGCAGAATGTCTTAATCCCAAAAACTGAGGCTGAAAGATTACATGGTAATCGGAGTTTGAAAGTTCTCACTGTTGTCTGGAGAACTCCTACTCATTTTCCAAGATCCATCCCAAAGAAGGAAAAATAGAGCTAGTTATAGGTGGATGCAAAGCATTCAGAGTGGGGTAATTCCAGGAGCTGGGGCCAACAGGGTGTTTGGGGACCAGCTTTCCAAAGGCCAAGCCCTTGCTCTGTTTCCCTGAACATTCCTGTCCCATTGTCATCCATCGCAAACGTCATCTTCTTTGTGATAGCTATTCCAGCTCCCCCAGGTAATCTACTTAATTTCACCTACTCACTTTTCTGTGCTCTGTCACTCTTCTAATGTTATCTATGTTGTACTGTAAAAGGTTGGTCCCATGACTGGCTCCTCTACAAGGCATTATGCTCCATGGTGGAAGCGGGGTGCATATATATTAGTCATCTGTATATTCTGCTCACCTAGCACAGAGCCTAGATGACAGGTATTGCCAGTGACCTGCCCAATATCCATCCTTCCCATCTTCCTTTCCAATAGAATCCCAGATGGGCAACATGCTTTATTAAAGATATTCGTGTCCCAGGCTCCCTTGAAGCTCCGATGCCATACGACCCAGTTTGGACCAGTGAGATGCAAGTTGAACTCTATAGGGTGTGCTTCTAGCAAAGCTGTTGTTTTCCTGATAAAAGGTCAGCCCCAGGGGGCTCTTTACCTTTGGCCTTCATTTCTAACCACCTTTACCCCATCTTCCCACCTAGAAGCTTAGACTCCACACATAGAGGTGGAACAGTCATCTTGAGACCATGAGGATGCAAGACACACTGGGGATAGCTGCGCAGGTGCCTGAAGGGATCCTGAGTCCTCAGGATCTCCTTGAGCAGCTGCAGCAGCCTAGGACTTCCTTCGTCTCAATGGTCATTAGATGCAAAAACCAATTCCCAGTTTGGTTAATCCACTGGCTGGGCTTCTGCTTTGTGTAGCTAAATGCTACAACTTGGCACATAACCTATGCTTAGGGAATTTTGATGACCCAGTTGAATGGTCAGCTCTCCCTCTGTGCAGCTTAGGCCACTCAGCCTCCAGTGATGCAATAAAGAGCCATAAGGGATCTGCAACTTTGATAGACTCCTTGGGTTAAAAATTCTCAGGTATTCTCTCTCTCTTTTTTTTTCCCAAGACAGAGTTCCGCTCATGTTGCCCAGGCTGGAGTGCAATGGTGCGGTCTTGGCTCACTGCAACCTCCACCTCCTGGGTTCAAGTGATTCTCTTGCCTCAGCCTCCCAAGTAGCTGGGACTACAGGCATGTGCCACCACATCTGACTAATTTTTGTATTTTTAGTGGAGATGGGGTTTCATCACGTTGGCCAGGCTGGTCTCGAACTGCTGACCTCAGGTGATCCGCCCACCTCAGCCTCCCAAAGTGCTGTGATTACAGGCGTAAGCCACCACGTCCAGTATCTCTCTATCCTCAATGCAGCAAGGACTCCAGGGCTTTCTCCTTCTGGGAACCCTTCTTTCTTAGAAGAGGCTAATTTTGGAGACCATTTCTAACTAGTTGATATACATTTTGGGGAAATCTGTGAAACTGTGGCGTGGGTAGAAGCATTGACTTTGGAATTGGTTGGACCATTTGCCTTTTCTTTCTTTCAGCGGATACATATTGATGGGATGGAGATGTGTGGGCAAAAACAGTCCTCCTTAAGGAACTTAGTCTAGTGGAAGAGCAGAGCTACACTGATGAGTGACTGATTATAAAGGGAGATAAGTAACACATAGAGAATGCCAGAGTATACAAAAGGACTCTTCTGGTGTTCAGAGAAGGCTTCCTGGAGGAGGTTTCACTTAGATTGACATCAGCAAGTGACCTGGATTCAAACCTCTATCTGTCACTTACTATTTGATATACTCCGGGCAATCATGTAACCTCTCTAGGCTTCTATTTCCACAATTGAAACACCAAATTTCTCATATTTCCCTCTCGTATTTGTGAAGCTTAAATGAAACAATGTTCATGGTGCCTGGCCCACAGGAAGCACTTCTTAGACTGTCAGTCACTCTTACGTTTTTTGTTTCAGACCAAGTTCCTGGCTTCTCCGGCCTGGGGTTGGTGTCCTCAACACCAGTGCTCAGGGTGGGTCAGACACTATTAATCTCTGCCAGTTCAAACCTGTGTAGATGGGCTCAGAAGATCATATGCTGGGGAGGATGAGAACAAAGGCTTCAGGCAACAGTAAAAGATAATTAAGTCCCCAGGGCCGACCCCAGGAAAGTCTCCATTTCCTCTGCCTTGGCCCCTTCCTGGGGTCCCTCAATTACCCCAAGATTTCACTGGAGTCAACCTAGTCAAAGGGATGGCTAGGGTAGGGAGACAGTGGGGATCACCCGTGGGATATCCTGGGGAGATCCAAAGATACTGGGCTCTGAGGGGGCTGCATAGAGCAAAATGAGCTCCTTGAACTCAGAGTGTCTCTTCCCCAGTGCTCCCACCAGGAGGGCCGCAGGGCGGGCCCACGCTCGAGGGAAATCCACTTCCCTTCTTTGACCCCCAATTCCCTTACCTGTAAAATAGGTAATTGGACTAAATTAGTGGTTCTTAAGCTTTGCTGCACATTAGAATCATCTGGGGGAAATTAACGCCCCCCACAGATACCAAGCTGCTGCCCCCCAAACCAACTAAATCAGAACCTCTAGGGTGGAAGCTGAGCATCAGCGCTGTGACTCCCTAGATGGTTCCATGTGCAGCCAGCGTTGAGAACTGGTGGCTCTGAAGGTCTTTCCAGCTGTAAGAATAGATGCTGCTTCCTGGCTGTGTGAACTCAGAGAAATGACTTTAAAACTCCATCCCTCCACTTCCTCATCAGCAAAGAAAGAGTAAGAATGATACATCCCTCATCGAGGTATCATAGGATTAAAAGGATGGATTTCTATAGAGTGCTGATAAGAGGGACTGGGCAGCATGGAAGGGCTCCAGCAGGGCAGTTGGAGGTCGCTGTTGCTGCTCTTGTTATAGCTGTTATTGTGATTATGGAGAAGAAGGAGGAAGGAGAAGAGATGGAGGTTGGGGGTGGGGAAGAAGAAGAAACTCTGTGTTAGGCCCTGAACTCTGTCCTTCTCCCCACCGTGGCCATGACCTTCGCCTCAGTCACAGCAGTAGAAGTAGGACAAGTTCTACTCTCACATAGTGAAGAACCCAGGGGACAGGTGTGCACTAGCTTTTGGGAGTGCCCCATTAGTAGGAGAGAGAATGGGTAAACCCACTCTCCTTAGTGGGGCCTTAGTGTTGCACTGCCCAGCGTCTTTGGGGAGCTACTAGAAGGAGTCTTAGACATTACCTAGTTCTAACTTTTTCTCATTTAAGCAATGAAGACTCTGAGTTACAGAGAGGTTAAGTAATTCACTCAAGGACACACAGCCTTGCACCAAGCCAGGTCTCAAGTCTAGGTTTTTAAACAAAAAAAAAAAAAAAAAAAAAAAAAAAAAAAAAAACTTCAGTCTCAAAGTCATTAAAAAAATAATAATAATACTCTGCAGCCTCCTCTCAGAGGACAAAATCCGTCAGCATTAATCAGTCTTTTTTACTTTGGCAGGGATGCCTTATCTCTTCCTTCTAAGCAGACACAGTGCCTGCAGCTGAAAGAGCAATTGTGATAATTAATAATAATATTTTGCACTTGGAATTTTCCCCTGGCAGCAGCTACTCTAAAAGCATCTCCTCATTCAGCCACACATATCAGCCAATTGACCAGTCCACAGGAGCTCCTGGAGCTTCTGCTGCTGGTTCCACAGCCCTGCACGGGGTCCTGGGAGGAACCCAGCCGCATGGGAAATGCTTCCAGCACTCAAAGAGCTTGTTCAGGGGGCCATGCAAAAGTAAACCAGACTAGAGGCTGTCACTGAGAAAGGCATCTGGACTCTGCAACATCACTCTCCTAGGCACAGTAATAAAAGTCAGATATTATAGGAGCTTCCGTTTGATTTACCATCTTATTTCCTTCATCTGGAACGATGCCTGAAGTTCATTGGCCAAGGGTAACTAGCATCCATTCGGGAATAATGCCCGAAGGCACCTACTCCAGAGGGAGGATTAAATGAGTTAAAACACGTACAGCACTTAGAACAAGGCCATGCATATGGTGAGCACCCCATAAATGCTAGCCTTTGTTGTTGTTAACTATATGCCTTGGTGTCTGCATCAGCAAGGATCCCACTGAGAAACAGATGGAGTGCCCAAAAGGTTTACCAGGAAGACAGCATAATAAAGAGACTATTTTTGAGGTGTGGGCAGGGTTAAGGGAAGCCATAAGGGATAGTGAATAGCTTTCTGGCAATAGCAGAGAACTGTTACCATTAAAGGACAAGACCTTAAGGCACAAGGGGAGGGACTAGCTGCTGGTGAGAGCTGGAGCCACAGAAGAGGGAACTCCACAGGGGCTCTGGCCACTGAAAGACCCACCGTAGCCAGACACGTAGGAGTGGGGAGGATAAAGGCCCCAATCTCTCTTTCTTCCTTCCTTGCAGTCTCCTCTTGGTACCTCCTACTGGAAGCCAAAGCCAAGGACAGATGAAGATGGGGTTTGCAGTGGCCGGCCTCTGGGGACACAGAGCAAATCCGAGAACAGCAGATGATGAATCTAGCACGGGGCAGTAAAGGTAGGGAGGAGCAAACAGTGATTAACCAAAGTTAAGCACAACCAATAATTCGACATGACGGCGATGCTTTGTTGTGACGATGCTTTGGTGTGACGATGCTTTGGTGTGACAATGCTTTGGTGTGATGATGCTTTTCATGCCATTGGCCCTGGAATGTTGCAGTTGCATTCTTACATGCCCTCCACACTCAGTTCTTTCTTAAACATTTTAATTTTTCTGGAGAATGTAGTATACCTGTTCCTTGTTCTAGAATTCTGGCCGTGGCCTTGGGCCAAATGCTTTAAAGCTTTGAAAAGGTAGACCCTAGGAAATAGGTGTGAAACTGTGGAAAAAGGTACACCCACATCTAAGCAGCCAAGGAGAGCATCCCGATAGCAAGGCAGGTTCACACCCTCACTACCTGGAACTCCTCTCACAACTCTAGTCTCTCCTCTCCAGGAAGGGAGCCTGTGTGCTGGGCATACTTCCCACTTGCTCAGCAACATAGAGGTTTCTTTCTCTTGGGCTCTGGAGTTGGACAGCCTGTGTCTGGCTCTCAGCTGTCCACACTCAGAGGCTCTGTGCATTTCGGCGAGTCACTCAGCCTCATCTGAAAATGGGGATAGTAATTGTCCTAACCTCATAGGGGCATTGTGAAAACTCCATGAGACCATGCGCGTAAAGCACTCAGCATAATGTCTGGCACATAGCAGGTGCTCCATAAATGTCAGCTCTCATTACACCCCACTGACTGTTAGTTCCTTGAGGTCAGAGGTCATGACTTTTTAACTCTGGACCTCAGTATGAAGGACAGTGCTTGACACATACCTAGTAATAATTGTTGTACAAAGTAGGACAATCATTCCTATTTTCCCAGTGAGGAACCTGAGGCTCATGGAAGTTGTTTGCGTTGCTCAAGGCCACAGAGTTGTTAGAACCAGAGCTAGGATTTAAACCCATGTGGGTCTGATTCTAAAGCTGCATCTTCTACGTGGGTGGTTCTCAAATTCTAGCAAGCATCAGAGTCACCTCGGGGGCTTGTTAAAACATTGTCCATGTTTCTTATTCAGCAGATCTGTGGGCCCAAGTGTCTGTATTTCTAACAGATTTCCAGGTGACATGGATGGAGCTGGTCTGGGGACCACACTTTGAGAACTCCTGGTCTACACTCTCAGCCTCCCAGTCAGTGTCCATCTCCTCTGTGAAGCCTGCTCGGACTTCTTCAGTCTCCCACCAAACATCTGCACCATCCAGTTCCAACCCGAGCCCATAATCCTATCTCACCTTCCAGGCGAGGTCCTAAAGGTTGTCTGAGCTTTCCCACAGGACTGGCAGCTCCTAGTGGTCAAGAGCCCTGCACAGCATTGCCCCCGCACCCCGTTAGAGACCACCTATCATCTTTCCTTCCCTTCTCCACCCTCCCGCTGGGGCAATCTTGCTGTTCCATGCCTATCTGTATTCACACAAACATATACACACTTGCAGCTTTTCCCTTTTTTAAAAACGAAAAAAGTTTATACTATACAATTTCTCTATCCCTTCCTTCCTTATTTCCTTCCTTACCTCCTTATTTCTTCCTTCCCTTCCTTTCGTTTCTTTCCTTCCTTCCTTCCTTCCTTCCTTCCTTCCTTCCTTCCTTCCTTCATTCTTTCCTTCCTTCCAGTTTTACCCTTCTGGAAGAAAATTTCTTCCCCATTCTTTTTTTTTGTTCTCTTTCCTTTTTTTTTTTTGAGATGGAGTCTCACTTTGTTGCCCAGGCTAGAGTGCAGTGGTGCGATCTCAGCTCACTGCACCCTCCGCCTCCTGGGTTCAAGCAATTCTCCTGTCTCAGCCTCCTGAGTAGCTGAGATTACAGGCACGCACTACCATGCCCCGCTAAGTTTTGTATTTTTCACAGAGATGAGGTTTCACCATGTTGACCAGGCTGGTCTTGAACTCCTGGCCTCAAGTGATCTGCCTGCCTCAGCCTTCCAAAGTGCTGGGATTACAGGTGTGAACCACCGTGCCCAGCCTCTTCCTCACTCTTGATGAGTCCTCCAGGAGCCGAGCTATCATGACTCTGCTGACTGTCTCACCCCCCACGTGCCCTCCCCTCTGAGTGACCTATCTCATTGGTGAGTCTGGGCTAAGGAACTGAGTGGCAGTAGCCCAGGCCCTTCCTCCCCACTGTCTCTTGGGTATGAGCTGCCCACGGGGAGCCAGGTTCTGTTTGGCTCTTCCAGTCCCTGCCACGGCCCAATGCTGCCTACACCCGGGTGGGCGAGTCTGCCTATTCTGAGTACAACATAAGGCAACCCACTTCCCCACAGAGCACCATCTCTCCCAGAGCAGCTTTATCTTTAGTGAAGGTGATATTTGGGGCTCCATCTGCCTTTCTCTGGTGCTTATTTCTCAGTTGGTTCAGAATGTGGGTGGGGAAAGAGGGTTATTGTTTATCAGCACTTACAATATATCACATACCTAAAGACCTGGCTCATTTTAAGCCACTGATTCTGTTGGGATGCTTTTGGTGGCACATAACAGACGGTCCAA
The DNA here is from genome assembly GCF_000001405.40 of Homo sapiens. Taxonomy (NCBI): domain Eukaryota; kingdom Metazoa; phylum Chordata; class Mammalia; order Primates; family Hominidae; genus Homo; species Homo sapiens. The sequence goes on from NC_000001.11 coordinate 20,263,307, forward strand.
CTAAAAGTAGCTTGGACAATAAGGGGGCTGTTCTCTCATATGGTAAAAATTCTGTGGGCAGATCTCTCCACCCACCTCCTGATCTTAGACTCATTTCCTTCCTCAACTCCTGGCCCAGCTCTGGGTCAATTTTCCCATCACTATGCCTGCTGTAACGGGAGAAAGGGGACAGGAGAAGGTGCACCACCAGGGCCCAATATCTGCTGTGCTACTTCTATCTGTGGGTCCTTGGCCAAGTGATCTAAATGCTCTGACCCTCAATTCCATCCTCTGTGACATGAAAATAACAAGATCTTCCTGCTAAGAGTGCGGTAGAGATGAAATTAAATCATCAAGAGTGCCTAGCACAGTCCTTGACACATAGCAGGACTCAGTACTCGGTAGTTCATGCCCCATTTCCCCTCCTATGACCTTCTCAGTGAAGAAGAAAAACTTAAATCGTCCACTTTAGTGCTTAGAAATGCTTTGATTTATGCCTTAGCTGTGTGTGTGTGTTGCTCTTTGTAAATGGGAAGCCACCCTCATGTACCTGTGCTTTCAACCAGGTCCCAGGCAGTAGGGAACGAGTTTCTCCCATTAGCCACTCCCTGACCTATTTCCCTTTGAGACAGGAGATATTCTTGGGGCTAAAAGTGCAGCTCCTAAGGCACAAAACAGCATTTCTCTCTTGAGGCCACCTGCTGATACAGATGCAATAGGCACCAAACAGACACCCCGTATGAGTCCGCTAGGACTGCTGTAACAAAATACCACAAACTGAGTGGCTTAAACAACAGACATTTATTGTCTCACAGTTCTGGAGGTGGAAGTCCAAGATCAGGGTGTTGGCATGGCCATGCTCCCTCCGAAGGCACCGGGGAAGGATCTGTTCCACGCCGCTCCCCCTGGAACACGTGGTAGCTCCTTAGCACATGGCAGCATCACGCCAATGTGCACATGGCATTCTTCCTGAGCATACATCTTTGTGTCTAAATCTCTCCTTTTCATAAGGACCCCTGCCATATTGGATTAGGGGCCCATCCTACTCCAGCATGACCTCATTTTAACTAAATACATCTGCAGTGATCCTATTTCCAAACAAGGTCACATTCTGAGGTGCTGAGCATTAGGACTTGGACATAGGAATTTGGGGATACGTTCCAACCCATAACATACCCCATGCTTAGCCATAGTATCTCTCAAACACATCACCCTCTTCCCTCTCTCTGTTCTTGCTCATGGGTTCCCTTGACCTGAGATGTCCTTTCCCTTCCATCTCTGTCAACATTCTACCCATCCTTTAAGGCCTACTCAAACACCACCTCCTCCATGCAGTCTTCCTTCAACCATCTGGTCAGAAACAGTCTCTCTGTTCTTTGCCTTCTCTGACATTCTCTTTGTGCCCTCATTATAGTGCTGTTCTGAAGTCAGCCCCACACTTGATTTAGTTGTGAGATGGTGTGTCCAGGGGCAGAGCCCAGATCAGCCACCTTCCAGCTATGTGGTCTAGGACCTCCTTACTCAAGTGTGGCTCATGACCCGCAGCATCCATATCGCCTGATTAGAAATGCAGAATCTCAGGCCCCACCACAGCCCTACTGAAGCTGAACAATCTAGAGTTTATCAAGGTCTTCAGGTATTTCATAGGCACACTACAGTGTGAGAAGCACTGGTCTAGCACAAGTTACTTATTTGAGCCTCAGTACTCTAACCTGTAAAGTGGGGATGGTGATAGTACCTGCCTCATAGAATTGTTAGAGGAATAATCGAGAAAATGTGTGTACAGTGCTTAACACAGCACCTGCAGCAGGATAAGTAACTACTAAATAATGGCAGTTATTATTAGTATTAATATACATTCTTAAAGAGCAAAGATCAAGATTAAATAAAAGAATGCAAATAAAGCTTTCAGAATAACCTCGCTAGGCCCTCAACAGGGGAGAGCTGTTGTTCATCTTAATGACTCTCTCCTGTTTTTCCTACCCACCCCATCTCGGGCTGGTGCCTTGCTAAAGTGTTTATTGGTGTTTATTGAGAAGAAGACAGTGGCCAAGTTAACAGGCCCATATGGAGAGGGAGCCCTGGGCCTCATCAGCGCTAATTGCATTCTCTGGCCAATGCCAAGGCCCTCCTCCCAGGCAGCTGCCCCTTGCCCCAGTTCCACTCCCAGCCAAGAGCCCTGGACACGCATACACAAGAGTTTCCTATCTTCATTCACCTCCTGCAGTGTCCACAGCAGAAAGAGAGAGAGAGAGAACATGCTGGAATTGTCACTGAGAGTGTAGAGAGGTTGTGGAATGTGATTCTGGAACATGAGACACTGAGTTTCTGCCGGGAAGGGAAGGGACAGGCATGTCAGGGCTGCCCACTCTGTGCTGGGATCCTCTTGGACCTTTGCAAGTTCCTTGTCTCATTTTTTCCTCACTACAAAGTCCCTAAGAAGCCATTATTTTTCTTTTCATTTTGTAGATGAGGAAACAGAGGCATATAGAGATTGAAGAGCTTATGTGAGCTCACCAGGCTGGTCAGTGACAGAGTTGGGATTCCAATCTGTGTCTCTCTGATCCTAAACCAGCTACCCTGAGACAGATGGGAAGAAAGGGGAAATGGGAAGACCTTCAAAACCCCTACTGCCCAGTTCTCTTCAGAGCAGAATAAAGACTAGCATAGAGAAGAAGGCTGCCACACAGGTGAGGACCACAGAGGAACCTTCTGGAGCAATCTAGAAGGAGGGTGTGTTTGAGCTGGGAGGAATTTCTGTTTTTATTTTATTTAATTTTTGAGATGGAGTCTTGCTTTGTCACCTAGGCTGGAGTGCAGTGGTGCGATCTCGGCTCATTGCAACCTCCACCTCCCAAGTTCAAGCAATTCTCCTGCCTCAGCCTCCCAAATAGCTGGGACTACATGTATGCACCACTGTGCCCTGCTAATTTTTGTATTTTTTAGTAGAGATGGGGTTTCACCATGTTGGCCAGTTTGTGTCTCGAACTCCTGACCTCAGGTGATCCACCCACCTCGGCCTCCCAAAGTGCTGGGATTACAGTCATGAGGCACCGCACGTGGGCTCAAGCTGGGAGGAATCTTGGTGAGCATCCAATTCAGCCTTCCCGTGGCCACTCCTCCCACAGACAGGCAAACGGAGGCCTGGGGGTTTCAGTGGGCCTTGTATTAGCAACATAAGGAAAATGCACATTTATTGAGTCCTGCACTAGGTGCTGTCGCGAGTGTCTCATCCCCTCCTTTGGAGGCTGCATGAGCTCACCAGCCCATGACAATCCCTATCAGCTGCCATTCCAAATCTTTTTGGGAATTAGGTGGGGAACACATGTTTCAAAAACTCTTATCACTCCCATTTTACAGATAAAGCAACCGAGACTCAGAGCGGTGAGGTGACTTTCCCAGGGCCTCAGAACCAGTGAACAGCAGGGCCAGGATCAAAACCCAGCCCTGCCTGATCCTGAAGCCCGAGATTCCTGCCACTGCCCCACTTAAGAGAAGGAGTCTCAGAGAAAGAACACAGATGGAGGCTGCTCTCTTCTGCCCCCTGTAACCACAGCACAGCTTGTCCCAGGGGGTGGGGGACAAGAGTTCCTTTTCCCAAAGCACAGCAGGCACAACCCTACGATATTAGGAGGTGGGCAGAAGTCCAGTCTAGAGGCCCCCGCTCAGTGGGAGCCTCTGACACCTACTCACCATTGCCAGAGGTAGAATATTCCAGACATCTCCAACTCTGAGCCCAGGGGCCCCTGATTCGGCCAGGCCTTGCTTTCCACTGTTCCTGTCCACTCTCTCCAGCCACGTTTGTCTCCCCAATACTCACCTCTGTAAGCACCCTGTTTATAGCTGCATTCCTTTGATCGCCGCATCCTTTTTCCTCCTATACTTTTATTTACTTAATATTTTTCGTTAAAGTGACTAACTCTTATAATCTGACCTCTTCCTGAAAAATAGCCACAAAATTGCAGCCATAGTATGCTCAACATTCATGTTGAAATCCATAGAAATAAACATGCAACTATTAGAATAAAATTTGTTTATTCTTGTACCAATTAAAAGTATCTAAAGTTGCACCGGAAATAAGAGTATCAAATTCCAGAAAACTCTGGCCTACAGAAACTGAACTAATCTCCACAATGACTTTTGCACGGCAGTGTTATCCTTACCCTCAATTTGACAAAGAGGAAATTGAGCATCAGGGCGGCTTGCCACCCAAGGTCACATAGCCAGTGAGTCGAGGAACCCAGGTTGCCTGATTACTGGTGCCCCACTTTCCCTACTGACCTGAAAAATACAGTTACCTCTGCTTCTCCCTCACCAACTCTTCCCTGAGTCTCTGGCAGTGGCTTCTGGGCCACTCTGCCAAGGCTACCATCCAAAGAGCTGTCCAGTAGCCTTCCCTTTGTTGAAGCTCCTGTTTTCTTTTTATTTTTTTCCAACTATCATTGCATTTATTTTTTTAAAATTTTTTCTTGTTTTTTTAAATTATACTTTAAGCTCTAGGGCACATGTGCACGACGTGCAGGTTTCTTACATATGTATACATGTGCCATGTTGGTGTGCTGCACCCATGAACTCGTCATTTACATTAGGTATATCTCCTAAAGCTATCCCTCCCCCTCCCCCCACCCCACGACAGGCCCCGGTGTGTGATGTTCCCCTTCCTGTGTCCAAGTGTTCTCATTGTTCAATTCCCACCTATAAGTGAGAACATGTGGTGTTTGGTTTTTTGTCCTTGCGATAGTTTGCTGAGAATTATGGATTCCAGCTTCATCCGTGTCCCTACATTCTTGCAACCTTTGGCACTGTCATATTCAGTCTGTGAACCCTCCCCCTGCAGCCTTTGAGGCAACTGGGAAAGAGCAATCAAGATTCTGCAAGGGAGGAAGCCATGCAATGCCTCCAAGTTGTCTAAAACGGGCACATTCTAACTCTCCCTCCCCAAATGACAGCTTGAAGAGAGGTCTTCCCTGAGTCTAAGCTCCTTCATGCTACAAAGGCCAGCAAAGACACGCGAGATTTCTGCAGCCAAGATCAATGTTACAGATCGTTGATTTCATGAAACAGAAATCCACACTGAACCACTTAAGCAAATAAGAAATTCATTGGGAAGATGGGGGAAAGCTTTCAAATTAAAGGAAAACTGAAACAAACATACAAACCAGATCTCAGAAAGAGTAAGAAACCAAAAATCCAGGTAGCGGTAGCAAAAGGGCATCTGCCAGGGCCCTGAGGGTGAATTGTGTTCACACAGTCACTATTTCTGTGTGACTCCCTTTATTTAAACTCCAGAGCAATCTCGGGTTCTGAGTTCACCTCTTAGCTGGGCATTGGACAGGATACCTCGATTGACAGCCCCACCAATCCCGTTCATGGCAGAGAAGGGGGTGCTCATACCAGGAGCATCAGGGCTGTCTTATCATAATGAGGAGGGATGGGTACTGACATCCAAGATCACCACCACATCACCTTTAGAAGACGCCAAGGGGTCCATTATTTTCACAGTCAAGGTAATTCGAGGTCCTTATCAGAGCTGTGAAATGATGTAGGTTTCAGTGTGGATGTTCTCAGATAACCAGCTAGACTAAAGGAGGGTGAGAAGACGTTCTCCTGAGGAGGTCTTGGCCTACAAGTGGTTCTGCCTCCAGATAACTGTCAAGTCCCTTGGTGGTGACCAGAGGTCTAGGGAGAATTCTGCAGGTTCCTACTCACTCATTCTCGAAGCCTCTGTGATGCCTGCTTCCAAAGATGGGCACACAATCTTTCCCATCCCATGTGCCCTTTTGCAAATGTGGCTTTGCTACTCCTCCCACTAAGAGATGAAATCTATTCTCCCCACCTTCTTGAATCTGGACCAGCTCTAAGAGTTGCTTTGACAAATAAAATATAGTGGATGCAATGCTGTGTGACTTACCCATTGAAGTCTTAAGTGGTCTTTTAGCTTTTGGTTTTGCATTTGGTACCTGAAACTTAGGAAATCTACCTGTTATGGACTGAATTATTACTGCCTGCCCACCCCCCACCACCCCCCAAAATTCATATGTTGAAGACCTAATTCCCAATGTGACGTTATTTGGAGATAGAATGCAGATGGAGACCGCCGTCTTCTGCCCCCCGTAACCACAGCACAACTTGTCCCGGGGGGTGGGGGACAAGAGTTAAAGTTAAATGAGGTCATAAGGGTGGGGCCCTAATCCAATAGTACTGGTGTGTTTACAAAGAGAGGAAGAGACACCAGGAGTATGTGTTCGCAGTGGAAGGGCCATGTGAGGACACAGTGAGAAGGTGGCCATCTGAAAGCTAGAAAGAGAGGCTTCATCAGAAATGAATTCTGCCAGCACCTGGATCTTGGACTTCCGGTCCTGCGAGTGGTAAGAAAATAAATTTGTGTTTTAAGCCACCCAGATTTTGTGATACCCTGTTATGGTAGCCCAAGCAGGCTAATGCACCTCCAATTTTTAATGGGTGGAATCTCTCAAGGATTAATCCTGGCCCCTTTCTTCATCCCACACTTTAGTACTGGTATATCTACCCCAGGACTTAGATGTCACCTATATGTTGGCAACTGTAAAATATAGCTTAAACATGGCCACTTCTCTCCAGCCCTGTTGCCATCACCTTAATTCAAGCCAATCTTATCTCTTGCCTAGTATATCAGTCAGCTAATGCTATGATAATGTTGCATAACAAATACCTCCCCCCCACAACACACAAATCCCATTGACCTGCCACAACAAACATTTATTATTCTTGCCAATAGGTTTGTGGGTCATTTCGGAAAGTTCTCTGGGCTACAGGTCAGATTCTGATCTTCTCTGTAGGTCTCCTCATTCTCTGTGAACCAGCAGCTACCCAAGGCATGTCTTTCTCATGGCAGGTGGCAGATGCATAAAAGAGCGAGCCAAACCATGCAAATGCTTTTAAAGTCTCTTCTGTGTTCCATCCACTAACATTCTAACATTTAACTAATGTTAAAGCAAGTCACATAGCTAAGCCTAAAGACTAGGGGGCAGAAAAATATATTCCTCCCATGGAAAGGAAGCCATGACAAGAGGCAGGAAAGGAGGAAGAAACAAAGACAAATAATACAGTCTACCACACCTGGGCTGCTATAATAGCCTCTATTATGGGCATCCCTCCCCAAACCACCAGAAGAGCCACCTTTTAAGATAAAAATTGGATCAAGTTGCTTTTCTGCTTAAAACCTCTTGGTGGCTTCCCATTGCTCATGGAAAAAATTCCAAATTCTTACTGCTGCCTGCAAGGTTCTGCATGGCCTGGCCCCTGCCTCCTGCTTACACCGTTCACCCACTATTCACTCTACCCCAGCCACACTGGTCCTCTTTTAATTCCTTGAACTCACCCACCTTAGGAAAGGTACTCTCCCTAGAAGTCCATCTCCATCTTTCCTCTCTGATATGGTTTGGCTGTGTCCCCACCCAAATGTTATCTCGAATTGTAGCTCCCATAATCCCCATGTGTTGTGGGAGGACCCCGTGGGAAGTAATTGAATCATGGAGGCAGCTTTTTCCTGGGCTGTTCCCATGATAGTGAACAAGTCTCACAAGATCTGGTGGTTTCATAAAGGGCAGTTCCCCTGCACACTCTCTCTTGCCTGCCACCATGTAAGATGTGCCTTTGCTCTTCCTTCACCTTCCACCATGATTGTGAGGCCTCCCCAGCCATGTGGAACTGTGAGCCCATTAAATCTGTTTTTCTTTGTAAATTACGCAGTCTCAGGTATGTCCTAATAGCAGTGTGAGAACGAACTAATACACTCTCCCTTCCTGGAAAACTTCTAGTGCTTCAAGTCTCTATTGAGTTGTCATTTCTTCGGGGAGGACTTGCTTGCCCCTTTCCCACCCTGATACCTTGTATCTTCCTCTTATACATTCTCCTCACTTCCTGTTAGGGTTTTAATTGTGTCCCCCCAAATTCATATGTTGAAATCCTAACCCTCAGTACCTCAGAATATGACTATATTTGGAGAGAGGTTCTTAAAGAGATGATTAAGTTAAAATAAGGTCATTAGGGTAAGCCCTAATCCAATATGGCTGGTGTCTGTAAAAGAAGAGGAGATTGGGACACATACACACACAGAGGGAAGACCATGTGAAGATAAAAGGAGGAGGGAGCCATGTGCAAGCCAAGGAGAGAGGCCTCAGAAGAAACCAATCCTGCTGACACCTTGATCTTGGACTTCCAGCCTCCAGAATTGTGAGAAAATAAATTTATTTTGTTTCAGCTACCGCATCTATGGTATTCCATTATGGCAGCCCAAGTAAACTTTTATACTTCTGATACACTTCTTGACTGCATGAATCACAAAGGTAATCACATGTTTATGATGTAATTTCTTTTACATGCCTGTCTCTCCCACTAGATGGTGCAACCACACAGAGACGTCATCTGATTTACCTAGCGTGGTGCTTGGCACATAGTAGGTGCTCAAAAAATTACTTGAATGAATGAATGAATAAATGTGCTTCATCTTAGTTGACAAAGCAACGGGAGAGGCTGGAGATGGACTTGGTACGGATCCACCCTGCAACTTCCCTTGAGGCATCCACCCTTTCCTCGTTCCTCACAACCCTTCCAAAGCAAAGCTGTTCAACTGTGAGATTTGCAATTTGATTTACTCCTGAGTGACATCATAGCCATTACCATGGCAACACCCAGCGATGCCTGTCTGCCAGACAAAGTCTCTCCCATCAGCAAAGGGCAGATGGACACCCAGGATGGAAAGGAGCCATTTGTGAGGCACAAGCATCAGCCTTTGCTGCCCTGCAGCCAGGGGCTGATGGAGCTGGTGCTGGTATATCAGGGGTGGGTGCCCCTGCGGGGTGGAAGCCTCAAAATCCTTCCTTGCCACGGAAGAACTCTTTATCTCTAAGACAGGCCAGCTGCAGCCAAAAGCAAAATTACGCCAGTGGGGGCCAAGTATAACACAGGCAACTCTGGCTGGCTTATCTGTGTAATCCTCCCTTCGGCCCTCAAAACACTTGAGCAGTAGACAAAGCCATTGTTTTCCTGTCTGACTATCTCTCTCTTTCCCTTCCTGATTTCTTACTTTCCCTCCTGCTGCCTTTCTGTCCTCTCTTTCTCTTACCCTACCTCACTACCATCTTCTCTCTGTTTTTGTCAACAGTTGTCACAAACCTGAAGTGTGTCAGACCCTGTCTTGGACAGACGTGGAGTATTAACTGGTGTCTAGGATGGGTCTCTCTCTTATGGAAAAAGGAGTAAAGCCCCACCCTTTCCTTTTGGGAGGAGGTCTTAGGTTGCAGCTTGTGGGTGAGGGGCATTGAAGAGGAAAGAAATGTTGCTGGTATGATGAGTAAAACCTCAGAACACATTTCTTATAGCAACAGAATTATAAACAAGAGTTGGTTGTAGTTAAAATACTACTGGTATCTCTCCAAGTAGTTAGGGATCAAATAAGATTTTATGGATCAGTCTGGAAATCCAACCAGCATCTTAGGTGAAAGGATCCTGATTCTAAACTTTTAGACACTATCTCACATGCACTGAGAGCTGTATCTAGTGTTCTCCCATTTCCTCTCTCTGTGCTTCTCAGGGCCACTTAGACTTCCTTCATCCCCAGAATCAAAGGGACCAGAAACTTAGAAGATGTCACAATTTTATCTGCTACTGACCCTGCAGGCAGGGCTGCCTGGTGGTGAAACAATATGGTATGTAACAGAGTCGAGACAGGTTTGTGTAGGATGGATGCAGGCTCCAACCCTGTGCTGCACTGCCTGGCTGCCCGATCTCCCTCAACGAGCCTCAGTTTTTCACCTGTAAAGTGGGGATAATGCGTCCACATCTCAGGATCATTGTGAAGAGTGAGGACATCACATATAAAAAAACTGGCCCACAGAAAGCATGGAGTAAATGCCAGCTGTTACAGCAGCTTCTGTAGGAAGGCAGAGCCTGCCTTGCAGCCACTCCACTGGCAAACGTGTCAATAGGAAGAGTGAGAAGTGAGCAGTGCCTCCTGAGCTGATGCCTACAGAGGAGCTGTGACAATCTGCCTCTAGAACAACCTCAGCAAGCTGCCTGGCCCAGGGGAAATCCAACCGTGGTGACTTTGCCCAGATTCTGCAAGATGCTTTCTAATTGTTGGTGTTCACGAGGGACAAGCAACAGCTGAGCTCATTCCCTTCCTATCAATTTGCAACATCTGCCCCAGCCCTTACTGACAGTAGAGAAAAATAAGGACTTTCCGATCACACCTTTAGGCCACCAATCTTCAATGAGTTACTGGGCCCTTCCAGAAATCAGATTTTCTAACTGGTCCCTGCATTGGCTCCAGCAGCTTTGGAGTGTGAGTGCTGTCTCTTTGGAGAGATTGTGGGCTCCTTGAGGGCTCTGCCTTTTTGTTCTGTGTAGCCCCAGCACATAGTAGGGGAAGTCACACAGTAGGTATTAATAAATATTGGGTGGATGGATGGATGGATGGATGGATGGATGGATGGATGGATGGATAAATGGGTGGATGAATGGGTGGGTGGATGGATGGATGGATGGATGGATGGATGGATGGATAGATCAATGGGTGGGTGGGTGTATGGAAGGGTGGATGGATGGATGAATAAATGGATAGATGAATGGGTGGGTGAATGGATGGGTGGATGGGTGTGTGGGTGGATGGATGGATGGATGGATGGATGGATGGATGGATGAATGGATGGATAGATCAATGGGTGGTTGGGTGTATGGATGGGTGTATGGATGGATGGATGGATGGATGGATGGATGGATAAATGGATAGATGAATGGGTGTGTGGGTGGGTGAATGCATTGGTGGATGGGTGTGTGGGTGGATGGATGGATAAATGGATAGATTAATGGATGGATGCATGGATGGGTGAATGGATGGATGGATGGGTGGATTGGATGGATAGGTGGATGGGTGCATGGGTGGATGGGTGAATGGATGGATGGATGGGTGGGTGGATGAGTGAAGTACAATGACTGAAGTAAGAATTGCCTCCTTTCCATAGGGAAATCCAAAAGCATGGGAAGACCCTGGGCCGAGGGAGCAGAGGCTGAAACTCTGGGAAAAGCTGTGAGGACCACAAAAGTGGTTGGGCCCCTAATGGCCTCAAGACCCGGGGCAAGTCATTTCTTGTACCCATACAAGGCGTACTTCATAGAGGCGGGTTGGTGGGCTCGGGTCTCAGTGCAGCCTTTTGCATTGTAGATGAGGGCTTGGGCCTCCATTTCCTCTCCATGGCAGGGGCATAATTATGACAACTCCCTTGTGAGATTCTTGTAAAGTCTTTATTGAGATAATGCTAGCTAAGCAGTTCACAGAGTCTGATGTTTATGCATACTCATGATATAGTCAGAATATATTCATGTTATTTATAACACACAAACATTTATAACACATAAACTATTAATATAATTGTCCAAGGCAGAGGAATCTCTAGAGAGGGCAGCTACAGAGAGAGGGAGAAGTTTGCCTTTATTTAGTCACATTGTTTTCTGATTTCTTCCCTCCCCAGGTACAACAAACCCCACAGGAGGCCCAATGACACCCCCTGTCCTAACTCAGCTCAGGAAGAGGCAGCTGCCATGGTTTAAAGAATGTGGGTTTTTAGGGTAGATAGACCCCACATCTGCTCCATACCTTGCTGCATGAGTTATTTCCCTTCTCTGAGCCTTAGTTTCCTCATTACAAAAATGTAAATAAAAATATCTTCTTTACATGATCATTGTTACTAGGATGAGATGAATTTATGTATTTTTAAGAACGTGGGCCGGGCGCAGTGGCTCACGCCTGTAATCCCAGCACTTTGGGAGGCCGAGGTGGGCAGATCAGGAGGTCAGGAGATAGAGACCATCCTGGCTAACACAGTGAAACCCCGTCTCTACTAAAAATACAAAAAAATTAGCCAGATGTGGTGGCGGGCACCTGTAGTCCCAGCTACTAGGGAGGCTGAGGCAGGAGAATGGCGTGAACCTGGGAGGCGGAGCTTGCAGTGAGCCGAGATCACGCCACTGCACTCCAACCTGGGCGACAGAGCGAGACCCCATCTCAAAAAAAAGACAAAAAAAAAAAAGAACCTGGACTGGGTAGATATTCCCATCAATTCTCTCCCTCCCCTAAAGAGGCAGGGTAGATATAAATCGGGAGTTAGTCCAAGTACAGGAGAGAGATGGTCAACCAGGGGCAGAGCCATCAGGAAAAACTCTGCTCCCAGTCAGCTCTGAAAGGATAAGGCAGAGCATTCCTGGCAGAGAGCAGTATCTGGAAGTAAATCCAATGTTCCAGAAGCTGAGGGGAGGAGGGGAAGAGGGAAGGAAGGAAGGAGAGGCAGGTGTGGAAGTTGCAACCGCAATGACAGAGCTCTGCATTTCAGGCAGAGGGAAGGAAGACACAGAACAGCTTGTAATCGTGGAGGACATGATCAGAGCTGGAGTTCTGAATGGGAAACTGCTGGCCACGTGCGAGGCGGCTAACAGATGGAAAATAACAGAGGCCATGCGTCTAGTGTGGAGGAGATGAGGGGGCCTGAGCCAAGGCAGTGGCAGTGAGGAAGGGAGACTGGGGAATGGATTTTAAAAATCATTTGAAAATATCCATTGAGCACTTTCCCCCAACCTCTGACCACTCCATATCCACTCCAATCCCTCCCTCCAAAGTTTCACTCTGCAGCCAAGTGATCATTTTAAAGCAGATCTCATCACATCTCCCCTGCTTACCAGTTCTCTGATGGCTTCTGAATTCCTTTGAGATAAAAGCCCATGTTCGTTAGACCCCACAGGGTCTGGTGGTCAGCCTGTCCCATGCTGCTCCTTGCTCTTCGCTGCTCCAGCCTGTGTGTTCCCCCAGCACAGGGCCTTTGCACGGGCTGTTCCCTTTCCTGGGAGGCTCTTCCTTCTCCTCCTCCTCTGGTTAACACTCACTCATTGAGATCTCAATTCAAGTAGATGTCCCGACCTCCCTGATTAGCTCAAATTCCCCTAGGATAGGCAAGCACCCTGTAGCTCTCTTGATGGCATTTGTCATCCCAGTTGTTTTTGTACTAACTGATGGCTCCCTCCTCCACTAAAATGTAAGCTCCATGAGGGTCAGCACTGTGTGTTTCTTATCTCATTGTATCCGCAGGGCTTGGCAAATAGACGTGCTCAATAAACATGGGTTGAATGCTTGAGTGAAAGCATGAGCACGCACTGCATGACAGGTACTGTGCTAGGCATGGTGGGAGGCATTGACAGGCAGGGACTCATTCAGGAGCAGAGAACCAGCCGCCCTAGAAGAGAGCTGTCCTTCTGACCCCCTGTTCCCATTTCCCACTGGCTCCTGTCCAGCGTTCAAAGGGCCAGAGCATCTCACAGGGCCAGCATCCCCTTGGCAATGTTGCCACCAGTCAGGCATGATTTGATGCTTATCGGGACCATGCTGGCTGGGCCCAGCCTTGGAAGAGCTAAGGCGGATGCCATGGCAACGACCTAGCTCCTCAGAGGCCCTGGCTTGCTCCTAGGGCTATCAAATCAGGCTTCTCCATTCTCTGGGGACTCCACCCAGCATCCAAGGTCACAGCGACAAACGTCTGAGGGAGAAAAACCACCTTCAAATTTACTCGGAATACATCATTGCAATCAATTTCCTCTGAGAGCCCAGGGGAACCACAGATCAATTAGCCCAGCCCATAGGTCTGTCCACAAGTCCATAGTGACTGTCACCATGGGGACCTGAGTCTCCTAGGTGGAGACAGAGAAGTCACATCTTACAGCAGGTCGTGGAAAGCTCCATGCAGCAAGCAAGAGGCAGTAATATGGTACTTAGGAGAGAGGCAGGCGTCCTAGGCTCGAATCTTGGCTCTGCCTCCTACTTCCCTTCACCTCTCCGCATCCAGTGTCCTCACTTACAAAATGAGGATCATCATAAAGACTTATCTTCTGAGGCTCTTGTGAGGACCAGATCTGCTAATAAGTGAAAATTTCCCGGGCCACCGAGAGTGTACAACAAATCACAGCTGCCTTCATTGGTATCACTGTTGAGAATCCACAAACAGGACCTTATAGAGAGGTGTTGCTAGTTCTTCTCTGTAGATGCTTAAATTGGATTAGCCACCTTTGGAAAATGATGTGCCAAGGTCCTGGTTCTTTTGGTAGGGCTGAGACCAAGGGTTACCTGTCTGGATGTTGAAAGGTATGGCTTTCCTGGCCTGAGAGAGGATGGTTTATCTGAAATGAACTAAATTTCTTAAGTCTTGTGCAATGAAGATGGAGGAAGATTTCTGTGTCAACTCTGTGTGGGGTGGGGGAAGAGGCAGCTTGGCCTGTACCAGGCCCTGTGCTGAGCCCTTGACCTACCTAATCTCTTCTGTCTTCACAACAGCCCCATGAGGCAGGTATCGCCATCCTACTTTATAGAGGAGGATATTGAGTTCCGGTAACTTGCCCATGGTCCATCACGTAATGAGTTCATATATTCTCACAAATACAACTGAGAAGACACAGGGGTAGCTGCTAGCCCACATGCCGTGAAAACCACCATGGGCCATCTTTGGCCAGGAAGCCACCAGTCCCAGTCTCTCCCTGGACTCTTCCCCAACCCAAATACCAATGTTTTTTGATAAGGATGAGGATTGCATGATTGCATTTGCTTGGACGATGGTCCTGGCTGGACCCTGGGCTCTTTTGCCAGCATGTGCTAGTTTCCTCCAATTCCATAGCCGGGACTAAGGACCCAGAGCAGACAGGTGCTCCCCTGGAGGATGTCTGTGAGTTAAATAGGCGAACAGACATCCCTCAGCTCCTAAGCACTATCCCCTCCTTTTTCTCTTTGAAAAGGACTCAGCACAGGCCAGAAGCCATTTTCATTTATGCTTTTTGCCCATGTTACACAGGCCATGGAATGTCTGCAAAAGTAAGGAGCAAAGAAGCAGTTGTGAGAGATGATTTTTTTCACACGCTGTCTCCAGAAGCCCTTGTGAGAGATGATTCTGTTCATGTGTTTTCTTTTCTTTTTCTTTTTTTCTTTTTTTTGAGATGGAGTTTCACTCTGTTGCCCAGGCTGGAGTGCAGTGGTGTGATCTTGGCTCGCTGCAACCTCCGCCTCCCGAGTTCAAGCAATCCTCTGCCTCAGGTGTTTTCTCCAGAATTAAGTCATATTGTTGCAGTAAAGGCCTTCTGCCTCTATCAGAACCAACTTTAGAAGCGAGTGCTGATCCTGACTTCCCGTGTGAGGATGCAAGACTGATAGGAACACAGACACGCTTACTAAATCAAAACTCGACTTTGATTTACTACTGAGAGCAAAGGGCCATAATGAAGGTGTCTTAGTCCATTTTGTGTTGCTATAAAGGAATATCTGGGACTGGGTAACTTATAAAGAGAATAAGGTTTATTTGGCTCATGATTCTGATGGTTGGAAACTTCACAATTGGGCATCTGCCTCTGGTGGGGGACTTGGGCTGCTTCCACTCATGGCAGAGGGTGAAGGAGAGCTGGTGTGTGCAGAGATCACATCTCAAAAGGGGAAGCAAGAGAGAGATGGGGGAGGTGTCAGGCTTTTTTCAACAACCAGCTCTCTTGGGAACTAATAGAACAAGAACTCACTCACCCCCGGAGAGAAGGCGTTAATCTATTCATGAGGGATCCACCCCATGACCCAAACACCTCCCATTAAGCCCCACCTCCAACATTGGGGATCAAATTTCAACATGAGATTTGAAGGGGACAAATACCCAAACCACAGCAGAAGCTGAGCAACCATTAGCAAGTTGTCATTAACGTGAATACACAAAACCCACAGGCCTGGGGCTGCCGCCAGCTGGGTAGGGCCTCAGATGCCTACAAAATCCCTTCCTTTGAGTATTTCTGGAGGTCCAAGAGTGGGGAAGGGCTTGTCCTGCACATACCCTCAAACAAGTCCATGCTAGCTGGACAGCACCACACCATCGTGGTTGTCTGCGCAGGGCTGCGTCTAGTTTTTGTGGATGCTCAAACTACTGTCTAGGATACGATGCTATAGTTTAGTGTTCTCCAAGATGAAGCCTCAAGATGTCAAAGTGGCCTCTCTTCCCATTCTATCCTCCCCATGTGGGAGCCATACTGGGGTCCGTGCGGGTTGGGAAGAATTTGTTCATGCAACAACTATTTATTGAGCATCCACTATGTACCAGGCACTGGGATAAGGTGGTCAGGGAGGACCTCTGTGAGGAGGTAACATTTATGCTGAAGCCTAAAAGTCATTCATGCAAAAAGCAACGGGCATAACACTCTGGTCAGAGGGCACAGAGTAGGGGGAGGACCTGAGGGTTGGGCTTGAGGCACTGAGAGAGGTTGAGTGGCTGGAACACAGGTTAAGGACAGGGAAGTAGGAAGTAAAGTTTGTAGGCGAGTCTGGGCCCGGTCATCCAAGACTGTGGTGAGGAGTCTGGGTTTTATTTTGAGTGTGATGTCATCCCCAAAGTATTTTAAGCAGAGCAAGGATGTGATTTAATTTATGGCTACCAAGCAATGAGTGCACAGTGGGGTGAGGCATGAAGGGCAGCTGAGAGCGGGGAGGAACCACCCATGTGGGCCAGGAAGGAGGCTGGGGCTCGGTCCTGCAGGGAGGCAGGGGGAATGACGAGGGGTGTGTGGACTCGAGAGATATTCTGTAGGGAGAATCAACCATGCTTGCTTATGGACTATCCATGGATAACTTGGTTTTTTGTTGTTGTTGTTGTTTTAATTATAAGAATAATATGTGCTCATCATATCAATGCCTTTCTCAGTAGAGCCCAGACCTGGCCCATGTGTCTACGTCAGGACAAGGCACTCCACAGATTTCTCCCTCTCTGGCCCTGGGCATTGGCACCCAAAACTTCCTCTACACACTCTTCCTTCCCCAGACAGAGGTCATGACTTCTTCTGTGGCCTGTACTGGCTTCAGTTCAGCCAGGAGCACCACGCCCCCCACAAATGAACAGGTACAAATGGGTACATGCTATAGACAGCAGGAAACCAAGCATTGCAGACATTTCTAGGCTATGCCTAGAAGAAACCACCATGTGGGCCATGTGACTACATTTCTAGGCTATGCCTTGAAGGCCCAGAGAGGTCAAGAGACTTCCTCCATATTCCACAGCTACCATGTAGTGAGTTTTAAAACCACAAATGTAGTTTTATTGCCACTGGATCATATATAGTAATTCCAAGAAGCATTACCTAAGAGATATTTTTGAGAATCTGTTTCAATAAATAGCTAGGAATTCACTTATGCAATAAACCCATCAAGTTTCTATTATCTATTATGGTCATGTGTTATCTATTATCTGCTAGATATCTGGCACCCAGCCATCCCCTGGAGTTATAAAGATAAATCAGATAAGGCCTCCTACCCTTGCAAAGCTCCAAGTTTGGTGGATGAGTGGGTACAGGGCGGGTGGGGAGAGGAGGAGTAAGGGTGCCTCCAAACCAAAGGGCTACAATACCACCAGAGAAGTGCTGTGACAAAGTCATGCTTAATATGCTACAGGAAAGCAAATTAATTGTGCATAAGCCCATCAAATGTTTCTGATATAGAGCCTGTAATAGGTACTTCTAATGGCTTGAAAAGAGTTGTTCTCAAGCTCTTTGTAAACATTTTCCTCACAAGTGTACTTAGCCTATTAATTTGGACCACCCACCACAGCAGGTTCTGTGAGGCTAAGGAAAATGTCAATCCTGATGCATACAAATGGTCCCTGATTGCAAATTGGCCATGTGACTGTTTTATGGATTTAAGGCTGTGTTTGTTTCTGGGTGCCCTCACCTAGTATGAGTTCCTTGGCGGAAGGGATCATGTCTGTGGCTTCCTTTTATGTTCTCCCTTCGGTCTTCAATAATGACTCAAGTGCCTACCACGTGCTAGATTGTAGGTGCCGCCGGGCAGAGAGCAATGAACAAGACAGGCACAGTCCCTGCTGTCATGGAACCTGCATTTGATGCTCAGAGGATCTTGTTGCTGGGTATTAATTTCCATGTATAGCTTTACGACTCCTGAATTTCATCTCCAGCTCAGTGTCATCTGAACTCCAAGCTAATATATTCAACTACAGTCTGTACCTGGATACATGATTTACTATAAACTCATTACATCCTAAAAAAATTTCTAGATTCCCACCAATGCCACCACCCAACTGGTCCTCCCCCTGCCTTGCCTATTTCTGCAAATGGCACCACCACCCATGTAATTACACAAACCCATAACTGGGGAGGCACCCTTGATTCTTTCCTTTCCCTTTCACCCACACCCAATCCATCCACTGCTCTCCGTCCCCTACCGCTCCCCACCACCACCACCATCTTTTATCTATTACCACAGTAGCGTTCCCATGATCTTCTCCCGGCTTCCCCTACTCTAACCCATTCTCTACCCAGTGGCCAGGATGAGCTCATAAAATGCAACAAAAGCACATTTGCCCTCTTTATATATCCCCCAGTGAACTCTCATGGTGACCCATCTGTCCCTCCGACCTCTTACTTGCCCCTCTCCTTGGTGTGGGCCACTCTCACTTTGCTCTGGCCCGTTTCATCCCCTTTCTCTTCCTTGGGTTTACGGAGCCCCTTCCTACCCTTTGGAATTATTGCTCCCACTGTCTCTGAATGCTCCTCCCCTGCCCCACCCTTTGAACAGCTGGGAGCTGGGTTCCTCCTCATCTTGCATTTTTCAGCTCGGGTGTCACCTCCTCAGAGAAGCACCCCCCTGACTTCCCAATACAACATAGTAATCCCAGTCCCCCACCCTAGTGACTCTGTAGCAAATGACTCAAGTTATTCCCTTTGCAGCACTTATCAAGACTTTAATGACCTCATTGCTGTGGAGTGTAGGATCCAGATGGTGAAGACAATGTCTATTGGGTTGACCAATCATGGCCCAGTGTCTACACAGAGGAGATGCCCAAATACTGGTTGAATTAAAACAAAACAAACAAAACCCAAACACTTCCCAGGGCTGTTTTGAGGATGGCACGAATCAGCATGTGTAAAACACAGCCCCAGGTACCTGGTAGGTCCTCAATATACTCACACAATGTCCCAGGCAGCCTGAAGATTTCAGGCACTAGAAATGCACTATCCTTTTCTCCTGGGTGTGGGGCAGAGGGGAGCATGAGAGGCCAGAGGGCAGGAAACACATGGAAGTACTCCTGACCACACTTGAAAGAATCTATTTACCTTTGTTTTCCTCCTTTTTTAAAATGTGTTTTTGCCATGTGTCTATTTTTAAAAAGCTGGAAGAGCACGGTACAAGATTGATAGCTTCAGAGATTCAGCCCTTTTTTGTCCCTCTAGCAGCCCTCCCTTGCCTTGATCAGCCACCTGTTCTGAGACGCTTGCATCTGCCCAGCCCCTGGCTCTCCCTGCCATCAGTGAGCTGCCTGGGGCCCCTGGCCAGGCCAGGCTGTGTTCCTGCCCCCAGGACAGCTTTGAAGCCAGGAGCTGTCGCTGCTTGTTTGTTTGTACCAAGGCACTATGAATGGCAACAGATCATGAATAAGAAACAGGCACCTGATGACAGAGCAGTCATCTCCAGCCAGCACCGAACTCTGCCAGCAGCCATCTGTACACTCCAAGCAGCCTGCCTCCAGGAGAGACAGCAGGGTGCAGGGCACAGGGTGCTGAAGTTGTAGGGAGAACCCGCGTTAGCTCAGTAAGCAGGGATCAAGCCCCTCTGTGTGCCAGGAACTATGTCTGTGTTCCGGCCCTGGCTCTGCCACTAAGCCAAGAGACAGGTAAGTTCCTTAACTTTTTGGCTCTTCAGTTTTATCGCCTATTAAGTGGGTATAATAATAATTCCAAATGGATACCTTTTATTCTTGATAAAGGTCTTTTCCATTAGTGATTTCATTTGGCTTATACTCAGTTGTTCAACAAATATTTTCTGAGTGCCTACCTGGTGCAGGCGCCAAGCGTGGCATAGCAGAGGAAGTAACCGAAAGAGCTAAGGTATTGGCCTTCATTGAGCTTGCATTGTAGTAGAGGAGAAAGACATTCATCAAGTTGTTAATTGCAGTTGTGATAAGTGCTACACAATCTACAGAGAGACTGGTACTCAGGGCACGAGAACTGGAGATTGGAGGGTGTGACCTTGATGGTCTCCTGGGGAAGTGATGCTTGAGCTGACACCTGAAGAACTAACGGCTTTAATTGAAGGGAGGAGGGAAGAACACTCTGGGTAAAGGAAACAGCTTAGACAAAACCCAGATAGCCCAGAGCCAATGAGGGCCTGAAAGGGATCCAGTGTTTCTGGATGGTGTGGAGTGGATGGAAATGAAGTGGGAGCCATTTGCAGGGACCAGACCTGCAGGCTCTTGTCGGCAGAGGTGAAGAGGAATTGTGTCTTCATCCAAGCGCAGTGGGAAGACATTGACCACTTTAGTCAGCGTGTCTTAAGATTGAATTTGATGCTTTGCAAGGTCCATTCTGGCTGCTGCATAGAGAGCATTTGGGAGGTGTCTGAGGGGAAGCAGGACACGAGAGGCCGTTGCAGTTGTCCCAGAGGGAAATGAGGGCAGGGCTGGAGAAAGCATCACGGTGGCCTGGGCTGCCATTCACCAGTGGGGAGACAGGAACTCCCATCTCCACTCTAAAGATAAGAAAATCAAGCCTCAGAAAGGAAAAATGGTCCCTACAAATAGCCAGTGATGGAACAAGGACTCATGTTTGACCCCCAGGGATCCAGGGGTGGGTGTCATTATTTAGGTGGGTGCCGGGTGGCTCTGAGTAAAGACTGGTCCCCGAAGCCAGGGAGGACCTCTTTCCTAAGGCTTTTGCCACTAAAGGTGATGAGAGCAGGCTCCAGTTTGACTCCTCCCTTCTCAACAAACGCTGAGCCTTCAGCCAAAGCCCAAAGGGGCCAGCAGTGGCCAGAAGGAGACCAAGCTCGAGGACCAGCTACAGACAGGACCTGGAAGGTGCATTGTGTGAGCTTTGGTAGCACAGAGACCTGGCACAAACTCTGCCTCTACCACCTTCTGGCTATGTGCCCTGTGAGCTTGCCTGTGGCTTCCTGGCATCCAACCTAAGCTACATAGCATTACACCAAGGGCATAAGCCTTTGTAACCTAGGCTGGATACACTGAGGTTGTTAGGGCCCCTTTGACAGATTCTCAGCTGTCCTGTCTCTCCAAGACTGTCCTCTGGTGGGACAGACTCAACATCAGGGCTAAAAGGGGGTGTATCCTCCCTGTACTGGGGCATTAAGGCATAGGCACTGGCGTGGTCAGTGAGGAGGATTATTTTCTCAGTGCTTTGTTTTAACATAACACCATAAGTGATAATAAAATGAAAACTGACTTTGAGTTGAATTGTTTTTAAATTCCCTACAGAAAATGCAACTCTTATTGCCTGGACCTAGAGCAGATGGCTTCCACCACCCGGCCCCCTGGCATGCCATGATCTCTCTCCCACCTTCTTCCCGCCTATGTCAGGTGCCAAGGCTTCCCCACTCCCTGCCACTGCCACCTTCTCTGGGGAGGAGAGGAGTAACTTGCCATGATTCTTTGGGGGTACTGAGATAATAGGGTCATATGTTCTTTCATTTGCTGATTCAACAAATAATTATGAAGCCCCTCTATGTGTCAAGATCAGCAATAGATGTTGTGAATACAGGTGTACATGAGACATGATGCTGCCTCTGAGGTCTCATTTACTTCTTCATCCAGTATTATATTAATTGAGCACCTACTGTGTGCGGGGCCCTGTGCTGGGCATGGGACACTGTGGCCCCCTAAGTCAGGTAATCTAACAGGATGGTTCTGCTTCCTGGAGGAGATGCTTCAGCTCTCCTTTGCAGGGCAGGTAGAAGAGAGCCAAGAGGGGAAGTGGCAGGGTGTCTTCTAGATGGAGGAATCGACATGGGTAAAATCTCAGCGGTGTGAGACAACTCCAAGTCCAGGGAACCACAAGTAGTTCTATGTGGTTGGAGTGAAGAGTCCATAGGAGCAGGGCCAGACATCAAGACAGATCATAAAAGGCCTTGAATGTTATGCTAACAAGTGGGACTTTTTATGGAAGGCCATGGGAGAGTCAATGAAGGGCTTCAGGGCAGGTTGAGAAAAGGGATTAACAGATGGGTACAAGTATCATCAGATATTACAAAGAACTGGCTACAGCGTGGGGAATGGACTGGAATCCATAAGACTAGAGACAGAGAGACCAGGTAGGAAGCTGTTAGGAGGCTGGAACTGATGCCAGGGGAATGGAGAGGAGGACCTACCCAAAAGACATCAGGAAGGTGAAATCTACAAGAGGTGGTTGATATGGTTTGGCTGTGTACCCAAATCTCATCTTGAATTCCCACATGTTGTGGGAGGGACCCAGTGGGAGGTACTTGAATCACGGGGGTAGGTCTTTCTCGTGCTGTTCTCGTGGATAGTGAGTAAGTCTCATGAGATCTGATGGTTCCTATAAGGGGGAGTTTTCCTGCACACACTCTTTTTTGCTTGCTGCCATCCATGTAAGACATGACTTGCTCCTCCTTGCCTTCTTCCATGATCCTGAGGCTTCCCCAGCCACATGGAACTGTAAGCCCAATTAAACCTCTTTCTTTTGTAAATTTCCCAGTCTTGAGTATGTCTTTATCAACAGGATGAAAATGGACTAATACAGTGGTATATCAGGTAGCTATAGCCAGAAAATGCTGCATAGCAAACCACTCCAAACTCAGTGACTTAAAGCAGCAATAATTTATGGTCACATATCTCTAGATAAGCTAAGAATTGGTTGATCCTGGCTGGGCTCTGCTGGACAGCTCTGCTGAGCTGTGCTCGACTTGCTTCTGCATCTGCAGTTGGCTGATTTCAGCTGGGCTTGATTGGGGTGGTTTGGTGCTGCTCTGTGTATCTCTTCTCCTCCTGGAACCAGTGGGCCAATCTTGGCGTATTTTTCTTATGGCAACAGGGGCAGAGTCCCAAGAGAACAAACCCAATCAGGCAAGCCCTTTATCAGCCTTTAATTATGTAATTCCCACCAATATTAAATTGGCTACGTCATGTGGCTGAACCCAAGGTGAAGGGATGGGAGCAACATTCCACCTTTTTAGAGGAAGAACTGCCAAATCACATAGCAAAGGGCATGGACACAGGGAGGGGTGAAGAACTAGGGCAAGTCATGCAATTTCCTGGAGCAGGTAAGAGGTTGGAACAGGAGAGTAGAGAGAAAGGGAGTTCATGAGGGTTTGTTTGTTTGTGTGTTTGTTTGCCAAGAGCCCAACTGTCTCCAAAACTTGAGCTTGGCCCCCTTCATACCCCACAGCCATACTTGGCTGGGTCCAACCCCTTCAGGAATTAAGCCTGAGGCAGGGTCCTCTCAGATGCAATGCCTATGCAACCTGGCTACCCTGCTCAAGATGTTCTAGGGAAAGAGCCACCCCTAGGCCCCTGTCCCCCATCTAGACTCTCCCTAGTCTCTCTGACAGCCCTGCTCTGGCCCCCGCCCCAGGCTGCATCACTGAAGGACTAGCTTTCCTTTCTTATCCAGAATGTGTTGGTTACACACTCCAGAGATTTGTTTCCCTCCATGTGGGCAGAAACAGCCGCACAATTGCTTTCAATCATGTAAACAGAGGGCTGGGTGGGAAAAGAGGTGTGTGTTTGCAGGCAGGAGGAATCCATTGCTTCTGTCCTCTGAATTCCCTCTTCATCTCTGCACCCACCTCTCTTCTCTTGCTGCCATTCCAGACCATCCACCTTGCATTCTCCAACTGCAGAACAAATAGGAAGGAGATTTAGCCTCTCCAGAGGTCAACCCTGAAGGAAGGAGGCAGAAATGGCCTGTACCCTGGCTAGCCTGACCAGGTGACCTGGGAGAAGTCATCTCCCCTTTCTGGATCTCAGTTTCACCCCTATAACATAGTAATATTCATCTAGGGAACATTGCATGTTTATTAACATTGCATGTTATTTTAACAGATGCTTGTATGGTGCTTACTAAGCCCTTTGCAAATATTAACTCACTTAATGATCATAACAGCAATTCAAGGCACCATCATTTTACAGAGAGGAGACTGAAGCACAGAGAGAGGTTAAGTAATTTTCCCAAGGGCACACAGCTGGGAAATGATCAAGCCAGGGTTTGAACCCAAGCTATTTGGTACCAGAGTCCACATTTAATCATCCTATTATGCTGCTACTTCCTTTCCTGGCCTCTCTGAACTTCTAGAAGTTCAGCAACCTGGACTCTTGGAATCATGCCTGTCCTGTGTCCTTTATTTCCTCTGAATGGGTATTGTGGATTAAATTGTGTCCCTCTGGAAGATATGTTCAAGCCTTTTTTTTTTTAACTCTTAAGTTCTGGGATACATGTGCAGAATGTGCAGGTTTGTTTCATAGGTATACATATGCCATGGTGATTTGCTGCACCTATCAACACCTCATCTAGGTTTCAAGCCCTGCATGCATTAACTGTTTGTCCTGATGCTCTCCCTCCCCTCACCCCCACCCACAGGCCCTGGTGTGTGTTGTTTCCCTCCCTGGGTCCATGCGTTCTCATTGTTCAACTCCCACTTATGAGTGAGAACATGCGGTGTTTGGTTTTCTGTTCCTGTGTTAGTTTGCTGAGGATGATGGCTTCCAGCTTCACCCATGTCCCTGCAAAGGACATGATCTCATTCCTTTTTAATGGCTGCATAGTATTCCATGGTGTAACATATGTTCAAGTCTTAACCCCCAGTACCTGTGAACGTGACCTTACTTGAAAGTAGGGTCTTTGCAAATGTGATCAAGCTGAGATGCAGTCATACTGGGTTAGGGTGGGCCCTAATCCAATGTCTTTATATGAGAAAGGAAAGGGAGATTTGGAGACAGACATGGAGACACACACAGGGAAGACGGGCCTGTGAAAATGTAGGCAGAAGTTGAGGGATGCAGCTACAAGCCGCAGGATGACAAGGATTGCCAGCAACTGCCAGAAACTATGAGGGAGCAAGGAACAGTTCTTCTGCAAAGACTTCAGAGGGGGTGCGGCCCCACTGGCACCTTGATTCCAAACTTCTAGCGCCTAGAAATATGAGAGAATAAATGCCTGCTGTTTTGATCCACCCAGTTTGTGGTCATTTGTTCTGGGAGCCCCAGGAAACTAATACAATGGGGTAAGAAAATCTTGAACCCTTCAAGAAGAGGCAGCTCTCAGCCTTCTCCACACACACCATTCACATCTCAGGTCCTCTGTCTCCCGCCACCTCTCATGTCCTCTTCATGCCTTGTATCCACTCAACCAGGCTGATGTTGTTCTCCCAAAGAGTTTTGGTCCTAAAATGTAAACTCCAGGCTTGGGACGGTTTAGTCAAAAGGATGACCAGTGGATACAGATTTCTGGTCCCATATTCACTGAGAGACAGGGATCTTGAACTTTGTGGGGGACTGAGAATTGGACTTTGGGAGCCTGGGGATGTGTGGAGGTGGTGGAGGTTAGAATTCTAAGTGGCTATGTCCCCAAGCCCCGGTCCCCTATCTCCAAGGAACCAGGACTCTCTGAGCTGAAAAGTGACTCATAGCCACTCTAAGAGGCATGAGGTCGTGTGGCATTGTTGCAAGGATGCTAGACTTGGGAGTCATGGAGAACTGAGTTTGAATCCCAGCTCTGCCACTTCTTGGCTATAACAAAAGGCCAGTCACTTCACCTCTCAGGCTCAGTCCCCACCCCCTGTGGAGCGGGGCTGATGGTACCTGCTGCACTGGGTGATTATGAGGGTTAAATAAAATAATGCATGCAGAAAGGCTTCAGGGAACTGTTGTGTGGGACAAAATCTGGTTGGGAACCTGTGTGCCAGGTTCCTGGAAATCTGTGTCTTACTCATCATCACTTTCCCCAAGCACTGGCTCCAAGGCCCAGCTCAAGGTGAGCAAGTGTAAGTATCGAACTGAAGGTAAGCTTTGTCTCATCCTTGGTTAGTTCTTGTATGACAGAGGCACCTTTCCATTGCCCAACCTATCATTTTCTCCTCAGCCTATGACAGCAGTTTTGCTTCTCTCTGGAGACTGATCCAACACCCCAGCCGGCCTTCAGAGGTAATCCAGGCAAAACAGCCAAGCCTGAGAAGTTCATTTGCCCGTGTCTAGTTCACCTTCCTCTCACCTCCTCCATTCCCTCTGCCCAGCAGTCCCCCCAAATTCCCCCTCCAGAATGTTCTCTAAGGTTCTTTTGCTGGGGCTTCCCTTTCAACTGTCTGACACCTTCATGGATGGGGAAGTCCTGAGACTTCAGGTAGCATGTTTCATGAAGTTCTGGGGGGGGATTCAAAACTCTTTTGGAACCCTAAGGTGTGACTGCATAATGGGGAATCACTGGTTCATGGACTTCTGGCTAAGATCACATATCATCTGTTACCCCAGCAGGGAGTTCTTGCACCCCACCTGACATCTGTGCTCCCTTTTGCCATTGCATCCACCCACTACCCCTATCCTATCCTCAGGCTCCTCTCTCCTTAGGCAGAGAGTCCAGAAGAGGGGCTGATCATCTGTCCCAGATGAAGTCTCTTGTGTGGAGAAGGAGGTAGGGTGGAGAGGTGGCATCAGACAGACCTGGGTTCCAACTTTGGCTCCTCCACGTCCTGTGTAGCCTAAGGAAACTCACGTCACCTCTCTGAACTCATATTTGAAATGAACATAGCATAGCATCCACCTCCCAGTGTTTGGTACAGAACAAGTGAGATGCACTTCTTCCAGGCTATGTGTGCGGTGCCCAGCTCACAGTGACAGCTATAAAAAGCCAATAAGATATGGTGGAGTTTCCGGTGTTGGGATCACTGTGAATTTGAATCCCTGCTCTGTCATTTCATGGCTCTGTACCTTCAGCAAGTCACTCTGCCTCTCCAAATCACAATTTCTCTGTAAACTTGGAAGAAAGGCCCTCTTCTTGAGGATTTTTATAAGGCTTAAATGAGATGTGTGATCATTTGCTTCATCCTGTACCTCTGAAGCATCTTTCAACTTTGAACTCTTTAACTCTAGGCTCTGAATTTAGATTTTGCAGTCCTAACCCAGCTGGCCACTGGCTTCCTTGATTATAGCAAGCCCCTGGCTCTCTGGGCTACGCAACTTTGTATCTCCAAAGGCCAGACCTCCAGTCTGATGCCCCCAGGGGCTGCACCTAGAATCCTAGCAATTTCCCGTGTGGCTTTGGCATGGCCAGGAGCAGCAAGGGATGGCTTGGGACTCTAAGGGTGAATAGGCATGGCCAAAGGCCCCGGCAGAGGACCTGCCCATGACCACGGTCACCAATACTGTCTGTTCACTACACCGTGGCCTCATGGGGGAGAATGGATTGGCAGCTTGTAACACTTGGCTAAAAAATAAACTTGCTGGGGGGCAGGGAGATATAGAGGGGCCAGCTCCTGCACAGGCAGTAGGTACCCCTGGCCCAGGCAGACTCTGCACAGTGTTGAAATACCCTGGAGGCAGCCCCACTCCCCAGGGAGGAGCTGCCCGAAGGACTGTTATCACAGGCCAGGCCCTTTCCTTCAGCCTCAGCAGGGATTAGCTGAGGCTGCTAAGTGGCCTCCAGCTTTCTCCTGTGCTCCGGAGAAGGGGGGAGGGAAGGGCGAGGGGTGGGGAAACAGCACCAGCGGTGTGTGCGTATGGGGTGATTGTCATGGTTACGCTCTGACAAAACAAATGGCTCGGCCTCCTGCAGGCCACCTAAACAGCTATCGCAATGTGGGCATTGATCAAGCCAGCTGCCAGGGCAGCGGGCGCAGGGCTTGGGCACTGGAGCCCAGCCCCGGACCGCACCTCCAGCAGTGCTGGGTGCAGAAGGCAGTCACTGTGGCAGTGGAGAGACAGAGTGTGTACCCAGACACGTGTTGCTTCTGGGGTAAGGTAAGGGCTGGCCCCACTTGTGTCAGGAGGAGAGGCTGGACAAGGGGGCTGCTCTGGGTGGGCAAGGGCATGCATGAGTGTGTGTGTGTATGTGTGTGTGTGTGTGTGTGGTGAGTTTGTGTGTCTATGGGCATGTGTGTCAGGGTGTGTACACTGTGTGCAGGCACCATGGGGAGGAGCCCAGGATGCTTCAGCATAAGAAGTGAGGGAGCATGGCCACATGTTGCTACTCAGGTCCAGCTCTCTCTCTCTCTTTCTTTCTTTCTTTCTTTCTCTCTCTCTCTCTCTCTCTCTCTCTTTCTGTCTCCTCTATTTCTCTCCCTCCCCACCCCTTCTCCTGCTCCCTCTTCTCTTTCTCGTTTGCTTTCTGTGTCTGTTTCTCTTTTTTCTCTGTGTGAGTCTGCGTCTCCTTCTCTCTGTGTCTCTGTCTCTCTCTTCTCTCTGCCTCCTTCCTCCCTCTCTCAACCTTCCGTCCCTGCCACCTGTTTCCACCACTTCCTGGTCAGTCCCCCATCATCCCTCATTTGTCCTCCAGAGCTCTGGGGCAGTCAGGAGCTCTGCAGGGTGCCCACCCCGGCAGCCGGGCTCATGCCTGCTGCCCTTCGGATGCCCCGCAGCTTGTGACCATCCCCAGAGCCACCGGCCAAGGGCACACCCTTTCCTGAGCCCCGTGTCTCCTGCAAGGTAAGAGGGGAAGGAGAAAAGGTCCTCGGGCAGAAGGAGGCGGCTAGTGGAGAGGAACTCAGCAGCGGGTGCAGTGTGGCGCCTGCTAACGCATCAAGCCTCCGCTGGAAGTTCCACCATAACGTCTGCGGCAGCCCCAACAGTTCCACCCCATGCTCCCGCCGCCGGCACCACAGCAGCAGAAGGAGGCCTGTGGGGCGGGGGCCAGAACCTTTCCCTCCTCCCTTCTGAAGAGCAACAGGCGTCACACCATCCTGCCTCTCCCACTAACCCCGTTCCTTCTTTTGCTTTTTCTTTCTTTTTCTCTCTTTCTTTTTTCTTTTTTTCTTTTTCTTTCCCTCTGTCTCTCTTTCTCTTTTCTTTCCCTCTCTTTCTTTCTCTCTCTCTCTTTCTTTCCTCCCCCCCTCCTGTCCTCCCTTACCTCCTTCCTTCTTTTTTTTTTTAGACTTAGGAAGTAAGTCTTCTCTGCTGAGGCGCAGCCCCTTCCCTGGGCTCACCTGTCTAAACCCAGCCAGCTCATGGGGACTGGACGAGGCTCAAAGGGGTCTAGATGAGCTCTGGTCCTCCTGCTCCTGGGAAGAGGTGGTGAGGCCACGAGGCTCTGTGGTCAGCTGGGTTGGCCGGTGGGGCTGAGCACATGTGCATGTGTGTGCGTGTGATGCATGCAGGCATATGCTCTGGAAAGGTATATTAGGGCATGTGTGTGTAAGGGGATTACCTGGAGGGTAGGGACGTGTATCGGGGAACTACATGAGTTGGTAAGTGGGTCTGTGTGTGTATATAAATGTGTTTACGTGTTTGTGGGTGCATGTGGGGGACACCCTGTGTTTGCTGCTGTGCAGGGATTTAAGAGTGCAGTGGCATGCGTGTGTGTGTGTGTGCACACGTGTGCACATGCAGAGAATTGTGAGTTGAACTTGACCCAAAGGTTGCTGGGCAGGGTCCCCAAAGTCTGATATGTGGCTGTGGGGCCCTCATCACCCAGCCTTGGCTGGCATCTGTCTGCAGGGATAGTGCTTCAGTTGTCTCCAATCCAGCCCCATCCAGGTGATGGTGCAGGGCTGGTGGTCACTGTGCCCGGGTGGGTGGCCTGCAGACCCCACTGCCTTGCTGGCTTGAGATGTGCCAAGGCTCCTGACCTGGAAATGGCTCAGGCTCTGAGCAGCCTCCTCAGCTTCAGGGATTAGGAAACTCAGGATCTGTGACCTCACAGAAAATGGGGTGAAGACCAGCCCCAGATCTGGGCCAGACACAGCTCTCAGAAGGTGCTCTAGACACTGGCGATTAGGCTGTTAGCAAAGTTGTCCTAGCTGGGAGGAGGAGGTAGAGGACAGGCAGCCCCACCCAGGGTGATGACACCAGTGTTCTGTTCCAAGGAGCTAGGACACCCACTCAGCCATCCCTGTGGCCCCTACTCACCTGGCAGCCCCTGGGCCCAGAGGGAAGAAGCACTTTTGTGCTTCCTCTGTCTCACTCATTGCGGCTTTGCTCCAGGCTCTGCTCCGAGCCAGCACCTTCACTGACCTCTTGTTACCAATGATGCGAATGCTGGTTATGGCTCTGTGAGAGGCCAGCTCCATGGGGACAAGGGACAGCTCTGAGGAAAGGAGGGCAGTGGAAGAGGCACCCAGGGACTCAGGGGCAGCACTCCTCCAGGCCACTGGCCTGGGCTCCTTTTCGGATACCGGTTGTCCTCTCTGCTAAATACCTACCTGGGTTTCTCTCAGTACCCCGATGGTTCCCTCTACAACACAACCTCCAGTGACCAATGACCAGGCTATACAGACACAGGTTTCTCGTGGTCTCACAGGCGTCCTTACTCCAGTCAGCCTGGGAAGGGGCTTGAGCAAGGCCAAGAAGAGGGTCACCTAAACAGGAAGCTGACAGACATCCCTGGGGGAACTGGGAACAGCCCAGTGGGGTCACTGGACTGAGTATGACTCCAGGTCACCAGGGGTGCACAAGTCTTTTCATCCTATGAAACCCTCTGGGTTCCTGGATTCCTTAGGGAGAGGGGATTGGGATCAGCGGTATTCTGTGTGGGGCTAGGCAGGCTTCCTGAAGGAGGTGACACTAGAGTGGGGATTTGGAGGAAGCAATGGATGGATGTGGCTACGTGGGTGGACAGAGAGGAGCAGGGAAGTGTTTCCCACGTGACTGGAGTGTGAGTGCAGGCAGCGCTGGGAGGGGCAGGAGGTCTTCGTCGATCAATGTCAGTTTGAATGAACAGACAAGAAAGGGTGGAAATAGGGAAAGGAATGAAAACCATTGGATCACTGGGCACCCACTTCATGCCGGGCTCTGGGCGGGATGTTGGGTCTCTGTCCTCAAGAGGCTTGCAGTCTCAAGTGGGGAGACCAGTGGTCATCAATTACCCAAGCTTATGCAAAATAACACTCAGGAGAAGAACTCCTGGATTTGAGGTACAGAGGCAAGGGCTGGGTCAGAGACACATCTTTATTGAGTCAACTGCTTATGCATCGAAGCAGGGTAGGGCAAGTTTGAACCTGGAGGAATTTTTGTCTTCGGCGTCTGGTCACTTGCCTCTCTATAGTCCTGGCCCCAAGGATGAGCCTGCAAAACTAGCAGAGAAGGAACAGTTAGACATGGGGGTTGGGGAAAAAGGGACAAAGAGTACTATCTAGTTTCTTTCTTACCTGTGTCATTCCCTTACCTGGTGCCTTACCCATGGGGTTTTATTTATTTATTTATTTATTTATTTTTGAGACGGAGTTTCACTCTTGTTGCCCAGGCTGGAGTGCAATGGCATAATCTCGGCTCACCGCAACCTCCGCCTCCCAGGTTCAAGCAATTCACCTGCCTCAGCCTCCCAAGTAGCTGGGATTACAGGCATGCGCCACCACGCCAGGCTAATTTTGTATTTTTAGTAGAGACGGGGTTTCTCCATGTTGGTCTGGCTGGTCTCAAACCCCCAGCCTCCCAAGTAGCTGAGATTACAGGCATGCACCACCACGCCAGGCTAATTTTGTATTTTTAGTAGAGACGGGGTTTCTCCATGTTGGTCTGGCTGGTCTCAAACTCCCAGCCTCAGGTGATCTGCCCGCCTCAGCCTCCCAAAATGCTGGAATTACAGGCGTGAGCCACCATGCCTGGCCTCCCATGAGGTTTTACTAATCTCTACTTTACAGGTGATAAAACTGAGCCTTGGAGAGCTCAAAGAGCTAGCTATAGCAAACAGCAGTGCCACCCTCTAGAAGAGAACTTAAGACCGCTCCATGCATGGAGATTGTTACAGCAGGATTTAGCTGAGCAAAGCTGGATCCTAGGGGCCCAGAGGAGGGAGCAATCACTCCTAGATAAAGGGGTGGGGAAAGGCTTCAGGGAGGAGGTGGGTTTGAAGGGACCCAGCAGGATGAGTAGGTTTCAAAACACAGAGATGGGATCACAGGGCTCTGGGTTGAGGGAGGAACGTAAACAAGGGTGCAAAGTTGAGGCTCACAGAGGTCTGGGGAAGAGCACATATTCTAGTCTGGAACACAGAGTCAGAGCGGAAGAGAAATATGGAATCAGGCTGCAAAGGGGGATTGTGGGGCGGAGCTGAATTTGACGTGAGCAAGTCAGGCTTAGTTAAGACTATGAACAGTCCCAGAGCAGGGAAGCACTGTGGTCAGATCAAGATCTCAGGAAGACAAATTAACAAGCCTGAGAAATTGAAATCTCACCTCTTGAATCCTCACTGGGGTCTGGAAGGATCCTAGTCCCCAGTCTGAAAACCCTTTGCTAGATCGTGCCTTGTGAATCTTCCTAAGGCAAGGGTCCCCGGGTGTCTCAGCACAAAGCTCTTCTCCCTATTCCCATGACCACACTGAGGATCAAACTGCTGGGCACAGGACTCTCTGCCAAGAGGTTCCTTCCCTGGGTGCCACTGTGGAGACAGAGACAGGACCCAGGGCCAGGGCAGGCAGCTGGAGTGATGGTCCCAACCCAGCCTAGAATGTGGCCATTGAGGGAGTGGCTGGAGGGCAGGAGATGGGTCTACCTGGTTCGCCGTAGTGTCCCCCCTTCCTTATTCAGGCCCCATGGAGGAGTCTGCTTAATCATTATCTGTGACCCCATAGATGTGAGGTTGTAGGTTGTTTGGTTTGTTTGATGGAGTTTTGTTCTTGTTGCCCAGGCTGGAGTGCAATGGTGCGATCTCAGCTCACTGCAACCTCCGCCTCCTAGGTTCAAGTGATTCTCCTGCCTCAGCCTCCTGAGTAGCTGGGATTACACGTGTGCACCACCAAGCCTGGCTAATTTTTTTATTTTTAGTAGAAACAGAATTTTCCCATGTTAGCCAGGCTGGTCTCGAACTCCTGACCTCAGGTGATCCGCCCACCTCAGCCTCCCAAAGTGCTGGGATTACAGGCGTGAGCCACCATGCCCGGCCAAGGTTGTAGGTTTTTTAAAATGTCACCCTAATAGAGAACATGAATAGACTGTCCACTTACAAAAGTAGTCCCTGAATAAATGTCTGTTCTTGCTCAGAACCAGCGTTGATCCCTGCCCTTCACCCAATACCCATGTCCATCAGTTTCTCCGTCAGGTGGGGTAAGCAGCTGATTATACAAAGCCAAAGGATTGCACGGTGAAACTGACATCATGTGAAAGTTGTGGGAGTTAGTGAGGCCAATAAAAGAGGACATTGGAGGACTCCTAGTCCTACACAAGGCCATAGATAAATGAGAACCTGGCATTTAGGCCAGAGAATGACAGAAGAGAATATGCACAACAATGAGTTCATGATAAGAAACTTTAATCATTATGCTGTGACAGTGAAATATGACCTTTTTAAAAATGTCATATCATGCTAGCATATAATTCTGTTCAGGAAAACCATGCCCTGCTAAACCAATCAATATTTGATTTGTCCTTTGAGGATTGAAAGTTTTGGCACATGGTTGTAACTATAATCTTATTTTGGTCCAACATAAGATTCTATTTTCATATTTTTAGTCTCATTTCTCAAAATGAAATCCCAACTGAAATCTTTTCTTCATTCACCCTTTCCTATGACACGTTGGTCCCTGTTCTAAGTGGATTCACTTACAGTGGGCTTTTTCTGGTCAAATTATTGGGTTAACATGGGGATCTCTCATGATGAGTGTTTAATGCTTGTAGAGTTTATGAATGAATGACTATGGAGTTCTTTCCAGAACCATTCACTTTTGCCTTTCAGGCCTCTTGCTTCTGCATTGCCTGCCTCGCCTCAGGTCGTTCATTAGTTTATTCAGCATTTAATGAGCACCTGCTGATTGTCAGGCTCTCTTCTAAGGCACTGGGAATACAATTGTTGACAAAATATACAAAGATCTCTGTCTTCCTAGAGCTTATATTCTAGTGGACCCACTAGAATCTCACCTTCTTCCACCTCTTACTCCCTTTGGATACCATGGATTCTATTCCTGGGACCATCACCTTTGCTCAAAGACCCAAACATTCATGGCTGTACTAGCCAATTAGATTAGGCTACGCTGCAGTAAAAAAGCAGCAACGTTTTAATTCCTGCTCTTGCCACATGTACAAAGTAGGCCGTGCCTCTAACGGAGGCTCCTTGGGGGCACATTCCTCCATGATCGCTGTGGCAGAGAACATGACATGGGCAAGCACACATTGGCTTTGAAAGCTTCCACCTGGAAGTGACACACGTCGCTTCCACACATTTCATTGGCTGAAGCCAGAGGCACATCTAGGCCTTCAAGGAAGCTGGGAGCTGCAGCTTACCACGCACCCAGAGGAGGAGAAGGCAGAAGATCTGTACAATGGCATGAAGATCACATGCAGCCTTATTTAAGAGCGGGGCATCATAGCCTTGATCAGAATACTTATAGGAAATAGGGGAGAAAGGACAGGTCATCTTGGGTTGAGTCCCTTCAAGGATCTTAGCCCTCTTTCTCTGACAACTAGCACTCAGTGCTGACCAGCAGATCTGAATGCCTGGTGGCCAGCAGGATTGGCCTCTGCCACTCTCAAGCCTCAGCACAGCAAAGCAGCAGGTCCCCTATTCACAGAGGAAGCTCTGCCCTGGGAGCTCCAAACCTCTTGTGTTATTTCCCCTCTGAGCCTCAGTCTCCTCCTGATCCTTAAAATGGGATAATAATCCGTATTTTGCTCCTATTCATAGAGCCCTAATTAATTCATGGATGTGAAAGTGCTTTAATTATAAATTGCTTTCTATGAGGCATGGAGGCTCATTATGATTACTTTCATGACTCGGTGGTGGATTTTTTTTTTTTTTTTTTTTTTGTTTGTTCAGGGGACAGAGTCTTGCTCTGTCTCCCAGGCTGGAGCACAGTGGTATGATCATATCTCACTGCAGCCTGGAAGTCCTGGGCTCAGGCAATTCTCCTACCTCAGCCTCCCAAGAAGCTGGGATTACAGGTGTGCCACCACACCTAGCTAATTTTTGTGTATATGTGTAGAAATGGTCCCTCTATGTTGCCCAGGCTGGTCTCAAACTCCTGGCCTCAAGCAGTCCTTCCACTTCAGCTTCCCAAATGGTAGGATTACAGGCATGAGCCACCCTGCCCAGTCTCAGTGGTGAATCTGAAAGGGTAAGCTGGTCAGGGGCTACAGTCTCTTCACTGCTTACAATTCCATCATTTTTAATCCTTTCCTTTGAATTCTTGAAGACTTTTCTAAGATACCCCATTTCTAAGAGATTCCTTACAAGCCTATCAGGAAGTCTGGCCTTGATTAGCTTTATCCCCACATCCCACCTTCCCCTACACAGGGCAAAGCCACCAGCTCACCTTCACAGTCAGCCAGGCACTGTGCCTGGCGCTTTATGCACAGTTCTCTTTCTCATCATCATGAGGCAGTGAGGCGAGCTCTACTTCTGTGCCCTTTTATAGATCAGAAAACTGAGGTCAGTGAGGTGAAGTAGCTTGCCTGTGTCACCCAGTGCTACAAGTCAAAGCCTGGCTTTGAGCCTAATTCCTAGAGCCTGAGGAGCTCCTGATGCCCAGGCTGGCTGACGAGGGGGACTCTGCAGCTGGCCTCCTCTCTCTGCTTCCTTGTCCCTGGTTGGTTCAGTCTGTGTTGCTGACAACCCTGTGTTGTACTTGGGACTCTCAAAGAGAGGGCTTTTCTCTTGCTTCTGTGGATGTGGGATACCGTTACCATGGATTTTGCTATGGCACAGTGGTAAATGCAGAGGCACTGGAATGGAAGTGGCCGGAGTTCAGTTCCCAGAGTCATCCCTTCCTAGCTTTATGACCTTGGGCAGTTTTACTAACCTCTCTTATGTTCACTCAGATCACCCTGTAAAAAGAAAGAAAGATTGCACTTACAGGGTTATGAGGGATCCATGTGATCATACACATAACTTTCTTAGCACAGTGCCTACGACCCAATGGAGGAGTTTGTGCAAAGTGTCGGGAACCTCTAAACCCTAAAACCCTGCCTCCTTAAACCTGGTTGGCAATGGGAAACTCGGTATCCTAAATGCAGCCTCTCCAACTGTCTCTCCCTTCCCTCTTAACCTTCAGCTGGTTCTGCACCAGCTGGAGCCCAAGAAGAGGGGCAATACCAACCTTGCCTGAGGTTTTCCTGCAGTAAGATGCCCCATGAGGTCCATTCTGAGGCCTCTTTGTGTGTCCCTCGTGCTCCAGTTTTGGTTTTTTGTTTTGTTTTTGTTTTTGTTTTTTGAGACAGAGTCTCACTCTGTTGCCCAGCCTGAAGTGCAGTAGTGCGATCTTAGCTCACCGCAAGCTCCACTTCCCAGGTTCAAGCGATTCTCGTGCCTTAGCCTCCCAAGTAGCTGGGACTACAGGCGCCTGAAGCCCTGCCTGGCTAATTTTTGTAGTTTTAGTAAAGGCGGGGTTTCACCATGCTGGCCAGGCTGGCCTCAAACTCCTGAACTTAAGCGATCCACGCACCTCAGCCTCCCAGAGTGCTGGGATTACAGGCGTGAGCCACCACGCTCGGCCTCCAGTGGCATCTTGTTGAAATGACTTCGAAGTGGGAGTCTTCTCTAGTGTGCTGACTTGGTAGGAGAGACAGCCAGGGTACTGATCTACTGTCTCCACTCAAAACATGGGGAAGATGCTGTCTCCTTTCCCCACTCCTACCCCCGCCTCCCCACTCCTAGAAAGCACAGCAAAAGGGCAGAAGCCAGTGAGAGGTAGAGCCCTGGGGGTTTGCCGCAGTTGGTGTGGAAGGGTCACAGGCCCTGCGTAAGAGCAGCTGGCTGGCAGGTGCACTAACTCAGCCTGGGCACCTGGACCTCACTGGAGAGGAGCAGGCAGCAGGGGGGCGCCATTAACAACCCAGGATCTGGGGCCAGATGCTTGGATTCAAATCCTGGCTCTACACCCACTCACTGTGTAACCCTGAGGTTTTCTTCACCTTTCTAGGTCTTGGTTTCCTCTGCTGCAAAGTGAGGATGAGCTGCTTCATAGGGTCTTTCTGGGGATTCAGTGTGAAAATCCCTCTGGCACTCAGGAAACAGTGTCACCTCTGAGAAGAGACTAAGTAGTCAGACACACAGATCCCTTCAACTGGGCGGGGTGCATGAGGAATGAGTATACATCTTCAGTCCTGATGTGGGTTGTCTCTCAGAGCAGCTGAGACCCTGGACTGTCAATCTGAAGAGATGGGTGGCATGAATTCTCAAGGTGCACCTCCTCTTGTTGTTAGATAAAGATGCCAGGACCCAGAGCCCAGAGGGACCCCGTGGGAAGGACCTTCTCCAGGTCATTCATGTATTCATTCAGCAAATAAGTATAGAGGGTGATGAATCTCTGAAGGTGGAGTCCAAATCCCACCACCAGCTCCACCACTTACAAGTGTATTACCTTGACCAAGAAATGTAACCACGCTGGGCTTCAGTTTCCTCTTCTGCAAAATGGGGATAATAGCCTTGCCTTCTTGATAGGATTGTCCTGAGGGTTACTAGAACTAATTCATGAAAAGCACTTAGAATGCCACCTGGCATCTACTCATGGCTCAATATGTGTTAGCTGATATTTTTTGAAAACTGTTTTAGGCACCGTTCCATGTGCTAAGAACCATAACAAGGAAGAAGTACAGTTTTGACCCCTACCCCAGGGTCTTAAGACCCCACCAATCTTTACGCCCCACCAGCTGTGCTCCGTCCAGGCCCAAGAGGTATAGCCAGACCATATGTGTGATGGCAGGGTCCCAGTCTGGGGTTCACATGCAGTTGGTGGCAGGACTTGTCCTCAGGCCAGGGGGCACTTTGACTCCCAGTGCAGTGACCTCTGCCACCCCACAAAGCCTCTCTGTGGAGGGGGCGCATTGTGTACGGGGAAGCAGTCTCACAGGTTGGCCCAAACTGCTCTGGGACCTCAGAGAGAAGGGAAGGCAATGAATGTATTCTTTAGCCAACATCTAGGCAGGGGGCCCTGGGATGGCTGGGTGGCAGGTCTGAGGGCTGTAGGTGGCCAGAGCCCCCATGGGGTAATGCCAAAACTCAGATGCCCAGATGCAGTCATAGTGGGTGGGAGAGTGAAGCCGGAAGGATAACCCAAAGAGAAAAGGGAATGAAAGCAATAGCCAACATTTACTGGGGACCAGAAACTGGGACAAGCATTTTATAGGACAGTGTCTCCCTTGCAAGCCTCTCAATAACCCTAAGAAAGAGAAGACATTTTTACCCGCCCACTATACAGAGGGTGAAACTGAATTTCAAAGAAGCATCCAATGAGAGACCACTGGAGAAGGAAGAGGAAAGGCAGGTTCCAGGGGCAGGAATTCACTTCCAAGCCTGTCATTTTACCACTTCAAGGTTTTGCAGGCAGGCACAGCACAAGGATTTACTCTTCAACTCCCTAGAAGCCCCACTGCAATGGAGTAGCTCTAGAGGGGCAGTGGCTGGATTCAAAAACAGCTCTCCCTGTGCGCCACCAGCCGGTGAGCCCCTCAGCACACGGGAAGCGGTGTGCTGGAGACAGGGACAAGGCTCGAAGCCACATAGAGAATTTACTTAGTGCTTTTCAGCGGAGCCACAGGGATGCTAGCAGCTCTGCTGGGTGAGCTCAACTTGCAAACATGCCCCCAGAAAGGTGGGTGTACACTGAATTTGTGTAATACAGCCCAATTTTCCCAGCGATGTGTGGGTGCATTTCTGAGTGACCCTCAGTGAGCAGAGGCTCCAACGCAGGAATCTTACTGGGCCCCCAGTGGACAGGCATGGCGCAGTTTCTGTATATGTAAACCACTTCCTCGTTGATCTAATCCGACAAGCATCTTTTCACACGCTTAGCCCAGATAGATGGCCCTCATTTATCTTTTCAAATGTGGATGTGTCTATTTCTCCCTTCTTCAGCAGGCCCAAACAGTCTCCTAGCTGGAAGCCCCAGACACCGTGGTGGCTTGGCCCCAGCCTCCTGTCCAGACTGACTGTCCAGGACATCTCAACTGGCTGGACTCCAGGTCTCTCAGGCAGTGTGAGGACATAAAGCACCGAGAAGCCTGAGCATTCTGTGCCTTGACTACTCCCCCAACCCCCTGCCCCCACCAAAGGAGACTACAGCTATCTCCAGGATAGAATCTCATGGGCTGTGGGCTGAAATAAATTTCTCCCATTGTTAGATTCTTCAGACGAACCTGTAGCCAAGTCCTATATCCACCCCATGACACATTTCATTCTATTTATTTGGCCACTGACTCATTCATTCAACCAATAGAGCACATGCCATCCATTCATTGTTGAGCACCAACTATGGGCCAGACACTGAGGAGAGACAGAGTCTCCTGCCTCAAGTTCTGGGGGCTAACTGCTCCTGGTTGGGGTGGGTGGGGGACAAGACACAAGGCCTGAGGGCAGGGGCCCTGTACTTCTTGGTCATTGCGGTAGCCCAGCCTAGCAGTGTCTGGCACAGAGCAGGTCCTCCATATAGTTCTGTTAAATGGACACACGGCACATGGATGATGAGACAGATAACGTGAGTGGTGCTGACTGTGCTGGTGGCAGGGGGCAATCTTAGGCAATGCAGGACCCCGAGAAGGCTCCATGGAGGTGGTGGCATTGAAGCTGGCCTTGAAGGATGGCTAAGGAGGGAGAGGTGGAGACAGCATTCCTGGCAAAGCCCACAGTGCCAGAAGAGATAGCGGTAGCAGAAGTCAGCCTTGTTTGGAGACGTAGCGAGAGGTCTTGACTGGCTGGAGCATGGGGTAAATGGGGTGAGGGTTGGCCTCACCGTCAGGGATTTGTTACCCGTGTTGGCTGGATATAGGCCTACGCGGGGAGGTTTAGAGGAAAGAGACCAGAATACGAGAAGCCCAGAATTCTAGAAGGTTAGGACAATCAGACCAGATCCAGAGAACCTACCGACTTGGCCCCACTTTGATAAGAGTGTTGGTGCTATTGGTGATTGGGTGGCCCTTAGAGCACGGGCTTCTAAAGGGGACATGAAAGCAGGACTTCCTAGAGGGGGCTGGAGATAAGAAAAGAAGCAAAGGCCCCTAGCCCCAGGTAAGAGGGCAGGTGGCAAGCCCAGAATTGCTTGTGGGCTCACAGTCTTCATCTAGCCCAGGCCTGGCTGAGCCCACACAGGTAGGGGACCCCAACTCTATGGAGAAGCATCTAGGAGGGATCAGGCCAGGATGAGGGTGAGTTGCTTCCAGAATGGCTTTGCAGGTGGGAGGAACATGTTTCTGGGACAACAATGTGCTGGAGATGCAAGGGAAAGGGTAGATTTCAGCAGTAAGATCAGAGTCAGGGTCAGGGGTTACTAAGGCAGATGCTAGGCAGAGGCCCATGGGACCTTCCCAGCTCAGACCTGGAGGAAGCTAAGGCACAAGGAGGTTAAGTAACTTGCTCAAGAATACGCAAAATGTGAGTGGCAGAGCCCAGCAGAGTGACTGGGCCAATTACTATGGAAGTGGCCATCCCAGGGACACTAACCTCAGGCAGTTTGCCAGAGACTGGGACCTAGGTACCCCTAACCACTACCCCATGGGCAAGTTTCTGCCTTCCCAATCTCTTTCTGAAAAGCAAATATCCCCCAGCAAGAGGGGCATGAGGGCCTTCTCCTTGACCCCAGGAGCCCTGACACAGCCCCCTGCCACCTCCACCTCCCTTGTGATGGCTGAAGCCAGCAGGGCCCCAGCAATCTCTTCCCTCCTGTGCTCAGCACGAACTGGGAAGCAGCCTGAGCAGGGGAAATAGCAGGCTTTGGAGTCCGGGCTGGTTTCCATTCAGCTTGGCCACTTTCTGGCTGTGTGATGGCTTTTGGACCTCCATCTGAACCTGGAAATTGGGAGTAGATGTATTAGCAATGCCTGTAAAGCACTAGAACCTGGTAGATGCCCCTATTCAGAGCCCCTCCTCCAAACCAAGCACAGTCCAGGGAGCTGGAACAAGGCAAAGGAGGAGGTGCAGCCATTGCTCTTTCAGAACTCACAGCCCCATGGGAAGTTAAAGCCATTGCAGATGAGTGGTTACAGTGCCGCAGGATGTGGGGTGTGATAGACAAGGGCCCAAAGGCTATGCAAGCCCGGAGGAGAGCGTGTCTGATGGACTGGAGTGTCAGAGAAGGAGAAGGCTTCCTGGAGGAGGTGGATCTAAGCCTTGAAAGAGGAACAAGACTTTGAAGGCAAAAGAGGCAAAGGGAGGCAAAGAACCTGACGTGTTCAGGGCATGATGAGAGGGTCAGTGTGTTTGGAGGAAGGCAAGCATGTAGAACGTGGAGGGCGGTGGCACTGGAGAGAGACAAGGACCCAATGGGGAGAGCCTTGAATGCCACACTAGATGTTTGACTTACTCTTTTGGACAAAATCAATGGGAAGCCATTACGCTAAGGAAAAATGGAGGTGTGTGTGTGTGTGCACGTGCGTGCATGTGTGTGTGTGTGGTGACAGAGGGGACCAGAAGGGAAACAGCCTGGAGGTTGAAGGAACAGGTAGGAGATGATACAGTCTAAGGGAGATCAGTGAAGCAGCAGCAATGGGAAGAGAGAAGAGAGGATTGCAAGACTCGCTCAGGCAGAGGTGACAAGGCTTGAGGGAAGCTCGGCACAGGAGATAGTGTACCCTCATGTTTAAGCACATGGTCCTTCTGCTGTGGTTTACTCTTAGGTCATTGTTTACTGGCTGTGTGGCCATGGGCAAGTTGCCTCACCTCTTCGAGCCTTGGTATTTTCATTTATCAAATAGGGATACTAAGAGTACTCACCTCCGAGAGATGCTGAAAATCATATATGTAAAGCACTCAGTGGTATTTCATCCATTCAGCAAATACTTATTGAGCATCTGCTATGTGCCTGGCACTACTCTGTGGGCAGTGGATACAGCAGTGAATAAACTAAAACAAAATCCTGGCCCTCACAGGGATTACACCTTGGAGCGTTGGGAGACACATTAAACAAGATAAATAAGCAAGATATATATTATGTCAGATGGTGATAAGTGCTAAGGAAAAAAAACAAAGAAAGGAAGCTGGAAAGTGTTGGGAGGTTGCAATTTTAGGAATGAGCGAGTGGTCTTGAAGATGGACCCATCACAGATGGTATGTGAAGTTCAAGGCATGGGAGTGGAAATGCAGGCTGAGCTGGGAAGGAAGCAAAGGTTGCTGACATGCGGGATCAAGGGGTAAATGCCCAGGTTGTTGATGCACTGTTCCCAAGCATGCTCGAGTCACCTGAGATGATGGCAGGGCTTGGGAAACAGAGGAAGTCATGAGCCAAGCGCCAAGTGTTGACTAAAGGAGTATGATTGAGACCTTAGAGAAGGCAAGCCACAAGGATGGGATAGCCAAAATGCATCAGCCCCCCAAGGAGAAGGGTTTTGACAGGAGGACAGAAGAGTGACAGTCTTGGAGCAGCAACTGGGACCAAGGACACAGAGAGTTTCAGGAGAGGCACAAGATCTGGGGGAGTTTGCTGGCCATGCAGGGGCAGCTGTAGAGGACACAGGGGAAGGTTTGGAGAGGTGGGCAGTGGCCAGGAGCTGACTCAGGGGCACAGAATTACAGAGCTTCCCCCATGGTTTGATGGCCTGTTACAAGACGGGTGGCACTTATGGTAGGCAGGGAGGGTGGGTTTGGGCCATGGTACATAAAAACTGGAATGGGAGCCCAACAGATTGAACCTCCATAGCTTCTCTGTGGAGCCGCCCCTGACCTCATGGCCAGAGGATATCTCTCCCTCAGCGGAACCCATGCAAAACCCAGAAATGACCAGCCTGGCATTGTGATGACATATGGATCCATGCATTCATTCAACAAATATGTTTCACCCCTTTCTATGAGGGCAAGCACAGTTCAAGGTACTAAGGATGCATCGATAAGAAAAACAGGCCCCAATCCCTGCCCTTGTGGAAGGAGGCAGATGAAAAGCAATAAATGCAATGTTTTCTACATAACACATTGGAGAGACATGCTATGGAAAAAACTCCAAACAGAGCAGGATGAGGGATCTGAAGGAAAGGAGGAGAGGGGTGCAATTTTAAAGTAGGTTTTCAGGGCCCTTCCTGAGAAGGTGCCACCTGAGCAGACGTGAAGGGGTGAGGGAGCGAGCCATGAGCACGTGCATGTCTAGAGGCTGGAGTGAATCAATTAAGGGGTGGTCAGAAGGGAAACCAGCGGGGGCTCAGATCAATGGGGGCTTGAGGGACGTGGGGGCCATCAGGGAGTTTGAGCCATGGAGTCACACAACTGGATCCTTGTCTTCAAAGGACGACTCTGACTGCTCCACTGGGAATAGACTGTAAGGGGACAATGTGGCTGCTGCAGTGGGGATGACAAGAAGAGGCCAGATCATGAACTTCTGTCTTTATTTACTGGCTGTCTCTTCCATTAGTATCTCTACTCACGCCTGCCTGTTCCCACTGCATCCCCAGCACCTGGTGTCCTTCAGTGTCCTTGGGAGGCTGCTGGCACTCATTCATTCATTTCACTTTAGAAATATTTATTGAGCACCTATTATGTGCCAGGCATAAATATGAATAATGTCCTGCCCAGAAGGACAGCAACCATTTGGGATTTAGCATCTCTAGGCCATCAGAAAAGTGTTGGTATTTAACAGGCACACCAGGAACCTCTCTAAGCCGTATAGAACTCTTAGCATCCAAGTTGGACCCAACATTTCATCAGGAAAACACAGTCCAGAGCCTCAAATCATTCCAATCTTTCTATGTGCCTCTTAGAGAATATGAGAGGGGATCCAATTTATAACTCCGGGCACTCCTTCTGAAAAATCCTTTTTTCTTGCCCTCCCCAGTCCTCCCTCCCTTGTTCTTTAAGGCCCTCCCTCCCTCTTCTCCCCTGGCCCCTTTTGCCAGCTCCACTCAATCCCTTTCTGGTTTCTCTCACCTCACCAGCTCTTTTCCAGATGTAGCATCCCAAAAGTCAAGGAACTGGACAAAGACACGCTGTGTGGCACACTGAGGAAGGAGGTGGGGAAGGTAAACATAGTGTTGACCCTCACACACTTGACAAGCCCCACTCACACCAGACACCATTCCGAAGACTGAGCCCTGGCTTCCCACACCCTGACCCGGAGATGCCATGGCCTCGTCCCTGTCCCTGGGTGTTTCCTGTGGCCCGCGCCCACCTGAGGCCCAGGTTGGGACAGAGCTGGAAGGGAAGACACTCAGCAGAATCTACTCTGGTCCTCATGGTCCCCATCTCTCATGGGGATGGCCCTGGGCCCCTCCCAGGAGAAAGTCCTACACGCACACCCATTTACCTGTGTGCCATTGAGGCACCCCAAACCCACATCCAAAGCCAGCACACTCCCTTGAGGCCTCACTGTCCTCATCTGCAGAAGAATAATACCTTAGAAGGTTTTATGAGGATTAAATGAGATAATATATGTGCCTGGCACATTTTCAGTGTTTAATAAATTCCCGCTGTCATTGCTGTGACCTTTCCCCACTCCCACATTTCCTCTGCTGCTAGATTATAAACTCCTTGCCATGTGGGCTGGGTCTC
Source organism: Homo sapiens (assembly GCF_000001405.40). NCBI lineage: Eukaryota > Metazoa > Chordata > Mammalia > Primates > Hominidae > Homo > Homo sapiens. Next base: position 20,307,671 of record NC_000001.11, read on the forward strand.
ATCTTTGTATAGCCAGTGGCTAATTCAGGGCCTGGAATACAGTAGGTGCTTATCAATGCTGGATGAATTGATAAAAAATATGCATTAACCAGGCCTCCACAGGATTTAAAGTTTATTCTTTCCAAGGGGTTCTGACATTCTTTTTTTTTTTTTTGTAATATAGATTTTGGTTTTTTATTTGCGTGCATGTGTGTGTATTTTTTTTAAGATAATTTCAACTTTTAGATTTAGGGGGTACATATACAGGTTTGTTACATGGATATGTTGCATGATGGTGAGTTTTGGGGTGCCACTGATCCCGTCACCCAGGTAGTTAGCACAATACCCAATAGTTAGTTTTTCAACCCTTTCCCCACTCCTTCCCTCCCCGACCAGTAGTCCCGAGTGTCTATTATTGCCATCTTTATGTCCATGAGTATACAAAGTTAAGCTCTCACTTACAAGTGAGAACATGGGGTTTTTGGTTTTCTGTTCCTGCATTATTCGCTTAGGCTAATGGCCTCCAGCTGCATCCATGTTGCTGCAAAGGACATGGTTTTGTTCTTTTTTATAACTGCATGACATTCCTAAAGGGTCAATGCTGAGGGAGTCTGCCGTCTGTTATCAGATGAGATGTCCCTCATCTAAGCCCCGCTCCCTGGGCCAGGGACAGTGTGGGCAGATTGGGTTGGGTAAGATGCCTTCGGCAGAATCTCACCCCAAGGTGGACTGGAGCTGAGGTCTGGGATCGCTGCATGTCTGGGTGCTGGCTCCCTAAGGCTGCGTTCCCCAATCAGCATTCCAGACAGGAGCGAACCAGGATGCAGGGGGACTGGGCGGGGAGTGAACATTGGGAGGGGGGATGTGGCTCTGTCAGGAAATGAAGGCCGCCATCTTGTCCAGCACCCTCACGTCTTGCCTCCCCACCCCCTTGAAGTTGCCAGGCTTTGCTCTGGCCACCAGGAGAGAGATCTCCTGAGAGAAGGCTACTTGGGGAGACAGCAGCTCCCTCCCGGCTCTTTATCTGCCTGCTGCTGTCAGTCAGCCCAACAGGAGATAAGCCCAGAGCTGTCTGGGCCTGAGCCCAGAGGGAGAACATAATTAAAAAGCCACTGCTGGCCTGGCGGGGTGCCGGGGTGTCGGGGAGCACCTGAGGATCTCAGCTGGGGACATGGAGGGGACCCAGGGGGAAACAGTCCCTTCTTTGAGAAAGAGCAGGGTAGTCAGCACTCACTGAACAGCCTTGCAAATAAAGGGCAGCAGGCTACCAGCCCAGGGAAGCTTTGCCTGGCACCTACCCCGCAGACAGGAAAACCAGAGGGAATCTGACCTCAGACTTCTATCCCACACCCTTCATTTGACTTTGCTTCCCATTCCCACCCCACTTCTTCAAGGCATGTGATTACTTGGGCGAGGGTCTTGGGAGGCCCTAGATCATTGAGATGTGGTCCTGAGAAGTGCTATGGAGGCCTTCATCCTGCAAGGATGAAAGCCATGCATTCTCTTATTCATTCAATCAACACAAAGGGGGTTGTGAAGCCAAAGTCGAATCAAGGTGAAGCCAAAGTCGATGTGGCCCATGCCCACGTGTGTAGCGCCTATGCTCAAATGGGAAACAGAGAGTAACAGACATCGCTCAGAAACAGAACGCAGCACAACAAATGGATAGAGATACTCTTGGGGAGAAAAACTCAGCTCCGTGGGGGGATGACAGAGGATGCTGGGCACACTGGTCTGGCCTCCCTGCAGAGGGGACCCAAGTTGACCATGAAGGATGAGTAGGGGGTTACTGGTTTAAAAATGAGCATGGGGTGGGCCTTCCAGGCAGAGCAGCAAGCACAGGGATGGAAGGAACAGGACACATGTCCGGAGTGGAAACTGCTGGGACCCGCAGGGTGTGTTTGGGGACCGTGGTGATGCTGGGCTGGAGAGGCCAGCAGGGGCCCAACCCCACAGAGCCACAGGCCACCTTAAGCTTTGGTTCTCTGTCCAAGAAGCAAGGGAACCCATTGGTGGGTAGAAGAGGGTAGTGGGGTAGCAGAGACCTGTCCAGTTTATGTGTCCAGAATGTTTGTTCTGGCCAGTGGGTGGAAGATGGATTCTTGGGCAAGAGTAGATTCAAGAGGCAGATCAGGAGCTGCAGTCCAGGCAGAGGTGGTGGTGGCCTGGGACAGGGTGCTGGTGGCCATGAAGGGAGGATGTGGACGGATACAAGGGCTTTTCTAGGGAAGACACATGGGTCTTGGCGATGGATTGGCTGTGTGTGTGTGTGTGTGTGTGTGTGTGTGTGTGTGTGTGTGTGTGTGTTGCGGGCGTGGGGGTGGGGGGTGGTGAGAAGGAGGTGCAGGAATGACTCCCAGGTTTTGGCCTCTACACCTGGAAGAATGTGGCTCCCCTTACTTTGGTGACTATTGGGGTTGGCCCTCACATACCAAGCGTTCACTGCAGTGGGCAGCCTCACTGAAGTCAGAGGAGGGACGTGGTGAGCTATTCCAACGCTCTCATTCTGCAGAGGCAACATCTGAGGCTTAGAGATTACCGGACACATAGAGGATGGGGTCAGAGCCTGAGCCCCTCGACTCCCCTCCCCGCGTGGTCTGTTGGGGAGAATTCCAGGCTGAACGTGAGGCTCACTGGGCTCTAGCCCTGACTGTGCGCCAACGCTTTGAGTGAATCCCAGCAGGTCACATGCTTTCAAGCCTCAGTTTCTCTACCTGTAAAATGAAAGGAAGAGAACGGCCACTTCTCTTCTCAGGGGAGATTGGTAGTTATCCTGCGGTCACTTCCTTCCCAGGAACTGGGAAGTTCTTGGGGAAAATGAAAACAATGATGCTCTGATTGCTTGAGGGTGTCTGAAACGGGAAAACTAGGTTGAGGGGACCTGGGGGAGCCTCTTCCCACTTCCTGCCCTTCCTGTGTCTCACAGGTTCTGAAGGCTGAGTAGCCAGCGGGATGCCCGGCTTGCTGAATTGGATCACGGGGGCAGCCCTGCCCCTCACCGCGTCTGATGTTACCTCCTGTGTCAGCGGTTATGCCCTGGGCCTAACTGCCTCCCTCACCTATGGCAACCTGGAAGCCCAGCCCTTCCAGGGTAAGGACACCTGCTGGGGCCTCCCCGGGACCACCCCCTCCTCCACAGTGAATCCCTGTTTTGACATTTACTCGCTGACTGACCTTAGGCAAGTCATGCCACCCCTCCGAGTCTGTTTCCTCATCTATAAAATGGTGAGATTCTTTCTGCTTTGCAGGCCTCAAAGCTAGTAGCAAGGAGGGTCAGGATTTGAGCTGAGGAGGTTTGGATTCAGCCCCAGCCAACTGTCCCTGCACTTTTCTTTTTCTTTGAGACAGAGTCTCATTCTGTCGCCCAGGCTTGAATGCAGTGGTGCGATCACGGCTCACTGCAGCCTCCACCTCCCGGGCTCAAGAGATTCTCCCACCTCAGCCTCCCAAGTAGCTGGGACTACGGGCATGTGCCACCACACCCAACTAATTTTTGCATTTTTTGTAGAGATGGGGTTTTTCCATGTTGCCCAGTCTGGTCTCAAACTCCTGAGCTCAAGCAATCCACCCACCTCGGCCTCCCGAAGTACTGGGATTACAGGCATGAGCCACAGCGCCAGACTGTCCCTGCATTTTTACAGTCCACAAGGCACACTGTCCACAGGTCAGTCCCACACTTTCTCCAGGGAGCCTCACAAGAGGAGAGGCATCAAGACTCAGTCAAAGCCAGGAGCCTCCACTCCTACCATGGTTCTTGCTCCTATGACCCTGGGGAAGCTGCCACTCCCTCAAAATCGCTATGCTCCTCTCTGCTGTCCAGATGCCCTGGATTGTGGCGGAGCAGATGAGGTAATACAGAAGGCAGGACTTTGTGGACTGAGAAACCATCTGTGAATATGAACCACGGTCAGGGATGTGGAGTCACACTGGCCTGCCAGAGTCATTTGTAAATCAAACTCCTCTCCTTCCACTTCAGGAGGGGAATTGTGGGAAGGCTAGGAGGACACCGGCCAGGATTCCCTTCCTATCCGCAGTGATGGGGCCTCATAACCACCAAACTTCATGTCTTTGGTCACCAACCTTTGGTGACCAAACCTCAGCCCCACCTGAGGTTCTGAAACCCCTGCAGGCTACCCTGAGGACCAACACTACCCAAAGGGAGCTGCAGGGAAACTTTCTTTCCCTTAGAAATCTCCTGGGCAGGGCAAATGGCCCTGTTCCTCTGTTCAAGGAAACCTAGAGAGGGCGACTTAAATGAGGATCTACCTGTGGACTCAGGGGGCTAAATACCAAATAACTTCCAGCAGCCCTTTGGCTTTCCACGTGCAGAAGGAACAAGTGCCCCCATTTTACAGATGAGGAAACTGAGGCCCAGAGGGAGCGGAGGTCGGGGTTTGTGAGGGGCTCACCCTGGACCCAACATTGTGCTGTTCCAATATTAAGAGGGTAGATAAAATAAGACCTTAACACTGTAAATGTGATCCCCAGCCGCCAGCATTACTCAGAAGCTGCTTAGAACTGCAGGACGTCTGGCCCTACCCCAGAGCTACTGAATCTGAGTCTGCATTTTAACAAAATCCAAGGTCATTCGTGAGCTTCGAAAGTTTGAGAAGCACTAAGATATAATAATGTGTGGCACGTGGCTTAATAAATGATGCCTATTTTTTCGATTCTCACTACAAACCCTGGGAATTAGGCTTCATTATCCCCATCTTACAGGTGGTGCCAGGAGGCCTAGAGAAGCTAAGTGTCTTATCCAAGGTCACCTGGCTAGGAAACATGATGGGGTCTGGATTAGAACTCTAGTCTTCCTCCAAAGCCCCAATCTTCCATGCCACAGGTGGCAAACCTGTGGCCCATGGACAAAACTGACCACACAGATGTGCTATATGAGGCCCACACAAGTCCCATAGAAACCCATGTTTTCACTCTCTTGGAAAATCAGAAGTTCTGGCCACACCAGGCTCACACACCTGCAAAATAAGAGCTGGCCCTGCCGCTGTGCTTACCCACCTGGTCCCAGAGCTGGGAGGTCCCAGTCTGGCTCTCTGCCGAGGCCTCTCGGCATCCAATAAGCGGCAGTGGGCACCACCCAACAGGCAGACCAAGGGTTCAGGTTCCTTCCAGGCAAGGGGTGTGCAGGGTAGGCCTGGGGCACCCCGTGATGCTGGGCCCTGCTCCGACAGGCCTCTTCGTGTACCCCCTGGATGAGTGCACCACGGTGATCGGCTTTGAGGCAGTCATTGCCGACCGTGTCGTGACAGTACAGATCAAGGACAAAGCCAAGCTGGAGAGCGGCCACTTCGATGCCTCCCATGTTCGATCCCCAACAGTCACAGGTAAGGAGACCAGAAGGGCTGCCGCGGGACCTGGGTTTGGCCAGCCAGAGGCTGCCTGGGCTGGAGCCTCAGGCCAACTGCAAGGATAGCAGTGGGATATGAGGCAGAAAGAGCACTGAACTAGTCAAGAATCTTGGACAGAATCCTGTGCCACCTTGGGCCAATAATGAACTTCTCTGAACCTCAGCTTCACTGTCTGTAAGACAGAGGTAATTGACTTTCTGTAGTCACCTCAAAAGTGTGAGGCTCAAAGGAAGGGAGGCAACAAAAGGATTTTAAAGGTCTCTCTAGAGAACAGAATAACATATCTTTTAAGTTCAGAGGCTGTGGGACCAGTCACACCAGGATTTGACTTCCTTTCCTGTTGCTCACAAATGGTGGAGCTTAGAGAAAAAATTAACCCCCTCTGTAAAATGGAATAAATAGCTGTCCTCACCCGATGCTCAACAAGGACAATGCACGCAGAGGACTCACATCACAGTAAATACTCAAAGCATGGCTACTAATGCCTGCTACTGAGGAAACTGAGGCTCAGAGAGGGAGAGCAACTGGCTCAAGGTCAGTAAAAGACAGCTGTTACTGCCTTTTAGGCAGCACGTCACACAGCATGTTAGTGGAAGAGCCAGGGCTAGAATGTAGACCAGGTATAATATAATGTAAGAGATTCTTACTACTGGATCTACGATCAAGGTGAAGTTTGTTCACGTGGTTATTAAAATGTTCGGTGAGCACTCATCCTGTGTAATGTGCAAAGTTGTCCCTGAGTTGTTATGATTTATCACAGTCTGAAAGGCTAGTTAGGATCTGTCTAGGAGTAACCATGATGGGAGCAGGGGGTGGAAAGTGGCTGTGTCAAGAGAGGTTGTGATGATGTTAGAGGAAAAGACCAGCCCAGATCAGGGACCAAGGAGGTGTTCACGGAGGGGTTGTGTGGGTGGGTAGACTGGCTAATTAGGGATGAAGGAATAGGTGTTTTGATAAAAGGAAAGAGCATGAGCAAAACTATGGATCCCCAAGGTGGAGGACGCTTCGATTTGGTTCTTGGGGTGGGAAGTAGAGTTTGGAGGATGAAGATGTAACTCTCTGTTGGGGGTTTTGTGAGTCCAAGTTTTCCACTCCCAGCAAGGTAGAGTGGAAAGTTCACAGGCCTAGAGTCAGACGCATGGGGGTTCAGATCCTGCTTCAATGGCTTACTTATTCACAAGTCACACCCTCAAGCTGAGCCTTGATTTTCCCATCAGCAAAATGGGCCACTCACACTTACCACAACAGCAATCTTAGAGGGGATCAGAGATAATCTATGTACAGCCCCTGACGCCAGCCTGGCACTTAGGGAACATTCTGCAAGACGGGGTTTCCATAGCCCCTCATTCCTGCACACCGGGAAAGGTGACCTTGGACGAGGATTTGGAGCGGATCCTGTTCGTGGCCAACCTGGGGACCATTGCCCCCATGGAGAATGTCACCATCTTCATCAGCACCTCCTCGGAGCTCCCAACGCTGCCCAGCGGGGCTGTGAGGGTCCTTCTGCCTGCTGTCTGTGCCCCAACCGTGCCCCAGTTCTGCACCAAGAGCACTGGCACCTCCAACCAACAGGCCCAGGGGTAAGGAAGCCCTGCCCAGACCAATCAGAGTCCCAGGTGGGCAGCAGAGAGTGCGTCAGGTGACATTAGTAGGGGACAGGGTGGGGGGAGACAGGGAGGAGATGGGGAGGCTCTGCTCTACGATTGCCACCCTCTGAGCCATTTGCTTCTCCCCTGCTCACTTTTAGAACACTTAAAAGTATCCCTGAAATGCCCCTGTAATGGTACTGGCCAGAAGTTATGAAATTTGGACAGCTTGGAATCAGCATTTCCAAGCTGTCCAAATTTCATAACTTTACTCAAGAGGTACTTTCTGAGCACCTACAATGTGCCAGACACTGAGCTGGTTGTTAGGGATAGAGAAAGAGAAAAACCAACATGTTTCCTGACATTTTGGAACTTGGTGGAAGACCATTATACAACGATTAACACAATGAATTATGTGACTAATTATGTACTGGAATGCGTTATTGACTGAAAAGTACAAGGAAGGAGAAGTTCATTGGGCTAAGAGTATAAAAGACGGACCCAACCTAGGGGGCCAGGGGCTGGACCAGGCTTCTCCGAGGAGTGATGTTTCAGCTGAGAACTGAACGATGCGGAGGATGTAGGCACAGAGAAGAGCGTTCTCGTGGGCGAAAGCAGCAGGGACAAAGGCCCTGGGGTAGCAAGGACAGGGCCCCAGAGAAGAACAGAAGCACAGGTGGCACGCAATGAGGCTGCAGAGGCATTGGATGCCCTTTGGCCCTGGCTAAGACTGCGTTTCTCCCAAAAGCAACAAGGAACCATTAAGAGGGTTTTTGACAGGATGGGGAGGGGAACATGACAAGCCCAGTACTTGGACAGTTTCTCTGTCCTCCCCTGGTGTACAGGAGGGAAAAGGAGGTGGGTCACAGTCCAAGGCACTTACAGCTGAGATCATTTTCTATGAAAATAAGTGCTATAGGGGATGGAAGGGGACAGAGTGGGACAAGTGCTATTTTAGCTGCAATGGACAAGAACTAGACACCATTTGTGGCCTGACCTGAATGAAGGGTGCAAGCCATGGACATATTCTAGAGGGAATATTTTGTGCAGGGAGAGTCACAAGTGCAAAGGCCCTGAGGCAGCAGCAGGTGCCATGTGTCACGGCAGCAGCAGAAAGGCTGGTGTGGCTATCGCAGAGTGAGAGAGGAAAGGAGAGAGGTCAGATGGGTGGTGACAAGGGGGAACGTGCAGGGCCTTGAAGGACAACACTTGGCACAACAGAGAAGCTGGTGGCATAAGCCAGTCTCAGACCAAAGAGCGCCAGCCTGTGTGTTGTCTTTGTAAGTGTTGCCAGTGATGACGAGCCTTGTGCATTTGAGAGGCAGGGCCTAGCTAGGACATCCGGACCTCAGTGGATCAGGGAACAAGAGGCTCAGGTGGCCCTGATGCCACTGAGTGGGTCCTAATACGCTTATTCCTGCCCATTCCAGCAGGCAGAGTTAAGAGTGACACTCTTGGGAAAAGACTGCCTCAAACCCCTGTGAATCTCAAAGGAGCTCAGATAGAGTGACACAAGACAAAATTCAAAAACCAGATGATGCCAAGTATTAGTGAGGAGAGGGGGGATGCTTGTTCACTGCTAATGGAATTAGGAAAGGGGACATCCACCCTGGAAAGCAATCTGGCAATCCTCGGTGTGGCCTTTCACCCAGGGATCATGGAGAAGTTCTTTCACAAGTCCAAAGGGAGCACGGACAGGGATATTCATGGTGGCGTTATTTGTGGATGCAGGGAGGCCGAGCTGGGAACAACAAGTACAATGTAATGGATGCCCCCAAGTGACATCAAGTTAGCAGCGAGGACTTGGGTTTGCAGCCACCTGGGTAGAGTTTTAAGACGTAACACGGTGCCAAAAAAAGTAAGAGATCGAGGGAGACTCATAATATAAGGCAATCTTGTCAGCTTAAAGCACAATCACACCCAAATGCTGCCAAGTATTTTACAAGGATGTGTGCATATGGAAGGACATAGATTAAAGACCTTAGGGGGTGTGCCTGTGGAGACAGAACAGGATGGGAGATGGGGTGGAGATTGCAAAGAAAGAGGGTCCCGAAACGTGAGTACTCAGCAGGTGACAGACACTTGGCTAAGCCGTTGCTCCTGGAGTCCTCAAAGCAACTGCAAAGTATTGTCCCCATTTAAAGGATGGGAAAACAAACACTTAGAGGAGAAATGACTCGCAGGGCTTGCAGCTTACAGAGACAGAGCAGAGATTCAGGACGTGGCGTGACGCAGTACAAACTCTTTCACCATGGAGCCAGACAGACCTAGGCTAGGAGATCTGGGCCAGGACTCTGCCAAATCTTAATAGTGGGAATGGAGGCCGAGACGGGCGGATCACGAGGTCAGGAGATTGAGACCATCCTGGCTAACACAGTGAAGCTCCATCTCTAGTAAAAACAAAAAAATGAGCCGTGCGTAGTGGCGGGCACCTGTAGTCCCAGCTACTCGGGAGGCTGAGGCAGGAGAATGGTGTGAACCCGGGAGGCAGAGCTTGCAGTGAGCCAAGATAGCACCACTGCACTCCAGCCTGGGTGACTGAGCAAGACTGCATCTCAAAAAAAAAAAAAAAAAAAAAAAATAGTGGGAACTTGTGCCAGTTACCTCACCACACTGAGCTTCAGTGTCCCCACATGGAAAGTGGAGACCCTGAAATCTTCCTCCCAGAGCTGCGGTGAGAACGATGTGAGCTACCCATCGGGAGCACCGTGCCTGGTGCCTGGCCCAGTGTGGGTGCTCCTTGGAGGTGGCTGTGCCTTACATCAGAATCCAGGCTCTCCCTGGGGTCAGGTTGAGTGGGAGAGCACGGGTCTGGGGGCCCCCTTGGTGGGCTGGGCTGCCTGGAACTCATCGTCCTCTCCTTGTCTTCTCGCGCTGGACCCCTTCTTCCACCCTGGCTGGTCTCCTTTCCTTCCCCCGGCCCTTTTCCAGCAAAGACAGGCACTGCTTCGGTGCCTGGGCCCCGGGCTCCTGGAATAAGTTGTGCCTGGCGACTCTCCTGAACACCGAAGTGTCCAACCCCATGGAGTATGAGTTCAACTTCCAGCTGGAGATCCGTGGGCCATGTCTGCTCGCAGGTGAGAGGGAGACATCCAGACGGGATGGGTGAGCTTCAGGCGAAAAGCCAAAGGCTGCCAGGGATGGGACGGGGGTGGGAAGGAAAGCCAACTGGCCCAGATGGCAGACCTACTAAAGTACACAAAGCCTGTGGACCCCCATTTCCCATGGCCCCAACAAGCAGCCCAAAGATAAGTCCCTTCCCAGGATGGATTTCAAGGCAACCGACTTTCACCCCAGTGGCTTCCTCGGAAGAATGTCCATGGGGAATGGTGGCCCTTGGTTCTCTCCTAGAGGCCACAGCTGTAAAGCTGCTTCCTGGTTCTCACCTTGTCTACATATCAGAAGCACCCAGAGACACCCAAACATCCTGCATCCTAGATCCCACCCCCCAGAGATTCTGGGGTGAGTTCCAGGCATGGAAACATTTAAAAGCTTCCCAGGAGATTCTAACATGTAACCAGGATTGAGAACCATTGCTCTGAAGCTTCTCCCCACAACCACTCAGAGCCTTAAAAGGACACTAGGATATGGTTTCTTGTCAGTGCGTCCTCTCCTAGAGCAACATTGCATTCCAGTGTGAGGTGCGTTTATGGAGCACCCGTCAAAAAAGCACCCTCCGACGGAGCGCTGAGAGCCATCTGCTTGGCAGGATGCTGGGATCAGTGCGTGCCCTATAAGAATGCAACTCCTCCGACCCCCACTAGATCCTGAGTTCAGAGCAGGAAGAGTCATCAGACACCATCTATCTAAGCTTTCATTTTACAGGTGGGGAAATTGAGGCAGCCTGGCCATGGTCACACTGCAGGTCAGGAGCCCCTAACGGGGCTGGCATGTCACTCATCTCTGGCCTGGATCTCGGTGTGCCCCAGCGAACTCCTCTCTCTCCTGACCTCATGAGCCTATATCCCCCTTGCCTTTCTATGCCACTCAGGGGTGGAGAGTCCCACTCATGAGATTCGTGCCGACGCCGCCCCATCTGCCCGCTCGGCCAAGAGCATCATCATCACCTTGGCCAACAAGCACACCTTTGACCGGCCTGTGGAGATCCTCATCCACCCCAGCGGTACGGTGCCCCACAACGGGCCCCTGGGCTGCCTGTGGGAGGGAGGAGGTGCTGATCCTGTGGGGACAGAACATGTGGCCCCCCGCCCAGCAGCTAGCTAGCCAGGGAAAGAGTCGGGGTGGGGGGTGTGGCCAAGGAGAGGAGACCCACTACTTGCCTTCTGGGAAAGTTGGCTCTAGCTGGTGGAATCGAGTGTCTCCTGCCCTGATTCAAGCTCCAGAGGCCTAGGGTCTCATCCACCCATCGGGGCACTTTACCCCCAGGCCAGCTGAACAGAGAGAGGATCTTTGAAACCCAAAGCTCAGTGATACCCTGGAAATTCTGTAGCCTCAAGGAGAAATTCTTGTCTGTTCAAGAATTCACAGAATGTCAGGACCTAAACACATCAGAGAGTCATTTAACCCCATCCTACTACCGTTTTACAGATGGCTCAGCTGAGGCCCAGAGAGGGGCAGTGAGTCACCCATGGCCACTAGGCTCCCCTGCCTCCCAGCTAAGGAGTCTTCCCTAGCCCTACACTGCTTCAGGCAGCCAGGGCTTCCACCCCGCTTCCAAATGGGAGTCCCACCCCTGTGAGAATCTTGCACCTAAACCAAAGCCCCCAGCATCCTTCTCCTACGATACCTGGCCAAGTGCTGAAAGTCGATCTCATCTCTGCAGAGCCCCATATGCCCCATGTCCTGATAGAGAAAGGGGACATGACCCTGGGAGAGTTTGACCAGCACTTGAAGGGAAGAACAGATTTCATTAAAGGGATGAAGAAGAAGAGCAGAGCAGAGCGGAAGGTGAGGGCAACTGAGGTGGGGAGCGGACGGTGGCAGAGTTGGGGTGGCGCTGAGGCCTGGTCTCCACTGAACAAGTGAGGTGGGGAGGTAACCTGCCCGAGGTCATCCAGCAAGCTGGAGGCAGACACCAGGCAAGAAGTGTTTCCTTCTGTGGGCCCCCGGGCACTGCAGGGCACTTTCAAATGCCCCGTCATCCTGGCTCTATTCCCGCCTCCTGCCAGATCACCTTTCTCCAGGACCTAGCAGGTGCCTAAGCCAGGAAAATTTATATATGGTGGCAGAATGGCCTTGGCCTCCTCCAGGCCTCTGCATCCCCAGGGGTGCCCAGGACCCTTCAGCTCCTTACCTCCTGGACCTCCCTTACCCACCAGCTGGGTAGCCTCTTGCTCTTCCTCCCTCTGGGGCCCTTGCTTGCTATGACATAAAGGACAAAGGCAGAGTGGGGAAAGCCTGAGAAAGATCCTCTCCTTCTGCTGTCCCCCACCCCATGAAGCTGCAGGACAAGGAGGCCTGGCCAGGGGCCAGGAATGGGAAAGGGAACGTTGGAGGCTGAGCGTCAGCCACAAGTCACACCCCATGCTCTGCCTCCCGCTCATGGTCCTGCACACTGAGCCAGGTCCTGAATGCCAAGATAGGTTTCAGAATGATGGCTCATCTCTTTCCATTAGCCCCCTTTTTAGATGAGAAAACTGAGATCTGGCACCCAAAGATCACCAGTAAGCTGGAGGAAGGGAAAGACTGTGATCTCAGAAGTTAGATTTGGTGACCAGGAGGCTAAGGGATGAGAACGGATTCTGTGGGGCAGTTGAGCTGGATTTCACACCACCACCCATGCTCTGCCCGCCTAGCTGGCACAGGGCAGTGGCAAGGTGGGGAAGTGGACAGAGACCCCCCTAGAAGCACATGCTCTCCCAGAGGTGCCCCTCAGCCAGATGAGTCAGTTGGGATAAGAAGCTGGAGCCCGGGGTTCTCAGAGTAGGGGGTGGCAGTGCCAGAGGTCCCATTGAGCTCTGAGAACTGCTGCCTATGGGCCAGTGGGGCCCAGTGGGCCTCCCAGGCCTGGGGCTGGCTGCCCTGCCTGCCAAGCCTTAAATAATTGGCTCGGGGATGGCGGAAGCAAATGAGAATTAACTTGCCACCTTGGGGTGGTTATGCAAATAGCCCGTATTCTCACAAACTCCAGGGATGACAGCAATCAACCCACAGCTGCTAAGAAATGATGAGTTTATTAATAATTGGATAATGGCAGCTTGAGGAGACATTAGAGAATCCTGAGCCAGGGCACCAACCCAGTCCCTCTGAGAGGCAGATAAGGTTTCTGGAGGTGGCTTCTCTCACTGGCAGATGTGGCTGCTTCTGCCTAGGGCTCTGTCATCAAAAGAGCCCGTCTGGGCTGTGGCCTCTGGTGGAGCGGCTTCACGTGGGAGAGAGACAGCGAGATCCCTTGGCAGGGAGAAGAGTGGGTTGTGGGTATCCACAGGGTGAACATCAATCAGGAAGAGTGGGTGGGACAAGCTGTCAGAAACCCTGGTTTAGCAAGGAGAGGGTAGATCACATAGAAGGGCACACCACGCGTGAGACACAGAGATGCCAAGAGTAACAGAGGCAAAAAAAAAAAAAAAACACGAAAAGATGCACACACAGGTCATTGGCAGACAAAAAGGCCCACACAGATTAATTCCCTCACTTATTTATTCAACAAATAAATCTTAGGGGGGCAATACTGAGAATGACACAGTCTTCATCTTCATGGAGCTTATATTCTGGGATGGAAAGACAGAGGAAGAAAAGCAAATCAGGCCGGGCGCGGTGGCTTACCCCTGCAATCGCAGCACTCTGGGAGGCCGAGACAGGTGGACCACAAGGTCAGGAGATCAAGACCATCCTGGCCAACATGGCGAAACCCCGTCTCTACTAAAAATACAAAAATTAGCTGGGCTTGGTGGCGCATGCCTGTCATCCCAGCTACTCGGGAGGCTGAGGCAGGAGAATCGCTTGAACCAGGGAGTTGGAGGTTGCAGTGAGCCGAGATTGAGCCACTGCACTCCAGCCTGGTGGCAGAGCGAGACTCTGTCTCAAAAAAATAAAAATAAAAAAGCAAATCAATGAGCCAGATCTGTTTGGAGAGGGCTGATATGATCATGAGTAGTAGGTGCTGGGTGTTCTTTAGCCGGGCGTCAGCAAAAGCCTGTCTGAGGATGAGACCTGGCAGAAGACCAAGAGCCCAACGTGGGAGGAATGGATGGAGAGGGCACAGGGGATGGAAGAGCAGGAAGCAGAACAATGGTGACCTTTTTGGAAAACAGGAAGAAGGTCAGTGCGGCTGAAATATAGGGAGCAGAGTGGGTAGAGAGGAGGTGGACAGGCAGGCAGGGGTCAAGCCACAGGGGGCTTCCTAAACTATGGTTCAGAGTATTCAGTGAGGGCACTGCTTGAGCAAGAGAATGACAAGAACAGTCGCTCTGGCTGCTCTCTGCAGAATGGACCACAGGGAGATAAAAGTTGGAGAAAGAGAGCAGGATGAGACTATTGCAAAGGTCGAGAGAGAGAGACAGTCCTCTCCTGAACACGGGCAGTAGCAGTGGAGTCAGAGAGATGTGGACGCGTTCTGGCTGCATGTTAGCAGCAGGACTGGCAATGCTTTGCTGCAGGATGGAATGCGTGGAGTGAGGAAAAGAGGGGAACTGAGGACAACTGTTAGGCGTTTGGTTTGAACAACTGGGTGGGTGGTGATGTCATCTATTGAGATGGGGAAGGAACCCAAATAGACAGAAACTGAGAAACAGACACAGAGACACGTGTACACACAGAGACAGCCAGATAAGGAGACAGAGAGAGAAAGTCGGGGTGGAAAGTGAAAGCAGCGTGAGAACAAAGGAAATGAGATTCTGTGTGAAGGGGAGGGGGAGAAGCAAGGGGAAGGGTCCTGGCCTCAGGGCCAGCTAGGAGGCCACATAAAAGGATAAACACCAAGGCCCTGTCCCTTCCTTAATCTTTACTGATCCATCTCTGGACTAGGCCCTGTGTTAAATTCTGGAGAGGTAAAAGAAGCTAAGAGATGACCTGCCCTCAAGTATAATAGCAAACAAGTTGACGGGAGGCAGAGATCGGAGCAAAAAACTATTCGGTGTGAGAAGTGCCTGGGCCTCCAGGACCAACAACAGCAGCACCAGCAATGGCAATGATGGCTGCTGTTTAGAGGCCATTGCTCTCTGCCAGGCAGCCAGCTTCACAGGTGCACTGAACCCATGCAACGACTCAGTGAGGTATGTCTTCTTGTCCTCATTTAATGGATGAGGAAACTAAGTAATTAAGTCCACCTGGAAATTGGGGAAGCCTTTCCAAACAGGTAGAATTTGAAGAGTGAGTAGGAATTTAACAACGGGAGAGAATCGGTAAACCAAGGAAACCCAGTTCACAGCCAACATGAGCCAGAGAGCAGTATACACACTGAGTGTAAAAGCGAGAGACCATTACTCAACCAACGGGCTTCTCGCGTCTGTGCTGACTCAGTTCATCCTCACAACCACCCTGAGAAGCGGACATTATTCGCCCCATTTTACAAATGGGTAAATAGACCCAGAGGAGGGACTCACCCCCATATCACACAGTCGGATGGTGACAGAGCTGGGATTCAAACCCAAGTCTTTCTGTCTGCAAAGTCCATGCTTGCTGTTGCAACCCGTGAAGGTCTAGCAAACAGAAGAGCTGAGCACAGTCAGCCCGGAAGTCTTCCATGCAGAGCCTGAGCAGGATGTGGGTGCACGGTGAGTGACGGGGACCAGCATGAGTCCCCAGGAGTACCTCTTGACCCTGATTGCCCAATCAGAGTGTTCTTTCCTCTTCCAGACAGAAATCATTCGAAAACGCCTCCACAAAGACATTCCCCACCACTCCGTCATCATGCTCAACTTCTGTCCCGACCTCCAGTCAGTCCAGCCGTGCCTGAGAAAGGCCCACGGGGAGTTCATCTTCCTCATTGACAGGAGCAGCAGCATGAGCGGGATCAGCATGCACCGAGTCAAGGTACCTGCTGAGAGAACCCCTCCCGAGGACCCGGGGCTCCAGGGGAAATCAGCTGTGTGCCCCCAATCCAGCTTCCTCAGCACTTTCTGTTCCAAGAAACAACTTTTAAAAATCAGTTTAAACAGAGATACCCAAACTCCATTTGCATCCCCATAAAAACATGAAGTGGTGTGAGCAGAAGCTGAGCTGGCATCCATTTATAAGGGATGAAGTCATCCGTAGCTGTCCTTTGCATTCTACAAACTTTAGCTAAAACACTCCAGTAGGTACTGAGTGGAGCAGGGCACAGGGAAGAGGGGAAGGGAAGTAACATTTGCTGAGGGTCTGCTATGTGTTGGATACGGTGCTAGCCACTTAACGTGAAGCTTGGTACCTCATCCAGACAATAATCTTATGCGTTTGATCCTATTTTTGCCATTTTCCATATAGAAAAGCTGATCTTGAGAGTTTCAGTCACCTGCCCAAGGTCACATGGCCACTGTGGTCTAAAATTAAATCCATGTCTCCCTGACTGTCCCCACCACCTGACATCAGAGCTTCAGTGGACATGGCCCCTGCCATCAAGGAATGTGTAGAATTTGGTAGAAAAGACTTGGTTTCTCTTTTTTTCAAATGCCTAATAGGTGCCAAGCCTTGCCCTTGGCCATCTGGAAAAACAGCAGAATGTAAACACATTTGCTGTCCTCAAGGAGCTGACAGTCAAGAGAGAGGCACAGGCCTGCTAGCCAATCAGAATACATGGGAGCTTGGTCTCCCTGCTAAGGAGAGCTCCTCAGGAGGGTGGAAGCAATGGTGATAGAATCCTCCCCCCTCACAATCCAGATGCATTTCACCTGCCCCCTGCCCCACCCCCAGGAGATTACTGGTCTCCATTGTGGCATTATCCAACACTCCCTTGTATTTTTGATTGTGCAGATGTCTGTCTCTCTGGAGTTATGAACTCATTTAGGAAAAGGGTCGTCTATCCTCTCACCTGTCTTTTTCCATGGGGCCTAGCTCTGTGTTTATGCATAAAAAGCCTTCTATCTCTTTATTGATCCGGGTAAAGGATAACTGAGTTCAGGAGAACAAGGAAGGAGGGGGCAAGAACAGAGTGGGGCTCTGCCGTCACCTGAAATTTCATCTTTCCCCCTAGTTTGTTCCCAGAGCAAGCTCTTGTTTCCAGGGCAGCAAGCTCAGCAAGGAGAGGAGGGTTGGGTGGGATCTGGGATGCCAGGTATCTCCATGGGTTTGCTACAGTTGTCTTGAAGTATGACAAAGGAATCATACACAGGACCCAAGTTCCTGTTTGAAGTCTCATGACACAGGGGTGTAGTAGGGCTGATTGGCACCTTCTTCCCCAACCTGCCCACCGTCAGAGGCAAACATTGGAATGAGAAGCTGTCCTCGGTGCTGGAGTGCTGAAGCACGCTCAAGGCCTCTGTGGCCATCTGTATCCCGTTCCGCATCTTTATCAGTTCGTAAGATGTCTCAGTTACCCTAGAGCATCACAGAAGCATAAACCTAAAACATGCCTTAGGGAGCATTTAATCCATTTTCCCTCCACTTTCCAGGTAAAGAAACTGAGTCGCCAAGAGGCTAAGTGCTTTTCCCAGCATCACAGGGCTAGTGAGAGAGCCTGGGCCTTCTATGTCTTGCTTCAGAGCTCATTTTCCTTACATTGCTTATGGAGAATTATGCATACTGTTCCACTAAAAAATTCTCTTCTCTGATGATGTCATCTCTGCTGCATGGCATCATGCCAAAAGCAACACCTGGATTCCAGGGTCAATTCTGCCACCGATTTGCTCTGTGACTGTGGACAAGCTGATTTTCAACTCTGGGATTCATTCATACTTTCTGTAGAGAGAGAAGGATCAATTCAGGCAGAGTGAACGTATGTCATATATCCCTCCGCTCCCCTCCCTCTCCCAAGCCCAGGTAGACCTCAATTCAATAATTGGTCATGACATTTTTTTTCCTGCTGAGCCTGGACTCAGTCTATATCCTTCTCATCCAGTGTTCCAGGCAGTTACTACCAGTTAAATGTAATTAGTTCATAAATGGAAATCCACTTCCTGGACTGAAAGCCTGTCCAATCTTTGCATTCCAGAATTCTCGGACAATAACTTTCTCTGGCTCTCCTTTCAGTCCTCTTTCTCCTTGGAATCTCTCCTGCCCTTCTCCAGTTCAGCTCACTGAGCTCAAGGTCATGCCTTCACAAATGGCTTTGCATTGGTGCCATCCATTCTGCTAAACATGACCCTTTTAGAGAAAGGCACAGAAATTACTCAGGCTACACACCCCTTTCCCCACTGACAATGAGGCCACTGGAAGGTTGCTTGGGTCCTTAATTGTGACCCACTGGGTTGAAGTTTTAGGAAAATCTAGGCTCAGGGAGGAGGGAGAAAATAGAAATCCAAAGAGCTTATGCCAAAGGGGAAAGTCCGGCCAATTTAATTTCCTGCAGCTGGTCTCATTCTTCAGCTGCCACTTGCTGCCAAAAACATGGCTTTAAAAATTCTAATAGGTGTGAGCAGAGACAATCTGTATGGATCAGCAGAATCTCCTCCTAGCAGGAATATGCATTAGTGACTAATGAAAAAATAAGCAGACATTGACTTCTTTTGTAGAGAAACCAAATGTATTGACGCAAGCAATGAAGAGAGATTGAGAGAATGTTAATGTTAATGTTTGCAGGGTGGGGGATGGGATTGGGGTGTGAGTATGTGGAGCCTGGAAATCTGTGTGGTGTAAAAGGTGCCAGAATCCTCTTGCAGCTGTTTTCTTCTAGATCATGAAGGATGACGGCTTCCCTGAAGCCATGCTGAGATCCCTGGGGTACTATCAATAAACAAGATGGGGGACATGGGGGTGAGGGGGAGACAGACCTTCATTCCTCTGCCAAGGCAGAGCCAACATGAATAAAAATCTCAGAACTGTGGGGTTTTTTTGTTTTGTTTTGTTTTGTTTGAGATGAGTCTCACTCTGTTGCCCAGGCTGGAGTGCAGTGGCGTGATCTCGGCTCACTGCAGCCTCCGCCTCCCGGGTTCAAGCAATTCTCCTGATTTAGCCTCCTGAGTAGCTGGGATTACAGGCGTGTACCACCATGCCCGGCTAATATTTGTGTTTTTAGTAGAGACGGTTCAGGCTGGTCTCGAACTCCTGACCTCATGATCTGCCTGCCTCCACCTCCCAAAGTGCTCGGATTACAAGCGTGAGTTACCGTGCCCAGCCAAAGCTGTGTTTTTAAAGCCTCTGTCATTAGTCTTAGGTTTTGCAATCCAGGGCAATTCCTTAGCTCTCCTGAGCCTCAGTTTCCTTATCTGTAAAGCAGGGTTATTAATATTAATATAGATCTCACTGAGTTGATAATGATAACCATTTGCTGAATGTTTACTATGCACCTAGCTGAGGCTCAGAGGGGTGACATAACTTAGAACATTTAGCACATAGTAATTGCTTGATATTTATCATTGCATTGTATCATAACCATCGTCACCATCATGATCATCATGATCATCATCATCATCAATTTTGCTTCTACCATCACCTCCACCTCCCTCATTGTCACTATTTTTTTTCAGTCTACCTTTATCAAGGTCTCCTGCTGGGGTTACATGGGTTATGTTTAGTGTCCATAGACTTTGGAGGCAAAGTGACATGGCTTTGAGTCCTGACTCCATTATTTACCCTCTGGATGCTCACCAACATGTTACTTCCCCTCTCTGTGCCTCAATCTTCTCTTCTATAAAATGGGGATAAAAGCGTACCTGCCTCGAAGGGTTATGGTGAAGATCAGTGAAGTGATGCATGTAAAGTACATCCTGTGTACCTGACAAATATGAGCTGAAGAGACTGCCCCTGAGGATGTGTCCTTAGTGATGGTTAGGTTGAGTCTGATGCAGAAGGTCCCACAGGAGGGCCAGAAGCCATTCCATCCACAGTGTGACCTGGACCAGGCCACTTTCCTCCCTTGGACATCAATTCTGCTTTGGCAGCAGGGAGAGGGTGCTCCCTGCTCTCCCCACCTCTCAGGATCAGGAAGAGGTTAAATGGAACTGGAAAGCCATAATAGAAAGGCTTTAAGAAATCAGACCTGCTACATGGATAAGTTTGATGATGATGACGACGACGACGATGATGATGATGATGGTGGTGGTGGTGGTGGTGGTGGTGGTGGTGGCTTTGGTCCAGCCTCTGGTCAGTGTCAGCAAATTTCTTGATGTGAGGGAAAAGGAGTTGCTGGGTGCAGACAGAGGAGGGTAAAGGTCTGTTTGGAGGCTGCTCGTGTGCTGGGAAAGGGAATATTGGAGTGCAGTGGCCGAGTGACAAGAACTCCTTCCTGAATCCTGAAAACCCCTTTCTCTCCTGCCAGGATGCCATGTTGGTGGCCCTTAAGAGCCTCATGCCAGCCTGCCTCTTCAATATCATTGGGTTTGGATCCACATTTAAGAGCCTTTTTCCTTCCAGCCAGACCTACAGTGAGGTAATGAGGGGGCAAGGCTGGGACCAGGAGGGTGGTGCATGGTGGGGAGCAGAGGAAAGGAGGGAAAGGGGAAAAAATAGTTAAAACCCTAGTGCTGGCCTCAGAAGCTGCCTACCCACAGAGAACCCAGATCACACCCGGGGGCAGAGAACTGAAGAGAAACTATCTCTGTTTGGACATTTTTCTGACATCTCAGCCTTCTGACATCCCCTCCTCTTTAGAATCAAACAATATTTTGGGCAAAGTGTGTGTGTGTACAGAAATGAGGTACGGAAAGTGGGTAGAGAGAGGACATAGCCCAGGCCTGCCACTCACTGAAGCCTCCGTTTCACAAGGATGATGGACGCATGCAAGGTTGAGCTAAGGAAGCGGCTGATAAGGAGTAGGGGAGTGAATAGGTGGATGAGTGGGCGTGGCAGCGGGCTAAGAATGGAACTCACAAGGCTCAAGATACTGTGTGAAACAAGAAGGCTGTGGCCCCAGCAGCGTGTTCAAAATTGGAGCATCCTACCCAGATCTAAGAAGAGGAAGAGAGGGAGGGAGGAAGGAAGGAAAGGAGGGAGGAAGGACAAGCAAATGGGACACTTTTCAACTAAAAATAATGTTATGAGTTTTAAAAATGCAAGAATAATATATGTTGCATGCGCTTGTAATCTCAGCTACTTGGGAGGTTGAGATGGGAGGGTCGCTTGAGCCTAGGAGCTTTGACTCCAGCCTGGGCAGGACAGTGAGACCTCATTTCTACAAACAATGACAACAACAAAAGAATAATATGTATTGATCATTCCACAATGTTTAAATGTACATATCAAAAACAAATTTTTTTTAAAAAATCTCCTGTGATTATGTCAGTCAGGATAAAAGGAAGAAAAGACACTGCTAAGAGCTTAGTATAAATCCTTCCAGCCCTTGTTCTATGCATTTACACACATTTTCAATAAAGATAGGATTAGGCCTTCCATACTGTTCTGTAACCTACTTTTCTAACGCAGCAGTCTATCATGAATGTATTTCCATGCCAGTAAGTATTAATCTGTAATGTAACTGTAATGGCTTCCTAGTATTTCACTACACAGATAGATTGGGACTTATTTAACAAAACCCCTGCAGTCAAGCATTAAAGTTCTTTCCATTTTATTTAGTCATCTTTGTATCACAGATTTTGCATGTATCTTTAATTATTCCCTTAGGATTAATTCCTAGCCTTGCTGGCTCAAAAGCTACACATACATCTTAAGACTTTTGAAACATGCCATTACTGCTTTTTTTTTTCTTTTTTCTTTTCCCTTTTTTTTTTTTTTTTTTTTTTTTTTTTTGAGATGGAGTCTCTCTTTCTCTGTCACCCAGGCTGGAGTGCAGTGGTGCGATCTTGATCTTGGCTCACTGCAACCTCTGCCTCTCAGGTTCAAGCGATTCTCCTGCCTCAGCCTCCCAAGTAGCTAGGATTACAGGCATGTACCACCACACTTAGCTAATTTTTATATTTTTAATAAAGACAAGGTTTCACCATTTTGGCCAGGCTGGTCTCGAATTCCTGACCTCAAGTGATCCACCTGCCTTGACTTCCCAAACATGCTGTTACTTCTAAGTCCTGTCCAAGGGTGGATGTTGAAATAGCATCCCCCTGAGCCAGGAGAAGGAGGTCACTGTATCCAGTGGGAATTTACTCTTGCTGCAAATGACATCCATCCTTGGCCAGTTGGGACCCACACAGTTGGTCCAGAGCAAGGAAATCTGAAGCCTGGATTAGAGAAATGATTTTCTCAAAATGTCACAGGGGGCTGGTGCCAGAGTCAGTCTCTGGTCTCAGATCTTAAGATTTCTAGTCCAGTGCTCTTTCCCTCACACCACCCACCTCCCTCATGAGAAAAAGAAACCTCATGTGTGCTAAGGAATCAGGGGTTTAATGTGTTCCAGGAGTGCTTCTATTTTTAAAGGAGAACCCGGAAAGGACAACTGGTTGGTGTTTCAGGCATTGGTAGGGGGTGCTGTTGAGCAGGATGACACCAAATGAGTGGCCACCCATTCTTCCTGTGAGTGTGGGCAGGGATGAAATTGGGAGCATGGGTCAACTCTGGTGAGGCTAAAAGAAGATCTAGGGAAACAAAGTCCTCTTCCTTAGGTGGTCTAGAGTCTCTGTACCATACGGTGACACTGGGGACTGTCTGCTTCTCTGCAGGACAGCTTGGCCATGGCTTGTGATGACATCCAGAGAATGAAGGCCGACATGGGTGGGACCAACATCCTTTCCCCTCTCAAGTGGGTCATCAGGCAGCCAGTGCACCGAGGCCACCCGCGGCTCCTCTTCGTGATCACAGATGGCGCTGTCAACAACACAGGGAAGGTGCTGGAGCTGGTGCGAAATCACGCCTTCTCCACCAGGTCGGCCTTGGCTGAGGGTCTAGGCTCGGTGACTCCAGGCTGCCGGGGCTGGGGCGCCAGAGCCCAAGGGCAATGTGGAAAATGCCAGAGGGAGAGGATAGGACCCACAATTCCCAAAGGGCTTTGCTTCCAAGATAGTGTGGGCTGATTTCAAAGTTCATCTTTTTCCCTCTCAAGTTCTGAATGGGTGAGCTACCCATGCCTCTGCACACGACTCACAAGAGAAGCCCAGGGAGAGGTCCCACAGCCAAGGGAGAGGCTGCTCCCGCTCTGTGCTGGGTGGGAATTAATGGACTGTCTGTGGGTGAATTGATGGGTGTGTATGTGGGTACCCCCGATGGCCCCTCTTCCTTCTCCCTCTCCCTCTACCTGAATATAGGGCCAGCTCCAAGATCCTGCCAGACCATGCTCTGTCCCTTTCTGCATCAGGAGGCAAAGATGCAGAGAGGATAAGACATAGCAGCCTCTCTTCTCCCTTTCCGCCAGGTGCTATAGCTTTGGAATTGGACCCAACGTCTGCCACAGACTGGTGAAAGGACTGGCATCTGTGTCCGAGGGCAGTGCTGAGCTCCTGATGGAGGGGGAGCGGCTGCAACCCAAGGTAGGCAGCAGAACCCACGCAGTCCCTTCTGGTGCTGGAACCTCAGAGGCTCAGACCAGTCACATGGCAACTCAGTGGTGGAGCTGGGATGACACCCCAAATCTGAGCTCTTCACTAGGCCACACTGCATCCCAATGAGAACCAGAGACTTGCAAGCCACAGAGCAGGCAACTCTTGAAGCAATGCCAGGACGCTAGATCCCCTGGTCTCCAGCCACTGGACACACACTCCATCCACTGCTGGACAAGATGAGGCTCCTGGAAAAGCTACCACCTATATGGATTGAAGTTGTGTTTGAGGTCCATATCTGGACATGTTCCTGATGATGACAAATGGTGGCTCAGAAGAATCTAAAGAACCCAGAAATAAAGGAGGCTATAGTCTGCTTTCCATGTCCTGCACATTTGACACGAATAATCTAACCCTTAGAAAATCCCCTTGTCAGTCCAGTAAACAAAGACAGGGCTGGGATTAAGAGTGAAGATGTTTATTGGGGATAGTGTCTATGAAAGGTGGAAGAGGAGGAAGCAGGAAGAAAAACTCTTCAGGCCAAGAGGCCAGTCCAACAGCTGTGAAAGGAAAATGGGAGCAGAATTGGGCAAGAGAGCCTCAAACTGTGATGCCCTGGCAGGGTCTCAGCCATCCAGCAGGGAGCTCTGGAGCAAAGGTTGCCCATCAAAGTCAGGGATGTGCTGAAATGAGCAGGATCTAGTATCCCTGCCATGCTGAATCATTGACTTGGGGCTTCCAGGGAGAGAGATGGTCTTGGCTCAAAAGCTGGGGTGCTGCATCTGGAAGCTGTCACCTAACGGCATTTCTTGCAGCAAGAAGGCATGGTCTTTCTTGAAGAGAGATTTGAAAGCTCACCTCTATACTTGCCACAACCCCCAAGTCATTTTCTCCAGGTTTGCAGTACAGAACATCCAAGGAAATCAGTCTAGGTGATGACCACAGCTGTCATTTACTAAACACCTACCACACCTAGCGCATGTCATTTACTAAATACCTACCACATGTCAAATTCAGTATTGCAAATAATCCTTCAACTACACCCTCCTACTTTAACAGAAGGGAAAACTGAGGCCCAGAGAGGTAAATAAATTTGCTCAAGATCATCATCCAGTCCATGGTTTGGCGCAAACCTGTGTGCCCTTGGGCTAGTCACAGCCCTACTTTGAGCCTCAGATTTTCTCATTTATAAAATGCTAAACTGGCCAGGTGTGCAGTGGCTCACGCCTGTAATCCCAGTACTTTGGGAGGCCTAGGAAGGTGGATCACTTGAGGCCAAGAGTTTGAGACCAGCCTGGCCAATTTGGTGAAACCCCGTCTCTACTAAATATACAAAAATTAGCTGGGCATGATGGCGGGTGCCTGTAATCCCAGCTACTCAGGAGGCTGAGGCAGCAGAATCACCTGAACCCAAGAGGTGGATGTTGCACTGAGCCGAGATCATGCCACTGCACTCCAGCCTGGGTGACAGAGCCAGACTCTGTCTCAAAATAAAATAAAATAAAATAAAATAAAATAAAATAAAATAAAATAAAATAAAATAAAATAAAATAAAATGCTAAGCTTAGAAAAGATGAAGCGAAGATGCTCCCCAACTCTGACATTCTGTGAGTCTAAGAAGCTCAGAAGTGTGCTCAGTGCTAGGCAAGTCACCACAAGGCCTACTGTCCCCTCTTCCCTGCTCCCACTCCCCACTAAGCTGATACTTACATGATCTTCTGTACACATCTCTTCTCATACATCCCCCAACTGCATTCTGACCCTGCCCTACAGATGGTCAAATCCTTGAAGAAGGCCATGGCCCCAGTCCTGAGCGATGTGACTGTGGAGTGGATCTTCCCTGAGACCACTGAGGTCCTGGTCTCACCCGTCAGCGCCAGCTCCCTCTTCCCTGGAGAACGGCTGGTGGGGTATGGCATTGTATGTGATGCTTCTTTGCACATCTCCAATCCCAGATCTGTAAGTATCCTAGAAATTCCACGGGTCCGTGTGGGCCCAGAACCCATGCCTACAAATCAGCCTTAGCTGGAAAGACTATTTGTGACAGCTAGAAACCAACTGGAAGTGGGTTTGCAGCTGTGGGTTTACAGTTTTCCCAGTTGTGGGTTTACAGTTGCCAGGCCACAGGCATTCAATCACAGTGGCATGGCTAAGGTAGATGCCACCATCTCAAAAATGTGGTTATTAAGAGCCCCTGCAGTAGAACCACTTGAAGAACTTGTTTAAAATGCACAGCTTTGGGAGGCCGAGGCAGGAAGATCACTTGAGATCAGGAACTTGAGATCAGCCTGGCCAACAGGGTGAAACCCCGTTCTCTACTAAAAATATAACAAAATTAGCCAGACATGGTGGCAGGCACCTATAATCCCAGCTACTCAGGAGGCTGAGGCACGAGAATCACTTGAACTCGGGAGGCGGAGTTTGCAGTGAGCTAAGATCGTGCCATTGCACTCCAGCCTGGGCGACAGAGCGAGACTCCGTCTCAAAAGAAAAAAAGAATGCAGAGCCCTAGCTTCCACCCAGGTCTGTTGAATAAGAATCCCCAAGGATAAAGCCCAGGAAACTGCATTTTACATAATTTCCCCTAAGTGATATGGTGCACACTTTAGTTCAAGAACAAATGCACTCAGATTTCCTTCTCCACACACTCTAGTAAGCGCGTATCTCCTTAGATGAGTTTGTGTTTTATTTCTTTACGTGGATGATTCCCTTGTCTGTGGTGGCAGAAGTGGGATGAAAGCCAAGAACTTCTGAAAGGGAGGTGAAGTTCATGCTAAAATGTGAGAGGTTGCCAAAGAAGCTGTTTCCTCACCTATCTTTCCTCTTTCGTGAGTCTGTCCACTCTCTCTAAAGGATTTCTCATCTTGTTTTGTTTTTCAAAAAAGAAGTCACAAACTCAATGCCTATAGAAATTGGGCAGGTGTGGAATGAATGAAATGGACTTGGTGTAAAAATAAAAGGGGCCAATGCTGTGATGGATAGCAGTTACCACTGAGCTCACAGTTGGAAAGGCAATAGGGAGCGGTGAGGAATATGGCAAACTGGATGGCACACGCCCTGGCTAAACTGGGCAGCCCCTACGCAGCCCTAACAAAGTGCCATCATGCAGAAATGTGAGCCCTATGTTAAATGTGTGTCTCATTTTTCAGGAGAAATTGGAACTTTATGTGAAAGCTCCAGATTTTTTAATGTTATGAAATGTTTTCAGAACTGTGATCAGGTTAATGGTTAATGTGTTATGGAAAATGGAGTGTTCAGCCGCAGGGAGAAAATGCTAAACAAAATGCTGGCCAAGTCCTTGCACAGTCCGGGCCTTCCTGGGAGGTCTAGAAGGCACCAGTTCATCAACAGACCCTCCCACTAGAAGGGACTGGACGCAGTCATCAAATCCATTCTCCTTTGCTTACTCAATACTGGCAACGTTTGCCCTGCTACTGGTAGGGATAAAGAGGACCTTCACATATTGTTGGTGTAAATATAACTTGCCGCAGCCCTCCTGGGAAGCAACCTAGAAATAACTAATAAAATTAGAGATAGGCCGGGCACGATGGCTCACGCCTATAATCCCAGCACTTTGGGAGGCCGAGGCAGGTTGATCACCTGAGGTCAAGAGTTCGAGACCAGCCTGGCCAACATGGTGAAACCCCATCTCTACTGAAAATACAAAAATTAGCCAGGCGTGGCGTCAGTCACCTGCAACCCCAGCTACTCGGGAGGCTGAGGCAGGAGAATCACTTGAACCCGGAAGACAGAGGTTGCAGTGAGCCAAGATCATGCCACTGCACTCCAGCCTGGGGGATAGGGCGAGACTCTGTCTCCAAGAAAAAAAAATTAGAGATACATAAACCTTTCAACCCAGAAATCCTACTCCTAGGAGTCTAGCCCATAAAAATAAAAGTGATGTAATGGATTTATGTCCAAGGATTTATTGTAGTATTTTTTATGGTGACAAAAATAAATGGCCACAAACTGAATGCTTAACAACAAGGGGTGGTAAAATATTGTGCAGTCAAATGCTAAAAAGAATGGTTGAGGCCAGGCCATGGTGGCTCACACCTGTAATCCCAGCACTTTGGGAGGCCAAGGTAGGTGCCTGGCTTGAGGCCAGGAGTTCAAGACCAGCCTGGGCAACCTAGTGAGACCACTTCTCTACAAAATATAAAAATTAAAAAATTAGCCAGACGTGGTGGCATATGCTTGTAGTCCCAACTACTCTGGAAGCTGAGGCGGGAGGATTGCTCAAGCCCAGGAGTTGGAGGCTGCAGTGAACTGATGATGCCACTGCACTCCAGCCTACGTGCAGTGTGGAGACCCTATCTCTAAACAAACAAACAGAAAGTAATAGTTGAAATGCAGAATTTCCAAAGTGTTTCAAGTGCAAAATTCAAGATACTGATAAGTGTGAGCAGTATAGCAAAGTTTTTATGAAACAAAAAATGACCCCCAACAGCTGATGTGTTATTTATACATAGAGGTGACCCTTGAACAATGTGGAGGTTAGGGATACTGACCCCCTATGCAGTCAAAATTTCACATATGACATTTGACTCTCTAAAAACTTAACTACTAATAGGCTACTGTTGACTGGAGGCTTTACGGATAATATAAACAGTCAATTAACGCATATTTTGTGGGTCATATGTATTATGTGCTGTATTCTTACAATAAAGTACGCTAGAGAAAATAAAATGTTTTTGAGAAAATCATAAAGAAGAGAAAATACATTTACTATTCATTAAGTGGAAGTAGATCATCATAAAGGTCTCCGTCGTCATTGTCTTGACATTGAGTGGCGAAGGTGGAGGGGCTGGTCTTGCTGTCTCAGAGGTGATAGAAGGGAATAAGTGGAGGAGGTGGAAGGAGAGGCAAGAGAAGCCGACACTCAGTGTAACTTTTATTGGAAAAAATCCACATATAAATGGACCCACGCAGTTAAAGCTTGTGTTGATCAAGGGTGAACTGTATGTTTAGATCAGGGAGAATGGAATGGAAGGAACAGATGGTTTATTTTGGTAATTTCGGTTACCTATTTGGAGACAGGAGTGGCATTTAGACTTACATTTAAAAAAATTTAATGAAGTCAATAATTAAAAACATAAACAACCTAAGTGTTATGAAACGATAATTCCATTCACCATCTCTTGAACAGAAGTTTGTCTCAATTCCCTAAGCAAACACAAAGCTTTCCTGTTGAGCTGTTTCTTCAGAGATGAAAACCGCACCACCTCTGCTCACACCCCTTGCTCCCTGCGGAAGTCCTTCCTGACACCTAGCCTCACTCCTAGCCCTCTTTTCTGTTTCTCCCTACAGGACAAGAGGCGCCGGTACAGCATGCTGCACTCTCAGGAGTCTGGCAGCTCTGTCTTCTACCACTCTCAGGATGACGGACCCGGGCTGGAAGGTGGAGACTGTGCCAAGAACTCGGGGGCACCCTTCATCCTAGGGCAGGCCAAAAATGCCCGGCTAGCCAGCGGAGACTCTACCACCAAGCACGGTTCGTCTGCGGCTCTGATGATTGCTGCCTTACATTGAGCACTTACTATGTGCTAAGCACTTGGTAAAAACCACCTCATTGAATAGTTAGCAGCTGCAGAGGTGGGTACTGTTATACCCACTTTACAGATGAGGAAATTGAGACTTGGAGAATTTGAGCAACTTGACTTAGCTCATAGAGCAATAGGTAGAGTACAGACAAAGAGTCCGGATCTATCTGACTCCAAAGCCTCGTTATGGTGTTAGTTTCCATTCAAAGGGTACTTATCGATTCCTTACTAAGGTTAGGGGCTGAGAGCAACATGGGAAGCAAAGATGACTCAGACATGTCCCCTGCCCTTCCGGAGCTTTCCACATAGTGAGAGATACATCTGGCACTAACTCTGATAGAAAGCAGAGTGACAGGGTGCCAGGGACCCCTAGAAAATTTAACAAACTATGGGAATCCCAGGAGAAATGAGCACATCTGCTAGAGGATATCCACAAAGACTTCACAAGGGGACTGCTTCTTAGAGGTGGGAAGGGAGAGGACGTTCCAGGCAGCAGAAACTGCCTGAGCAGCAATGTGGAGAGTGTGACACTTAGAAAGCACACACACAATTGGCTTCTGATCTAGTGTGTTTGACCCACTTTGTACCTTTTATTTTATTTTTTATTTTTGAGGCAGAGTCTCACTCTGTCACCCAGGCTGGAGTGCAGTGGTACGATCTCTGTTCACTGCAACCTCCACCTTCTGGATTCAAGCAATTCTCATGCCTCAGCCTCCCGAATAGCTGGGACTACAGGCGCATACCACCATGCCTGGCTAATTTTTGTATTTTTTGTAGAGACAGGGTTTCGCCATGTAGCCCAGGCTGGTCTGGAACTCCTGGCCTCAAATGATCCACCCACCTCGGCTTCCCACAGAGCTGGGATTACAGACGTGAGCCACCACACCCAGCCACATTGTACCTTTTGAAAGAAGCAGCAGGGAGAGTAGCTGGGAAGCTAGACTAGGGCCAGATCCGGAGAGGCTTTGGATGCCAGGGGAGGCATCTGCATATATTTCAGTAGGCAAGAGGTGGAGAACGTGAGACACTTCCAAACAGGAAAGGGGATGCAAGCCCCACTCTTTCCCTGCTGTCCCACTCTGATGGTTCCCCATCACTATCCCTGTCCAGATCTGAACCTCTCTCAGCGACGGAGGGCATACAGCACCAACCAGATCACCAATCACAAGCCCCTCCCAAGAGCCACCATGGCAAGTGACCCCATGCCAGCTGCCAAGAGATACCCACTGCGGAAAGCCAGGCTGCAGGACCTCACCAACCAGACCAGCCTGGATGTCCAGCGGTGGCAGATTGATTTGCAGGTACCCAAGCAGGACAGATTAGGGAGGAGCTGGGGAAGGCGACAGGCAGGGGAGAGCTGTGTCCCCTGCTTCAACCGCAGGACGTGGCCATCCACAACTTACACTGCCAAGTGAGTCACTCCCTCTTTCCTTCCCTAGGCCTTCATCTGCCTTACCTCCGAGGACACCTTCCAAATCAGGACACCCACCGGTCAATAAGCTCGCTCATTCCCTGCACACACACTGCCCAGTTGGCAAGGAACATTTGCATGTGCTCTTTCATTTGACTTTATAGCAGACCTGGGGGAGGAGAGAGTTTAGGGGCCCACCTTGGCTCAGTACAGATGTGGAAATTGAGAGCCAGAGAGGTAGGGCACTTATCCAAGGTCACACAGCCAGTCAGAGGATTGTAACCTGTCTGACCTTTGAAGGACCCCCTGCCTTCAAAGCCTTTTATTCCCCCTCATTAGATTGCACCTCCTACAAATTCCAGGGGATATACATTTACCCAGGGCAGAGAGGATTTTTTGTTTATTTGTTTGTTTGTTTGTTGAGACAGAGTCTCGCTCTGTTGCCCAGGCTGGAGTGCAGTGGTGCCATCTCAGCTCACTGCAACCTCTACCTCCTAGGTTCAAGCAATTCTCATGCCTCAGCCTTCCAAGTAGCTGGGATTACAGGCACGTGCCACCATACCTGGCTAACTTTTGTATTTTATTTATTTATTTATTTTTGAGATGGAGTTTTGCTCGTGTTGCCCAGGCTGGAGTGCAATGGCGCAATCTCAGCTCACTGCAACCTCTGCCTCCTGGGTTCAAGCGATTCTCCTGCCTCAGCCTCCTGAGTAGCTGAGATTACAGGCATGTACCGCTATGCCCGGCTAATTTTTGTATTTTTGGTAGAGACAGGGTTTCACCATGTTGGCCAGGCTAGTCTCGAACTCCTGGCCTCAGGTGATCCACCTGCCTCGAACTCCCAAAGCACTGGGATTACAGGTGTGGGCCACCACGCCTGGCCTGATTTTTGTATTTTTAGTAGAGACAGGGTTTTGCCATATTGCCCGGGCTGGTCTTGAACTCCTGGGCTCAAGCGATCTGCCTGCCTCGGCCTCCCAAAGGTCTGGGATTACAGAAGTGAGCAACCATGCCTGGCAGCAGAGAGAATTTGAGAGTTAGAGAGCCACAGCTAGGCCAGGGTTTCTCAGCCTCAGCACCATGGACACGATAATTTTATATTTGGGGGCAATTCTGTGCACTGTAGAATGTTCGGCAGCATCCCTTGGCCTCTGCTCGCTAGAGGCCTCCTGGGAATAACACCATCCCCAATCATGACAACCAAAAATGTCTGCAGACACTGCCAAATGTTCCCTGGGGAGCTAAATCACCTGGTTGAGCACCATTGTCCTAAACCAAATTGTGGTTTCATCCATTTTATTAAGAATGGGCTTGGCCAGGCATGGTGGCTCATGCCTGTAATCTCAGCACTTTAGGAGGCCAAGGCAGGCAGATCGCGTGAGCCCAGGAGTTCCAGACCAGCCTGGGCAACATGGCAAAATCCTGTCTCTACAAAAAATACAAAAATTAGCCGGGTGTGGTGGCACATGCCTGTAATTCCAGCTACTCGGGAGGCTGAGGCAGGAGGATCACTTGAGCCCAGGAGGCAGAGGTTGCAGTGAGCTGGGTTGATGCCACTGCACTCCAGCCTGGGAGACAGAGAGAGAGATCCTGTCTCAAACAAAACATCAAACAAACAAACAAAAGAATGGGCTTTATGTAGATTTGTCCTTGTAAGGCAGTGGTTCCATAAAAGCAGTCTTTTCACTCTCCCTATATGCCCCCTCCCACTTCCAACCACCACCCCCATCCCTCCCTGCCTCCACTTACACATAAGCCCGCTCTCTAAGGGTAGGGACACTGCAATCTTATCCCTAGGGGCCCTTCTCTGTGCTTATTGAGGGACCACTTGATGCAATCAGAAGGCAACTGGCCCTGCGGTCTGGCTGACTCTGATCCTCAAACATGTCACTCCACTCTCTGAGCCCCAGCTGCCTCATCTACAAAATGGGGAGAATAGCTTAGGCACATGATTGAACTGCCATCCATCAAAAGATATTTATTGAGAGCCAACTCTAAGTGGAGGACTCTTCCAGGCATTGGCTGATAAAAGATGCAGCGCCTGGCCCAGCACCTGGCACCCAGCAGGCATCCTTGGCTGGCAGCTCTATTTGGTGAGAGCTCTGGACAGGCTGATTCCCCTTTACTTCTTTCCTGCGCGCTCCCTAGCTCTTCAGACCCATCTCTGCTCTTCTCTCGCCCCCTCCTGCCTGGCTTCTTCCCCAACCTGATGCCCCCTTATGCATGCACACGCAACACACTTATATGTGCGCGCACACACACACACACACACACTCCATGCACCCTCTGGCTGGATGAAGGGCTGGATCTTAGACTCATCTGTTGCCATGGAAACGTTACCAGCTTCTGTTGCTCTCTGTGACCCAGTGTAGTGTTGACGGCTGGGGGAATCCTAGTGTTTGATTGGGCAAGGAGCAGAGGGTAGGGATCCCCTGGGACTTAGCAGCCCTGGCTGGGGTCATCCTGGGAGTGACCAGTCCCCTCCTTCTCCCACATCCTTGTACCCTTCCTAGGACCTCTGGCTTAGAAAGACAGAAAGGCAGCCCCCATTTAATGGGGAAGCACGGTCCGCCTCCTAATAAATACTTGATAGGGATGGAAAAGCCCCCATGGTTAACTGTTGGCCTAAAAAACTGTTACACCTGGTAAGTGTCTTTTCGCCCTCATCCCCTCCCCCTACCAGGGGATATATATGGTCCCAGAGGCTTCAAATTCATTTCTAATTAATTTAATATTCTTCAATTACAAAAGTAATACATACTCAGTGTTTGCAATAAAAACCCTCAAACAATTCAGTCAGGTATAAAGTACAAATAAAAGGCCCCCTGTCCTATTCCCAGACCCACTTGGTTTTGAGTGTTTCCTTCTAGAAATATTAATACTACACACACAAACACATGCATACACTATACACGTATGTATTTTTAATAATCACATATAAAAACTGCTCTCCAACTTACTTTTCAAATGTCTTTTTAATTCACTTTTTAAATAAATAACAGTGCAAGGTATTTATTTAAAAGTGAATTTACCCTTTTTGGTGAACAGTTCTATGAGATTTGACTAACGTATATGGTCATGTAATCATCGCCACAATGAGGTTACAGGACAATCACAATTTACTTTTTTAAAATAAGTTTTATCTTGGACGTCTTTTCACTTTGGCATGAAGAAAGATACTTCTTTATTTTCAATGTTGTGTGACGTTCCATTGCATGGGATATACCAGAACTTATTTGCCAACCCCTACTGATGCCAACCCCGACTGATTTGGATCGTTTCCAGATTTTTACATTTACAAACAATACTGCAACAAGTATACAGTACTTGCACATCGATATTTGCACTCTTGTGTATTTCCACAAGATTGAATTCCTGAAAGAGGAATTACCAGACCAAAGGGGCTTGCGCATTTTAATTGATAGCACATTGCTAGATTGTTCTCCCACAGCTGTGTACCCATTTACATTAGCACTGACAGTCCATGACAGACTCTGTCTTTCCATTGACCACAGGGGTGCCATCAAACACTTAAATATTTGCCAATCTGCAAGATGGAAAAAAATTACAAACTTGTTTTAATTTACATTGTTCAAATTTTTCGTGAGGCTGAGAATTTTTTCCTGGGTTTATTGGATACTTTTGCTATAAACGGCCTGCAAATGCCCTTAACACATTATTCTATTAAGTTAGTCTTTTACTCCCAGTGATTTATGAAAGCTTCTTGAAAATGATCTTTGTCATGACTATTGCAAATGTATTTCTCCATTTATCCCTTGCCTTTTGATGTCTGTTTGTACCAGCACAAGAATAGATAGATTAAATCAACAAAACAGAACAGAAAGTCCATAAATAAAACCAAACGTGCATGAAAGCTTTGTTGGGATAGAGGTAGGAAACTGATTAAACTGCCTGGATTCAAATGGAAAAACTGCATTCAATAAATTGTGAGATTCTTACCATTTGAAAAATCAAGAAAAAATCTGATTCCTTTCTCCTTACTCCAAAATAAATTTCATGTAAATCAAAGATTTAAACACACAAACAAACAAAAATGAAATCCCAAAAATTCTAGAATATTTTTTGAGTGAGAAAGACCTTTTAAGTATGACATATGGGAAGACATAAGGAAAAAAGATTGATAATTTTAACCATACACACAAAACAGTTTAAACTTTATGGCAAAAAAAAAAAAAAAGTGGGTTTGGAATTATCCATGGTGTATGATTTTCCATGGCTTTCCATGGTTTGGGATTATGATTGTTGATGTTTCTCATGGATAATGGAGACTGGGTCATGCGTCCCTGAGTACTGGAGGGGCAGTGCCCAGGAGGAGCTGCTGTGCCCCAGGAAAGAGCTGGTGGGGTGGGGGTGGGGGAGCAGAAGGAAGGAGGGTCCAGCCACCAGGAGCTCTTCCTCCTCCTTCTCCTCCTCCTCCTCCTCCTCGTCCTCCTCCTCTTTCTCTTTCTCCTCTTCCATCCCTAGCCCTTGCTGAACAGTGGTCAGGACCTGAACCAGGGCCCCAAACTCCGTGGCCCAGGGGCCCGAAGGCCCTCTCTGCTGCCCCAAGGCTGCCAGCCCTTCCTGCCCTGGGGCCAGGAGACCCAGGCCTGGAGCCCTGTGAGAGAGCGGACTTCTGACAGCCGAAGCCCTGGAGATCTGGGTAAGTGACCACAGGGTCCAGGACCCAACTGGGGACAGGGAGGAATCACTGGCTGTTGTTCAACTTCAGATGACAGGCCCAGAGGGCAGATGCCTGGGTCTGTCCCCTTGTGGTCTGCTGCGGCTCACCCCTCTCTGAGGACCTCACCAATCCCACGCTTCCCAGTCACCCTGGTTCTTGGGTGGCCTCTGAGGCTGCAGCTCCATTCTCTGTGCCCCTGTCCCACCCCATACTATCTGGCCCCCTCAGGCACTGGCTTCCTGGGAGGCGGATCTGTCCTCCCTTGGGGACAAGCCCATGCCCCCGCAGCTGTCCTAGGAAAGCAGTTGGAGTTGCCTGTTCCCTGGGGAGATGGAGTGGGTTGTACTTGCTTAGAAGTGTCTGCTCCCTGGGGAGGAATGATGTCCCCTGGGAGTTGGCCGTCTGTCCCCCAGGTCAGCGCTTGGCCCACTTGTCCCTCTGCCCGCAGAGCCGTCCCACCATCCCTCTGCCTTCGAGACAGAGACGTCCTCGGACTGGGACCCCCCAGCCGAGTCCCAGGAGCGAGCCAGTCCCAGCAGGCCCGCCACCCCGGCCCCGGTGCTGGGCAAGGCCCTGGTCAAAGGCCTGCACGACAGCCAACGCCTGCAGTGGGAGGTGAGCTTCGAGCTGGGGACCCCTGGACCGGAGCGGGGCGGCGCGCAGGATGCCGACCTATGGAGCGAGACCTTCCACCACCTGGCGGCCCGCGCCATCATCCGCGACTTCGAGCAGCTGGCGGAGCGCGAGGGCGAGATCGAGCAGGGTGAGCGCCACGGAACTGCGCCCCTCCCGCGGACGGCCTCCGGAGGACAGCCCCGCTCCACAGCCGCTCCCCCTTCCCCACCCGCCCCCGGTGATCCTCTCAGCCCCGCGTGGTCCGCCCACCTGCTTCCCGGGTCCTACCCCACCCCCTCCTCACAGCCCCGCCCAATTCCCCGCCTACTCTCCCTATGACCCGCCCACCTCTTCCCCTTCCAGGCCCCACTCTCGCCCCATCCCCTCATTACAACTGTGCCTAGTGCCCCGCACACCCCACCCCTCCATGGCCCGCCCACCCCGCCACTCCCCGCCATAGCCCGTCCCCACCTCCATGGTCAGCCCACCTCCTTCCCTGACCCAGCCCCCACCCTGTGCCTGTCCACTTCCCCCAGGACCCGCCCCCCCTCTCCCGTCGGCCTCCAGGACCCGCCCCCTCCGCACAGCCCCGCCCACTGCCCGCCCACTCGCCTCTCCGGCCTCCAGGCTCCGCCCCCTCCCCATTCTGCTCAGTGCCTGGGCTCATTCCCTACCCCCACTCCAGGATCAGCCCTTCATCTCTGGCTTCAGCCCCCTTCATCTCCCCACAGCCCCGCCACGGCTCACTGCTCCCCCACTCCACCTCACACCACAGCCTTCAGGTGCCTCCCCTCATTCCCAATCGCCCTTCCCCTCACACCCGTCCACCCACCAACACACGCATAGCCCAGGGCTCCATTCCATTCCCGCCAAGATCCACCCTCTTCCCCCTGCCTCCGAGTAAGTGGTCCTCTCCCCCAGCCCTGGGCTCTTCCACCCCCATTCAGTGACCCGTCCTCTTCTCTCCTGCCTCATTTCTCTCTCTTATGGGCGCCCCATTTCCCAGTGCTTCTCCCCTGCAGCGGCCCCTGTCTCTCCAGAGACAGAACAATGGTGACAGCCCACACCTTCCTCCAAGTCCCCCAGTCCAAGGGCTCCACGCACTCATTCATCACGCCATTATTTACTGTGGATCTGCTGGGGGCCAGGCTCCCACTGGGCCCGGTAAACCAGCTGAACAGCCCAGTGAAAAAGCAATCTCCATCCCTTCCTTACCCATGAGTGCTTGACAAACTAGCAGGGAAGCCAGCATTAATCAAATCATTACACAAATAATTAATTGAGTGCATTTGTCCTAAGTGCTATTAAGAAAAAAGACAGGGATCCAAGAGATTGTATAACAGGGACGGTGGGGGAGCTAATTTAGTCCAGGAATTGGGGCAGACTTTACTGAGAAAGTGACTGGTGGGATCTTGATGGAACACACTTGGAGAATATAAATATA
Source organism: Homo sapiens (assembly GCF_000001405.40). Taxonomy (NCBI): domain Eukaryota; kingdom Metazoa; phylum Chordata; class Mammalia; order Primates; family Hominidae; genus Homo; species Homo sapiens. Next base: position 20,344,690 of record NC_000001.11, read on the forward strand.
AATAGAGAACGGTTATATCATTTCTTTGTCGTGGGTTTTGCTTTATTTCTGTAATAATATTATTTTGTTTATATTTTACTTGTATTTTTGTATTGTACGTGTTACTTTTTTTCTTCCCATGAGCTCCTCACCTTACAGTTCACGAAGCACTTTTCTACCCTCTCTCTCCTTGGCTCCTCATACAGCCTTCTGCAGGCTGCAAGCCACGGAGACTGCTCACCTGTTCAAAGGAAAGGGATTGGGCTCTGGGGTCAGACCATCCTGAGTCGTGATCTCAGATCCGTTCCTAACTTGCTGTGTGACCCTCAGCTCACCACTCTCCTCTGATTTGCAATGTCCTCAGCAGTTAAATGGGTCAGATAAGTGGTCCCCACCCACCAGCCAGGGCACCTGTGAAGTTTTACGGCAACGTTCCCATTAGACATCTGCAAAATTAAAGTACAAAATACAGACAACATAGTGGGTTGGGTGTTTTTAAAAATAAAACTACAGTTATTTAAAGGAAGTAGCTGTCTTTTATTCTGAGACAATGTCTTACATTTTTACATTAAAATATCCTTTATTTTGTGAAATGATGACGTGAAATGATGGTGTTGTTTTAAAAAATGTCTTTAGTTAGCAAGTTGGCAAGCCCTTGATTTTAAAGGCTTCTTTAATCCCAAAGATGGGGACCACTTAGGTAGAGCCCCCTTTTTAGCTTCCAAAGCTTGTGTGTCAGGGAAGACTTTCTGAGTCCAAACAGTGACCCCAGTTTCTCCCTCCACAGGGTCCAACCGCCGCTACCAAGTGAGCGCCTTGCACACCAGCAAGGCCTGCAACATCATTAGCAAATACACAGCCTTCGTGCCTGTGGACGTGAGCAAGAGCCGGTACCTGCCCACCGTGGTGGAGTACCCCAACTCTGGTAAGGCAGGCGAGCGGCCGGGGGCACTCCTGGGGGCCAAGCAGCCCCTGTGGACTAGGGGAGGGGGCTGAGATACAAAGGACCACAGACCAGCAGGGAGCGGGGTGAGACAGGGCCTAGAAGCAGAAAGGCCCCCAGTGGATGATTTGGCTGCTAGGGGGTGGGCGCCCCTGGGGCCTCATCCCACTGCTCTGCAGAGGCCGTTAAATCACCCCACTCCCTTTTCTCCACCAGGTGAAAATGATTTTATTGTATTTCTTCAACCGGGACAATATGTGCTCATTATAGAAAATTCTAAACTATAGAAAGATATAAAATGTAAAAAATAACTAAGACCAACAGTCATCCAGGAGTGTATACTAGTCACCCACTTGGTGTGACCATCCTTCCAGACTTCTCTCTATGGATATCAGCATGTAGAGAAATCAAAAGACAGATCATTTTACATGAATTGGATTATCCTAATATGTGCTATATTTTACAAAATATGGGCGTGGAAAGTGCCACTCCATGAAATGAATCTATATCATTTTAATAGCATATTCCTCTGCAGGGAGCTGTCATCCTCAGAATAGCCAATTAGTGTTCCAAAGCACTTTGTATATATTTTCAATCCTTTAATCCTCAAAAACAGCTCTACAAAGTAGACGCTATTATTATCCCCATTTTATAGATGGAAAACAGAGGCAGAAGGAGCTGAGTTACTTTCCTGAGGTCACACAGCCGTGATGGGCTGGAGCCAGGCTTTACATTTATTGCCCTGGCTCTGGATTATGCATTTTCTTCCACTCCTTTCTACTGTCTCTGAAAATTTATTGCAATTTTTAAAATCTATTTAGACCTTTATTTTATTCCCCATTTGGTTATTGTAAATTATACCTTAAAGAACATCTTTGTGCATCTGTCTGGTTATCTCCTCAGGGTTAATTAATTCTTAGAAGTAGGATTGCAATGTCAAGGGGATGCCCATTTAAAATTGTGATGTATGTTACCAAACTGCCCCCTTACCATCCCACAGGTTATTCAAATCTCCATCCTCTCCAACACTGAATATTGTTTATCTTTCTAAACTCTGCCAGTCTGATAGGTGAGAAGAGAATCTCTCTTTTGTCATTTTTTAATTGTGAGATGCTTGTCATGTTTATGAACTATTTGTGCTTTTTTTGTTTCAAATTACATTTTCCTGTCCTTTATGGTCACCCCTCCCCTGCTTTTTATTAGCAGACGTCCAGAAAGAATTGTGTTTGGAAATAAAATATGCCCTTCCTAATTCCACCTGTCCCCCTTTTCTTATCTGTGGTACCAAAGTGATCAACCCTTCTCAACTGTTGTCATTTCAGGCAATGGAGTGGCCATTTAATCAGGCTGTTCGCTTATTCATGTTGCAGGGATGAGCGTCCCTCCCACCTGTCTATGACCAGCCTGCTAGCATCTGTAGCCACAGCCTAGGAAGTTAGGGACCTGGCCCATATCTTAACCAAAGTCCCAAAGCCCCCTAAGATCTAGATCAGCACTTCCCCAAGTGTGTTCCAAGAAACTAGAGCTCTAGTCTCATGTCCTATGAATAGCCATCCAGCATAAAAATAGAAAATACCAGATTAGGAAATACATTTAAGAACCACTGGATTAGATAAAGTTCAAAAGCTTTCTTTACTGCAGAACTTCTCAGAGCATTTTGTATGTTAATATACATCAAGAGGCTCAGAGAATGGGCTACAGTATGCAGCTTCTCCAAAACTTGTTTCCCAACACAACTCTAATTTTTAAGGAAAAACTTACAGACTAGTGCTCTCTGAGAGTGGGGTTCCCTAAAGCATACTTTAGGGTGCTATAACTTCTTTCTTCTTCTTCTTTTTTTTTTTCTTTGAGAGAGTCTTGCTCTGTTGCTCAGGTTAGAGTGCAGTGACACAATCACAGCTCACTGCAATCTCTAACTCTTGGACTCAAGTGATCCTCTCACCTCAGCCTTCCCAGTAGGTGGGACTACAGGCACGCACTACCACACCCAGCTAATTTTTTATTTTTATTTTTTATTTTTTTATTTTTTTTGGTAGAGATAGGGCCTCGCTATGTTACCCAGGCTGGTCTTGAACTCCTGAGCTCAAGTGATCCTCCCATCTCAGCCTCCTGAAGTGCTAACATTACAGACATGAACCACCCTGCCCAGCCCAGGGTGCTGTAACTTCATCTCTTTTCCATCCAACCCCTCTTGGTGATGCCCTGGGATTTCAGGGGCCTGCCCTGTGGGAGGGGTACTTGGGACATGGATCTCTGAGACAGTAAACAGAGAGAAGAACAGAATGTTCCTGAAAAAACTGGCCTTTTAACTTCCTGGAAAACATTGTGCCTTCTTGAACATTCTCTCAGCAATAGTATCTACCCAGCAAGCTAGATATTATTATCCCCGTTTTCTAGATAAGGAGACTATGGCTCAGTGGGGTCCGCACCCATCCAACTGGAAAGAGATGGGGCTGGGGCTCAAACCTGGGTCTTTCTGACTCTAAAGCTTATGGTCTTACCCTGTACAACACCTTCCTGCCTTTGGATAATTGAAAGATTGAAGCCAGAATCATTCCTGTCAGCTCTGGGGGAAAGGCAAAGGACTGGCACATTTGTACCCAACCACCCGCTTCCCCTTGTCTTCCGCGAAGGAGCTGCCCTGCGTATGCTTGGCTCTCGGGCCCTGGCCCAACAGTGGAGGGGCACCTCTTCTGGCTTTGGAAGGCCGCAGACGATGCTTGGAGAAGATTCGGCACCAGGAAATGGTAAATTTCAGGCCCTAAGTAAGAGCCACCCTGGGCACTTTCGGAAGCCTGGGCCCCTGAGGTTACCGCGTCCTCCTGTCCGAGGCCCTAGGACCACTCTCTGAGTCTGCACTGTGGGCTTAGGCAGGCCCAAGGCAAAGCCAGTCCTCCCAGGCTCTCTGAAGCCTAAGAGGGACAGAGAGGCTCGGTATGGCCGGAGCGCACCACCACTGACACAGTTCTCTCTTTGCCAGGGAGCGGCACCACCTCCCTGCCGGCACCTCTCCCCTTCTGAGGTCTGCTGACCCTGGTGCTGTTCCCTGCCTCCAGCCTCTGAGTCCTCCCAGGCACCAACTGCCAGGAAACCTAATAAACAAGGGAAAAAGCGAAGAGCGAAGAGGCAGTCCCATCTGTTTGGGTCCCACCATCTGTTTCTTTCAGGATTCCCAACAGCCTCCTTTGAGCCTTCACCTGGTTTCATTGTGCCTGCAGCTTGGCTCCTTGAAGAGCTGGGATTTGACCTTTTTGTGACCTTGCACTAGTTCCCAGGATGGCTTTAACCCTCTGTGTCCTGCATGGATGTGTGTCTTTCTGTCTCTCTAAAGACAGCCTAACTGCTGCACTCATCCTAACCCCTTTCTAGGTTCCCTCACGTGCACAGGGAGGATCTCCTGCCTTTTGCTGTGCAGGAGGAAGACATCAGAGGTCCCGCCTGGCCACTAGCCCAGCCACCCAGACCATAAGGATTTTTTTATTCCAGGTCCTAGAAAGTGCTCACAGACATTGATGGGTTTTAAAACAAAAACAGAAACAGAACACAGTGTGAGGGGGTGGAAACCCAGAGGAGCTCTTCAGAATCAAAGTGTTCTCTCAACTTCTTGGTCCCATTGGCCTCCAAAACCCAGGAGAACCAGCTCCACCCCTGAGCCAAGCTGAACTTCCAGTCTTCAGGAAATTGCTGGTCTGTACCTTCCTTTCTCCGAAGCTTAGCTTTTGGTGGCCTATGGCTTCCATCAAAATCACAAATCCTTTATTTTATTTATTTATTTATTTATTTATTTATTTAGATGGAGTCTCACTCTGTCCCCCAGGCTGGAGTGCAGTGGCACGATCTCGGCTCACTGCAACGTCCACCTCCTGGGTTCAAGCGATTCTCCTGCCTCAGCCTCCCGAGTAGCTGAGACTACAGGCACCTGCCACCATGCCCCGCTCATTTTATATTTTTAGTAGAGTTGGGGTTTCACCATATTGGCCAGGCTGGTCGCGAACTCCTGACCTCAAATGGTTCATCACCTTGGCCTCCCAAAATGCTGGGATCACAGGCATAAGCCACCATGCCTGGCTACAAATCCCTCCCTTGAAATTGTTCTCTGATTCATGCCCACATTCCTGACTTTTTTTTTTTTTTTTTTTTTTGAGACAGGGCCCGTAGTCCAGGGCTTTACTAAGCACTTAGCAATGGACTAAGCACTATCTGCGTATTATCTCATTTCATCTTTACAACACTGTGAGATAGATAATATTATCCCCAATTTGCAATCAAAATGTATAAAGTAATTTTGCCAAGTCCCCACAGCTGGTCAGTGGTGGTGGTAGTGGTGGCGGGGGTCAGGATTTGAACCCAGGCCTGTCTAACCTTATGGTGGGGCAACGGTTATATCTGTGAAAGATGAAGGCCCATCCGAGCAGGGGTGGAAACCCTAGCCTTGTTCCCCAACCCACCTGCAGACACCGTGAATTAGACCATTGCTCTCCTGAGGGGATGGGAGGCGAGGAAGGGAGGGGAGAGGTCCAGCCTCACTGGCTCCTCTGTCCTAGACATGGAGGCAAGTCCCACTGCTCTCTTCAGCGAGGCCAGGTCCCCCGGCCGCGAGAAGCACGGTGCTTCTGAAGGTGAGTGGGCAGGTGGCGCTGCCTCTTCATCAAGATGGTGACAGGGATTGGTCCTGGGGTCAGGAGAGTATCTTAGCACCGACAAAGTCCTCAGGGCTTCATGGAGTCCTCAAAGCAGCCGTCTGCATGGGGAATAGGATTATCCCCAATTGAAAGATGAGGAACAGGTGCAAAGAGGTGAAGTGACTTGCCCAAGGTCACAGAGTACTCTGGTGACAGAGCTGGGCCTGGATCAGGCCTCCTAGTTCCCCGCTGAGGGACCATTTTTGCCACTCCGCTCTGCCTAGAGTCCTCTAGCAACGTGCCAAGGAGGTCAACTCAGTGTCCCCATTTAGGAATGAGCAGGGCTAAGTGAAGCTGTCACTGTCCCCACAAGTAACTTTCCAGAAGATCCCAGGGGCTGCCGGCCAAGGAATCTTAGAGGCCAGCTTTTTACAGGCAGACATCTCATCCCACCCTACACCAACTGGAGCGGAAGGAGCTCCACAGCCTAATGGTTAGCTCGAGTCCCTAGGAACTTAGCTAAGCACCTGCCCCTCTCTAGGCCTCTGTTCCCCCAGTTGGTCAGTGAGCAGTTGGACGGGGTCATCTTCAGGTCTCAACTTGGTCATTCTGTGGCTCTCCAGGTCCCCAGCGCAGCCTGGCTACAAATACTCTTTCTTCCATGAAGGCCTCAGAGAATCTCTTTGGATCCTGGTAGGTGGGATTTCCAATAAAGGTACACTCTCCTGCCACCCATTTTCCTGGGGTGGTCCCTGGGGTTTTCCCTGACTTGGAAGGCCAAAGACAGGTTCAGCCTGACATTTAGGCAGGTGTCGTAAAGAAGGCACTCCTGCCCAGAGCAATCACTGTCTCCCAGGTCTCACCCTACCTCAAATCCCCCACTTTACTTTATCTCCCACACTTCCAAGATCTCTTTCCAAATGCAAGTATGCATGGGAGGGCTGACATAAAACTCTTCTGACCACTGGACTGGACAAGAATGTGATAGTAAAAGAGGGTCACAATCCAGGTATAGTAGCTCACACGTGTAATCCCAGCACTTTGGGAGGCCGAGGCAGGAGGATCACTTGAGGCCAGGAGTTCGAGACCAGCCTGCGCAACACAGTAAGACCCTGTCTCTACAAAAAATTTAAAAATAGGCCAGGCATGGTGGCTCACCCCTGTAATCCCAGCACTTTGGGAGGCCGAGATGGGCAGATCATAAGGTCAGGAGTTCGAGACCAGCCTGACCAACATGGTGAAACCCTGTCTCTACTAAAAATGCAAAAATTAGCCAGGCATGGTCGCATGTGCCTGTAGTCCCACCTACTAGGGAGGCTGAGGCAGGAGAATCACTTGGACCCGGGAGGCAGAGGTTGCAGTGAACCGAGATTGCTCCACTGCACTCCAGCCTGGGCAACAGAGCAAGACTCCATCTCAAAAAAAATAAAAAATAAAAAATTAGCCAGACATGGGTGTGTGCCTGTAGTCCAGGAGACTGAGGTGGGAGGATCGCTTGAGCCCAGGAGGTTGAGGCTGCAGTAAGCTACGATTGTGTCCCTCCAGCCTAGGTGACAGAGTGAGATCCTGTCTCAGAAACAAAACAAAAGAGGGTCATCAGGAGAACACTAACCTCTTCCTAGTCCCAGCTGCTGCTAACTCATTGAGTGACTTGGAGCAGTTGCTTCGAGCCCATGTTTCCAGGCTTCTGCTTCCTTAGCTATCAGATAAGGAGGCTGGAGGGAGCCATCTATTGCATTCCTTCTGACCCTGACTTTCAGGGGCTTCTGGGTGGGCACTGGAGGTTGGGATGCCCAGGGCCACCTGACTTCACCTGCACAGGCTAAATCTCAACAAGTCCAGGCTACTGACGCGAGCAGCCAAGGGCTTCCTGAGCAAGCCACTGATCAAAGCTGTGGAGTCGACCTCCGGGAACCAGAGCTTCGACTACATACCTCTGGTGAGTGCCCTGACCCCAGGTGTCAGTCTCCCTCCGCTCCACTCAGCAGCAGGGCCTTCCTGTGATCCCCCTGCCCACCTCTCCACTTCCTCAAAGAGAAGAAGGCTTTGGTCTTAGAGCTCAGATCCCCTGAGTTTTGAGGTTTCCTAGAGCTTCCCACCCAAGTAGTTAGCAGGGCAGAGGGAGTTTGCATGAATCTCCCCTGCCCAGAGGCCTAGGGATATTGCTAGAAGCCAGCACCAGCATCACGAAAATTCTTTGCAATCTGCTATCTTTGCCTTAAAAATTCGTGGGAATTTTGCATTCTACTCCACGCATCTATGTGTATCTGTTTTTCAGTACATAAAAATAAGCTTTGAAATGACTCACAAGTGAGTAAAATTAACATCCCAGGGACATGGACTGTGTTTAGCAACTGGGTCTGCAGACACCTCAGCATGCTGTAGCAGGGTGAGAGACTCAGGTCTGGAGTGGGCTTCTCTGAATTAAGGAGCAAGGGAGACTGGCCCTGCCACATCTGGGGCCCCTCAGGGCTTGGGAAACAGAGGATGCTCAAAGGAGGAGCACAGTTTGAGCATCACTGCATACCTCTTCTGTCCCTCCATACCCAAGTGCATAATATTCTGAATTTCCAAATATCCAGGGCAACTGAGCACTAGGCATGTTTTTACTCAACAAGTATTTATTGAGTTAGGCCCAGTGCTAGACCCTGGAGAGACAACATTGAACTAGACAAACATAGTTTCTGCACTTATGGTGCTAAGTATCTAGTAGGATTCAGACAAGGAACCAGGCAATTCTAACCCTTGGGAGTGGCAATGGGAGAGGTCTGGTTTGGTTGGGGAGTACAGGGGGTGGACATCTAGACCAGGCTTGAGATGTGGGGAGCAGACCCAAGCATGACTTCTTGGAGAAGGTCAAGGCTAAGCCAAGACTTGCAGGATGAGGAGATATGGCCAAAGGCCTCCAGAGGAGAGACAGAGCTTGGCAGCTGGGGAATGGAGTTGGAGAGGGTAAGAGTCAACGATTAGGTGGTGCAGAGCTTTATTGATCATATTTTGGACTTAGTCTATGAGACACTGAAGTCATTGAACTGAGCCTCCAAAAAGTGTGTGATCTATGCCTCTTAGAGATCCCTCTGTATGTAGGACAGATGGATTGGGGGTGGGGAGAGGGGAGGAAAGAGGAGGCAGGAATAACATGAGGAAGCACGTGATGGATTGCAGAGCGATTTAGAAAGTAGACCTGTTGAGACTCGGAAACTGATGGTTACACAGGGAGAAAGAGGAAGGTGAGCTGCTAGAGTTCCCTGCATTGCAGGGGACATTCCCAGTGGCTGAGGTGAGGCCACCCACCTAGGACAAGAGGCAAATATGGAGTGAAGATGTTGACTTCGGCTTGGAGAATGATCTGTTTGAAGTGTCTGCAGGATAAAGGATAGAGATGCTCAATTGACCTGGGTATCCTGAAAATCCCCCAGGCAGGCAGGGTGGGGTGGGCAACATGGATCCAGACTTTTGCATGGCCTATGGCTCCCTGGGCTAAAACATTTGAGGCCCACTGAAGGGCTTCCCCCACACACAGGTGTCTCTGCAGCTGGCCTCCGGAGCCTTCCTGCTCAACGAAGCCTTCTGTGAGGCCACGCACATCCCCATGGAGAAGCTCAAGTGGACGTCCCCCTTCACCTGCCATCGAGTGTCCCTCACCACCCGCCCGTCTGAGTCCAAGACCCCGAGTCCCCAGCTGTGCACCAGCTCCCCGCCTAGGCACCCGTCCTGTGACAGCTTCTCCCTGGAGCCTCTGGCCAAGGGCAAGCTGGGCCTGGAGCCGAGGGCAGTGGTGGAGCACACTGGGAAGCTGTGGGCCACGGTGGTGGGGCTGGCATGGCTGGAGCACAGTTCGGCCTCCTACTTCACTGAGTGGGAGTTGGTGGCTGCCAAGGCCAACTCATGGCTGGAGCAGCAGGAAGTACCCGAGGGCCGCACGCAGGGCACACTCAAGGCCGCTGCCCGCCAGCTGTTTGTGCTTCTGCGGCACTGGGATGAGAATCTCGAGTTCAATATGCTCTGCTATAACCCGAATTATGTGTAGTTGAGTGACGGGGAGGCTGGGTGGAGGGAAGGGTGGGGAGGAGAGGGATGGGCAGGGCCATGTCGGCCTGGTTTCGGGGAGCTTTTGGAGCTGTAACTAATATTTCAGTTACTAGAAAGAGCCCTGGACTGGCAGCCAGGAGGCCTGAGTTCAATCCCAACTTTGCTACCATCCAGCCATGCAACTTTAGGCCAGTGCCTGCCCCCGTCTGGGCCTCAGTTTCCTCATCTATAAAATAAGAGGGCGAGATGAAGGAGGTGGAGTGGATCTCAAATGGTTCAGTGGTTCCTTTCTGCCCATTCAGGCAGTCCCGGGCTGACTGCTGCTGGGGCTGGCGAGGGAAGATGCAGTGGAAGCCTGAGCCCTGTCTGGAGGTAGACCACGTGGGCACGGAGTGGACACAGCAATGCCCACTCAAATAAAAGGGCAGATGAGAGAACCCAGTGACCTCAAGTAACCAGGCCTACAGGCTTGCATAGGCACATAGAGACTAGCAAGTCTGGTGCCTGTAGGACAGGCTCTTGTCTCCATGGTAACAGCCAAGGACCCCCCCTAAATCCCACTTAAAAGCCAATTGGAGAAGCATCCTTCTCAACGCTTTACAAAAGAGTAGTTTGGGGGCCTTTTGTTTTGGCTAGGAAGCTTCCTTAATACATACTAGTATTGCCTTGCAGATCATTAGTGGCTCCCTCACTAAGAAGAGGTGGTGGCAGGACCAGGGGAGACACCTTGTGAGTTGACGTGTTAGATTTAAGCAGCAGTCTGTGCAAAAATAGTCCTAAAAGAACAGACATGGTCACAGAAGTCAATGAAGACACCAGACAACACCTTACTTAATTTTCCCACTTTTAGGAATTGGGTAAAGCGAACTGCATCACTTGTACTGAGGCACGAGGGAGCCACCACCAAGTAGGTCGCACCATGGGATCAGGGGGTCCTCTGGAGCCATGCCACGCTGTGGGAGAGAGGCTTGGCTGCAGTGCCTTTGGGGATGGCAGCTCTGGCCAGGGGAGGCCTGATTTGTTTGGTGAAATGAATGAATTGACACTTCAGGCTGGATCCCCTAGGGGCTTCCTGCCCTCAAGCCCACTGTGTGATGCCTACATGGGGAATGGCGTGCTGTGGCCGCAGATACCCTAATGGCTGGCATAGAGCTGCCCAGTCTCCTCTTCCCCACTGACTCCCCTGGAGGTGGGTCTAGACCTCACCAAGGAACCCCACCAGCTTGGGACTTCAGGCTGAATCTATCCACCCTCGAAGCCCCCTCCTTCAAGGCCTTAATCTCTCCTCATCAAATTCCTGTCCCAACCTTGGAGTGAAGCTCCACAGACTTCCCTCGTGGGAAGGCCTTGGAAGCTTAGCTTATCAAACCAACTCGTGGGGTCCTGCGGGCTCTGGCGCAAGCCCCGGCCTCAGGAAGACTCGAGGGGTGTGCAGCCTCCAGCAGGGGCTGGAGTCAGGGAGGAGGCTCCAGCAGAACGCCCACTGGGCACAAGGGGAGAAAAAGCAGCCCCAACATGATATGGTGCCCTGCCCCCCACCCCCACCCCTCCATCTATGCCACAAGTCTCCCGCGAGGGATTCTCACAGCCCTTTTGAATACTTAAGATGAAATCCCATTGCTGCCTTGTGGACTGGCTCTGCTTCAGACTTACCCTCTGGGGAGGAACCCAGGCAGGCAGGCCTGGACACTGTGGCCATCACAACCCCAGGTGGGGCAGGATGCCAATCTGGGGTGTTGGCTCAAAGTCAGTGCCACCAAGGCGGGTAAGAGCTTTGGGTTGTCTTGCTCCAGGCTTCCAGGAGATGTGAGCGGAGCTTTGTCATCTCCCTGCACACTCCCCATCCCCTGCCAAAATCACTTCTTTAGCTATGCAGGCAGCAGCCTCAGCTTCAGGGTAAGGGTGGCCGGGGGTGGCATCTACTTCCTGGACCACAAGTAATGGAAAAAAAATGCCAGGTTTTGAGTCAGAACACCCAGACTCAGGTCTCAGCCTAGTACTAGTTTGGGCAAGTGGTTTCTCCTCCTAGGTGCCCTGGAGCTGGGGCTTTCTCCTGCTCTGACAGTCCCAGACTCTCTGCCTCTGAGATGTTTCCCTCTTCATGAACATGAATTTGCTTGAGTTCTCTGTGTGACCTTGAACAAGTGGCGTGTGTGTTCTGGGCCTCTTTCTTCCTCTACATAACCAGGCTGAACTGGGCTGTCCAGCACCTCCCTGCCCCACCAGATGAGTCTGATTCTGGGTCTCCAGGCCTCAGCCTGGACAATGGCCAGGGCTTGAGGTGAACCGGTCTCTGCCAGCATAGAACTAGTGCTACAAGATGCCTAGCAGGAGCAACCAAGAAATCCAGCAAGGTGGTGGGCATGCCACCCACTTCTCTAGGAAAGTTCCTCAGACTGCTCCCGCACCGGCCACTGGAGCTCTGCAACATGTTTGAGGCCCAAGAAAACTGCTGATCTCTGCAACCCTGGCTCCCCTGCCCAGCCCCAAAGGTGCAGAAGAACAAATCTTCATTGGTTGCAAATAACCCAAGAGCTATGGGGGCAGGTCTGGACAAGAGACATTTTTAAAGAACTTCAGTGGTATTGAGATGACATGCAGCCTCAAAAACGTGCTACCGGGACTGCTAGGCAGAGGACCTAGGGGACTCGCTTTAAGGAAAAGATAAGAACCTTTGGTAATTAGTACATACATTGAAGCTAACAGAGTTCTAAAGTTTCTCAAGCAGGGAACACATTGCCCCTGCAATCTCATTTACTTTGGGTTAATCTGGTTTAACTTGCTAAACCAGCCCTTGCTTTCTAGGTCATACAAAGGAATATTTATGCCCTGCACTGTCTGAAGAAAGGGCTAATGCCACCGTAAGACAAAGCCCAGCCTCCAAGCTGCCTTCAGTGGGAAAAACACTGAGCTGAGAGTTGAGGAACCCAAGCATGGGTCCCAACTCCACCACTAGTGTGCTGTGTGACTTCTGGCAAATTACTTGCTTTCTCTGAACCCCTGTTTCATCTTTTGTGGAATGACGGGGGTTCACAAGATCAGCATTTCCAACCCTGTTCCTCACTTAGATGAGACGTGAATAAGCAACCTATGAGAAACTGTGCTATGGGCAAAGATGTTGAGGAAGCAGTAGAAAGACAAACTTCTTTAGATTAGGACAACCTGACCCGTTAATATGTTACTGTGCGTTGTCAGGCTCCGAGCAGGTGACCCAGCAGCAGCTCTTCTCTGGTTACTAGGTCGCAAAATGCTGGTCTAGATCTCTCTTAGGGCTCCTGCGGCACTGGCGTTCAGAAAGCCTTTACTGGGTGCCTACTGTATGCCAGGCATGGCATACTGGGGTACCACAGTGAACATACGAGGTGCTGTCCCTGTCCTTTTTGGAGCTTGGCAAGGAGCATTTGAAGAGTCTCTGTTTCATGAATCATTTTCCCACTCCTTGGTTCTCTAGGTGGGTTTGTCTTCACTGGCCCTAGAATGGTCCTGCCATCTGTGGGTGTGGCCTCGTATTAGCACTACCTAGGTACCCTTTGCGCTAACGGCCAGCCCCCTGAGCTTTCAGGCTCTCATTTATGGTATGGGTACAGATGACCACAATAGCTCATGGTATTGCACAGCCAGAGGGGAGTTGGTGCTGGGGGCCTCCTTGTCCAGGTGGAGCAGGAATGTCCCTGCAACAGAGTGCCCCGAGGGCCCAACCTCCCACCACATGCAGATGCAGAACCCTGTCTCAGGCCCCTCAGCTCGAGACCAACTCCAGATGCCAGGATAACTGGGCCCCATCCTTTGGCAGACTTACACTGGACTTGTCCATAAGCGGCCTCGGTTTCCAGCCGGCACCCATGTTTCCCCAGCCAGTCCCTTCTCTGCGGGCAAAATGAATGGCATCCCCTAGCCTTCACTGACCTGAGCTGCCACTCACTGCCACTTGCTGTGGCTGATGAATAGACTAGCTGCTTCCAAGACTCGATTCTGGTGGGCTTTCACCTGCTCTTCAGAGACATGAAAAGCAAGGGTTCCTCCTTCTCCCTTCCAGCTGGTTCACCAGGAACAGCTGTCAAAAAAGGTTTCTGGAAGTTTCCTCTAGATCCTGACTTGCCCTCTGTTAATCCCTACCCTTATTTGAGGGCCATGCTACTGTTCCCCTTCTCTCTTCCTTGGCAGGGACTCCCCATGAGAGGGAAGGAGGAAAGGGGGTCTCCCCTATCTGTGTACAGTCTGCCCCCCCACCCTGCAATTGCCTGCCCCATTGACCTGCCTGGCTGGATCCTGTGTGACACCCCAGCACCTATCATTCAGGGGTCCAAATGCCCAAATGCACATCTCTCTATGTGCCCATTATAACATCTCTAAGTGGTCTCTAGAATCAAATGCACTCCATACTTTTAGTGCCCTGGGAAAGGAGAGGGAAGGGTACTGCCGCCCCATGAATGGGGCATGTGCTCATTGCCTTGGCATCTGGAAGATTTTGTTCTTACCAATCTAGCAGAGACTAGAGAAGTCAACAGAAAAAAGATGGACACATTCTTCAGCTGTAACATAGCATGCTCTGCAAAGCCAGTGTAAAAATAACCAGGGCAGGGGTGTGTGTGGCATTTTGCAGCTGGGTAATCTGATCCGCAGAGATCTGTCCAAGGTCAGGGGCTTGGCAGCAGCTCCTGGCCACGCCTACAGCTCCCAACCGTGGACCTCTCTGCCCTGTGTGTCCAGCCCTGCTCCCAGCCCGTTGACTTTAGCCTCTCAACAGCACTGCCTCCCCGGGTTACCCGATGAGGTGGGATTTTTCTCCTGTTCATGCTGCAAATCTCCTTGGCTCAGGGCCAGCCGTTTTGAGCTTACAGCCACGTCCCAACGCAATGCGCCTCATCTCAATGCCGCTGACTGTGGTGACACATGTGGTATAGTTTCACTATCTGCCCAGGTGGCTTTGGCTCAAGTGGCATGGCTGGTGCTTGTCCCCATCAGAGCCTCAAGTGCCTATGGCATGCTACCCGTGCCCTTGCCTGCTCATCTGTAATGTCCCCATAGTGCCTATGACACTTTCTTCTTCTTGGGATATGCATCACCTGCTTGCCTGGTAGCCAATTACATAGATGTCATGGAAGCCCTGGATGTCAGCCGTCTAATGTCCACTAATACTCAGCAAATCCTACCATGGGGCTGTGTGTGTGTCTGTTCTCAAAGAAATGGCTTCTTTGTACATGGTGGCTACCATTATCTAGGCTTTGAGCTGATAAAAATTGTTGAACCTGATCATATGACAAAGTTATACTTGTGTCTGATCTTTTATTCTCAAAGCCAAGGATACCTGGCTTTCAGACTAGCAGTTCGGCGATCTGTTTGCCTCACTTCATGTGTCACATCTGTCTTCGTTCGGGTTCCCCATAAGGTGACTAATTGTCGTGGTGTGCCGGGGACTGAGGAAGGTTACCAGGATGTGAGACTTTCAGTTTTAAAACTGGCACAGTTCCAGTCAACCTGGAACAAGTTGGTCACAGCAGTTCCTTCAAAAGCAAAGCCTGAGACAAGGATTCAGTGCAAATAGTTTATTTGGGTGATTCCAGAAAATACCCTTAAGGAAATGTGGAAGTGAAATAGGAACGCAAAGAACACCAGTAAAGGGAAGGTTACCAAGGAGATTACTGCTACAGGTGTGGACCCTCGCCCCACTGGTAACTCTGGGAGTCAGAGTAGATGCACACCCCAAAGCTCACAGTGAAGGAACGGGGTGCGTGTACACCAGCTCCACTCAGCCCTTGGGGAAGGCCACTCTGGAGGATTCATTCCTTGGTGCTTCTGGTCTAGCACAGGTGCACCAGCTGAGCAGGCTCCTGCAGCCCGCGAGAAAGCTGCCAGGCAAAGAAAGGTAGGCACTCGTGCTAATAAAAGGAGAACATGATGCAGTGTCTACCATGCGTTTCCTTCAACCCTGGCACCTCCCCTGCACAAATGATTGAGACATGCGTACAGTATCTTTGCAGATTTTAAAGTTCCAGATATGCTATCTACTATTCCAAGACCTCTGTAATAATAAATGACCAGGATGTATCATTATTGAATAGAGAAAGCCTAAATTACAAAGGGTAACCCACATTTTTTTTAGTACATTTGGTTTGAAATTAGCAAGATGAACCATGAAACTGATTTTTTTGGCTTTTTTAAAAAGAAAGAGATGCAGGTGCTGGCAGATGGGAGTCAGGCCCAAGTGCACTGACCTGAAACACGCCAAGGGGCTGCAGCAAGGCACTGACGGCACCTGCAGCAGTGTCTCTCCTGAGCTGCTTGCCACATTTCAGATTTCTCCCGGAGGCAATTCGTGATCACAAAATATATTTATTTGAAAATCATTACCAGCCACCATCTTGTCTTGGAACCCACACAGACTGACCCCAAAATCAAACATAAGGCTCATTTAGAAATCCTTCAGCAACTTGCCTTGTTTCCTCAAAATCAATCATCCCTTTTCAGATTTGAGGGAGGACAATGGACTATAATAGGAATTCCCAATAAGCCAGAAACATTGCAGCGATGTGCTAAGGGCTCCTAATGGGAAAAATTGGAGGAGCCCCCAGGCTGAAGCTGACATGGTAAACAGAAACCCTGTTCACATGCATGGCCCTCCTAGGTGATGTTCAGCTGGATAATGGACTGTCACTGTGATAGACAAGCCCTCTCCCTGGCCCTCACCATGGCTCTAGGCTGCTGGGGGGACCTGACGTCCCCTTTGTAGTACCTCACTGACTTCTATGAGCCTGGCACTGCCTCTCCCTTTGTAAGACACGTGCTTCTTTGTTCTTTTCCTCCACTGTGCATCCTGTAAAGGCCAGTTTTGTGTGTGTGTGTGTGTGTGTGTGTGTGTGTGTGTGTGTGTGTGTCTGTGTGTGTGTCCTGCTGGGATGGCAATTAGGATGTCCTAGTCCCTCACGGGTGAAGAACACATTGAGGAAAGCAGGTTCTCGGGGCTCCTGGGTTAAAGAACTCTGTAGGAGACGAAGTCAGCCCGACAGTTCAGGATTCTGGGTCTCCTGGGTCCTCCGTCCCACAGTACCCCACTCCCTCCAAGGCACTGCTTGCCCCCCGCCCCGGGAAACCTGAGCTCCGCTGGGCTCAATTAATCCGTATCCTGGTCTGAAACGGAGAGAAAATGCCAAGTCGAGTCCAGCCTAGCTCTGCCAAGCTCTGTTGTTCTGCCATCAAGCAGCAGTTGCCCTCATTTCCATCTGAGCATCACCTAGAATCTCCCAATTATGAATTCATCCTAGAAGCATCCAGACCACCCACGCACCAAGTCCAGCAACCCCAGATCCAGGGCCTGGGAGAAGGAAGGCGGCACACGTCCTCTATGATAAGTGAGACAAGGGTAGTCTGGGAAGGCATCTGCTGGGAGGGGTTCCTCTCCTAGCCTGGGGGAAGGAGGGGCCCTGGATACCCAGGATGGTGGCCATGCCAAGTTCCTGAGCCCTCAGTAAGATCTCGGTGAAAGTTGTTTAAAACGGCTTCCTCAGCCATCCCGAACTGAACTAACCACCCCCTACGCTACTCCCAAGCTCCAAGATCCTCCAGGTTGCACATATGGGTCCTCTCGGGTGCTGACCCAGGCTCCATCTACCCTTCATTCCTGGCTTCAGAATCTGGGGTTTCCCATGGGTAGGAAACCAGGGATCCTTTGCAGGAATTGCCTTCGCCCTCCAAGCCTGCTGTTCTGATACCGTTCAGCAGAGGGCGCTGTGGGCGTGCACTGCCTTCCAGGCCCGGACCAGCTCCTGCCAAAGGCATCTGTGGAAAGAGGAGTGGCAGGGATGAAGGGAGGCTTCAGAAGCTATTCCTGTCCCCTGTCAACAGTCTTTCTTCTCTGCTAAAAATGTGACACTAGCTCACCTGGGGCTGGAAAGGAGAAGGTGACCTCTTGGTCCTTCCCTGCTTGGCCCACTCCTCCTCCTCCAAACTCCATGGGAAGCCACTCTCAGGAACACTTCCCAGAGCTTCTCTCAGCAGCAGCCTCACAGGGGACACTCTTATTACACGTATGTGTGTCCTGTCTCCCCCATCGGATTGGGAGCTCCAATCATGCTTGGAAGTCTCCTCCAGGGCAGGATGCTGTTAGGTGAAAGGCACTTAGAAGAGACCTCCTGACAAAGCAACACAGGGTAGAGACCAGATTCTCAGGATTCCCCAGACAAGCCATTCAAGTCCTTGCATGTTCACTCTGCCTATGAGGGACATTTCCCAGGGACACACTCCACTCCTGTCATCCTTCAAAGTTCAATGCAGAGCTCATCTCCTCCAGGAAGTCTTCCCTGACTGGCACCCCCAAGGCAGACTGGACCTCTCCAACCTCTGCTCCCACAACCCTTTGTGCGTACTCTAGGTAATGCCTGCTACGAGCACTTCTCAATGACATTTCAGGGCTGTGTGGCCATGTGTCTCTCCCATCAAACTATGAGCAACTTGAGAGAAGAGACCTGGCCTCAGTCATCTCTAGGCCCTCTGCAAGGTCTGGAACATCCTAGCTGCTCAGTAAATGTATGCTCAAGTGCAAGGTTAAAGTCTGACCCAATCATTCCATCTTTAGTGAAAATCATCAAAAGTTACAATTAGAGAGTCTTAAATGTCAGACAGGAGTCCGAGGTCTTTCCATTGATTCATCTCATTTGCTCCTCACAACTCTACAGATTACCATGTTGGTGTTATGAATTAAGGACACTGAAGTTCAGATTTATTAATTAATTTTATTTTTAATTAGATAAATAAAATTACCTATAATTTTATTTAATATAATAAATAAAAATACAATAAAATAAATAAAAAATAAAATAAAATAATAAAAATAATAAAAATAGATTTTATTATTAATTTACCCAAGGTCACCCAGCTAGAAACCAGTGGGGCAGGATTCAAACCCAGGTCTGCCCCACTCTGCAGTCAAGTCCCTTAAAGGCATTTATGCGTTCATTCATTCATTCCATCTGTGAATTCACTACACAGCTACTGAGTGCCAGGTGCTACCAGGCTAGGCTAACACAGCCAAGTAGGGGGAAGACGGGAGAATTTGTTACTGAGCTGTTCATTTTCTCCCAAGTTAATGGAAGAACTGCTCTTCCCTGCTCAACTGCTGGGACTGCAAGTTCCCTCTCCTCTCTCTCCTCTTGCTCGCCAAGTCTCTCTCGCCACACCATCTCCAGAAGGCAAATGAAGCCCAGCTCTTCCTGTCCCTCCCCAAGGAGGCAGCTGGGAACCAGGAGGCTCAAGACACAGAAGGAAAATCAATGACACATCTTCCTGCCTTTCCCCAGCTCATCACACACTGCTCATTGGGCCAGCAGGAAAAGCAGCAGACGGGCTCCGGCTTGGGGGACCCAGGTTCCAGCTGCTCCTACTGTGAGCAGTCCCAAGATGTCAGACCTGGAAAGGGTGCTTAGAAACCTCCAAACACTCACCCCCACCCCCATTTTATGGATGGAGATACTGAGGCCCTGGGAGGGATAGGCCCTGGGCCAGAATCACTCAGGTCCCGAAACACCTGCCTTCACTGGGCCTGAAACTCTCACATTAGAGCTACTCTAGGGTAATGCTATGGTTTGAGTATCTGTCCCCTTTGAAACACATGTTGAAATTTAATCCCCAATGTGGTAGTATTCAGGGGTAAGGCCTTGAGGAGGTGATTGGATCATGAGCGCTCTGCTTTCATGAATGGATTAATCCATTAAGGGGTTATCATAGAAGGGGAACTAGTGAGTTTATAAGAGGAGGAAGAGGGCCAGCTGCAGTGGCTCACGCCTGTAATCCCAACACTTTGGGAGGCCAAGGCAGGTGGATCACCTGAGGTCAGGAGTTCGAGACCAGCCTGGTCAACATGGTGAAATCCCATCTCTACTAAAAATACAAGAAATTAACCAGGCATGGTGACAGACACCTGTAATCCCAGCTACTTGGGAGGCTGAGGCAGGAGAATCACTTAAACTGGGGAGGCGGAGGTTACAGTGAGCCAAGATCATGCCACTACGGTCCAACCTGGGCAACAAGAGCAAAACTCCATCTAAAAAAAAAAATAATAAAGGACAAGACCTGAGCTAGCACATTTGCCATCTGCACACTCGGCCTCCTCACCATGTGATGCCCTGTACCACCTTAGGACACCAGAGTCCCCACCAGCAAGAAGGCTCTCCCCAGATGTACCCCCTTGACCTTGGATTTCCCAGCCTCCATAACTGTAAGAAGTACATTCCTTTTCTTTATAAATTACCTAGCTTCAGTTATTCTGTTATAAGCAACAGAAAATAGACTAATACAGGTAACGTATTCATAAGAGCCACCGTGAAAACGTATGTGTTACACGTAGAGGTGAGGGCTAGAGATAAGTGACGGCAGAGGGGCCATGCACATAACCTAGATACTTAGGATGGTGGAGATGGGGCCCTAGAGCAGCAGGGAACCCTAGATGGAAGGGTAGCAAGATCCGGAAACGGGCTGGAAGAACAGGTGGGGCCCAAAGAAGACAAATCCTGCTGCTCTCCCCAGTTGGTAGTAAAACCCAGATCCCTGGATGCTGCAATAAGATGGGGGGAGGGGCTGTCCACAGCTCCTAATAATCATTCAGCAAAGGCACAGCTCACTACAGGTGCACAGACTATGTGCCCCTAGGCAAGTGCCTTCACCTCTCTGGGCCTCAGTTTCCCTGTCTGTTAAAAGAGGGAGGTGAACTGGATAACTCCTAAGGTTCCCTCCATCTCTGAGGCTGTACATTAAATATCTTGCTTCCAGACCTGAGAGCATTCAAGGATGACAGGGTGAAGGAGACTGCCTCCATCCCGCCCTTGCTTGCTGTGAGGTTGTGTCTGCTTTCCTGGAGGCACGGACTCTTCTTCAGGCCAAAAAGCCCAGCTTTCAGGTGGCACAGTCCAGCATGGGTGCACCTGGTCCAGGGATGGAGAAACGGGCTCAAGGAACCCAAACAGCCACCTTGAGCCTCCAGTAACCACCAACCAGGCAGAACACCCGGATTCAGTGTCAGAAGGCCCCACAGCCACCAGGACAACATCCCTCCAGGCTTAGGGACAGGAAGAAATTACAACCACCATCAATCAGAGGTTTGGCCTCGGGTAGCGAAACATGCATGAGCTTCTGGGCTGACCTCCCTGGCCAGCCATCATCTGCCTCTCACTAGCTGGGCAAGTGACTTTACCTCTCAGTGCCTTCGTTTGCCCATCCGGAAAATCCCCATACTACCTCACTTACGTTCACACAAAGAAATGTGCTTGGCCCAGTGTGGCTCAGCAGAGGGTCCCAGGAGGTCCCTGCACAGCTGGCTTTGAATCCGACTTTATTGTGTGGGATGGGAGGGGCAGGGCACAGTTCCCTGGATTTTATTAAGCTGTGATTCCCAGCCCAGAGAACTTTCAGGATGACACCAGCAAGGCCTAGGAGTTGGCAGACAGTACCCACAGTACCAGTAATAAAATTAAACGAATCAGTGTTCTCAAGTTAGCCGCTCTCCTAATCACAACGGCTGCCTAGAGTGGGGCAGTGCTAATGCATGGGGCATGGGTGGTCCCGGCAACAGGGGTGAGGGGTGAGGGCCTCCACCAGGCAGGAGGCAGAAGCCAGCGTGGCAGGATCCCGCTCCCTTCTGGGTCTTTCCAGCCTACAGCTGGCTTCTGGCTTTGCTGGGCTATATTTTATGTCCCTCTTCATCTGCTTCTCTGTCCCAATAGGTCGCCCACCCCTGGCTTTGTCCCATCTCTCCACGCTCCTCCAGGGTCTCTCAGTCTGTTTTCCCCCTCCCCTCACCCCTCCTTCCTCCAACGAGCACCCTCCCCAACCCCTGCGCGCGCGCTCCTCCAAACCCCGCAAAGCCGCAGCTGTCCTTAACCCACAATCCTGCCAATTAAACCGCTCCCTCCGGCTCTGGCTGCGGCTGCTGACGTCGGAAGATCCAGGCGAGGCGAGGCCGCCGCCTACGCGGGTGGGGTTGGGAGAGGCGACGGCCCCCTCCTCGGGCCCCGCGGCCGTCGGTCAGTCAGCCGGCGGCAACACGAGCCCGCACTAGACCCAAGCGCCGCCCGTCGGTCCCCACTCCCGACGGGCCTCGCATTCCTGGTCCTCCACCTTCTGCCAAGACCCTGCCCACGCTTCCCGCACCAGCCTTAGGTCCCGAGGTCCCCAACTTTGGCGAAGATCCCGCCTGGGCTCCCCGCATCTTCCCTTGGTCCCAAGGTCCCCAACTTGTCGCCAAGACCCCGCCTGGGCTCCCAGCACCGCCCCTCGCGCTCGGGGTCTCCCGCCCCACGCCAAGTCAGCAAATGCACCCCAGGTTCTGCCTCTCGCGCTGCCGCTCCGCGACCCCCACTCCGAGTTCCCCGCGTCCCAGCATCCCAAGTGCGCTCCCAGCACCCTCCGCGCCCCGACCGCGCACGCCCCGCGGACGCCGCGCCGCGACCCCGCTGGGTCCCCCGCCCTCCCGGCAGCCTCCGCGCGCTCGGTCCTCGGTTTCCCCTCTCCGAGCGTCGCTGGCTCTGTCTCCACGAAGGCGTCGCAGTGGGAACCGGGAGGGGGCACATTAAGAGCAATTAGCCTGCGCACACTTGGCAGCGATACCTTAATAAATAATAGTCTGAAAGTCATGTAAATAAATATTAGAGCGCATTACGCGGGCAGGAGGCGCGGCACGGGGCCCGCGAGCTGGTGGCGAGACACCGCCGCCTCTCGGGATTGGCACGTGCAGGCGGGGGCCCGAGATCCCCGCGCCCCGGCGGCCTGCGACCCGCTGCCAGGGGCCGGGCAGGCAGGGGTGGAGGGAGAGGCCCGGGGAAGGAGCCCCAGGGAGACAGAGAAAGCCACAGAAAGAAATAGGGAGAGGGGAGGGGGAAGAGAGAGAGAGATGGAGGGTGTGAGGATGCAGCAGGGAAGTGGAAGAGGCAGAATTTGGTCCCCTAAGGCTCTGGGAGATTCCTCCCTGCTCCTGGCCAGGCTTCTTTTCCTTGGCCGGGCTCTCCTCCTCTGCCTCTCTGACTGCCCCTTCCCAGTCTCCTTTGCTGGTCTCCCTACATCTCCCCAGTCCCACCGCTGGAGGCGCAGGGCTCAGACCTTGAATCTCGTGGCTCCTAGCCTCATTCATTCACTCGAAGAGCACAGCCCGCCTAGGTGCTTCCCAGTCATCCGCCTGTCAGGGGCTCCCACCTGCAGACCTCCAGCCAGATCGGTCTCCTCTGACCCACAGGCTGACAGCTCCCTTGGACGTTGGACCTCAACTGGCCGGACACTGAACGCCTGCCCTCCCCTCTAGAACCTGTTTCACCCATGCTGTGCCCCAGTTCAGGAAACAGCTCTAGCTTTCTACTTGTGGAGGCCAAAAACCTTCGTGCCATTCTTGAGACCTCTCTCTGACACCTCATATGTAGCCCCTCAGAGAGTCCTGCCATGTCCACCTCGAACATGTTTCCAGATTCCTCCCACTGCCACCTGCTCCGCGCTGCCGCTTAGCCCAAGCCTCCCCACTCTCTCACTGGGACTGCAGCCACAGCTCCTCCTCCCTGGGCTCCTGCCCCCCTTAACCCTCACCATCACTGTGGACAGAGTGGAGGCTATAAAAGTACAAGTCACCGGAGTGGCTGGGACTACAGGCACGTGCCACCACGCCTGGCTAATTTTCTGTGTTTTTA
Source organism: Homo sapiens (assembly GCF_000001405.40). NCBI lineage: Eukaryota > Metazoa > Chordata > Mammalia > Primates > Hominidae > Homo > Homo sapiens. The sequence continues at coordinate 20,367,924 of NC_000001.11, forward strand.
GTAGAGACAAGGTTTCACCATGTTAGCCAGGATGATCTCGATCTCCTGACCTCGTGATCTGACTGCCTCAGCCTCTCAAAGTCCTGGGATAACAGGCGGGAGCCACCGCATCCGGCCAAGGCAGGAGAATCGCTTGAACCCGGGAGGCGGAGGTTGCAGTGAGCTGAGATCCCACCACTGCACTCCAGCCTGGGAGACAGAGCACGACTCTAATTAAAAAAAAAAAAAGAAAGAAAGAAAAGAAAGAGAAAGAAAGAGAGAAAGAAAGAAAAAAGAAAGAGAGAAAGAGAGAGAGAAAAAGAAAGAAAGAAAGAAAGAAAGAAAGAAAGAAAGAAAGAAAGAGAAAGAAAGAAAGAAAGTGTTCACCTCTCTGCTCAAAACTTTGCTTCAGAGGAAAAGCCAAAGTTTTTAAACTGCCCCACCAGGCTCTACCATTTGCCCTCCACCCCCGTCCTGGCAGCTCCGACCTCCTCACCCACCCCTCTCCCCCTCGCTTCTCTGATCCAGCCACCAGGACACCCTCCCTGCTCCTCAAATGCGCCAGACCTGCTCCCACCTTCGGGTTTTGGCCCCGGCTGGCCCCTCTTCCTGGAACATTCCCCAGATGTCATCTAGTTTAGCCCATCTCCTTCCAAGTCTTTGTTCAAATGTCCCATTCTCCCTTTGGCCATCCTATTAAAACTGAATTTCTCCTCCAGCCCAAGAAAACCTCCTCCTTGACATTCCGCTTTCTATTCCTTCATAGAACTCAACCCTTTCTAATACCCTACATCACTTACTGATTTTGTTCATTCTCTCTCTCTCCCAAATAGACAGTAAGCTCCATGAAAGCACGGATTTTTGCAATTTTTTCCCTTCACTGTTGTATCCCCAGTACTAGAAATAGTGCCAGGAACATAAAAGAGATTCAGTAAATATTTGAAAGAAGAAAGAGGGTGGATAGGAGGCTGGAGGGAAGGAAAGGGGAAAGGAGGAGAGAAAGAGAGCCCGGAAGGAGGGAATGGTTTGGGCAAAGGCAGGGCAGCCTGGGCAAGCATCATGGGGAAGGGAGTACTTGGAAGGACCCTGCCTGCTTGGAGCTTGGGGTGGCCCCAGGGCTGGCATTTGTGAGTGACTCCTTCACCAGTTGGTGCCCAGGCTGAAGGGGCACCAGGTTGGGGATCTCAGATGCAGCAGCCCCACCCCAGCCAACACCCCCACCCCCAAACCCATGGCAGGGAGCACCAGCTCCACCTTAGGCCCCAGCTGGGTGTTGGACGCCAGTGCTGAGGGCGGCCCTGCATGGGTAGGCCCCTGGTAACAGCCACAGTAATTACTGGTTGTATGCGATTAGGGGATAATTATGCTTAATAAGTCCAAAAGTAATTACCACGCAGGCTGCTTGCTGCTTTGGAAAACAGGGGCCCCCAGTGAGTGGGAGCCAGATAATTGAGAAGGGGGAGAGTGGGCATTATGGGCATCGGGGTGCTGGGCCATTTCTCTGGCAGATGCCCGAGTCCTCCCTGCCTCACCCCCACCAGGGGCTTGCTCACCTCCAGTGATGAGGAGCTCACTGTTGCGCAGGCAGCTCCTTGCATCATTGGAAGCCTGTGTATACAATTTTGCATACAATTTAGGCTATTGCTATTCCTGACAATAGCATAACCTCTTCACTTTCTTACTAACATCTTAGCATGTGAATAAACACAGACCTAAAGTATCATTCATAAAAGAAGCAAAGTGTATCCTTGTAGGTATCACCATGGATTGTCTTATTGACTCACCACAACACCGACGTAGTGTTTCTCATTAGTGCCACTGCACAGTGAAGAAACCGAGGCTCTTGGGGCCCAAGGTCACAACAGTGGAGGATAGCAGAGTCAAAACTCACATTGCAGTCTGCGTGATGCTGAAATCCATGTTCCTAACTCTTTAGCTATACTGTTACTCCTTGGGGGCCCCACAGAACCAATCCAATCCACTTTTCCAGAAACGAATCCGTGTCTTCTTGAATCTTTCTTTCTTTAGACAGAAGCCAGTGGCTGGACACGTTGCACCCTGCCAAGGAGGCCTTGTGGTGCAATGAAAAGGGTGCCCTGATCCTGCTGCCAACTAACCTTATGGCCTTGGGCAAAGTCGCTTGACCCCTTTGGGCCTCCATCTTCCTGTCTGTGCAAAGGGGGCAGGGGCACCCCAGCTTTGCTCCCTCAGGCCAACCCTAAGACCCAAGCAGCCCCAGGCCCATGCTGGCCAAGGGCCCCCATGCTAGAGGCTGGGGGAAACTCAGGGACCTTTTCCAACCCTGGAATGGTTCCCTTTCTTTCTCACTGTGCTGCTCTTTAGAGTTACGTCGGGAAGAGGCCTGAGAAAGAGCAGCGATCAACACTCTGATCTGGACATACAACCCTGCCCTTCCATGACCTCAAACATCTGCCTTCAACTTCATTGTTAGAACTCAATTTCTACTCCACCAGAGGAGTGGAAGTTTGCAGGACTCCAAGAATATCACAATAAAATGTAAATGCTTTTCTAAAGTTTGCCATCGTCACTTGGGTAGAGATCCATTTGTATGATTGTAATAAGCTACGATGGTTTATAGGATGACACTTTATATCAATTTTCTTACTTGATCTCTACCTCAACCCTGTTGAGGCATGTGTAGTGCTGTCTGTATTTTACACATTAGGCAACTGAGGCCCAGTAACTGGGAAAGAAAAAGAAAAAAGCTTGTCCAGAGTCAGATGGCTAGCAAAAAGCAGAGCCAGGATTTGAACCCAGGTCCAGTTCCAAATCCTGTGCTCATAACCACGACTGTATACTTCCATCTGGCCTAGAGCTACCTGCTGTAGCATCTGGGACATCAGATAAGAGAATGAGACCGGATGCAATGGTAGAATCCACCCTCCTCCCCAGTATTAGAGCCCAGGGGCCTCGTCACGGGCTAATGAAGCTCTCTGGCCCCATCTCGCCGGCATCTTTCTTGGCAGGATGCCCAATGCAACTGTTTCTCCACCAAGGAGGGTTTTCCTGAGGATCCCAGGGGAAAAGAGAAGTGCCTGAAAGAACAAATACCACAGCAGAAGCTTCTCATCTCTGCCTGGAGCAGTGCAACATGGAGACAGAGAACACGCGAACATAATTAAGACCATTCCAGCTCTGTAAACCACAAGACCTGCAGGCCAAAAGAAGGAATGGGGAGGGAATAGCCTCATTTAGCTCCTGTGGACTCCAGAGGACCACAAATGTGGATTCACTAGGAATATGCATCCTAAAGCCCCCAGAGTAGAAAAAAATTGCTACTGCCATAAAAATAATAGAACTGTCAACCGGCCATAAAATCTGCTCCATTAATAGTAAAAATATATCATGGAGTTTTCTTTCCTGCAAGAGTATCAAAATTACAATTTTTTTCAGAAAATCACAAAATAATATCACTGACAAACAATGATCCATGAGAGAGGTGGACCAGGGTTGGGTTACATAAATGCTCCCCAAGGTAGTGGGGTCCCAAATCACCCTCCTCAGGAGATTTTCGAACACATGGAAGGCAGGTGCCCACCCCAGGGGATTCTGATCCAACAGGTGAGATGCGAGACCTTGAAATCACAGAATTAAGTGGAAATCTCCCGTCCATTCCCACAGAAGATTCTGCAGCAGCCCTTCCAGCCAGTGCCGGGGTTGGAGACCACTGCCCAGGTGCCCAGCCATGTTTCAGCACCAGGGACAGGGCACACAAGTCCTCTCTCAAAAGGATTCTACTTGGTCACTCTGCGTATGTGGGGAGCTTTTTTAAAAAAAAATGCCTTAGCTCTTTTACTTTTCTTTTTCTTTTTTTCTTTTTTCTTCTTCTTGTGGGTGGGAAACTGAGGACATCTCGCCTCCTCCCTCTCTCTGATTGGGAGAAAAGCATGTGCTCTGGGGTGAGCACTGCAGCCCAGCTCCCGAAAGGCATGAAAAGCCAACCAGGGAGGGAGCAGATGAGGAGGGACTGTCCTCTAGCAGCAACAACACAAAGACCTCCTGCCTTTATTTGATAATGAGGAAGAGGAGGGAGATGGAAAGGTCTAGGTTTGGAAATCCTGTGTAATAATCTTGAGTCTCACCCTAACTGGCTGTGTGGCCTTGGGCAAGCCTTTTCTCCTCTTGGGGACTGCCCACACACTTCCTGGGCCCTGTGCCTGGGGAGGGTAAAGCTCGCATTTGACCCTACATCTTCCTGATGACTCAGATAATGCTTTCTCGCTCTACCTCACTCAACATGGTCTTCAAACAGTGAATAATCCCAAATCAGCAGTTCTCAAACTGTGATCCACTCAAAAAGTGAGAGTGTCCTCAGAGACAGGTGTTTGGTGCATAAAAGAAGAGATTGGGAGTACTATAGTAAAAATAAGTTTGAGGATTACTAAGGTAAACAGAGTCATACAGGTCTTTTGCTGTAGGACTTCTGGACCCTCTAATGTGCTATTGTGTTATTTTCAAGATGGCAGCCAAGAAGTATTCAGTGTTTTTCAAACTTCCTTTCATGCAATGCTTCTAGGAATCACTAACACTTATAGAGCACTTATTAAGAGCCAGGAATTGTCCTAAGATCTTTCCATTTTAAGGCAATTAATCTTTATAACAACTTATGAAGCAGGTATTATTATTATTACCATTTGCAGAGAGGGAAACTGCAGCACAGAACGACTTAAGCCCTTGCCCAAGGTCACATAACTATCATGCTGCAGAGCAAGGATTTAAACCCAGGCAGATGGGCTTCAGTCTGTGCTTTTAACGGTATCATGGAACCACCTCTCCCAACTTGAAGGCTTGGAGTTTATTAAGTCACAGTTTGGGAAATGCTATTGTACATGCATGTCAACTTAGCCTTGGAAATTTTTAACAATAGATTTTAAAACTTTTTCTTTGATTTTGGCTGATGTTTAGATACCCTGAGCAAATAGTGGCAGGCCCAGATGATGGCTGGGAGGCGGCGGGGGGGCCAGTGTGGTTCGTTTTATTTATTTGTTTGTTTATTTATTTATACTTCAGATTGGCTTTTCTGTATGTGAGGCAAAGAAGCTACATTTCTTTTTATTGATATGCAGTAATTTACATATTTCTGGGGTACATGTGATATTTTGATGCATGCATACAATATGCAGTGATCAGATCAGTGTAACTGGAATGCATTTCTAATGCCCTGGTTGGGGACAAGAGAAAGGAGGGAAGAGGGCATAGCTGTAGGAAGGAGGGAAGAAGAGAAGAGGTAAAAGAGAAGACAAGAGGGACAGAGAAGGAAGAATGAGGGCAAGAGAGGAAGAAGGAAAGGCCCAGAGGCTGAAGAGCGGTGAGAGACTGGGCTAGGGAGAAGGAAAGTAGAGAAAGAGAGACAAGACAAGAGAACAGGAAAAGGGCCGAGGAAAGAGGGAAGTGAAGACCGCCCCAGCCTCAGCTTCAGTACTCTCGGGGCTTCTCTCCTGTCCCCTGTTCTCTGCTCTCCCAGCCAAGAGCAGCTGCAAGGAGAGGAAGTGAGGTGTCCCCTGTCAGGGCAGTGGCTCTGCAGGCTCCTGGGGGGACAGGTTTGGGGGTTGGTCCTGCCTGGGAGCCCAGGACTGTGTCTTGAGGGTCCTTCCCATCGCCTACATCCCATTTTGGCCCCGCCTCCTCTCCAGGCACTTTTCTGTGCTCTTTCCCCAGAACAAATCAGCACCTGTCACCAGCCACCAGGAGCCTCCGCTCTCTTGTTCTCCCTCTGGAACTTCAAAAAGGCTTAACACGGTTTCTCTGCAGCGGTTCCTCCCCTCTTAGGTGGCTCAGTCTGCTCCGGACTCAGCTGTGCCTCTCATCATCCAGTCTTTAAAAAAAAAAAAAAAAAAGTGAAACATGGATTCTGCTTCTCTTTGCACAGGGAACATCAGCACCAAATTGGAGCATTGTTGGTGACAGTCCATGCTCTGGGCCCAGCCTTGGGTCTTCCTTGAGGGCATCAGGGTGATGTCATCGCACTGGCATGAGCTTAGTGGACTCCAGCCCCATTCCGGTCAGCACCCCCATCCCAGCCTCAGAACCCTCATAGCCCAAGCCCTCACTCCTAGCACCTCTAGCAGGAAATTTGGAACCAGTGTTGCCATGGCAACCATGATACCAGCAATTGTTCTTCATTATGCTTGGGGATAGAATTATATGACCTGGAATCAAAACAAAATGCAAGGCATCTAACACAGTGGAGGGAGCCATGAAGCCAGGGAGCCTCCATCTGCTCTTAGCAAAGTTACTCTCAGGCAGATTGAACAAGTTACCTGTCCTTACTGGGACTCAGTCACTGCACCTGTCAAATGGTACAGCTGTGTGCATATGAGGAGGGTTGAATAAGATTATCCCCAAGCTCTCTGAATCTGCGGATGCCTTCAGGAACCCAGTAGCAAGGTGAATGTATGAAGGGCCCCTCAACACACACCCACAGTGCTTATAAGAGGGTAAAGAAACAGTCAGAAGGTCAAAAAGGTATCATTAAAAGTTCTGATGTCGGTGTAACTTAGGCCAGTTAGTCCAAAGGAAGGCAGCCTCCCTCAATGAGCTGGTCTGTCTTAGAAAAAAAGTACCCTTCTTGGGGGTGACTGCCAGGATTCCTTGGTCCTCTTCCACTCGACCCACTCCCCAAAGCAGCCCTCCCTTTGACCCAACCATTCCCCTTCCAGAAATCTCCTGAATGCTCAGGCCTGAAACAGAAAAAGCTTGAACACAAAGAAACACATAGCAGTCTTGCTTATAACAGTGAAACTTTGGAGTCCATCCAAATGTCCAGGTATAGGGGAATGGCTAAGGAAATTAGGGCACGTATCCCCAACCAGAATACTATGACAGCCAGTAAAAATTATACTTGCCAAAAGTTGTATTCTCCAAGGACAATGCTTCTGCTTTAATGTTAAGTAGGAATAACAAGAAGCCACATGGTGCCTGCTGTGGTTTTTTTAAGGGCATAGGGGAAAAAATGCTGGGTTTGGGGTAAATTCTGTTTTCTTCTTTGAACTCTACTTCCCTACATTTCTACAGCTAGCATGTATTATTATATTCTAGAAAAATTAGTAAGCCATTTCTAAAGGGTAGGCCTTGCCAGGAAGGCAACAGGGCTTGGCTGTTCTTGGTTCAGATCAGGACTCTGACATTCTACAGCCATGGGCTTGAGGACTTCTGACCTCTCCAAGCTGTGGTTTCCTCACATGGAGATGACAATGACACCTATGCCAGAAGGCTGCTGTGAGGATGGAATGAAACAAGGCCCCTGGAGCCCCGAGTACATGGTAGAGACCTGGCACATAGTAGGCGCCCAGAAAAAGTGGCTATTGTCTGGGTTCTTAGTGGCTGTCATCTCAGACTGGAGCTGGCTCGGCTCTGGCAGCCTTTCTGAATCTTGGCCTCTGCCTCCCAGCCTGCAGAGTGTTGCCTCTCCTGTGCTCTCTCAGCCCTGTCTCCAGTCCCATCTGGAAAGCCTGCCCGCTCCCCTACCAGCCCAAGCCCATCCCCAGATACCAGCCTTCCTGGATCGTGCTCAAGGAATTGCCCACGAGGTTGTTCCAGAATGCCAAGTGGAACTGGGGCTCCCCTAGCTCCGGCACAGGCTGAACCACCTCCCAGCCCCTTCCAGCATCCTTAGGGTCTGCCCCACCACATTCAAGCCAAGGGTTCTCTGATCCCAATTGCTCAAAAAGAAATTCTCTAGCTCCAGGGGCTGTGCCCTTTTCGAAGCCTGTGCTACATTTTCTGGACCCTCTGGGGAAGACACCGCTGTGACCTTAGGAGAGAGGCAGCCAGGGCTGAGTCAGCCTCTGCAGCAGAGCCTGGGGGACAGGAGCATCTTTCGATGAATCAGCCCCACCATGCCTGGTGACAGACATGCTTTACCTCTGATCATTCCACCATTTTGGCACCTAACAAGCAGGGAGAGGCGGAGCAGAGCAGGCAAGAGAACAAAGAATATTTTGCGGGAGCCGGAGGCAACTGAGGACCTCTGCGGAGTGACAGGCAGACAGAAGCAGGCAGGACGGGGGGTAAGTAAGTTTCATAGCTGGGACTTGAGACATCAGCATGGCGGGAGGGACCCTAGGAGGACCCACTTCCTTCTCTGCCTTTTCTCTCTCATTTCTTTTCATCTTCTGTTTTCTCTCCCTCCCTTGCTTTCTTCTCTTTTTCCTTTATTTTGTTTTTTTCCTTCCTCCATGCTTTCTTCTTTCCTTTCTCTACTCATTAATTCATTTCTATTTTCTAGTGCTTCTTTTATCTATGTATTCAACTGATATTACTCCTGCTGAGTCCTGTGCTGGAGTCATTGGGACAAAAATGACACAACCCTGGTCCACACACACTGACCGTTACAGACCTCACCACTCTAACAGTATGGAGGCTCAGAGAACCCAGGATAGACCAATGCCCTGAGGGTGTCTGGGAAGGCTTCCTGGAGGCGGTGCCTGCCATGTAGAAGGAAGAGACCTTGGCCCAGCAAGCAAGGCAGGGTGAGCGTCCAGGCAGAGAACAGTGTGTGCAAAGCATGGCAGAGGAACTGGGCAGGAGTGGCCAGAGGTGAAAATGTAGCCAGATGGCAAGGGGCTGATATGCCGCTTGTTGACTTAACTCTGGACCAAGCACTTTGACAAGCATCTCCCTTTTACAGATAGGGAAACTGAGGCTTGGAGAGTAATGTAACTTGCCTAACATCACCCAGCCAGTAAGTTGCATAGCTGGGACTTGAATCTAGACGAAGGTGGCTCTAATAGCCATGATCTTGCCCCTTGACCACGATAAACCTCAGCTCAGGGGTTTGAAGAGGTGTAGACCACTGCCGACAGACAGGTGACCAGTGAGGCAGACTTCTGCAGTCTTCGGACACATGAGGCACTTCTCTGCTACCCACAGAGGCAAGGGGCACCTGTCCTGTGGGTAATGCCACTGGGGAAATCTGTGGCATTGTGCTTGGCCTGTCTGGGAAATGAGCCTGAATGATTTGAAGGACAGCACTCTCTCCCGAAATCCCTGTGTATTGTTCTGACTGGGCACCTCTAGGAGCCAACTGCTGGAGGTGGTGCGTGAACCACACAGCAGCCACTTGCTCCCAGCCCTGCCCTGGGTCTCTGAGAATCACAGAGTTGCAGGCAGCGTGCCCCAGGAAGGAGCCTAGAGGCATTACCACCACAGGCCTGAGGGTGGCAGTGCTGAGTGACTTCGCCCGCAGCCATCACCTCCTCATCTCTAAAGCACAAAGATTACCCTCAGCTCCTCGTGGCTGGTGTCTCCTCTTTGCTCGACAAAAGGTGGGGGCACCCTGGGGGAGAGGGCTTTGGAGGCAGAGCCTTGAGTCCAGGTCCCAGCTGTGTGACCTCACCTCTGGGAACCTCAGTTTCCTTGTGTGTAGGACCCTGATGATAACATCTCCCTCAATACCTAATGAAAGCAAATATTTATGACATCTACTTGAAATAACACAAATTAAGCACCAACTTACCAAGTTGCACTTATTCATTTATTCAGCAAGCAGGTATCAAGTATCTATATGTGCCAGGCACTCACATGGGGGTAGCGGTGGGACACCCCAGATACCAGAAGCAACAAGGTTCCTGATTTAATGGAGCACCTATGCCGGAAGGGGAATGGAGTGACAAAGAATAAAACTGAGTACTGTAAAGGCAAGTGGCTGGGAAGCTACTTGAGGCAGGGTGATGATGGAGGGCTTCTCTGAAGAGGTGATAGCAAGGAGCCAGTCAGGCAAAGACCACGGGAGGACATTCTGCAGAGGGAACAGCACGTACAAAGGCCCTGAGGCAGGAACAGGCTTGGCGTACATGAGCCTGGTGAGGTTGAAAGATGGCAGGATGGTGTGGGGAGAGTGGCAGGGGCTGAGGTTGGAATGGTGAGTCCGGCCAGCTCAGGACGGGTTCCCGGAAGGCCCAAGAAAGGAGTGTGACACATAGCAGGAGGTTAATGTTAGTAGCTGTGGGTATGATCTCCTGGTCCCATGCCCTCATTTTCTAGCTAGGGAAACTGAGTCTGGCCTATCAGACTTATCTTTTTCCTACAGGTGGGCTCCTTTCTGGCCTGTGCAACTGCCAGTCCCTCTGCTAATGGCCCAGATGCCGAGGGCCCCTGCGCCATCACAGCTCAGGTCTTCAGTTCTGAATGAGATAAGTGGAGCCCCAGCCTCCACTAGGCCTGGCACAACTGCCTTTCCCAGCCACCTCCAGCCCTGCCAGTTTCACCGGCTTCAAAACTGTAAGATGGCTGGGTGTGGTGGCTCACACCTGTCATCTCAACACTTTAGGAGGCTGAGGCAGGAGGATCGCTTGAGGCCAGGAGTTTGAGACCAGCCTGGGCAACACAGCAGAAGCCTGTCTCTACAAAAAAATACAAAAATTAGCCAAGTGTGGTTGGTGCTCACCTGTAGTCCCAGCTACTTGGGAGGCTGAGATAGGAGGATCACTTGAGCCTGGGTGTTCAAGGCTGCAATGAGCTATGTTGGCACCACCACACTCCAGCCTGGGCAGCATATTGAGACTCCATCTTAAACAACAACAACAAACTATAAGATGATGGCTATCAGGAGAATGACCACCTCTCTCAACACCTGCACCACCTGTAAGCTGTGCTCATGTGTGACCCCTCAGGCCCTCTCCAAGAATAGCTGGGACAACTAGGCCCTTTCTGTCAAATGCCTACAATGCTGTTATTCAGGGCTGTCCCCCAAGAACCACCGCATCCCCACGTTCAGCAGTCTCTCCTCTCTCTGTCTCTCGCTATCTGTTCTCTCCCTCTTTCTCTTCTCACTCCTCGTCTCCATTCTCAATCTCTCCTCCATCTCTTCTATTTTACCTTCTTCCTTGTCTCCACCCCACTCCTCTTCCCTCTCTCTTCTCTAGATTGACTAATTCGTTTGTTGGATGGTTGACTGAATGATTGATTTCTCTCTCTCTCGGTTCCCAACAGATTTCTAGAATGCCTAAAACTCAGGGTCCACTATTGTATTAGTCTGTTTTCACGCTGCAGATAAAGACTACCCAAGACTGGGTAATTTATAAAGAAAAAGAGGTTTAATGGACTCACAGTTCCACGTGGCTTGAGAGGCCTCACAATCACCGTGGAAGGCAAAAGGCACATCTTACATGGTGGCAGGCAGGAGAGAAATGAGAGACAAGCAAAAGGGGCTTCCTCTTATAAGACCATCAGATCTCTTGAGACTTATTCACTACCATAAGAATGGTATAGGGGAAACTGCCCCCAGAATTCAATTATCTCCCACCAGGTCCCTCCCACAACATGTGAGAATTATGGGAGCTACAATTCAAGATGAGATTTGAGTGGGAACATAGCCATAGCGACCATATCAACGATGATCCAGTCCAGGTTTTCGGGTGGCCAGGGTCAGCCCGGGAGCTGACGTCCACAACCCCAGAAGAGGAGAGGGCTGCCAGGGAACCAGCACTGGAAAGTCCACCAAGAGAGTTTCTTTCCACAGTGCTGTAGACAAACATTGAGATGGGGGGCAGTGAGCTCAAGGTGTGTCCCCCAGCAAGTGTCTGCAGGGCGGCACCCCACCCCGATGCTGCCCCCTTACAAGCAGAACCACCAGCTTCCAGGAGTGTCCAGGGGCAACCAGGCAAAGTCAGAATCATCTTGGGAGCTTATTGAAAATACAGATCCCCAGGCCCACCAAGAATTACTAAACTGCATTTTCCAGGGCTGGAGCCCCAGCAACTAGAATTTTAATAGACAGTGGGAACTGGGGAAGCCAAAGCTGGGTGAGGGCTGGAGAGAAGGGAGTTGGCTCCCTACTTTGTCCTTCACCAGATCACTATTGGGCATCTCCTATGTGCCAGGCAGTGTGCTCAGAGCTGGGTATACATGAATGAAGAAAAGAGACACAGTGCCCACCCCTGTGGAGCTCACTCTGCTGGGATCCTGGCCGGAACCATAATGCTCCCAGGCTCCATGTAATCCTGCTCTGTCCATTTCCCCTGCCTGCCACCTGCCCTCTTTCCCCACCCCCCAGCCCCTTGGCCCCTAATGCCAGCTGCACCAGCCTCACCTGCTTCCTTGAGTGTCCTGTGCCCTTCCTACTACCAGGCATTTTCCACACAGCTCTGTGCTTGAAACCCACCCCAACCCCACAGCTGCCCCATCTTTACCTCATTAAACTCACTCATCCACCAGAAGCATTAGGAGTGGAATGGAGAAAGGCTAGATTCTGAAGCCAGAGGGCCTGCGTTCGAACCCTCACCCTGCTGCTTATTAGCTGTATATTATTGGAAAATGCACTCAATCTTTCGGTGCCTCCGTTTCCCAATCTGTAAAATAACAAGAGTTCTTATCTCATAGGGGTAAGGAGGAAATGAGTAAATATGTATGAGTGAAGCACTAGGAACAGCGCGTGGCCCTGCGGATAACAGAATATTGAAGAACTGATACCACACAGGTTACAGCCAGCTAACAAAGTTAACAACCAGTGCTGCAGCTGCAGCCCAGCCCACCCAGCACCATTAGCACTCTGTAAGTGTTATCACTGGGATGCCCAAAACCCACTGGCCAGTCCCTGTTCCACATTCTCTCAGCAGCCCTTGCTTCTTTGGGGGTAGAGCTTAAAACTCTGTGTAATTGTTTCCATTCGTGTAACTACTGGAGTCACATCTGTCTTCCCTTCTTCCCCATAAGGGCAGAAACCACATCTACTCTGTCCTCACCACTGCCACCCCGCTTCCCAGCACAATGCCTGACACTTCGTGGGAGGCCAAAAACTATTTGTTGAAAGAGCAAATAAATGAAGGAATCAAGTGTAACCCTCTTAGAGCCTGGCCATTTCGCCTCCTCCTTGAAGTCAACCTCAGCATGAGTCACATTCACAGAAACATTCATCTCATACCCAGAGATCATCAAAAGACCAGCTGAAGGCTTTTCTGCAGTCCTTGAGAGAATGCCAAAAGGTGGGGTTGCATTCACCGCTCAGGAAACAGCTCAAAATCCTTCCACTCTCGCTCTTGCCTGCTCCAGCCTCTCGGGAAAAGGGCCAGTCTGCTACTCCAAGAGAACACGCGGACTGAAGTGCTGTCCACGCGGTGTTCAGATGGGGCTCTGGAGGCCATGCCATGTGATCCCTCGGTGAGGAAAGGATTCCCTGGCCAGCCATGGGGAATATGAACTCCTGAAGATGAACAAGAGCTCTCAGCCCCCTCCCCCAGGCCCACCCAGCTGTCCTGAGGTCCCCTTGGAAGAGACCAAAAGAGAAGAAGCAACAGGGGGCCAGAGACCCCCAGGCCCCCAACCACCATATACCACATAAACCAACTGATGAGGAAAGAAGGTCCTAATACAGGCACTTCCCCTTTCATTCTTGATAAACTCAGAGTCCAAACAGCCCTCACAGAATGACTGCAATGTCAGGGAACTGAAAAAGAAGAGCTTACTCTCTCCCTTCAATAAGTTTCTTCCCTTCTCTGAGCCTCAGTTTTCTCCATCTGTAAAAGGGCTGCTAAACTTCCTTCCAGCTGGAAACCAAGATGGCGGTCTTGGCAAACCTGGCACAGCAAGAAAAATTGGCCTAGGGCATAGGCAGGAGGAGTTAGAGAGACAGCCAAGTCTTCCTTTGAGTCAGTCAGAAAGACAAGAAGGCTTTTTTTTTTTTTTTTTTTTGAGATGGAGTCTTGCTCTGTTGCCCAGGCTGGAGTGCGGTGGCGCACTCTCGGCTCACTGCAACCTCTGCCTCCCGGGTTCAAGTGATTCTCCTGCCTCAGCCTCCCGAGTAGCTGGGATTACAGGTGCGCACCACCACATCTGGCTAATTTTTGTATTTTTAGTAGAGACGGGGTTTCGCTACGTTGGCCAGGCTGGTCTCAAACTCCTGACCTCTGGTGATCCACCAGCCTCGGCCTCCCAAAGTGCTGGGATTACAGGTGTGAGCCACCACACCTGGCCAAGAAGGCTCTTACATGACCGAAAAGCTTAGGACAGATTTTATCAAAATGTTTGTATTATAGGAATGCCTCTAGATCGAGGTCTTAACCAGAAGTGATCTCTCCCATGGCCCTCAGGGTAGTTTACCTTATCTCTCGAAGACACACCTGTAGGCTGTGTTGTATTAATTATATGTCTGATCTCCTTGAGAAAGCTGTAAAGATCCCTGTGGTCAGGAAATACACTCATTTTTGTGTCCCTGGTACCGTATCCTATGTGCTAATGAACACTCATTAAATGTCTGCTGACTTGAGTTAAAAAAAGAAACAAAAACCACTTGCTGTGTGATGTTGAGCAAGTTTCTTAACCTCTCTGAGCTTCAGTTTTCTCATCTGTAAAACAAGAATTTAAAATGTACCTGCCTCTAGGGTCATTTGAAGGATTAGTAAAGTCACACACATAAGGGGCTTAGTTCTACATCTATCATAGATAAAGCTCTCAATAAATGTTAGTAATTAATAGTATTAATTGTGATTGTAATGAATGTGGTGTGGTGAAAATGATGGTTATGATGATGTGGTAATGTTGAACATGGAGATAATGATGGTGGCTATGCAGATGGCAGTGGTAATCATGGCAGCGAAGTTGGTAGTAATAGTGATGGTGGTAATGATTGTGGTGATGGTGGTGACGATAGTGGTGGTGGTGATGACAGTGGTAGTGGTGATGGTGGCTATGGCCATGTGATGGTGGTAATGCTGGTAATGGTGTCAGTGATGAAGACAGTGATGTGATGTTGATAGCCTTGACTGGGTCAGCTCAGGTTAACCCAGAATCAGGTCCCACACTGGCTCCTTGGGTCCAGCCAATAGTTGGCCACGCAGACACTTGGAACCCTGACAAGGCCTTCTGGCCTCAGTACTGCTGTTGAGGCGGAAGCAGAAAGCAGACACCCACACTCAATAAGAGGCTGGGATGTTTCATATGGCATGTTCTGCCAACAAAAGGTGAATGTAATAATTTTGAAAGGAATATTTGTGCACTGGAGCTGAGGAACAGCCATTTAATACGGTGCTCGGCAGGGGAGGAGAGGCACGTGGGCAATAATAAATATGTATCCATTACACCCAGGAGGGCGGCGGATGCTCGTGTGGATCAGAGGCTGGATGCTGTTTGTTTGGGAAGGGATTGCCTGCAGAAATAAACCACAAACCTTTATTGGGAACCTACTGTGTGCAGGTCTGCTTCTGTGAAGGGCACGGCTAAGCATGAAACCCAGCTGTAACCTCTGAAAAGCTAAACGCAGGGAAGGGAAGACAAAATATATAGAATAAAAACTCTGGCACCTGTCCATTCATTCAATAAATGCACACTAAATACCTAGTCTGTATCAGCCCTGTGGTACGCACTGGGAATACTGAAATAAAAGAAAGCCTCCGTCCTCAGGGAGCTCCCAGCCTGGAGGGGAAGACAAATGAGTAAATAAATATGCACCTAACAGTGGGCTGCATGCCACCTGGGTCCATCACCCATCCAGGGCTCACAGTCTGCCAGGCATCGTCTCACTCATCTCATTATGTTAGTCTCATAACACATTATGTTAGCCTGTAAAGTTGGTGCCATTATGATAGCCACTTTACAGAGCAGCAAACTGAGACCCAGAGAGGTTAAGTAATTTGCTGCAGATCACTGAGCTCCTAAGTGGAAGAGTCAGGATTTGAACCCGGCCCTGGGAGACTCTTAGGCACCCTGCTGGTTCATGAGAGGGAGGGTTCAACTCTGCCCAGAGAATCAGGGGGGAGGGTTCACAGAGGAGACCCCTGAGCTGGTCACAAAGGACAAGAAGGGGTGTGCTGGAGGCTGGGATGTGGAGGGTGGGCAAGGCTTGAGCAGAACAAGACTTTCTAAGAGGGGCAGCAGCAGAAGCAGTGGTGTAGAGGTGAGAAAGCCTTTGGCACTCCCACGGGACAGTGAGAAGACCAAAGTGGCTGCAGCTGAAAGGTGAACGAGGTATTGAAGCTGCTAAATTAGGAGTGGGAGCCAGGTGCAGACAACTGTACTGAGAAAGCTCAGCTCTGAGCTTCCACTAGACCGGCAGTGCATAAACCAAGTAGACTCTCTGCCCTCCAGCTCCCTGGCCCTGAAGAAAGCCAAATCCTTCCTGGGCCCCAGATTAGCACTCCACTTTCAGATAGGACTGGTGAGGTGAAAAGAACATGAGCTTTAGACATAGGCATGCCTGGGTTAAAATTCCACCCCCGACCCACACTACCTGTGCAATTGGGACAATGTATCTAACCTCTCTGAGCCTCAGTGTTCTCATCTGTAAAACGGGCTCAATAATACATACCTTAGTTTTGTGAGAGTTAAACAGTGTAATGCTAGTAAAAGAGAAAAGGCTCACCTAAGGTCTGGCATCCAGTAGATGTTCATTAAAAATAGGTCCCTTTTTCCTTTCTCCTGCCTTCCCTTCTGGTTTTCCCAGTTCCTATACAGCATGCAAATCATAATGCACATTACTCCTGGAACAAGCCTGAGAATCCTTTGTGGGTGCTGTCTTGGAATTCAGAAAATACAATTCCCATATAGGGAGGATGCAAGTTTAATACACATAGTAAAGGAAGGTGCTCTTTGCATTCCCCAATGTTCTGCTTACTCTTAGGTTAGAAATAAGTCTAAAACACTAATCTATAGACAGATGAGGCCAGGTGCTTCTGTAAGGTGCAGGATGCAGGGAGCCCCCCTTCCTGTGGCTGGGGGACTGGGGGTGGAAGGACACAACACCCCTATCTGCCTCTTCCCTTCTGCCCAACTACCACTAGGATGCTTGAATGGAAATGCAAATTTAACCATATTCAATTCCTTTCTTCACCCCCAAACCTGGATTCCCCCAGCCCCACGTTCACCACTTCAGTCAATGGCTCATCTTCCCGTCCAGAAGTCTAGCGGTCATTGTCAACACCTCCTCACACCCCTGTCCTCCATCTACCACTAAGCCTTGCTTATGTCACTGCCTGATGATCTCAGGTCACTTTCGTGACCCTAACTCAAGCCCTTGCCTTGTGTCACCTGGACAACCCCCACAGCCTCCCGATTGGCGTTCTCATTTCTGCTCCACCCCTTCTCCACACGCTGTTAATGTCACTTCCTCGCCTTGTGTTTCCCACTGCTCTCAGAATAGAGGCACCACTGTCTTAAAGACAATCTTCCGTAACGGGCCAGAAAAGTCCTGAGGAGTCGGCCCCACCTTCCTGCGTATTCTCACGTCACACCCTTCTCCACTCAGTCACACTGCCTTCCTCTCCCTCTGCACACTCATCCTGCTCCTTCCCACCCCAGGGCCGTTGCACATACTGTTCCTTCTAAGTGGAAAGCTCTTCTTGGCCCTATTTGTCTATATAACATCTCAGTGGAAGGACGCTTTCTCTAGGAAGTCATCCATGACCTTCCAGACCAATTCTGAGCTTCCATGTAGCACCACATATGTCTCTGTGTAGCACTTATCTAGACCGTAATTGTACATTGATTGATGTGGTCATTTGATTAAAGCCAGTCTCCCTGAAACCCCCAGAGGGCAGGGAACATGGCTAGTTTCACTCCTTCTAGAACCAAGGGCCTGGTACATTGTAAGCACACAATGAATAGAATCAGATGAATGAATAAAGGAGGGAAGGAATGAATGAAGTGATGCTTCTGTACCCTCCTCCCCCGATCTTCAGTAAAACCTAGACTCATACAAAGGCAGACGGAGACACTAAAAGTGACCTTCCCATGTCACACAGCAAGTATAATTGAACTAGACCCAGAGCAATCCAGGCTTCCTTACTGGAATGGCTTTCCCAGACCTGCTGACTTGGGGTCTAAGTTCCACAGTGGGGAGGGGTGCAGGAAGGAGTGAGTTGGAGGAGCATCAAGGGCCAAAGGAGGGAAGAGTTTTATAGCTCCTGGTCTCTGCGCACCTGGGCTCTAATCCAGGCTGCAAAGCACCCTGGCGAGAAAAATGTGTTTTCTGCATGTTATGCTGGGCCCCGCCGACACCATATGCAAATGTATGCAAATTATGTGCAAACACAGTCTCTGGTTTAGATGAGAAAAACCAAAAGCCTGGTATCAGGGGAGCCATCTAAGACTAAACCAAGCTGGCAGGCCCTCCTGGCCCGCAAAGCTCTGACGCAGCCCTGCTGGCTACACAACTAAAATGGGGTGCAGGTGTAAGCAAGTGGGAACAACTCCCCCAGAGAATCCCCCACCTTCTGCCCTCCAGAAACACAGACCATCAACCCCAGGGGACTTGGCTGCTGTGAACTTTGGGCTATTTTTCCTGAAGTGGGCTTACTCCCCAGGCCATCCTCAGCACAGCTGTAAAAGGGTGTGCTCTGGGGGCCACTCTGCAGCCCCCACAGAAATGTCTCCATCAGTAGTGACTTTGCATGACCTCACTCTTTGGTCTGTGTCTGAATCGCCTGGGATGCACACTCAAAAACAGATTCCGTGGTCACCTTCAGAGGTGGAACTTGCAGGTCGGGGAAAGCCTTCCCCTTCTTGGCTGACGAACTCCTGTTCCTCCCTCCTGGAGATGCAGATCTAAATGTCCTGTGAAGCGCACCCTCAGGCCCCCTCACTCTCTCCAAGTACCATGGGCCTCCTGCCTTCCTTGGTGATCCCACAGCCCTGGATACCCCCAGTCACAACACTGGGCCTACTGGGGGCAGGAGTTTGTGTAAGGGTTTGTCTCTCCCACTGCACTGGAAAGGCTCGGAGGTACATGACCAATAGGAAGGGTTTTGTGAGTGAATGAATGAATCAGCAAACCAATGAATGAATGTGAGTGAAAGGGAAGCAAGGAGAGAATGCATGTAGCATCAATGATCTCTTCAGGAAAATTCCAGAGGGTCTGAGAGTGCTAGTAAGGCACAGACAGCATGGGCTGGGCAGATCTGGCCTCCTGCTCCCAGGTGCCTCAAGGGCCAGCCCTGCCTTGGCTGACATCTTCCCTGGCTCCTGTTCCCCCTGCCCCCCACCTCCCAGCATCAGCCTAATCGGCTGTCAGCACCAAAAAGAGCTGTTCCTTGAAACCTCACAGCCCATGATTGGATCTATGGCAGCTTCCTAAGCCGCTCAGTGGTTCCCATGGCAACCCGGCTGGTACCAGACTGGCAGCGGGCCACCTGGAGGAGATGGGGGGAGGAGGGGAAGAGGGGCAGACATGTGTGGGGTGGCTGCCCGAGGCAGGGCTGAGGGGGAGGAGGAAGGGAGAGGCAGAGAGAATAGAGAAACTCAGAGAACCCTGGAGAGAGAAGAACAGGAGTTACAGGGACACTGACATGAGTGGGGGGCTGCAGGGGCTGGGAGAGATGGAGAGAGGTCAGATGGAGGAAATTCAAGGAGGCTGGGAACTTGGGAGACGGGGAGAAGGTGGGAACTTGAAATGGGGCAATACGGGGATGATGGGAGTGGAGGGAGGGGTCTAGAGAGCCATGGGAAACTGGGCAAGAGGTAGGGCAGACCAAGACCAAGGGGGATGAGGGCAGAAGGCAGAGAGGGCCTGGTCAGGCTGCAACTGAAGCAGGAAGCCAGAGGCCTGCAAATTGGGGAAACTAAGGCAGAAAATGGCCTCTGACCCTGCCCCACACGACACACAAATCAGGAAAGGAGGCGGACAGAATCACTGCCCACGAAGCCTCCAACCTCAGCCCATGTCCAGGCTTGGTGCCTTGGCATCACCGTGATAGAGCCTGGCAGAGGACTGTCTTTTTTGACACTCTAAAGGCCAAGGAGCCTCAGCAAAAAGCCCCTACATGACTAAGGTGCCTCCGATCATGATGAAATTGGACTCCAGGAGGAAGCTCTGCCACCCCTCCCAAGCAAACAGTGACGCTGACAAAGAAACGAAATGGTACCTTCAATGTGCAGGGTCAGCCTACAGATGCCCGCCCCAGAGAACCGACTGTCGAGGCCTGGGAGATATGGTTTGGGGTTGCCTTGTCGGGAAAAGGCAGCCAATAAGAGGTGACAGACTGGAGATTAGGAATCCCAGCACTGCTTCAACTCACTGATGGCCTTGGACTCACTTGCAGTCACTCCTTTGTTTAAGTCAGATGAGGTACCCGGCAGGAGCTGTCCATGTGCAACTGCCAGGAGCCCAACTCAGAGTGGCTGAAGCCAAAGGGAAAAGAATTTGCTCATGAAATTGACAAGTCCAGCCATGGATCCAGGAGCTCCAAAAATGTCCTCAGGGACCCCTTGCCTCTTGACTTCCTTCTTGGTCATTTTATTCTCAGGCGAGCTTTCCCCCTGAGGAGGCATGCGGTCACCAGCAGCTCCAGGCTTATACCCTACCCCAGTAGAAGGAGCCACTTTGTTCCTAATGGTACCAGGAAAAGTCCTAGGATTGCTCATTGGGCAGGGTTGGGTCTCATGCTCATCCCTGCAGAGTGACAGTGACAGTGCGCCCTCCTGCAACAAGTCACGTGCCAGGGACTTCTCTAGGAACATGTATGTCTTAACCCACTTAATCCTTAAAAAGGTCAGGACTACTGCTATTTACATTTCATGGATGAGGAGATTGAAGCACAGAAAGCTTATATAACTTGTCCATAGCTAATGAGTGGTGCAGCTAGAATTCCAACCCAACCCAGATGGTGTGGCTTCATGGTCCAGGCTCTCAAGTACACAAGGGTCACATGGAGGGCTTGTGAAAGCACAGAGTCCTGGGTCCCAGCTCCGAAGCTTCTGATTCTGGAGCTCAGGGGTGGGACCTAGGAATTCGATGCTATCTGCAGACCATGCTTTGAGTGACACTGAACTACCCTCAGGTGCTTCTCATGAGCAGCTACTTGCTTCAGCTGCTTGCGCCAATCACAGTGACTCTGATTCGCCACACCTGGGTCCCACGGCCAACCAGGTATGGGGGAGGTGGGGAATCAATACCTAAGCCATATGGCCCAAAAATGAGGGAGGGTGGATGTAAAGGAAGAAAACGTGTTCTGTAATCAGAAGGGATGCTTGAGCAACTTGGCACCCTCACTGTGCTTTGATTTCCTTATCTATGATATGAGGATAGTAATAGTACTTCCTCATAGGATTGTTGTGAAGATGAAATTAGTTGATACTTGTGAAGCACTTACAGTTGTCCCTGGAACATAGTAAGTACCCAATAAAAATTGGATACTCACTTAATGTACATTAGCATGAACACACACATATACAAGAACACAAAGGCACCCAGCCACTCACTTGCAAACACACACGTGAGGACGCAAACATATGCAGGACACACACAACACAATTTTGGGCATGTGGTCATATACAAAATCTCAAACACATATAACGACCCACCCGTGAACACACAAATGGTTACACGCTCAAAAGCCTTGGAACACACAGTAAGCTGGCCCGAGTTTGTTCTCCCAGATCCTCTGAGTCCACTGCCACTCTCTGCTCCTTCGAATAAGCTCTCTTTGATGAATATCAGGAGGAGGAGCAGGGCTGGAGCAGGGCAGCCTCCTGCCTAAGAGCCAGACCAGATGTTTAAATCAGACAGTTAGGTTTAGGATTGTTTCTACCAATTACTGGTTGACTTTCAGCGAGTTAACTTCTCTGAGCCTGTTTCCACCTTCAAAAAATGAGGATGATGAAGTACCCACTCCTTGTGGTTGTGAGAATTCACAGGGTAAATTCCTTTATGCCTTGGAGCTATAGAAAGTGCTCAGCGAGAGTTAGCTGTGCCTATTGTTTTATTATGACAATCATCTCTGGTTTCTGGAGTGGCCTCCAGATGTGGGCAGGAATCAATGCATGTTTAGAAAAATGGCCAGGATTGGGTCAACCCTCAAAGCTACCACAGAACCAGGTCCCCACCTACCGCCGAAGCAGTGGAGGCCGCGGCAGCACTGAGTGACTGCCACCGTACCAGAGCTGCAGCGCGCACAGCCGGCCCAAGAGCTGTTGACAGCTTTCTGCAAGCACTCACCATCTCCCTCTGCAGCTACGAATGGCGGGGTGGTGTTTGTAAATTACAGCAATATGTAATTTTTATTCAGTGATTTGTGTAAACTTACAGGATCCATAGCGGGTGTGGGCAGACATGATTTGCATTGCCAAATGGCCTTCTCTGTGGGCAGGAAACAGGCAGCCTGGCTTGGTAGGTCTGCCTGAAGTCATCAATGACAGCTCCACATTCAAGGACAGTAGGTGTTAGGAACAAGGTGGCATGCAGGACAGCTCTCCAAAGCCCTCCTAAAGCCAGGCTCCAGCTCCTGCAGACCCCTCCTGCCACCCCTTTCCACCCTCCCCGGCACTTGAGCCAAGTGGTTAAGAACCCAGGCTTTGGAACCAAACAGACCAGGATTCAAATCCTAGCTCTACTACCTCCTCCCCTCATGGCCTTGGGTGAGTCACATCAGCTCCTGGGTCCTCAGCGCATCCTTGGGGAAGCAGAGCAAATAAAAGAGCCTGCCTCGGCTGGGTGTGGTGGCTCACACCTGTAATCCCAGCACTTTGGGAGGCCGAGGCAGGTGGATCATGAGGTCAGGAGATCAAGACCATCCTAGCCAACATGGTGAAACCCCATCTCTACTAAAAATACAAAAATTGGCTAGGTGTGGTGGCACACGCCTGTAATCCCAGCTACTCCAGAGGCTGAGGCAGGAGAACGGCTTGAACCTGGGAGGTGGAGATTGCAATGAGCCAAGATCACGCCACTGCACTCCAGCCTAGCATCAGAGTGAGACTCTGTCTCAAAAAAAAAAAAAAAAAAAAAAAAAAAAAGAGCCTGCCTCATAGGGTGATTGGAGAACAGAGAGATAAACATACACTGTATGTGCACGGGCATATACAAGGGCTCAGGATACAGTAGCTAGGATCCTGACCAGTATTGGCTCCTCAGTGGGTACTGCCCTCTCTTCACCCCTTCTTCCCAGAAACAATCACCAAGTCTTGGCCCCAAGACACCATCACCCATTGGCACCTGCAAGCTTCACTTGGCATAGACCTCAGGAAACAACAGCAGCAGTGTATAAACTATGAGAGGTATGACTCACTTTTGTGTTTTTAAAACACTTTGAGCACTAAACCGAGATCCATGAGGACAGAGCATTTGTCCTATCTACTGTTGTACCTTAGCTTCTAGAACAATGCCTGGCACATAGTAGGCACTCAATAAATATTTGTTGATATATTTACCCACTCATTCATTCTATAAACATTACTGAGCATCTCCTATGATCCAGACGCTGTGAGCACAGACAGAAATCAAGGATGGCAGTGGGAGGGAGGTGCCAGAGGCGAGGCTGAGATGAAAGGTGGAGACTTCTCCAGGAGGCCTGGCCCCCTCACTGCCCCAGGCTTGATTTTAACCCTGAAGAGCTACTTGAAATCTCTACGCAAAGGAAGAGGCATTTGAAAGTCACTGCCTCCCACATTATGTAGTCATTCAAAAAGTTTTTGTTACCCAGCCCTAAACCCAACAAGGATGCCAGAGAGCCTGACTAGGTACTCTCTTCTTTGGGAACTTTTGGCTTTTGAGTACAGCCCATTCAGATCATTCCATCTGCTCCCTGCACCTTAGAGTTAGCATAAACTGGGTTAATAAGTACCTAATCTAGGTGTTTTGCTCATGAGAGTAGCTGTGTCCCATCTGTTCCCCAGCTCTCTCCAAAACTGGCATGATGGCACTGAGAGGTGACTTCTTGAAGTGCCCAGGCCCCACTTATTCAGCCTGCTTAAGTTCTAGTGAGCTTCCAGCAGGCACTTGGGCTGTTCATATAAGTTAACCTCCTCTCCCTGGCAGCTGTCACGAAAGATAGTTTTCAGTCTAACATCTTGAGGCTGCCATTCAATGACCACGTACAATCTGGCTCTAACCTCACATGGATGGATGGGATGGATGGATGACTGGATAGGTAGGTGGATGGATAGACAAATAAACTGTTGACTCTATCTCTCCCTCTCCCCTCTCAATGGGTCTGCCCCTCTGGGCATGAAAACCTGCACAATCTGCCCCCACCCCTGGATGGATGGGCAGATGGGTAGATAGATGAATGGGTAGGGATGGGTGGGTGAGTGGATGGATAGATGGGTTGATGGGTCAGTGGATGAACTGTTGACTCCCAGATCTCTTCTTTCTTCTTGGTGAGCCTACCCCTTTGAGCATGAAAACGTATGCACCACTGTCTTGAGGGTTCCCTACAGGTTACTTATCCAGAACCCCAGAAGGGTAAGCCTCCAACATTTCCCCATTCTTGGGGAATGTCCAGTCCATAACAGCTAGTGAAATAAGTGATGTAACACAGAAAAACATTCATTCACTCATTCATTCTTTCTTTCTTTCAACAAACATGTATTGAGGACTTACTATGTGCCAGGCACTCTGTTAGGCATGGAGTGATAAACCAACCACTTAGTGGCTTCAGGAACCTGAACAGGATCAGCAGTAAAAAGAAAACGCCTGCATTCCTCCACATTCTCATATACACAGGTTTGGATTTATACATTTATCCAAATGCCTAAACCCCCTTCCCCTTCTCCCATCCCTCTTAGAATTTCCCCCAACCCAACCCCAGGGATGGTATCTCCCTTAGGGTTGTTTATACTATCTCTAGGTGGTATCACAGGGAAGTCTTCTTCCAGGCCTAAATTAAGCTTGTACACTCATTGCCTCCTATTACTATTATTCCATGTGCAGCGGTGGATGTGCTGTGCTGAGCTGCTTTGCTCTTATGGTAATAACCCTAATACCAAGGGCATGCCAACCATAGTATGCTTCTCTAATCAAAACCTTGCAAACAATCAAACATTTACTTTCTTGTTTCATCCTACAGATGCCAAATTATATTCAACTGATCTATCTCTTTTTACTTTCTAACCAAGCCTTGTTTCTCTTGGCTTAGCTCTACTTATTTTGTTAAACACTGTAGAGAACCAAGTTCTCTTGGTTCTGAACCAAGAGACGTTCCATAACCATCTGGTTCTGAACCAAGATGGAGTAGATGCATGTCTCCCTATTCCTCATGCTAAGTACAGCTAAAAATCTTGGACATTGTATCTAAAACAAGCAAAGTAGACTCTGAAAGGTGGAGAGAAGAAGGAAGACTGGCTAGGAACTTCTGAAGCTAAGGGATGACACAGTGGTGAGTTCCTTGAGTTCTCTGATTATTTCATAGATCTCAGGCTGAATGCTGGAGAAGCCAGCAATCTGGAAATGCCACTGGGAGCAGATTTAAAAGCCCCAAGGAAATCTTGTTGTCCCTAGTCAAAGGACCAGAAAGAGCAAGAACCTAGTACATAGAAAACTTCTAAATGATTACCACTCCACCCTAGCCAAACATCAAAGGGAAGTAATGTGGCCCAACCTAAAACCCCTTCAGCAAAGGCCAAGTAGAGAGCCTAGGCCTCTACCCCCACCAAAGTGGTATCAGAGAAGACTCAATGGAGAGCCAGGACTTTCATACCTGCCAGGTAGTAGTACCCCCTCTCTCACCCCAATCCTGGAGTCAGTGGAGGCCACATTAGAATTGTGGACTTCCACCCCTGCCCATTGGTAATGAGGCACCCCCTACCCTCCCTACTGGTGTGGTATTAGAGGAGACTGAGTGGAAATCATAACCTTCCTCATAGTCATGAAGCCTTCTCCAGCTCCAGTATCAGTGGAGACTATGTGGGGAGCAATCATGAGGTACCCCTTCCCTCCCAGCTGGGGCTGTGTCAATGGAGATCTAGTGAAGAGCCTGAAATCCCACCTCTTCCCAACAGTAGCAAGCCATGTCTCTCATTTGGGGTGTCAAATGAGGATGAGCGGGGAACCTGAGCTCTCATTTGCCTGGCAGTAATGAGAAGTCATTTCCCTTCCCCCACGGGCATGGTGTCAGATTTAAACAAGATGTAGAATCTCATAACACCCAAAATGTTCAAGATATAACTGAAAATCATTCATCATACCAAAAACCAGGAAGATCTCAATTTGAATGAGAAAAAACAATCAACAGATGCCAACACTGAGAAGACACAGATGTTGGAATTATCTGACAAATTTTAAAGCAGTCATCATTAAAAAAAAAATCATTGAACAAGCAATTCCAAAACATTTGAGACAAGTGAAAAAATAGAAAGTCTCAGGAAACAAAAGATATAAAGAAGAGCCAAATGGAAAATTTTAGAATTGAAAAATATAATAAACAATTTTTTAAAAATACAATGAATGGGCTCAGCAGCAAAATGGAGAATAAAGAAGAAACAAGCAATGAATTTGAAGGTAGAACAATAGAAATTACCTAATCCAAAGAAGAGAGAAGATAGACTGAAAACAAATGAGCCTCATGGACCTATGGGACTATACCAGAAGATCCAACATTCAAGTAATCAGAATCCTACAAAAGGAGAAAGAGGATGGAGCTGAAGAAGTATTCAAAGAAATAATGACTGAAAATTTCCCAAATTTGGCCAAAGACATAAACCTATAGATTAAAGAAGCCAAGTAAAACTCAAAGAGGATAAACCTAAAGAAACCCACATTAAGACACATCACAACCAAACTTCAATAAGCTAAAAACAATGAAAAAATATTGACAGCAGTGAGAGAAACAACACCTTATCTATGGGGGGAAGAAATAGCTTGGGCAACAATGGTTTATCAGAAATCATGGAGGCCAGAAGAAAGCAGCACAAAACTTTTCAAGTATTAAAAAAAATAGTAATTGTCAACCCTTAATTCTGTATCTGGTGAGACTATCCTTCAGGAATCAAGGAAAAGTCAAGACAATATCAGACAAAGGAAAAATGAGAGACTTTGTCATCAGCAGACCTACCCTAAAAGAATGGCTAAAAGAAGTTCTTGAAATATTAATGGTAAAGAAATGAATCTTGGAACCTCAGAAAGGAAGAATAACAGAAAGAGCAGAAAAATGGAGAGATATATACATAATAGATTTACCTTCCCTTGTAGAGTTTTCTAAGATAAATATATATATATTTGAGACAGGGTCTCGTTCTGTCATCCAGGCTAGAGTGCAGTGGCATGATCATGGCTCACTGCAGCCTCAACCTCCCAGGCTCAATCAATTCTCCTGGCTCAGCCTCCCAAGTAGCTAGGACTGCAGGTGCATGCCAGCATGCTCAGCTAATTTTTGTCTTTTGTTTTTGTTTTGTAGAGGTGGGGTTTTGCCATGCTGCCCAGGTTGGTCTAAGTTATATTTGATCATTGAAGCAAAAATAATAAATTGTTAGATGTGGTTCTCAAAATATGTAAAGAAAACAATTAAGACAATTATATTTTAAATGAGGAGGAAAGGGAACTTTAAAGGAGGTAAGGTTTCTATATTTCACTGAAACTGGTAAACTATTAACATCAGTAGACTGTGATAAGTTACGTAAGTATAATGCAATACCTGCTAAAACCACTTTAAAAGATCTATATACAAAGAAATACACTCAAATATACTCTAAATGAATCAAAATAGAATTATTTTAAAAATGCTCCAGTAAACCATAGGAAGGCAAGAAAAATAAAACAGAAATAAACACAGAAGGAACAAACAGCAAAAAGTATAATGACAGACTTAAGCCCTAAAGTATTAATTACATTAAATGTAAATGATCTAAATAAGTCAATTGAAAGACAGAGATTGGCAGAGTGGATTTTAAAAAACATGATCTAACTATATACTATCTATAAGAAACTTACTTCAAATATAATGATATGGATAAGATGAAAGAAAAGATTAGAAAATGATGTATCGTGCAAACAACGATCAAAAGAAAGCTGGAATAGTTACAATAACATCAGAAAAAGCATAGGAGCTTTATTTGTAATAACCAAAAACTGGAAACCACCACAATATCTTTCAATAGGCAAACGATTAAACAAACTGTGGTACATCCATACCACCAAATACCACTCTGCAATAAAAAAGAACTAACTATTGGTACATATAACAACTTGGATGAACCTCAAGGACATCATGCTGAGTAGGGGAGAAACATCTCAAAAGGCCACACACTGTATTACTTCACTTATATAATATTCTCAAAATGATAAAATCATTGAGTCAGGGAACAGATTAGTGGTTGCCAAGGTTTAGGGACAGTAGGGAAGAGGGGCAGGGGTGGGTGTGACTATGTAATAAGGAGTCAGCTCTATTTTTTTATATATTTTTTTCTTTGAGACAGAGTCTCACTCTGTCACCCAGGCTAGAGTGCAAAGGGGCCATCTCAGCTCACTGCAACCTCCACCTCCCAGGTTCAAGCAATTCTCCTGCCTCATCCTCCTGAGTAGCTGGGATTACAGGCATGCACTACCACACCCAGCTAATAATTTTAGAAGAGATGGGGTTTCACCATGTTGGTCAGGCTGGTCTCGAACCCCTGACCTCAAGTGTTTGATGTTTGATATCTGACACTAGCCACACCCACCACTCCCCCTTCCCCTTTTGTCCCACATCTAGGCAAGATAATAAAACCTGAGAGCTCCTTCCTTTGGCACTAACAGTAAATTCAAACCACAAAGGCCAGCCCATGCACCAGGAACCATTGAGGTCCACAAAAAACTCATCCCAATTCTTGAGGTCTATTTTTAAAACTCTATAATATCCTTGTGGTCAATCCATCTATAAAAACTGAAATCCAGTCCTCCTTTCCTAGTCTCTCAAGCCATTTTTTACCTGCTTGGGAGCTTTTCTGCTCTTTCTTAAGAGCCTCATTGTGTGAGTAATAAACCTTTAATACCCTCTTAGGGTGTGTGGTGGGTAGGGGAAGCTGCAGGGGATGGGTGGGTGTCTGTGTGTGTGATCATTGATCTCTATAAGGATACAGCAGTGTCTGCTCAACACTGTGCCTGGCACATAGTAGGAGCTCAACCTCAGAGTAGAAAGTGAGATATAGACGGGGACAGAATATGAGAAGCTTTGTAGTAAAGGGGTGCATACAGAGGGGTTGGACCCATGGGAAAGGGTCAGGGCTGAGGTTCCCCAGGCCCATGCCTGAAATCAGAGAAGGGTATGCAGTGCTTTACTGTCATTTAGCTCAGTTCAGGTCCATACTACAAATGCTCTCTCAAAGCTCTTCTGTGCCCAGTTCCGTGGGATAAAGATGGTCCCCTGCCCTTAGGCACTCCCAGAACTAATGCCAAAGAAGTGGGAAGGGTCTTGGCTACTCTTAGAGACAAAAATGGGACTGAGGCTTCTCCAGGGCAGGGACTGAGTTCAGGTTATCTCCAGGTCCTCCTGCCCAGCACAATTGTAGCACACAGTAGATGCTCAATACAGATTTGAAGAATGAATGAACCCACTATTCTCTCCTTTGAGCCTCTCACTAAACCTCCCCTTAAAAAGCCAACACAGGGCCAGGCGCGGTGGCTCATGCCTGTAATCCCAGCATTTTGGGAGGCTAAGGCGAGTGCATCACTTCAGGCCAGGAGTTCAAGACCAGCCTGGCCAACACGGTGAAACCCCGTCTCTACTAAAAATGCAAAAATATAATAATAATAATAAAATCAGACAGGCGGCCAGGCATGGCGGCATGTGCCTGTAATCCTAGCTATTCGGGAGGCTAAGGCAGGAGAATCGCTTGAACCCAGGAGGCAGAGGTTGCAGTGAGCCAAAATCACGCCACTGTACTCCAGCCTGGGTGACAGAGTGAGACTCCATCTTTAAAAAAAAAAAAAAAAAAAGCCAACATAGGAGTTGTTATTTCAGCTTCAGAGATGCCAGCGATGCCTCTCCAGAAGGAAGGAAGACAAGGAGAAGGGGGCTGGAAATGGATGGGAGTAGGGGTGGAGTTTCTCTGAAGTGGATCCTGTGGACCAGATCCTCAGGCAGGAGACCCAGGTCAGGCCCTGTGAGTCCAGAGTGAGCTGGTTTGTGCCCGAGTGAGCAAGCCAGGGAGGGCCAAAGGCCTGGCTTCTGAGCCTACCAGGCTTCATCCAGCTTCCTGGTGTCTTTGTGCCTGTCCCATTTTACCTCCCTAGATTCTCAGTAAATCTCTCAGTGTTTTTCTGCTGGGCCCAGGGGACTCAGGAAAGAGCTAAAAACTCACACTGATCCTTTGTGGGGAGTGTTTGCAGCAGGAGGTGTATCAGGAGAACCCTAAGGGTCCGTGAGCTCGAGAGCCCCAAGCAGCTCGGTATTGCCAAAATGACTGACCAGGGTTTGAATTGGCTTCCACTGCTTACCAGCTGTGGTATGATCTTAGCAAGTTACTTCACTGCCGAGGGCCTCAGTTCATCTATCTGTAAAATGGGGATCATTGTAGCAACCCATATGGTGAATGACAGGATTCTCTTTGGGAAGAAAGTGATTTTTTTGTGTGTTTTCATTTTGGGGTGAGAATGAAATGGCACAATGAAAGGAGAGAACATAGCCCAGTTTCTGGCAATGGCTGGTACCTCAGACATGCAGAATCTCCAGCAGAGGGGCAGGTATCTGGGAAAGAAAAAGAGAGACCCCAGGAATGATAATGAGGATGGCAATGATGATGAAGATGATGTTGGTGATGAAGGTGACAATGATGGGGATGATAGCAAGAGGACAGAAGAAAGCTTTACTAAATACCTACCTTATTGAAGGTTAGGCTCTGTTCTAGAAGTTTCTCATGCAATATCTTACTGAATTCTCCTACCAGCCATCTTGTTAACCCATTTCACAAATGAGGTACCAGACCCAGAAGTTAAGTGACTTACCCAAAATCACAGAGCTCAATTTCAGGTCTGTCCAACTGTGGGACATTAGTTCAATCTCAGTGAGTGGGAGACAGATGGAGCTGTTCTGGAAGCTGAGCCTGGGCCTCACCCAGGGAGAATTTTGCAGATCTATCATCCTCTGCAGCTTTCTGATCCTCTCTCTTGATTCATTCATTCAGCAATAAATGTCCACTGTGCCTGGCCTTGGGGCTGGGAACACTGGAGTGGCTCACATAGTTCCTTGCCTCTGGGGACACTCAGGTAGTCACAGGTGAGAAGGGAGAGAGTGCCAAGAAAACAATTAACTACAAAACAAAGCAATGAGAACCACCCTTAAGACAATGGGAACACCAAGAGGGAGTGACATTCCACCAGGAGCAGGCTCAGAAGGCTTCACAGAAGAAGTGACTTTGGGGTGGGTTTCAAGGGATGGATAGGAGTTTGAGGACAAGGTGAAAATGGCGGAGGGAACTGTCTGAGCTAAGGCACGGGGAAAGGGAAGAAAATCTGGCCAGGGAGTGCTGTGGAGGGAGAGTCCAAAGTCGCTCTTGCTTGGGTATCAGCCAGAGTAGAGGGTCCATGGAGAGGTGGTAAGGGGGTGCATTACAAAAGGACCCGCTGAATGCCAAGTTATGCAGTTTGGATGTTCCCAAGGGCAGTGGAGAGCCATGGAAAGGGGCTGAATCAGGCAGTGAGATGATCAGGTTTGTGTTTTCGAAGGCTGGCACTGGTGGCAGTGGCGCAGGGAATGGAATAGGCAGTGGTGGAAAAGAAGGAATTTGGAGAGGCAATAGGAATGGGTCTGGGCCCCCTTTCCCTGGGAGGAGGCCAGAGAAGGGGACTGACACCCCAGTGACGTCTATCTCGGACATCCTCTCCAATGCCCTTTCTCCTACTACTTGTCTTTCCCTGGAGCAACTTGACACCCCGGAGTGGAGGGCGTAGACACTGGCTAAGCACCTGGGCCCTGAAGACAGACCCAGGTTCTGCCACTTACCAGCAGAGTAACCTTGGACATGCCACGGACCCTCTCTGAGCCTCAGTTTCCTCACCTGAGCAATGAGTCACTGCAAAATTGAATACAATCATATATAAAAGGGATTAGCCCAGGGCTGGAATAAAATTGGTACTTGGCAAATGCTAATGATTATCCCCATTGGATGAATGAAGAAACAAAGGCCCCAGAAAGGGGCTGTGACAAAGCCATGGAGGGCAGCTCCTCCCACTCCATGCCCTTCACCTTCATCATGGTTCTCCTGTAAATGGCCTCCTGGCCCCTCACTTTCCTGCTCTGCACAATGTATGAGGGCCCCTCCTGGAGCCAGGGGTCAGGGCAGGGAAGTTGGCAGATACGTGGAGTATCAGAAGGGAGAAGCAATGGCAGCCGCAGGGGTTTAGTGAATTACTTCACTCCCCAGCCACACCCTCAAACTCCTCTGTCTCCCCTGCCATCATCCGACCCCCCCTGGCTATGAAACTCTCCTCTGGCTCCTTTCCCATGGAGCCATTCATGGGCATGAATGGCTTGTCCTACTCCTCCTCCCCTGCCTTCCTACAGAGCAGATAAAATTCCCCTACCCGGGAGCAGAGTACCCATGAACAGGACTTCCTGGCGACCAGGATAAATAGTGAGCCCCCAAATTACCCTTGCTTGGGTATCAGGAGCTCTGGGTTCAAGTCCCAGCTCTGCCATTAACTCGCAGTAGAATCTGGATATTTTCCTTCTCACGACCTCAGCTTCCCCATCTCAAACGGAGTGGGTCGGATTCGATGCTCTCTAAGGACCTCCCACCTCTGTCCTGCGGCTCCTTCTGCCTTCTGTTGGCTTCCTCCCTCCTCTCCTCTCCCGAGCCCTTTCCTGGTCCTCCCTGGTTTTCTCCTTCCAACCCACAGCCTCAGACCTACCCACGGTTCCCACAAGCTTTGCTCAAGCTGCCTGGGGCTCCCAGGGTCTGAAGGACACAGATCCCACCCCAGCTGTGAGCATCCCCCTGGCTGCCGTGGGCACAGTGCCTTCTGACACAGTGGTGCCTGGGCCCTCCCACTCAGAGTCAGCGGGGCCCAAAGGAAAACCCCTCAGCTCTGTCTGAGCCAACTGCAGAGGTGGCCAGAGCTGGGTTTAAAAATATGAGAGCCCAAGTACCCTCAGTGCCAACTGCCCACACAGCCTGCAGGCTGTGCTGCCCACTTCCCAGATGTCATCATGGCCACCGTGGGTGGCACAAAGGGAATGTGGTGGGGGGGTGGTGAGCCCAGAGAGGCCCGGGGGTGGCTAGTGAGGGGGACGGACATTCCTGAGAGCCTAGACCACAGAACAGGGCTGTTTACACCATCTGGTCATACCCACTTCTTTGGTCTCTGGAAATAACCAAGCCAATTCTGTTCAGACTCACAGTGTCATAGGAAGTGGAGTCTAACGAGCCTGGAATCGAATCCTGAGTTGGCCACTTACCGGCTGTGTGACTTTGGGCAGGTCACTTGCCCTCTCTGAGCCTCAGCCCCTATCTGTAAAACAGAGATAAGAAAAGTACCTACTTCCTAGGGCTCTTATGAGAATTTGATGAGACAATGCCTGCAAAGAGGCTTAACATAGGGCCCAACCCGTAGTAAGGACTTGATCAGTGGTAGTTGTCTTGGCTATTACTGTTATCATGATGTGGTATGGCTGGTCTTTGCTAGAACTCCACCAAGGAGCAAAGGAGAGAGTAGGAAATGAGATGTCCTTGTTCCACTCTCTTGTCACATCCAGAACCCCCAAAGTCCAGGCACATCTGGCACCCATGAAGCTGACAATGGGGTTCCTTCTGTTTGTTAGATAAACAGGGATACTGGGGCCCAGAGAGGGACTGTGTCCTGCTCAAGCAAGCTGGCAGCAGGTAAGAGTCAGAAGCTAGAAATTTGTATGACCCTCTCCAAGGTGAGAAAAACATAGCACCCCTGGAACTGGGAGGGCCCCTAAAGATTTCCCCTCCTTTTTCCAGAAAGGGAAACTGAGGCCCAGAGAGGGAAAGGGATTTGTCCAAGTCATGAGACAGCTAGGACCCAAGCCAGGATTCCCAGCTCCCTGACCCGGGCTCTCTCATTCCGTCCCGCCGCCTCGCCCTGCTCACTCCTGCCCCGGCCCTGCCTGCAGTTCTCAGTCCCAGGGTGGGCAGCTGGGCAAGGCGGGAGCAGGAGCCTAGCCCTGCTCTGCTGGGGCTGGGGGCTGCTCTGCTCCCCCAATCCCACTGGAGCCTGCTGCATCCTTATGTAACCCGCTCCTGCTTTCATAACCCACTGCTGCTTCCTTCTGGAGTGGGAGCTCCGGGAGCAGATTGGAACGCAGGGAGACATGAGCTGCCTTCCTATGAAAATAGGGTCATTACCAGCACTTGGGCTCCAGTGCCAGCTAATGGCCTTCTCTCATGGCCTGGGGCCTGCCAGCCTCTCCCCAGGCCCAGGGAAAGAGGAGAGGCCCAGGTTGGACTGGCATCCCATGCCAGGGCAGGGCACAGAGGGAGATCACCATCTTGGGATGCGGATGGATTCTCTACTGCTCTGGCATCCAAGGCAGGGACCAGCTCCCAGACTCCAAAGACCCAGGCAAGTGTATCAGCCCTAAAGAGTTCCCTGGAGAGAGGCCTGCAGGCAGGCACATTGGGGAGGCCATAGGCTCTCAGGGTTGAGTTGGAGTTGGAGCATCCTGGTCTCTGGCCAAATAACTATAGACACGTCAGTTCACTTCTCTGTGTCTTCATTTCCTTATCTGGAGAATGGGACTAAATGAGGACCAACCTCATTGGTTGCTGGGAATATTAAATGAAATTCTGACTGGCAGGTGCCTGGCCTAAAATAATGGCTGAGGAGTCAGCATCCCCATTTAGCAGATGAAAAAACTGAGGCTCGGACAGGTGACGTGACTTTAGGAGTACACTTCATCTAACAGCAGCAAAGCTATACATAAGACAGCAAACTCATCGTGCACTGAGCACATGCTACACATACGTGGACTGAGCTTCTCCCCAAAACAGCCCTATGGGGAGGTGCTATTATTATCCCCATCTGACAGATGAAGAACTCATTTTAAAGGGGCTAAGTGACTTTCTTAAGGCACACACTTGGGAAGCGGCCGAGCCAGGATTTGAACCCAGGCATCTGGCTTCAGAGTCTGAGTTCTTTGCCACCCCTACAAAACAACCAGGACCAATAGACTGAGACTGCAGTAAGCAGGAGTTAAGCTAGACGCGAGTCAGGAAGTATGCCCCTTCGGCTTGCCACCATTCTTTAGAATCCCAGTCACCTTCCACCTTACCTCTCTTTGGCTGCCACTGTGCTGTGTGATCTTGGCTGGGCCACTTAACCTCTCTGGGCTCTTATCTCCGCATCTGAAACAAGGAGGCTGATCCCTAGGCTAACAATTAGCAGGGTCATTGTGAGGACACATTAAGATAACGACTTGTAAACTGCTTTTCAGCTGAGAAAGTATCACACAGCTGGGACGGCTCATCACTTCCCTGGCCTCCAACTCCCTCCAACTCAGCAGGAACCCGCTAATGGACACCAGGAGCCTCTCAGCACCTCTGGCTGTTCAAACAAACACCTCTCCCCTCACTGCCCCTCCCCTGGGCTGCCCTTTGGATACAGAGGCAAAGCTCCCAGTCTTCCCTCTAGCGCTGGGGCAGACCAGTCTGGACACTTGAGTCACAGCCTTCCTGCCTTCCCTCAACAGGGCATTCATTTTAGCTGAGCCCCTGCTGCGTGTTTCATGGGCACCCTCACACCTAATCCTCGTGATTACCTCCACGAAGCTGGGCTTCATCTCCCCCATTTTATGGATGAGAAGCTACAGCTCAGAGAGGTGAAGTCACTGGCCTGGAGTCACACAGCTGTCAACCCAGTAGAGCCAGAATTCAAAGTAGGTCTCCATGCCTTTAGTGGCCTCACTAACCCACTTCTCAGGAAATGGGTCTTGTGCCTATTTTGCAGAAGTGACTGATGCTCAGGAAGCTGAAGGCACTTTGTCCGAGAAGCCAGGAAGAGGAATGGCCAGGCTGGCAACTCAGAGCAGCTGCCTGCTACCAGGCCCGTGCTCCTCCCTGCAGTTGGATGTCTTGACCAGGATGCACAGATGAGACCTGTGACATCCATCCCCCCAGAGAAGCCAGGCAGGTGGACACCATCATTGTTGATGGAGAAGCTGAAGCCAGACAGACCTAGAAGTTTGCCCAAGTCCCAGGGCAAGGAGTGCCAGCGTGAGAACTGGACCAAGTCATGTCCCTCTCTGGACCTCAGTCTCCCCAGGTATATGAGAAGTGCCGGACCCTGGCTTGGTCAAGTAGACCCATTAAGGCCCCTCCAACTCCAGGAGGTTGTGGCCTGGGCAGAAATCCCCAAGCCTGGCTGATCACCAGAATTCCCTGGGAACATGCTTAAACCCCCAATGCTGGGCTGCACCCCGAGAATGTCTGATTTGGTGGAACTAGGGAGGGAGCTGAAAACCTGCGTTGTTTTATCCAGCATGACCTCAGCTCACGGCCCCCAACCCCAAGCTTCTGTGATCAGCCAAGTCAAGATTCCCAATATAGGACAATTTTCCCAGTGCCAGATGGAAACCAGTCCCCTGCCTGCCTTCACAGAGTTCACGGCTGGGATGGGAGGTGGACTCAGGGGCCTGTGGGACTCTGGGGTAGGTCAGAGATGGCATCCAGGGGTCTCTGTTGCAGACCACTGCTCTGTTAGAATTCTAGATTTTGAATTGGGGTGAGACCTTGAGAAGTCTCAGCCTTCTTACTTGAGTAATTCTTCATTTGGCAGATGTTTATCAGCCCCCACTATGTGCCAGGCACTGTTTTCGGTGCCAGGGTGTAGCAGTAATACAATGCCTTTGCTCTCATGCTGTTTCTGTAATGGCGCAGAAGACAGTCAATAAACAGCCAGGAGCAGCAGGGCCTTCCGCAGCTCCAAACAGCTTTCCCCAGGCATGATCTCTCCAAATCTGCCCTGAATCACAAGCTGGGAGCTTAGACCCCATTTTACAGATGAGTCACTGAGGCTCCGAATGCCATTTCCATACCATGTCTCCCCACACTGGGCAGGCGACACCGCCGATGCTTCCCAAGCAACCCTGTGTGTCGGCTGCTGATTAGAACTTTCCTGTTGCCATGGCAACCCCCCTGGGGAGGCCTGCCCTACTTTGCATCCCTGGCATAGGGCGGGCAGCCTCACCCCGCACCCCTGAGACAGAGAGATGGGGTTTATCCCACTTGCTGCAAAACAGGTCCCGCTGGAAGAAGACCTGGGCTCCCTCACTCAGATGTTCAACCAATGTTTAGCAGCACCAACACCGTCCCAGAGACTGAGCCAGGCCCTGGGACAAGAGGAAACATAAGCTGTGGTCCCTGCCCTTGCAAAGCACACCGATTCACAGGGGAAGCCGACAGATAGCCACGAGCCTGCCTGTGAGGCTGAGGACCACAGCAACGATGCCAGCAACTCAGGGCCAAGGCAGTTCTGAGCCCTTCCCAAGGATTCACTCATTTACTTCTCCCATTAACTTTTGGGGTAGGTATCAACAGTATCCCCATATGACAGATGAGGAAACTAAGGCCTCAGAGAGGTTGAGAACCTTGCCCTAGGTCACACAGCTGAGAAGCAGGAGAGCCAGAACCTGGAGACAGGGAGACTCTGAGCCACTCTGTAGGTGTTTGGTGAAGGGACCCCGACTCCATCAGGGTGGCCCAGGAGGGTTTCCCAGGGAAGGTATCTATCCTCCAAAGTGATCTCAGTAAGAGGAGAGGAGGGTAGAGATGGGAGCATGGTGGAGCGGGGACTCTGAGAGCTTCTGATCACTCAGTGTTGGGGTGAGTGGCCTAGTCCCCCACTCTGTGCCTGGTGAGACTCAGCTAGGCCTTGGGACACACGACTTGGGAAAAGAAAATACAATCCAGGTAGCCAGTGCTGGAGAGGGGCACCGCAGCTACAAGGCACGGGCCTCCTGAAAAGGCTGAAATGCCTCTGGAGGCTTCCAAGGGAGCAGTTTGGGACAGGTGTGCACACACTCCACTCCCTGCCCATCTTCCCACCCTTGGGCAACAACACCCTGTACCTACGCACCTGTGAGGAGGAGAAACTCGGAGTGCGGCCGGGCTTAGTCCTTGCAGTCCCCGCACAAAAATACTTTTATTTCCAGGTGAGTGTAACGGTTACGAGTGTGGACTGTGGCGCTGACTGCCTCTGAAAATGCAGAGAATCATCAGTCCTGTGTATATCATAGTGTTGTTGCAAGGGCTGGATGAACAGACACCTACAAAGTTCACAGTACTTGGCACAGAGGGTGTGTAACTGTGAGCTGTAATTATCTTTGTAGCACGTGGATGCACATGGATCTGCATTTTTACACAGCTACATGTGTGCAGGTGTACAAGCCCATGCACACAGTGAGGGCACACCCATGAGAGCACCCCATGTCTTGCCAGTATATGTGTAAAGCTACCTCCTCGAGTGGGCTTGAATGGACACTAACTACCGTGGGGAGGGGGGATTAGCAGGGAGGAGCCAGTAAACACAAGCACCCACAGGTGTCTGCAGGGAGGGAGGGCGCGGCACGCCCATCCCCAGAGAATAGGTGCCTTCCTGTGCGTGCACCTGGGCTTGTATATTGGCGGGGTTTGGGCAGCGAGGGGGTAGGGATGAGGATATGTGATTTGAGGTTGAAGCATTACAGACCTGGGTTTAATTTATGTTGAGATGAGGAAGGATCTGGCTGTGTTTTTCTCCTTGAACCACTGTGATGTAAAGAAATCTCAGCTCTGCAAAACAAAGATCAATCAGCAGGGAAAATAAAAAGTGCTTAAGGCTTAAACCTCCTACCACAGGCCCCCAGGGAGTGTTAAAGCCACAGTTGAGGAAAGAGAAACATGATTAAGATTGAAGTCAGGAGTCCACAGAGGGGGAGTCACGCCAGCCAAGGGCTTTCCTGTTTTCCCAGAAAGGAGGCTTCCCGGAGGAAGCCATGACCCGTTGGAAAACACTCAAAAGCCTGTCTGGGCCCCAGCCTTCCCCAACCCATTGAGAAGATGAGTCTTCTTGGGAGAAAAACAAACCCTGCTTTCCCCACCATCACCTTGGATCTTACTTGGAGGGAAGGGACTAGAAAGAAAAGACTACTTGGGAGATTGCCCTGAAATAAGACCTCCCCTTTCTCCTTCCCAGGAGGATATCTGTGCCTCAAGCTATCAGCAGTTATACAAGACCACAAACCCAAGTAGCAAGGAGGAAAACACACCCTGGAATGAGAAGCCCCCTCCTGCTCGTTTAGCACTTAAGAGTTTTTGAAGGCATCACCTGGTGAATCTGCGGCACACACAGCGAGACTCAGTTCCTTGCTTGAGATCACACAACCTTCCATCAGTAAATCTAAGATTCGACCCCTTGTCTGACTCCACTTCTGGTGTCATTTTCTTTACATCACAGCACTGCCCAAATGTAACTGTGGGGACTAGTGTATGCCACCCGAAAATATGAAGGATGGTTGAGCTGAAAGCAATAAGAAGCAGCAGGCCAGGCACGATGGCTCAAACCTATAATCCCAGCACTTTGGGAGGCTGAGGCAGGAGGATCAACTGAGCCCAGGAGTTTGAGACCAGTCTGGGCAACATAGGGAGACCCTATCTCTATAAAAAAATAAAAATAAAAATAAAAATATTAATTAGCCAGGCATGCAAGACAATCCTAAGCAAAAAGAGCAAAGCTGGAGGCATCTCATTACCTGACTTCAAGCTATACTACAAGTCTACAGTAACCAAAACAGCATGGTACCCATACAAGAACAGACATATAGACCAAAGGAACAGAATAGAGAACTCAGAAATCAGACCACACACCTACAACCATCTGATCTTTGACAAACCTGACAAAAACAAGCAATGGGGAAAAGATTCCCTATTTAATAAATGGTGCTGGCAGAACTGGCTAGCCCTATATAAAAATTGAAACTGGACCCCTTCATTACACCATATACAAAAATTAACTCAAGATGGATTAAACACTTAAATGTAAAACCCAAAACTATAAAAACCCTAGAAGTAAGTCTAGGCAATACCATTCAGGACATAGGCACAGGCAAAGATTTCATTATGAAAACACCAACAGCAATTGCAACAAAAGCAAAAATAGACAAATGGGATCTAATTAAACTGAAGAGCTTCTGCACAGCAAAAGAAACTATCATCAGAGCGAACGCACAGCCCACATAATAGGAGAAAATTTTTGCCATCTATCCATCTGACAAAGGTCTAATATCCAGAGTCTACAAGGAATTTAAACAAATTTACAGGAAAAAAATCAACCTCATTAAAAAGTGGGCAAAGGACATGAACAGACACTTCTCAAAAGAAGACATTCATGCAGCCAAGCAACATTTTTAAAAAGCTCAACATCACTGATCATTAGAGAATGCAAATCGAAACCAAAATGAGATACTGTCTCATGCCAGTCAGAATGGCTATTATTAAAAAGTCAAAAAACAACAGATGCTGGTGAGGTTGCAGAGAAAAAGGAGTATTTTTACACTGTTGGTGGGAGTGTAAATTAGTTCAACCATTGTGGAAGACAGTGTGGAGATTCCTGATAGACCTAAGGCCAAAATACCATTTGACCCAGCAATCCCATTACTGGGTATATACCCAAAGGAATATAAATCATTCTATTATAAAGATACATGCACGTGTACGTTCACTGCAGCACTGTTCACAATAGGAAAGACATGGAATCAACCTAAATGCCCATCAATGATAGACTGAATAAAGAAAATGTGGTACATATATGCCACGGAATACTATGCAGCCATAAAAAGGAATGAGATCATATCGTCTACAGGGACATGGATGGAGTTGGTTGGAAGCCATTATCCTCAGCAAACTAATGCAGGGACAGAAAACCAAACACCACATGTTCTCACTTATATGTGGGAGCTGAACAATGAGGTCACATAGCCACAAGGAGGGAAACAACACATACCAGGGCCTGTCAGAGGGTGGGGTGTGGGGAGAGGGAGAACATCAGGAAGAATAGCTAATGGATGCTGGCCTTAACACCTAGGTGATGGGATGATCTGGGCAGCAAACCACCATGGCACACGTTTACCTACGTAACAAACCTGCACATCCTGCACATGTAATACCCCTGAACTTAAAAGTTTGAAAAAAAAATGGAAAAAGAAATAAGCCAGGCATGATGGTACGCACCTGTGATTTGCAAGGCTGAGATGGGAGGTTTGCTTAATCAAGGTGGAGGCTGCAGTGAGCTGTGATGACGCCACTGCACTCCAGCCTGAGCAACAGAGTGAGACCCTGTCTTAAAAAAAAAAAAAGAAAGAAAGAAAAAAAAGCAGATACAGGAAAACTCTCGGCAAACTCTCAGCCCTCCCTCTATTGGCCTAAAAGCAGAACATAGATTTACAAAGACAAAAGGTATCCTGACCCCCTTCTACCAGGAAGGGCAAAGGTTAACTGTTGAAGACAACTATAGATGCCTATCACCTGGAGGTGATACCAGAGGGATGGGGACTAATGAGCTTTACTAACCTTGATCTGCCAGCTGTTACCTTCCCCCAAGTTGCTGCCCCTCAAGACTCAAAGTTCTTTTCCTGTGTCTTGTCACTTCTCCAGAAATTGACTGTTCTTTATTGAAGATATTCTATGAGCTGGAATTCAAACCAGCTCTCCGAGAACTACTCATCCCCTGGCTGTCTCCCATATGGATATGAAATATCCATGTTAATAAACTTTGGTTTGTTTTCTCTTGTTAAGCTGTCTTTTGTAACAGCAGTTCTTTCCAAGAACCTATAAGGGTTGAAGAAAAGCTTCTACAAAATATACCAACAGCGATGCT
The DNA here is from genome assembly GCF_000001405.40 of Homo sapiens. Classification (NCBI taxonomy): domain Eukaryota; kingdom Metazoa; phylum Chordata; class Mammalia; order Primates; family Hominidae; genus Homo; species Homo sapiens. The sequence continues at coordinate 20,409,352 of NC_000001.11, forward strand.
CATAATAGAATAGCACAGGGTCTGCTCTCAGGGAGTGTACTGGCACAAAACCGAACAGTCAGAAACAGGGGCTGGTTTGTGCGGTTCCTAGTCAAAGAGTCACAGAAAAGGAGGGCTCCCATGGCCTGGGTGGGCAAGAATGCTCCCAGAGGATGGGGAGTTTTTCTGGGAGCCTTAGAGGATAAGTAGGGTTTGGATAAGTTGTGGGGTACAGAGGCATTCTACGCAGGGAGACATTATGAGCAAAAGGGCAGAGACCAGAAGGAACTCGGTGTGGTGGGAGTGGGGTAGGGAGGTGGGCATGAGTAGACTGGATGGGAGATTGTCTGTTTGGCAGAAAGGGAGATAAATGAGGTTGGGTGGAACAGATTGCCTGGACCATAAACAGGAGGCCCAGGAGACACAACTGTGAGCTTCTTACCATGCTTAGGCCCAAGGTGGTGCAGGCCATTCAGCAGGTACTTAACATCTTTCTGGATGGATTGATGGATGGATGGATGGATGGATCGACGGACAGATCTCTAGTCATGTATGAATACATGAATAGAGTGAATGAATACATGAATACATGAATAGAATACATTAATAAATAGTACATGGTGGGAAAAGTGAGTATTACAAAAGGGGATCTGTGCTGAGAACCGGGAGTCTGAAGTTCAGGTTCCTGCCCTGCCACTAACCAACCATCGGAGGGACACTTCTGGGCCTCAGTTTCCTCATCTGTAAAGCCCTGGTGATTCTCGAGAGTTCTTCACACTTCTTTGTAGACAGACGCCGGGGCTCAGGCAAGAAAGCCTACGCTAATAAGCAGCCCCAGGGGAAGCCAGCAGCAGGGGCCCTTCCCTCCTGGCTAAGAAAACTGCCACTGGGGAGAAGAGGAGGAGAGCCCAGGCCTAGCTCTGAACGTACCTGATGTCACTTCCCCTCCCTGGTCCACAGTTCCAGCAGATTCACTCCAGCATTTTAGGATTCTGCGAGATTTGTCTGAGGGGCCTGATTTATAGGAGAGAGGAGGCCAGCCTTGCCCCTCCCTTACCCCACTTAGGATGGTAAAGCAACTTGGGAAAAGCATTTACTCTCAGCTCCCGGAATTACCCTTCACTTTCCTGGCAGATAAATGGGGCAAAACAGAAGATGCAGTTACATTTAAATGGAGCGAGGCAGGTGGAAGTTTATAAGATTTGAATACACTTTTTGGCTGCTTTTGAATATTCATTTGCCCAAGGGAGAATTGGGCAGCCAGAATCTATGGGTCTAAAGGAGGTTATTTAAGGTTGGGGGGAAGGGTTGGCAGGAATCCCTGTTCATCAGACTCTCAGGAGCTAATTGCAATTCTTCACCAGCTAAAATGTCACAGGCTCAGAGTAAATTCTGGGAGTTGATACACCTCATGGTTACTGTTGCCATAGCAACTACCTCCCTGTAACCATGTGTACCAGCAGATCACAGCTGACAAGACAAGCCCAAGGAGGTGAATGATGGGGAGCCAGCCCAGGACTCCAGCAGGCCCCCAAGAGTTCTAAAATATGTCTCATAAAGCTAGAATACACTCTGGGCTTCCCAAACATCCTTGAGAATTCTGAAACAAGAGCCCAGAGTGCTGGAACAAGCTGGAATTCCAAAATCTGTCCTCAAATTCCAGAATACTTTCCCCAAGGTCCAGAACACACCCCAGAGATCCAAAGACTCCCCTCCATTCCTGTCAGTCTCTCCAGGTATGCACCTCCAAATCCTAAAGCGTACCCCTGGATAGCTAGAGCAGGCCCTTAAATTATTCTCACCCTCTTGAATTGATTCTTCCTGGGAACTGGCTTTCTGTCTGAACTGCAAGGATTAAGGAGCACTCAGGGCTTGTGTTGGAGAAGACAGTCGGGGGGGTGACCTGCGGAGTGAGCAGATGAAGGCCTTGTCCTGATCCCTTGGAAACACAGAGCATCACAGACGTGCCTCATCACATGCCAGGCCTCAGAGTCAAGGGTGGCTCCCCTGGCCCAGGCATCCCTGCTGCACTCCATGCTGTGTCTTATTCTCCGCAGTGGGGATGACTCGCCCCTGACTCATCCCTGCTCTCTGCCAAGGCTCCTGTGTGACCATTAGCACATCGATCCTGGGGCCCTTGGGAGGGGGTGAAATTGGAGGACCTCCTGGCCCTCAGAGAAAGCTCCTCTTTACCCAAGCAGCCTGAGGTGGGATGTGGCTGAGTTGGGAAGCCTCACCCTCCCTGCCTGGGGCTGGGGGAGCTTCCTGTCTGCAAGTTGACCCTTCCCCAATCATCCCTGATGACACAGTCACTCAGCAACTCCTGAACAAGGGCACCATCTCCCCAGATGGGTAGGAAACCTCAGCACTATCTTAGACTCTTCTCTCTTCCTTCCCCACCACATTAATTCACTGCCCAGTTGGCTCCATTCTTTGTTTCTTTCTCGCCTGGATCCCATCCCTCCCACCATCCCCACTGCCTCGGTCCAGGCCTTGTTATTACTTAGCCTCCACTCCTGCCCTCTCCACCTCATTGGCCAAATGCAAGGCCCTGGTGACTTCACTGCTCTGCCCAAAGCATCAGTGCCTGCTCCCACGTGCTGCCCATCAGGTTCAACCATCTCACCAAGAATTCAAGGCCCCCGATATCTGGCTTTGTCCAAAACTCAACTTCTCCCAAATCCTGACGGTTGTGTGAAATAGCCCCAAATTCCTGCCCTCCCAAACCTTTGCTTCTTCTCTCTTCCTCCTCAAGGGCTCTTTGCACCATCTCTAAATCTCCAAACCAGTTTAGGGGCCACCTCCTTGGAGACTACTGAAGCCATTACTGACCTTGCCCTTCTCTGAAACCCCAGAACTTCTTGTCTGTGCCACTGTTTTTAGAGTTAGCTATGGGTTCTCAGAGCTGCAAGGAGTCTTAGAGGTAATTAAGTCCAGTGTTGTTGTTTTTTTCTTAATTTCTACTTTTATTTTAGATTCAAGGGGTACATGTGCAGGTTCATTATATGAGTATATTGTGTGACGCTGAGGTATGGGGTATGATTGATCCCGTCACCCAGATAGTGAGCATGGTTACCCAAAAGGTAGTTTCTCAATCCAGTGGTTTTCAAACTTGGCTTTGTGACACCCTGAGAAGCGTGGGGCCTTAAAGACTGTAGGAGGAGGGTGGTCCTGAGGGGTGGTCCAGTCAGCAGGGACACAGCCCTCTACACCTGCTCCAACTCAGAGCAGCCTTACCTTGATCTGTCTTAGACGGGCCATTCATTCATTCATGCATGCATCCATTCATCAGCTGTTTACTGAGCACCTTCACTGTATCAGCTTCTATCAATAAGACAGTGAATAAAGAAACTAAACCTGTAGCCTCATGAAACTTGCAAGCTACCGGGGAAAACAGACAAGAAACATATTAACAAATAAAGACACAAGAAAATGTCAAAAAGTGGTAATTGCTGAGGACACAGTAGGATGGGAGTAAGATCCAGAATGCCGTGGAGTGCTCAGGGTATCATTAGATGGTCTGGCCGGGGAACGCTCCCTGAAAAAGTAACATCAGAGCTGACCCCTGGATGGCAAGATGAGGGCCAGCGATGCACAGCGTGTTCTAGGGGAAGGATAATCATGACAAAGAAAAGACCAGTGCAGAAGCCCCAAGGCAGAAACAAGCCTGTCATCTTTAAAATCACAGAGGGCAGAGAGCAGTGGCAGAGCTGTCCAAGATGAGACTTTTGTAGCCAATTCCACTTGAAGAATTGGATTTTTCTGCCAAAAAAAATAGATAGACAGATAGACTTATAGACAGAACCCACTGACCTAGTCTAATCCTGCCACTTCACAGAGGAAAAACGAAGATCCAATGTGTCCAAGGATTGTCCAAGGTCCAACTAAGAGCTGGTGGCGAGCTGGGACCAGTGCCCAGGTCTCAGGATGCTGCCCGGGCACCATCTGTCACTCCTTGTGAGTGGGTCACCCAGGGCAGGCCTCCCTGGCCTTTGACTTTCCCAGCCACTTGGCCAGCCCTGCTCTTGATGCCAACCGCACCCTACCCTGCACACAGGTAAGAAGTGTGAATGAGACAATGTCTCCCTGGCCAGCCGAGCTCCAGGGAGCAAGCAAGAGACAAATAAAAGGCTTTATTGGATTTGTTAAACACGCACCCTGTGGCCAAGGGCCTCCTGGCACCAGACGGCATCACAGAGGGAAAAAAGAAAAGCGGATGATGAAATTAAAAGGCATTTCATTGCCAGAGCCAAGGCTGACATGCACAAATCCAGAATGTGTCTCTCTCCCTGGCTTCTCACCCACCTGTCCTCCTGTGTCCCCAGCCTCTCTCTGATGCAGCCGCCCTGGCCGGGGTCACAGCTCACACCATGACACGGGGCCTCCTGCACAGCCATCTTGAGGCATCTGACCCAGGAATCAAAGACCCAGAAGGGATTCTGGGGAAAGAGGGAAACGTGAGAAGTGCCTGAGAGGTCATGGAGTCCATCCCCCTGTCCCTGGCATGATCTGAACTTGCTAACCTCTTCCACATAAGAGCGCAGGCCCCAACCCAGGAGAAGGCAGCTCAGGCTAAGGCCAGAGAAGGGGCCAGAGGGGTGAACAGGGAGAAGACAGACAGTCCGGGTCCATGGCCCAGCTCTGCCACTGGCCAGCTCTACAATATTGGCAATTCACTGTACCTCTGTGAGCCTCAGTTGCCTCTGCTGCAAAAGAAGAAATGCCCATGGTGAGGATGAAATGAGGTATTTTGGTGTAAAGCTCCTGGCATGTAGAGGGCACCAACAAGTATTGGTTTTAGAGGCATCTGGAGCCCCAGTTTTCTATGTGACCTCCACTGAGGTGGGAGAAAGTTTTTAACTCCCCCCGATACTCCACCAGACTCACCACAGTTTCCCCAGAGTCTCTGATCAGGGCAAACTATTTGTGTCTAATTACATTAAATTGCATAATATTTTCACCGCTTTCCCAAGAGACTTACCTGATTTCTCTCTGTTCATTTCTGTGTGTGTGTGCATGTGTGTGTGTGTATGTGTGTGTGTGCATGCATAGACACATTTTGTTAAATGGATGTTCCTAAGGCCAAGGTTACACTCCTCCTGTCTGTGCTGCCCTCAAGAAAGAATCTATGGGGATTGCCAAGCAACCTAAGGAAATGAGATGGTTTGTAGATTTCTTTAGAGGAAGTCATGTCATGCTGGCCCTTTTCAGTGGTTTTTCCAATAAACATCTTTTGAGCACTTCATGTGTGCAAGGCAATGTATTTATTAATATATTTTGTTCACAAAAGTGAACAAGAGCCCCTCTTTCTTTCCTGTTGGAGCCTACATGTCAGGGCTCTGGGACTGGATGATTAAGAAGACCTGTAATCTGTCAAATGACCCAGTTCAAAAGGTGCTGATAAATGAACCCATGTCAGCCTGAGGAGGTCTCTGACAGCATGCCGTGGGATTCTGTCTTTGGGATTTCTCATCAAGTACACAACAGTTGAGGAATCCTGGAGACAAGCAAGTTCAGGGCATTCGTGCACAAATGTTACAGGACACCTGCTCTGTGCCAGGCACTGGGGACACAGCTGTGAACAAGACAAACCAAAATCTCTGTCCTCATGGGGCTTACATTCTAGTTAAGAAAGACAGACAGTCAATCAAGAAATAAGTTAAGTAAAGAAAATGTCCAGAGGCTGGTAAGTGCTATGGAAAAAATAAGTGGTTGGGAGTACTAGAGAGTACTAGGAGACAAGGGTTAAGATTTTAAAGAAAATGATCAAGGAAGGCTTTGCTGAGAAGACAACATTTCAGTAAAGGCCCAAGGGAGGAGAAACAAACCATTCAAACCACCTGGATGATACAGAACATTCTGAACAAAGGGGAAGCAGGTACAAAGGCCCTGGGGCAGCAATGCACCTGGCATGTATGCATGTATGTAAACAGCATCTTTTTACATGCAGGTATCTTAGTGGCCTGATTGATCTGAAAGAAATAAACAGAGAGAAATCAGGTGATGCCCTCGGGGAAAGCAGTAAAAATATAATGCAATTTAATGTAATTAGACACAAATTGTTGGCTCCGATCAGCCAGTGTGGCTGCAGCAGAGTGACCAAGGAGAGATGGGCAGGAAATGAGGTCAGAGGGGAGACAAAGAGGGGACCATTGCAGGAATCCAGGTGGACAATGAGAGTGCTTAGCCCAGGGCAGACATACAGTATAGTGGTTAAACATGGGCCCTACAGCCAGGTTGCCTGGGATCAAGATTCACCACCTATATCAACTTGGACAAGTGACTTTGACTTTTCATTCCTCAGTTTCCGCAACTGTGAAATGGACATGGTAAGAGTATCTTCCTCCCAAGGTGGTTGTCAGGGTTAAATGAGCTAAGGCCTATAATACGATTTGGTGCATGTTAAGTACTTAAATATTAGAACTTTAACTTTACAGTGGAGAGAACTGGCAAACACCACCTTCACCAAGCAGTCAAGGTTGACATCACCAGTGATGTCGTGTGATATCGTGCACTTCCAATACCATATGAGATGGCACTTTACCCCTTTGACGTGCTTTCCAACAGCCCATAAGCCCAATCTAGTTAGGAGAAAACATCAGACATCCCCAAACTGAGGGACATTCTACAAAACACCTGGCCCAATACTCCTCAAAACTGTCAAGGTCATGAAAACCAAGGAAAGACTGAAAAACTGTCACAGATTAGGAGACACTAAGGAGACGTGAAGACTAAATGTGATGTGGGATCCTGGGTTGGATCTTGGAGCAGAAAACATTAGTGGAAAACTGGAAAAATCCAAATAATGGAATTTAGTTAATGGTGATGTACCAATGTTGGTTTCTTAGTCTGAACAAATGTACTGTGGTCATGTACGATGTTAACAATAGGGGAAACTTGGTGGCAGGGATGAGGATGGGAGGTTCGTGTGTATTAAACTCCCCCAAGGCCCAAAATGGTATCTTTATATTATTCATTCAACAAATATGTAAATTCCACTCAATCTACAGGATCCCAAGGGGAGAAACAAGAACCAAGCAAGAAAGCAAGGACTGGAAAGGAGGAGGAGTTTTCTTTTTTTCTTTTTCTGAGATGGAGTCTCACTCTGTCACCCGGGCTGGAATGCAGTGGTGTGATCTCGGCTCACTGCAAGCTCCGCCTCCTGGGTTCAAGCCATTCTCCTGCCTCAGCCTCCCAAGTAGCTGGAACTACAGGCGCCTGCCACCACACCCAGCTAATTTTTATATTTTCAGTAGAGACAGGGTTTCACCACGTTTGTCAGACTGGTCTCAAATTCCCAACCTCAAGTGGGAGGTTCGGCCTCCCAAAGTGCTGGGATTACAGGCTTGAGCCACTGTGCCCAGCGAGGAGGAGTTTTCTAATAATGTTATCTATCCCTGAAAATGATGACTTCTCCACTACAGGAAGGGCTCAAACAGGAGCCAGAAGAACACTTTGCCGTGGAGACCAGACTCTAGCGTTCCAAAAAGAAGGCTGCAAAAAAGCCTCGGCATTCTAGTCTCCACCTTCTCATCTGAATTTCCAGTAGGTCTCCAAGCCTGAGCCCAACCACCACTGGCTTGGCCCAGCTCACACTCTCCCTTCCTGCCCCTGACAAAAGCTGCAGCTGGCAGAAGTGAGCTGTTCAAATCTTTTACTGTTGACACAACCACACATCACCACAGGTCATCACTGTCAGTCATTCAGCAAACCCTCACTCAACATGGCAGAGGGTCACAGAGTTCAGAACACAAGCCTTAGAGAGGCCACCTCTCAGCTGTGCCACCTCTAACTATGTGACCGTGACCGGAGCCCTTTACCTCTCTCAGCCTGCTTCTTCATTCAAAAACAGGGATAATAATAGAACCTACCTCAGGGTTGATGTAAGTGCTCACTAAAAGATAACTATTAATATTATCATTATACTTATGCAGCAGGCACTATGCTGGATGCAAGCAGGGCACAAAGTTGAATAAATCTAACTCTAACGTCCTCTTGGAGGGAAGTCAGGTATTGAACAATTAATTACAATGCAGGAGATAAGTACTATCGGGGTATCTATCAGAGCACCCACTCCAGGCCTCCAGCCCCAAATCTCAAGACCTCAAGGAAGGAACTGAGGGGGCTCCTCCCACCTTGACTTTAGCTGGAGCTGACAATCTGCCAAAGAGGACTGGCATTGGAAATCAATGCGCCTTGATTACAGAAAACTCTTTCTGACTTTCTAAAGACACACCAAACAGACAGACTTCCCCTAAATCCTCAGAGCAGAGCCCCGATCAGCCCTCCTCTTCCCCAGACAGCCCTGCCCCATCACCCCGCCAGCCCTTGCCTTCTGCCGTATCTCTTTCCTGCAGGTACCCCAGGCGCTGCTCTTCACTTGATGCCTACTGCCCCGTGTTTGCACCAAGGAGGCCTCAGTTGCCCCAGTGATGACTGTCCCCAGCTTGGCCAGCAGGCAAGGACACGATGTGTCAAGGCCAGGCTGTTTAGAGGCCAACACTGAGCGCAGATAGGCCAGTCCCTTAATGGCAGAGGACTAAGCTGGTGGACCAGGAACTCATTATCCAGCTGCCCAGGGCAATAGAAGGAAGTCAAACGGAAGCACCCACTGCTGGGGGAGCACAGAGGGAGTGGGCCAGGGCTGGGGAGGCCTGGCTCAGGGTCACAGCCATTTTTGTTGCATGCCTACTCTGCACCGGGCACTGTGCAAATGGTCACACCCATTAACTCATTGTGTCCTCATGGAAAGGGGGACTGTTTTTCTCTCCATTATTTAGATAAGCAGATTGAGACCCACAGCATGGAGGAGCTTCTGCAGGTCCCGCAGCTGGTGGATGGCAGAGCTTGATTCCCCATTCAAGCCCACACACAAGCCACTCCCCTGGCCTGTAACATCTGCTCCTCTAGGGCCTCCCGGGCTGCAGGCCTTGCATGGGCTCTTGGGACACTGAGCTGAACAAGATACAGTCCCTGTCCTGGAAAAGTTCACAGTTAAAGGTGGACAGAGAGCAGCGGCCATTTGCAAGAAACCTGATGGAAACCTGATTGATAGAAGTGTCCCTGATGGAAGGACACTCACGACTCTGACACAGCATGCAAGCAGCAGCTGACTGTGCCCTGGTCCTGGGGAACTGCCCTGAGGTGCATCCTGGAGCTGGACCTTGCAGGACTTTCTCAAGGGACTGCTCTTCCAGCAAGGGGAACCTTAGGAGCAAGGGCCACCTGAGTCCAGGTTCTGTTCTAACTTCTGACCCCAAGTCAGGGAACTGGGTCTTATTCCTTGGGCCTTGGAAAGGTCCTTCTTTTAGCATCCTGGGCAGCAGCCAGGGCTTTGGAGTCAGAGAAGCCAAGGCCAAATCCCCCCTCTCCCACTTTCTAGCTGTGCAATCTTAATCCTCAAGACAACAATAATAATGCATGGATGGAAACATGGATTAATTAATTAATTAAGGGGAGGGCTGGTAGATCCAGAGCTCCTGGCTGCAACCAGGTCAGTTCCAGAACCTGGACCAAGGTCAAGCAATCATTCATTCATGCCTGCAGGCAACACATATTTGTTGAGCACCTACTATGTGCGTGCCAAGCACTATTCTAGGTGCTGAGGATACCACAGAGAACAAAATATATGTCTAATGCCCATAGTTGCTACAGAGAAAAATGAACTAGGATAAGGAAGGTAGGGGGGCCCCAGAGTGAGGAAGGCTTTACTTTTAGATGGAAGGGTCAAGGATGCATCACAAGTGTCCTGAAGGAGACGAGGAATTGAGCCCCAAAGATACCTGGAGGAAGAGTGTCCCATTTAAAGAGGAGAGTGGGGAATCTTGCCTGTGTGCAATGAGGTGGCCAGAAGGCCAGTGTGTCTGGGAAGGTGGTAGAGCTGGATCACACAGGCCTTGGTCTTCACTGGGATTTGGACTCTCATTCAGAGTAAAACGGGAGCCACAGGGGAGCTTTAGGAAGAGGAGTGACAGAGTATGACAGATAGAACATGCTGCTGTGCTAAATACAAAGAGAGAAAGAGGGAGGTCAGTGAGTGAGGAGGCTATTGCGACGTCCAGGTGAGAGACAGTGGAGGCTTGGTCCTGAGTGGTCACAGTGGAAGTGGTGAATTCTGAATAGATTTTGAAGGTAGAGCTCACTACATTTGCTGAGCGATTGAATGTGAGGTATAAAAGAAAGAGAAGAGTCAAGGATGGCACCAGAGTTTTGACCTGAGCAACTGGAAGCATGGAGCTGCCATGCTGGGATGGGGAAGTCAGTGAGAAGAGAGGACGTCCACATAAAGATGGCAGCTTGGACACGCACAGCCACTGCAATGCTAAAGTCATCCCTTGGGTGCTCCAATAACAGTGATGAGATTTCTTTAAATGTCTGAGGGAATGAACCCACAGGATGGGAGAACAGGAGAGGGGACAATAACAATGAAATTTCAGGAGCTGGAAAATAAACGAATGATTGAGAAAAATGCATCAGAAAAAAAAAGTCCCCCAAAGGCTCAGGGTTTGGCAGCACCAGTTACCTCTGGAAGCTGAGGTGAAGGAGAAGTTACAACAAAGAGGAGCCTTTGAAAGGCTGTTTCAGAAGCTGTCATTGTCCCAGACTAGACACCTCTAGACTGGGGGACACCGGGCTCAGTGCATGCAGTGGCACTCTATTGATGACACAGAGTTTCCATGAAAATGAGCAGTCTGGATGCCAAGACCCCAACCATGACAAACCACTCTGCTCTTGGGACACTGACAGCCAGACTTATACCCTCCAGACAGACAATTGGAAGAGTCTTCTCTGGGGAGCATGATGGACCAAGGAGAAAATATTATACCTAGAGAAACCCTAGAGATATCAACATGGAAGTTTCTCCAATTAAACAGCCCAGTCACACCATCCTACAAGGAAGCCCACAGCCCACAAGACCCACTCATGTACTCAGAGCTTCTAATCAGCTTATGCTTTCCTATTTTAAAATACATGCAAGATAACTGAGGTTTACTAGACATCAGAAGAAAGCCTCTAATCTGAAAGATAAAGAACAAAACACAGAGAAAACACCAACTTGAGGATAACAGAGAATAGCAAGGAGAGGGGGGAGAAAACCTCCTTAATATCATCAGAGAGACAACAAAAGACATGCATGAAATTGAAATAGGATTCTCATAAAAAAATAGGAAGAGAACAAAATAAAAGAGCTTTTAAAAATGAAAATACAATGGCAGAAATTAAAAAGGGAAAGTTGGAAGACAGGGTTGAGCTCTTCTAGAGTGACAGATGCAGAAAATGGAAGAGAAGTGTTTTTAAATTAGGATTTGTCCAGGAGTTTCATCTTCTAAAAAGAATTTTTAAAAAGTAGAGTGGAGGGAATCATCAATAAAATCATTCAAGAAAATTTCACAGACCCAACGAACAGCTTTCTAGATTTCAAGAACTCACAGAGGGCCCAGCACAGTAAGTGAAAACAGACACATTATTGTCTATTTTCATTATTAAATAGACACACCAAGGCATATTATTGTGAATTGTCACTACCCTGGAAACTAAGAGAAGATTCTCTACTTCCACATTTAAAAGATTAGGAATACAGAACAGCTTCCTTCTGAAGGCAATACTGATAGCCAGAAGGTAATAGAGTAAAGCCTTCAAATTCTGATGGAAAATAATTTCCAGGCGAGAATTCTATACCTAGCCTAAAAGCCAATCAAGGATAGGGATAGAAGAAAGACATTTTCAGATGTGCAAAGTCTCAAAAAACCAACATTCCACGTATCTTTTCGCAGGAAGTACTGGAGGATATGCTCCACCAAAACAAGGGAATAAAACAAGAAAGAGGAAAATATGAGATACTGGAAACTGAACATCCAACACAAAAGAGAGACGGAGGAACCCTCCAGGTTGACAGTAAAGAGAGAGCCTAGGATGACACCTGTGTGCTAGGTGTAAAAAGCAACCAGTCCAGCCTTAAGCAGGTCACAAGGCTCTGGAAGATTTCATCAGGAGGATGAAATTGATAAAAAACCTGATGCATCTAATTGTCTTGAGAGAAAATGTACACTATTGGTCAGGAGTTTGGCATACTTAATTTGTTACAAGTACAAGCAAACAAATATATCTTTTTAAAAAGGCAACTAGTAACTCCAGGGAAAACAAAAACTTGCACAGAGAAAAAAAAAGAAATCATAGCATTACTGGGAGGATAGGAGAATGGAGAGAGCAAGTTAAGGACTGGGAAGGAGAGCAAAGAGAGCTAAATCATCATCTTCCCCAGTGCAAAGTCAAACAGCTAGAGTTCCGCTTCTGTCATGGAAATGTGAGGCTCTCTGCAGATTTGTTCCCTTGTGAAACTGCTGGAAATTATTTTTAAAACACTATTTAAAGCCCCTGGAAATGGTCCTAAGAGCATACAGCAAATAAAGAAATGTTTGTTCAGGAAAACGTATGAAAACTCCATAAGAATAGCAAGAGTCTGTGACATTTGAACCATGATCCACTCTCTCCCTCTCTCATCCCATCACAGCACTATAAAAACTCCACTGCAGATAGGTGCAGCCCATAACACGGGGCTCCTTCTCCCCTTAACTCCAAGTTGGAAGCCTACAGTATCTTCTCAGGAAGAACAGGACATAAGCATTTCTCATCCTGTCCAAGCTTACTGTTGCAGATGCTAAGTTTTAGGTGAGTATAGCTGAGAGATAGGGGATCCCTTCTTCTTCCCAGCCCTCACCAGTGAGATGGCCACTCTAACTTGGGTGTGGCAAGCTGACAAATCCTAGGTCCCCAACTACTCTCACCCTGGCTCATTCATAAAGCAGAGGTTCCACACCAGGAGAGGCAAGCTGAGAAGACCAGAGGTTACAGCCAGCCCCCACTTCAGCAAGCACCCAACTCCTAAAGTAAGGGTCTTACTGAGAGAAAAGCATGCCACTGTCCCCATCCCTAGCTCCAGATATTTCACCCATGGGGAGAGACAGACCATGAAACAGAGAGTTCTGAAGCTTGTCTAAAAGAACTGACTTCATTTGCAACAGCATGTGGGGAAGTTAAAGTCTAAGGGCACTCTCAAAAACAATAGAGGTTGTGGTGAAAACAATTCAGAGGAGACTGGTAGATCCATCCATTTGAGATATAAGCTAGACCACTGACTAGTTTGCCAGAAAGAACTAGAGAATGAGAGAGCTAACAAGAGCCCTCCTGGGGTCAGAGCAGATCTCAAACAATGACCTCAAAAACTACACCTGCAAAGGAGGTCAGAATTGCTACAATATATTATTTTAAGTGTCCAATTTCCAATGAATAAATTATGAGGCATGCATAGAAGCAAGAAAGTTTGACACACATGAAAAAAAATTAGGCAACAGAAGCTGCCTGTGAGGATGACCATATGTCAGATGTAATAGAGAAAGAATTCAAAGTAGTCATTATAAATATTTTCAAAGAGCTGAAGAAAACCATGCTTAAAGAAGTAAAGGAAGGTATGGTAATAATGCCTCATCAAATAAAGAATACAAATAAAGGGACGAAAATTATTTTTCTGAAATGGAAATTCTGGAGCTGAAAAGTACAATAACTGTAATGAAAAATTCACTGAAAGGGCTCGACAGTAGATTTGAACTGGCAAAATAAAAATTAGCAAACTTGAAGGTAGATTGACAGAGATTATGTAATCTAAAGAACAGAAACAGAAGAAAAGAATGAAAAAAATGGGCAGAGTCTCAAAGAAGTGTGGAACATCATTAAGTGCATCAACATATGCATAATGGGAGTGCCAGAAAGAGAAGAGACAAAGAAAAGCACGAGGAAAGGTTCAAAGAAATAATGTCAAAAAAACTTTGTGACTTGATTTTTTAAAACTTTAATGTACAGATTTATAAAACTCAAAAAAGCTCCAAGTAGAATTAATGCAAAGTAGTAAAAATGCTGAAAACTAAAAAGAAGAAAAGAATCTCAAAAGCGGCAAGAGAAAAAAAAAAAAAAAAAACAAGAATCATCACTTGCAAGGGAGCCAAATAAGATTAACAGCTGACTTCTTATTAGAAACAGTGGAGGCCAGAGGCAGTGGGATAACATATTCAAAGTACTTAAAGATAACTCCCAACCAAGAATACTATATCCTTAAAAACTTCTCACCAAAAGGAAGGAGAAATAAAGACATTCCCAGTATTAATCTCATACCAAATCCAGACAAACATATCACAAAAAACTATATATCTTATGAATATAGATGCAAAATCCTCAACAAAATGCTAGCAAACCAAATCTAGCAACATATTCAAAGAATTATATACCATGACCAAGTGGGATTTATCCCGGGAATGCAAATTTGGTTTAACATGTGAAAATAAATTGATGTAATATGCCATATCGATAGATTTTTTAAATTACATTATTATCTCAATAAACACAGAAAAAGAATTTGACAGAATCCAACACTCTTTAGTGCTAAAAACACTCAACAAATTAGGAGTATTAGGGAACCTCCTCAACCTAATAATGGGCATCTATGAAAAACCCACAGCTAACATACTCAGTGGTGAAATACTGGATGCTTTTCCCCTAAGATCAGGGACAAGACAAGACTATCCATGCTCACCACGAGCCAGGGAACTTAGGCAAGAAAAAGAAAGGAAGAAGTAAGATATAGTTATCAAAGAATGACATGATCATGTACATAGAAAATCCTAAGGGATCAGAATCCATTAAAACCTATTAAAACTAATGAACAAGTTCAGCAAGAGTAAACGAAAAAGATAATATACAAAAATCAATTGTATTTCTTTACATTTGCAGTAAACAATTTGAAAATGAAATTAAGAAAACAGTTCCACTGGCATTAGCACCAAAAAGAATAAAACATTTAGGAAAAGGTTAACTAAAGAAGTATGAAACTTATACTTTAAAAAGCGCAAAATGTTGTTGAAAAAAATTAAATAAGACCTAAATAGACCAGGCACAGTGGTACACACCTGTAATCCCAGCACTTTGGGAGGCAAAGGCAGGTGGAACACTTGAGCCCAGGAGTACAAGACCAGCCTGGGAAACATGGTGAAACCACATCTCTACGTAAAAAATACAAAAATGTAGCCAACATAGTGGTGCATGCCTGTAGTCTCTGTTACTCTGGAAGCTGAGGTAGGAGAATCACTTGAACCTGGGAAGTCAAGGCTGCAGTGAGCTGTGATTGCACCACTGCACTCCAGCCTGGACAACAAAGTGAGACCCTGTCTCAAAAAAAGAGGACCTAAATAAGTCAAAAGATGTCCTATGTTCATGGATTACCAAACTCATATTGTTGATATAAGCATACTCCCCACACTGACCTATAGATTCAATGCAATGCCTATCAATGCAATCCCAATGGCATTTTTTGTAGAAATGAAAATTCCAATCCCAAAATTTATATATAATTGCAAGGAACACCAAATAGTCAAAACAATCTTGAAAAAGAAAAACAAAATTTGAGGAATCACATTTCCCAATTTTAAAACTTAATACAAAGCTATAAAAGTCAAAACAGTGTAGTACTGGCATAAGGACAGACACATAGGTCAATGGAATAGAATTAAGGGTCCAGAAATAAAGCCATACAGCTATGGTCATTTGATTTTTGACAAGGATGCCAAGACCATTCAATGGAGAAAGAATAGTCTCATCAATAAATGATGCTGGGGAACTGGATAGCCTCATGAAAAAGAATCACGTTTGACCCTTAACTTACACCATACACAAAAAGTTAACTCAAAATGGATCAAAGATCTAAATGTAAGAGCCAAAATTATAAAGCTCTTAGAAGAAAACAGAGCGATAAATCTTCATGACCTTGGATTTGGCCATGGGTTCTTGTATGTGACACCAAAAGCACAAGCAACAAAAGAAAAAAATAGATAAGTTGAACTTCATCAAAATTTAAAACTTTTGTGCTTCCAAAGATACAATTGAGATAGTGAAAAGAAAACCCACAAAATAGGAGAAAATGTTTGCAAATCATATGTCTGACAGGGGACTTGTATATAGAAGGAACTCTTACAAGTCATAATAAAAAGCCAAGTAATCCAAATTAAAAATGGGCAAAGGACCTGGATAGACATTTCTCCAAAGAAGATGTACCTATGGCTAAAAATACATGAAAATATAATCAGCATCATTAGCCATCAAATCAAAACCACATTAGATACCATTTCACACTCACTAGGATGGCTATAATCGAAAAGTCAGAATAACTTCACTGTTGGTAAGGATGTGGAGAAACTGGAACCCTCATATATTGCTGGTGGGAATGGAAAATGGTGCAACCATTGTAGAAAATGCCTGGCAGTTCCTCAAAAGGTTAAACATAAAGTTACTCCATAACCCAGCATACCCAAGAGAAATAAAAGCATATGTCCACACAAAAACTTGCACACAAATGTTCACAGCAGCATCATTCACACTAACCAAAAGGTAGAAACAACCCAAACGTCCATCAACTGATGAATGGATAAACAAATGGTGGTATATCCAGACAATGGAATATTATTCAGCCATGAAAATGAATAAAGAACTAATATGTACTATAACTTAGATAAACCTTGAGAAAACTGTGCTAAGTGAAAGCAGCCAGTCACAAAAGACCATGTACTATATGATCTGTTTACATTCAATGTCCAGAATAGGCAAGTCTATCGAGACAGAAAGTAGATTAGCAGGTGCCAAGGGATGGGGACAAAGGCAGGAGATAATAGCTGAAGGGCACAGGCTTTCTTTTTGAGGTGATGAAAATGCTCTAAAATTGATGTAGTGATGGTTAAATAACTCTGTGGATATACTAACACCCACTGAATTGTACCTGTTAAATGGGTGAATTGTATGATATGTGAATTATATCTCAATAAAGCTGACACAAAATAAGTTAATTAACTAACCAAAAAAAAAGAAAATTCAAGAAGCAGTGAAACAAGCATGTCATTTAGAAACATGAATACAAATGTCAAAATAATCAGCTAAAAGAAGTCAAAGTGGTTTCCTCTCTGGGGTGGGGGAAATGAGAGTGAGTTAATTTTATAATAAACCTCGTAGAACTGTGTTATTATTTAAACCGTGTGTGTATGCCTTTTTGATAAAGATTAAAACTTTTGGATTTATAAATAAAACCTTTAGTCTTAGGTTCTGAGCCACCCCATTGCAGAGCTTGGAGGCTGTAAGGAGGGTAGCTGGCCAGGTACCTTAAATTTGCTCTTGCAGAACTGAAAGCTTATACATTTGGCCGAGGGCCAGCCAGGTTCTGGCCCCAAAGAGAGGGAACAGGTGGGGCTATGGGGTTATTCCAAGGCTGTAGATCTTGCCTGATCCTACCCACTGCCTTGAAAATCTGGGCCTCTGCTTAAAGGAGAATTATTCAGAGTACACAGTGGTCTAGAGGAAACAGGCCCACTGCTGGGGAAACTGTCAACTGATCTAAAATCCGCTGGCCTACAATGAACACCTACTGTGTACCAGGCACCTCCACAGACATCCTCTTGTAATCATCTCAAGGACCCTGGGAGGCAGGTGTATTGATCCCCGTGCTACAGATGAGGAAACTGAGGCTCAGGGAGGTTTAGCAGCTTGCCTGGAGCCACAAAGCTAAAAAGATCCAGGTTAAGATCCCAAGTCTGGCCATCCCCCAGTCCAGCACTCTATTCACTACAGAGCTTTCCAGTGCAGAGGAGGCAGGGAAGGGACTTGAGAAAGGGGAGCCCCTTCTCTGAGCAATAGAAACCATGTTTGAGCTCAGCTCATTCCAGGATGTGAGTCATAGTGAGAAGCCCAAGTTAATCACGAGACAATGAAGGCTCTAACTTGGAGAAATGACTCCACAGGCTCCATGGGAGCTGCAAGCAGTGGCTCAAAACAGGCAGGTCCAGCCCCACAGCGTTCCACATCACTAGAGGATATCGTCCGTCACTGCTCCTCTGCTTTTGGGGCCATTCAGATGTAGAACCAGACTTCAAGACTACCCTTGGACCTCTGATGCCAGTTAGGGCCACCCCACACCAAACTCCAGGTGAGAGTCAGCAGTGACTTTTTAATCTGGAAGGGACCTTAGCCACCATCTAGTCCACTATTCTTATCGCACAGATGGGAGATGAAAACCTCAAACAGAAAAGAGTTGCTCGGGGTCACACAGCGAGCGAATTCGCCACCAAGCCAGCTCTCCAGCCAAAGCGTTCTGCATGCCGCCTTCCCTGCCTCTTCCTCCTGTTAGTGCCAGTGCCCTCCTGCTTCTCACTGCCACACCCCCAACCTGGACGCCCCCTGTTCTCTTCGTAGTCACACATGTCGCGTCATTACTTTCTCCTTATACACCCAAGCCCAGCACCAGGAAAACTACAAATTAGCACTAAAGAGTGACCGCTGGTGGCTCATGCCTGTAATCCCAGCACTTTGGGAGGTTGAGGCGGGTGGATCACTTGAGGTCAGTAGCTTGAGACCAGCCTGGCCAACATGGTGAAACCCCGTCTCTACTAAAAATACAAAAAATTAGCCGGGCGTGGTGGCACACCCCTGTAATCCCAGCTACTCAAGAGGTTGTGGCAGGAGAATCGCTTGAACCTGGAAGGTAGAGGTTGCAGTGAGCCGAGATCACACCACTGCACTCCACCCTGGGCGACAGAGTGAGAGTCTGTCTCAAAAAAAAAAAAAAAAATTAGCCAAGCGCAGTGGTGGGCACCTGTGATCCCAGCTACTCAGGGGGGCTGAGGCAGGAGAATCGCTTGAACCCAGAAGGTGGAGGTTGCAGTGAGCTGAGATCACGCCACTGCACTCCAGCCTGGGCAACAGAGCAAGACTCCGTCTCAAAAAAAAAAGAGTGACTGCTGGGCCCTCACTTCCCCAGAATCTTTATATTTTAAAAGAATCTTAGAATATCTCTTCCTCTCCCTCTCCCACTCTCTTTCCACAACACACAGGTACCTCAACGACCCCTGGGAAAGGCAATCATGGGTTCACATATATCATTAGGTTTGGATTCAGATAGGCAGACTTGGGGTCTATCTAATTCTAGGTCTGACATTTAGTAACTACATGACCTTGGGACAGTCACTCAACTTTTCTGAACCTCAGTTTTTTCATCTGTAAAGTGGGGACAAGAATACTCCCCTTCCAGGCTGGGCCCAGTGGCTCACACCTATAATCCCAGCACTTTGGGAGGCTGAGATGGGAATTTGAGATCAGCCTGGCCAACACAGCAAGACCCTGTCTCTATAAAAATAAAGAAAAATAAATATATATTTTAAAATACTCACCTTTCAAAGACACGGCAAGGATGAAGGGAAGTTGATGGCTGTGGAGTCCTTTACACAGTACCCAGAGCAGAGTGAACCCCAGAAATGCTGAGGTAGACAGAGAGAAGGAGGGAGGAAGGGAGACCTACAGGCTTTTCTTTTTTCTACAACAGTCGTAATTATTTCATGCACGAATCTTGTCTCTCCACTAGAGCTCCCTGAGGCTGAAAACACAACTTCTGCTTCTGAACCCCTACCCCACCCAGCACAGGGTTTACATCATAGTGGGGACCCCAAAATCCTTTGTCTCCCTGCTTATTACAGAAAGACCAGCTTGATAGGGAAACCCACAGACCTGGATTGTGGCACCGGCAAACCTCCTCTCTGGCAAGGAGTTCAGAGCGGCTTTTCACAGGGTCCCTGGGAGGCAGTCAGGACCAGCTCCCCCTCATTTCACAGATGGGCAGACTGAGGGCCACGGCCTAGGCAGCAGTGCCAAAGACCCAGAGTCCTGACCATCAGCCCTCCCCCACCACCAGTGCTGCGAGGCCAGCTCAGCCTCCGGGTCCACTTAGGTCCTCCTCCTGTCCACATTCGAGCCCTGTGTTGTGATGGCACTGCTGGGATGCTCTCTTGATGCCTGCTTTATTTTTAGATGCTCTAAGACTGTTGGGGAAGAAGAAGAGACCCACTTTCCTGTTCAGAAACATTGTCATCACTTTGAAAACGCCTCCTCCGTCTGTCACAAAAAGGCAGCTGGGCCTTCCACTTTGCAGTGCCACAGCTCCAGAGCCATACACGCTCCCATATCCTCCAGGCAGCCTGGCCCCTGCCCGAGTACTCCCCAGTTTATCTCACACCCTGTTCCTTCACTCTCAACCCTCCACAAAACCCCTGGGGCCTGGGATCCATCCTATTCTCCCTCCCTCCACCCTGGCTTTGCATCTGCCCTTCGTTCAGCCTGGAAGCCCTTCCCTCTTGCCTCTCTCGTGGGAAAGAAGGAACCTATTCACCCTTCAGCTGCAGCTTAAATATCAGACCAAGACGATCCCCTGGTCTGCACCCAGAACTTCTCTTTTGTAACACAGTCCACATATTAGCAACTACTTAAGAATTTACAGGCTAGGCAAAGTGGCTCATGTCTATTATCTCAATACTTTGGGAGGCCAAGGTGGGAGGACTGCTTAAGCTCAGGAGTTCAAGACCAGTCTAGGCAATATAGTGAGACCCCATCTCTACCAAACATAGAAAATTAGCTGGACATGGTGGTGTGAGCCTGTCATCTCAGCTACTCGGGGGGCTGAGGTGGGAGGATCGCTTCAGCCTGGGAGGTCGAGGTTGCAGGGAGCCGTGATCACGCCACTGCACTCTAGCTTGGGCGACACAGCAAGACCCCATCTCAAAAACAAGAATTTGCTGCTAATTTCTAAATTATTTTTCTCTTTTATATAATAATTTCATCCCTGTTAGGTTGAAAGATCCATGATGCTAAGCCCTCCTCCACCTTGATCCCCGCCATCCCCAGTGCCTAGCAGAGCCCCTAGCACATTGGAGGTGCCCAATAAACATTTGTTGACTGACTGATTCACTTCTAAGGCCAAGATATGCTCCCCCTTGAGCGTTGCGATCAGTTCCTGTACGTGATTCCATCCAGTCCTCACAACAGCCTCTGAGCAGGGAGTGGTTACCCCCCTTTCACAAAAGAGAAGACAAGCTTGGAGAGGTGAGGTGACCTGCTCAAGGTCACACTAGGTGTGAGGGTTGGGATGCAAATTCAGGTCCCACAGAAGCACCCTCCCCATCAAATCCCCTTCCCCTGAAGGCTGTTAGGAGAAGGTGGTCGTGCCATCCATCCTCAGTCCTTGGGGACAGCCCAGACCTGCCCCAGGCTCCAAACAGGCTAGAATCAGCCCCGCTCTGCAGACGACCCAGTTGCTATAGGGCCTCCTGCTTCTGCCCACCCACCCCCGGTGAGGTGCCCATGGAGGGTCTTAGGCTGCTAAATCCCTCCCAGGGAGACCGTGGCGCCCCAGCGCCCTCTAGTGGTGGCAGGAAGAGTCTGTGGGGAGGGCAAGGAAGGGGAAAGGGAATAGGTTGCGGGAGGGAGGAGGTGAGGAAGGGGAGAGAGGATAAGAGATGGGAAGAGAAAGGTGGAGCTGAGAAAGGGAGGGGGAGAGGAGCAAGAGGAGGCAAGTGGGGCACTTTGTCCTGGGCCCTGGAGTCCCTTCTCCTCTCTGGTGCTCCCTCTGACAGTTGCCACCCTGGGTTTCTGCCCTCCAGCTGGCCTAGCCCTGGGGGCCTGAGAGGGACATCCCTGCTCCAGGGAATTGCTGATTCGGAAGGTCCATCTCCTGGTCAAAGCCCTCTCCCAGCTGAAAAGGGGCTGGGAAGAACTCCATCCGTCTCCTCTCCACCTCCTCTCACCCATCAGAGTCAGTAGGGGCTTCCAGATGCCCCCCGCCCCACAACCACAAGGACACACACCACCCGGCTCTGCCCCAGCCTTTCCCTTCTCCCTCCCTGCCCAGCCACCCCAAAATCCCAGCAGCTGCAGTTGCCATAGAAACAGCACCCCCACCCCACCCCCACCCCTTTCACACAAACAAACTGCAACCTGGGGAACAGGGAGCCGCTGGAAGAGGCCGAATGTGCAGAGCCAGCTCATTTCCCGCTCCTCTCACTTCAGGATAATTAGTGCAAATTAAATTTCACACCCCTTCTCCCGAGCAGTTAGAGCTCCCTGGGAATGGATACTCACGATTCATGGGGGAACATGCTCAGATGTCTCTTTGCAATGTGCAAATACAAGAGAACATTTCTCAGCTTCGAATTCTCAACAATTCCCCAAAGTTGGCACTAAGGCAGGAGTGCAGGGCCAGGAAGTAAGTGTGCATGTCCGAGTGAGGTGGGGACAGGTCCCCCCAGAGACGGGAGACTTGAGTCCAACACTCAGCTCTGGCACCCTTCCCCTAGGTTTTCTCACCTGTAAAGCCATAAAGAGGGGCCAAGTCACCGAAGAAAAGAAACCTGCTGGTCACCAAGGCCTCCAGCTCAGAAGGGTCCCTTCTTGGTTTAAGACTCTGCTTTCTAATTTTTGAACAAGAAGCCCACATTTTCATTTTGCAATGGATCCTGCCAATTTTCCAACCGGTCCTCCTTGCACGAGTTTATTTATGCATATTAGGTATCTGGGTGAGGAAACATGCACAACACTCCTAGGCGCAAATAATAATAATAGCACCCGCTGTGGGCCGGATGCTGCTCTGAGTGCTCTATGTGGCTTCATCCTCACAGCAAGCCTGTGAGTGGTTTAACACAGGGCTTCTCAAATGTTAAGGTGCCTGGGCCTGGGGATCATGCTGGAGCACAGGGTCTAAATCAGCAGATCTTGGGGAAGGCCTGTGATTCCGTATTTCTTTCTTTCTTTTTTTTTTTTTTCTTTTTGAGACAGAGTCTCTCTCTGTCGGCCAGGCTAGAGTGCTGTGGTGCAATCTCGGCTCACTGCAACCTCTGTCTCCGAGGCTCAAGCAATTCTGCCTCCGCCTCCTGAATAGCTGAGATTACAGGTGTGTGCCACCGCGCCCAGCTAATTTTTGTATTTTTAGTAGAGATGGCGTTTCACCATGTTGCCAGGCTGGTCTCAGACTCCTGACCTCAGGTAATCTGCCCAGCTCAGCCTCCCAAAGTGCTAGGATTTTTGGCGTGAGCCACCGCCCCGACTGACATTTCTAACAAGCTCCCAGGGGAGACTGATACTGCTGTCCCTGAGAACTCATTTGACAAGCAAGGGCAGCAAAAGCGTGGCCTAGTAAAGGCCTTGGTGCTCCTGTCCCCTTCTCTGGAAATGCCTAGGAGATACTTCTTCCTCCAGGTGAGGGCTAGGAACACACGGCCAATTAATGGCTGGCAAGGGCTGGCCTCCTTCTCTTATGGTGGCCACCTCTGCGAAGCTATTTATGATTCAGAGCTCCCCATGGGATCAGGCTGAGACTAGACACCAGCTGACCCCACATCTCAGCTTTGAGCTTTTCCTCCAGTTCTACCCTGTTTCCCACACTGGCTTGCAGTTTCTCCCACAATAAATTGCTTGAGTAAGAATGCTTGTCTCGGGCCCTGCTTCCCAGCAACCCAACCTAAGGCAGGGAGATACTACCATTTTCCTTATTTTAATGATGCAGAAACTGACCAAGAGGTTAGCTTGCCCAGAACATATAAGTGATAGAGGCAAAAGTTGAACAGGCAGACTCATTCCACTACCTCTATATACTTGGATATACAATGCAAATCCGTTTTTGGACTCGCATACATACACTCACATCAATGCACCTGTTTACATGCATGTCTATATACACAGCATATTTTTGTGTGCAAAACGACACTCATATGCACACAAGTAGATATCAGTTCACTCAAACACCTACTTCCACACATGCACACACCCCTGACATCTACATCCCCAAAGATGAAAATGTGCATATTCATTCATTCATTCAATTCATAAATGAATTGTCACATACGTGCTTGGACATCTTTTCACCAAGTCTCAGTGCAGACTTCGCCCCCTCCTGGAGCTTTCCCTGCCTCCCTGAGTGATATGGTTTGCATCTGTGTCCCCACCCAAATCTCATGTTCGATTATAATTCCCAGTGTTGGAGGTAGAGCCTGGTGGGAGGTGACTGATCATGGGGGTGGGTCCTTCATGAATGGTGTAGCACCATCCCTTTGGTGCTGTTCTGGTGATAGAGTTCTCACAAGATCTGGTCGTTTAAATGTGTGTGGCACAGTCGGCCGGACACAGTGGCTTATGCCTGTAATCCCAGCACTTTGGGAGGCCGAGGCAGGCAGATCACCTGAGGTCAGGAGTTGGTGACCAGCCTGACCAACATGGAGAAACCTCATCTCTACTAAAAATACAAAAATTAGCTGGGTGTGGTGGCACATGCCTGTAATCCCAGCTACTCAGGAGGCTGAGACAGGAGAATCACTTGAACCCGGGAGGCAGAAGTTGCCATGAGCCGAGATCGCACCATTGCACTCTAGCCTGGGCAACAAGAGCAAAATTCCATCAGAAAGAAAAGAAAGAAAGAGAGAAAGAGAGAGAGAGAGGGAGGGAGGGAGGGTGGGGGAGGGAGGGAGGGAGGGGGAGGAAGGGAGGGAGGGAGAGAGGAAGGAAGGAAGGAAGGAAGGAAGGAAGGAAGGAAGGAAGGAAGGAAGGAAGGAGTGTGCGGCACCTCCCCTCTCTCTCTCTTCCTCCTGCTCCAACCATAAGAAATGCCTGCTCCACCTTCGCCTTCCACCATGATTGTAAGTTTCCTGAGGCCTCCCCAGAGGCAGAAGCTGCTGTGCTTCCTGTACAGACTGCAGAACCTCTTTTCTTTATAAATTACCCAGTCTCAGGCATTTCTTTATAGCAGTGTAAAAATGGACCAAGACACTGAGATTAGGTCCAGAGTCCCTCAGGCCCCGTCCTCACCCCTTTTTCCAGTCTGTCTCCTCTGCCAGTCTGAGAGCTCCTCTGGGACAGGGTACTTGGTCTGATTTGCCATTGTAACCACAGGGTCTGGTACAGGGCCTGGCCCATAGTAAGTGTGCCATACACATTTGTCGAGCTGAATTTAATCCAGCTCTGCCATTTACTAGCCATGTGACTTTGGAAGAGTCTCTTCCTTCTCTGCATCTCAGCTTCCTCATTTCCTCAACTCCCAGGGAGGTGGTGCTGTCGGGTAGCAGGTGACCCAGTCCAGTCTTTTTTTTTTTTTTTTTTTTGAGGTGGAGTCTCGCTCTGTCGCCCAGGCTGGAGTGCAGTGGCACAGTCTCGGCTCACTGCAAGCTCCGCCTCCCGGGTTCACACCATTCTCCCACCTCAGCCTCCCGAGTAGCTGGGACTACAGGTGCCCGCCGCCACGCCCTGCTAATTTTGTGTATTTTTAGTAGAGACGGGGTTTCACCGTGTTAGCCAGGATGGTCTCAATCTCCTGACCTTGTGATCCGCCCGCCTCGGCCTCCCAAAGTGCTGGGATTACAGGCGTGAGCCACCACGCCCAGCTGACCCAGTCAAGTCTTAAGGAAAGTACTAGAAAACATTTCTTAAAGGACAGGAAGGGGCATTGAGCTGAAATTTGAAGGCATGTCAGAATTCAGCCAGGTGAAGAGGGAAAAGAAGAGTTCCAGGCAGATGGAATAGCATGTGATGTGCAAAGGCTCAGAGGTAAGAAGGAGCTGAAAGGAGAAATCTGCGTGCCTGGAGTGCGGTAGGGAGATTGCCCATGGAGAGGTGCTGAGAAGCCACAGTTTGCATTTTATCTTGAAGGCAATGGAGAGCCGTTGAACATTTTAGTGAGGACACAGCTGATGTGGGTTTTTAAGCACCCAAGCCAGGCGCGGCAACTCACGCCTGTAATCCCAGCACTTTGGGAGGCCTAGGCGGGCGGATCACCTAAGGTCAGGAGTTTGAGACCAGCTTGGCCAAAATGGTGAAAACCCATCTCTACTAAAAGTACAAAAAATTAGCCAGGGGTGGTGGCGCGCACCTAGGTTGAGGCAAGAGAATTGCTTGAACCCAGGAGGCGGAGGTTGCAGTGAGCTGAGGTGGCACCACTGCACTCCAGCCTAGGGGACAGAGAGAGATTCCATCAGAAAAAAAGAAAAAAGCACCCAGGTTGCTATGTAGAGACTGGATCAAGGCTGAGGTTGGAGAGCAAGAATGGAAGTGCAGACACCATTTGAAACACTGTTGCTGGCAGCCAGGCATGGGCATGAGATGACAGCGACTGGGATCTGGGATTAGGATGGGGTCAGTTGAACCAGAGAGAAGCAGATGGTTTCTACACAATCAGAAGGTAGCATCAAGAGGTCTAGTAACAGCTTGGATGTAGAAACTCAGAGAGAAGGAATAACTGGCTAGACACTCCAGACCTCAGAGGGACCCCCATTTGACGGATCTTCCCTTGTATACTTCCCTGCCACACCCATCCCCATGGGAAGCCAGGGAGCTAGTCCCTCTCTCTGCCTCTGGTCTGCTCCCTTTGTCTTCCCTGACCACTGCCAACCCCATCAGTGTTCAGGGGCAACTCAGTCAGGGAGCTGTTCTGCAGCCTGTCTGGTCCTTTAAAGTCATGGAATTTCCGTCCTTTCCAGCCTCATCTCCCACAGAGTTCCTCTAGGCAGGGCTCTACCACAGATCCCAACTCAAAGACACCAGTGGGCGTTCTGCTCAGCCCACGCTCGTCTAACTGGCCCCCAGGCACCACCTGCAGCAGCAAGAGCCCCAGAACTGGAAGTTCCTGCCTTCACTGTGCCACTCACTTGCTGTGTGACCTTGAGCAACTCTCTCTTCCCCTCTGGGCTCCAGTTTCTCCATCTGTAAAATGAGAGAATGGGATGCAATGATGCCTAAGGCTCTGGCCAATCAGAGCACCAAATCCCCTAGGTTGCAATAATTGGTACCAAGGTGGGCGCGTGACCCAAGTTAAGCCAATGAGCACCCATCCTGGGGCTCCTGGTTGAAACTTTGTATAAAAGCATCTCACTTTCAGCAGGGTTTGCTAGCTGGCAGCATGTGAGCCTGGAGATGGTGGTAGGGGGCCTCAAAAGAAAGTGTGCTTGAGGACAAAGCCAATACTTCTCCCTGAAGGTATGTCTCAAGCTCCTGGATCCAGCCATGCCTGAAATCAGTTACATGGAACAATAAATTCCACTTTTTGCCTAAGTCAGTCTGAACTGCATTTCTGATGTTTGTATCCAATGGGATCCTGACCTGTATAAGTCTTTCTTTCCACATATATGTGCTATAAAGTTGAGGACCTCAACTTTAAAATATTTAATGCTTTCTCTAGTGATGCCTTCAGGATGCCTTCTTTGCTCTCACCTGTTTCTCCCAGTCCCCCTATCCTTGAACCTAGCTGAGGTGTCACCTCCTCCAGGAAGCCTTCTCTGACCGCCCTACCTTCCAAAGTAGGTTTCTCTAAACACTAATCCTTCAAAAATCCCATTTAACAAAAAGGATTCTATGGTCAAACAAGCTTGGGAAATGCAACATACTATATCCTCCTTTCGGAGGACTCATTGCACTGAGCCCATAAAGAATCCTGAGAAGTTCTATCCAGAGAAACCAGTTCATTTTGTCCAGTGTTTCCCAAACTTATTTCCTCATGGAGCCCTCCTCCCTTTTTCCATGGAATATCTATTAACCTCCTGCAGGGTGAGATTCCAAGGTGTCACTTGGGCAAACACTATCCGTAACTTCCATAGATTCACTCTCAGTCCCCTTCAGGGGGGGTTTCAGAGCAATTAAATGCCTACTGTGTGTGAGGCCCACAGCAAGTGGCTAGGAATACATCAATAAATCAGACACACCCCAGCTTGGGAGGAACCTGCAGGCTGAGCGACAGCCACACCTTACTGCTTGAGTCTGACCTGGGCCCACCAAGGCTGTATAACCTTGACCAAGTCACTCTTCTCCTCTAGTCTTCAATTCCTCCAACTGTAAAATGAGAGAATGCAATGCCACAATCCCTAAAGACCTGGCCAGCCGGAGCACCAAATCCCTTAGGCTGCCATGATTGGTTCCAGAGTGGGTGCATGAACCAAGCTGAGCCAATGAGCGTCCATCCTGGGGCCCTGCAGGAAGTCAGTTGCCTCCACAAATCATGTGCCAAATGTGGGTTTGAACGCATGGGTGCATATTTTGGAGGAAAAAGAATGTGTTGGCCAGGAACGTTGGCTCACGCCTATAATCCCAATACTTTGGGGGGCTGAGGTGGGTGGATCATTTGAGGTCAGGAGTTCAAGACCAGCTTGGCCAACATGGTGAAACCCTGTCTCTACTAAAAATACAAAAATTATCCAGGTGTTATGGTGGGTGCCTGTAGTCCCAGCTGTTCAGGAGGCTGAGGCAGGAGAATCACTTGAACCCAGGAGGCAGAGACTCCAGTGAGCAGAGATCACACCACTGCACTCCAGCCTGGGCAACAGAGTGAGACTCCATCTCAAAAAAAAAAAAAAAAAAAAAAAAAAAAGAATATGTTTTCTCCAATGCCTCCATGACCCAAAGGAGGTTTATAAATGCTGGCAGCGATGAAAACTCAGTACCAAGAAAATGTTAGGGTGAGGAACTTAAGGTTTTGTACGAAAGGGTAGGGGGATTAAGACTGTGAGTGGATGAATGTGTTCAAGCCTCCCTGAATACTTTACATTCACCTAGCTGAGATGGTTTTGATTTCCTGGCAGATAAGGACTCAGTCTCTGATGAATTGCAGTGATATCATTTAATAGCTGTGTGTCCTCAGGCAAATTACTCAACCTCTCTGCACCTAAGCTTCCTCATCTTGAAAATGCCCCCCAGGTCTGACCTCACAGAGGGAGGATTAAATGAAATCAGGTAGGTGAAGTTCTTAGTCCAGAGTTGGACAAAAAATAAACTTTAAATAAAGGTTAGCTTGAACCGTGATAGCACAGTGAAAACCAATCACAAAGAATGGTCCCTCAATGATAGGGACAGCGATGCTCTTCTACAGAGTTTCCCTAAGTAATAATGGGGAGCCCCACCCTCCATTTCCATCTCCCTCCCACCTCCTGCCCACCAAGACCTTTGCAGGCTCCTCACCCCTGCAGGGTCCCCAAGATGCCTGTCAGTCCTCCTTACCCTGGGACAGAGTCGAGGCTGATTTGGGCATCCAGGCTTCCGTTCTGACGCTCACAGCCCTTCTGGGTTTGTGCCCTGGAACTGGGAGTTCATAATTCTTACAGTCTATCTTAAGCAGCCGATGGTCCTCACCTCCTGGTATCCACGGCCCTGTGTACTGGTCTCCCCATCAGGGTGCACTGGACCTACAGACTTGCTTCTAAGGAATAGAATACAACAAACATGTTGAGATACCATTTAAAAATTGGGTTCCTAAAGCCTCTGGCTTCCTTATTGCTCACCAGCCCTCTCTTGTTCCTTCTCTGCCTGCTCTGCTGGAAGCCACTGCCGTGGTATGAGCTGCCCTATTTGGAGGCCCATGTGGCAAGGAAATGAAGGCGGCTTTTGGCCAGCAGAGAGCAAAAAGTTGAGGACTTCAATCCAACAATCCATGAGGAACTGAATTTTGCCAACAGAAGGGATCGTGGAAGCAGATCCTTTCCCAGGCAAACCTTGAGACATTGCAGCCTCAGCTGGCACTTTCATTGCCATCTCATGGGGGAACCCGGGCCAGAGGACCCAGTTAAGCCACACCTGGATTCTCACCCACAGAAACTGCGAGATAATAAATGCTATTATTTAAAACCATTCAATTTGGGGATAATCTGTTACACAGTAATAGATAACTAATACACATTGCAAAAAAGAAGGGGGTTGATTTTGGGGGACTCACTGACCTGGAAAGTCCAGGAGTAGAGCTTGTTTTGGGTATGGTTGGATCCATCAAATGTCAACAGGCATCCTTCTGTCTCAGTCTGGGTTTATGTGAGAGCAGGGCCTGAGACAAGGGGATGCTTGCAGGTGGTTTATTTGAGGGGTGATTGCAGGAATGAAGGTGGGAGGAGATTGAGATAAGCACGCTGCCTCCCAGAAGTGTCTTTCTGAAAAACAGGAGCCAGGGGCACTTACCCACCAGCTCTGCACTGCACTGGTTGAGGGTGGTCCCAAGGGTATTAATTCCTCTGGACTTCAGAGCTGCACCCACGCTCAGGCTAGCGGGCTCCTCAGCTCAGGAAACTCTTGAGGTGGATCCTGCCAGTGTGTACAGGACTATTCACTGCAGCTGTACCTGAGCTCAGGCACAAGGAGCTAATGCAGGATGCCAAAAACATCTACACTCTCTCCTGCATCCCTCAACTCCCCTCCTCTGAGATGCTTGCAACATCAGGCAGCTTCTTCCAGAGGCTGGCAACAGTACCATGGACAGCCCCAGGCTTTCTTCCTGCAGCCTAGCAACCCCAAGAGAAAGAGCTTCTTCTTGGTAGTTCCAGCAAAAGTCTCAGGATTGCATGTCATTGGATGACAAAGATCATATGATCATCCCTGAACCAATCACTGCTTCAGTGGACTGGGCCTAAGGTTTGACCCATCCCTGTAGCCATGGACTAAGAGTAGTTTCCCTAGGGAAAATTTGAGAAGCTGAAGAAGAAGAAGCTATAAACGCTGGCCAGAAAACAGATAAACAGGCGTCAGTTACATCCACATGAGTCATGACTCATATTAGTGGATTATAAGGTCAATTTATTAGGTGATAACCAGCATTTTTAAAATTAGCATTTTTGAAATTAAAGTAAAACAGTGGCTATCAAACTTTAGCTGCTTCAGAATCACCCAGAAGGCTTCTTAAAACAGCCTTCTGTTTTAAGGCTGGGCCCTACACCAGAGTTTCTGATTGCTGGGCCCTACACCAGAGTTTCTGATTGAAAGAGTCTGGGATGGGGCCCAAGAAACTGGATTTCTAACAAGTTCTCAGGTGACGTTGATGTTGCTGGTTCAGGGACTCCACTTTGAGAACTATGGAAATACAAAATATCAGACTATACTGCAGGTAATATGGCTGTTTTATTCCATGAAACTTGTTTCAATTACATATGCATGTGGACACTGGGTAGCCACGTGAAAGGTATTTCTTTCTTTCTTTTTTTTTTTTTTTTTTTTGAGACTGAGTCTCACTCTGTCACCCAAGCTGCAGTGCAGCGGCACAATCTCTGCTCACTGCAACCTCCACCTCATGGGTTCAAGCGATTCTTCTGCCTCAGCCTCCAGAGTAGCTGGGACTACAGGTGCATGCCACCACGTCCAGCTAATTTTTGTATTTTTAACAGAGTTGGGGTTTCACCATGTTGGCCAGGCTGGTCTCGAACTCCTGACCTCAAGTGATCTGCCCATCTCAGCCTCCCAAAGTGCCAGGATTACAGGCATGAGCCACCGTGCCTGGCCAAAAGGCATTTCTTATTGAAATCACCCTACTGCAGTGAGATTAAGTAATTTGTCCAGAATCACACATCTACTAACTGAAGGGACAGGAATTTGAAGGCAGGTCTAACAGGCTTTTAACTGCAGTGCTCTACTGATCATGGCACTGGCTGCGCTAACTACAAGTAACTCATTACAGGATCTAGGCTAGTTGTCAAATCCTGTGTTTGTCACATGAAGAAGTTACGATACAAAATAATAGACCCCAAAATATATTGGCTTAAACAAGATAAAAGTTCGCTTCTCTCTCATATGACAATCCAGAGGTCCATTGTCCAGGGCTGGCAGGGCAGTGCTGCCAGCCTCCACGTGTGGCTTCCCTCCTGGGGCCCAAGGGGTCTGCTCCAGCAGCGGGAAGTGAGGAAGAGGAGGGTAAAACACACTCACTTTAAAGAGCACAGCCCAAAGTCGCATGTGCCACTTTTGCTCATATCCCATTGGCTGGACCCCAGTCACATGGTCAGACTGGCTGCAAGGGAGGCTGGGAAATGTAGTCTTGAGCTGGAAGGCTGTGACTACTAGGGGACAACCGGTATACTCTACAACACCAGGTAGTGTGGCCTCATATGCCTCACTGAGGTGCCCATCGAGGGGGAGGACAGCCCTGGAAAGACACCCAGGTGGTCTCCCAGTGGCGGTTTCCCCCACAGAGCACAGAATGATGGCAATACTCCCAAAGACAGGGTCCAGCCACCTCTCCCGAGCCCCCAGCTGTGGATCTAATACTAAACCCCTACCCAGACCATTCTTGGCTTAACATTTTCTAACAGCTTTCTACGGACAGCATATTTTCCAGTTTATTCTATTGTGTCAAGTGGAGCTTTCAATTTTAAGCTTCAAAGTTTATTTACTTAGAAAATGTTTGCTTTATCAAAAAAGGATGCTGTGTGGATACTAATAAAGCCTTGTACCTCCAGCCAACAAAATAATCACCTCTGGCTGAATGGAAGTGAGACCACATTAGACTTTACTCCAGGGCTCATTTGTACTGGCCCTGCCACCAAACTTCACCTCCCTGTCTTATTTCCAAACTGCAGATGCCTCGTTTTCTAATTTTCCCCATAAAGCAGTGACTCATAAACAAGAACAGATTTCTCTTGCTTGCAGAAAAGGTAAATTGCTGGCAGAAATAAATTTGCAGATGCTAAAATTTCACAGGAAGGAGCTCACTGGTGCAGAGGGTTTGATATCCTGCCCTGCTCCGCTCTTCCCCCACCTATGTGTACCCTTTATCTTCCCTACCAAGCCAAGCTGGGTGCTGTTAGGGCCTTGCTGAACTCTACAGGCATGGTGAGGAGGTGGGCTCTGCCTTGGAGAATGACTCCCCTGTTTATCTCTGGGTTTGTCCCAGTTCCTGGGCCTGGGATTGGACTGGGGGCCCCTGAGGCAGAGGACTCCAGCATCCCGGCTCCACTCAGTACAACGACCTCGATTTATGTGGGTTACTCTCAGCCTGTGGACCTGTCACTTGGTGAAGAGCAGGCCTGTGGGACCTGCCCAGGGCCTGCAGGAGGTGCTTCCTTGCTCAGGCAGATTGTGGAACCCAGGCCAGCAGGTGGCCAGCTCAGATGCCACAGCATCCTCCTTCCAAGAGTGAGAGCCCGGGGTGAGCTCTAGAAGTCTCCCTGTCTGACACAGAACCCGCGTCAAAAGGGAAGAAAGATGCAAACTGTCATTTCCTAAGCAGCTGCCGTGTGCTCTCACTGTGCCAGGTCTCCAAATGCATCTTTCCCAATCTTCACAAGCAAGTCCTTGTAACCATTTTCCAGGTAAGGAAACTGAGGCACAGAGACGGGACATCACTCACCCACACTCACACTGCCCTCAAGTGACAGAGCCTGGATTCAAACCACCCTTGTGGCTGGTCTCACCTTCCTGCAGGCCTCCCTTCTTTCTCCATCTCTCCCCAATTCCCCCACCCCCTCATCCTGCTTCACTCCTGCCCAGCCTCATCTGGAATATTGAATCCCTCCTTCTCTCCCCTGCTCTTTTCACAGTAAGCACAGAGCATCCAAGGGGGAACATTTTTCCAAAGAAAACAAATTTAAAGGAGCCAGGGGTGGGGGTAGGGAAAATCTCTGAACGCAGTAGGAAAAATTCAGCAGAGGCAAAGGCCTCAGAGACTCAGGCCAGATGGGGCATGGGTGCCTCCTCCACCCTCAGCAAGACACTCAAGGACAAATTCGATTTACAGTCACCCACTGCATACCCAGGGCTACCTTAGCAACTAAGTTTTAAATTTGGTAATATCCTACACCTCTTTCCCATGCCTAAAATCTTCCCTGTTGATAATGTGTTAATTTAAGCTTCTAATTTCTCTTAAAATCCAGGTTTCTGCACCCTCCCAACCCACCACCCTCCTAGGAGGGGTTAGTCATTTACACTCTAGTATAAATAAGTCTCCTGGCCCTTCCTGAGAGAGGATGTTCTGAGGAGAGTTTAGCCCCAGAAAGAATCATAGGCTCTCTCAATGTCCACTCTTCTCCAGTAGCCAGAGGGACTCCAGGCTGTATCATCTCCAAACACTCCAGGGCTGAGTGGTACCAGATGTGGCCAATGACTGCCCTGGAAGACAGCAGGTCAGGTGCCTTCCCACACTAATCCCTAGCATGGCAGAGGCCTGACTGAGGTCCCCACAGACAACAGATGGTGAGCCAACTTCTGCGTTGCCATGGCAGCCCTGGAATGGGGGTGAGGAGACTGTGCTGGGTGTGCACAGACACTTATACCTAGATTACATGAGGGCACGTGGGGAGATGGATGCAAATTTCAGACATTATAGTCCTCTCCTCCACCCCCATCTGGGGACTGCAGGACTCTTTAAAGGTGCCCAGGCAGATGGGGCAGTGGTCGGAGGTCCAGGACCCAGAAACAGACCTGGGCTCCAGGGCTAGGCCTCCTCCTCATCCCTGGCTAAATCACGGCCAGCTGTTAGGTCAAGCACAACCAAGGGGCTGCCAGGGCCTGCATCCCCCTGCCTGGCAATTCAAGGACTTATTCTGTGTAGGACACTCAAAGACAACAGGAGCCCCAGAGGCAAAAGATCTTTGGGGGCCAAAGGTCAGATCTGTCAAGAGAGGCCCCTAGGACCTGCCTCTCTTGTCTCTACCAGGAGTCTCTGAGCGGCACCAGGGGCCAGTGTAGGACCCAACCCAAGCTGATCCACCCACCTCCAGCTCCTTGAGGGCAATTCTCACTCCCTGGGCCTGTCTGAGCTGTGAGAGCAGGTGCCATTGAACCATGATCTGGGTCAAGCTAGCAGAGTTGAGCCACAGCACTGAACCTCGAAGCCCAGCCCCAACCCACCTCCAGAACCAAGCCTGCTTCTCAGAGGACTGACTGCATGCATTCACACGGTGCATTCACACCATGCACACACACACACAGAGTTCACACTCAGTGCACCCGGTATATACAGGAAGCACTCAGGGTGTGAGCACATCATGCATCTGCCCCAAGGGTCCCCTTATCCACCAGTGCATGCACACACACTGTGCACGACTTGTGCACACAACACACGCCTAGGAGGCCCACACACCAGGCAGAAAAAGGATACAGTGAGAACTTATGCAAACACACCCACATTCCTACGTGCAGTATAGACAGTGCATACAGTATAAATACAGCATGCATGGAATAATGCGCATATAGTGCCACAGTAGAGCAAGTTCACACTGCACAGGCACACACACACGTGCACATATACATAGCAGCATTCACACACGCACGTGCACACACACAAACACACACACACAGAGTATCTTCAGCCCTGCAGGGCCAGCCCAGGGAATGTCAGAAAGAGCCAGGAAAATCCCTTCCCTCCTCCCTGGAGGTGAACAAAGACCTGAAGGGTCATTCACTGAGGCAAGTTGGGACCTGGGGAATTCCTGACTTGGCATCTGGGCCAGCCCCTACAGACAATGAGGTCAGGGACCTATTCTCCTAAGAGAGGCCCAGGAAGGAGTATCCTGGCCTAAGCCAGGCCCAAGAGCCTTGTAATCACCTGGGACAGAGATGGGGCTGGAGGACAGCCCCAGGGAGGCTCCTGAACCAGCCCAAAGCCTGCGGCTCCATCCTGCCTGGCTCCCGCCTTCTCTCTCAGTTATACCCAAAAGGCCAGGAGCCCAAGGTGGTGGTGGGGGGCACTGAACAGAAAGGAGTCTGGGTCTAGGCCTGGCTCCACCTCTACACAACTGGGCATTCTGGACAGGGCCCTTCCCATCTTGAGCCTCGGTTATCCCCTGATACCCAGAGGGAATCACCTTGATCCTTCTTGTCCTCATATTGAGGTATATGTCACATGGGTCACTCGTCACCTAAACATCTGACCCTTGGCCGGGCGCATTGGCTCACACTTGTAATCCCAGCACTTTGGGAGCCCAAGGCAGGCAGATCACTTGAGGTCAGGAGTTCAAGACCAGTCTGGTGAAACCCTGTCTCTACTAAAAAAAAAAAAAAAAAAATTAGCCAGGTGTGGTGGTGCGTGCCTGTAGTCCCAGCTACTCGGAAGACTGAGGCACAAGAATTGTTTGAACCGGGGAGGCAGAGGTTGCAGTGAGCTGAGATTGTGCCACTGCACACCAGCATGGGTGACAGAGTGGGACTCCATCTCAAAAAACAGAAAAGACATCTGACCCAACTAGATGGTGAGCCCACGGTCAGGGTGATGCCCCCCCACCCCCTGTAGGATCTCCCCAGCATCGGCACTGGATGGGGCTGTGGACAAGATCAGTAAGAGGCTTTCACCACCCAGGGATAGCCTAGTCCTTCCATCTGGCCTGTGCAGGCTGGAGGGTCTTGCCTGGTCGGCTCTTTTGAGCCACCAAGCCCAAGCCCAGAACTGGTGTACCTTGCTGGGGCGCAACAACCCTAGCATGATGCAAGAAGCACCAAGCTAGAGGTCAGAATGTGTAGGTTCCAGCCACTGACTCTCTGTGACCTTGAATGAGTCCTATTTTGTGCCTCAGTTTCCTCATCTTTAATACAAGGAAGTTGAACTAGAACTGGTCTCCGAGACATCCCATTCTAAGCTTCCATGTCACCAGAAGCAGGTGGTCTGAGCTGGAGCAGGGAAAAGGAGAATCTGCCAGGGAAGGTTCCTCTCCCAAGCTGAGATTCCCCGAGCATCCTTCAGGCAGGCGCTGGGTCAAGCCCTTTCTGCGCACAGTCTCATTGACCAGGAAGATGCCACTAGGATCTCCCATGTGCAAACCAGGATGCAGCAGCTGAGGAAGGACCCAAGGTCACACCCGCAGTAAGTGGCAGAACCATAATTGAATCTCACGTTTATCTGATCATTTAGGCATAGCTTTACTAAATTCTTTACAAGTATTAACTCACTTAATCCACACAATTCCAAAGGTGGGTGCTATGATTATCTAGATTTTGGAGAAAACAGAGGCCTGTCTGTTAAGTAACTTGGAAAAGCCATACAGCTAGAAAGTGGAAAAGCTGAGACCTGAAGCCAGGCACTTTCCACCCAGAACTTAACCTCCTAACCATTGTGCTAAACTCACCCTTCCCTGCTCCCTCAAGGGAAGCAACAGACCGTGCCCAGACGAGGTCCTACTCTGGCTAAAAGCCACATTTCCCCCCCGCTCCTGCCCCGCTACTGACCATGTGTAGCTGTTATCAATTGACTCAGGAACACTGTGTAACAACCACCCACACGACCTCTATGGCACACAACAATACATAGTTACTTCCCCTCACCAGTCTGCAGGTCAAGTGGGTGGTTTTGGGGATCTGGACCAGGCACAGCTGATCTCAGCTTGTCTTGCCCAGGTGTCTGCTGACAGCAGGCAGGTGAAATGGGGGCTGAATTGTCTAGAATGCTCTCACTCGCATATCTGACAGTTGGCTGGCTGTTGCTGGGGTGATGGAAGTGACTGGGCCACATGTCTGTCATCTTCTAGCAGGCTAGCCCGGAATTGATGACATGACAGTGGTAAGGGTCTGCGAAAGAGAGAGAGAGAGAGACAGAGAGAGACAGACAGACAGAGAGAGACAGACAGAGAGAGAGGGAGAGGAAGCTGCAAGTCCTCTTGAGGCCTAGACTTGAAACTAGCACATTGCCACGTCCTCCACTTTGCAGTGGCTAAAGCAGATCACCAGGACAGCCAGAGCTGGGGAAACAGACTCCACCTCTTGAGGGAGAAGCTGCAGAGTCACTTTGTAAATGGTATGATTACAGAGAAAAGGGAAGGATTGGCACATCTTTGCAATCAATCTGCCACACCATGGGTCTGTTTCCCACTTTCATTTTTACACATTTTCTTATCCTATCCGAGTCACAAAAAATCAGAGCTGGGATGGGGGCGGGGGGACTTAAAAATTAGCTAGTCCCTAGTTACCCATTCTGCAGATGGGGAGACTGAGGCCCATAGAGAGAAAGGAACATGCCAGGGGGCCTGGGTTCAGGCTCTTCCCTTTGGTTTGGGGACCAGTGCAGACCAGCAGCCTCCCTCTGCCTCCTTGCTGCTGGTGTCCTCACCACCACCCCACTGAGCTGGCACTTGGCACTGAGTGCCGGGTAGACGGTTCTCCTCTCATCCCCCGCCCACCTCTGCTATCCAAACTGAATGCTCTTATTTATATGAGTCACACCAAGCCCGGACATTTGTGCAATTGTCTTCCACATACAAAGTGCCTTTGCGCATTACCCTATCCCCATGATCGCCCTAATGAGAAAGGTAAAAGCAGTAATAATAGTCACCCTTAACACTTACTGTGCACATTCTAAGGGGCAGGCATTGTTCTAGGTGCTGACTTCTATTCACTCATTTAATGCTTATGTCAACCCAAGGAAGGAGGTACTATTGTTATCCCAAACTATAGAAGGGGAGAATAAGCTCAGAGAGGCAGAGTGGCTTACCCAAGCTCCCGTAGCTGATAAATATCAGGGCACAAACCTAGGTCTGTCTAGCGTCAACGCCAGGCTATGCCAACACACTGGGAGGTGGTGCCTAGGTTCCTTCAGTTTCCTCTCCCCAGAGTTCTGGCCTGGAGTAGGGCTGGAGCTGTGGCTCATCTCCTTAAATAGGAGAGGTAAGCCCATCAGTCTACGTAGCAGAGAGATAAAAAAAATGTAAGACACCTGTAATCCCAGTACTCTGGGAGGCAGAGTGGGGTGGATCACTTGAAGCCAGGAGTTGGAGACCAGCCTGGCCAACATGGTGAAACCCTGTCTCTACTAAAAATACAAACAAACAAAAATTAGCCGGGTGTGGTGGTGCGTGCCTGTAGTCCCAGATACTTAGGAGGCTTAGGCAGGAGAATCACTTGAATCCGAGAGGCGGAGGTTGCAGTGAGCCGAGATCGCACTACAGCGCTCCAGCCTGGGTGACAGAGTGAGTGAGATTCTGTCTCAGGAAAAAAAAAAGATGTAAGAGAGCAGAAGAGCTCAGCATGTGGAGCTAAGCAGCCCAGGTTCAAGTCCTGGTTCTGCCACCAGCTAGCTATGTGACTTTGGGTGATATATTTGACCTCCCTGCACCTCAGTTTTCCAATCTAGAAAATGGGTGTAATTATTATAGTACCCACTTCCTGGAATGGTCATGAAGATGAAATGAGTTGATGTATATGAAGCAATAACTGGCACGTAGTAAATGCTCAATAAGCGTTGGCTGTTATTATCCATATCTGGCCCTTTTGGCTTCTGGAACACCAGAGAGCAGACAAGTCAGCGCTCAGAGCTGCCCTGCAAGAATAAGATCTCTCCATTGGCGGAATGATAGAGAAGCCGACCAGGGGTCTGCTCCCCTCCCTTTGTGCCCCCTGAGCACTGGGTTCAGGCTTTTAGAGACTCTAAGCAATGAAAAGAAGAGGGGGTCCCATCCCCACCCCCACTATCTAAGTCTGAATAAAAACAATGCTAAAATCTAAAAGGAGCACGAAGAAGTTTTAACCATGCTGACTTTGGGGATGATGACAATGTGGATGCTGTGTCACAAATATCATTGGAGTTTATTTTGGTGCCTCCTTCTTGGAAACACTGAAGCATTCGCTTGGTCTGACTTGGTATGGTCCTGCCCTGGGCTCCCAGGTAGCCTGAGGGGTCAGTGAATTCCATGGCAGGGACTGGGGACCCTCAGGAGGGGAGAAGCAAATCCTTTCCCAAGAGCACCCCATACTACAGGGGGACGCAAGGAGAAAACCCTCACCCAGGATGCTAAAAAAAAAAAAAAATTCCTCCATCCAACAATGTGGCAGCTGCGGTTGCCAAGGAGATGATGAGGAAAGCAGGCAGTGCTGCCTCCCACTTGGCAGAGCCCCTGCCTCCACCCCGGCCCAGGAGGGCATTCTCCTGGTGTCATCCTGGGGGCGAGAGGCCAGGCCGGGAAATAGGAGCCCGAAGGTCACATTTCTGCATTGTCACCCATTGTCCCCAGAGCAGAGGGCATGGACCAAACAATGGGCTGATGAACAATAGGGAACAGCAGATGGTCTCTCCCCCAACCTGCTCACCCCCCACCCGAAACCCCACCCCCACTCCCCAGCTGGTGCCGCTGGGCTTGCCAGGCCCGCCTGGGATGTCCGGGTGGGGGGCCCAGGCTCAGCTGGCTGCAGACCCCAGCATTGCACCTGCCCACAGTGGGTTTTTGGAAAGAGGCTCTGACTGGGAGTTAAGACCCCTGCATGATGGAAAATCAAAGGAAGAATAATAACAGCTAACATTCACTTGTGTCTAAAATAAATCTGCTCTTTGTATAAAATCCGAACTCCTAAAAGGCACAGCACAAGCCAACCCCAGCCCACCACTCTCTACGACTCTCCCTAGATGGCTGTCCCAGGGTGGCACCGCCCTTCTTTCTGCCCCGAAATACAGTAAGTCCTTTCCAACCTCTACACCTTTGCAGGTCCTGTTCTCCCACACCTGGAAATGCCTCTCCATGTGGCCAGCTCCTCCTCATCAATCAGGTCCCCCTTCCAATATCACCACTTCAGAGAGACTCTCCGACCATCCTGTCTAAAGTAAAGGGCAACTTGGCCCCTTCAAATGGCGTTTGTCACCAGTTATAATTGTTGATTTGTTTCCTTCTTTATAATCTGCCTCCTCCACTGTGGATAGGTGCCACGAGCACAGGGACTGCGTTTATCTGTTTATCTTCTTCTCTGCTGTCTTCCCTGCACCAAGAACAATGCCAGGCACACAGTAGGTGCTCAGTAAATATTTTAACTTCTGGACAAGCTCTCCATACTTAATCCTCCCAATCCACCCTTCGAGGTTGTTTTTGTCCTCCTTTTATAGAAGGAGGAATGGTGGCTCAGAGAGAGGTTAGGAACTGGGCAAGCCAAGACTGATGGTAACAAGGATGTGGAGGGAACTTGGACTCTGCTGGTGTGGATGCACAATAGTTGAGCCATGTTGCAAAACGTGTGCATATATTTACCATATGACACAGCAATTTCATTCCTAGGCATTCACTCAAGATAAATGAAAACACATGTCCACACAAAAGACTCATGTGTGACTGGTGAAGCAGCTTTATTTGTAATAGCCAAAAACTGGAAGCAACCCAAATGTCTATCAACTGGTGAGTGGACAACATGTGATACCTCTTACCTCTTTACAATGGAATACTATTTAGCAACGAAAAGGAATGAACTACTGATACAAGAAACAACATGGATGAATCTCAAAATGACTATGCGTGAAAGAAGCCAGACATGAAAGACATAGACCATACAATTCCATTTATGTGAAATTCTAGGAAGGGCAAAACTATAGTGACAGAAATGGTGGAGAGGATTCACCGCAAAGGTGCAGGAGGGGCAGGAGGGGGTTCCATGAGCTGATGAACATGTTCTATATGATTGCAAGATTGTGATATGATAAGAAATATATATTTAGTTCTCCTCCCAATTCCTGGTGTAAAAGTTTTTTAAAACCCTTGGAATTTCCTAGGTTACAGGAGGGGGGTAGGCAGCCTCTTATTATTATATTATTCATAACGAGTCCCTTTCAACCACACCTGAGTTTATTCTAATGAGGTGGCTCTTTCAGGATACCGCTGGATGCCAAGAAGACCAATCCTGTGATTAGAAGGGTGGAATTTTCAACCCCACCCCATGACCGCTGGAGAGAGGAGAGGTGCTGGAGGTTGAATTGATCACCAATGGCCAATGACCTAATCAATCATGCTTACATAATGGAGCTTCTGTAAAAACCCTAAACAACTAATTTCAGGTAGCTTCCCGGTCTGTGAAAGTATCCACATGCCACAAGAGTGGCACACCCCAAATTCCACAGGGACAGGAGTTCCAGAACTTGAGACTCTTCCAGACCTTACCCTATGAACCCGTCCATCCGGCGGTTTATTTGTGTCCTTTATAATATCCTTTATAATAAGCCAGTAAAGTCTAGGCAGGGTGGCTCACGCCTGTAATTCCAGCACTTTGGGAGACCAAGGTGGGCAGATCACTTGAGGTCAGGAGTTTGAGATCAGCCTGATCAATATGGTGAAACCCCGTCTCTACTAAAAAGACAAAAATTAGCCAAACATGGTGGCACATGCTTGTAATTCCAGCTACTCGGGAGGCCAAGGCGGGAGGATGGCTTGGGCCCAGGAGGTTGCAGTGAACTGAGATCACACCACTGCCCTCCAGCCTGGGCGACAGAGTGGGACTCCATCTCAAAAATGAAGAAGAAGAAGAAGGAGAAGGAGAAGGAGAAAAGGAGAAGGAGCCAGTAAACTATTGTCCTGAGTTCCGTGAGCCCTTATTGCAAATTATTGAAACTGAGAAAGGGGTGTGGGAACCTCTGATGTGTAGCCGTCAGACAGAAGTGTGGGTTACCCAGGGACCCACTGCTTGCGATCAGCATCTGAAGTGGGGCGCAGTCTTGTGGGACCGAGTCTTTAACCTGTGTGGTCTGTGCTAACCTCAAGTAGTTAGTATCAGAATTGAATTAAATTGTAGGACACCCAGTTGGTGTCCACAGAGAATTGGAGAATTGCCTGGCGTGGGGGGTGGCGGAACACACATTTGGTGCCAGAAGTGTTGAGTGTAAAACAGATCCTAGAAATAGTAGACAAAGTTTTCCTTTCATCATGACTGTAATCGGTTGTGGTAATGAGACTGTATACATTTGTCAAAACTCATCAAATTGTATACGTGAAATTGGCAAATTGTCTTGTCTATAAATTACACCTCAATAAAATGACCAAAAAGGGGAGGGAAGGAGTCCTGAGTTTCAGTTCTAGCTCTGGCATTCTTCCCCTTGAGCAAGCCACTCCCCTCAGCAAAGTTGTGGAGTCAACCTGGGCGCTGAGTCTGGGCCTCCTTGACACTTGGCTCTCGCCAACCTGGTGAGTAAAGCCCATCCAGGAGCATTTGCAACCCAGCCAAACCCATCATTCAGGCTACTCCTGGTACCCCCTCCAGCAACCCCTCAGCAGGCCTGGAGTTGAATGGGGGCCTAGGGGTCCCACTGTCCTGCTCTCTATCCCTTGGGCCTAAAGATGTGTGCACGGGAAGTGCAGTCCAGCTCCAGGAGAAGAACCCAGGGAAGAGGCCCACAAGGCCCTGGAAGCAGCCCAGTGCCATTCAAGCAGGTTGAATTGATCACCAATGGCCAGTGACCTAATCAATCATGCTTACGTAATGGAGCTTCCGTAAAAAGCCTAAACAACTGAGTTCTGATAGCTTCCTGGTCTGTGAAAGTATCCACATGCCACAAGAGTGGCGCACCCCAAATTCCATAGGGACAGGAGTTCCAGAGCTTGGGACTCTTCCAGAATTGGGGGGCCCAGTCCCCAAAGTATAGTCCAGAGAAGGAGGTATGGCTTCCAGGGGAACCTGGGCCATTGGCGTTGCAGACTGCTTGCCCCGTAAGGATGGGACTCGCCGGAGGAACTTCAGATCAGAGCCTTTTAAAGCATATGCAGAGGCCCCAGCTGCTGAGGTCTCACGGCTACAGGCAGTGCTGACAGGTAGTGATTCTGGGCTCAGATCACGAGGAGTTTCAAACGCCAGGCTAAAGAGTCTACTCTTCTGAGGACGTGTGAAGCGCCATTGAAGACTCTGGGAGCAGATCTGTATTTTGGAAAGATTCATTTCACACATTATTGATTATCTACTATGTCAAGGTGCCAGCCACACACAGTAGTGAGAAAGGAGTATTTGGTGGGAGGGGAAAGGGAACACCATTGACTGAGCAGCTGCTCTGTGCCAGGCAGGCTCAGTACTGGGCACTTTAGAGAAATGCTCTTGGTCAACCCTCCCCCATCAACTAGAAGGGAGGCACTCCTCCCCATTTCATAGATGTGGACAGTGAGGCTCAAAGAGGCAAAGTGAGCTGCTCAAGATTACACAGGCAGAAAGGGGTTGAGCTTGATTTGGAACTGGGTCTGGCTCTAAACCCAAGGTCCTTTTTGCTGTCCCCAAGAACGTAACTCTTCTGCAGTGCAGGCAGGAGTGAGGTGGAGAAGCCTCTGCCCTCCACAGAAGGAGCCCCACAGCCCAGCCAGCTGGAACATATATTGACTGCCTTTTTATTATTATTATTTTATTATTTTTAGAGACAGGGTCTCATTCTGTCACCCAGGCTGAAGTGCAGTGGTGAGATCATAGCTTGACCTCTGGGCTCAAGCAATTCTCCCACTTCAGCCTCCCAAGCAGCAAGGACCATAGGCACTTGCCACTGTACCAGCTAATACCTGCCTTTTTTAGAAGGAATTTAAAACTATGCAAAGCAATTAATTTCAGTGGGATTTGCATCCCAATTCTCAGTGATTTTACCACCCTCACCCTCCTCCAGCCCCTTTTCAGTTGGATTTTCCATCATCCTCACAGAAAAGCTAGAAGGGGTTAAGGGAGGGGGATTTTTTCCCCTCCAGGAAGCCTGCTTTTTATATTCCTTGGAAGGATTGGACTGGAGCCAGCCAGGGAACACCACTAAAGTTTCTCAGCTGAGCGCGGTGGCTCACACCTGTAATCCCAGCACTTTGGGAGGCTGAGGTGGGCGGATCACTTGAGGTCAGAAGTTCAAGACCAGCCTGGCTAACATGGTGAAACTCCATCTGTACTAAAAATACAAAAATTAGCTGGGCGTGGTGGCGGGCGCCTGTAGTCCCAGCTACTTGGGAGGCTGAGGCAGGAGAATCGCTTGAACCCAGCAGACGGAGGCTGCAGTGAGCCAAGATCACACCACTGCACCCCAGCCTGGGTGACAGAGCGGCTCTGTCTCAAAAAAAAAAAATAAGTAAAAAAGAAGTTTCTCTAGGATTTACTCAGGTGGAGACACCAGCCAAGCCATCACGGATTCTTCTCCAAAGACCACAACTGCTGGGTGTGTGTCTGTGTGCCTGTGTGTGTCTGTGTTTGTGCATATGT
Source organism: Homo sapiens (assembly GCF_000001405.40). Taxonomy (NCBI): domain Eukaryota; kingdom Metazoa; phylum Chordata; class Mammalia; order Primates; family Hominidae; genus Homo; species Homo sapiens. The sequence continues at coordinate 20,453,836 of NC_000001.11, forward strand.
ATGAGTCTGTGTGTCTGTGTGTACCTACATGTCTGTATGTGTATCTGTGTGTCTGTGTATCTGTGTTTGTGTACCAGTGTGACTGTGTGTCTGTGTGTGTATTTGTGTGTGTGTGTGTGTACCAGTGTGTCTGTGTATCTGTGTGTGTACCTATGTGTCTATGTGTAGCTGTGTGTCTGTATGTGTATCTGTGTGTGTGCCTGTGTCTGTGTGTATGTCTGTGTTTCTGTGTGTGTATCCGTGTGTGTGTGCACCAGTGTGTCTGTGTATATATCTGTGTGTGTGTGTATATTGGTGTGTCTATGTGTCTGTGTGTACCTACGTGTCTGTGTATGTGCTGATGTGTCTGTGTGTCTGTGTGTGTACCGGTGTGATTGTGTGTGTGTGTCTATGTGTCTGTGTGTATCTGTGTGTCTGTGTGTGTAGCTGTGTGTGTGCCTGTATGTCTGTCTTTGTGTATGTGTGTGTAGCTGTGTGTGTGCCTCTGTGTATGTCTGTGTGTCTTTGTGTATGTCTAGTGCCTGTGTATCTGTCTGTGTGTGTGTGTGTACCGGTGTGTATGTGTATCTGTGTGTCTGTGTGTATCTTTGTGTGTGTGTCTGTGTGTGTACCTATGTGTCTGTATATGTATCTGTGTGTCTGCCTGTGTGTGAGTGTGCGTGTCTGTATCTGTATCTGTGCATGTTTCTGTGTGTGTATCTGTGTGTGTGCCTGTGTCTGTGTGTGTCTGTATGTAAGTCTGTGTACCTGTGTGTGTGTGTGTGTGTGTGTGTGTAACAGTGTGTATGTGTATCTGTGTGTGCGTGCGTACTGGTGTGTCTGTGTACCTATGTGTCTGTATATGTATCTGTGTGTCTGCATGTGTGTATGTGTGTGTGTAACAGTGTGTATGTATATCTGTGTGTGTGCGCGTACTGGTGTGTCTGTGTGTCTGTGTACCTATGTGTCTGTATATGTATCTGTGTGTCCGCATGTGTGTATGTGTGTGTGTGTATATGTGTGTGTCTGTGTACCGGTGTGTCTGTGGGGCTATGTGACCTTCTAGTGGCTTACGGTGAGTGCAGATGCTCTGCATCAGACCAGGGCCCCAGTCCTGTCTGTGCCTCTCATTGGCTGTGGGTTCCCCACCAAGTCACCTAACCCTCAAGCCTCCTTTCCCTCCCCTGTGGAATGGGAATGGTGATGCTTTTGCTGGCTAAGTTGAACTGAGGATTGATTGGACAATGTATTGTGTGCATCATGCCAAATGCAAGCGGATTGTTCAATATATGTAGGTTTTTGTGTCGTTAGGGCCTTTCCTACTTCTTGCTAATACCCCTTTCATTCACCCATTCCACACGTATTGATGGAACTCCCATTATGTGCCAGGTGTTCCCGTTCTGGGCACTCAATATCCTTTCCCAGAGATTATAGAATAGAAACCAGACTCGAGTACACCTAGTTCAAGTCCTTATTCATTCATTCACTCACTATTTATTGTGCCCCTTTCTAGCTATGTCACCTATGCAAGTCATTTTCCTCATGAAGCCTCCATTTCCTAATTTGGACAAAGGACATGGAAATAATACCTGCCTGCCTGCCTTGTTTCCACTGGAAGGATGGACTAAAAACAATAAAGTATAAAAGAATGTTTTCATTTAAAACATTGTAAAATAGTAGTTGTTACTAATGCAAGGGGTTGCAACTCCACGTAGGGTATGGTGCTGTATGACTGCAGTCAGAGGAAATCTCAGGCTATAAATGGGAAAGATAGCCAGGCACAGTGGCACATGCCTGTAATCCCAGCATTTTGGGAAGCCAAGGCAGGCAGATCACCTGAGGTCAGGAGTTCAAGAACAGCCTGGCCATCATGGTGAAACTCCGTCTCTACCAAAAATACAAAAATTAGGCGGGTGTGGTGGCACATGCTTATAATCCCAGCTACTAGGGAGGCTGAGACAGGAGAATCGCTTGAACCCAGGAGGCAGAGGTTGCAGTGAGCCGAGATTGTGCCACTGCACTCCAGCCTGGGAGACAGAGCAAGACACTGTCTCAAAATAAATAAAACAAATAAATGGGAAAGGCAGTGGAAGTTTATAGGTGTCCAGCTGAGCCACAGCACCCGTCTTGCCAGAACTTAGTATGAGGTCCTCACTTTAGCAGGTGCATCCTGACTCCATGCCCACCCTGGCCCAGGGAGCTCCACTTTCTCTGGGCCTCTGTGCTCTTCCTTCCTTGAGACAGTCTCTTCTTGGATTGCTTCCTGTTCTTGAAACTTTCTAATTGATCAGCCTCAGGCTACATTACACTCCAGAGCGCATCAGTGGCCTCTACCACCAGGATGCAGTCACTTCTCTTCCCCAGCTCCACATTTCTAAATAGTTGTCTCCCCAGCCTGTTACCCTCAGGGGTAACCAACAACACAACACTCTCAACAGAAACTTCAAGAACCAAGGTCACGCATACTCACTTTCAAAAATGTTTTGGGTTTGCCAGGTGTCCCAGCCTGGAATACTCCCTCCTCCTCCCTTTGTCTATAAAATGGGGATAATGATAATACCTACCTTGTTGAATTTTTGTGAGAATTCAATTAGAATGTGTAAAGTCCTTAGAATACTGCTTGATGCATAGTCCATGCTCAACAAATGTTAGTTTATGATTCCATCCTGCAGGAAGCAAATCAAGAAGTCTCCCCGGCCAGCTGATTTCTCCCTCTGAGCTATTGCAATGCTTGAGTGGGTCTTGACTTTTGCGTAACTTCATCCATTTTGTAAACATTCATTGGATTCCCATAGAGATCAATAAAGCAGGGTGCTGGCCCCGAGGAGCTCCAGCCCAATGGGGAAGACAAAGAAGCAGATCACAGAATCCAGGGTAAATAGGGCAGGGATGGAAAGAACACAGGAGACTGGAGAAGCCCAGGGCTTGGCAGGACTTAGTCTAAAAGGCTTCCTAGAAAGACCATTGCCCGAACAGAGTTTTTGTTGTTGTTGTTGTTTTGTTTTGGGTTTTTGTTGTTGTTTTTTCAGACAGAGTTTCACTCTTGTCGCCCAGGCTGGAGTGCAATGGTGCGATCTCGGCCCACTGCAAACTCTGCCTCCCGGGTTCAAGCGAGTCTCCTGCCTCAGCTTCTCAAGTAGCTGGGATTACAGGCGCGCACCACCATGCCCAGCTAATTTTGTATTTTTAGTAAAGACGGGGTTTCACCATGTTGGTCAGGCTGTTCTCGAACTCCTGACCTCAGGTGATCCACCCGCCTCAGCCTCCCAAAGTGCTGGGATTACAGACGTGAACCACCGCGTCCAGCCCCGAACAGAGTTTTGAAGGATGAGTAACTGTTAGTCTGGCCAAGAAAGGGAGTAAGGACCCCTTAGACAGAAAGAACAGCATGTCCAAAATCCCAGGGGTGAAGGAGGCCTGAGCCCTTTGAGGAATTTCAGGTCATTTGGGGTGGCCAGAGCGGAAAAAGGTGAGGCTAGAGACAGGCTGGGAAATCATCAGAGACCAGATTTTGAAAGCCCTGTTCAAAAGATAAGGCTTCTTTTTTTTTTTTTTTTTTTTTTTTTTTTGAGACAGAGTCTCACTCTCTCGCCCAGGCTGGAGTGCAGTGGCATGACCTTGGCTCACTGCAACCTCCGCCTCCCAGGTTCAAGTGATTCTCCTGCCTCAGCCTCCCGAGTAGCTGGGACTAAAGGTGTGTGCCACCATGCCCAGCTAATTTTTTGTATTTTTAGTACAGACAGGATTTCACTGTGTTAGCCAGGAGGGTCTCGATGTCCTGACCTCATGATCTGCCCACTTTCCTTCCAAAGTGCTGGGATTACAGGCATGAGCCACCACGCCCGGCCAAAAGGTAAGAATTCTAAATGTAACCTGGTATCCTGGATCAGAGCCTTCAACAGAAAAAAGGACAATATTAGGAAACCTGGTAAAATCTGAATAACATCTGTAATTTAGTTAATAATGTTGTACCAGTGTTCATTTCTTGGTTTTCCCAGCCATACCATGGTTATGTAAGAAGTTAACATCAGGGGAAGTGGGTAAAGATATACGAAGATATTCTGTAATATCTTCGTAACTCTTCTATAAATCTAAAATGATTTCAAAGTTCAAGGCTTTTTTAAAAAGCTAGATTTATCTTGAGGGTAATGGGGAGCCATTGAAGGTTTTATAGACATGATATAACCAGGTCAGATTTGTGTGCTCTGAAGATTACTCTGGCTAAAGTGAGAGATTGGAGGGGGCAAGCCACAACCCAGAGAGAGAGCTGCCCTGATCCAGAAGGCTGCAAGGATGGGGAGAAGTGAGCAGAGCTGAGAGCTCACTAGAAGGTAGAGTTTAAGAAATTTGGCTTTGATTGGATAAGGAGGTGAAGGAGAGGGCTAAGCCAAAGAAGACACTTGAGTTGCTGGTTTGAGCAACGTAATCACCAGCATTCTTTGATTACAAGTGACAGAAACCCTATCAAACCATAAAGGAAAGGGAAAATTGATTACCCATCCATCAAGCCCTGTTCTGAAACAAACTGAGAGAAGTCAGAGGTGGAGTTGACTCAGGGGTGATTAGGACCTAGGCCTTAGGCTCCTTCTTCAGGGTGCCCTCTTTCCTTCTTCTTTTTTTTATTTTTATTTTTTGATGGAGTCTCACTCTGTCATCCAGGCTGGAGTACAGTGGCACAATCTCAGCTCACTGCAACCTCCACGTCCCAGGTTCCAGTGATTCTCCTGCCTCAGCCTCCCGAGTAGCTGGGATCACAGGCACCTGCCACCATGCCTGGCTAATTTTTGTGTTTTTAGCAGAGATAGGGTTTTGCCATGTTACCCAGGCTGGTCTCCAACTCCTGGCCTCAAGTAATCCACCTACCTCGGCCTCCCCAAAGTACAGGGATTACAGGCATGAGCCACGGTGCCCGGCTCCCTCTCTCCTCTTAATATTTTAGTGTCATTCTCTCTGTCTAACTGCAAAAAGCTCAGTACTCTTGTCTTTAAAGCCTTATAATCACCCAGGAAAACACATTTTCCTATCAGCTCCAGCTAGAAAAATCCCAAGGAAGACCTCTCATTGGTCAGGGTTGGTCATGTGTCCCTCTCTATACCTGGCCCTGTGTCATGGCCTGGGGAACTATGATTGGCCCAATTTGGATGTTTTCCACCCCATGGCCAGAGGGTAGAATGCTGATGTGCAGGTCCCATTGGAACTAGAATGGGAGAGTAGCAAGTGCCAAGAAAGGGGGTGCTGGTCCCAAAGAAAGAGGGAAAGAAAAGTGCAACAGACAGGCAAAAGATATGATGTCATTTCCAGGAGATAGAAGAGCAGGGGAGAGGCAAGTGAAGGAGATGGAGCAAAAGAAATTGGGTTTAGCTCTGGAGCTGGGGAATTTCAGGTGCTTGGAGGACATCGAGTGGAGAAGCCCCACAGGCTCAGGTGGAGTCCTCTGTGTGAACTCCATTTGGCTGCCTGTGACCTTGGAACAGTAAACATCCTTCTCCTGAAGCCCCCAGGGCTTCTGGGGCCAATGCTTTTGTCATTGGCTGGGCCTCCCTGGCCCTCCCTGGCACACTAACTCGTCACTGCCCACTCACAGTAGAGCTACATGCTTTGTGAGGCTCTGACCCTCCCCAGAGGAGGAGAAGGGAGACAGGATATTGGGCTGCCTGTGGAGAGTTTTGTCTCCTTCCTCACCCCAGACCTGGCCTTCATGGAAAGCTCACTCAGGCCTTTCTCACTCTTCTCTCCCCAGAGGTTGAGATCGGGAACCACACTCCTTATTAGGAGGGAGTTGGAGATGGGAGTATGAGGGCAGGGTCAGAGCTTGAAGAGATGAAGGTTGGGTGTGGGAAAGTTTACGTTGTTGGGGGGAAGATGTGCAGGTCAGTGTAAATCATTGCCCCGAAAATATTTCCCACTATGATAAAGCAAAAGATCTTGTGCTCTGGAGTCAGAAGCCTGGCTTTAAAGCTCACCCTGTCATTTGCTGACCATGTGACCTTGGGCAAGGCATTGAAACTCTCTTAATCTCACTTTTGTCATTTGCAATATGAGGATAGTAATCCTACTTCATGGAGTGTTTGGAAGATTTTAACTTCACTTACTTGATTAGTTCATATATGTACTACATTTAGCATAGTGCTTGGAACAAAGTGAGCACTGGATAAAGGATAACTAACCATCCTCTTTGGCTTCAGTTGTGCAACTTTCTGGGATTTTGAAAGAATGGGTAGATGGTTGCATGGATACATGGATGGACAAATGAATGGATGATGGATAGATGGGTGGTTGCACATATGGATAATTATACAGATGGATAGTTGAATGGATATCTGGTGGGACACAAATATGAATGGATGGATGGATGGATGGATGGATGGATGGATAGATCAATTGACTGATGTATCAATTGATGGACTAATGATTGGTTGGACAGATATATAGATGGATAGATGGTTGGACGGATAGATGGATGGATGGATCATGGATTGCATTATGGTTTGAGTGTGTCTTCCAAAGCTCATGTGTTGGAAACTTAATCCCCAATGCAACAGTGTTGAGACGTGGGACCTTTAAGAGATGATTAGGTCCTGAGGGCTCTGCCCTAAAGAATAAATCAATGTTATTATTGTGGGAGTGGATTTTTTTTTTTTTTTTGAGATAGAGTCTCGCTCTGTCGCCCAGGCTGGAGTGCAGTGGTGCAATCTCGGCTCACTGCAAGCTCCGCCTCCCAGGTTCACGATATTCTCCTGCCTTAGCCTCCCGAGTAGCTGGGACTACAGGCGCGTACCACCACGCCTGGCTAATTTTTTATATTTTTCGTAGAGACGGTGTTTCAGCGTGTTAACCAGGATGGTCTTGATCTCCTGACCGTGTGATCTGCCCGCCTCGGCCTCCCAGAGTGCTGGGATTACAGGCGTGAGCCACTGCGCCCGGCCGGGAGTGGATTTATTATCACAAGAGTAGGTTTGTAATAAAAATGAATTTGGGCCCCTCTCATGCTCACACTGTCTCACCATGTGATGCCTTTCACCATATTATGAAACAGCAAGAAGGCGCTCAATGTGGCCCCTCAATCTTGAACTTTCCAGCCTCCAGAACCTTGAGCCAAATAAATTTCTGTTCACTATAAATTACCTATTCTCAGGTATTCTGTTGTAGCAGCACAAAACAGACTAAGACAGGTGGTTGGATAGACATGTGGTTTGTTGGTTGGATAAATGATTGAATGGATGGATGATTGTTGTTGGATGGATGGATAGATGGATGGATAGGTGGATGGATGAGACAGTGAGATATGTAATACATAGTCCCTGTCCTCACTGAGTTCACAGTTCAAGGGAGAACCAAGATACTGAAAAGGATTATTACAACAGAGAGAGGTAGAAAATCCAGCTAGAGGAGGCCAGAGGGTAGGGGCAAGCAGGAGTTAGCTTGTCAGAAGAGGAGAAGAGATAATGAAGGTAGTTCCTGCCCTCAAGGAGTTCATGATCTAATTAAATAATTAGCCATTTCAGATTTCTTTTGAAACCGAGTCAGGTATAAATAAATCTGTAAACAGAACAGTTAAGCAAGCAAGGTGTTCTTCAAAAGGCAGTGAACTCAGATGTATAATAACTCCTGATTCAAAATATCATTTTCTCCCTGGAACAACCTCAGAGTTAATTTCCCAAATTTGCCAGAACACACACATTTCTTTGTCTCTGCTACTCAGCCTTACCTCCTCCCTAGGCTGCCTATGCCACTGTGATAGAAAAATAAGTGCACGAACCCATCTCCACTGTGAACACCCACAGCTGGTGAGTTACAAGGTGAGACAAGCCCAATCATCTCTGTTAGAGCTCTGCTCCCCTCCCACAAACAGGCCATCAGAAGCCAGGGACTAAATGTCCGCAAGCTTGCACAGCATTTGCCTACCTATAACTGGTTTAGGTTTTAGTCTTAAATGGGATAAAATTCATGATATGAAATTTGAAAAACACCTACCCAAGAGTCATTGAATGAACCGCAGACTTGGCCCTGGCCCCAGCTCTGCCACTGGTCATTGTGCAGTCTGGGGAAAAGAGGACTCTTAGGGCCTCAGCTCCCTATCAGTCAAACAAACAGATAGGTTGGGATGATCTCTGAGCTGTCTCTTAATTCCGATATTCAGCATCATATATATTTTTATTTGTAGGTTAAAAATGAAGGGATTGCAAGGATGTCCCAAAGATTGCATGACTTGAAGCAAGCTCCTTCCACTCTCTCAGCCTCTATTTACTATCTGACACAGGATAGTGGTCATGCCAACCTCACAGCCTTGTGGTAGAGTTCAAATGAAGCTATGCCTGTGAAGATGCTTAACAGTCTATAGCGCTCCAAACCAGTGAATAAGGGGATGGCTTTCTGGACATTCTGAATAAGGAAGGAAGAAGCAAAAGTGCTATGGGGCATCCACGTGTATGTGAGCTCCACACTGGATCTGGAAGGCCACTGCCCAGCTTTGGGTGGGGAACTAAGGCCCAGAGAAGTACAGAGACCCCTCCCAAATCAATGGGAGCATTAGGACTGGAACCCAGGTCCCATCACAACCAGTGCACCACTTGCCACAGTCCAGGCCTGACCAGAACCTTGGTCCTGCTGGGGTCTCAGCTCTTCCAAGGTCTTAGATGTCAGAGTAAAGTGAGATCAGATTCCAAATCTCTTCTCCCAGCAGTTTTTGCAGCTGCACCATCCACATGTGAGGAGGCACACAGGCGGAGACACCCACCCTGGCAGCAGTGACAATGGTGTTATGTCGGCAGCTGGGAAGTGGGTGGCCAAGGGAGGTGTTGTTTTCCACTGTGAGATGCTGGCACACTGGGAGGCTCATCAAGACTGCTGCTGCTGCTGCTGCTGCTGCTACTATCATGGCTGCTGCACAATGGGGAGGGAGGGGGATGTGAGGCCTCAGAGCAAATGGCAATGGGACCGAAGTCTCCAGGCAAGAAGGGGTTACTTACTGCCCTTTGATAACTGCCTGCCCATTGGCCAGGCTCCAGATGGTGGCTCACAGCTGGGGTTCTGGAGTCAGGTGCCCTGCATTCAAATCCAAGTTCTGCCACTTACTACCTGTGTGGCTGCAAGCAGGGATTTAATCTCTTTACTCTAGTTTCCATGTATATAAAAATGGTTTAATCATAGAGTCCCCTTCAAAGGGATGTTGGGAGGATGACATGAGATAGAGTGGGCAAAGGGCTGTCAGATTCTTAGGTCAGATTCCTAAGAAACAGCTTCTAAGATGAACATTTGCATGCAAGAGGCTTGTCGGGGAGGGCTCTTGAGAAAGCACCTGATGAGGTGAAGGAAGGAGGACTGCACAGAAGGAGACACTGAATGATCTGCAGCAGCCACAAACTGGAGCTCTAAGGCAGGATTCCCCTTCAAATTCTCCTGAACTGAGGCCATGGGGCTACACCCAGAGAAAGGGTGTGGCCTTGACTTAGGCCAAAGGCAATTCCAGGGAAGCACTCAGCAGTGTGCTTTCAGCAGATAACACTCTTGGAAACTGGGGGATGAATGCCCCAGTCCTGAAGGGGGACTTCAGCAGTGCATGGCATCATCCACCAATAGGGCTTAGGACTCAATAAATATTAGCTGTTAATCTTCATCATCATTACCACCATCACCACCACCATCATCATCATCACCACCACCAACATCATCACCACCATCACCATCATCATCATTACCACCACCATCACCACCATCATCACCAACATCATCATCACCACCACCATCACCATAAGCACCAACAACAGCATCATCACCAACATCATCATCACCACCATCACCATCATCAGCATCACCATTTCTGTCACCATCATAACCACCATCGCCATAATCACCACCACCACCACTACCATAATCATCATAATTACCATCATTATCACCATCACCACCACCACCACCATTATCACCACCACCATCACAAGCACCACCACCATCATCATCATCATCATCATCATCATCTTGTTTAGCCCCAAAACCACCTTGGAAAGTGGATGCTGTTAATGCCATTTTGCAAATACAGAAACTAGGACAGAGAGAGGTTAATTGACTTGCCCAAGGATGCACAGTTGTGCATGGTAGAGCCAACACTGGGATACCAGATCTGTCTGTCTTCATTCCAGTGCTCATGCCTCTTCATTACAAGGTGAAATTCTGTCCATCTCAATCACCTTTCCTTCCAGAACTGGATAGATGGCCACCCACCCACTCCATGGACAGGAGCTCACTCCCACTCCAGCAGCCAGCTCCAACACTGAGAGTCTCTGTTACGGAGTCACGAAAAGTTTGTTTCTCCAAAGCTTTTACCCATTGAAGCCCTAGATCTATGCTAAAGAAATCTAGCTCCCCCTCACACATTTCAACCATGACTATGTCCACCTCCATGGCAAGAGAATAATGGGGTTCCAAGGGATGGGCCTTAAAATATCTGAGTGTCACATAAACATCCAAAGCCCTGAAATGCTCTTGGCCAGACACCTTCCTGGAGAGCTGCTGCTCTAAGCCCTTGATGAACCCATGGCGACAAGATGAAATCTAAACCCACCCACTTAGCTAACCCCACCACTGCCCTATCTCACCTCCCATCCTGGGCCTCACTGGCATGTTTCAATCCCTTCACATACCCTGACTGCTCTCACTCTGCACCTCTGAAGAGACCCTCCTCTCTTCTGGGTGCTCCCTTCTTCTATCTCCTCTCCTGGTTTCCCCCGACTCACTCCTTGTGTACCAGCTTAGACATCAGCTTCCCCAGGAAGCCTTCTCTACCCTCCAAAGCCCAGTCCAGGGGCCTCTCCTTAGAGTCCTCTGTACCCAGCACTTGTGCCTCCCCCACCACACCGAGAGCTTCGTGAAGGCAGAGACTGTGTCCTCACTGCACTTGGCACAGCATCGGGCATGCAGCCTGTGATTAATAAAGTGAACAAATGAATGAATCACTGAATGAGCGGATGATGGAGCAATGAAAGAAGGAGAGGCATTTGGTTTGATTTACCCTAGTCCCCTAGAGATTATCCAAAAAGAAGAGAGTCCTTGACCTCAAGTCTGGATACTTCAGCTTGTCCTGGTCCCTTTCTGCCCTACCTCACTCCCCAATCTGACATCTAGGGGCCCTCCCCCAACCCAACCCAGTGAGAACTGAATCTGCTCTTAGACAGGGATGTTGCAATTGTTCTAAAAGCATAGCCTCTAAGGGTCCTTAAAAGCTTGTCGAGGCCAGAGGAGAAAACTGGCCTCAGAGAAGACCCAGAGAGGGTGCAGGAGCTACACAAGATCACACAGCAAGCTATTAGCCAAGCTTGACTGGCTGCTCAGTCAACCATCCCTCCCCGGCCCCAGTGAATCCAACTGGCTCTTTTTCACAGTTGTACTGGAATGGCAGCCCCCTTGGCCTCTGTGGGAGCAGCAAGTGGACGATACACCTCTTCTCCCTGTCCTGCCCACCAAGAGGACACTTGGAAGTTCTCGGGGAGCTCTAGATCCCTCTGTCTCCCCACTTCCCTCCTCCCTCCTCTCGTCACCTCCTTTCCTCTTGCCTTGCCTCTCTGGCCACCAAGCTCTGCAGGAGTGGCAAGCGTAGGAGCCTGGCACCAGGGAGGCTGCAGGTTGGAAATAAATTCTAATCAAACACAGAATCATTCCATCTTCTCCCTCTGCTCCGAGGACAGCATTTTTGCCAGGTATTACTCATATGTGTGGAGAGAAATCTTCTGAGACTTCTCAGAGCCAGAGGGGAACTTGCAGGGTTGGGAGGATAAAAATCTCTTTTTCCCCCAGGCTGGTTCTTGCTTTTATTATCTTCTCTCTCTGCCTCTCATTACGGCAGGACTTTGAGGAGATAGATTTCATTTGGCCCTTCTCTCCTCATCTTAAAGGCACAGGAGCTTTAGGTGCTGACGGCTGGCAGGTGCCCAAAAGCAGGGGACAGCCAAGGGTCTAGAGAGTGGAGGAGGGGATGTCATGGGGGCCAGCCTTGAATGTCACAGGGGAAGGGATGGATTCTCATAACCATTCAGCACAGGAGCCACTAGCAAGAAAGCCACTAGGGAAGGGATGAGCTTTCCCAGAAGCAGGGATCAAAGGAGCTCAGGGCAACTATGTTATTCTTAAGGACCTTAATATCTCTCTATCCTTCATCACACAAACCCGCCTCAATCCAATCTCTATCCCCAAAATGGATCCAAAATTCAATCACCTCTCTCTCCTCATAGCCACCACATCCATTCTAGTGTTCATCATCTCTTTAGACCACTGTAACGTGCCCCCCAAAATGTGGGCCCCCTTGATTCCAGCCTCTTCCACTCCCACAGTCCCTCATCCACCCAGCAGCACAAGTGAGCTTTCAAAAGCTTAAATCCTGCCACATCCCTGCCCTGCTTAGAACTCTCCCCACTGCAAGCAGAATCAGATCCAATGCCCCCCCACCCCATGGCCGGTGAGGTGCAACCCCCTGTAGCTCCTGCTGCCTGGCCAGCTTCATCTCCTCTTCTCCCCCGCGTCTCCCACCTCTGTGCCCCAGCCACCTGCCCTTCTTCCTGTCCCTGGAACTTGCCCAACTATAGCTTCCAGGCTCTTGTTGCAAATGCCACATCCTCCAAGGGGCTTTCCCCACCCACCCAGGCTAAAGCAACACCCCAACCCTGTCACTCTGGGCCACGTTGCCTACTGCGTCAGCACAGCTAACACAGTGCAACTAACTAAGCTGGTATAACGGCTCCCGAAATACCCTTCCCAGGATGGTGCTGGGGTGGTGTGGGGAGCAAGAGACATCTTGCATGCGACTCGGAAGGTGGGAGTGAAGCAGCAGCAGCTATGTGTTTTGAATATGCTCTGAAGGTCGGGGCAGGGTGCACCATTGTCACTGTCATGGCCCATCTTTTGACGAGGGGCAGCTCTTGGGACGGCAGGAGCTCCACTCCACAAGACCTCCCCCTTCCACCTCTCTAAGTCCTGGGCCAAGTGTGTGTGTGGCTCCACGGTGAAGGGTGCCAGCCCCTGTGGCAGCTCACCCCAGCGGCATCGACGTTGGAGGTCACCAGAGACAGACACGGGTTCCAGTTTGTCCTCATGCTGGCTCCATCCAGCTGTCCCTCCTGAAGGCCAGTTGGCTGACCTACAGTGACTCAGGCCTAACCCCAGGTGCAGAGACAGCGGCCTGCACAGACTGCCCATATGTTCCCACTGCTGAACAAGGTCTAACCCCTATAATAAAGCCCCAGTTCTTCACCATCAATAGCAGTGTGGCCTCTCCTGCTGAAGCCCAGTGGATTAGTCTCGGGTTAGCCCTCGCTGGTACCCAGCCTTCTTAGTACTGGCTCATGCCATTTCTCACCACGTGACATGGGAAGAGCCTCGATGGCAAGGATCCTGTCTGTCTTTTCTCAGCAGCACCCCCAGAACGCAAAGCGGAATCCGCTACCCAGCAGGTGCCCAGGGCTGACTAGTATGATTAGCTGGCAGGATCTGGTGACAAAGAAGTCACTGGAGATAGAAAAAGATGACCAATCAACACATACTGTGTACATACCTAGTATATGGGCAGCATCAAAGAGACCCTTTCCTGCTGCCTCAAACTGCATCCTCCCCATAGCTGTCCCCAGCCCCAAGAGCACCGCCTCCTTCTCACTTCCCACCTCCTCCAAAGAATGGCCAAGGCCCCCACTTCCTTCTAATCCCTACATTCTGGTTTCTGCCTCCTGGTCACAGAGGAGGCCATGTTGAGGTCGCCAATGCCCAGTCAGCCCCCAGCCCTGGGTCTCCTCGGACTCTGCTGATCCCTGCCTTTTCTGAAGCTCTCTCCTCCCACCCAGTGCTCCTCCCATCTCTCAGAACGCACCTCCTCTGGCCTCCCCATCTTTAACTGCTTGTTCCCAGGGTTTCTCCCCCCAATCCCATCCTCTCTGCTTCTCTTCCTCTCACTTCTCCCTATATATTCCCCATTCCCCACCCTCAGCCCAGGCAATAACACCCACCCCCATCATTTGACCCATTGCCTACAAATTTAGAATCTCAGATCTATCTCCAGTCCCAACAACTCTCCTGATTCCCCCATTTCCAACAGCCTGAGAGAGTTGTGACATTCTGACACTTTTTAGACACAGAAGCATCAAGGTGGGTGTGCCCAATTGTAAGTTTATGCCTTTTATTATCAAGGACCACTTTCAACCCCATTGCTGAGCCTCAGCCTATTGCATCATGGGAGCAGACCCTCGGGAAGGGCAGGAGAGTGCCTGAGACCACTCGTCAGAGACTCTTCCAAAGCTCAGCACCAGTCACCCACAATACCCTGTTTCACATGCAGGGCTCAGCACGTGGTAAGACTTAACACAGGTTTGCTGAGTACATGCATGAATGAATTTGCGTATGAGGGATGAGGTCTCTCCAGAGGGATCTCACGGAAGGAGAACCAACTTTTTTGCAGATTCAAAATCAAAGGAAGGAGGTTAGGGTACGTGGTGGGAGGCCAAAGCACTCTTGCTCTCCAGGCAAGGAACACAGAGGTCCAAGCAGTGGAAGACAAGGATCCCCAGGGAAGAAAGTAAGGGAGAGCACCCAGCAATGGTGCCAGAGATCCCAGGGGACATTGGCATGGGAGAAATCTTGTAAGATTTCCTGCAGGGCCCTACATAATCAAGCCCAGGAGAGGACAATCAGATGCCAATCAGTCTTAGGCCACTCTATGGTGCTGCCACATCCCTGGAAACTGGTCACAGCCAGCCCAGTCTACAGCCCTAGAGAACCCAACCTGCTCCAAAAGCCCCCTGCATCCCCAGCCACCTGGATCTCTGCCTCTGCAGAAGGAGCATCTGCCCAGCATGTAAAGCTCCTGGGATGACTCTCACACTAACATGGTGCTTAACAGTTTGCAAAGACCCTTTACACATTGTCCAGTAACCCTCCCCACCGCCCTGCCAGGTAGGTACAGTATTACTAGCTCAGAGGCTCGGAGATGGTAAGTGACTTGTCCGTGGGCATAAAGCTATCAAGAGGTTTGGTGAGATTTCAACCCAGGTCTGTCTGACTGGGATCTCACTTCTCCACTCCAGCATGCTGTCTTTTGAAGAAAGTTAAAGCCTAGACCTGGTTGAAATTCATAGTTAAAGGTGCGCATTATGTGTTCGATAATGCAGTCAATGCACATAGTCAATGCTCAAAATACTTAAAAATTGCACACCAACAGTGCTGGGTAGTGCACAATGTTCAGAGTAGGTGGTTTCATTATGCACAGTAAATACACTTACTAGGTACATGGCAATGATGGTGCTGGGAGGTGGACTCACGCCAGGGACAAGGCTGAGGCTCTCAGGCCAGTTTTGCCAATGACTGCACTTGATCATGGCCCCACCATGGGTCAAAGAAATCCCCCTGGTGATAATAATGGTGACAATGGGTCCCCCTCCAGCAGCCTCCTCTGAGGCTCCAACTGGGTGTCAGGCCCCTCTTCTCTGCACCCACAGCACCCTGAACTTGCCCTGTTGCCTCAGTGTCTGTTTATCTGTCTGCCTCTCACATGAGAAAAGATTTTAAACCAGACAGTCTAGCTTTACAGTCTGATTATTTATCCACCATTATACTGTTTCACAATGGATGCACAGATAGAATGGATGGTTCGGTGGTGTCTCAGTTTGTTTTTGCTGCTATAACAGAACACCTGAGACTGGGTAATTTATGAAGAACAGAGATTTATTTCTTACAGTTCTAGAGTCTGGGAAGTCCAAGGTTTGAGAGGCTGGCATCTGGCAGGGGCCTTCTTGCTGCACCATCATCCCATGGCACAAGAGGGGGCCAAACTCACTTTTATTACAAACTCACTCCCTTGATAATGGCATTAGTCCATTCATGAGGGCAGAACCCTTGTGACTTAATCACCTCTTAAAGGTCCCACCTCTCAATACTGTTGCATTTGGGATTAATTTTCCAACACATGAGCTTTAGGGGACATATTCAAACCATAGCAGATGGAGTAAGTGGATGGATAGATGGATAGATGGACAGATGGATGGATGGACAGATGGATAGATGGACAGATGGATGGATGGATGGATGGATGGATGGATGGATGGATAAGTGGGTG
Source organism: Homo sapiens (assembly GCF_000001405.40). Classification (NCBI taxonomy): domain Eukaryota; kingdom Metazoa; phylum Chordata; class Mammalia; order Primates; family Hominidae; genus Homo; species Homo sapiens. The sequence continues at coordinate 20,469,902 of NC_000001.11, forward strand.
GATAAATGGATGGATGGATGGATGGATGGATGGATGAAAAATAGGGGATGGAAAGGTAAGAGACAGTAAGCTCTTGACAATGATGGTTGGTATGGTAATTTAAACCCATATCCCAAGAAGGTTCAGGAAAAAAATTAAGTCAAGATCTAACATAGACCCCTAGCCCAGAAACCACCATCCCAAAGGCCTAGAACTCATGAAACTCTCAGTAAAAATGTCTGAAAAGATCTATTGGTCTTTGCTCCTTAAAGGTGAAGACCATCCTCCAGCATCCTACTGTCCTTGCCGTGACACGTACACACTGCCCAGGATACAGTTGCACACGTTGGTCAGAACTAACAAAATTCTCATCAGATGGGATGAGAAGTTATTGAACACCTACTGTGTGCTTGGCACAATTGTTTGCTGAGCAACTGGCTGGCTGGCTGGCTTTCTCTGGCAGGCTGCCAGCCTGGCCAGCTGACTGGCAGGGCCCATATCAGCTCACACAGCAGCTGGCATTTCCTTCACTGTAAATGCCCTTGTCTCACTGGATAGAGGGAGAGTGTGATGATGACAGGGCTGGTCAGAATGATTTAGTTTCATTTCTGATGTGCCCTGCCTGGGGAATTCTCATTGTCATCAGGTGGTGACAGTTTATGGCTATGGGTATTTAAACAGCTTGGCTATTCGTTTCAATAGGCATCATATAAAATTATTAAACAGGCAGAGAAGAGATGGGAGGCATAGCCTGATCTGTTTGGAGAAAGATTACCTGGGAGCTGATCTTCCAGGTAAAGAAATATTGACACGGGTGTGTTTTCAGAGTGTCCCCGGTGTTAATTATGGAGGGGACACCCTGCAGTCACCCCCTTGTGTCCAAAAGGAAAGTGCTGCTGCGTTTATCTCCAGTTGTTTGGGGGAAAATAAAGTTTATTCTTTCACGATCATAAAAGTAAAACATCCCCATCGTAAAATATTTAGAGAATTCAGGGAAGTGGAAAAAAAGAAAGTAAAAAACATCCATTAACCCACATCCCAAAGAAAACATTCTCCTCCATCTTTTTATTTTTTCTTATTCAGGCTTGACATAGCTGAGATGACAATAACGACTAATAATAGTAACTAAACCTTAACAATATATGCGAGGCATTGTTTTAAGTGTTTTCCAAGTATTAACTCATTTAATTCTCCCAATGCTCTCTGAGGCAGGACTATTATTTTGTCTATTTTACAGATGAGGAAACTGAGGCACAGAGAGGTTAGCTTGCCTGAGTTCACAGCCAGTAAGTGGCAGAGTTGGGATTCAAATCATTCTATGACACTGTCTCTCCTACCACGCACACTATTTATATTTTCCTTTTTGCCTTAAGCTTCATGCAGACACGTGCACTTTCCCTTGTCCTTGCATGAGCTGCAGAAACATTATTATTATTATTATTATTATTATTATTATTATTATTAAAGATGGTGTTTCACTCTTGTTGCCCAAGCTGGAGTGCAATGGCATGACCTCGGCTGACTGCAACCTCTGCCTCCCGGGTTCAAGTGATTCTCCTGCCTCAGCCTCCCCAGTAGCTGGGATTACAGGCGCCTGCCGCCATGCCTGGCCAATTTTTTGTATTTTTAGTAGAGATGGGGTTTCACCATGTTGGCCAGGCTGGTCTCGATCTCCTGACCTCAGGTGTTCCACCCGCCTCAGCCTCCCAAAGTGCTGGGATTACAGGCGTGAGCCACCGTGCCTGGCAGATACATTATTATTAATGGCCATCAAATATTGCAAGTTTCTGGACTACAATTTACTTAGTCATTCCTCTGTTTGGGATTTTTTTTCCTGAATTTTCAGTATTCTGTACCATCAATAGCATAGCGGTGAACAAATCTTCACAGAAGAAAACCATGGCCTCCTACAGTTTCCCCTCCCGAGAACATGCCCACCCCATCACCACCACATAAGGCTGGCCCCAGCTCCCTACTAGGCCTTGAAAGCAACAAGTCCTGGCCCCCTACTCTTCACTGGCCCCCAGACGGGATCGGAACTCTGAGGCAACTCCCACTGTGAACCAGATATCTCTCAAATGCATCCAGGCCTGCTCAGGCAAGACCATGTGGACATCGCCCCTGTCCCACCAGCCACCTGGCACTGCACCTCATTTCTTCCAGCCTCAGGTTCTTCCCTTTAAAATGAAAGCACCAACTGAAACCCTACCTACCTTAAATGGTGAGTTTTCTGTGAGGCTCAGATGACACCATTGCGTAAAAAAGGCTTTTGAAACTGGAAAAGAGCTCTATTTATGCTAGACTTTGTTATTATCATAACATTAATTCACTAACATTCCCTGCTGCTGTGTGCCAGGCATTTGTGCAAATCCCTGGGGATATGGAGACCAAGGAGGAAGCTCCAGCACCTGCCCAAGAGGGAACATGGTCTGACAGAGGAGGCCCGATCAGCAATGACACATGGGCCTTGGACAGAAGGAAGCATCGGCACTGCAGGAGCCTAAGTGAGGGAGCTCATTCAGTTCAGGTGGAAGGGTGTCAGGGAAGGCTTCCTGGAGACGGTGACATCTCAGCTTAAACCTGGAGGATTTAGCTAAATGGAAAGGGTAAGAGGCTAAAAGAAGAGCATGTGCAAAAGTGCAGAGGCATAACAAGTATGGCACTCTGGAAACAACAGAGTGGCCAGGGCATTGAAGCGGGCTTATGGAGAAGTGGAGGAAGATGAGGCTTGCGGTGTAGACCACACGCCATCTGCTCTTTTACCTGCCAGTGATCCCCAGAACTGTTTAGAGAATGGGAAAGGTGCTGCACAACCCATCCCCAGAAAAACAGCATCCCCGGGCACACCTGTGGGTGACAGGGCAGCATGGCCCACTGTAGAGCCTAAGGGTGGGGCAGCATAACGGGAAGGGGCCCACCGAGACAGTCAGGACCCTGCTTCATAGAGCAGGGCAGAGCAGTCATTAGAGACCTTCCCCTTCCTTCTGCGCCCCTGATATTAGAGGAAGGCTCCCCCTTCCTCTAATATCAACTCCACAGCAGCGCCTCCCCAAGGACTGCTCCAAAGGTCAGACTTGAGGATGGAGCCCCAGGAGGCTCAGGGAAAGAATCTGCTATTTATTGAGCACCTACTAGGTGCTGGGTAATAGGTCATTTTACCACCTTTCCAGCACTCCTCTGAGGCCTTGATTCGTGGCCCCATTTCACAGATGAGGGTCAGAGAAGTAAAGGAATCGTGCGCTGAGCATTCAGGTTAACGTAGCCATCAGAGAGACCAGGCTGAATCACTGGTCTGCAGCTTCCCCGTTGGTGCCCTTGAACGAAATTACCGCTTCTCTAGACCTCAATGGGGTAACAACAGTGCTGCTGCTTCTGCGGGCTACTATGGGGCTTCACCGAGATGGGGACTCAGAGCATGACGCATGCGCATTCGGACCACGCAGCAGCTGCAACGATAGACCACGCCCACCTCTCCCATGTGCCCTGCAGAGTCCCACTTTCCTGAGGTCAAGACCAGGACTGAGTTAAATCTGAAATCTCTCCGCATTCATCCAGGGAGTCGACCAGTCCAGTCCGAGGCGCTAGTCACGTTGTTGTGCCGTCTTAACTCCCCAGTTTGGTCGCTTCAAAATGCTAATGCTTTCCACCTCAGCTAGGATTGCAGGGAAACCCAGGGCCCGCCCACCCCCCGCCCTCTGACCATCTCAGAAATGCCCAGACACACATCAGCTTCTCTCTGCCAGTGATAGGAACACAGCCAGGTTCCAGTGGACCAAAGAAACTCTCCAGGAGCTTTCCCAAGACCTCCTCCCGAAAGCAAGGGGAGACGGCCCTGCTGCATGACTCCAGTCAAGACCCTCAAACTTTCTGTGCCCCAGTTTCTTCACAACTCCAGGAGATTGGTGGTCCCACTGAAGTCCATGGAGGGTTTATTTATTTCCTTCTTGACAAATATTTATTTAGACACTGTTCTAGAGAGAGTAGCAGACAAGGCATTGCCCTCAGGAAGCTTCTGGCCTTTTGTGCCTGTTTCCCTGCCTGTTAAATGGAGATTATAATAGTGCCTACCTCATACAGTTGTTGTGAAGATTAAATAAATTAACATGTATAAGAGCTTAGTGCAGCGCTGGGCGTGGTGGCTCACACCTGTGCTCAGCACTTGTGAGAGGTCATGCCAAGAGGACTGATTGAGTCCAGGAGTTGGAGACCAGGCTGGGCAACATAGTGAGACCCCCATCTCTACATAAAAATTTTAAAAATTAACTAGGTGTGGTGGTGTGCACCTGTAGTCCCAGCTACCTGGGAGGCTGAAGTGGAAGGATGGCTTGAGCCTAGGAAGTTGAGGCTGCAGTGAACTGTGATCACGCCAGTACACTCCAGCCTGGACAACACAGCGAGACTGTGTCTCTCAAAACAAAAAATAAAAACAAACAAAAAAAGAGCTTAGTGCAGGGCCTGGCACTTCATAAGTGCCCACAGAGACTTGGTAGTGGTGTAGTAGTAGCAATCCTCAGTGGGCTATAAGGACTGGATGAGATAACACACATAAAGAATTTAGGGTTGTAACTGGCACACAGTACTCATGAAATATATGGCAGTGATTTCCTTAAATGCCGTTAGCTGTTACATCAGCCCATTTTAGAGAGAAGGGAACTGAGGAATGAGAACTTAAGTGACTTGCCCTAAATCTCACTTTAAAGGCTCTTAAGCAGGCTCTAAACTAGTATTTCCTAACCTCAGCACATTGCTGTTTGAGGCTGAATCATTCTTTGCAGTGGGGCTGTCCTGTGCACTCTAGGATGTTTAGCAGTATCCCTGGCCTCCGCCCACCAGATGCCAGTAGCACTAGCCCTCTCCCCAGCATTTTGACAACCAAAAATGTCTCCAGACATTGCCAAAGTCCCCTGGGGGGCCAAATCAGCCCCAGCTGAGAAGCACTGCTCTAAACTGACCTTTGAGCTCATATATGAAAAACCTCCTGATCTAGCCCTAACCTCCTTTCCCCCAGTCCCAACACCACCACAAATGCCTTGTTCCAACCAGCCCCTAAAGGACTGCCCTTTCTCAAGCAAACCCCAAACTTACCAACATCTGTCCCTCTGCTCAAGAGTGACCTTGCCACCCCATCCCCTTCTCCAAGGCCCCGCTGAAATCCCGCCCACTCATTAAATGGTCTCCTCACCCCCCAGAACACGTTGTTTGTCTGTGCCCAGCCTTCATCATGATGGGCATTTCATTTTATATCGCATCTGATCGTGAGCATATTCATGCTTCCCTGTTCCCTGTCCCTCATACCCACCCCCAACTCCAGGGGAGGGGCTGTGCCTGACTCACCCCTGTGTCCCCGGCACCCTGCATGGGGCCAGGCACACAGGCCGGGTCATCACTCTGTGCAGATGGTTGTCATAGATGAGACTGGTGCCCAAGCAGCCTCTTGGATGCTGGTGAAGGACCCCCAGGTTAGAAGGCAATGTGGCATGGAATTTAGGAGTGGTTAAGAGTTCAGAGTGGGGGCCGGGCGTGGTGGTTCACGCCTGTAATCCTAGCACTTTGGGAGGCCAAGGCGGGCGGATCACCTGAGGTCAGGAGTTCGAGACCAGCCTTGCCAACATGGTGAAATTCCCGTCTCTACTAAAAATACAAAAATTAGTCAGGCATGGTGGCAGTCGCCTGTAATCCCAGCTACTCGGGAGGCTGAGGCAGGAGAATCACTTGAACTCGTGAGGCGGAGGTTGCAGTGAGCCAAGATCGTGCCATTGCGCTCCAGCCTGGGGCACAAGAGCGAGACTTCGTCTCAAAAAAAAAAAAAAAAAAGAGTTCAGAGTGGAAGCCAGACTCAGACTCAGTTTCCACTCCTGGCTCCTTCCTGACTGAGGACAGGTTACTCAGAACCTCTGGGCCTCGGTTTCTTTGTATGTGAAATGGGCATGATATATAGTTGTAACTGGCACACACCATAAACATGATTCCTAGGGCTGCTGTGAGAATTAAATAAGAAAATGTACACGGAACACTTAGCACTGTGGCACATGACAAGAAGGCTATTAAGAAAATTTAAATAATGGAAAAAAAATAGAATACCGATAGTGATAACTGCGCACTCATACAATGCCTTGGTTGCAGAGGTCATTCCCCCACATTACCTTGTGGGGTTTGATCAGCAGTTCTGGAAGCACCTAGGGCAGGAATCACCACCCCAGGGTCACAGATGAGACTGCTGAGGTTCCCAGAGGACCCAAGCAGGGCTGCAGGTGCCCTGGCTCCCAACTCAGTCAGTGCTCTCTGGTTCCGGAAAAGAATTCTGGGTGAAAGCGGGAGGGGGTGGGAAGCTCCTTCCCCCCAGGTACCCCTGAGGTCTAACTCTGGAACTCCTTGGATAATGAGAAAAGGGGGGCTTCGGAACCCAGGACGTGGGTTCCACATCCTGCGGGGGCAGGGAGGCCGCGCGGGAGGCCGCCAGACGCAGTAAATAATTCACACAGATGAACTGGAGATAAGGGCGGCTTCGTGGAGGATCGAGTTCAGGTCGGAGGAGGCTCAGACGGCTGGGGGGACTTGTGGTCTCCCCGGTCTGAGAGGGGAAAATTCCTGGGACTCTGGCTGCCAGGAAAACACAGTCCCCAGGTGCCGGCTTGGTGCCACTCCCTGCCATTGGCGGGAGGGAGCTCCCCGGAACTGCCCCGCGGGGCAACAGGCCTGGCCAGCCGCCTCCGCCCAGCCGTCCCCATGGCAACCGGCTGGCCTGGTCCAGGGTTCACGGACAACCGGATCCTCTGTCTCCCCTCCCCCACGGGAGGCTGGGCGTCTTAGACTCCCAACTGTGTTCTCTGGGAGCTTCCAGCTGCAGGAACCTACAGAATCATCCTGTCTGACCCCCTCGTTTTATGGGAGTAGTTGAGACCACGGACTCTGGGGACCTGCCCGTCCTGGTTGCAAGCCCCGCTCCACCATTTCCTGCTGTAGGATCCTAGGCAGGGGACTTGGCCACCCTGTGCCTCGGTGTTCATTATCTGTAAAATGGGGATGATAATAAGTGACTGTCTTATAGGGTTGTGAAAATTGAATGGACTAAATGCAAAGAGGGCAGAGTGGTTACTGGTCTGTAGCCAGCACTGAGGAAGCATTATTTTCCATGTTGGGAAGGTGACGGTCACACAGCATGCTATTAGCAGATTTGGGATTGGAATGCAGTTGCCAATTCTTCCTAAAACACCCAGGGTGGCCACATTGGGATTCTCCAAGGGTTACCTGTGCTTCCTGCGGGCCCACCCAACCCCCCTCTCTAACCTCTTGACAGTCACAGTCATTGAATTGTCTTTGACCAGGCAGTAAAATCCCTGAACCAGAAAAGGTCTTGCTCTAGCCAGCCCGGTCTCCCCAGTGCCAAGCACAAACCCGTTTCCTGCACCTCCACTTTCCACCCCATGCCTGGTAGAGGAGTTGTTGAATGAATATAGATTTAATTAATTAATTAGTTCATCTCCTCTACCCAAACACCCTCCCAGAGCAAGCTCCTGAAGCCCCTGGCCACCCAGCTCTCTCTCTTACAGGACACCCCTTACGCTGACCACTTCCTGCCATCAGCCCCCACCCCACCCCACTGCCATCACCATGCTGTTCACAGTTCCCATGGCACATTGCCTGGGTCCTCCTCCTCCCTTCAGCCTGCCCTCCCTCACTTCCCTCCCCGGTTAGTGACCCTTTGTCCTCAAAATGGCTGTTTTGGGGTCAAGGACCCTCCTCCAGGTCCAGAGGTGTACATTTCCCCTGGGTTAAGGAAAAACCCTCCAATGTGAGAGGCAACAAAGTAAACCGTCCTCATCCCCCATCCTGGGGGAGACAAATGGGGGCCTGGTACTGCCACGATGGGTGTAGGGGTAATCCAGCGGCTTTCTGGGACTCTCCATCCCACTAGGGAGGTGGCAGGGGCTTTTGGACGCAGAATCTCTGCCCTTAGGGGCCACCCCACAAGCTCCAGCCCAGCTGCCAGGTTTCCTCGGATACGGCCCAGTCGCCTCTGATTTATTTTTGCATGTGGTTTGGGAGAATCTCTGTTGCTGGAATAACGACAACCTTTTTTTTTCTCTCTCTCTTTTCCTTCCCTCCAATAGGCAGACTTTATAAACCAGAGCAGCTGCCTGAAGGTTTCCAAGAAAAAAATTCTGCACAGTTTCTAACCAGGGTGACAGTTCCCCTCCACAGGAAGTTACTTTTATTAATTTTTTTATCTCTTCTTTTGTAAGACTATATACTGGTCATCAGGCAGCACCTGTGGGCATTTTCTTATTTCCCCCCACTGCTCCCATTTGCCTGGAATTCATTATTAAATCTAACTCATAGTGGCCTTGCCCAACACAGGGGCGAAGTTCAAACTACTGAAAAATGGGTCACTCAAATCGCCTGTGCAGAAGAATCCCAAATAATTTATGGAGATACTCCTCCCTCAAGGCGGTGAAACATAAATCCCTGTCCCTGAAGTGTGGGCTGTGCATAATGATTTCCTTCTATGGAGTATAGTATGGAAAGCAGGGGGAAAGAGTAATCTTGCAGGAGAGAAACCTGACAAGCACTAGCTCAGCCAGATGGCCAAGGTCAACATCAGCAGCGATCAGTCGTGTCTATAGCATGGACACTTGATATGATGTGATGGAAACAGCACATCACCCCCAAACCCATAACCACAGTTGAACCATGAGAAAAACAGCAGACAGACCCCACCTGAGGGACAGTCTACAAATTACCTGACCAACAGTCCATCAAAAGCAAGGAAAGTCTGAGAAACTACCACAGCCAAGAGCAGCCTAGGGAAATAAGATGGCTGCATACAATGTGAGAGACCCTGTGGAACAGAGAAAGGATGGTGGGTAAAAACTAATAAAATCCAAATAAACTACAGAGTTTAGTTAACAATAACATACCAGTGTTGTGGAAAATGTACCGCAGCAATGTCAGGTGTTAACAATAGGAGAAACTGGGTTGGGGTATATGGCAATTCTGTACTATCTGCAAAACTTTTCTGTAAGTCTAAAACTATTCTAAAAGTTTACATTTTAAACAGTGAGTCATCTGTCTGGGCTTTAGGTAATCCTCAAAACCTAGCTATCTTTGATTCCCCTTTTTTGCCATTTATGAAGGATTTGAGCTTCTGATGTGGGGGGTATCCAAGCCCCTAGATCCCAACCTCATTTCCATAGGAAGAATCATCATTTTCAAGCTCAGGAAAAACATCCATTTTGTTCACCATGGTATACCCAGATAGCCTAGCACAGTACCAGGCACATAGTAGGTGCTAAATTGATATTTGTCCAATGAAAGAAACTTGAGGAGGTCTTCTTGAAGGAAGTGATCCAAGCAGAAAGCCAAGATCTTCCCTTCCCAGGGCGAGAAGTAAGTACCTCTTAGTCTCCATCCAGAAAAGGAAGACTTCTGGCAATCTGATTAGAAGCGGGTAGAGACTCCTCTTGACTCTGCCTTTGGAAGGCAAGCATGTGGATTTACTTAGGATTGTATTTATTAGGACATTTTGGGAGCTGATGGAGATCATGAGAGGCAGGCTGATCCCCCCAAACCACTCCCCACCTCCTCACCCAAGACCCCACCCTTCAAACCCCCAAGATGCCTCCACTGACCCTCAGGGCAACTGCCAAAACTATACGCAAAGAAGCTTCATGCAACAAAAACAGTTGGCTAGATCTTAAAAGTGCATTTCCTGGCACATGGTAGTCACTTCATATATGTTAATATTGATGGATGCCATTTATTATGCACCAGGCCCTGTGCAGGGAGAAGGGAGGAGTTTCCATCTAATGATGTGTGAGAATTGTCATTATCCCTATTTTATAGAAGACAAAACAGAGGCCCAAAGAACTTGAGAAATGCCCAAGTCACAGCTAGAAAGTATAGGAGATTTCAAATCCAAAACATCTGTGTCCCAAACCCATGTACCAGCCACCCTAATGTCTGACCCCTCCCTCTAGGCCAGAGCTTCCCACCAGGCCCCCAGACCCTGGGAGTCCCCTCCCTGCTCTCTGCAGAGGCACCCCTTACTCATCCCTTCATCTGTCTCCTCCAGACAGCAGTGATTTTCAAGTCTCTCTCTTTTAAAACTTAATTTGCCAATTTCCCCCTTAGAGGTGCTTTTTGATATTCCTTCAGGCTGTCAGCCTGGACAGGCCACGCAAGCAGAATCCAGGGAGATGGATGCTTATTACAACCATTCAATTAATTAAGTTTGAATAATGCAGCGCTGGCATGCTCCCATCGATCAGTGGAGGCCTATAGACCTCCCCCACCTTGGACTTTTAATAGCCTTTTCCATATTTATTGCTACCTAACCGGACACTTCAAGCATATCCTGCACTTGGTATAATTTGATATCTGCCCGGTCCCCAAAGTGCCCTCTCAACAAATGTTTACCTGATGCTATAGTGTATTTAAAAGATTTATATTCCTTTTTGCTGAATGGAGTCCTTCGGAAAGGAGGACTGTCTTCCCAAGCAGAGGATCCGGCATTCGCTGGCGGGGTGGCCTCCAGCAGGAATGTTTTAATACATCACTTATTAAAATGGACCTGGAGCCTTGGCCGAGGGCTCCCATACTCCCTGCTTCCCAACAGAGGACAGCCTTAGGCCTTAGCTGACCACTTCCAAGCCCTGCCCCCCTTCTAAACCCTTACACAATGACTATCAGAGCCGACAGGGCCTCAAACCAACAAACCAACAAAGGACCTTTAAGGCTGAAGGACAGTGACTGCAGCTGGGACTGAGCCTGGTCCTGGGGTCAGATGACCCTGCATCCCCCTCCTGAAGGGTGGACCCTGGGTTTCAGTCCTGGCTCAGTGACTTACTAGCTGAGTCACCTTATACAAGTTACTTCACCCTTCTGAGCCCCGGTTTCTCCTGTACAATCAGGATAATAATAGTGCCTATTTCACAGGGTTTTGTGAGCCTGGTATACAGTAAGAGCTCAATTAATGCAGAGGCTGTGCGATCCTTTTGGCCTCTCTGGGGCCTCGATTTCCTTACCTACTGAAGAGAGCAACTCATGGGTTTCTAGGGGTGCTGGGATGATTGCATAGGAAAACAGGAGAGAAAACACCTTGTAATTACACAGTGCTTTGATCACGTCAGTGGCAATTACTCCTGGGTGTGGACACAAATCGTGTCTTCTGAAAGAATCTTTTCACATGGCTTCTGCCCCTCGGCAGATTGATGCCTTGTCCCCCTCAGCCTATCAGCGGGAATGCCAGGGGATGGCTGAGCTCCATGGTGCCCATCAGCTCCCAGGTGCTGGGAGTCCCCGGGTAAGCAGGGAGGAGAGCAGGTTCTGGAGGAGGGTCAGGTGCCTGGGAAAATCAATCTGGCATTCCCACTCCTGTTGGCCCCGCCAGCCCCAGCTTGCTCACCATTCCCAATAATAACTGCTTGCATGGAGAGCTCTCTGCTGGGACCTCCTGAGCCCTTGGGCCTCCACTGCCTGGGAAGGAGGTTGAGACATCACCCACTCTGGGCCCTCTGGAGCCCCTCTTCCTCCTGCCTGCCCCCCTCCCCTAGCCTCTCACCTGAAGTCTGAGTCACTCTTAGGCTCCTGTCACTGTGAGCTGTGTTGTGACGCCTGGCTGACAGCTTTACCACAAACACATTAAAAGCTCCCAGCACTTCTGGGTGTGTAATAGCCCAGGAGAAAAAAAAAAACTCTCCCAGTCTTTCTTCAGCCAAAATCCTCCTCCCAAACCCTCCTCCCCCAGGGGCCTGCTCCACGACCTTTGACTGCCCCAAGCCTAACAAGGGGCTAAGATTTGTCTTCCTATCAAGCCCTTCTAACTGATGATTAGAGAAAGGCTGATAAGTGCAGGTGCCTGAGACCTCTCAGGCCGTGCACCCCCAGGAGCAGCGCATCCCTTGACCTGTGAGCCCCGGAAGGTGAAGATGAAGACAGAATGCAACTCATCTGCAGCCCCGCCTCTGAGGACAGGGGGCCCCTGGCGAAGTATGAAAGGTGCGTAGAGTGGCCTGATACTGAGTGTTCCCATGTGCTGGCACTGTGTTCATCCTCCTAATAACCCTATGAGGCAGGGGCTGAGTTATCCTCACTTTACAGATTAGGAAATTGAGGCACTTGCTCAAGTCTAAAGACCTAGGAAGTCGGGTAGCTGGGACTCGCATCCAACTCTGCCAGCCTGCAAAGTCACTCTTAACAAGACTGCCTGCTTCCCTGCACAGTATCCCTCTTTCTCCCCTCACCCCACCAGAGATGGCAGAAACCTCAGGGATGCAGTGAGAGCTCAACCTGCAAATCCAAAATGGAATAAATTCACCTTAGGGGGATGGCCTTGCCAGTCCAGTCCATCTTTCCTCTCATCTGAGCCCACCCATAGGGGACCCCAACATTGCCTTTTTGCCTCGCAGACCAAAGCCACCATCCCTCCTTCCTGTCTGCAGCCAGCCCACAAACAGCAAGTCATGTCCCCCCCACCCCACCCCCCCAGCCAAAGCAGAGAAAAGAGAGGAGTGAGACACAGGAACAATTCTTTTATTGTACATTGGAGAAATAGCCCTGTGTGCTGGTTCAAGGTGCAACATACAGAATATTGAATTAAGAAAAGAGGGAACGGGGAAGGGAAGGGAAACCTCTTGAGGTCCAAAGTTGCAAACAAAAAATGGTAAAAGATTTCCTCACGCAAGAGGCATTTTTGCAAATACCATGCAAAACAGGCAGCTGGTGTGCCTTAAGAGAATCCCTATAAATAACAGAAAAGACACTCCAAGCATTCCTGTACGTGGACTCAGAGCACAGAGAAAAGAAACTAAAATGCCTTTTGGCATTTCAAGATATTTGGCACTCTTGTGATTACATTTTTTTACAGTCCATTAAAGAGAATAAACTGACATAATATTAGAGAAATAAACAGGCTGCTCACACAACAGACTGCAAGGGGAAGTTAGAAAAAGCTCAAGCATTTTTTTCTTTGTTTTTCGTGTGTGTGTGTGTGTGTGTGTGTGTGTGTGTGTGTTTTTCTGACATAAAAAATGTGTCCATTTGCATTAACTTGGGCAGATAGCTTGCAGCAACAAAGAAACACAAGCTTTACAACTCATTTTAAAATAAAATCTTTTCTATGTATCATTCCTTAGAAAAGTTCTCTTCTTGTTTTAAACACATTCCTGATAACTTCTAAAGATGACCAAAATAAAACAGAATATCTACAGAGATCATTTTCTGAATTTTTTGTACATCCAAGGATAACAACATAAAAAAAATAAAACTGGACAGCATTTCACATCCAAGTGCACAGAACCATTTTTGCAAGATTAAATAATGTAAACATTGGGAACAGCCAAATCAGCGAAGAATGCCAACACCTCAAAACACCTGGTGTTGCCGCTTCATTAAGTGGTTCAAAATCCAGATCTATAATTGCGCAATATTCACCGTATATAAAAAGAAATGGATATTAATTTTGACAAATAGCTGCAACTGAGACTTCTTTTTATTTCTTTATATGTGTATATAGTGAATTTTTATTATTTTTAAAATTTTATTTATTTTTTTATTTTTATTTTTGCAGAGGAGCCCAGAGCCTTCTCCTCCTCCTCCTCCTCCTCTCGCCTCATCTGTCTCCCGGCCTGATACCAGATACAGGTTGTTGATTTCATCGTGGGTAGCAAGCTAGTAATAAATTTCAAAGTGCTTTCTCTTTTCATGCTTTTTGCCAATAACTGTTACCGCCGTTCTTATTCTCTCCCTTAACTCATTGTCTTTGGGGGAGTTAGACACCAGGAGGTGCCTTGTCGGTCATATTTTTCAGCACGTCATCAATCCTATCATCTTCAATAACAACTGCAAAAAAAGGGGGGAAAAGAGAGGTGAGCGCGCTGGGGCCTAGCCAGAGGTCTCTGACATTTCCCGTTATGCCCAGAGTGGGAGGTCGGGAGAGGAGAGGGCGAGGGAGCAGGGCTCACTGCGCGGTGAAACAGCTCCATCCTCCGTCCCTGCCAGGGGTCCCTTCCCTGCTTTCCTCTGAACCACCCACCACCCTCTATCCTCCAGCCTGCGTCCCAGCTCCATTCTGAGAAAAGGAAACAGAGGGCGCCAACCCAGCCGCTCCTGCTGCAGCCAGGGCGCGCACTGGCCCGCGTCCTCCCCGCACCAGGCGCACTAATTTAGACAGAAATGTCTGGAGCTGGGATAGGAGAGGGAGCCAAAGTCTTTGGGTCTCGGGACCCCAGGTAAGTCCCGAGCGCAGCTCCGGTGGGCAAGGCTAGGTGCGGAGATGAGCGGAACCAGGAGGGGACGCCAAAACCGGTTCCCACGACGCGCAGCGGGTGGGGGTTAGGGCCTGGCCTGGGCGGGCGCCCCCTCCTGCGCGCCCTCTCCCAGCCGCTGGCCGACTGACTCGGCCGCCCCGCGCTCCCCGCTGCCGCAGAGGTCAGAGCCTCCCTTCGCTGCCTGCCAGGGACACATGCCGTAACCTCGGCCTCTCTTACCGTCTCGACTTAGCCTCGCCTTTCTCAGTCCCTCCATCGTCCCTCGGCGCGACGGCCGGCAGCCGATCGAGGTCTCTGTCTCTCCCTGTCTAAGGTGTCGGTCGCCCTTATTGTTTCGGCGGCTTCTGCGTCCTCCCCAAACGCGCGTCCTCGGCTCTGTCTCTCCCGCTTCAGCTCCCCTCTCGGGAGCTTTGTCTCGGTCTCTGCCACCCTCGGTCTCCCGCGTACCCCCTCCCCTCCATCCCTGCGTCTCAGTCTCTCTCTGCAGCCGTCGGTCCCCCTCATTGTCCCCGCGTCTCTGGAGCTCCTCTCGGAGCCTCTCTGCGTCTCCGCCTCTCTGGGGCTTTTCCAGCTCTCGCGCGGATCGCCCAGGCCTGGCAAACCCCCTCCCAAGCCAAGTAACAATGAAAAGCCCGTGCGACCCGAACACCCTAGCCTTCCCCGCAGGAATGGGATCCTCCCCACGCAGGTCCCCACGCCGTCCCCTGGGGGTCCCTGGGACCCCCTCCCCACAGGGTTATGGAGCGAGTGCAGCTGTGACTACACTGCGCAAAAGGCGGGGGTGGGGGGCGCAAATCAAAAAGCAAACTTTGCCGCGCGGGTGGAGACCCCCAGCTGCTGCTAGAAGCCGCCACGCCCCCAGGGTGACCCAGCCGGGGATCCGGCTTAGGGGGACGCGTTCCTGCGACCCGCTTCAGCCGGACCCGCAGTGCGGGATCCCCCAATTCTGCAAGAAGGGATTCCGTCAGGTCTGAACGGGCTCCAGCGGGTGGGAGACCTCCGCAACCCTTGTTCAGGCCGCGGCGCGGGAAAAAGGGGGTGTCAGACAAGGGGGCCGCGAACTCACCCCGCTTGCTCCGGCCGATCTGGCCCAGCTTGGGCGGCCGCTTGTTCTGCCCGGCGCCGAAGAAGTTGTTGGTGTCCTGCAGGCGGCAGGAGAAGATCTGGCCCACGTCGCCGCCGTCGCCGTAGGGGCTCAGCTTCTCGTCGCCGTAGGGCAGCACCTCCGACATGGTCGCGTCCGGGGGCTCCGCCGCGGCGCCTCCTCCGCCCGCGTCCCCGCCCGCGGCGGACAGGGTCAGCGGCGCTGGGGCCGGGGGCGGCCGGCCGGGGACGGCCCGCGGGCTGCTGCGGCGGTGGCGCCGGCGAGAGGCCGGGGGACGCCGCTAGGGCAAGAGCGCGGCACTCGCGCGAGCGGCCCGGAGAGCGCCCGCGGCTGCGCTGCGCTGCGCTCCGGCTCCGCGCGCGAGTGGCTGCTGCTCCGCCAGAGGCGAGCAGGACTCACATCCTCGGCGCGCTGGGGCTCTGGGCGGGGGCCGGGCCGGGCGGGGCCGCGAGCCGGGAGGGAGGAGACGTCCCTGCGAGCCCGGAGGGCGCGGGACCGAGGAGGGCGCACCCCGGGAGCCGGGCGGGCCGGTCCTGCGGCGAGTGCGGGCGGCGGCGCCGGTTCGGGGAGGCAGACTGGGAGCTGCGAGCGGCGGGGCTGCGAGGGGCGGAGGGGGAGGGGAGGGAGAGAGGAGGGAGGGCACCGGGGAGGAAACCCGGAGGGAGGGTGGGGGAGAGAAACCGAGAGGGAGACGGGGCTGAAAAACAGGGACTGAAAGACAGGGAGGCAGGGGAGACGGTGGAAGGAGACAGAGGAGAGGGGGAGAGGAAGGAGAGGAGGAGAAAGAAGAAAAGGTGGGGTGGGGGACGAGCTAGAACGGAGAGACAGGGGAAAGATGAGAGGAGGAGGGAAAGGATCGGGAGGGAGAGGAAGAGGGTCGGAGAGGGAAGGAAGGGAGAAAAACAGAGGGGGGAGAGGGAGGCAGGGATAGAGGAGGCAGCGAGCTGCGAGGAGAAATGCCGGCCGCGGCGCCGAGGCGAGGCGCGGGGAGGAGGGCGGGAGGAGGCGGGGAGGAGGGGACCCGCGGGCCTCGGGGAGAGATCCCTGCGAGCGGAGCGACGTCACGGGGCCGCGCCGGCCGGCCCGGGCTGCCGCTAGCTTCCTGCCCCCGCCCCCAGCCCCCGCCGTCCCGCTCACGGGTGTTTACGGGGCCCGGAGCTGGTGCGCGCCCGCCCCGCAGCCGGCTTTGCCTCCCGAGGGGACCTCGGGGGGAGTGGGGGTTCCGGGAGCTGGAGAGGGAGCGGACAGACGACGCACACGCGGGGAAGGGCGGAAGCATGCTGACCCCCCTGGGGGGCAGATGCTGCGGGGCAAAGATCGGAGGGCTCCAGGGCGACCCGCGGACATAGCCTCCCCCGCCATCTGCAAACCGGGGAGCCCTTCCTCCCCACCACACTTGCTCCCCAATTCAGACCCTGAGGGCCCAGCCACTGGGGCCTCACACTCTCCTCCCGCCCCGGCTCAGTCCGACCTGGAAGGCCTCACTCCCCCACGCCCCCGCCCAACTGCGCTGGACTCCGGCTCCCGCAGGGCCTCCAGGAGGGGGAGGGGGAGAGGGAAGGGGCAGCCCCGCCTCCCGCAGGAGAAGGGAGCGCCTCATTACGCCGGGCTCGCCCGGGATGCCTGGCTCCCGGCGTCCGCTGCCTCCGCTGGGGACGTCCCGGGTCTGCCGCCCTCTGCCCTCGGGGGTCTCCCTTCCAGCAACAGCCGTGCGCCCTGTGGAGAGACTATGGCCTCTGAGAGGAGGAGCGGGCTCCTCGATGCCGGGAGGGAGACTGGGGCAGCCCCAGAGGCCTGGGAGGCGCATCTGCCAAGCAGATGGTAACTCCGAGGGGGCAAGGTGCATGAGGAGCGCTCATTATCCTCGCCGGAGCCAACAGCACCTGCCCTCCGCTGGAGACCGTCTTTGCTTAGTAGAGCCGGCCTGACCACAGGGAGGGGCAACCACCCCAAGGTCATGCCAGCTGCTGGAGGCAGGGCTAGGAAACACATCCAGGTGGCCCAGGTGAGTCTCACCTGGCTCATCCTGCTGCCCTGCAAGGGGTCCCATCAACAGTGAAAGGAGCTCTCCCCTCCTATCTAGAACTCTGGCGGGTGGGAGCTGGAGGCAGAAGGGGAAGGTTTTTTCCTGGTATAACATCTGGTGGAGGGGGGAGTCAGTCCAGCCCCCTCTCCAAACGGTGTAAAAGGATTGGCTGGCCTCGGGAAGCCAGAATCCATGGGGGGAGGAGGAAGGGAGCAGAGAAAAGGGAGACTGAAGCAATGTGGCAGGTGGAATAAGCATGTCCCTTGGATTTAGGTCTGGGTTTGAATCCCAACCCCGTGGTTTGCTGACTGTGTGACCCTGGGTGGGTCATCTCTCCTCTCTGAGCTTCCATGGTCTCAGCTGTCAAATGGGTATATGGCTAGCCAGTACCTGTGTACCCTGCAGGACAGTTATGAAAACAAAAATAAAATCAGGCTCTGATGCCTGGCTGAGAGTGGATGTGCAATAGACATTTGAGAGATGACTTAATGAGTGAGAAAGAACGGTAGCACTTCATTTGTTTCCATTTCAGGACCACATGAGCTGGGAGAATCCTTAGAGATGAGCTGGGCCTATCCCTCATTTCCATATGGGGAAACAGAAGTCCAGAGGGCCAGGGGCTAGCCCCAAATCCCACAGTTTGTCGATGGCAGAAGCCTCAGGTCCCCAGACTGACCTTGTTCCTCTCCACAAGCCACCTGGCTCATTCATTAGGACTTTCCCAAGTGCCTGCTTTGAGGTTAGTGCCAAAGCCAAGTGCTAAGAGAGAAAACAAGAGCGTAACAAGCAGGATGATAAAGTTCCAAGAAGCGCTGACATTTGTCCCCTTTCTTATTTTCCTCCAACGCATTTTCACATCTATTATTGACCTTGCTTCTCAAAATAAATACCTTTTGAGGTAGAAAGAGGAGACGTTGCATCCCTGTTTAACTGACATAGCAGAAAGAGGATAAGTGACTTGCCCAAGGTCACAGCCTAGTGATAGAGCCAGGAGAAGCCACTGTGGCCAGCCCTGATTCCGTAGGGGACTCCCTGCAGTGGTGACAGCATACAGGGCTGGGACCACCCCATTCATCTCACATCCGCCTGGCTCCTTCCTTGCTGCTGAGAGGCACAAAGCAATTTACACGCTGAGCACCTACGACAGTCCCACTGCACAGAAGGTAAGCAGAAAGACCCAGCGAGGACTGACGAATCCCTGCACACACAGCAAGTGAGAGCAAGAAGAGAAGTCCAATTTCCACCCCATCTGTTTTTATGTTTACCTTGCCTTGTTCCAAATAAGGTTAAAGGTGACAGCATCCCATGTTCCCAACTCAGTACCCACCCCCTTCAGGAAGCACACGCGCCTCCCAGCACATGGTGCTTGACAGCTTGAAAAGCATCTCCATGACTATTCGCTCATTAATCGCTAAGCTTCGGAAGTGGAGGGGACTGGGACTGTCAGGCCCATTTCACAGACAAGGTGCCTGAAGGTGGAGTGATGTCCCCAGGGTCACACAGAAGTTCTGCAAGGGCAAATTGCGAATCAGTATGGCTTTCCTCCACCTCCATTCCTCCCACTTGTCTTTATCACAAAGGCCTCACTCAGTCCTCCGTTCCTTCCAGCATTTGGTGGGGGCATCTCTTCATCTTGAAGTCAACACATGTGCTGGGACTCCATTCCTACCTGTTTACACTCATTCCCCAAAGCCAAGAGGCTGGCTCTGAACCAGAGGCCCAGAGCTGTGTTGAGGAGGCCAGACCCAGGTGAAGGAACCTAATAAGGCAGGAATGAAGGCTTCCCTCCCCACCTCCCCACAAGGAAGCCTGGCAGTACATGGTCTGGGGCAGTAGTCTAGGATGAAGAGCCCACTGGGGCAGTCAAGTTCAAAGCCCTGGTTGGGCGTGGTGGCTCACACCTATAATCCCAGTACTTTGGGAGGCTGAGGCAGTCGGATTGCTTGAGTGTAGGAGTTGTAGACCAGCCTGGGCAATATAGTGAGACCCTCATCTCTACAAAAAATTTAAAAAGGAATCGGGCATGGTGGGGCACACTTGTGATCCCAGCTACTCGGGAGGCTGATCAGGGAGGATTGTTTGAGCCAGGGAAATTGAAGCTGCAGTGAGCCATGATTGCACCACTGCATTCCAGCATGGACAACAGAGCGAGACGCCATCTCAAAAAAAAAAGTTCAAAGCCCTGCTCGGTCATTTCCTAGGTCTGTGATCCTTTCACTCTCTGTGCCTAAGTTTTTTCATCTGTCAAATTGGCATAAGAATCATTATTACTTGGTGGTTTATTGTGGGGAGGAGATCATACACACACCACGCCTAGCACAGAATCAGTCCTCAATAAAAGTGGTTGTTATTATTTGCTATAGGCTTTCTTTGTGGCTTTGAAAAAGCTGCCTCTGACTCTACATCATCCAATGGGAAACCTGGAGAAGATCACATCTTTTCAGCGGCAAAACCAGTTTTCCCAAATCCAAAGTAGATAAAACCTGCTTGAAGCAAAGGTGGGGGTCCTAGGGCCTTACTCCAGCTTCCCCCTGAAACTTCATCTGAAACTCCTTCACCAAACCCCAGGACTCTAGAAATAAGAACCACAGGACCAGGCCATCTCCATGGACCCTTTCAGCACAGACATTCCAGGATCAAAAATAAGTATTTGATAGCCCAGACTGTGCACCGAGCCCCACACTCAAGCTGGTGGGATAAGAAAGGGGAAGGTCAGCCCCAGCAGGGCCCAGCACAGAAGGGAGGCTCAGCACACATCAGTTTCCCCTTGATCTCGTCTCCTCCCTCCAATCCAGATGGGGAAACTGAGGCACAGGCAGCGGCATCAGACAGTGATGGCAAGACGTAGAGAAGAACGTGGCTGTGGGACAGCCCAGCCCAGGCCTCTGTGCCTGCCTTCTGGGCTCGGTTCCTTCACCTGGGCATTGGATGGCAGGCCAAGCCCAGGCTCCCGTAGAGATGGGGTGCTGGGAATGCTGAGGTTTGCCAGGGCCGGCTCAGACCCTAAACTGTCAGCAGGAAAGGCCAGGGGGTGATGCCCTCTCAATAGCCAGCTGGTCACCTCAGGAGAGGCTAAGTGGCCATCCAGCAGGGAACCACCACTCTGAGCCAGAGTTGGATAAAAACCCAAGTCCCCGCCACCCCTCTCAGCTCAGTGACTGGAACCTGGGTTGCAGCCACTTCCCTTCCCTACCCTCCTTGAAAGGCAGGGCCTCTGCCCCCGTCCCCGCCTCGTCCACACACACACACACACACACACACACACACACACACACACACACACACACGGTGAGAGACGAGCACACGGGCCGACTGGAGGTAGCTTAGATCCAGAATCAAGGAATGTTAAGAGAAGGATTCATTCATTCAGCAAACACTTGTTGAGGACTTCTGTGGCAGACACAACCCTGCCCCCAATACAACTCAAAGGGTGTTAACTTATTTGTCTGTCTAATCACTAAGACCCTCTCTCCAAATAAAATCTTACAAGGAAATTCAGTAGATGAAACTTAGACAAAGGATAAGCTGATGGGGTCACAAGAGTCAGAACCCCACCTTCTGGGCCCTCCATCCCCCAGCTGGTCTCCAACGGTCTCCAAAGAGCCCCCAAAGCCCTGCCAGGCTCGGTGTGAAACCACCGCCAGAGCTCATCTAGTCTAACTCCTCACGTGACAGCTGGGGAAACTGAGGCCCAGCCAGGGAATGGTAAAACACAGGCTTCCTCACTCCGTTTCACATTCCTGCCACCCTGACACGACATGTGTCACACTTGGAGTCGCAAAAGAGAGGGAAGTTCCAGCAATGAGCGATCAGTCACAAAAGCTCATTTTTTCTGACAATGAAGTTTGGGGTGTTTCTTTAAAATAAAATACAAAGATCACAGGGTCATTGTTTAAAGTTTTTATTGCACCAACAACCTACAGAATGAGAGTCTCATGGGCTCTTCAGGAAAATGTAAAAAACCATGAGGAGAGCTGGGAGGGGCTTAGGAGCCAAGCCTCAACAGGGCATGGGAGGGGGTAAGGCCACCAAGGTGCCTGACCCTGCCCCCTGCCTGTGCGCCCCCCATCCCCATCATTCCACGTCAGCAGTGCGTGAGGACCAATGGCATGGGGCCGGGCAGGGGACTCTGGGCTTGGAGCTCTGAGGGAGAAATTCTGTCTACAACTCCCAGCCCAGACTTAGCTGGTGGGAGGTGCTGGGGCTCTGGGCGTCCTGGAAAATTCTCACTGCCTCTCAAGCCCGGACAGGGAGGAGAGAACAGCAGACAGACCTGGCACAATCAGACTTTTACAACCACAGGAGTGTGTCCTGGGGGGCAGGTAAGGGAAGGTATGACTTTAACCCCAATGGGCAGATGGTGAAACTGAGGCTCAAGAGGTTTGGAAACATGGCCGGGCTCCAAAGCCCAGGCTCTGAAAACATCACATGGCCTATCAGGTTTCTCCTGCCCAGGGGTCCGAAGAAGCTAGAAGTCCCCCTAACTAAGCAGCCCCTGACTTCAGCAGAGCAATGAACTGAGCCAAACTGTGGCCACTAAAGGGGGCTAAGGAGGAGCTGACCCCACCCCAGTTCAGAAGGGGCAGCCACTGCCCTCTGATTCCAAATTCAATAGCCACCCCCAGTCATTACTGAGAGCCTGCCATAGAAGGTGGCTTGTGACTGCCACATCTATACCACGAAGGAGGGCTCTGAGGCCAGAAAAGTTCACAGATGAGCCCAAAACCACACAGCCAATAGGAGGCAGCAGTTCGGATGCCAGAGGCCGGCTCGCCACTGTTGGGTGGCACTGCCTCCCTGAGCAGGCCCGGGGCCAGGAAAGCCCAGCAAACCTCTTCTAGTCCCTACACCTCAGCCTAGCCACAGAAACAGAGTGGGCGTAGATTAGAGTCCAAAGCTCTCACACACTGAGGACCCCTTCGGGAATCTGATGAAAGAGACAATTCTCTTTCCCAGAAGCAGAACATTGCATAAACAATTTCCAGGGGATCGCTGAACCCCAAAGAGCCCTCACATGAAAAAGTCAGGGCTGGATCCTCAAGTGGCATTACAGCATCCCCCACCAGTGTTCCGTGACAACAGAAGAGCTCTTTACTCCTTAAGCTAAGAGGTGCCAGGACCGACTGAGGAGGCCCCCAGATCTGGGTCAGACCTGTGATGGCTCCATTATGATCAGAGGGATGCGGCCCCTCACTGCTGAGCCCAGGATCCCACCGAGAAGCCTGGCTGTGCAGGTCTCTGGACCCCAGTTCCCAAGCACTGCATTCAAGCACTTTCCCACTCGATGGATGTGAGGTATTTAACGTCCATGATAGCCCTGTGAAGTGGGCAGGACGCAGCAGGGATACTTTCCTACTGTGTGGTGGGAAAAGTGAGTCCCACATAAGGAAGATGAGCTGCTCAACTGGAGACAGAGCCACCAGCACTGAGACCAGGCCTCCCAAGAACCAGTGCAGCACCCTGCTCACTGAATCCCATGAAAAGCCAGTTAAACGAGGGTAGACCCAGAGACCTGAGTTCAATCCCAGCTCCACCCCCTCCAACCTGTGTGGTCTTGAGGCAGTTACTCCACTCTCTGAGCCAGAATCCCTCTGTGCCATAAAATGAGTGGGACAAGATCAGCCTCAAAGGGAGATTGTGGGGCTCAAATGAGTTGCAGACTGAGTCATTACGGTGAGAGCAAGGGACAGCTCCAGCAGTGAGTCCCACGGCCCAGAGCCTCCTACGGCCTTCAGGAGAGGAGAAGAGGGTCTCTTCTTCCTAGGAAGCGACTTCCTACGTAATAGGGAGAATAGAAGACTACAGAGCCACCGGTGCATGGTCACAGAGGCCCTCCCCATCCAGCCCTGCCAGGTCCTGGGCTGGACATGGCAGAGGACAATCTGATCGGGAAGGCAGGTGCTAGGGACAGGTGAAAACGAGACTTGCAGAAATTGGCAGAAACAGAATCCAAGAGACTAAAAACAATCTCAAAGAAGGAGACAGATCCCCACACAGGGGAAGAAACCCTTCCACAGGCTCCAAGGCAGGAGACAAACTGGGCAGACAAGAAGCAGAACTTCCAATTAAAGTAGGGGACAGAGGAAGAGAGGAAGCAGAAGACGGGGAAGTGAGAAGGCAGAGAGAGAAGCCGGAAGCACAGGAGAAAGCACGAGGCAGTGAAGAGAGCTGGCCAGGCTGGAGAAGCAGAATTTCTCCACGGAGGAAAATCTTCTGGGGAGAAAAATCAAAATCTGTGCCATACAATTTTTTTTCAAGCATCCTTTCCCAGTGTGAAGTCATTTGCATATTTTAAGAACATGCAATGCATTATGCATATCTCGTTTTTGTTTAAAGAAATTATGGTTAGTATATTTAAAGATGTGAATGCCTGGGAAATTACAGGGGAGAAATGTGGGATTTTTGGTCCCCCCTGAATTTTCTGGGTTTCTCAAAACTTTCACATCTGCAGCCAGCTCCCTAGTGAGTTGGGCCGACAAAGGAGGAAATTGAAGAGACTGCTTCGCCCTTTCCGGGCTGTTCCCAGCTGGCCCTGGGATCAGGAGGCCAGCGTCCTCCTCAGAGTCTGCTCTCTGACTTCCAAGGCCTGTTCCCCATCCCTTGGGGAAGGGAAAATTGCACAGGCCTTTGGAAGCACAACCTGTTTGTCCTCCAAGTCCTCCAGCCCTCCTCGACCATAGAGACATAGCGCCACCTGGAGGGCATTGTGGAGACTGCAGCATTAGGAGGGGCTGGGGAAGGAAGGAAATGAGGAAATGAAGATGAGCGATTTGTTGCAAGCACGCGTGGAGCACAGCCCAGTAACTAGGAATGCAGGAAGCACCTTTAATAGCTAGGGAAGACGGTGAGGGGATGGAGCCTGCAATTATGGTCATCTGGACATTAACATTAGTACGACCTCGTTTGTACCCCCCTCCCAGGCCTAGGGAGCATTCGGGTTACAGATGCAAGGTGCCTGGCCCACTCAGCGCTTAATAAATGTTTGTTGAGTTCGGCTGTGGCCCCCCAGAGTCATGGCCCAATGGCAGCAGCAGCAGCACGTGGCCACAAAATGTTGATGTGACGTCCCTAATGAGGAGCAATGGCTCCAGCAGGGACTAAGGGTTAAGAGCAGGAGATGAGGGGCTTCACCCAGACTGGCTCAGCGCCCCCTGCCCCACACCAGTGGCACTGGCTCAGCCTCACGTGCTCCAGTCTCAGGGAAGGGAAATGCCAAGTCCCTCGCTGGCATCTGGAAAACAATAAGGCAGCTGCAGGGGAAGTGACTAATGAGCACTTCAGGGAGCAATTCAGGACAGCACACATGGAAACTGATCTCATTCAAAATTGATCAGTTAACACTATCTAATTAGAGAGAAAATGTGCTGAGCACCCGGCTTTCTGGGAGCACGGTCTGGAGGCTGTGGCACCCAGCTAGCCTGCAGAGGAGCCACATCTCATCTCTCAGACCAGCTCCAGGACTGTCCTCCCTAGTCCCTCACCCATGCTGCCTCTCATAGACATGCAAAATAGAGCTGAACAGAGGAGAGCTTCTAATCCAGCTTGCTCCTTTCATAGACAGAACTAAGGCCCAGAGAGGTTAAATCACTTGATCAAGATCACACAGCAATGGAGCAGGACCAGAGAGAAAGCCAGTCACTGGGCTCCCAGTCAAGACCATTTATCACCATCCGGTGACACTGCCCTGACTTTCCTGTGTGGAGTCCTCAAAGCTCTGGACAGGTCACTGGACATGGCGTTCCTCCTGTACAGTTCATCCATCATAGCTCCCAGGTCCTAAAAGGGGGGCTGCCCTCACTCCTTACAATCACCACTTTCATCTGTGGTCCAAAAACCAGCTCCTCTAGGCAGTCTTCCAGGATTGTTTCGCCCACACCTACTATTTCATTCATGGGTTGACTCATTCATTCCATGTACATTCTGTAGTTAAGAGCTTGGGCTCTGGAGTCAGACTGCCTGGGTTTAAGTCCCATCCCTCTTGTGCACTTGGGCAAGACACTTGACCTCTCTGGGCCTCTGTTTCCTTTTATTTAAGAATAATACAAACACATTCCTCCGTACCTCGCAAGTGAGGACCGGAAGGGTTCATTATGTACTGCACTTCTCAGGGTACCTAGCAAATAGTGAGCCCTGATGTGAGTTCTAATTAGTCTGCACTGACAACCCAGAATTTGTGCTGGAGAAGGAAAAGTTATGAGACAGTCCCCGCCCAAGACATTGACAATATGGCTAAGAGCAGGAATCGAGATTTGAGACTCTTATTATGGAATCTCAGAGGAGGGATACCTAACCCAGCCTAGGTGGGGAGGGACAGGGAAGATTTTCCCTGGAGGACACACCTAAAGCTGAGTGTTAAAGGTGAATCGATCTTAGCAAGGTGAAGAAAGGACCAGCATTCCAGATCAGGAATTCATGTGAGCAAAGACAGACAACAGCATGGCATGGGGTTCTATTTGTTTTTATTTGTTTTTTGGAGTTAGGGTCTCACTCTGTTGCCCAGGCTGGAGTGCTGTGGCATGATTACAGCTCACTGCAACCTCAATCTCCTGGGCTCAAGCCATCCTCCTACCTCAGTCTCCTGAGTGGCTGGGACTACAGGTGTGTACCACCATGGTCAGCTTTGTTTTTATTTTTTGTAGAGAAAGTGTCCTGCTATGTTGTCCAGGCTCATCTCAAATTCTACTTCCTAGCCTCAAGTGATCCTCCTGCCTTGGCCTCCCAAAGTGCTGGGATTACAGGCGGGAGCTACTGCCTGGCCAGCATGGCATGTTTAAGGAAACTCAACAGTTCAATGTTGTTGGAGTCACAAGTATGAGACTGAAAGGGATGCAGGAAACTGTGGGGAGGTGGCCAGGGTCAGGGTCATGCAGGGCTTCTCATGCCATGGAAGAGCCAGGACACGATGTTGCAGATGGCAGAGAACCTGGAG
Source organism: Homo sapiens (assembly GCF_000001405.40). Classification (NCBI taxonomy): domain Eukaryota; kingdom Metazoa; phylum Chordata; class Mammalia; order Primates; family Hominidae; genus Homo; species Homo sapiens. The sequence continues at coordinate 20,496,208 of NC_000001.11, forward strand.
GTGAACTTGAAGCAGAGGCGGGACATGGCGAGGTTGGTGGTTTAAACAGATCATTCTCGACTCTGTGGGGTATGTTTTCTCTGCTTCCCTTCAGCAATGATACCACCCTTGGTTGGTTGATCGCTAATGGTCATGGAATGTGCTCTAACCAGGCCTGTCACAAAGCCTCCTTTCAAGTCCTATATTCTGTGAACCACGAATGTTCCCGACAACTGAGTCACCATACCTGTTGATATGGTTTGGATCTGAGTCACCATACCTGTTGATATGGTTTGGATCTGAGTCACCATACATGTTGATATGGTTTGGATCTCATGTCGAATTGTAATCGTCAGTGTCAGAGGTGGGGCCTGGTAGTAGGTGATGGGATCGTGGGGGCAAAGTTCTCATGAATGGGTTAACACCACCCTCTCAGCGCTGTTCTCATGATAGTGAGTGAGTGATGTGAGAGCTGGTTGTTTAAGCGTGTAGCATCTCCCTCCACTTCCTCCTGCTCCGGCCATATGAAGTGCTTCTCCCCCTTGCCTTCTGCCACGACTGAAACCTCCCTGAGGCCTCCCCAGAAGCGGAGCAGCAGCTGCTATGCTTCCTGTACAGCCTGCAGAACCGTGAACCAATTAAACCTCTTTTCTTTATGAACTACCCAGTCTCAGGTATTTCTTTCTAGCAGAGTGAGAAGGGACTAATACACCTGTCAAACAGGGTTTACTCCTGTTCAAACAACTCAGATCCTTTGAAACAACTCTGAGCCCTTTGCAGGCACAGACTGTCTTATTCATCTTGTATTTCCAGGCACAAAATACACATTCAGCAAATGTTTGTTGGGTGAATAAATGCCCATCCATGAGCCGGGTGCGGTGGGGCACACCTGTAATCCCAGTACTTTAGGAGGCTGAGGCAGGTGGATCACATGAGGTCAGGAGTTGGAGACCAGCTGACCAACATGGTGAAACCCCGTCTCTACTAAACAAAAAATTAGCCAGGCGTGGTGGCGCATACCTGTAATCCCAGCTACTTGGGAAGCTGAGGCAGGAGAATTGCTTGAACCCAGGAGGTAGAGGTTGCAGCGAGCCGAGGTCATGCCACTGCACTCCACCCTGGGCAATGAGAGCGAAACTCCGTCTCAAAATATAAATGCCCATCCATGATACCAACTTTGAGCATTCCAGAGGCCCTGTGGGACCATCAGCATCCATCCCCCAACTGGAGTTGTCATGGCCTATGATCACGGCTGCAGAGGGTGTCAGAGTGGCTAGTTTGTCATGTTATTGTTTGCTTTTTAATTTTCCCACAGGTTGTTGCTTTTTAGATTTTCCATTAGAATTCTGAATGAAATTGGATTCCAAAGACTGCCTTCCAGCCCCCATCCACTAGATCAGCTGGGGATGTGATTGGTTCTTCCCGAGGTGCTGCTCGGCTTGTAAAATGCTGTGTATTTATGGTAATACTAAGTTGTCTCATGGACAACTTCCCTTTTTAGCCTCCCAGGCCTCGTGATAAAAAGCAAAGATTGCAGGTTTTATAGTCAGATCGCGGTAGCCTTGAACAAGTCACATAACCTGTAAAAGGGTGATGTGGCATCCCTTGCTGGTTTGCTATATTAGAAACAATACCTGTGAAGAGCCTGACATTGCTGGGCTTGTGAGGACGTGTGGATGTAGGCAAGATGTAACCCCACTGGGCCCCACTAATTGGAGGCAACAATATCCACTGCATAGGGCCACACTAATGCAAATGAAGTGCCTGGCACGGACAGTCAGAACACCAGCAGCAATTATTCAAGATGATTCCTGCCCAACGCTGGCTGCCTGGGAGTAAAGTGACTGAGCACAGGGGTGATTTAGGGGAGACTCAAAATTCATCATCATCCCATGGTCAGTTCAGAACTGACTTCCTGCTTCCCCTTTTCTCTGTCATCCCTCCTGCCAGCCTTGGTTCCACACATCCATTTAGGACCCATGCAAACCTCCTGGAGATTAGGCTCCTAAAATAGGTGGGAACGGCCAGTGACAGCTGAAGTAGAATATGGGACAGTCTCAGTCCCCGGCAGGATAGGACCAAGCAGGGCCCTCGCACCCAGGGGGTCCAGGCACATGCCAGCTTCCTGAGGCAGGGGCCGTGTGCCGGTCCTGGGTCTCCCACGACAGGGAGCTCAGCTGGGAAGCTCAGTGGGGAAGAACACTCGGTATGAATTGGAATTCCAATTCCAATTCATGAATTGGAATGTCCAAGATTGAGGTGGGCTAGGGAAAGCAGCCTACCTGCTCCTTTTTAATCTCTTTGATCAGATTTCCCCACAAAAGATATGCCAAGGGCTGAACTCAGATAGCTTACCATGCAAATCCCCCTAGGCCACTTCATTCACCTTCTGTTACAAGCTAAGCGCCAGAAGGACGATGAAAAGGGGACAGAGGCTTTCAAGGTGCGCAAAGAGGCCATTCCCATCAGGGGCCTGTCACCTTGCCCCACCCTCCAGCACCTTGTGTAAAACCAACGTCTTCGTACTTCACTGGACGGACTCAATATTGGCAAGTGGATTCTTACCCCAACTTTTGCCTGTTCCTCTAGTGTGGCCACCAGTTCTCCTCTATGGACTTGGGGAACACATCTCTTGTGAGTGTTCCTGTTAGCACTGAGGAATTCACTGGCCCCACACTGGTGAGAAGGATGAGGACTTTAGAAATAGCTTGGGGTTTAAATTCAGTCAGACCCGGGACTTGCTGTATCTGTGCCCTCAGCCCAGTGAATGTACCCTCTGGGCCTACTTCCTCACCTGTACAGCACAGACACCGGGACTCGGCCTGCAGGGGTTTTGTGAGGATGAACTCACTCTGAAATGAGTTTGAAACAGCACACGGCACAGTACCTCATACACAGTATTGCTAAATGCTCATTTCCTCTCTGCTGTCCCCCAGCACCCCATCCCCATCCCATTCTCCCAGCAGGTGAAATCTCACTGCCCTGATTTGTAGGCTGTCGGGACAGACTTCAAAGATGGTCAGCAAGGCCAGATATGACCCACGGGTGGGCTGTCCAGATTCCTCCCCAGGGGGCAGGCATCCCGGCCGGCCTCTGCATCACCCCATCTGGGGGAGCCCCAAACCACTATAGCCGAGGAAAAGAACACAGAGGCCTCAAACTCCCCCACCTTTCACTCCATTGTGGCAGGGATTCAATCCCATCCTGGGGACACTTAGGCTTAGCCATTTAACTCCTGTTAACAAAGCAACAGGCTAGCACTTGGTTGCAACATGTTTAATTTCTGCTGTTCACACTGGACACTGCATCATACTAGTGTCGGCCCCTGAGGGCACCCCTTCCTCGCCTGCACAAAGGAGGACGAGAGATGAACATTCAGAGGCAGAAAAGGGCAATAAAAAAAGAGCTGTGTATGTGACCTCCAACTACTCAGAGGTGGGGGAAAACAGCCCCATCTGTCTTGCACTAAAAGGCTCACCAAGGGCAGGTGAGGGGCAAATGGTAATACTGGGAGGGGGTAACACAAGGAGAAGCGACATGAGTACACCAAGATGTCAAAGCTGCGACGGGCTGGATGAGGGAGCCCCAAGAGGGCATATGCTCAGGGTGCCAGCCGGCTGCTTTTCCTTGTGACAGCCTTGCAAGGAAGCTGTGAGGCCAGGACACTAGGCCAGTGGCATCCACACTGCGTCCTTCAGGAGGCGAGGCCTCTGCGCCTCATTCTCCAGGAGGGAAAACCAGGGACCACCCCGAGCTCTCCCAAGTGGCAGGAGTTCAAATCAGGGCCAGTGGCGAAACCAGGAGGCCTGCCTGACCAACTGCCCTTCACATGATCTCTCTTCAATCTGTTGCCCGGGGCCCCGACCATCTGGGCAGAAGCGGATGTGCTGACTTCACTTTCTTTTGTCCTCTACACACACGTGCAGGCGTTAAGGAGGCAAGCAGGTGAGGGGAAAGGAACACAAGTTGACCTGCCCAGCCTGACAATTCTGAAGAAAGACTGTTTCCCGGGGCATGAGGAAAAAGAAGAAAAGCTGCGGCAGAGTCTCTTCGGAGGCAGCACCCAAGGCATCCGTTGTACTCGGGGCCCAGCCTTTCCTCCCCTCTGAGTCCTCCACCAAGTCCACAGCAAGCAACGATTCACCAGAAAAAAACAGAAGACACAGGAACAGAAGAGCTGCTGATCACTGGCTTTGGTGCTTAAGTGATGAGGCATTTTCAGTCACACTCGCACTGATCTGGCTCCTGGGAGGAGACGCCACGGCATCCTCCCAGGGTGAGGCTCTGATGAGGCTGCACATGGACAGGGTCCCCTCTCAGGTGGGAAAGGCAGCATCCTGCCATTGGAGGCATGGGTCTGGAGAGTTTCTACCCAATTCCTCCCTCAATCATACCTGGAGGTGACAGCTACCCCCACCACTGCTCCTCCAAAGGCCTCGAGATAAAAATCCCTGAAAAGGGGGCAGGGGTGCTTCCAGGTCAAGCTGTGCGGCTTCCAAACTATTAGCTGTTGTACAGGGGTATCACCCGGGTGATCGCCTGTCTGCAGATAGGGCACTTCTTGGGCTCTGGCAAGGCGCGGTAGCACTCGGTGCAGGAACAAACGTGCCCACACTCCAGAAAGACGCAGGACTTGAAGCTGCTCAGACACACTACACAGGCGCTCTTCAGACTCTCCCTGTCCTCAGGCTTGGCTCGGCTCAGCAGCTGGGCCTCATGCTCCTGGAACTCCTCCTGCATCTGCTTGAGGCGCAGGCGCTCCTGCCGCTGCAGATACTGCTTCCGGAGAATGAAGAAGAGGGTGGCACATGTGGCAAAGCCAAAAACCAGCGCCAGCACCTTCCAGAGCCTGACGCTCGACTCCTGCCTCTGCAGCAGGCTGTCGAAGTCCTGGCTGCTTAGATAGTACTGCATGCCTTGTTTGGGCGGCTGCAGGCGGACAGAGTTGTTGTCCAGGACCAGTTCGCCAACCCCTGTGAGGGTGGCCCCCACCTTCAGCATCTCCTCGGTCTCTTGGATGCCTTTGGGCCGCTCACCGCTGATGTAGTGGCCGATGACATCGGTGAAGGACTGAATCGAGGGGTGGAACTTCTCATACACAGTCTCTAGACCCAGATCCACTGAGTCCAGGGGCTTCAGCACTCGCACAGCCACATCCACGCCATCCTCGTGGGGCACCAGGTCAAAGGGCACTGTGTTGGTCCTCTGATGAATGATCTTTGAGCAATCATTCCTAGAAGAATAAGAGAACTAAAGATACAGGGTAGCAAACAGCAAACACCCAGGCAGAACTGGAGATCAACTAAATGTGGAGGACAGCATATGGTCTGAAGTAACTGGAAGAAGACAGTAAGATCACTATCTCCAGTTGCCTCCTAACAAGGAGGCTCCATTTGTAGGTCCTGGGGCGATATCAGTGGGCAACAAATAACCGCCACAGACTATCATTTCCCTTTCCACTGTAAAACAAACATCTAAAACAAAACTCACTAGGACCAGTTGGAAAACTGATATTTCATATGATGGCACAAAAGCATTTTAGGAAATACTGAAATCACTGATTCAGTGGTTCTCAAACTTCAGTGTGCCTAACAACAGATTCCAGGTCCCTGATCCTGGAAATTCTGGTTGGATAAGTCACCAGGGACTGACTTATCCACTTCAGGGACTGAAGGGAGCTCAGAAATCTGCATTTCAACAAGATGCCTCGGTGATTCCGACATAGGAGGCCCACAGGCTACACACAAGAATATGACCTGCATTAAGAGACTGGGCTTCAACCTGTCTCAGGAGAAGCTGAAGTCACGGCAACAGCACCCAGGACCCCAGCATTTGAATAGACCAACTGCAAGGGTTTTGGCCAGTGGAGAAGTGATACATACCAAAGGTGGGTGGTTCGATTCCACACCATCTTGTGCTCCTGAAGTGTCAGCCGCTGAATTACCCCCTTGCAGTTTTCCACAAACTGGCTGTTAAGCGTTTCTTTAACAGACCGCACAGCTCCTAAGTGGACACAAATTCTATTATTTCTGAAGAAGTTTTCTGCCCTCTCCTTTCAGATAATTTAAAATGTGTTTTCTGGTCTGGCACAGTAGGTCACACCTATAATCCCAACACTTTGGGAAGCCAAGTCAGAAGGATCACTTGGGGCCACGAGTTTGAGACCAGCCTGGTTAACACAGTGAGATTCCATCTTTACAAAAAATTAAAAAGTTAGCAGGGTGTGGTGGCATGTGCCTGTAGTCCCAGATACTTGGGAGGCTGAGGCAGGAGAATCACTTGAGCTCAGGAGTTTGAGGCTGCAGTGAGCTATGATCACACCACCATACTACAGCTACCTGGGTGACAGAGCCAAGACTCTATTTGAGACGGAGTCTCACTCTGTTACCCAGGCTGGAGTACAGTGGTGCAATCTTGGCTCACTGCAACCTCCGCCTCCCGGGTTCAAGCAATTCTCCTGCCTCAGCCCCCCGAGTAGCTGGGATTACGGGTATGTGCCACCACATCCAGCTAATTTTTGTATTTTTAGTAGAGACGGGGTTTCATCATGTCGACCAGGCTGGTCTCAAACTCCTGAGCTCAAGTGATCAGCCCATCTCAGCCTCCCAAAGTGCTGGGATTACAGGCATGAGCTACCACACCTGGCCTCAAAAAAAAATTTTTTTTTTAATTTAAAAAATGTTAAAAATTAAGTGTTTTCAGTTGACTTTTGCTAATTCATCAAAACAATGACATTCTGATCACCATAAGTCACATTTTAGAAGCACTCTCCTAAGCACTTTGCATGGATCACATAATTTGTCTTATAACAACCCCATAAAGGTAAGTATTATTTTCGAGATCAGGCAACAGTGGTTCAGGGAGGTTTGGTAATCTTAGCGATCACAAAGCAATAACCCATGTCTTTCTGACCCCAAAGTATGTTCTGGACCATGGACCCAACACCACAAAAGGCTCTTCATATTAGCCAAGATGATCTTTATCAATCTTTTGGGAAAAAGACGTTGTTTTCCATTGACCAATAAGCAAACATACCTTCTATAACAGCATAAGGCACGCATTTTCCTGGAGCTTCTGAAAGAATACTCTTTAAATCTTCACCCAAATGAACTTTTTTAGCTCCCTAAATAAAAAAAAAAAATTAAATTAATTGGCCATTGAACACTGACATGCTCAATCAAACTTACAGGCAAAAAAAAGAAAAAGATTCTATTTTTTTCGTGTCAAGAGAATATGGAAATTGGACAGGAAGGTGACTACTGAGAATCAGATTTCAAAGCTGTGTACATCAACAGGAATGGAGCCATGCCTCTGCCTCTTCCATCACTGCAGAATGGGGGTGCCACATACATTCTTGTTCCAGTTAACCAAAACCTATACTCCTTTTCATGTTAAGACTTTTTAGTGAAAATATAAAAGGTACTAGTCAATTTACATACCACAGACTGAACATCATTCAATCTCTTCCTGACAACACAGAGCTATGATCCAAAGGGTTCAGGTATAAAGTACCTAACCTATCACCTAGCACATGGCAGTGGTTTGAGAACTGGTAGGTGTTATTATTAATATTACCACATCTTTACGAACCAATGCTCTGCATTGTATGTTATTAAAAAAACAAAGCAGGGGGAGTTGCCTTTGCTTCAACAGGAAGACTGTTAACTGGTGCCAAATGCCATTCTACATTTTTTTTTTTTTTTGAGATGGGGTCTCACTGTTATACCCAGACTGGAGTGCAGTAGTGCAATCATGGCTCACTGCAGCCTCAACCTCCCAGGCTCAAGTGATCCTCCCACCTCAGGCCCCCAAGTTGCTGAGGCCATAGGCATGCACCACCACACCTGTCTAATTTTTTTATTTTGCAGAGACAGGGTCTCCCAATGTTGCCCAGGCTGGTGTTGAGCTCCTGAGCTCAAGCGATCCTCCTGCCTCGGCCTCCCAAAGTGCTGGGATTACGGGTGTGAGCCACCGCACCCAGTCTGTTCTACTTTTTGCCTTTTTCATGCTCATAATTAAGTGAGCACGGTTCTTTCTGCTGCTGTCTTCCTCTAACAATCCCTAGTTCTCCTCTGCCTTCCAACTCAGAGCGTCCAACCCACTGCACTTGGGAAACCAATCCTGTTACTGCTGTTTCAAAAATAAGAGAAAAGGAATAAAATCAACAATCATTTCCTGAGCATCTTTGTGCCAGGCACTGTGCTGGGTGTCAGAGATTCAGGACGAATAAAGGACCATCTCTGCTTTCAGGGTATTCCCAAAAACAACTCTTAAGGATGCCAGATTCAGTAACCTCTAAAGAGGTGATGTGATACAAGATGTATATGAAGGTCACTCTGAGTTTAAGCTACTGCTACACAGTAAGTGACAGGAGCAAGGTCAATCAAAATTTCTTAGCCACTTACACTGTGAAGATACCAAAATGACAGCAATAACAACTAACAATTTACTCATTATCTGTCTCCCTCCACTAGAATGTTAAACTCTAGGAGGGCTTGGACACTGTTTGTCCTGTTCACTGCTATCCCCCTAGTGCGGAGAACTGTGCCTGACACACAGCAAGCATTTAATACATTATTTGATTAATAAATTAATGAATAAGTAAGCATTTAAATATACTATGTACCAGGCAATATGCTAGGCACTTTAAATGCATAAACCACTTAATGCCCACACCATCCCTTTACGGTAGACATTATTATCACCAATTACAGACAAGGAAACAGGCTCAGAGAGGTGAAGTGATTTGCCCAAAGTGAGACAGCTAGTAAAGTATCCACCACAGGATGGCCAATTCGAATTTTAAAGGGGGAAGAGGGAGAATATGATCAGAAAGATCTGGAGTTTAATCTAGCGCCAATGCATCCACTGTGACTTGGGACAACTTCATTTATCTGAGTCTCAGGTTCCAAAACCATAAAGGACAGGGAAAATGCAATTTCACAGGATTTTTATGTGGGTTAAATGAACTTCAAGGTGTGAAAGAATCCAGCCCGGGGGCTGGCACATAGGAGGCACGCAATAAATTTGCATTCTCCTCACTATGAGAGATACACAGGATAGGACACAAGCCCCTCTCTGGAAGTTTTGTCATCTGATCAAGAAAATAGAATCTAGGACAGGCATGGTAGCTCACACCTGTAATCCCAGCACTTTGGGAGTCCAAAGTGGGATAGCTGCTTGAGGCCAGCAGTGCAAAACTAGCATGAGCAACATGCAAGACCCCATCTCTATGAAAAATAAAAAATTAGCTGGAGGTGGTGGTGTGCACCTGTAGTCCTAGCTACTTAGGAGGCTGAGGCAGGAGACTGGCATGGGCCTGGGAGCTCGAGGCTGCAATGAGCTATGTTTGTGCCACTGCACTCCAGCCTGGGCAACAGAGTAAGACCATGTCTCAAAAAAAAAAAAAAAAAAAAAAAAGAAGAGGAAAAAGAAAAAAAGAAAGAAGAAAGAAATGAAGGACAGGAAGGAAGGCCAAAGAGAAAGAAAAGGAAGGAAGGGAGGGAGAAAGAGAGGAAGGAAATAGAAAATAGAATCTAAAATATTAACAGTCCCAACTTTTTTTCCAGGAAGGGGCTATTTCATCCTCATTTAGGAACTGTTTGGCAAAGGTTTTAAGGTCACCCAAAGATGAGACCTAAAGAGTTCACTGCTTCAAAGAAGCCCTCCTCCAGCCAACTTGAGGCCAAAGTGGTTTGGAGTCAGAAAGTGAAGTATCAGATACACAGAGCTAATCACTTCAGGATTAACTTGATTATTTAATCAGGAGAAATACAGGGCAGCTGGAATCTCACTATAACGCCACTGCACAGCAAATCCAATTGCCTCATAACTTGGTTCTTTCCAGATTCCAAAACTCCCTTCATGGCAGGGACTGGAGTTCACACATTGGTTTCTTTTTTTTCTGAGATGGAGTCCTGCTCTTGTCACCCAGGCTGGAGTAGCCTGGCCCACACATTAGTTTCTAAACCCTTACTGAAAACAATCTGATAATTAAGTTAGTCAGGTTTAGGAATCCATCTTTCATATAAACATCAAATTAGGTTAGGCCCTTAGCTCTTGTATTGTGAAACTTCAGCCAAAAAGAACCCACAAACATTTACTGAGCATCTACCACTTGCCAAGTACTGTGTTAGAAGCTAGAGGAAAGAGAATGGATGAATAAGACCCTGTCTCTGACCTAAAGAGGTCCATCTCTCTGGACCAGTCAGATAGTCACAATAAAGCAATGTCAATCAGATTAAAATCCTACCCTTGGAATCAAAAGACCTAAATTTAAGTTTCAAGCTGACTAGCTGTATGGCCTTTCCTCCAAATCTCAATTTTCTGATTTGCAATGTGGTGGTAACTGTCATTTTATTTACTTCAAAAAATTATTGTGGGCCAGGCGCAGTGGCTCACGCCTGTAATCCCAGCACTTTGGGAGGCTGAGACAGAGGGATCACCTGAAGTCAGGAGTTGGAGACCAGCCTGGCCAACATGGCAAAACCCCATCTCTACTAAAAATACAAAAATTAGCCAGGCGTGGTGGCAGGTACCTGTAATCCCAGCTACTCCGGAGGCTGAGGCAGGAAAATCACTTGAACGCGGGAGGCAGAGGTTGCAGTGAGCCAAGATCGTGCCATTGCACTCCAGCCTGGGCAACAGAGCGAGACTCCGTCTCAAAAAAAAAAAGAAAAAGAAAAAGAAAAGAAAAGGAGAGGAAAGAAAGGAAAAAAAATTATTGTTAAGAAAAAAATAAAATCAAGATGAAAATGTGGCTGGGCGCAGTGGCTCACGCCTTTACATCCCAACGCTTCGGAGAGCCGAGGCGGGGAGATCACCCGACGTCAGGAGCTGGAGACCAGCCTGGCCAACATGGTGAAACCCTGTGTCTACTAAAATACAAAAAAGTTAGCTGGGCGTGGTAATCCCAGCTACTCGGGAGGCTGAAGCAGGAGAATCACTTGAACCCGGGAGGCAGGGGCTGCAGTGAGCCCAGATCCCGCCACTGCACTCCAGCCTGGGCGACACAGCAAGACTCCATCTCGAAAAAATAAAAAATAAAAATAAATGCAAATGTGTTGTGTAAACCGTAAAGCACAGTTCAGAAAAAAGCGCCATTTATAAAAATAGTTGTAATATAAAAAGGAAGCGTCTGTAAAGCAAGGAGTGGAGTGGTTCAGTAAATGGATGTCTGCACTTGCTGTTCCTTCCATCTCCCGCTAGATATCTGCATGACTCCCCTCATCTCCTCCTAGGCTCTGCTCAAATGTCACCTTATTTAAGATAGGAGATCCCCCTTTCTCCAGCATTCCATGTCCTCTCTCCCCTACCTTACTCTAAAGCATTGCTCACCATCTGTTACACCGCCTGATTTACATGTTTGCTGTCTAGTCGTACTAAAATGGTATCTCCACGAGGGGATGGACTTTCATCTGTTCGACTCACTGCCTGGAGCATCGCAGGTGTTCAATAAATATTTTTCGAGTAAAGTAATGAAGTCAAGATTCATTCTGAGTCATAAGAGGGACTTGGGAGAAAAGGAGCGGAGCAGCCGTTATCCCGAGCCCGAATCCTGCCCCTCGCTCCTCCATCTACTGGCTGGATGACACCCTTCAGAGGCTGTTTCCTTTTTTGGACAGTTTCCGACGGTGGGGCGGCCAAGGTGAATCATGGGCTCCCCAGCACCTGGGACAGAGATGACCCGGCTGAGGCCAGGCCGGCTCCAGCACTGACCTTGAGCTCTTGGGAGACCCGGGCCTTCTGCCGGTACACGGAGTACAGGGCGGCGGTGACCACAGAGGTGGTGCCCAGGAGGATGAACTGGCACAGCGAGGGCCGCCCTCCGCTCTCCATGACGGCGGCGAGCCCCGGTGGCCGACTGTGGCGCCAAGGATAGGCCTGGTGACCCCCGACTCTCCACCTCCTTCCGACCAGGACCGCACCCCCCCGGCCTAACCTGACCGGAAACTCGAAATCAGTCGCCCAGCGATGACGCACGACGCCGGAACCGGAAGCGGGGCAAGGGGTTGTAGAGGGAACCGGAAGGTGGGGTTGCCCGGGTGACAATCAAGCTGCTGCGGCCTCCAGGGAGGTCCTGTCTCCCCAGCCGGGTGTCGGAGAGCGATTGGGGAGCTGAGCGACCACCCACCGCTCCATGGCCGTCCCCTTCGAAACACGGCGCACTGGCCATGACTGACTCGCCCATCGCCCTGGTTTCCGTCCCTCTGGTTTCCTGGGGTTACTGGGCTGTTTGATGGGTTATTCCATGTCTTCGCCATTAGATTGGCAGGAAATAAAATAATTGTGTATTAAACTCTTATGAGTAATATACGTTTAAGTTTCAGAGCAAACTCTCAAGACTTGGAATTTATTCTGGCCACTTTACAGATGAGAAAAGTGAGGCCATAGAGGTTAGGGAATGATGTGCTCGAAGTCTAGTGAGTGCTAGAGAGGAATTCACCCAACTCCAAAGCCCTCAACTCTACCCCAGGAGGGCAGATTATATCACCAAAGTAGCCCCTTAATCTGCCATCACCACATAGAACAACATATTTATTAAATAATAATTACGGCTACGCTTAGTGCCTATTATGTGTCAGGTTCGAGGCGGGGGAGGTTTTGCAGGCACCATCCCACTGAACCTTCACAACACAGCTATAATGCAGATTACCGATAAAGAAACTGAGGCTCAGGTAAGTAACTTGCTCAAGGTTATACAGCTAAAAGCAATAGGTATGGCCATAAAACCCAGGGGATCCTTCTCAGAGACTGTTCCCTGATCTCTGTAATGCATCTCCTTTCTAAAATAATCGGAGATAACCCAAATCTTTCTTCTAAACATCAGCATTCATTGAGCTATCTCCTACAGGTTATGCTTTAATTTTTTTATTTGTTTGAGACAGGGTCTTGCTCTGTCGCCCAGGCTGGAGTGCAGTGGTGCAATCATAGCTCCCTGCAGCCTCCCACCCCGCAATCCTCCCACCTCAGCCTCCCCAGTAGTTAGGACTAAAGATGCATGCCACCCCCGGCTAATTTTTTAAAAAATTTTTTGTAGAGTCAAGGTCTCACTATGTTGGCCATGCTGGTCTGGAACTCCTGGGCTCAAGTGATCCTCCTGACTTGCCTTCCCAAAGTGCTGGGATTACAGGCGTGAGTCACCACACCAAGCCTAAATTCTTGTATTTTCATGTTTACATGTATAAGTATTTATGTAGGGAGAATTTCTAGAGGTAGAATTGCTAGGTCAATGGGTGTTGGCACCATTAATCTTGATCAACATTGTCTAATTTTTCTCCATAATGTCCAATTTTACATTTATGAGCAATATGTGGGAATTTCTTTTCTTTTTTTCTGGAGACAGAGTCTCGCTCTGTAGCCCAGGCTGGAGTGCAGTGGCGTGATCTCGGCTCAGTGCAACTTCCGCCTCCCAAGTTAAGTGATTCTCGTGCCTCAGCCTCCCAAGTAGCTGGGACTACAGGCGTGCACCACCACGCCTAGCTAATTTTTGTATTTTTGGTAGAGACAAGGTTTCACCATATTGGCCAGACTGGTCTTGAACTCCTGACCTCAAGTGATTCGCCCGCCTTGGCCTCCCAAAGTATTGGGATTACAGGAGTAAGCCACTGCGCCTGGCCGGGAATCTCTTTTCACCCACACTTTTGCTAACAAACTTTTTGACAAGTTCTATTAAAAATTTAAGGTTAGACCTCATTTTAAGTTTGTGTGTGTGTGTGTTTACCAAATTCATGATCATCCCTTGGGTTGAAAATCATCAAAGATATCTCACAGTGTTAACAATCTAATGATTCTAGCCCTATTCTTATAGAAAGTAATTCTTATTTGACCCCAATTGTATTTAAGGAATGGAGTTAAAAACTGTTATATATAACAGGCTGATTTAATAAAGAAATTTTACTTTTGTGGAGCAGTCTACAGTTTTTAGATACATCATCTGTAGTTTTTAGACACATCTTACCTAGTGGCCTGATTCAATGTATGTAAAACGTGTCCCTCCAGGCCCAACATTGTTTTTAATAACAAAATAATGAAAGTAAACTAAATGTTATCAATAGTCAGTTGGTTGAGTAAATTTTTTAAATATGTGTATGTGTGCATAGTCAGGTGAAACAGCAAACTGCAAAACTAAAGAGGAACCCCGTTTATTTTTAAAAGGAGAGAGAAGAGTATACTATATATATTGCATGTCTCCAGAAGGATTCACAAAAAGCTGATAATAATTGGTTCTTTCCATAGAAGGGAATGGGGTGGCTAGAGAACAGAGAAGGTGACTTTTCACTCTGTTGTATCTTTTGAGTGTGAATGTACAGCATATTTTGAATTAATAAAACTAGAATTTAAAAAAAAAATGGCCAGGCGAGGTGGCTCACGCCTGTAATCCCAGCACTGTAGGAGGCCGAAGCAGGTGGATCACCTGAGGTCAGGAGTTCGAGACCAGCCTGGCCAACATGGTGGAATCCCGTCTCTACTAAAAATACAAAAAATTAGCTGGGCATGGCCAAGCGCTGTGGCTCACGCCTGTAATCCCAGCACTTTGGGAGGCGGAGGCGGGCAGATTGCCTGAAGTCGGGAGGTCGGGAGTTCGAGACCAGTCTGACCAACATAGACAAACCCCGTCTCTACTAAAAATACAAAATTAGCCAGGCTTGGTGGCACATGCCTATAATCCGAGCTACTTGGGAGGCTGAGGCAGGAGAATCACTTGAACCCAGGAGGCGCAGGTTGCAGTGAGCTGAGATAGCGCCATTGCACTCCAGCCTGGGCAACAGAGTGAGACTCCATCTCAAAAAAAAAAAAAAAAAAAAAAAGAGCATGCTATTTACTTCACAACCAACAATTACAGAGAGCCTCCTACATCCAAGGTTCTAGGCTGGGCATTAGGAGATACACCTTATATAGCCAGCCTCTTCCCTCTGACTGGTTAGGGTCTTGTGGGGAGGTAGACATGGACAGTTACAGATTGCCCCAGGTCCAGTGAAATTAGGACAACCAAGTGCCACAGTAGGGAGATGCTGTTTATTTCCACCAGGGAAGGAATTTGAGTTCTGTTAACAGAATGGAGGGTGGAGTGGCTGGGATGGAAGTAGGAAAGGCCTTCCATGAAGAGGGGGGAAGAAACAGCAAAGGTACAAAGCTACCAAGAGTTGGCCCAGTATAGCTAGAGCCCAGGATGTGCGACAGAGAGCAAGGAGCAAGTAATTGAAAAGGAGGGTTGAGGCCAGATCCTGTAGGTCCCTAAATGCCAAACCAAAACTTTAAACTTCATCATTTTGGGGATGGTATCCATTCCAGTAAAGCTTTTTGAGGATCAGCAAGGGTGCAACCTAACCTGTTTTTTAAAAAATATATATAATCAAAATTCTTGTATCCTTAGGTTACAGCAAGGAAGAGAACAAAAACGGGTCCTTAAAATAAAACAGGCAGAGTGCTGCACTGCAATAAGTTAGGGGTCCTTGCTTACAGGTTCTGACTATTTTAGGCCTCCTTGTTTTATTCTCTGGGCCCTTTTATGAGTTCCCTGGGAGCTCATTAAAGCCATCACTCTTAAATGACACAGTTTGGTTTTAAATAACCCTTCCATTTTTTTTGCCAAAGGCTGAAATCCTTCATTAGCTATGCTGAGCACAGTCCTACTGGGACAGTCTGAAATTTACATCATGTGGACCTTGTTAGGAGCAATGAGAGATGGGCAATTTCAGCTGCAGCCAGATGTCCCTAGGGAACCATTCCCAGCCTGGAAGGCTGTCCTCACTGAATCACAAGTTAAAGATGAGCCTCTGACTTCAAGAAAGGGAGGTAAATTCTAAGGCAGGAGGCAGAGCTTCCTGGGAGAAACAGAGTTACTAAGGACAATGCCACTGGGGGGCATTTCACTTTAGATTTAATTCAGATTTCCCCTCCGAGGAGCAAAAATTCCCTGTGAGTCACTGGGTAAATGCCTCTTAGGCATTTGCCAAGGTCCAGGGACCAAATAGGTATGAGAGTGGCCTCTTAGCACCTGCACTGACATTGCCCACAGGTGCCACAGGAAACAGGAAATGAAAAACATGTTAATAGCAGCATCAGGTGGTCACTCAGTTTCCTTCCAGAACGTTCTCTTGGGAGAGCACCTGACATAAGAATTATCTAATAAAGTGAACATATTTTTAGTGAGCATTTATCCTATGCAATGTACTCTCCCAGATGCGTGGCGGGACACAGGGGTAATGTGCAGGACGTGCTCCCTGGCCTCATGGAAGGTACAGGGGAGACTTTTTATGATTTAATCCCCACCTATTTGTGAAAAAAAATCTGAGATAACTTCATTAAGTGGAACACATCATAAGATAGATGTATTAAAAATAAATAGGGCTGGTCGCAGTGGCTCACGCCTGTGTAATCCCAGCACTCTGGGAGGCTGAGGCAGGCGGATCACTTGAGGCCAGGAGTTTGAGACCAGCCTGGCCAACATGGTGAAACCCCATCTCTACTAAAAATACAAAAAAAAATTAGCCAGGCATGGTGGCACACGCCTGTAATCCCAGCTACTCGGGAGGCTGAGGTGGAGGAATTGCTTAAACCCAGGAGGCAGAGGTTGCAGTGAGCTGATATTGCACCACTGCACTCTAGCCTGGGCAACAGAGTGAGACTCTGTCTCAAAAAATAAATAAATACATACATACATACACATATACAGGGCCGGGTGCAGTGGTTCACGCCTGTAATCCCAGCACTTTGGGAGGCCAAGACTGGTGGATCACTTGGGATCAGGAGTTTAAGACCAGCCTGACTAACATGGTGAAAACCCGTCTCTACTAAAAAAATACAAAATTAGCCAGGCATGGTGGCGCAAGCCTGTAATCCCGGCTACTTGGGAGGCTGAGGCAGGAGAATCGCTTGAACCCGGGAGGCAGAGGTTGCAGGGAGGCGGAGGTTGCAGGGAGGCGAGATTGCACCATTGGGCAACAAGAGCAAAACTCTGAAGACAGAGAGAGAGAGAGAGACCAGGCACAGTGGCAGAGAGAGAGAGAGAGAGACCAGGCACAGTGGCTTACACCTGTAATCCCAGCACTTTGGGAAGCCAAAGCAGGAGGGTCACATGAGCCCTTTTAAGGTTATAGTGAGCTATGGCGGCACTGCTGCACTTCAGCCTGGGTGACAGAGTGAGACTCTGTCTAAAAAAAAAAAAAAAAGAAGGAAAGAGAAGAGGGAGGAAGGAGGGAGGGAGGAGAGGGGGAAAGGAAGGAAGGAAAGAAGGAAGGGAAGGAAGGAAGGAACTCAGCTAAAATAAAAGGAGCAGGAAACTGGTGATAGACACCTAAGATTAGTTAATCACACAGTTGGACACCAGCCTTGACTGTGAGCTTCCCAATAACCATGGTAAAAAAGAAATGTGTTGGGGTACGAGCTAATGAAGATAGTGCAAGCACTCAAAAGATTGAATTCGGCCAGGCACGGTGGCGCACGCCTGTAATCCCAGCACTTTGGGAGGCTGAGGTGGGCAGATCACGAGGTCAAGAGATGGAGACCATCCTGGCCAACATGGTGAAACTCCATCTCTACTAAAAATACAAATTAGCTGGGCATGGCGGTGCACGCCTGTAACCCCAGCTACTCGGGAGGTTGAGGTGGGAGAATCACTTGAACCCGGGTGGCGGAGGTTGCAGTGAGCTGAGATCGTGCCACTATACTCCAGCCTGGCGACAGAGTGAGACTCCATCTCAAAAAAAAAAAAAAAAAAAAAGATTCAATTCTAAGCAGTCTGTGAAAAGTCTTATGAAGAGGAAGGCATCAATTTATCTGCAGGTCATAGAGTTGATCCACTGTCTATCCATGAGGATGCTGCTGTCAGAAGCTCATAGAAGGATGTAGGCTTTGAGGATTTCCCAAAAAGAGGTCACATCCAGTGGGGGGTCACACTCAGGGGGTTCATTTTCTGTCTCCTTTGGACCAGTGGGACTTACCCACCATTGATTGGCCAAAGGTTCCAGCAGCAGACAACAACGGGAGACCTTGTGGAAAGAAAAAAGAAAAATGGTCCATGAGAATGGAATGATGGGCCTTGGCCTCACCAGTCACTCCTTCGCTCAGAAGTTCCTCAAATCAGAGTGTTATGAGCCAGGCACTGTCTTTTTTTTTTTTTTTTTTTTGAGACAGAGTCTTGCTCTGTCACCCAGGCTGGAGTGCAGTGGCACAATTTCAGCTCACTGCAACCTCTGCCTCCTGGGTTCAAGCGATTCTCCTGCCTCAGCCTCCTGAGTAGCTATTACTATAGGCGCCTGCCACCACGCCTGGCTAATTTCTTGCATTTTTAGTAGAGACGGGGTTTCACCATGTTGGCCAGGCTGGTCTTGAACTCCCGGCCTCAAGTGTTTTGCCCGCCTTGGCCTCCCAAAGTGCTGGGATTAGAGGCGTGAGCCACTGTGGCTGGCCTACTTTTCTTTTTGAATCAGCTTTAATGACCTATGATAAACTGCACATATTTAAAGGTACAATTTGATAAGTTTTGACATATGTATACACCTGTGAAACCATTGTTACCAAAATACTAGGGGTTCAATCTGGGTCCTGCTGCTCACCACACAGAAGGGTAATTACTAAGAAAATGAGTATTGCCAAGGAAGAAAGCTTTAGGCCAGTGCTGCAGCTGAGGAGATGGGAGCTCGGTCTCAAATCCATCTCCCTGATGGATTAAAACTAGGACTTTATATAGCAGGGAAGAAATGTAGCAATGTAGAAGAAAACAGGAACTCAGAAGGGACAAGGAAGCAATCACGATGAATGAGGGGTCCAGCATTTCATAGTCGGATGGGGTGATCTGGTGAGTTTTGGTTCTTTGATACTTTTTTTTTTTTTTTTTTTTTGAGAGGCCTGAGTTTCCTGAAGAAGTAACTCAGATAAAACAAATGTAAGGTTTAGGAACAGAAATGTCAATTTCTTTTTTGTTTTTTTTTGAGACGGAGTCTCACTCTGTTGCCCAGGCTGGAGCGCGGTGGTACGATCTCAGCTCACTGCAACCTCTGCCTCCCAGGTTTAAGCGATTCTCCTGCCTCAGCCTCCTGTGTAGCTGGGATTACAGGCACCTGCCACCAAGTCCGGCTAATTTTTGTATTTTTAATAGAGACGAGGTTTCACTATGTTGGCCAGGCTGGTCTTGAACTCCTGACCTTGTGATCTGCCTACCTCGGCCTCCCAAAGTGCTGGGGATTACAGGCATGAGCCACTGCGACCGGCCCCATGGCCAGAAGGGTCCATTTCTTTTTTTTTTTTTTTTTTTTTTGAGACGGAGTTTCGCTCTGTCGCCCAGGCTGGAGTGCAGTGGCACAATCTCTGCTCTCTGCAACCTCCACCTCCCGAGTTCAAGCGATTCTCCTGCCTCAGCCTCCTCAGTAGGTGGTATTACAGGTGCACGCCGCCACCTCACCTGCTAATTTTGTATTTTTAGTAGAGACAGTTTTGCCATGTTGACCAGGCTGGTCTCAAACTCCTGACCTCAAGTGATCCGTCCACCTCGGCCTCCCAAAGTACTGGGATTACAGGCATAAGCCACCACGCCCAGCCTGTCTTGCCACCCTTAATGCACACATGAGAGGCCCTAAAATAACTTCTGGTAACTTGGGACTCATTTGGAAAATCAGAGGAGGCGCCACAGACCCTGTTTTGGGAAAAACCTCTGTTTTCCTCATGAAACCCCAAGAATTAAAAGTGGATAAATGGCCGGGCGCAGTGGCTCCTGCCTGTAATCTCAGCACTTTGGGAGGCCGAGGTGGGCGGATTACCTGAGCTGGGGAGTTCGCGACCAGCCTGACCAACATGGAGAAACCCCGTCTCTACTAAAAATACAAAATTAGCCAGGCGTGGTGGCATATTCCTGTAATCCCGCTACTCGGGAGGCTGAGGCAGAAGAATTGCTTGAACCTGGGAGGTGGAGGTTGCAGTAAGCCGAGATCCCGCCATTGCACTCCAGCCTGGGCAACAAGAGCGAAACTCCATCTCAAACAATCAAACAACAACAACAACAAAGCAGATAAATCCCTCTCAAAATCGAAGGCTCTGTTCTGTTTTGCATTGTGTTATCTGACGGTTTGAGTTTTGGGGGTATCAGAAATTACTTCCCATTATGATATCTAGGTAGGAAATATACTTTAAGTGATGGCTAATAATAGTTATGGAGGGATACCTGACTCTTTGACACTTGGATCAGAGAAGCATGCTCTTGGCCACTTGGAAGATAAGGAAATATCTCCACCCCCCACACTGGGAGATGAGACTCCCATGAGAGATGGGCTGATTACAAAATGGGCTGATTGGCTTTGGGTTGCCTTTCAATGAAATGCAGGATAGAGACCAGGCACCGTGGCTCACGACTATAATCCCAGCACTTTGGGAGGCCAAGGATCATCTGAGGTCAGGAGTTCGAGACCAGCCTGGCCAACATGGTGAAACCCCATCTCTACTAAAAATACAAAAATTAGCTGGACATAGTGGTGGGCACGCCTGTAATTCCAGCTACTCAGGAGGCTGAGGCAGGATAATCGTTTGAACCTGGGAGGCGGAGGTTGCAGTGACCTGAGATCACACCATTGCACTCCAGCCTGGGCAACAAGAGCAAAACTCAGTCTCAAAAAAATGGAAGGGAAGGGAAAAGGGAAATGAAATGCAGGGTAGGCCAGGCTCAGTGGCTCACACCTGTAATCCCAGCACTTTGGGAGGCTGAGGCAGGTGGATCACCTGAGGTCAGGAGTTCGAGACCAGCCTGGCCAACATGTTGAAACCCCGTCTCTACTAAAAATACAAAAATTAGCCAGTCATGGTGGTAGGCGCCTGTAATCCCAGCTACTCAGGAGGCTGAGGCAGGAGAATCACTTGAACCCCGGTGGCAGAGGTTGCAGTGAGCTGAGATCACGCCACTGCACTCCAGCCTGGGCAACAGAGCGAGACTCCCTCTCAAAAAAAACAAAAAAAAAAAAGGAAGAAAAAAGAAACACAGGGTAGAGGCACTGCACTGTCTTCTCCCGTAGTATTTCCCTCCTTTTGGGGATCCAGGATCCAGTATAGAATGGCACCTTTAATTTTGGGGATCTGTCTTTGCCTTCAGCTGCTTATTTGGCCCTAGAAACCAAGCTTTCCCAGCCCTGTTCCTCCAAGGGCTCCACCCTGAAGCCAGTAATCCAATTAAGAAACTGGCAAATGAAGAATCTTACAAGTGCTGAATCTTCTGTCTGTGCATTTATGTGTGTTGTATGTTTATATATAAAAGAGCTCTGATTAATTGGCTTAGAATAATAAGTACTTAAATATTTTGTCAGGGAAATAAAAACTTTAATGCCTTTTTGTTCATGTGATTTTAGTAATATTTTGGAAATAAAGACAGCTTTAAAGATGATTGGTAAAATAAAATGCCTTGAAAATATAGACATTTGGTCTAAATTAAGGTCAGATATCAGACTTGCTAAATGCTTTAAGGTCAAACTGTCTTGACTTTTGAAAATTGTTCGATTTACCCACTTTGGAGCATTAGATTAGCCATGCCCGCTAGCTATGCTAAAAGGAGTCAGACCTTATCTTCATTTCTGTCTGATGTCCTAGGTTCAACCCCAGTACATAATTAAAATCACTTACTTATCAGTTTTTTCACTAAAAGTAAAAGTTGCTAAGAGTTCATATTGTAACATGTAGTTGAGACCACTAGAGAGACAGTTTTACACACAAGGTGTGTAGGGAATGTGTTTTTGGTAAAAGATTATAAGAAGGCAGGATGGGCACGGGGGCTCATGCCTGTAATCCCAGCACTTTGGGAGGCCGAGACCGGTGGATCACTTGAGGCCAAGAATTCAAGACCAGCCTGGCCAACATGGTGAAACCCCATCTCTACTAAAAATACAAAAATTAGCCAAGCATGGTGCACGCACCTGTAGTCCCAGCTACTGGAGACGCTGAGGCAGGAGAATCACTTGAACCCGGGAGGCAGTGAGCCAAGATCGTGCCACTGCACTCCAGCCTGGGCGACACAGCAAGACTCCATCTCAAAAAACAAACAAAAAAAGGCAGCAGTATGGGAATATGGCTTTTGTTAAAGGGAATGTAATTTTGTCTAGTTCAGAGGGTTTTAAATATTGCCTTAACAAAAACAAAAAAAGGTTGTCTTAACCTAAAAGAGTAACAGAACAAAACTGAAGGTTTAAGCAAAGTGAAAGGGTTTGTAAAGGGTTGATCTTGTAAAAATTCTGTAGGTATACAGGCTGGACATGGTGGCTCACACCTGTAATCCCAGCACTTTGGGAGGCCAAGGCAGGCGGAACACCTGAGGTCAGGAGTTCGAGACCAGCCTGGCCAACATGGTGAAACCTGTCTCTACTAAAAATACAAAAATTAGCCAGGCGTGGTGGCATGCGCCTGTAATCCCAGCTACTCAGGAGGCTGAGGCAGGAGAATCGCTTGAACCAGGGAGGCAGAGGTTGCAATGAGCTGCGATTGTGTCATTGCACTCCTGCCTGGGCAACAAGTGCGAGACTCCATCTCAAAAAAAAAAAATTCTTGGGCCAGGTGTGGTGGCTCACGCCTGTAATCCCAGCACTTTGGGAGGCCGAGGCGGGTGTATCACCTGAGGTCAGGAGTTCAAGACCAGCCTGGCCAACGTGGTGAAACCCCATCTCTACTAAAAATATAACAATCAGCTGGGCATGGTGGCGCACATCTGTAATCCCAGTGGGAGGCTGAGGCAGGAGAATTGCTTGAACCCAGAAGGTGGAGGTTCCCATGAGCCAAGATCATGCCACTGCACTCCAGCCTGGGCAATAGAGACTCCGTCTTAAAAAAAAAAAAAAATTCTTTGAGTATAAACACATTGGCATAAATTTAAAAGAAATTATTTAGTTTTTTCCTTAGGTTAAAAACATTAAAATCATACTGACGTGGGGCCAGATTCTGGGCCCATGTGTCCAAATAACAGGGTTTTCTTAGAAATTGATCTACTGTTTGATAGAAAATCATAAAGGGTTCTAAAAAGTTTATGAAAATCTTACCTTGTGGTCAAACTAATTAAAACTGGATAGAGATATAAAATTTTATTTTAAAAACTTGCTTTAACATTAAAGATGCACTAATGCAAACATGAAATTTGGTTTTCTCTTTTGAAGACGTTTTGTATGTAATGTTAAAATATAATGAAAGGGTTTTGTTTTCTCCTTTGGGTAAATGGCAGGAAAAAAAAAGGGAAGAGAGAGAAAAGAGACAGATTCAGTTGGCCTCATGCTGTCTTCATTGTGTCTTGTTTGGAAAGTTAAGTCTCCTCTATTAGAGTAAAGGTTTTTCTTTTAAAAAAAATTTTTGGAGTTATCATTTTGGCCAAATGATTGACTTATGGTGACCTGGGATTCTATTTTGTGATATCCAGTGTTTTAAACCTTTGATATTTGACAAACTTTCCAAAATCAAGTTATAAATTATGTCTCTTTCTTACCTAATATTTTAGATATAAGCCCAAAAATGACATTTGGCCAGTGAGCCAGGAGTGCTGATTGGTCAGAGATGAAATCTTAGGGAGTCAGGCCTGTCTTCTCGTGCTCAGTCAGTTCCTGGGTGGCCACAGGATCAGATAGATCAGACGAGCCAGTTTCTTGATCTGAGTAGGGCCAGCTGATCCATCAAGTGCAAGGTCTGCAAAATATCTCAAGCACCGATCTTAGAGCAGTTTAGGGAGGGTCAGAATCTTGTAGCCTCCAGCTGCATGACTCCTAAACCATAATTTCTAATCTTGTAGCTAATGTTACTCCTACAAAGGCAATCTAGTCCCCTGGCAAGAAGGAAGTCCGCTTTGGGAAAGGGCTGTTACCATCTTTGTTTAAACTATAAACTATAAACTAAGTTTCTCCCAAAGTTACTTCAGCCTACGCCCAGGAAGGAACAAGGGCAGCCTGGAGGTTAGAGGCAAGATGGAGTCAGTTAAGTTAGATCACTTTCACGGTCTCAGTCATAATTTTGCAAAGGCAGTTTCAATCCCTCCCTTTGGGTTTTATAACACCTTAATCTTAAGGTGTAGGCTATGAAGATGGGAAAAGGCCATCAATCGCTCTGGCTTCTTCCTGCTGACAGGGGACAGACGTAGTGGGAAAGGGAGTGAACCCCAAGGTGAAAAGAGTGGAACTGCTTTGCAACTGTCTGAGCGACTCATGCAGGTCTGGATGGGCTCTCAAGGTTTGCATGGCAAAAACATGAGTATCTCATGAGATCTATAGTTTTACTACAGTGTAACGAGTCCTAGGATGAGGAGTACAATTCCCAGTTTTAAAAGCAAAGCTTTGAAAGCATTAGTTTGGGTACTTCTAACCCACAAAGAATATAGAATTTAGTCTAAACTGCAGAAAAAACCTCAAGAACAGCTAACAACAGTGTACTCTAGTTTTTCTTTTGAAGCATAATTTTTCTCTCTCCAGTCCCCATTTTTATTAAAAACAAATCATGATGGAACTGATTTGTTTACAAAGTAAACTTTAGTCTTACTGTACTTGGCCTGATTATTTGCATAAAGTGCAGCAAGAATAATTATTTTTCACTTAGGCTTTTTTAATTGGCTTTGATAGGACTCTGTTCCCCAAGGAGGGTGGATCACCTGAGGTCAGGAGTTCGAGACCAGCCTGACCAACATGGAGAAACCCCATTTCTACTAAAAATACAAAATTAGCTGGGTATGGTGGCACATGCCTATAATCCCAGCTACTCGGGAGGCTGAGGCAGGAGAATCGCTTGAAGCTGGGAAGCAGAAGTTGCAGTGAGCCAAGATCGTGCCACCGCACTCCCTCCAGCCTGGACAACAGAGTGAAACTCTGTCTCAAAAAAAAAAAAAAAAAAGTATCCCAGCTGAAAGACAACCGAGGAATCATTTATTTCCATCTCCCCATTTTGCAGATGAGAAAGAGACTCAGGGACCTCAGGACATTTGCCGGAGATCACATGGCGGGTAAGTAAATGGCAGCGCAGATCCCAGACTCCGGTGCCTGACTCCCAAGCCTGTCCTAGTTCACCCTTTCCCAATCCACAGGGTACCGGCAGCTTTCAGGTGACCAGCGGGCTCCTTGATAAAGACGGGGTTCCTGTCGTTCTCAGGAACGGAGGCTGGAGGTAAAGGTAGTTACAGGTGACCCACCAAGTTATCCTTTAAAACTCTGCTCCCCGAATGTTCATAGAGACTGATTTGAGTAATGATTAAAACTCTGGTCTCCCACCAAAAAAAAAAAAAAGACTCATTTGATAAATGAGTCTCAACTTCTCATTCTCTTAAACTGTCTTTCTGAAGAGCAGAAGTTCTTCATTTTTATAAAGTCCAATTTATCCTTTTTTTCTTTTACGGATCATTCTTTTGGTGTTGCGTCTAAGAAATCTTTGCCTAACCTAAGGTCACAAATATTTTTTTCCTATGTTTTCTTCCAAAAGTTTTATAGTTTTCGGTTTTACATTTAGGTCTAAGATTCATCTTCACTTGGGCCGGGCGTGGTGGCTCACGCCTGTAATCCCAGCACTTTGGGAGGCCGAGGCAGGCGGATCACGAGGTCAGGAGATTGAGACCATCCTGGCTAACACGGTGAAACCCCATCTTTACTGAAAATACAAAAAATTAGCTGGGTGTGGTGGCAGGCGCCTGTAATCCCAGCTACTTGGGAGGCTGAGGCAGGAGAATGGCGTGAACTTGAGAGGTGGAGCTTGCAGTGAGCCGAGATCGCGCCACTGCACTCCAGCCTGGGAGACAGAGCGAGACTCCGTCTCAAAAAAAAAAAAAAAAAAAAGATTCATCTTTGCATGAATGTTTCCATCCACTGTGCAGGCACTGTTTTCCACGAACCATTTCATGCCATTCTCACTTCATTTCTGCAAAGATATCAGGTACTATTTTTGCTCCCATTTTACAGATGAGGAAACTGAGGCTTTGTGAGGTGAAGTTGCAGGGTTTAACCAACTCCTTCTTTCTCCAGAGCTATATGCTTAAGGACAAAACTATATTAGCTTTTATTTAGTTCATGTTATTGTCCCTAAAATCAACTTGATTGATCAAGCTGAGTCCACAGATTGATTGATTGATTGATCAGGTCATTTCCTTCCTTGAATTACAGTCACTCCTACTCAAATACTTAGTAAGTGACTGCCCATTTGGAGAACTTGTCTAGAAACCAGGGTTCCTGGGTTCTAACCTGGGCTCAGATCAGTATCGCCACTGGGAAAAAAATGCAAATACGAGTTATTTCTAAAATCACCTCTAAGGGTCCTTCAATCTCGGCAGCCTAAAATCTCTGGGATTTTCCTGCGAATTTAGTCAGTCATTGCTGCAGTTGACATTTTTAGCCACAAGGAGGCACCAGGAGCACAGAATGGAGAAGGCGAAGCAAAGCGCCCTGAAGGAGGATCTGAGACCTGGGAATGGGAGGCGAAGGCGGAAGGGTGAAGGAGGTCTGGAGATTGAAGGGGAAACTGAGGCTAACTGTGGCCCACGCCGAGTTGTATCCAGGGACCCAGTTCAGCCTCAGGCTTGCTATTTGCCAGCAGGCCCTGGGCCCGTCACCAGTAACTACCTTCACCTCCAGCCTCCGTTCCTGAGAACGACAGGAACCCCGTCTTTATCAAGGAGCCTGCTGGTCACCTGAAAGCTGCCGGTGTGGATTGGGAAAGGGTGAACTAGGACAGGCTTGGGAGTCAGGCACCGGAGTCTGGGATCCGCGCTGCCATTTACTTACCCGCCATGTGATCTCTGGCAAATGTCCTGAGGTCCCTGAGTCTCTTTCTCATCTGCAAAATGGGGAGATGGAAATAGATGATTCCTCGGGTGTCTTTCATCTGGGATACTTTTTTTTTTTTTTTTTTTTTTTTTTTGAGACAGAGTCTCACTCTGTTGTCCAGGCTAGAGGGAGTGCAGTGGCACGATCTCGGCTCACTGCAACCTCCTCCTCCCAGCTTCAAGTGATTCTCCTACCTCAGCCTCCAGAGTAGCTGGGACTCCAGGTGCCCACCACCACGCCCGGCTAATTTTTGTATCTTCAGTAGAGACGGGGTTTCACCATGTTGGCCAGGCTGGTCTCAAACTCCTTGACCTCAGGTGATCCGCCTGCCTCACCTCTCAAAGTGCTGGGATTACAGGCATGAGCCACCATGCCTGGCCTCAGCCACCATGCCTGGCCTCAGCTGGGATTCTATTCAAACTACCTGAAAACTAGAGAAAGGAACGCATTCTCCTCTTTGTGTACTGGGCAGACCATCTCAACATTATGAGTCTTAGTTTCTGCTGCAGCTAGAAAAAGGGAGTAATAGCTCTGCTTTATGCATAGGACTGCCCTAGGCCCAGATAAGCTAATGTGTGGGAAATTGTTGTAGGCAGGTTAGGAATTCTCCTTTTCATTATTATTTATGTTCCTGGCTTGCAAAATGCAGGCATATTCTCAGTGTTCAGGATAGAACCTGGTGCTCAATAAATATTTGCTGAATAAATGAATGAATTAACAAATCCAGTCCAAACTCACTCCCAATAAGTGAAGTACTTCTATAATGATTCAAAGAGAGCCACCCAGACTTTGTTTGAACACTTCCCTTGGTGGAGAGCTCACTACTTCTCAAGGAGTGTATTGTCAGCCATCTTGAATCTCTAACACTTCACCTCCTTGGCCTTGGTTCTGCCACCCAAAGCCTTTGCCTATCCTGAACATAGAGCCTTTCTGCACACCTCAGAAACTTCCTTTGAGTTCTGCCAACCATGGGGCCACCTAACCTTGATGGAAGGAAGTAGAGAAATATTATGGTGGCTGGAAAGGGCACAAGGTCATATGAAGAGCTTTTCCTCAATATGGGAGGAAGTTGTCTATGTGGTAGGGGATGGAACCTGAAGAGCAAGCAGAGTGAAGATGCGGGAGAGGAATGCATAAATATATGTCCCTCTATGGGACATAAGCTATAGGGAGGTGGATCTTGGCCTCAGCCCCAGCCAAACATGGTGGTCCCATCCCCCTTGCCTGGGATTGGCTTAGGAATGAGCATGGGATTCAGTTATGTCCAATGAGATGGGAAGGGAAGTCTGCTGAGGGGCTTCTCTTAAGCAGCACAGGCTGGAAGAGACAGTCCCTTTTCTGCCTCTGGTTGAGGAATCTGAATGTGTTGCAACTGCTTAAGTCATGTTGCTGCCACCAAGACCAATATATGGAGAGGGGCATAACTAAGAGAATCACAGAGAAGTAGAGCTGGAGCTTTGATCAAACTGTGCCTGAAGGTGTTCTATGCCTGATTTCCTGTGAGATCATAAACCATATTGTGTAATCCCAGCGAATTGGCCATTGGCAAGTACCACCACCACGAGCATCCTAACAGATATGCAGATTTTAAAAATGGACTGTATTAATGTGGGCTCATTTATTTATTTATCTATTTATTTTTTTGAGACGGAGTCTCGCTGTGTCGCCCAGGCTGGAGTGCAGTGGTGCGATCTTGGCTCACTGCAAGCTCCGCCTCCCGGGTTCATGCCATTCTCCTGCCTCAGCCTCCCGAGTAGCTGGGACTACAGGCGCCCGCCACCAAGCCCGGCTAATTTTTTGTATTTTTTAGTACAGACGGGGTTTCACCTTGTTAGCCAGGATGGTCTCGATCTCCTGACCTCATGATCCACCCGCCTCGGCCTCCCAAAGTGCTGGGATTACAGGCGTGAGCCACCGCGAATGTGGGCTCTTTAGTGACAAGTACAGAAGCCCAATTCTGGCTCGCTTCAGCAGAACAAACAAACAGAACAGAATTGTTGGCTCAAATAACTGAAAAGTACAGAGTTGATTACATCCAGGGATCCAGAAAATTAGGACTCATCTTTCTCTCTCTGCTCCACTAGCTCCATTCTTAGGCTGTCACTCCCAGATCATAAAAAGGCCACTGGACCCACAGTCTCACAGCTTTGCAGCCCCAGAAGAAGAGGACTGTTCTTTCCCAATAGTTTCAACACAAGTCCTGGCACTTGAGTCTCATAGGCTGCTTCAGGTCAGATGTCCACCCATGAGCTAAGCATCAAAGCCAGAGGAGGAAAAGCACCAACTGGCCAAGAATGAGTGACACCCCCATTGTTAGATGTGTCTAGGGTAAGGCGTGACCAGATCAGTTCAATTCAACACATATCTAATTTTAATTTCTATGTGACAAGCACAATCCCAGGTACTGTTGCCCAAAGAAGGGGAAATGAATTCTGTGTCTATTCCACCAACCATAAGACAAGTCAGAAAGACAGGAGCTCTGAGAAAGTGACAACTGACATCCAGCTGAGTTATACCGAACACACACCATGTTCCCTAATGAATCACTGGTCCTGGAGCCACGTCAGTTGCTGGCAATCGTGAAATGGGCCACATCTACTTTCTTAGCCTCTGTAGAAACCCACTGACTTTGACCCAGTTGTCTGTGGGCCTGTGTTCTTCAGGATATGTTCATTTAATTTATTTTTTTATTTTTTATTTTTTATTTTTTATTTTTAGATGGAATTTCACTCTTGTTGCCCAGGCTGGAGTGCAATGGTGTGATCTCGGCTCACTGCAACCTCCGCCTCCCAGGGTCAAGCAATTCTCCAGCCTTAGCCTCCCAAGTAGCTGGGATTACAGGCACCCACCACCACGCCCAGCTACTTTTTTTGTATTTTTAGTAGAGATGGGGTTTCACCATGTTGGCCAGGCTAGTCTCAAATTCTGACCTCAGGTGATCCACCCACCTCGGCCTCCCAAAGTGCTGGGATTACAGGCGTGAGCTACCATGCCTGGCTTGTTCATTGAATCTTTAGGGGAGGAAGGTGAACTTCTTTCCATGCCTAAGGTAGCCATGGCTTATGGTCCCAAGAAGCATCTGAAGTGGTAGCAGCTCAAAGCAATGGATGCTGGAGACACTGACTGGTGTGTCTGCTCCTCATCCATCCACCAGTCCCCACAAGCTGAGAGTATGTCTCCTCCTCATCATTTTTCCTAAGAAACAGAATTAAGTATGCCCTGATCAGAGATGAACTAAAGATTTGGATGCTGCGGCTCATTAAGATTGACGACAAGGTCCAAACTGATAGAACCTACCCTGCTGGATTCAAAGATGTCATCATCATTGACAAGACCAGAGAGAATGTCCGTCTGACCTGTAACATCAGGGTCACTTTGCCATTCACCGTATTACAGCTGAGGAGGCCAAGTACAAATTGTGCAAAGTGAGAAAAATCTTGCGGCTACAAAAGGAATCCCTCATCTGGTAACCAATGATGCTGGCACCATCCGCTACCCTGGTCCCCTCATCAAGGTGAATGACATCATTCAGATTGATTTGGATACTGGCAAGAGTACCGATGTCATCAAGTTTGATACTGGTAACCTGTGGATGGTGACTGGAGGTGCGAACCTGGGAAGAATTGGTGTGATTACCAACAGAGAGAGGCACCCTGGATCTTTTGATGTGGTTCATGTGAAAGATGCCAACAGCAACAGCTTTGCCACCTGGCTTTCCAGCATTTTTGTTATTGGCAAGGGCAACAAAACCCAAGGAAAGGGTATCCACCTCACCACTGCTGAAGAGACAGACAAGAGACTGGCAGCCTAAAGCAGTGGGTGAAATGGTCTCTAGGTGATATGTTAACAAGATCTTTGTACCTAATTAAAAATAATGCAGCCTAAAAAAATTGGGGTGTATTTGGCCAACTGGATCAACTAATATAATGTTTTTAGCTTGCAATTTGAAAATAACAAGTAGAGCTTAAATTAGCCAAGAATTTGTTATTTATTGAAAATAACAAGTAGAGCTTATATTAGCCAAGAATTTGTTTGGTTACAAGTTATTAAAATTCAACTCAAAGTCAAGACTAAGAGGAGGCCAGTGAGGAGCTGAGGGTGAGAAATGTATGAAGGTGCTCACTGTCAGGTTTGTAAAGATGCCTCCTTAAATTTTGCTCCTCAAGTGCCTCATTTGACTTGCTCTGTTCCCACTTCTGATCCAACTCAAACTAACTTAAGCCAAAAAGGAAAAATTACAGGCTCAATAGTTGAACTAGAAAAGGCACAGTGATGAAGCTGGCCTCAAGCACACATGGACCCAGGGTTCAAATGCACCCATATTTATTTACTCTTCTCTCCTGCTGTCTCCTCCTGTCTGCCTCCTCACTCTCTCTTCTGCTTTTCTCTGCCAGTTTGCTTCAGTCTCTCCTACCACCATTAGTCTTTCTCCTTACAATTAGTTTATAGTCACATACAGCACCAGGCTAAGCTCTTCATCTTGCAAGCAGAACTAGGCGCGGGGGCAGAGGACTAGGAGAAAGACTTCCTATTTGCTATCTTGGGTCAATATGCATGCCTGGACCAATCACTGTGGTGATAATATATTTGCCCAGTGTTGGACAGAACTCACCACTGTGGTCTAGGGGCTGGAGGCTGAGACCAGAAGACAGGAGGATCTGATGGGCAGACCAAGACAGCTCTTAGTATTTCAAGTCTTAAATACTCTAGCCTTTATTTTTATTTTCCTATTGAAACAATTATTTTTAAATCACACAGTTTGATAATCGGAGGTTTCTTTTAAAATGCAACTATATTTGTTCCAGTAGTAAAAATAAGAAAAAAAAATGCGGCCGGGCACGGTGGCTCACGCCTGTAATCCCAGCACTTTGGGAGGCTGAGGTGGGCAGGTCACCTGAGGTCAGGAGTTCAAGACCAGCCTTACCAACATGGAGAAACCATGTCTCTACTAACAATACAAAAATTAGCCAGGCGTGGTGGTGCGTGCCTGTAATCCCGCTACTTAGGGAGCTGAGGCAAGAGGATCACTTGAAGCTGGGAGGCGGAGGTTGCAGTGAGCCGAAATCACGCCGCTGCACTCCAGCCTGGGCAACAAAGTGAGACTCTGTCTCAAAAAAAAAAAAAAGAAAGAAAAAGAAAAAAAAATGCAACTATTGAATTACAGAATAGATTCCACTCAGGGGCAGGAAGAGGCAATAGGGAAAGAGATAAATTAGAAAGGAGAAATTAGAGCCAGCTGATAGAGGCCCTTGAGTTCATTATTTTAATACATTTGCATTAAATGCCTATTCAGTGCCAGGAATGGTAAAGTTTGGATTCTATTCTGTAAGCAGCAAGGATTTTGGGGGGGCAGAGGCATGTCAGAGTAAGAGAAACTGCTCTGAAAAGGCAACAAACCATGGGTGATCCTGGAAGAGAGATAACAAGCCCACCTGCTGGAGAGGTTGTCCCAGGCCCAGAAACCAGTGGGCAGCACTTGCGGAGCACAACCTCTATGCCCCGCCCACCACGGTGCCCGCTGGGGGATGGTATCTAGGATCTCGATGCCCACAGGACAGGATCTGACACCTTTCAAGTGGCCACAGGTTGGTCCCTAAGACCATTGAGCCTCCATTTTCCTCATCTGCTCACTGTTTACCAAGAACATATACATCGAGAAAACGTTGTGTCAAAAGATAACTAATATTTATCAAACACTTATTCTATGCTAAATCCTTTGCACGCATCATCTGATCAAATCTTTGTGATAAACTGTGCAGAGACAGCTAATTTTGCCCCATATTTGTCCTATCCATTGTTACCTGGTTAAAAAAAAAAAAATCTCTACTCTTTGGCTGGGCACTTAAAAACTGCATTTCTCAGCCCTCCTTGCAGAGGTATAACCATGTGACTAAGTTCTGGCCAAGGGGAAAGAAAGGAAAGTGTCACATCAAACTTCTAGGGAATTTTTGTTTGGTTTTGTTTTGTTTTTTGAGATGGAGTTTTGCTCTTGTTGCGCAGGCTGGAGTGCAATGGCGCAATCTTGGCTCACTGCAACCTCTGCCTCCCGGGTTCAAGCGATTCTCCTGCCTCAGCCTCCCAAGTAGCTGGGATTGCAGCCATGCTCAACCACGCTTGGCTAATTTTGTATTTTTAGTAGAGATGGAGTTTCTCCCTGTCCGTCAGGCTGGTCTCGAACTCCTGACCTCAGGTGATCCACTCACCTCAGCCTCCCAAAGTGCTGGGATTACAGGTGTGAGCCACTGCGCCCAGCCTTCTAGGGAATGTTCTTAAAGGGAAAGAGGCACATCCTTTCTTTCTTTCTGTTGACTGGAATGTAGTCAAGATAGCTGGAGCTCCAGCATCCATCTTTGACCATGAGGTAGTAGCTAGGTATTGAGGATGGCACAGCAAGAAGATAAAAGACACCTGGGTCCCCAGTGGCTGTAAAGCCACCCTGGACTTCTCATATTCATTATAGCAAAGTGAACCTTTGTCTTTTTTGAGCCACTGTTGTTTGGTTTTTTTGTTACTCCCAACCGAAGCTAATCCTAACTGCTATTCCTAACTCCCTTGCGTTGGCTGTCCCTACTGGCTTCCCTGCTTCATTTTTCTCCAGAGCACTTATTACCAGCTAATGTATTACATTTGAATAATTTGCATGTTTACCATTGGTCTCCTCCAATAGAATGTAAGCTCACAAGGGCAGGAATTTTGTGTGGTTTGTCCACTTTCACATTTCCACCTTTTCCATAGTTCTCGAACACAGTAGACACTCAGTACATATGTGTTGAATTGATTAATTGAAGGATAATCAACCCTAAAGGTAAATAATCTTACGATCTTATAGAAGAGGATGCTGAGGCTCAGAGAGGGCCGCAAATTAGAAAGGGATGGCTCCTGGAAATTCACCAAGGCAATCTGGCTGCAGAATGCATGCTCCTCAATACTAACTCAACTGCCAACACATGCACCGAAGTCACTTAAAAGCCTTCTAGCTGAAACCATACACTGTCTTTAATGGGGAAAGCTACACTTCTTCAGGGAGGAAATGTGAGCAGAAGTCCAAGGCCAAGAAGATTCTCTGAGGGCTCAGGCTTAGTTACGAATGAATATTGGGAGTAAAAACGGGAAATCTCAAATATCCTGGATTCTAAGACACCACTGATTATAAGACACACCACCAATTTAATTAGGGATAGGAAAAGAAACACTTCATTAAATATATACATTGGTCACGAGAAACATTCTGATTTCAGAAACATTATAATGGGGAGAATCTGTATCTTCAACTGAAGCGATGGGGTAGTCAAAGATGCCTTCGAGAAACTTGTTGAGGACTTCTTTTCTTAAATTTTCCTGGAAGGAATACAGTTTGACCAATCTTTTCTGTAAGAGAACCTAAAACAAGGCTAAATTCTTTGATTTCCACCCACCACTCACATCTCTGCTACAGTTAATCACTCCCTTCCTTCCCGTGCACGCCTCTTTCAGTGAAGCTGCTGAGTAATGAACGTGTTTGTTATCTCTTCTGCAATATGGGGCTGGAGAGTGAGAATCACATCCTTAATCGTGCCCTGTTTGCTTCCAAGGCTCTAGCACAGAGCCAGATACGTAATAGGCACTTAATGAATATTTACTAAGAGAAGGCACGAATGGATCAACGAGCAAATACATAGGAGAATGGATGAATGGTGATGCCTGCACCTGTCAGATTCTCAGTGCACAGGGGGTGTGTGTGTGTATCTGTTATCATGTGTGTTCCTGGTAGAACCCAAGCACGTCTCCAGGGATTTGAGCAGCATCAAAGAAGGCAAAAGCAGAAGAGAGACCTCCTTCCAAATAATCGGGGAAAGGCATTGATTATGTGACTTTGGAGAAGAGAGCTGCTTTCACAGTGGGAGTTGGGGAGGGGTCCAGCCTCTAACTCCACTAACCAAAAACCTCAGTGTCTCTTCAATTCTAGAAGGAAACCTGGTGCTAACCTAACCTCCCCACTGTCCAACTCACAGGCAGGAGAAAGGTGAGGCACATTTTCTCCCCAAAGTATGCAGAATGGCGGTTGCCATGAGCACTGGGATCTGCATGTTACTTGACATCCATTTTTTTAGAAGTCTGGTTGCTATGGTAACAAAATACCATTTTCCAGACTAAAGATACATCTCTGGTTCAAATCTGAGGGCGATGACGCTCTTTCTAGACATCTCCTAGAGTGGCAGGGTGGGACCAAGCCTGTCGCCTCAGGGCTCAGTAAACACGGAGGAATTCAATGGAATTGCACTGAAGCAGCCTATGAAAAATGTCTGATGGAAGAGGAGTGCAGCTCCCATTTCAGCCTGCCCAGGTTGAGCGGCTGCCCAGCATCCTCCTCCAAACCACCCCAGGCATTGTTGACACTGCCCATCACATAGGGACCAAGTGCTTTCAAAGACCAGCAGTGTTGCTGGTTGGCACATATACCAAGGGCAGGCAGACACAGCCACAGCCAAAAAGCCAGATGTTCATTCAAAAATAGATATTTATTGAGCACCTGCTATTAGCTCTGCATAGTCCTAAGCACTGTGAATACAGATACAAATCATCCTTGAGGAGTCTACAACCTGCCCTCAAGAATGCAGATGGGGCCAGGCGTGGTGGCTCATGCCTGTAATTCCAGCACTTTGGGAGGCTGAGGTGGGAGGACTGCTTGAGCCCAGGATTTTGAGACAAGCCTGGGCAACATAGTGAGAGCCTATTTTTATTTTTATTTTTTTAAAAAGAAGGCAGATGGTAAACAAAGAAATATACTATAGTTTATCAGCAGGTGTTATAGGCTGAGTAGTGGAACCCCCAAAGATGTCCACTTCTCAATCCCTGTGAATTACATAAATATGTTACCTTATGTAGCAAAAGGGATTGTGCAGATGTGATTAAGTTAAGGATCTCGAGATCAGATTGTCCTGGATTCTCTGGGTGGGCCCAAAGTAATTGCAAGAGTCCTTATAAGAAGGAGGCAGAAGGTGGGTGTGGTGCTGCATGTCTGTAATCCCAGCTGCTCAGGAGGCTGAGGCAGGAGTTGGATCGTTTGAGGCCAGGAGTTCGAGTTCAGTCTGGGTAACAAAGCAAGACCTCATCTCTATCCCTCTATCTCTTCATCCATCTATCTATATTATTCAAGACAGGGTCTCACTCTGTCACGCAGGCTGGAGTGCAGTGGTGCGATCACAGCTCACTGCAGCCTCGAACTCCTGGGCTCCAGTGATCCTTCTGCCTTGGCCTCCAAAAATGCTGGGATTACAGTGTGAGCCACCATGCTTGGCCTGAGACCCTATCTCTAAAAAGAGAGGCTGGAAATCAGAGAGAAAAGAAGCTAAGCTGCTGGTTCTGAAGACAGAGGAAGAAACCATGAGCCCAGAAATGCAGGTGGCCTCTAGAAGCTGGAAAAGGCAGCTAGGGGAGAAACAGATTCTCCCTTAGAGCCTCCAGAAGGAACATAGCTGGCAGAGCACAGTGGTTCGCACCTGTAATCCCAACACTTTGGGAAGCCGAGGCAGGAGGGTTGTTTGAGGCCGGGAGTTTGAGACCGGCCCAGGCAACGTAGTGAGATACCATCTGTTAAACAAAAACAAACAAAACTTAGGCAGGCATGGTGATACATGCCTGTAGTCCCAGCTACTCAGGAGGCTGAGGCAGGAGGACCACTTGAGCCCAGGAGTCTGAGGCTGCAGTGAGCTAAGATCACGCCACTGCATTCCAATCTGGGTGACAGAGCAAGACCCTGTCACTAAAAAATAAGAATAAATTAGAAGGCCATGGCTCACACCTGTAATCCCAGCACTTTGGGAGGACAAGGCGGGCAGATCATCTGAGGTCAGGAGTTCGAGACCAGCCTGGCCAACATGGTGAAACCCCCCCCCCATCTCTACTAAAAATAACAAAAATTAGCCAGGTGTGGTGGCACATGCCTGTAATCCCAGCTACTCGGGAGGCTGAGGCAGGAGAATTGCTTGAACCCAGGAGGCAGAGGCTGCAGTGGGCCAAGATCATGCCACTGCACTCCAGCCTGGGCGACAGAGACTCCATCTCAAATAAATAAAATAAAAGGAGCACAGCCTTGTGGCCCTGTTTTAGATGTCTGATTCCAGAACTGTGAGATAATAAACTGTGTTGTTTTAAGCCACTGTTTGTGGCATTTGTTACAGGAACAATAGGAAACTAACACAGATGGTGAGGAGTGCTAGTAAAGACTACAGCAGAGATGCGCGCAGAGTGTGCTGGGGCAGGAGTGGGGAGGTGGGAGCTGGAAATGGGGTGACCGGCATGCTGCTCAGAGAAGCTGGCATTTGGGCCCAGACATGAAGGGAGTGATGAGGGAGCCCTCTGAGTGCCTGAAGAATATCCCTGGCCAAGGGAACAGCCCATATGAAGACGCCCAGGTGGGATTACCTGGCCTGTTGGGGTTAACATCAAGGAAGCCAAAGTGGGGCAACTCTCTGAGGGGTGGACTAGAGGATGAGGTCAGAGAGGCCACAGGGGTGGCTGAGACAAGGCCTAGTTGGCCATGGGGAGCCATGAAGGATTTAGGGTAGGGGAGGGACATGATGAGACTCACTTTCTAAGGATCTAGGTTAAAGCGTTCGATTAGCACTCATTTGATACAAGATAGGGTCTTGCAATCCTAAAAGGGCCCCTCGGCTGAGAACAGAATGTGCAGGCTCCTGGGAAGAGACATGGAGGGCAGTGTGGGGGATCAGTCAGAGTGGTGGGAAAAACTACAGGGAAAGGACGCAAACCTGAAAGATCAGAAGGTTCTGCAGAGCCCCGGGGAAGAATAGCTGAAGGCAGCTGTTCTATAACCCTGAAGCAGAGAGCAAGGAGTAGGAACAAGGGAGTGTGGGAGAATTCATCTTAAACAGGCTTGTTTACTTATGTTGACCAGGAACTGACCTTTGATGATCCATGCATGCAAGGTTCCCTGAAAGGGGAACAATACATCTTAATTACCTACAGGTTGTGTTTGCTCCAGGTTTTCGGCATTGTGCCTGCACTGAGTAAAAGAAAGCAGCTTCAGCCTCTTTGGGCTGCTCTCTGGCCACGAGAGCCAGGCAGTCCCCAAGCTGCTCTTACATTGCATGCCTGTATCTGAGTACTCATTTCATCCGTCAGCTAGGGTCTGCGGGACAGATCCGGTAGGGTAGGGAGGAGGTTGCTGCACTGCTCCACGTAAGAGATGATGGTAGCGTGGACCAGGTAGGAGCAGCAGACATGGTGAGAACGAGTCAGATCTCGGGTGCAGTTGGAGATAGAGCTGATGTGAATAGGTCTGGACTGGTTAAAGGGTATGAAGGAAAGAGAAGAGTTGAGATTGATGCCAAAGTTCTTGACCTGAGCAACCATGGCTGACATTACCATCATTGGTTTATGTCATTTTATTGATTGATTAGGTGAGATAGGGTCTTGCTCTGTCGCCCAGGCTGGAGTGCAGTGGCACGATCATAGCTCATTGTAGCCTCGAACTCCTGGGTTCAAGTAGTCCTCCTGCTTCGGCCCCCCAAAATGCTGGGAGTGTAGGCATGAGCCACTGCACCTGGCTGGTTTATGTCATTTTCACTTTGAGTTTATTTACTTCTAAGTGGAGGGCAGGAAAGACTCTGGAACTGAGAGAAGTCCCGACTACAGATATAACTTGGAGGCCATTAGTTTATAAAATGGTGTTTTATGCCAACAGCCTGATGAGCTCACTAAGGGAGCATGAGGCACTTCAGCATCTCAAGGTCAAGGAGATAAGAAATCAGCAAAGGAACTTGAGATGGAGCTGCCACTAAATAAGAAGGAAATCAAGAGAGGAGGTAAATAAAATGTATTCAGGAGGAAGCAATGATCAGCTGTATCAAATGCTGCTGAGAGCTCAGTAGGGGAATCGACCGCTGGATTTAGCAGTGTGGCGGTTGTCAGTGACCTTCAGAAGCACTGTGGAAGCCAAGGCCGGATAGGAGTGGATCCAAGAGAAGGAACTGGACCAACACGCAGCCTTTTTTCAAGTTGTGCTGTAAAGAAAGGCCAAGAAATAGGGCAATGGCTGGAGAGGAGATGTAAGAACAAGACAGAGGCTTATTTCATTTTTTTTTTTTTGTAAGTCTGTTTTGTCTGATGGAAGAAATGATAAAACGTTTGTATGCTGATGGAAAATAGTCCAAAAGAGAGGTGAGGGGGTAATTGATAACACAGAGGAAAATGCAAGGGCTTTCTGGACTGGCCTCCCTGGAGGCGATGAGCAGGGATGGGCCCAGGCGGCAGGGGAGGCGCTGCCTTCAGGCCGGCATTCAGATGTTTATCCACAGGATGGAGGAAAGGCCGTGCCTGAGCACAGATGCAGGTGGGCGCTGATGAGTCTGGGGAGGTTCTCTTCCAATTGCTCCAATTTTCTCTAGGAAGTAAGAATCAAGATTCAGCTGAGAATAAGAACAGGGAAGGAAATGTGGGGGCTTCAAGAGAGAGGAGGAGGTGTGAAATTAGCATCTAGAAGCGAGGGAGTGTAAACGGACGAGGGAAATATAGTAGAATTGCCTGGCAGTCCTGGGGGTTTACTGGAGACAAATGAGGAATATTCTTTCTCCACAGTGCTTAGCTGCTTGGGTGCTGAGCTGCTTGGGTGCAGGCTTGCAGTAGGTGGACACTTGTTTTAATGAGATTTGGGCTTCTGCTGAGGTCAGTACAATAAGCAGAAGGGAATAATAATGGCCCCTCAAAGATGTCCACCTTCTAATTCCTGGAATTTGAATATGTCACGCGACATAGCAAAAGGAAATGAGAATTAAGGCTGTAGATAGATTAAAGTAGCTGATCAAGCCAGGTGCAGTAGCGCACACCTGTAGTCCCAGCTACTTGGGAGGCTGAGGCAGGAGGATTGCTTAAGACCAGCCTGGGTAACATCACGAGACGCCCATCTTAAAATATTCTTTTTAAAGTAGCTAATCAGTTGACCATGAGATGGGGAGATTATCCTGCATTATCAGGGTGGGCCTGGTGTCATCACAGGGGTCCTCATAAGAGGAAAAAGAAGGCAGAAAAGAGAGAACCAGAAAGATGGCATGGTGAGAAAGATACAACCAATGCTATGGACTTTGACTGAAGGTGGAAGAAGCAGCAATGAGCCCAGGAACGCAGGTGGCCTCTAGAAAGTGGAAAAGGCAAGGCGATTTCTTCTTCCTAGAGCTTCCAGTGGGAACCCAGCCCTCCTGACAGCTTAATGTTAGCCCAGTGAAACCCACTTCGGACTTCTGACGTCCAGAACGGTAAGATAATACATTTGTGTTGTCTTAAGCCATTAGGTTTGCAGTAATTTCTTACAGCAGCAATGGAAAACAAATACAGGGATACACAAGGAAGCAATGAGACTTAAGCTGAGTAAGGAGGGAAATGAACTATGAGAAGGAAAAGGTAGAAAGGTAAGTGAACTGGAGGCCCAGGTAAAGGGGTCAAAGAACTGGAGACGGGGTACTACATTCTTGTACTGGGGAATGCTTTAAACTGATATTGTGAAGGGGCTGCAGTTGTTGATAATGGCACGGTCAAGAGTGTGACAATGGGGCCAGGTACGGTGGCTCATGCCTGTAATCCCAGCACTTTGGGAGGCTGAGGCGGGTGGATCACCTGAGGTCAGGAGTTCAGCACCAACCTGGCCAACATGGTGAAACCCCATGTGTTTTAGCCAGGCGTGGTGGCGCATGCCTGTAATCCCAGCTACTTGGGAGGCTGAGGCAGGAGAATCGCTTGAATCTGGGGGGCAGAGGTTGCAGTGAGCTGAGATTGCGCCACTGCACTTCAGCCTGGGTGACAGAGCGAGACTCCGTATCAAAAATAAAAAAGAAAACAGCCAGCACCAACATGCCAGGCATGTGGGTGACCGTGTCAGAGCTGACCCCCCAGGCCAGCATCGTGAATGCAACCTCACAAGACACCCCAAGCCAGAACCACGCAGCTGAGCTGCCCTTGAGTTCCTGACCCACAGGAATGACGAGATTAAATGATTATTGTTGTTTCAAGTTACTACGTTATGGGGTGATTTGTTCCACATAGACAAGTAATATACCAGTTCCTTTTTTTCTTAATAGGTAACACCTCTAAGTTACAAATGAAGTGACTTCTTCAGGCAGGTTGCTATTGGCCCCCCTGATTAAATTAGGAGCCCTTCTCACAGTGCTCTGTTCTTCTGCTGCATAATTAAATGATTATTGCATGGTAATTTGCTTGGCTGGGCGCAGTGGCTTACGCCTGTAATCCCAGCACTTTGGGAGGTCGAGGCAGGCAGATTAATTGAGGTCAGGAGTTCGAGACCTGCCTGGCCAACATGGTGAAACCCATCTCTACTAAAAATACATAAACTAGGCTGGGCGTGGTGCCTCACACCTGTAATCCCAGCACTTTGGGAGGCTGAGGCAGGTGGATCACAAGGTCAGGAGATCAAGACCAGCCTGGCTAACACAGTGAAATCCCGTCTCTACTAAAAATACAAAAAATTAGCCGGGCATGGTAGCGGGTGCCTGTAGTCCCAGCTACTTGGGAGGCTGAGGCAGGAGAATGGCGTGAACCCAGGAGGCGGAGCTTGCAGTGAGCCGAGATCATGCCACTGCACTCCAGCCTGGGCGACAGAGCAAGACTCCGTCTCAAAAATAATAATAATAATAATAAAATACAAAAATTAGCCAGGCATGGTGTCGCACACCTGTAATCCCAGCTACTCGGGAGACTGAGGCACAAGAATTGCTCAAACTGGGAGGCAGAGGTTGCAGTGAGCCAAGATCGCACCACTGCACTCCAGCCTAGGAAACAGAGACTCTGAC
Organism: Homo sapiens; assembly: GCF_000001405.40. Lineage (NCBI taxonomy): Eukaryota > Metazoa > Chordata > Mammalia > Primates > Hominidae > Homo > Homo sapiens. Next base: position 20,537,735 of record NC_000001.11, read on the forward strand.
TCAAAAAATACAAAAATAAAAAATAAAAATTTGTTTAATGTATGTATGCCACTGATATGGATTCCACTCCCAAACAAGACTGTAAGCTCCAGGAGGGCAGGAACATTCCCTTGTTCTCCTGTGTACCCACCTGCCTCGCACAACACCTGGCACGTAAGTATTCAGAAATCATCTGTTGAATGACTGCTGGGGTGAATGAATAGCATCTGTATGTGGTTAGATTTGGGGCTCAAGTGGAAGGATTTGTGTTAATACCAGTTTCAGTACAAGATGTAGCCAACCTTGGCAGGGCATGGTGGCTCATGCCTATAATCCTAGCACTTTGGGAGGCTGAGGCAGGAGGATTACTTCAGTCCAGGATTTCAAAACCAGCCTGGGCAACATAGTAGGACCCCATGTTTACAAAAAATAAAATTACCCAGGTGTAGTGGCACACGCCTGAGGTGGGAGGATCACTTGAGCCCAGGAGGTCGAGGCTGCAGTGAGCAGAGATCATGCCACTGCACTCCAGCCTGAGCAACAGAGCAAGATCCTGTCTCAAAAAAAAAAGATGTAGCCAACCTCAAAATCCCCTCCTCTGGCCCTGTCTTCGATCCCATCTGCTGTGGCTCACAGCCTGGTGAGCTGCAGGTGTCTCCTCATCTGCATTCCTGAGATCCAGCTGTATCCAAATACTGGCCTTTTTTTGGACTGTTCTGTTGTTTGTTATGCAAACACGATTTTGCTTTGAACTGGACTGTAATTTGATGGATGTGCCAAGAGCTTATCTCATGGGTACAGGTGCACTGCAGGTAACATTTGGATCCATCAGCTTTGCTCACTTCTTGCATCCATCCCATTCAGTACCTGAGCATCTGATTATAGACATGCTGTTCTGAGGGCTCCTTTATGATTAAAATCCTTCAGAATGGTGACTTTTGTCACATTCCTCTTTTTCCTTATTCCCTTAGTCACAAATCCACATGTGCAATTTTGCCAAAGATTTTGAGCATGCCATACAGATTTTAGTTATTGCTCTGCCACTTATTAGCTGTGTGACCTTGGGCAAGTTATTGAACCTCTGAGCCTCAGTTCCCTCATCTGTCATATGAGGTTACAATAGTTCCTATCTTGCAAAAGTAACTGTGAAGATTGGCTATGATAAAGGAAATTGGCTTTGCATAATGCCTAAGTATTTACTAAGCTTTAAGTAAATATTGGTTTTGTTATATTAGAAATGAATGTAGCTTCAAAGTCAAACAATTACATCTTCAAACAGGTCTGCAGCAGTATTTAGGATATCCATGAGCATTCTAGAGCAAACAGACTCTTCTGAAGAATATGCATGCACCTTTAGCACCAAAAGGCGCACATACACACACACACACACACACACACACACGCACACACACACACCCCTACCTACAATGGAGATATATTCACATGGTCAATCACAGTTCATTTCTACTTATCACTTACATAATCACTTACAACCATCTAGATATTAAGAAGATTGTACTTCAAGAACATTGAAAACCCTGCCAAAACCTCTCTAAATGAAACAGTTCCCAGCCTTCAAATGAGGCATTGTACCAATCTCTATCCACCTTTTTCAGAGAGGAAAGGCAAGCAACCCAAGGTCACAAAATGAGTCACTGTTGGAAGTGAGCATTTAAAAAAAGTAATAAAAGTGTATGTGCTGTCCTTTAAGAATAACACTGACCTGCCATCAATGAGAGGTTTGCTCTAAGCCAGGGGTGTCCAATATTTTGGCTTCCCTGGGCCACTCTGGAAGAAGAATTGTCTTGGGCCACAAGTAAAATACACCAACACTAACGATATAGCTGGTGAGCTAAAAAATTTAAAAATGGCCAAAAAATTCATGTTTTAAGAAAGTATGAATTTGTGCTAGGCCACATTCGTAGCCATCCTGGGCCACATGTGGCCTCGGGCCGTGGCTTGGACAAGCTTGCCCTAAGCTGTTTTCTTGCAGTGGAGGTGATGACAACAGAGGGGAGCTGGCAGAAGCAGATCACGTTCAGCTATTCAACAAACATCTTTTGAGTATCTACTATGTTCCAGATGCTGTCCAGGCCACTGTGGAGTTGGCAGTGTTTAAGACAGATGCATTCCCTGCCCTCTACGTGTTACAGTCTTGGGAATGGAGAGAGAGAGGCACCAAATAAATGATTACACAAATAGTTATCTGATTATAATTCTGATAGATGCTTTGAAGGGTTTACATTGAGGCGCAGGACCCATGGAAGTCAGGAGGGGTCAGGAAACTTTCCCTAGAGCAGTGACACTTACTCATCGGCTTGAAAGATGAATAGACTAGAAGAAGAGGGGATGGGGACAAGGGGGAACAGCATCTGGAAAGTACCCAAGACAACAAGGTACTCAGTGGTTAGAGAAACTGGAAGGAAGCTAGTATAGCATGGCTTGGGCAGAGAGATGTTGGAAAGGAGCTCACAAGGAAACTAGGGAGAGGGCAACCTTGCAGAGTCTTGGGGGCCAGTGTGACAGATGAGGATGGTATTTTTCTTCTGCTGAGAGACAAACTGTCCCAAAGCTTAGCAACTTAATGACACTCATGTGTCATCTCACAGTTCCTATGGGTTAGGAAGTCAGAAGCAACATAGCTGCATGCCCTGGCTCAGTGTCTTTCAGGAGGCTGCAGTCTACATATGAGCTGGGGCTGTGGTCATCTGAAGGTTGAACTGGGGCCAGAGGGTCCACTTCCAAGATGCTTACTCACAGGGATGCTGACTTGGTGCTGGCTGTTGGCAGGAGGCCTAAGTTCCTTGCCATGTGGACTTCTCCATAGGACGGCTTGAGTATCCTCATGACATGGCCACTGGTTTCTGCCATAGCAAGTAATCCAAGAGAGAACAAAGCAAAAGCCACAGGATCCTTCATGTCCTAGCCTCAGAAATCACACAGTGACACTTCCACAATGTCTTATGCATTACTTAGTCAGCCCCATTCATTGTGGGAGGAGAATACACATAGGCATGAACACCAGGAAGTGAGGATCACTGGGTGCCATCTTGGAGTCTGGCCACAACAGCAATGTCTTCCATATCTCTTATGTGCCCCCCACCCCAGTGTCTAGTATTAAACTCAGCACCCACTTAAAATGATCCCTGGTCAAGTTTGGTGGCTCTAAGTGCCTGTAATCCCAGCACTTTGGGAGGCCGAGGTGTGAGGAATGCTTGAGCCCAGGAGTTTGAGACCAACCTGGACAACATGGTAAGACCCTGTCTCCAAAAAATACACACAAAAAATTAGCCAGGCATGATGGTATACTCAGGAGGCTGAGGTGAAAGGAAATCCTGAGCCCAGGGACGTCAAGGCTGCAGTGAGCCACGATCGAGCCACTGCACTCCAGCCTGGATGACAGAGTGAGACCCTGTCTCCAAAAATGATTCTTAAGATGTTTGGTCGAATTTACAAACCGCAAGGGACTATGGCAATTAGTCCAACTTTCCTATTCATTTGTCAGAAAAAAAAACTGAGTGAATACACAAATATGAACAAATTTATCAATTGATATGCATTGTTTGGGAAAAACACAAAGCGTGTTTGCATGTTTTTCCTCTGCTCTTGCACCACCGCAACAGCAATTACCAACACAGAAGACTTCTCTGATCAAACGTGGGCAGGTTTCCCCCATACACCAAGCAGCGGACACAAACTGAGTGTTCAATTAAATTCTGACACTATCCGATCCCACAAGTAGATAGTGTCAGATCCCACAGGTTGAGGGCTCAGTCCCCAAGACAGCCCTCCCCTTCCCCACTGCAGATCCCAGTTGCAATTCTGGGCCTCCAGAACTTCTGACCAGGATTCCCACAACCTCCACTTTGGGTTCAATTAATTTGCTGGCACAACTCACAGAATTCAGGGAAACACTTAACATGTACTGGCTTACTATAAAGGATATTACAAAGGATAGAGATGAAGAGATGCATAGGGTGAGGGGCATGGACGCATAGGGAAGGTGCACGAAGCTTCCATGCCCTTCCTGGACGCACCACCCTCCAGGAACCTCCATGTGTTCAGCTATCTGGAAGCTCCTGAACCTGGTCCTCTTGGTTTTTTTTTGATTTTTGTTTTTTGAGATAGAGACTTTCTCTGTCACCCAGGCTGGAGTGCAGTGGTGCAATCTCGGCTCACTACAACGTCTGCCTCCTGGGTTCAAGCAATTCTCCTTCCTCAGCCTCCCAACTAGCTGGAATGACAGCCACATACCACCATTCCTGGCTAATTTTTGTATTTTTAGTAGAGACGGGGTTTTACCATGTTGGCCAGGCTGGTCTTGAACTCCTGACCTCAAGTGATCTGCCTTTTGGGTTTTTATGACAATGTTGTCGAAATGTGATTGGCCTCCAGGGTATGGGGTGGGAATGAGAGTCTTTAGAAAAGTGGGTGGGAAAAGTAAAGTCCTGCCTTGGAGCAGGTGAAAGGAGGATGGAAGAAGGTCTTCGAGGTTCTGTTTCCTGAGCCCTGCCCCTGAGGCCTAAAGCACCCAACATTATGATAAAAGACTGTAACAAGGGCTATGGGCATCATGAGCCAGGAACCGTGAGGACCTGAAGGAAAACCTGCATCTATCCTAACACTACAACATGGAGGTACTTTTACATTTCCAGGAACAAGTGATAATGCAATCAAGTATCTGTAAGTAGGATACATGAATCCTGAGCACAATATGAACCACCAGAAAACTACCAAGGAGAACCTTCTCATTAGACGTGGAAAATTGAGATGGATTCCCCATCTCTTCCCCAAGCCTCACTAAAACAGGAAGGAATGGAAAGTGACCTAAGTGACAAGAAACAAATGAGAGGTGGCAGCAGCTGAGAGGTGGCGGCGACACTTGGGAGGATGAAAGACGGGGCAAAAGCTCAGCAGAGGGGAGAAGACTGCAACCCAACAAGAACCAGCCCAGCCACATCGTGCGGAGGAGCCTGGACACCCAGGAATTCTGAGCAGCAGACATTTCTGGTGATGAGGGCGAGGGTGGTGAGAAGGGAGGACCCACTGAAAGCCCGCAGTGAGAGCCCCAGCTACCCTCCAGGATCCGGAGCAGCATGGAGATGGCCACCTTGCCCTCCACATCAGAAGCTGCACCAGATCTTTACCCTCTGGGGGGCTGAATCAACGAGTGCTAGACTGAAGCACCCAGGCACAGCCAAGGGTGAGGGAGCCATGATCCTGAACATAGCATTGACTGATTAATGAGACCCCCTGGGCCTGTCTTCAGTGCACTCCCAGTATGGGGACAGCCAGACTGGCGCACCCCCTCCGTGAGGGCAGGAGACCCTAGGAGCGCTCTCTGGGGACAGTGACTGCAACTCTCGGTTCCCTTACAAATGGCTGAGTTGTCACCAGAAAATGACACTCACATATGGCAAACCCTGTCCTCCCCTCCGCTCCCTGGCCCTCATACATAAAGAGCTTCCAATCAGCTTTTGTGCCTCTCAGCTTAGGACTGGACAACACTAATACCAAACATTAGAGGAAAGCTGCAAAGATTCAGACATTTGCATTTTTGAACTAATTTTTTTTTGAGACAATCTCACTCTGTTGCCCAGGCAGGAGTGCAGTGGCACAATCTCGGCTCACTGCAACCTCCGCCTCCCAGGTTCAAGTGATTCTCCTGCCTCAGCCTCCCAAGTAGCTGGGATTACAGGCACATGCCACCACGCCAGGCTAATTTTTGTATTTTTTAGTAGAGACGGGGTTTTGCCATGTTGGCCTGGCTGGTCTCGAATTCCTGACCCAGGTGATCCGCCCGCCTTGGCCTCCCAAAGTGCTGGGATTACAGGGGTGAGCAACCACACCCAGCCTAATTTTTTTTAAAACAGCAGAAAGGAACTCAGGAAGCAGATCAATGCAGGAAACTGAAGAAGACTTTTAAAAACAACTGTAGGCTGGGTGCAGTGGCTCATGCCTGTAATTCCAGCACTTTGGGAGGCCAAGACAGGAGGATCACTTGAGCTTAGGAGTGGGAGGGCAACACAGTGAGAGCTCATCTCTCCTAAAAATTCAACGAAATTTGCTGGGCGTGATGGCAGGCACCTGTAGTCCCAGCTACTCAGGAGGCTGAGACAGGAGGATCAGTTGAACCTGGGAGCCCAAGGCTGCAATGAGCTATGATCATGCCACTGCACTCCAGCCTAAGCAACAGAGCGAGACCCTGTCTCAAAAAAAAAAAAACACAAAACAACTATCCCTAGAAAACCCTAAATATTCCACCAAAAAGACTTACAGTACTAATACATTAATTCAGCATCCTAGGCTCAGGAAATTCTTCTGCTTCAGCCTCCGTACCCAGCTGTCAGTTGGATTTCCATGCATTAACAATGAACAATCTGAAAAGAAAAAGTAAGAAAACAATTCCATTTACAATAACATCAAAAGGAATAAAATACTTAGGAATAAATTTCACCAACGAGGTGAAAGACTTGTACACTGGAAAACATAAAACATTGCTGAAAGAGGCTGGGCACAGTGGCTCACACCTGTAATCCCAGCACTTTGGGAAGCCAAGGCGGGCAGATCACCTGAGGTCAGGAGTTCAAGACCAGCCTGGCCAACATGGCAAAATGCCATCTCTACTAAAAATACAAAATTAGCCAGGCATGGTGGCGGGCAACTGTAATCCCAGCTACTCAGGAGGCTGAGGCAGACGAATCACTTGAACCCAGGAGGCAGAGGTTGCAGTGAGCTGAGCTCACACCACCACACTCCAGCCTGGGTGATAGAGCAAAACTCCATCTCAAAAAGGAAAATATTTACAAATCATACCTCTCATAAAGGATTAATATCCAGAATATATAAAGAACTCAACACAAACAGCCCAATTTCAAAATGGGCAAAGGACTTGAATAGACATTTCTCCAAATAAGATAGATATACAATAGCTAACAAGGATTTGAAAAGATGCTCAACATCACTAATCATTAGGGAAGTGCAAAATCAAAAACCACAATGAGATGTCACCTCACACCCATCGGACAACTTCTTAAAAAAAAAAGCGTATGGAGATATGGAGAAATTTGATCCCTTGTACACTGTTGGTGAAAATGTAAACTGGTGCACCTGCTACGGAAAACAGTAGTGGTTCCTCAAAAAATTAAAAATAGAATTATATGATCTGGCAGTGCTACTTCTGGATAGATATCGAAAACGATTGAAAGCAGGGTCTCAAAAAGATTTTTTTTTTTTTGAGACGGAGTTTTGCTCTTGTTGCCCAGGCTGGAGTGCAATGGCACGATCTCGGCTCACTGCAACTTCTGCCCCGCCGGGTTCAAGCAATTCTCCTGCCTCAGCCTCCAGAGTAGCTGGGATTACAGGCACGCACCACCACACCCAGCTAATTTTTTGTATGTTTAGTAGAGATGGGGTTTCACCATGTTGGCCAGGCTGGTCCCGAACTCCAGACCTCAGGTGATCCAACCACCTCGTTCTCCCAAAGTGCTGGGATTACAGGTGTGAGCCATCGCGCCCGCACTCAAAAAGACATTTATACACACGTGTTCATAGCAGCATTATTCACAATAGCCAAAAGGTTGAAGCAACCCAAGTGTCCATCAACAGATAAATGGATAAACAAAATGTGATGTACACATACAATGGAATATTATTCTGCCATAAAAAGAAAGGAAATTCTGATACATTGAAGATATGCTAAGTGAAATAAGCCAGTCACAAAAAGACCAAAACTCCATGATCCCTTTACAAGAGGTATCTAGAGTAGCCAAATCCACAGAAATGGAAAGTTGAATGGTGGTTGCCAGGGGCTACGGAGAGCTGGAAATGAGTTGTTGTTCAATGGGTATAAAGTTTCAGTTTTGCAAAATGAAAAAGTTTTAGAGGTTGGTTGTACAACAATACGAATAGGCTTACCAATACTGTTGTGTACACTTAAAAATGGTTAAGGTGGTCAGTTTTATGTTATGTGTATGTTACCACAATTGAAAGATTAAAAATTTCAAAAAGCAACTACAATTAACATTCTTAGAGACACAAGAGATAATACTATGTCCATGAAACAAGAATAAGATGCTATAGAGAAAAAAAAAGACAAGAAATTGCTCTTAGAAGCAGATTTGTGAGGAGAGGGATTTTTAAAAATCTGATAGAAAAGTTGGATGATAAAGTTGAAGTAATGTCCCTGGAAATAGAAAAAACATTTTTTAAAATGGAAAATTGCAAAGAACACTTTGAAAAATTAGAGATTGAACTAAAATAGATCTGGAAAGAAAACAAAAAAGAGAAAATGGAATGGAGGAAACTAGCACCCACAGAAATTTCACCAAAATTGATTTCCAAATTAAAAGAGATTGATTTCCAGAATAAAAGGCCCACCAAGTGCCCACAGAAAATGCACATCATTATGAAACTGTAGACCTCTGGAAGATCCTGAAAACTTCCAGAGGGAACAATCAAGCCATATGCACAGGACAGGGTATCAGACTGTCATTTGACTTTTCAACAGCAACCATGGATCATGTCTTCAAATTCTCAGGGAAATTTATCTCCAATGTAGAATTCAGCACCCATATGGTTTGGATCTGTGTCCCCGCCCAAATCTCATGTGGAACCGTAATCCCTAGCGTTGGAAGTGGGGCCTGCTGGGAGATGATTGGATCATGGGGGCAGCTTTCTCCTTAGTACTGTGTCGTAATAGTGAGTTCTTGTGAGATCTGGTTGTTTAAAAGTGTATAGCACCTCCCCTCCCTCTCTCTTCCTCCTGCTCCATGTGACACCCGGCTCTCCCTTCACCTTCTACCATGATTGTAAGTTTCCTGAGGCCTCCCCAGAAGTAGAAGCCACAGTGCATCCTGTATAGCCTGCAGAACCAAGTCAATTAAACCTTTTATAAATTACTCAGTCTCGGGTATTTTTTAATAGCAATGAGAGAATGAACTAACACAGACACCAAGGCAAACTATCAATCAAAGCTAGTAGAATATATGCTCTGTCAAAACAAGAAAATAACAACAAAAACCAAGGGATCCAGAAAACAGGATCCAACATAGGAAAGAAGCAAAGGAAACTCCCAGGATAGTAGTAGCGTAAGGTCCCGGGACAATAGCTCCATAGGTCTCTGCATTCCAGATGGGAGCCCAGAGAGGATGCCTCCAAGAGGGATGTCCCTAAGAAACACAAAGAACTGGAAAAATCACCTGGTGTGTTCAACCAGGTCAAGAGGAGTTTTACCGTTCCATTGGAGAAGTGGAGGATAAATTAGTGATAGGTACACAAGGAAGTTTTTTTCTTTTCTTTCTTTCTTTTTTTTTTTTTTTTTTTGAGACAGAGTCTCGCTCTGTCACCCAGGCTGGAGTGCAGTGGCTCAATCTCGGCTCACTGCAAGCTCTGCCTCCTGGGTTCACGCCATTCTCCTGCCTCAGCCTCCAGAGTAGCTGGGACTACAGGTGCCCGCCACCATGCCTGGCTAATTTTTTTCTTGTATTTTTAGTAGAGACGAGGTTTCACCATGTTAGCCAGGATGGTCTCGATCTCCTGACCTCATCATCTGCCCGCCTCGGCCTCTCAGAGTGCTGGGATTACAGGCATGAGCCACCGTGCCTGGCAAGAAAGTTTTTTTCTTAAAAAATGAGGCAATTACTAACTTCTGAAAAAAACAAAAAAAGTTGTCCAATAAGGGAAGTAAGTGGAATCATGGCCCACTTTAAGGCTCAGCTCTGAACAATATTTACATAGTTATAAAAATTAAACCTTGAATACTGTTGCAACAGAAACAACAAAATGTTGGCCAGGTGCGGTGGCTCACGCCTGTAATCCCAGCACTTTGGGAGGCTGAGGCAGGCAGATCACGAGGTCAGGAGACTGAGACCATCCTGGCTAACACGGTGAAACCCCGTCTCTACTAAGAATACAAAAAATTAGCCAGGCATGGTGGCAGGCACCTGTAGTCCCAGCTACTCGGAGAGGCTGAGGCAGGAGAATGGCGTGAACCCTGGAGGCGGAGCTCGCAGTGAGCCAAGATCACCAGGCCACTGCACTCCAGCCTGGGCGACAGAGCAAGACTCCATCTCAAAAAAAAAAAAAAAGAAACAACAAAATGTTCTAACTCAACTGGGAGGGAGGGAGGAGGAAAACTATGTGTGATGGGGGTGGATAAAAGGACAACATTCTTCATCTTCTCTAACAGGGAGACAATATATAAGAATTTAAAAACTGAAATGTCTGAATTAGAAGGGTCAGAGATATGGAGGCATATGACAGAAATGCCATCTAAAATGTATAGAAAAGCCAGGTGCGGTGACTCACGCCTGTAATCCCAGCAGTTTGGGAGGCCGAGGTGGGCGGATCACTTGAGGTCAGGAGTTTGAGACAAGCCTAGCCAACATAGTGAAACCCCATTTCTACTAAAAATACAAAAATTAGCTGGGTGTGGTGGCGAACGCCTGTAGTCCCAGCTACTTGGCAGGAGAATTGCTTGAACCCGGGAGGCAGAGGTTGCATTGAGCTGAGATCACGCCACTGCACTTCAGCCTGGGTGACAGGGCCAGACTCCGTCTCAAAAAAATAAAATGTATAGAAGAGTGGTTGTCTGTGGAAGTGGGAATTGAGACTAAAAAAGGGTGGGGTAAGGGATTGATTTGTTTTAAATTATAAGCCTACTATAAGCCAGGTATTTGGCTTTTTAAATTAATATTAGTATAAATATGGTAATGATGTTTGAAAAAAGAGAAAAGATCCAACTGCATGCCAGTCTATGAAGTAGTGACAACCTGGTGCCAGGCTGGGAGCTCTTACCAAGGAAAGGAATCAAGAGAAAACAGAGAAGGCAGCCCTGGTCCCATTCATGATGAGTTCAGCCTCCATGACTGGGACCAGACCAGCTTTTCGAGACATCTAAATAGAAAGGATGGTGGAAGCCCAGAGGGCAGCTGAGCCCTCTATACTAGGGGTCTCCAACCCCCCGGCTGCCGACCGGTACCAGTCTGTAGCCAGTTAGGAACTGGGACGCACAGCAGGAGGTGAGCGACAGGCAAACGAACATTACTGCCTCAGCTCCACCTCCAGTCAGATCAGCAGCAGCATCAGATTCTCATAGGAGCGTGAACCCTATTGTGAATTGCACATGCAAGGGACCTAGGTTGCATGCTCCTTATGCAAATCTAATGCCTGATGGCCGGGTGTGGTAGCTCATGCCTGTAATCCCAGCACTTTGGGAGGCTGAGGCGGGTGGATCACCTGAGGTCAGGAGTTTGAGACCAGCCTGGCGGACATGGTGAAACCCTGTTTCTACTAAAAATACAAAATTAGCCATGTGTGGTGACATGTGCCTGTAATCCCAGCTACTCCGGAGGCTGAGGCAGGAGAATCACTTGAACCTGGGAGGCAGAGGTTGCAGTGAGCCAAGATTGTGCCACTGCACTCCAGTCTGGGTGACAGAGCAAGACTCCATCTCAAAAACAAACAAAAGGAAAAAGGATCGAACTAAAGCCTGATGTTCTGAGATAGAACAGTTTCATCCTGAAACCATCCCCCTCCCCTCCATGGAAAAATTGTCTTGCATGAAACTGGTACCAAAATGGTACCAAAAACGTTGGGGACCGCTGCTCTATAGGAAAAAGGTTACAGGAAGAACAGAATGCCCAAGACCAAGCTTGCTTTGAGGTCAAGGGATTGTAACATAAAAACAGACTACTGGGCTTGCTGTGATCTCACAGTCCCAGGTGATGCCCTCCCCATCCCCTGAGAATTTCTCCAAAGAACAATGGGAATAGAAGCCACATCACCAGGATTAAGGAAAGTGGGGCAGGCTCCAGAGAGAGTAGAGACCTTCAATGTGCAGCACACATGTACCTATGGCCACTTGATCTCTAGCCTGCTGGTAGGCAGGAGGCTTAGGGTTGCCAGATACATGCAATACTTGAGACATACTTAGACTTTACAATGCTGTTTCTGACCAGGGGTGGTGGCCCACACCTGTAATCCCAGCACTTTGGGAGGCAGAGACAGGTGGATCACTCAAGGCCAGGAGTTCAAGACCAGCCTGCCCAACATGGTGAAACCCCGTCTCTACTAAAAACACAAAAGTTAGCTGGGTGTGGTGGCACATGCCTATAATCCCAGCTACTTGGGTGGCTGAGGCATGAGAATGGCTTGAGCCCAGGAAACAGAGGTTGCAGTGAGCTAAGACAGTACCACTGCAGTCCAGCCTGGGTGACAAAGTGAGACGCTGTCTCAAAAAAAAAAAAATGTTTCTCCAAAACACATTTAGTGACATTTTCTGTGTCTTTATATGTTAACTCTAGCAAGCCTAAGGGGCTGGTTACACCTTCCTTCCATCAACAGCTGGAGTTCAGCCAGGCCTGGTAGCTCATACCTATAATCCTAGCAATATAAAAGGCTGAGGCGAGAGGATCGCTTGAGTCCAGGAGTTTGAGATCAGTCTGGGCAACATAGAACCTGTTTCTACAGATTTTTTTTTTTTTTTTTTGAGACAGAGTTTCGCTCTTGTTGCCCAGGCTGGAGTGTAATGATGCGATCTCAGCTCACCGCAATCTCCGCCTCCCGGGTTCAAGCGATTCTCCTGCCTCAGCCTCCCGAGTAGCTGGGATTACAGGCATGCGCCACCACGTCGGGCTATTTTTGTATTTTTAGTAGAGACGGGGTTTCTCCATGTTGGTCAGGCTGGTCTCGAACTCCTGACCTCAGGTGATCCGCCCACTTCGGCCTCCCAAAGTGCTGGGATTACAGGCATGAGCCATCATGCCCGGCCTCTACAGAAAAATTTTAAAAACTAGCCAGCCATGGTGGTGCATGCCTATGGTCCCAGCTACTCAAGAGGCTGAGATGGGAAGATAGCTTGGGCCTGGGACGTCAAGCTGCAGTGAGCAGTCATCTCTGCTCTCCAACCTGGGAGACAGAGCAAGACCCTGTCTCAAAAAAAAAAAAAAAAAAAAAAAAAAAAAAAGCTTGCAGTTTTCTCTGCCTTGCAAGCTGAGGCTTTGCTTCTGAGCACTCCCACCAGCCCACTGCCAGCGGGGAGAGGGAACCCCCAGTGGCAAGGTCCAGAGAACAGCCCTAGGAGACTCAAGACAGGATACGGCAGAATTTTACAGTGAACTGACTTTCAGGTCAAAACCACATGAAGTCCTTTCCATAAAGGGATTTGGTTGAGTTAATGTCTCCACTGGCCCAGGAGACAAATGTAGCGCCATGGAAAGCACTGCAATGATCACTGGCTTCTCAGAGCCTGTTCTCTCCCCCTGGGAAATGAGACCACATCTGCAGGGTGGGGAACAGTAGGAGACTTACTTTCATGTCCTTCTTCTGTGAATTTTTACCACAAGCACATCTTCCTTTTATAATCAGCAAAAGGTGATAAAGATATTTCCATATTAAAAATGAACCGAGGCTACAACCAACCAGATCATCTGGGAGGCACCCTCCAAACCAAAGATACTGCAATTCGGAGTAATTTCCTGTTCTTTATTTGCATATTATTTTCTTGTTGTGGTTTGTTATTTTACTTATATTCCCCCAGGGATTCTGACCCAGACACTCACTCCTACCCACTGGCAGGATGTTGCTGGCCGAGATAGCACACACTGTCTTCCCAAATCTTCCCACTGCTCCCACTCTCGGAGGTCATGTGGTTTGGCTTGGCCCAGCCCAAGCTCTCAATTCAGCTCCAGCCCAGACCTGGGTTCACTCCTGACCTGGACACCACCCCAGATGACCTGTTCAGAAGCCAAGGAAAGAGCTTGAGTGTTGACTCTGTGAGAGCCCAAGGCAACAAGACTCCTGGTCATATCAGAGCAGTCCTGGAGTTCTAGGGAGCTTGTGGCTTAACCAATCTTGAAAGAGGGAGCTGTGTCCCCACACCCAGGGACAACTGTCTCTCAGTATATCAGAACTTCCTCCCTAGCAGGTCCTCATCACTTCTCATTAGGAGGTCCCGGGGAGCATGGAGGGTTGGGGGCAGCCCCTGGGTCACCAGGGCCTGAGTGGAGCCCTAGTTTTACCTCCTACCAGCCTGAAGACCTTGGGCCAGTCATTTAACTGAGCCTGGGCTTGTTCCAAGAATTAAATAAGAAAATGAATGCTAAACCCCTGGGAACTCACAGGAGTTCACAAATAGGAGTTTATTTAATCATGCGCCCAGAGGCTGCCCTTTCGCCAGAAGGAGCTTTTCAACTGCAATTACCACAGACCCTGTTCTGAAAGTTTCCCCCACCCTCCAAGAGTACCCTCCCTGCTTCAGACCAGGCGAGGGGCACTGCCAGCCACTGCAGCAGCGGCCAGGTCTCTCAGCTCAGGCCCAGCGGTCTGGCCCACGACCTTGGAAGAACCTGGGAGAAAGCTTCACCAAGCGACAGTACTTTTCCACTGCACTGCTCGGCCACCTCGGCTGGCTTTGTGCTGTGCAGACGAGGCAAAGTGCGCCAGGCCAGCCCCTTCAGGAACACCCCCTAACTCCCACTCTCAGAGATGGGGGTAATGACATGCTGTGGGTGAGGGGCAGCAGGAATCGTGGGGCGCGGGGGTTCCCGAATGCGCCAAGGGGAGCTTGGAGACCAGTAGCGAGGCCAAATAAATTAGCATGGACGAAGCCCTCCTGTATATTTCAGGGGATTCCTAGTACTTAACAGCCCTCTCTACCCCCACCCCTCCACTAATAATGATTAAACCCGTTCCACCGCGCCTGTGCAGGGTCCCGGGCAGCGCGAGCCTGCGTGGGGGGAGGGGAGAAGAGGGCAAGGGGAGGGGACAAGAGAGCTAGCGGTCCCGCCCGGTGATGTAGGCAGCCCGGGGAGGTGGAGCCGCGACGCCTGAAGGAGTCCCCACCGCAGCCGCGCTCTCGGTCTGCCCCACTAAGCAGCCGCCAGCGGCTCCGGCGACCCAAATTGCGGCGGCAGGGACCGCGGAAATCCCACCGTTTGGGCTTGGTGGACGTCCAGCCCACCTCACCCCCAGCCCCGGCCCCTCCTCGCTTCCCAGACGGCTGGAGACACTCCCGGGAAAAGCGGTCCTCAGCCACTCGGCCGCCGTCCGCACCTCGGCTGCTGGCCCGGCTGGGCACCGGGCATCTGCGAAGCTAGCCCTGCCTGGCACTGGGCATCTCCAGGCAACGACTGTCCCCGGCCCTGCCCAGCTTCTCGCGACTCCAGGGCGGTGGACTTCTGCGCGCCTTCCCTCCCCCGGTCTCCCGACAGGACGCCGGTGAGCTCCCTGCGCCCCCAGCCCCTTTCGCCGCCGCCGCGATGCTGCCCTGGAGACGTAACAAATTCGTGCTGGTGGAGGACGAGGCCAAGTGCAAGGCGAAGAGCCTGAGTCCGGGGCTCGCCTACACGTCGCTGCTCTCCAGCTTCCTGCGCTCCTGCCCGGACCTGCTGCCCGACTGGCCGCTGGAGCGCTTGGGCCGTGTGTTCCGCAGCCGGCGCCAGAAAGTGGAGCTCAACAAGGAGGACCCGACCTACACCGTGTGGTACCTGGGCAACGCCGTCACCCTGCACGCCAAGGGCGACGGCTGCACCGACGACGCCGTGGGCAAGATCTGGGCTCGCTGCGGGCCTGGCGGGGGCACTAAGATGAAGCTGACGCTGGGGCCGCACGGCATCCGCATGCAGCCGTGCGAGCGCAGCGCCGCCGGGGGTTCGGGGGGCCGCAGGCCGGCGCACGCCTACCTGCTGCCGCGCATCACCTACTGCACGGCGGACGGGCGCCACCCGCGCGTCTTCGCCTGGGTCTACCGCCACCAGGCGCGCCACAAGGCCGTGGTGCTGCGCTGCCACGCTGTGCTGCTGGCGCGGGCGCACAAGGCGCGCGCCCTGGCCCGCCTGCTCCGCCAGACCGCGCTGGCGGCCTTCAGCGACTTCAAGCGCCTGCAGCGCCAGAGCGACGCGCGCCACGTGCGCCAGCAGCATCTCCGCGCTGGGGGCGCCGCCGCCTCGGTGCCCCGCGCCCCACTGCGCCGCCTGCTCAATGCCAAGTGCGCCTACCGGCCGCCGCCGAGCGAGCGCAGCCGCGGGGCGCCGCGCCTCAGCAGCATCCAGGAGGAGGACGAGGAGGAGGAGGAGGACGACGCGGAGGAGCAAGAGGGAGGAGTCCCCCAGCGCGAGCGGCCGGAGGTGCTCAGCCTGGCCCGGGAGCTGAGGACGTGCAGCCTGCGGGGCGCCCCGGCGCCCCCGCCGCCCGCGCAGCCCCGCCGCTGGAAGGCCGGCCCCAGGGAGCGGGCGGGCCAGGCGCGCTGAGAGCCGAAGGACAGGACTCGCAGCCCCAGGCCCGACCCGCCAGACTCACAGCCTCCAACCCCGGCCCTGCCCGCTTCGGCTGCCCCGGCCCCCGGCCCGTGTCTCCCCCGTGGTCTCCGTGTTGTCCGCCCCGCCGCCTCATTTTGGCTCAGGGTGATGCCTGATACGCCCTTGGTTATTGGGGGGTGTTCCTCTCTCCCCACACCCGGAGTTTCCCGGGCCTGCCATTGTGGACCCGCCCCCTATGCTTTACACCTAGTCTCTTTGCCCACAGACCTCCTCATTCCCTCCCAAAACATCCTCTCAAGAGAAGGGAGGAGAAGTTTCAAGAAATCAGGAGGGGTGGGTTTGGACCCTGGGCAGGGTGGAGGCAGTGACCTTGCCCTTGGTCCCTCTAGCCTTCTTCCCTGTGCAAAAAAAAATGACCCTGGAGAGGCATTCTTGTAGGAGAAGAATCTAGCGGCCGGGGAGAATTGGGGCCGGGCCGGCGGTGGGCAGAGTCCGCTGCTATACACACAGGGAGGAATTCTCACGCCCAAGCCCCGCCTCTCTACGCCTTGGAGGACTCCTGTGACTTCACTGCTCTGCCTCTGGAGAACACTGGGAGAGTCCTACCGACGTTCAAACAACAGGTTAGGCCAGGTAACAGCCCTGCACCAGGCCGCTGCCCACGCCTCTGCCCTGGCACCCCCAGGGGATTCCTTGCCCATCCCATCTCTCTGCAGACGGATGTGTGTGGCCCCCTCCTAGGTGCCCCACAACCAGGACCAAGATGGGGCTCCCAAAGGAGGTAAGGAGAACCTTTGGCAGGTGCTTAGGACACTGACTACCTAGAAAGTAGACGCAGCAGAGTTGCTCCCAAGTCGAGGCTCCTCAGAGCAGGTGGGTCCTGACAGCAGTGGATTCTCCCAGCAGGATGAGGAAGGAGGGTGTGTTAACCAACCAAGGGAGTGGGCCCCCCACCCAGGTGTCTCCGCAAGACCACAAAAAGCCCAAAGATCTATGTGTCACTGATCATTGTAAATAAAGTGGACCTGCTTTTACAGCCCTGTCACTACTCCTGTGTTGTGTTTAATGCCAGGCCTGCTGGGGGTGAAAAAATGGATTGAAGATCAGATAAGCCACAGGTGAGCCTGTATAGCTCCCCCTGGTTACCATCAGAAACCTGAAAGTAGTTCTTTTGAGCAGCCAGAGCCAACCCCAGGATTAGGACGGGATCTGGGGACTGCTGCCAGGAAGCTGTTCCTTAATGTCAGAGAAGGAGGCAGTAACTTATGCCTTGTCTGAAAATCACATGTGCCAGGCTCCCTGGAGGGACGTCGGCTGTCTGTCTCAGCCTCCCAGGATGTCTGTACGCCTGGGCACTCAGATGCAGGTGTCTGGGACATTTGGCAGGGAGGGAGCACTGGGCTGGGGGCTTCTCATAAGCATGTATTCATATCTCTGAGAAGGTTCATGTGTATTTCAGAGCATATGGTATAGACTGTGTGTGTGCTCTCAGGGATGAGTGCGAGCAGGTTGTAAGAGAATGTGGTGAGCAGCCCAGTTTTCTTTCAGAGGCTCTGGAAAAACCTGTCCAGACCCTGTGGCAGTGTGAGTCTTCAGCTGGATATCTTCTTTATTCCTGTGCTGAGCTGGGCACTGATCCCAGAGTTACTCAGAACTCAAAAGAGTGGCCTCCGCCATTGCCAGTAATCAGAATGGTTCTGTTTCCTGCAACTGCCAGGAAATAGGACAGCACTGCCGTCTCACCCTGCAGAACCCAGGCATTTCACCCTGCAGAATCCAGGCAGTGTCAGGGGCTTTGGAGGGAAAAGCTGGGGTTGACTCCATATGTCCAGAGTAACAAGAACCCACTGGGCAGGGCCTCCCTGCATGTTCTTTGCCTCCTTCTTACATGTTGCCAGGACTTTTGTTGGTGTTTCTCCCCATTTGCAGAAAAACGGAAGTGGGAAGATGTAAGACCTAGGAATGGACGATGGGCTGCAGGCAGCCTCTGATGTGGCTGAGACAACCCCAGACCTGTCTAGAAACAAGATCACGGCATGCCCTCTTCAATCAAATTCATGCAGCAGATAGTTTCGAACTGCTAGGCACTGGGAGGTCCAGGAGGCCCTCTCTTGCTCTTACATTTGCAATGAGATGCATATAATTAAAGGAGCAGTTACTGTATAATAATTCACAGGTCAGGCACAGTGTCTCATGCTTGTAATTCCAGCACTCTGGGAGGCTGAGGCAGGAGGATTGATTGAGCCCGGGAGTTTGAGGCTGCAGTGAGCTATCATCACCGCCACTGCAGCCTGGGCAACAGAGTTAGACCCTGTCTCTAAAATAGTAGTAATAATAATAATGATTTACAAGCCTGCTGCCAGCTCCCAGCCTCAGCCCCTGCTCTTCCGTTGTTCACCGGCAGCCTCTCAACACACAGACACACACACACACACACACACACACAGCCTCTCGCCTTCCCTCACTCACGCTATGTTCTCTAGACCTGGAATTAGAAGGCCTGGGTGAGAGGACTCCTCTCTGTGCCTCCTATTAAACAAAGGTGAAATGGGGATAGCATCTCCTCTTACAACCTCACCGGCTGGTATAAGTATTAAGTAGAATCATGGCTGTGAAAACCCTTCAGTAAATAATAAAATGCCCAGTACATGTGAAGAACAACCACTCCAACTCCTGCCTCCCTGGTGAGAGTGGCTGTAAGTTTTGCTGAGCACATCTGCATTCTCAGTGTGTATGATGGACTGAGGGTCAGGTGAGCCACTGGTGAGCCTGTATAGCTCCCGCTGCTGGGCTGCAGAGTTGGGCGTAGGGGACTGCTCCAGCCACAAGGCCCGTGGTGGCATTGCTACCCAGGGGAGAGGGGGCATCTCCTGGGCACCCACACATGCCTTTGTCTATGCATTTACTCAACATTCTCCCTGATCTTAGGCACAAGATACCAAAATGAACCCCGAATTAGTGGTCAGGTGGTTCAGCCCCTGTGTCTCTCCTCCCAATGTCAGATTCCCCACCTGTAAAATGAAAATGAGAATGGAGCAGACCAGTGCTTTTCAAACGACATTCCTCCTGTCCTAGACTTCTCAGGGGTGCCCCAGGAGCTGCTGTGGGGAGTGATGGGGAAATGGAGTAGGGAGACCCCCGCCTCGCTTTAACTAGAGCAGTATGTGTTACCTGTCTGGGGATTCTATGAGTCCATTTGAATAATGGGATTTACAGATTTTTGAAACAATTGAAATCACTGAGCAAGAGGCTCTCTAAACCTTCCCTTCCAGCCCTGAGGCTCTAGGGCCTGTTGGGCTGACTAGGTGTGAGAAGTATTATTGGAGCAGGTCAGAGATTCTCAAACGCGGCGGCAACAGAGGGCTTTTCAAGAATGACAGGCAGCCAAGGATGATGCAGAAGGGTGTCCCCAGGGAGGCCAGCAATTTGGGGTCAAGACTCTTCCTGGGACCTCTGGGACCTATCTCCGTCTCTTCTGATCCCACTCCAGCAGGGGTGGGCTGTGGCCAATGTGACATGTGACACAGCACATAGCTCACAAAATAAAGTCAGCCCAGCCACCAGTGCCATCCTGGCTCCCACTGCTCTACTTCCACCCTGCAACCCTGCCACGCGGAACAGCTCACTGCTCCCTAGACATCACCACACGTTCCCACCTCAGGCCTTTGCTCACGCTGTTCTCCCTCCCTGGAATGTCCTTCCCTTTAGCTACACATTTTCAAATCCTACCCTTTCTTCAAGGCCCAGCACAAATTTCACCTCTTTGAAACTTACTAACACATACCTCTTCTCCACTCCTGCCAAATCTGGATGTGATCTCTCCTCTCAACCTCAACCTCACACAGGTCTTGTTGGTCTGTGCTTTCTCATGGT
Source organism: Homo sapiens (assembly GCF_000001405.40). Classification (NCBI taxonomy): domain Eukaryota; kingdom Metazoa; phylum Chordata; class Mammalia; order Primates; family Hominidae; genus Homo; species Homo sapiens. The sequence goes on from NC_000001.11 coordinate 20,557,846, forward strand.
CCTCATCATGTTTACCTTGGACTACTCTTTTTTTTTTTTTTTTTTTTTTTTTTGATGAAGTTTTGCTCTTGTTGCCCAGGCTGGAGTGCAGTGGCACGATCTCAGCTCACCACAACCTCTGCCTCCCAGGTTCAAGTGAATCTCCTGCTTCTGCCTCCCGAGTAGTTGGGTTTACAGGCATGAGCCACCATGCCCAGCTAATTTTGTATTTTTAGTAGAGACAGGGTTTCTCCATGTTGGGCAGGCTGGTCTCGAACTCCCGACCTCAGGTGATCCGCCCGCCTTGACTTCCCAAAGTGCTGGGATTACAGGTCTGAGCCACCGCGCCCAGCTTGGACTACTCTTTGTATATGAGTGTCTCGTCTTTCGTATTGATCCATGTTCATTTCCCCACCTCCTTCAGTACCTTGTCCATGGCAAGGCAGAGAGTCAGTGCTCAGTAATGATTTGTTGAATGAATACAGGAATGAATGAACCAGATGGAAGAGCCATCATAGGACAGGAAACCAAGTGGGTGGAGAAGCATTTCCTCTGCCAAGCTTCTGCCTGGAGATACTGAAGGAGAACTGTCCTCATACGCCCTGTTCAGACGGATGGCTATTTGTGGGGGAGAAGATCAGCAGCCGAAGAGATGAGGCCAGAGGAGGAAGCTGAAGCCTCTGTCCCTTGGGTCTGCTCCAGGTTCTACAGTCTCAGGACTGGGTACCCTGACTCTCTGGACTTATCCAGCCCCCAAAACACAGCTGACACTCAAAATTGTAACAGCAGCTCCTGGCAGTGGGCAGCCACCCTTCAGACACACTGGCTGGGAGTTGCAGACTTGGAAAGGGTGTTGAGGGGACCGTCATGACAGGTGCGGTTTATAATGTAACACACAGGCAGTCAAACCTCGGCTTTGGCATCAGAGAGACCTGAATGCCAACCCCAGCACTGCCACCCAATGTCTGTATAACTTTGGGCAGGTTCCTGAAGGCTTTTGGAGCCTTGGTTTTCCGACTTTGAAAATAGAGGGCCGGGCACGGTGGCTCACGCCTGTAATCCCAACACATTGGGAAGCCGAGGTGGGCAGATCACCTGAGGTCAGAAGTTTGAGACCAGCCTGGCCAATATGGTGAAACCCCGTCTCTACTAAAAATACAAAAATTAGCTGGGAATGGTGCTGGGCATCTGTAATCCTAGCTACTCAGGAAGCTGAGGCAGGAGAATCCCTTGAACCCAGGAGGCGGAGGTTGCAGTGAGTCGAGATGGTGCCATGGCACTCCAGCCTGGCGACAAGAGCGAAACTCTGTCTCAAAGAAAAAAGAAAGAAAAAAAATGAAAATAGGGATAGGGATAGGTGAGTTATTTATTTTTTATTTTTATTTATTTATTTTTTGAGACAGAGTCTCGCTGTGTCGCCCAAGCTGAAGTGCAGTGGTGCGATCTCAGCTCACTGCAAGCTCCGCCTCCCAGGTTCACGCCATTCTCCTGCCTCAGCCTCCGGAGTAGCTGGGACTACAGGCGCCCGCCAACATGCCCGGCTAATTTTTTTTGTATTTTTAGTAGAGACGGGGTTTCACCGTGTTAGCCAGGATGGTCTCTATCTCCTGACCTTGTTATCCGCCTGCCTCAGCCTCCCAAAGTGCTGGGATTACAGGTGTGAGCCACCGCACCTGGCCATTATATATTTATTTTTGAGAGAGGATCTCTCTCTTTTGCCCAGGCTGGAGTGCAGTGGTGCAATCTCAGTTTACTGCAAACTCTTCCTCCTGGGCTCAAGCTCTCCTCCCACCTCAGCCTCCTGAGTAGCTGGGACCACAGGTGCATGCTGCCACCATCCACCATGTCTAGCGAATTTTTTATGGTGTGTGTGTGTGTGTGTGTGTGTGTGTGTGTGTGTGTGTGTGTGTGGTTTTTTTTCTTTTTTTTTTTTTTTTTTTTTTGAGACAGGGTTTCACCATGTTGCCCAGACTGGTCTCGAGCTCCTGGACTCAGCAATCCACCTACCTCGGCCTCCCAAAGTACTAGGATTACAGGCGTGAGCCACTGCACCCAGCCTTTTATTTTTTTTAATGTTAATTTTTAAAATTTTTAGCGCAATTAAATACTTTTTTTTTTTTGAGAAGGTCTCAGGCTGGAGTGCAGTGGCACGATCATGGCTCCTTTGCAGCCTCGACCTCCTAGACCAAAGCAGTTCTCCCACTTCAGCCTCCCAAGTAGCTGGGACTACAGGCATGTGCCACCAAGCCAGCCAGTTTTTTAATTGAGTCTTCATTGTATACGGCTGTTGGGAGAATGATGTAAGGTATTACATTTGGATAATTTATATAGCACAGTGCCAGATGCACACCGTAAGTGATGGCTATTGCTCTTCCATTTATTATTATCGTTTTACCTGGAATTCTCCTAACAGACAGCTCTAGGATGAGGAGATCAGGTGGCTGGTCATCGAGACATTAAATTTGTTGTTTGTTTATGCCCAGGATTGTTACTCACCTAAAGTTCCATTCATCTCTAAACCAATAGATTGCCTTATTAACAATTTCTCTCTCATTGTTCAACCTACATAAGCCTGGGTGCTTTGACACCAGATCAGTAGATACAATATCTTATACTTCTTGTGTATCCTTTTTGCTTTAGCACCCAGCACAATGCGAGGCACACAGTACACACTGAGAGGTGAATAAATGAATGATTGCATGAAGGATTTACTGCTGCCAACAGCAATGTTGGCACACAACCTTCCCTGCCAAGGTCTTCCAATGGCTGGGATGCCGCTTCTTTGTGACAAATGGGTCTGCTTCCTGGTCCATTTGCCCTGAACTTCAGGTGAAGAAGAGGATGCTTTTGGCTTAGGGGAAGAACAGCAGAAAAGCATCGGGTGGCTGGCATGCAGATCTGGCAGGTCTCCAGGCCAAAACTGTTCCCTCTCACCCTTTGCTCCACTCCTGCCTGTCCTCAGAGCACATATGGGTTTTGTCAGCTAATCCAGAGTGACTGATGTGCATCAGCCCTTAACAGTTGGAAGGCGGTTGGGTGGGCAAGGATCGGTGGGGAAGCTGAAGTCCAAGCCGTCAAAGAGGAGACCTCAGTTGGGAAGATGGGGCCAATACTCCTACGTGCCAGGAACCCTTGACCGAAAAGTCCAAAGGAGCTGGGCTGTACTAGAAAGTCAGGAAGACTCTTGTGTTTGTCTGGGCAGCATCCATCCATTCCTCCTTTACACTGGAGACTGCCTCCTCTTCCTCTCAGGCACACAACCAAACTCCCTTCCTGGTCCCTCCTACTTAGGTGTGATCATGTGACGGAGTTCTGGCCAATAGAATTGATGCATGCCACTCTCAGGCCTGGATCCTAAAAAGCATGACCTACCCAGCCTGGACAACATAGTGAGACCCCATCTCTACAAAATTTTTTTTTTAATTAGCCAGGCATGGTGGCATGCATCTGTAGTCCTAGCTACTTGGGAGGCTTGAGCCTGGGAGTTCCAGGCTTCAGTGAGCTATGTTTGCACCACTCCACTCCAGCCTGGGCAACAGCACAAGACCTTGTCTCAAAAAAAAAAAGAAAAAGAAAAAGAAAAAGCATGATCTTTATTTCCTTGCCTGCCTCTAGATGTTATCACCTAGGATTTTCTTGGAAGCTACATGTTAAAGATGACAGAGCCCATCTATCAGCCTGGGTCTCTGAGTGACCACATGAAGTAGAGCCCTGCCCCTGCCACCACTGGAAGCAGAAATAAGTTGTATTGTGTTCGGTCACTAACATGTTGTGGTTGTTTATTGCAAGCACGTTGCTTACCTTGACTAACACACTCTCCTTGTAACCCACTACCCTAATGTTTCTGGTGAAATCACCCATTTCCTACTCCCAGTCCCTGGAGGTCCAACGGAGGTGACTCCACATGGGCTCCAGGGCAGGACATGTGATCCAGGTGATGTCTGATTCAGTCCTAACGGATCAGGATAGCCCATCTCCTTAGCCACAGAGATTGGTTCAGGATAGGCTGTATGACACAACCAGAGCCAGCGGGACTTAATTGAAACTGTTGGGAAAAGAGACGCTCAATTTCTGCTGGAGTTGCTGAGAAGGTGGGAGGTGTGTCTGGTGCTGCTGGCAACCTTCTTGCCAACATGAGGGGAGGGCACCTGAGAAGGAGGCCAGCACAGTGGAAAGCAGAGACTATGTCCAATGGCACTGCATGAGCCCCTGGATCCCACTGAGCCTGTCCAGATCTGCCCTTGAAGTTTTCAGCTCCTTGAGCCAAGACGTTGCACTTTTTGGCTGGGCACGGTGGCTCACGACTGTAATCCCACCACTTTGGGAGGCTGAGATGGGTGGATCACAAGGTCAGGAGTTTGAGACCAGTCTGGGTAACATGGTGAAACCCCATCTCTACTAAAAATACAAACAATTAGTCGGGTGTGGTGGCATGCACCTGTAGTCCCAGCTACTTGGGAGGCTGAGGCAGGAGAATTGCTTGAACTCAGCAGGTGGAGAAGGTTGCAGTGAGCCGACATCGCGCCACTGCACTCCAGCCTGGGCGACAGAGCTAGACTCCGTCTAAGAAAAAAAAAGTTGCGCTTTTTGCTTAGGCCAGTGTGAGTTGGGCGGTCTGTCCCTGTGTCTGGGAGAATCTTAACCCCATGATTGCTATTCTCATCTGGTCCCAGTTCTGAAAAAGTAGTCACTGAAAGGCTTCAGGGGACCCATCACATTGCCTGATTATAAGACATCCAGCCAGCACGTGGGATCTGAAAGCCCCAGGCCTTTCTCTGTCTGGGGCCACCTGGCTGCCCCTCACACACTTTCCCAGTCTCCACATTATGGACTGGCTTCCTTCCTCCTTCCCTGTTCAGAGTACCCGTCCCCTTGTGCCTTCCATCAGCACGTGGCTCTGATGCTGACTCCACACACCTCTTCAGTTCAGTCCAACCAAAGCCTGTGACCTCTGTTCAAGTGCTAAGGCATGAGGCTGATTGGTGGTCACCTGGTGGTCACAGCCCAGCCTCTGGGTGGTCCCCAGATCAGGGGTCCACCCTGATCCACTCAGCTGCAACTGGGAAATGAGTTCATTGGCTATGAATTGGGCTTACTTAGCCAATCTCTTAGGGGACCTTCAACCGGGAGGGGCACTTCTGAGGATGCAGCATGAGCTGAACAGGCTGATCTTGGAGCCCGAACCTGGGACCGCCTACTACTCATTCTGGGACATGGGCAACTCCCTTAACTGCTTCAGTCTCCATTTTCTCTGCAATATGGAGGTAATAATCCCCGCTGTTCCTGCCTCAAGGATCATTCTGAGGGGCCATTCAAAGGAGAGGGAATGCAAGAGGACTTTGAAAAGCATCAAGTACTATCCAAGAGGTAGGGGCAGAATGATTCCTTACTGACTCTAAGACAAGAAAGCTGGAGTGAGGCAGTAACTTACTTACTGGCCTTCCTTAAAGGCTCTTGCTTGGAGGCTGAAGCCCCCTGCCAAGGAAGCAAGCACAGACTGCAGTGAGGGAAGCTTAAAATGGGCATCTGCAGGGATTTCCTGGAGGGAGAACATCACCGGGAAACAGCTGGCCAAGCTCCAACAATAAGCTCCCCCACCCCCGACCGCCCCCCATGATGGGCCTCAGGGGTGGTGGGTACATCCCCATCTGCAGTCAAAGGAATGGCTAGAAGGTCCCAGAAGAACCTTGCAGCTGGAGCATCTCATGCCATAATCATGCCTGTGATCTCATATCCCACAGGAATACAGAATGTGATCATTCTGCAGCCTTTGAGATGGGGGTGGGGATGCAGAGAGGGGAGGGGGACATCCTTGTAAAATCAGACTGGGTTCTGCTCACTCCCATTCCTCTACTTCTCTCAATCCTCAAAGGATAGAAGACCTAGAGAGCTTGCATTACATCAACCTTCTGCCAAAATTCCACTGATACACGCAGGCCCAGATGGCTGGCTGGGCCCTGGGATGTCTCCTGATCTCCTTGGGGAAGCATACATGGGGGATGACAACCATGGGGTTAGGTGTGGCCCAGGGAGCAAGGTATGCTGTCAGTGGCCAGTAGATGTCTGCAAGGATGTTTCCCCTGGCAGCTTGACTCCTTAGAGATGTATTAAGTTCTCCTTCTAAGATGATAAAAGCACAAAAAAAAAAAAAAAAGCAACACATTTTTGTTTGAAACCAGTGAAACAGCAAATACTAAGACAAAATAGGCCAGGCACAGTGGCTAACACCTGTAATCCCAGCATTTTGGGAGGCTGAGGAGGGCGGATCACTTTAGGCCAGGAGTTCAAGACCATCCTGGCCAAAATGGTGAAACCCGATCTCTACTAAAAATACAAAAATTAGCCGGGTGTGGTGGTGGGTGCCTGTAATCTCAGCTACTCAGGTGGCTGAGGCAGGAGAATCACTTGAACCCAGGAAGCAGAGGTTGCAGTGAACTGAGATCACGCCACTGCACTCCAGCCTGGGTGACAGAGCGAGACTTCATCTCAAAAATAAAAAATGAATAACCTTCCCTTATCCCCTCTCCATTCCCCATTCCTCATTCCCCACACCCGTAGCACACACACACTCCTAAGTTACTCCTCTCACAGCCTGGAGTTTATCCTCCTCCACTTTTCCCCATGTTCATGAATATGTTGCCCAGGCTGGAGTGCAATGGTGTGATCTCGGCTCACTGCAACCTCCACCTCCCGGGTTCAAGTGATTCTCCTGCCTCAGCCTCCTGAGTAGCTGGGATTACAGGCACATGCCACCACACCTGGCTAATTTTTTGTATTCTTAGTAGAGATGGGGTTTCACCATGTTGGCCAGGCTGGTCTCAAATTCCTGACCTCAGGTGATCCACCCACTTCAGCCTCCCAAAGTGTTGGGATTACAGGCATGAGCCACCACGCCCAGCTCATTCTTCTTTGAATAGCTGCACAATGTATTAGACCGTTCCCTCTTAATGTATGTTCCGATTGTCTCCTGTTCTCAAAAATGTCTACTACGTGATTGTTGCATGCGTGCTTCCTGCAAGAAGGAGCAGACATAAGCAGAACATATCAAGCTGAAAATACATAGGATCAAGAAGAGTTTTACATGAATTCCTGGTGCCCCATGTCTCAGCTGGAAGAGCCCTTAGAACTTGTGATCCAATCCCCTGGTTTACAGATAAGAAAAGGGACTTGTCCAAAGTCATACAAATTGCTACTGAAAAAGCTGCGGCCAGAATTTAAGCTAGCTGACTCCTTGACGAATGTCCTGTTTCCTTTACAAAAACTGTTAAAATAAAAGTAGAAACTTGTCCAAGAAAGGTTTGTTTGTTCGTTTTGAGACAGGGTCTTGCCCTGTCACCCAGACTGGAGTATTGTGGCGTGATCATAATTCACTGCAGCCTTGACCTCCTGAGCTCAGGTGATCCTCCCACCTCAGCCTCCCAGAGAAAGGTTTATTTAAGCTCACAGATGCCCAGAGTTTAGAGGCCAAGTTAGGAAGTGGGTTGTACTCAAACCTCAAGGGAGTTAACAGCAAAAGGATAGGGCTTCACTTTCTGTTCTTCCTCCCACCGTCCTCACCCAGCATTTTTCTCCCAACACTCCAAGCTCATTTCTGCCTCAGGGCCTTAGCACTTGTCATTCCTATGCCAGGACTACTCGGCCCTCATATTTTTGTGTGGCTGCTTCTTTCCCACACACGGATCTCAGCTCCAATGTCATTCCTCAGAGAGGCCCTCCTTGTTTCCACCCTCTCCCTCCACTTGAAGCAGTCCTGACACATCCGGCCCCTTCTGTCCCCTTCCTGTGCTTATTGTCTTCACCACACTGTCACCATCTGAAATAATCTTGATCATGTCTTTGCTTCCTTGTTCATCAGCAGATTCCCCCATTGGAATAGAAAGCCTGTGAGTTACACATCCAGGCTTGGGAAGACAGTGCCTGGCATGCAGTAGGTGCTTAGTCAAGATTTGAAATGATGGAGCCAGGGTTCCCTGACTGCTGGTCCAGGGGTGCCTGCTCCCTTCATGCTTATTAGTGTCTTTGCTACATCAGGGCTGCAGAGGTGGGTGGGCCCAGCTCCTGGTGAGAGCTCCTTCTGCGGAGGTTGGGGAAGGAGTAGGGCCCCTATAAGGATTCAAAAGCCTCAGGAGTGACAAGTCAGGGTGACGTTCTTTCTTTTCTTTTCTTTTTTTTTTTTTTGAGATGGATTCTCACTCTATTGTCCACGCTGGAGTCAGTGGCACGATCTCGGCTCACTGCAACCTCCGCCTCCCAGGTTCAAGTGATTGTCCTGCCTCAGCCTCCCGAGTAGCTGGGACTACAGGCACGCACCACCATGCCTGGCTAATTTTTGTATTTTTAGTAGAGACGGGGTTTCACCATGTTGACCAGGCTTGCCCTCGAACTCCTGACCTCGTGATCCCCCTGCCTCAACCTCCCAAAGTGTTGGGATTACAGGCGTGAGCCACCGCGCCCAGCCCAGGGCGATGTTGTTTCTCCACCTGCCAAGCCGAGGCCAGAGTCTAGGCCGGTGGCCCTAGGGTGTCTCTGAATCCTCTCATAGACACCCTAGGGCCACCATCTCTGTCTGCTGCCTCCACCTTGTTCCCCAAACCCCATAGGTGTGCTTCAAGCCGGAGTTCACAGTGGTCTTGTGTCATCTCCTCTCCCTACTTCAAGCTACCTCTTCTTTCCTTGTACCCCAGCTGCCCCTTCTCCTGTCCACAGGCATCCCTGGTGCTTGATCCAAGGAGGGGAGTGAGTGGGGATGGGGACCTAGAGGCCTTCTCCTCTGGGAATGTGATGTGCAGCGCCGGCTTGGCATTCTCAGTCACCAGTGCACAGGGCAATTTTGGCCAAGTCCTTTCACCTCTCTGAACTTTGTCTCCTCTTGAAAATGAGGGACGGGGCTGGGTGCAATAGCTCATGCCTATAATCCCAGAACTCTGGGAGGCCGAAGCGGGAGGATCACTTGGCCCCAGGAGTTCAAGACCAACCTGGGCAACATAGTGAGAGCTTGTTTCTACCAAAAATTAAAAAAAAATTAGCCAGATGTGGTGATGCATGCCTGTGGTCCCAGCTACTCAGAAGGCTGAAGTGGGAGGATCACTTGTGCCTGGGAGGTCAAGGCTATGGTGAGGTATGATTTCACCACTGCACTCCAGCCTGAGTGACAGAACAACACCCTGTCTCAAAAAAAAAAAGAAAAAAGAAAAAGAAAAGAAAAAGGAAATGTCCCTTGGATGACTCTAAAGCTTGGACACTCAAAAGCTGCTACCTGATAATTGTGTTTATCCTTCAAAACTGGAAAAAAGGAACCAGGCTTCTTTCTGTGTGTGTGGTTTTTATTGTTTGTTTGTTTGTTTTTTGAGTCAGAGTCTTGCTCTGTCTCCCAGGCTGAAGTGCAGTGGCACGATCTCCGCTCACTGCAACCTCTGCCTCCCGGGTTCAAGCGATTCTCGTACCTCAGCCTCCCAAGTAGTTGGGATTACAGGTCCACATCACCACGCCTGGCTAATTTTTTGTATTTTTAGTAGAGACGGGGTTTTACCATGTTGGTCAGGCTGGTCTCGAACTCCTGACCTCAGATGATCCACCCACCTCAGCCTCCCAAAGTGGTGGGATTACAGGCGTGAACCACCGCGCCCGGCCTCCTTTCTGTGTCTTACGTGAAAAACAATCAGATCCTGGGTGGAAAAGAGACTGGAAGAATAGGCTGCCCTGTGGAAGAGGACAGCATGTAAGTGACACGGCACCATGACCTCTTGTCCAGAGGAAGCTTCTCGGCTCTAATGGAGTCTGGGGCCTTGTCCAGAAAGGTCCGGCATCCTGGGGTGGGGAATTCTGCCCCTCCACGGCTTTCCCAGCAGGCAGAGGAGAGACATCTATCTATCTAGGACCTAACGTGCTCTGGAAATTGGACTGCAAGCCAGGGTTCCACATCCCTCATTCATTCAACTTTCTTTCATTATTGAATTTTTTTTTATTGATATGTAATAGATGTACATACTTGAGCGGGTACATGTGATCATTTGATACGTATAGTTTGTAAAGATCAAATTAGGGTAATTGGATGCCCATTGCCTTAAATATTCACATTTTCTTCATGATAGGAATGCTGTAATTATTCTCTTCCAGCTATTTTGAAATGTACAATAGATTAACGTTAACTATAGTCACCCTACTAATCTATCAAACACTAGGTCTTATTTTTTCTATCTAATTGTATATTTGTACCTACCAATCAAGCTCTCTTCATTCCTCCTCCCCCTGTATCTTTCCTGGCCTCTGGTAACCACCAATCTACTCTCCGTCTTCATGAGCTCTACTTTTTTTTTTTTTTTTTTTTTTGAGACAGAGTCTTGCTCTGTCACCCAGGCTGGAGTGTGCTGTCACGATCTCAGCTCACTGCAACCTCTACCTCCCAGGTTCAAGCGATTCTCCTGTCTCAGCCTCCCGAGTAGTTAGGACTACAGGTACATGCCACCACACCTGGTTAATTTTTGTATTTTTAGTAGAGACGGGATTTCACCATGTTGGTCAGGCTGGTCTCAAACTCCTGACCTGAGGCAATCCACCCGCCTCGGCCTCCCAGAGTGCTGGGATTACAGGTGTGAGCCACTGCGCCCAGCCGAGATCTACTTCTTTTAACTCCCACGTATGAGTGAAAATACGCAATATTTGTCTTTCTGTGCTTGGCTTATTTCCTTAACATGATGGCCTCCAGTTCCATCCATGTTGCTGAAAATGACAGGATTTCATTCTTTTTATGGCTAAATAATATTCCACTGTGTATACAAACCACACTTTTTTTTTTTGAGACCGAGTCTTGCTCTGGCACCCAGGCTGGCATGCAGTGGCACGACCTCGGCTCACTGCAACCTCTGCCTCCTGGGTTCAAGTGATTCTCCTTCTCCAGCCTCCCAGGTAGATGAGATTTCAGGTGCCCGCCACCATGCCTGGCTAATTTTTGTATTTTTAGTAGAGACGGGGTTTCACCACGTTGGCCAGGCTGGTCTCAAACTCCTGAGCTCAAGAATGTATCAAGAGCTCAAACAATTCAATAGCAAAATAATAATAATAATAATTCTATTTAAAAATGGGCAAAAGATCTGAATAGACATTTCTCAAAAGAAGACCCTACAAATGGCCAACAGATACATGAAAATACGCTTAACATCACTGATCATAAGAAATGCAAATCAAAACTGCAATGAGATATCATCTTACCCTAGTTAAAATGGCTTTCATCAAAAAGGCTGGGAATCATGGATGCTGGCAAAGATAGGGAAAAAGGGGAATGCTCGCTTGCACACTGTTGGTGGTAATGTAAATTAGTATAGCCACTATGGAAAAGAGTATAGAGATTCCTCAAAAACTAAAAATAGAACTACCATATGATCCAGTAATTCTTAAAGAACAGGAATCAATATATCAAAGATATATCTGCACTCCCATGTTTATTGTAGCACTATTCACAATAACCAAGATATGGAATTAAATTTCTTTGATCAATATCATATTGAGTGCCTACTACATGCCAGGCACCGTCCCAGTGTGAAGGAGGCAGTGGTGAATGAACTGCAGAAAGCCCTTTGCCCTTGGGAGGCACATCCTGGTGAGGAGAGACCAACAATAAACAAGAGGCTTAATAAATGTGTAAATTACATTAGAAGTGACACATGCTATTAGGTGAGGGGGGTGAGGAAAAGTAGAGAGGTGTAAGGAAAGTGAGTGCCTCCCCACTCCCCTGGTCCCATGAAATGGAAAATTCTAAGATTATCAAATCTCTGGGCTAGAAACAGCAGTCATGGCAGAGACTGACTAGATGTTCACCAAACCTATCACCTCTTCTTCCAGAGCCAAAGCAACACATTTCCCAGGTTCCTTTGCAGCTAGCTGCAGCCATGTGACTAAGTTCTAGCCAATAGGATGTGAGACTCTTTCAAACCTGGCCCATAAATACTTCCCACTCCCTCAGTTCCCCCATCCCCTGAGCAAGACTTGTTCCGTCTTTCCCCATCTGCTAGCTGAATGGAGGGGACACTGAGGACCTAGAGGAGGGCAGAGCCACAGGTAGAAGGGGACTGGGTCCCTGAAGACCACATAGAGAGGTGAGCCCCTGGCCCCCACCTGTTAGACTTTACGGGGAGGCACGGCTCATCACTGTGCGTGAAGACCAGTGGGTGGTGGTTTGCAATCCATTTTAGGCAGCAAAGAGAAGCCAGGGGCTTTTAGGGATTTCTTTAAAGATTTCTCCATGCCACAAGTCTATTTTTTTTCCCTGATTTCTCCCACCTGCTACTCCAAATCCCTCATTCATCTATTTATTTGTTCATTCAGGAAATATTTACTGAGCACCTAGTATATCCCAGGCACTGTTCTAGGCACTGGAGATACAGCAGTGCCTAGAACTGCTAGGCAACAACCCCAGCCCTCAAGAAGCTAGTAAGCAAGAACAGACAATAAACAAAATGATAAGAAAAGATCAACACCTGTGGGTTTTTTGTCTGTTTGTTTTGAGACAGAGTCTCACTCTGTCACCCAGGATGGAGTGCAGTGGCACGATCTCAGCTCACTGCAACCTCTGCCTCCCAGGTTCAAGCGATTCTTCTGCCTCAGCCTCTCGAGTAGCTGGGATTACAGGCGTGTGCCATCATGCCCGGCTAATTTTTGTATTTTTAGTAGAGATGGGGTTTTGACATGTTGGCGGGGCTGGTCTCAAACTCCTGACTTCGAGTGATCTGCCTGCCTTGGCCTTCGAAAGTGCTGGGATTACAGACGTGAGTCACCCATCTTGCCCAGCCAAGATCAACACCTGTGAAATGAAGGGAAGGAAAAGTAAGAGCGTTGTTACAAACCCACTTTACAGATGAGAAATCTGCAGAACAAACAGGTTAGGTGACTTAAGCTAATGTAATTTTGGCTAACTGTAATAAAAGACATGCAGCTGAGAGCTCAGTCAAAGATGAACTTGACATCTTGCCATTTCACAAGGCGGTGTCTTGGTTCCTCCAGGTGAGGACTTAATTGCCTTTGGAAGACAGTGGAGATACTGAGGCTGTGAGCAAAGGATTTCTGTTCCCCTCTGCCTTTAGTAACTCTGGGTAATGGAGCAGATTTCTTGCCCTTTCTGATCCTCAGTTTCCTCACCTGTAAAACATGGATAATAAAGTTCTAACCTCTGGCCGGGCGCGGTGGCTCATGCCTGTAATCCCAGCACTTTGGGAGGCCAAGGCAGGTGGATCACGAGGTCAGGAGATCGAGACAATCCTGGCTAACACAGTGAAAGCCCATCTCTACTAAAAATAGAAAAAATTAGCCAGGCGTGGTGGTGGGCGCCTGTAGTCCCAGCTACTCAGGAGGCTGAGGCAGGAGAATAGCGTGAACCTGGGAGGCAGAGCTTGCAGTGAGCCAAGATCGTGCCACTGCACTCCAGCCTGGGCGGCAGAGCAAGACTCCGTCTCAAAAATAAATAAATAAATAAAATAAAATAAAGTTCTAACCTCTGTGGTAGATTGCTTGGTACTGGTCCTAATAAACAAGTTTTCCCTTGTGTGGTCTCCTTTCACATTGACTCTGGGCTTGGCTATGTGACTTCCTTTGGTAATGGGACATCAACAAACACAACTCAAGTGACGGCTTGAAAAATGTCATAAGGCTTGCTATTGTGGAGCTCTGCCATCATGTGAAAGAAGCCCAGGCTGGCCTGCTGGAGACACGTGTCCCAGCTGACTTTCAGCAGCAGCCACCAGACACATGAGTGAGGCCATCTTAGCCCCAGTTGTGCTGCTGGATGATTGCACATGAGCAACCCCAGGGAGATCAGCGAATGAACCACCCAGCTGAGCCCAATCCAAATTGCTGGCCTACAGAATTATGGGCCAAAAAAAATAGTTGTTCTTTTAAGCCACTACATTTTAAGGTGGTTTTTTATGCAGTAACAGATAATTGATTCAACAACTTCAAGGAGCGTTTCTGAGGATCGAATGAGGAAATGCATTGAAAGCATTTAAAATCTTTTTTGGCACAAAACGATAGCCCCAAAATATAGTTATTATTGTCACTATATCATTTAGAGCCAAGTTTCTTCATTTTTGGAACGCTCTATGTTGGCCTTTGTAGTTACTCAAGTATAAAATGATAGATACTGGAGAATTCTGTAAGGTCACACTAAATCTATCTATAGTGGCTGTGGGTTTGGGAGGTTAACAGTTGCCTTGGGTGGACATTAGTCTGACTACTCTTAAGAACGAAGAAGGAAAGACTGGGGAGAAGAGAAGAATTCCAGATAGTGAATCATCACTCCCATCAGGAGTCATTTAAGATTAAGGAACCAAGATTGGCAGCTGTCATATGGGCTTTTTGGTCTCTTATGGAGCCCCAGAGATTGCCCTAAACTACACTTTGGGGGTTTCCTCTCTCCCTTCTTTCTATGTTTTTTGAGCCTCTACTGTGTGCCAGACACAGATCTAGCTGCCCAGACAAAGCAGGATACAAGATAGACATTCATCTATTGTTATAGACAGACAGTAAACCCATAACGAATGTTACCAGACAGCAATAAGTGCCTGAAGAAAATTGAGCCAGGTAATGGAACAGTGATGAATGATGGGATGTGCAGTTAAGGAGGGCCTCTTGGAGGTGGTATTATTTGAAGACACCGGGGAAGAGACATCCAGGTAGTAAGAGCAGCTTGTGCAAAGATCCTATAATGAGATTCACCTTGATATGTCTAAAACCTCCTTGGGACTAGATGTGGATAGTGGATGGTGGGAAACTTACAGGGGATGGGACCATGGAGGTGGGCAGGGCCAGGCTATGACGAAGGTTTGAGGTTCCAGTCTAGGTGTCGGGATACCTCTGGGATATTCATGTTTCGGAAAGCACACTCAGGCCACTTTTTAAAGGATAGGATTGGGAGGAGGATGCCATAGTGGAAAAAGCAGTAGGAGAGGAAGCAGGAGAACCTGTCAGCAAGCCCCTGAGAGGGTCCAGGTGAAAAATGATGGTATCTTGGACCAGGGCTCTAACATTGAAGATGGTGACAAGTGGCTGGATTCAAAACAGGTTTGTTTTTTGTTGTTGTTTATTTCAATAGTTTTGGGGAAACAGGTGATGTTTGGTTACATGAATAAGTTCTTTAGCGGTGATTTCTGAGATTTTGGTGCACCCATCATCCGAGCAGTGCACACTGTACCCAATGTGTAGTCTTTTATCCCTCACCCCCTCCCACCCTTCCCCCCAAGTCCCCATTGTATCATGCCTTTGCATCCTTATAGCTTAGCTCCCACTTTGAAGTGAGAACATAAGATGTTTGGTTTTCCATTCTTGAGTTATTCACTTAGAATAATGGTCTCCAACTCCATCCAGGTTGCTGCAAATGCCATTATTTCATTCCTTTTCATGGCTGAGTAGTATTCCATGGTGTGTGTATATATATATACCACATTTATATATACATATGTGTATATATATCACATTTATATATGTATATATATCACATTTATATATATGTATATATATCACATTTTCATATATATATGTATATATAAAACATTTTCTTTATCCACTTGTTGACTGATGGGTCAAAACAGGTTTCGAAGGTAGAGCCAGGGCATGGAGATAGATCGAATGTGGGGGTGAGGGAAACAAGGCATTCAGGGGCACTTCTCGACTTCTAGCCCAAGTCACTGGGTGACTGGTCATACCTTTAGCTGAAGCATAGACTGGGGTGGGGTGGGAACAGGTTCAGGGTTGAGTGAGAAGAGAAACAGAAGTTGCTTTAGATCTTCCTGCATTAAGAGGCTAATTAGACATCCAAGTGCAGAGGTCAAGTGGACAGTTGGATCCATGCAAGAGCTTCCAAGAGCAAGGCACACAGGTGTAGGAATGATGATTCTAAAATGGCATCTCAAGCTATAATTGTGGATGAGATCACCTTGGAGAGAAGGAGCAAATGTAGACAGAAGCCAAGAGACCTTAAGACTGAGCTATGAGGCACTGCCCTTTGGTAGCTGAGCAGAAAAGAAGGTAGGCAAGGATTGAGAAGGCAGAGAAGTAGGAGGAAAACCAGGAAAACGTGGCATCCTAGAAGCCCAGTAAAGAAAAGAAAACATTAGGAGCCTGAGGCGGGAAGATGCTTGAGCCCAGGAGTTTGAAGTAACATTGAGCTATGATCTTGCCACTGCACTCCAGTCTAGGCAACAGAGCAAGACACTATCAAAGAAAGCAAGCAAGAAAGCAAGGAGAGGAGGGGAAGGGAGGGAAGGGGAGGGGGAGAAGGGAAGGGAAGGGAAGGAAAGGGAAGGGGAGAGGAGAAGGGAAGGGAAAGGAAGGAAAGGAAAGGGAAGGGGAGGAGAGAGGAAGGAGGAAGGAAGAAAGAAAGAAAGAAAGAAAAGAAGAGAAAGTGGAAAGAAAACAAGAAACCAGGAGTTGACACATCAGATAATCTTCAAAGTTGCAAATGATGGTGTCAGATCTTAGCAAGAGCCATCTCAGCATCTTGCTGGGGATCAAAGCCTTAGCAGGAATACATTATGGGCAACAGAGCGAGACTCTGTCTCAGAAAAAAAAAAAAAAAGAAAGAAAGAAAAAGAAAAAGAAAGGAAAGGAAACAGGAAACAGGAAACAGAGACAGAGAGAGGGGATTTCACTATGAGCAGCTAAAAGAGGTGGAAGCTGGAGGGAGACTGAGGTCAAGGAAACCAACTTTAGTCAGTCTCTCGTCCCTGTTCCAGCATATGGTCTATTAAACACTAGAAAAGGCAGGCACCATGGGAGAAGCTGCAGGCACAGTGGGGCATGGGACTGTCACCTCCTCAGGCCAAAAGGCCTTCTCTATTCTTCCTACCTAAAGCGGAACCCCTGTGCTAGTCCCTGTAACCCCTAAGATGCTCTTCCCAGCATCCTCCTTCACGAGTCCTGGAACGAGACCCCATACCTTTGACATTCTTATCTATAGGGTATTTTCTCATTCATATCTATAGGGAAAGAGAGTTGACAGCACCTCTGAGCCATCATTCAAGCTGTTCCCTCTTCTTGGCATGCTCTTCTCTGCTCAACTCCTGCCAAACGACTCATCCGTCAAGATCCAGCTTATGTTTATGAAGTTGGAGAGGCCTCTCTGGGGAGACTGACTCTGAATTACTTGTTACCTCCTTCATTTGTAATTGAAGTCATGACTTGGCCTTAAAGGAAAAACCTGAGTGCCCAAAGAACAACCTATGGGGGCCCTGACCCAGCCTGGGTGGTCAGAGAAGGCCTCCTGAGGAGCTGACATTTGATGTGAGCCCTGAAGGAAAGTGTTTCAGGGAAAACCCTCCCCGGCTCCAGGAACAGCAAGTGCAAAGGCCCCGAGGCAGCAAGGAGTTCAGCACCTGCAGATCTGGACAAGTGATTGGGATAGTGATGGCTTGGGAGCCACAGCTTGTGCAGGGACATTTGAAAGAAATCGGGTGTGGAACGTCGAGGGAAGAAGACTGGGGGAGGGAACAGGGGTCCAGAGGAGGGAGCCGGGTCCCCGCAGTCTGCACTGTCTCAAAGCCAGCACTTGGCAGAATGCCTAGCTCCTTTCCGCAGCTCACGTCCTCCATCCCTGAACGGCCCCGGGGTCCAGTAGGGGGCGCACTCACCCTATCTCGGTGGAATGTTGTTTAAAAGGACTGATGGGGAGGAAGTGACAGGGGACCATTCAGCTGGGCGGGAGTGGGTAGAAGAAAAGAAGAGGGACCAGGCCTTTCTCTAAGGGAGGCAGGGGCACAGCAGGCCTGTTGTATATGGGTCTTGGTCCTTTCATTGGCACCCCCTGGGCCCTTTTCAACCTGCCCATCCTCCATTCCAGGGGAGAGTCTCATCTGTGGATGGGCTTTATTGCAGGCAGAACCTGGTCCGTGTAAAAACCCATCTTGGAATCTTCGCTGGCAGGAAGGGCCCCTCACAGATCGCTGTTCCTCACCCTGGGATGAGCCCCTACCCAGGGTCCTCTCAAAGTCCCTCTCTCCCACTCACTGGTCTCCACCCCCGGCAAGTCCCTCAGCATGGAGGCTGGGGAAGGAGGGCATGTCATGTCCTGGGCCCTACAAGGGCATGGCCTGCCTGCCTGACCCCACAGCTGGTATGGCAAAGGGACCCTCTGCACCCATCCCCAACCCATGCCTCACAGCCTCACCCCACAGGGAGTAGGAAGCCCCTCTCTTTAAAGGACAAGGGCTTGGCCGGGCATGGTGACTCATGCCTGTAATCCCAGCACTTCAGAAGGCCGAGGCAGGCAAATCACCTGAGGTCAGGAGTTCAAGACCAGCCTGGCCAACATGATGAAACCCCGTCTCTGTCAAAAATACAAAAATTAGCCGGGTGTGGGGGTGCATGCCTGTAATCCCAGGGACTTGCCATAGCCTGGAACTCTCCCCAGCATCCTCCTCTGCAGGCCCCGGAACAAGACCACATACTTTCGACATTTTAAAGATTCCATCATTAATATCTATGGAGAAATAGGGTGGGCAGCACCTTGAGCCATTGTTCAAGCTGTTCCCTCTTCTTTTTTTTTTTTTTTTTTTTTTTTTGAGACGGAGTCTCGCTCTGTCGCCCGGGCTGGAGTGCAGTGGCGCAATCTCGGTTCACTGCAAGCTCCGCCTCCCAGGTTCACGCCATTCTTCATGCCACCACACCCAGGTAATTTCTGTATTTTTAGTAGAGACAGGGTTTCACCATGTTGGCCAGGCTGGTCTTGACCTCTTGACCTCAAATGATCTGCCTGCCTTGGCCTCCCAAAGTGCTAGGATTATAGGCGTGAGTCACTGTGCCCGGCCAGAAGCAGAAATTTGAGGTCCTGGATTCAAGACAAAAAAAAGAGAGAGTGCTTCTCAATAGCATATTTAAAATAAGATAAAATGCACCAGGCTTGCTCCAGGATGTAAGGCCCTTGCTGTGGCTGTCCCCTTTGCTGGGAACACCCTTCCCTAGATATCTGCTTGGCTCTCACCCCCTCACCTGCTTCAACTATTTGCTTCTCAATGAGGCCCACACTGACTACTTGACTGAATACCATGTTCTGCCCCTCTCCCCCAGCATTACCTGTCCCCCAGCCCTGCCTACTTGTCCCTTTTTTCCATGGAACTTATCACCTCCTCACATACTCTATAACGTATGTATTTGTTATGCTCATTTTTATTACCTTTCTCCCCTGTTAGAAGGTAAGCTTGGCCGGGTGCGGTATCTCACGCTTGTAATCCCAGCACTTTGGGAGGCCGAGGCAGGTGGATCACTTGAGGTCGGGAGTTCAAGACCAGCCTGGCCAACATGGTGAAACCCCGTCTCTACAAAAATACAAAAGTTAACCGGGTGTAGTGGCATGTGCCTGTAATCCCAGCTACTTGGGAGGCTGAGGCAGGAGAATCACTTGAACCCAGGAGGTGGAGGCTGCAGTGAGCTAAGATCTTGCTACTACACTCCAGCCTGGGTAACAGAGCGAGATTCCTTCTCAAAAATAGAAATTAAAAAAAAAAAGACGGAATTCCTTGAGGGCAGGAATATTTGTCTGCTTTGATCACTGATGCATCCTAAGAGCATACAACAGTGTTTGGCACACAGTAGTTACTCAATAAATATGTGTTGAATTGTTGAATGTATACACAGAAAAAGCAGTAGAAATTTGATTCCAAAGTCTTTGGAAAAGTAACTGAACCATGCCCCATTAAATAAGCATTGGCTTTCCAGTGTGCTGATATTCTTACATGATACATGTGGAGATATATTGTTCTTCAGCACACTTTTCTTTTTTTTTTTTTTTGAGACGGAGTCTCACTCTCTCGCCCAGGCTGGAGTGCAGTGGCGCGATCTCAGCTCACTGCAAGCTCCGCCCCCGGGGTTCACACCATTCTCCTGCCTCAGCCTCCTGAGTAGATGGGACTACAGGTGCCCACCACCAAGCCCAGCTAATTTTTTGTATTTTTAGTAGAGACGGGGTTTCACCGTGGTGTTGATCTCCCGACCTCGTGATCCACCGCCTCGGCCTCCCAAAGTGCTGGGATTACAGGCATGAGCCACCACGCCCGGCCTCTTCAGCACACTTTTATTTATTTATTTACTTATTTTATTTTTTGAGACAAGGTCTCACTCTGTCACTCAGGCTGGAGTGCACTGGCACAATCAAGGCTCACTGCAGCCTTGGCCTCTCAGGTTCAACGATCCTCCTGCCTCAGCCTCCTGAGTAGCTGGGACTTCAGGTGCACGCCACCACACCAGTTAGTTTTTAAATTTTTTGTAGAGACAGGGTCTCCCTCTGTTGCCAAGGCCAGTCTTGAACTCTTGGGCTCAGGTGATTCTTCTGCCTTGGCCTCCCAGAGTGCTAGGATTACAGGCATGAGCCACCACACCTGGCCAGCACAATTTTTTAAAGAGGTAAAAGTATGAGTTAGGAATGATTCACTTCCAGTTCTTGACAATACCACAAACCAGCAAGGTCACTGCCTCCCTCCCTGCCTCGTCAGCCCTTTCCCTGGGAGCACCACAGAAAACCTACTTGGTAGTAGAGCGGCAGGGGCCAGAGGAAGTGAGAATATTCTAAGGTGCTGTCTTGTTGAGAAAGAAAGTATATATGTCGATAAACTTGATAAATTGACAGGGGAAATTAACATAAATACAAACAATAATTATGGCTAACCACTAAAGAAAGAAAAAGAAAAGGAATAATTTTCAAATGAGTAGAAGGAAAAGTGTCAATGTAATAAAAGGCAGAAAAAGAGGGGGTAAGGGAGAAAAAAATATATAGTGATTGGTCAGGGTTCCATTGCAGACAACAGCGTCCACCCAGCAGGCCCAATAGGAATGGGTTGACGAGGGTGATCGGGTTGGTTTCAGACACGTTGGAAGGGTTGAGAGGCCAACTCTAGGCTGAGCTTCCAGGAATAACCCTTGAATCTCACTGTAAAATGAGCCTAGCTGGAGAGCTTCTGCCACTGCTGCTGACTCAAGACCCTCGCTACCCATGTTGCAGTGCAGGAGGCTCCACGTCACAAAGCTGCTGACACCCGCTTAGCACCAAGAAGCCAGAAGTTGATCTGGAATTAGGGCCTCCGCTGCAGCCACCTCAGAACAACCGAAACGCTTCCACCACGATGCAGCCAGAAGAACCGTGTGGCCACTTCCTCCCAGTACCTTCCCTTTCTGGTTTGTTTGCATTTTCTTGGCAGAAGCCAGGTGACACGTGGAAATCCTAGCTGCATGAGAGTCTGGAAATGTCCTCTCTAGCCGTCCAGCCTCTAAAGTACAAGAAGTCATGATGGAAAGAAGGAGGTTTGGAGAGGGGCTGAGTTGGGTCGGTCTTTGGCCCTTGCCACAGTCCACTCACTCTTAGTCACTCAACCTCCATTTCCAAGCTGCATTCCCTTCTTAAACTTCCATGAAACAACCACAACGTGTCACCACCCACAGTAATGCAAACGTACCTCAATCAGACAAGAAACACTCTTATTCTTTGCTCAGACAGGAACATCCAAAGCCCCAGCAGTTACTGCTTCCATCTCCCACTCCAGGGAACTTGGGTGATGTTCACTTCTTCTCTGGTTTAGTCACAATCCCAGGTTGATATCCTATAATCTATACATTCAATTGTAAAGTTTACTACCAACAAACCATGTTATTCAAAATGGTAGAGGAAGAAAGGGGAATAATTAAAACCGTCAATAAATATATGCATGACAGGCCAGGCGTGATGGCTCATACCTATAATCCCAGCAATTTGGGAGGCCGAGGTGGGCTGACCACTTGAGGCCAGGAGTTCGAGACCAGCCTGGCCAACATGGCAAAAACTCATCTCTACTAAAAATGCAAAAATTACCCGGGTGTGGTGGCACGTGCCTATAATCCCAGCTACTCAGGAGGCTGAGGCACAAGAATCGCTTGAATATGGGAGGCAGAGGTTGCAGTGGGCCAAGATCGCACCACTGCACTTCAGTCTGGGCAACAGAGCGAGACTCTGTCTCAAAAAAAACAAAGAAAGTACATACAATATAATATCACAAATATTTTAACTATTCTGATAGCTATTTCAATACAATTATTTTGCTTTATAATTATGTGCATTTAAAACTGTTATTTTGGCTGGGAGCAGTGGCTCATGCCTGTAATCCCAGCACTTTGGGAGGCTGAGGCAGGCAGGTCACGAGGTCAGGAGTTCGAGAACAGCCTGGCCAACATGGTGAAACCCTGTCTCTACTAAAAATACAAAAATTAGCCGGGCATGGTGGCACGCGCCTGTAATCCTAGCTACTCAGGAGGCTGAGGCAGGAGAATCGCTTGAACCCAGGAGGCAGAGGTTAGAGTGAGCCGAGATCGTGCCATTGCACTCCAGCCTGGGCAACAGAGTGAGACTCCATCTTAAAACAAAACAAAACAAAACAAAAACTTATTTTGGCTAGGCGCGATGGCTCATTCCTGTAATTCCAATACTTTGGGAGGCCAAGGCGGGTGGATTACCTGAGGTCAGGAGTTTGAGACCAGCCTCGCCAACACAGTGAAACCCTGTCTCTACTAAAAATGCAAAAATTACCCAGTCATGGTGGCACGTGCCTATAATCCCAGCTACTCAGGAGGCTGAGGCAGGAGAATCATTTTAACCCAGGAGGCAGAGGCTGCAGTAGGCCAAGATCGTGCCACAGCATTCCATCCAGCCTGGGCAACAAAGCAAAAGTCTGTCTCAAAAAAAAAAAAAAAAAAAAAAAGGGGACTCATAGGCCTCACCTGGTTGCCAGCACAGGCTATAGTAAAATAAAGGTTAAGAACTCTTAAAGGGATTCCTAAACTATTAACATTAGTATCAGAAAGAAAAGGATATAAGATTTTATTAAAAGCATGAGAAATAGAGAGGGACATTATATACAAATAAAAGAAACAATCAATTAAGAAGATATAATGTTAACAAATATATATGTATGTACCTAACAATATAGCTTCAAAAGATATAAAGCAACAACTGATAGGAATACATGGAAAATACATATAAATGAATAGTTGTAGTTGGAGATTTTAACAAACCTCTCCCAGAAAGTGATAGATCAGTTAGACAGAAATAAGGGAGATACTGTTTTTTTGTTTGTTTGTTTGAGATGGAGTCTCGCTCTGTCACCCAGACTGGAGTGCGGTGGAACGATCTCGGCTCACTGCAAGCTCCGCCCCCGGGGTTCACGCCATTCTCCTGCCTCAGCCTCTCGAGTAGCTGGGACTACAGGCGCCCGCAACTACGCCCGGCTATTTTTTTTGTATTTTTAGTAGAGACGGGGTTTCACCGTGTTAGCCAGGATGGTCTCGATCTCCTGACCTCGTGATCTGCCCGTCTCGGCCTTCCAAAGTGCTGGGATTACAGGCGTGAGCCACCGCTCCCGGCCGAGATATTGTTTTTTGAAGAGCATGGTTAATAAGTTCTAAATACTATATAGAGCTTTATGGCCAACAAACCTAAAAATACACAAATTTTCTTATACCTATGGGACATTTGCAAAGATCAACTATGTGTTAAGTCACAGATAAAGACCAATATATCAGAGATTTCAAAAATAAGAATAGAATATCATATGTAATTTTATGTCAATAATTTTGAAAATTTAGATGAAATGAACAAATTTTAAAAATAGGCCACAACTTGTTTACTAAAACTGACTTGAGAAAAAATAGAAAATCTGAATAGCCCTACAATTTTTAAATACATTAAATTGACAATTTAGATTAGATATTAATTATTTATTTAGTTACTTATTTGTAGAGAAGAGGTCTCATTATGTTGCCCAGGCTGGTCTCAAACTCCTGCTCAAGGGATCCTCCCACCTCAGCCTCCCAAAATGCTGAGTTTACAGGTGTGAGCCATTGCACCCAGCCAATAGTTTAGTTGTTTTTTTTTTTCTTAAAAGAAAACACCAGGCTCAGATGGTTTTACAGAAAAAAAATCCTACCAAAATATCAAGAAATGGACTATTCCAACAAACTCCTCCAGAGGCAAGATAAGATGGTTTTCAACGGAAATTGAAAAACTGATTCTAAAATTTACATAGAAGAGCAAAAGCCCAATGGGGAGATACATCTCCAGAAATCAAGACTTATTGTTAAACTATAATAATAAAGATAGGTACGGTATACGTGTAGGAATGAACAAATTCACCAGTGGAACAGAATGGAGAGTCCAAAATCATTCTCACTCATATAGAAATTTGAAATTGAACATAGCTGGCATTGTAGATGTCTGGGGAAAGGAGGGAGTATTCAATTAATAGTGCTGAAATAATTGGATATCCATATGGAAAAAAATTAAATTGGATCCCTGCCTTATACCCAAATTAATAAAAATTAATTCCAGATGAATGAAAGACTTAAAAGTGAAAAGTAAAACCTTAAAACTTTTGATAGCCAGGAGGGGTGGCTCATGCCTCTAATCCCAGCACTCTGGGAGGCTGAGGTGGGTGGATCACCTGCGGTCATTAGTTTGAGACCAGCTTGGCCAACATGGCAAAACCCTGTCTGTAGTAAAAATGCAAAGAATCAGCCGGGCATAGTGGCACGTGCCTGTAGTCCCAGCTACTTGGGAGGCTGAGGCAAGAGAATCACTTGAGCCAGGGAGGCAGAGGTTGCAGTGAGTGGAGATTGCACCACAGCACTCCAGCCTGAATGACAGAGTGAGTGAGACTTCATCTCAAAAAAAAAAATAATAATAATAATAAATAAAACTTTTCAAAATATATCTTCATTCAGATTTTCTTATGGATACAGGTAAGAGTTTCTCTGTTGACCTAGGGCTGGAATCGCTGAATCTCAAGGTAAGCGCATACCTAATTTCACTGAGCCCTGCTAAGTTGCTCTCCACAAAGTTATACCGGTTCGAAATCCCAGCAGCAGTGAGGAGGGCTCAAGTCTCTCCTCATCTTTGCCAACCCTTATCATTATCCAACTTTTTTTTCTTTTTGCCATTCTGATGAGTGAAAAGTGACATCTCACTGTCTTAATTTCATCTCTGTGAATATTTTTAAATGTTGTACAAATACTTCCCTTACTGTAAATTGCCCATCCATACATATCCTTTGACCATCTCCCCATGGAGTTCCTTGTCTTTTTCTTGTTGATTTGTCATGCGTCCCTTACATAGTCACTATATTAATCATTTGCAATCATTCCAGCCATCGAAAAGAGTTTTGTTTGTTTGTGTGTTTGTTTTTGAGACAGAGTCTCAACTCTGTCACCCAGGTTAGAGTGCAGTGGCTCAATCATGGCTCACTGCAACCTCAACCTCCCTAGGCTCAAGCCATCCTCTCACCTCAGCTTCCTGAGTAGCTGCGATTACAGGCGTGTGCCACCACACCTGGCTAATTTTTTGTATTTTTTGTAGAGATGGGGTTTCGGCATGTTGCACAGGCTGGTCTGGAACTCCTGGCCTCAAGCGATCCTCCTACCTTGGACTCCCAAAGTGCCAGGATTACAGGTGCAAGCCACTGAGCCCAGCCGAAAAGATCTTTGTTTCCTGTTTTTTTCAACATTCTACTGGCTTTGTCCATGAAGTCCTTCATCAAACAAAACTCCTTAATTTTTATGTAGCCAAGTTTGAAGAAGCGAAAGTTTGTAGAGAAGTTTTTTCCATCCCCATCTCTTCTGTAAAATATCTGTTCAAGTCTTTTGCTTACTTTTCTGTTGGGATGTTTGTCTTTTCTTACTGGTTTTAAGAATTCTTGATATATTGCCGGGCGCGGTGGCTCATGCCTGTAATCCCAGCACTTTGGGAGGCCGAGGTGGGCGGGATCACGAGGTCAGGAGATCGAGACCATCCTGGCTAACACGGTGAAACCCCGTCTCTACTAAAAATACAAAAAAATTAGCCGGGCTTGGTGGCGGGCGCCTGTAGTCCCAGCTACTCAGGAGGCCGAGGCAGGAGAATGGTGTGAACACGGGAGGCGGAGCTTTCAGTGAGCGGAGATTGCGCCCGCCACTACACTCCAGCCTGGGCAACAGAGCGAGACTCTGTCTCAAAAAAAAAAAAAAAAAAAGAATTCTTGATATATTATGGATCATAATCCTTCCAGGGAGTGTTACTCCCTGACATTTCTGGCCTACCCTATCTACCCTATGCATGGGCTGAGCAGACTCATATGCCCAGGGAATGCTTCAGGTAAGAAGCCATGGGTATGTTTAGGAACTACCCGTTAAAGCTGGAGGTGACATCTGGGATGGCTAAGGGGGTGTGGGTGAGGCTCCGACAGTATTTGCTGTACCCACGTTGTCCAATATGAACAGCCACCCATCATTTAAGACTCCTTTTGGGCTGGGT
This sequence comes from Homo sapiens, assembly GCF_000001405.40. NCBI lineage: Eukaryota > Metazoa > Chordata > Mammalia > Primates > Hominidae > Homo > Homo sapiens. The sequence goes on from NC_000001.11 coordinate 20,584,106, forward strand.
GCAGTGGCTTACGCCTGTAATCCCAGCACTTTGGGAAGCCGAGGCAGGGGGCGGATCACAAGGTCAGGAGATCAAGATCATCCTGACTAACATGGTGAAGCCCCGTCTCTACTAAAATAAATACAAAAAATTAGTGAGGCGTGGTGGCACACGCCTGTAATCCCAGCTATTCGGGAGGCTGAGGCAGGAGAATCGCTTGAACCCAGGAGGTGGAGGTCGCAGTGAGCCAAGATCGTGCCACTGCCCTCCAGCCTGGATGACAGAGCAAGACTCCATCTCAAAAAAAAAAAAAAAAAAGAATAAAATAAAAAAGACTCCTTTTATCCTCTTGTTATCTGGGAAGCTTTTCCTAACCTACCTACTCCACCACTCCTTCCAAACAATAGTTTTTCTGTATTGCTATGAGACCCAGTACCTAATCTCATTTTATAGTGTTTTATGCCTGTCTGTTGGCTTATCTGTCTCCTTCACTAGTGTGAGATCCTCAAGGCAGGCACCGAGTCTCATCCACCTCTGATTCTCTGGTACCGAACACAGGGCTTGGCACACACTATTTGCTATAACATGTGCTAACACTTGTTAAGCACTTACCATGTGCCATTCGCCATGCTAAAAGCTTTATGTATATTATCTCGCTTGATTTTTACAACAATCCTAGGAAGTAATATGTTCCTCTAGATGCCACAGGATTGACAGAAACAAAACTCAAACAACTTTAAGATAGAAGTGAATTTTACTAGTTCAATTAAAGGAAAATCTAGAAACATGCCTTCAGGCATGGCTGGATCCAGACACTCATTGAGCAATTGGGGTTCTTTCCCTCCATCTCTCAGCTCTGTTTCTCTCCATCAGGCTTCATTCTGCAAGCAAGCTCACTCTACAAAGAGGGGGAAGCTAGCTGCCAGCAACAGTTGTATCTTCCTACTTAGCAACCACAATGGGAAAAACCAACATTCCCACTGACTCAGCAGAAAAGCGAGGTCTCTGATTGGCGCATCCTGTGTCAACTGCTTGTACCTGCTCATGGGGTGGAAGCACAATGATTGGCAGCCCACCAAGAGGTCTTGCCTAAAAGAACCAAAATAAAACAAAAGAGATGGGAAGCCTTCCTGAGCAGAATAAAACCATGATCCACCAGAGATGGGTCCTTGTGTTGTCCCATTGCATCAATGAGGAAAGAGGCACAGATCACTTGCCCGGGGATACCACTGGTGATAAGTAGCAGAAAAAATATTTAAACTGATGGGTCTGATGTCAAGTCCTGCACCCCTTGCCCATCCATTATACTGGCTCCTCCTATGAATTCTGGGATGGATGAGAGCCCAGGATTCAGATGACAGACAAACTCAGGTTTAAGATCTATTATTATTATTATTATTATTATTATTATTATTATTATTATTAGACAGTATCTTGCTCTGTCACCCAGGAATGCAGTGGCAACATCATAGTTCACTGCAGCCTCGAACTCCTGGGTTCAAGCCACCCTCCCACCTCAGCCTCCTGAGTAGCTGAGACTAAAGGCATGTGCCACCATACCTGGCTAATTTTTTTTTAAATTTTCGTAGAGATGGGGTCTTAGTATGTTGCACCCGCTGGTCTCAAACTCCTGGCCTCAAGCGATCCTCCAGCTTCAGCCTCCCAAAGCACTGGGATTACAGACATGAGCCACCACACCCAGCCTGAGATCCTTTTTTGAGGCTGTGATCTCTATGAGCTCAAGTGTCCTCATCAGTCAAATATGGGCAATAATAGTATCTCTATCTGGTGGTGAGGATTAAATGAAATCATTCAAATAATATATTTAGCATAGGGTCTGGCACATAAAAAGAGCTAAATTAATGTTAGTTCCTATTATCAATAACTATTCATTGAATGAATAAGTGAGTGCATGGTACCTAGACTCTAACATGAAGACTCTGGTTAGACTCTGGTTAGAGATGATACCTCACGTATCATCTCACGGTGTGAAGGCCTGGGAGCAGGGTTTAGGGAGGGCTTTGGACCCTTGAAAATCTCCACCACGGTGCAAAACACTCTCCATGGATTTTCTATTCTTTGAGCTGGGCAATTAACTTTTCTTAATTTTTCTTTCTTTCTTTCTTTCTTTTTTTTTTTTTTTTTGAGACAGGGTCTCATAACATAATGTTACCCAAGCTGGGGTACAGTGGTGCAATCACAGCTTGCTGCAGCCTTGAACACCTAGGCTCAGGTGATCCTCCTGCCTCAGTTTCCTGAGTAGCTAGGATTACAGGTGCACACCAGCATGCCCAGCAGATTTTTTTTTTCAGATAGGGTCTTGCTACATTGTCCAGGCTGGTCTCAAACTCCTGATCTCAAGTTATCCTCCCACCCTGGCATCCCAAAGCACTGGGATTACAGGTGTGAGCCACTGCAACCAGCCAACTTTTCTTAGTTTTACATAAAGTAAAAATAAAAGCATGTTTAGAAAGTGCTGTTCATATTATTGATCTGTAACTTAGCTCTAAGCAAGTTTCCAAGCCCACTTTCTCCTTCCAACCGAATGACCACCCCAAGCCCCTTCCATTAGGAATTCTAGGCCAGGTGCAGTGGCTCACACCTGTTATCCCAGGACTTTGGGAGGCCAAGGCTGACAGATCACATGAGGCCAGGAGTTTGAGACCAGCCTGGCCAACACAGCAAAACCCCATCTCTAGTAAAAATAGAAAAAATTACCTGGGCATGGTGGCACACACCTGTAATCCCAGGCTACTTGGGAGGCTGAGGCACAAGAATTGCTTGAACCCAGGAGGCGGAGGTTGAAGTGAGCCAAGATCACGCCACTGCACTCCAGCCTAGGCAACAGAGTGAGACTGTCTCAAAAAAGAAAAAGGAATTCTAGAGCCACCACTGGCACCCACGCTCCATACAGCTGGGTTTGGAATGAGCGCTGTCCTCACGTATGACCACGTGCAGGTAAAGAGCTTTGAAGGTGCCAAGGGCCATGAGTAGCTTGGGAGGTCATCTAGGTTCTCCCAGCACTGTGGAGTCAAGGAGTCCTGAAGGCCGGTCCCAGGCCTGGGCAGGGCTGGGTGGGGCAGACTGAGACAGGGCAGGGGACAGGAACGGGATGACTTATTGAGGTCTCTGACAGGCCTGGCAGACCAGCAGGGCACTACAACTCTTTTCCCAGTAGTAATTATACTTGGCCTGAAAAAGCTTTAGAATTATTCCCACGTTGAGTGGGCACACAGTGTCCTGAGACATCCTTGGCCCTCTGAGATCCAGGAAACTGCTCTAGATGCCAAAGTTATAGAGACAGTAGGAAAGTGCATGGGTGGAGAGGCCCTCAGCCCCAGCAGGAGGCAATAGGCTGCCTCTCTGAGGGCTGGATGCAGTGGGAGGGGAGGGGATCTGAAGGGAGAGGAGGCAAGGAGGAAAGGAAGCAAACTTTACCCAACTCTTCAGCGGCCCAGCTGGGTGTCTGCGATGTCCACATATGGCTGAGAGCTCCAAGTCTGGGACACAGAGATGCCAGCATGCAGGACACGAGATACTGCCTTGTTTTCTCCTCCTTTCCCCTGCCTTTCCCCCTGCCCCTTCCCCATTCCCCATCCAAACTCTCCTGCTGGCCAGGGGTGTGGAAACAGTTGGATGTCTTTGGCCACTCTAGCTGGAGTTCTGCCCTATGTGATCTTGGCTGAGTCACTTAATGACAATAACCCAGTTTGTGTGGAGTCACAAATGGTGTTCACATCATAACGTCACCAGACTCTCCAGCCACACCCATTGTACACGCATTATCTCATTCAATCCTCATGACAACTCTGGAAGTGAAATCATGTTAGTGCACCCATTTTGCAGATGAGGACACTGAGGCTTAGGGAGATGGTGTGTGACCTTCCCAATGTCATATGTCTAATAAATGGCAGGAATGGAATTCAAACCATGGTTTACTAAACTCCAAAGCTGGAGCCCTTCTACAGTCTCAGGATCTAGAACAGGGATTATTACTATCTCTGCTGTTGACATGAGGAAACTGTGGTTCAGGGAGGTCAAGTGACCTGCCAAAGCTTGTACACATGGAAAGTAGTAGAACCAGGATGCAAACACATTTCTTTACCACCAACACCAATATCTATTTTGCCAACAAAACAATGAGGGGGCCTGAGTAAATAATCTCAACGGTTAACTCCACCCTCCAATTGAGATACTTTTTTTTTTTTTTTTTTTTTTTGAGACAGGGTCTGGCTCTCTGTCACCCAGGCTGGAATGCAGTGGTGCAATCTGAGCTCACTGCAGCCTCTGCCTCCTGGGTTCAAGCCATCCTCCCACCTCAGCTTCCCAAGTAGCTAGGACTACAGGCACATGCCACCATGCCCAGCTAATTTTTGTATTTTTTGTAGAAACAGGGTTTTGCCATATTGCCAAGGCTGTTCTCAAACTCCTGGGCTCAAGCAGTCCTCCTGCCTCAGCCTCCTAAAGTGAGCCACCACACCCAGCAGCTGAGACACTTTTTAATTCTGGGCTAGGGCAAAGAGAAGTTGGAAGGAAAATGGGTGAAAATAAAGAAGTTCTCAGTTATACTGCAGCTTGTTCATGCCTCCTGCCTCGGGATGCCGCAGTGGCTGCCCCAGCCCTGCCCTTTCAGCCTCAGCCCTTCCCTCAGTGAAGGAGAGAAAAAGTGATTTAACAAAGTGAGGACTGTCAGCCCTTGGAGCTTGGACCTTTGAGATCTCACACTGCCCCACCCAGTAGCTTCCCCTTCCAGTAGCGTGGCACCACCTTCTGACCCACCCCTCAGTGTGTCCACCAGTGAGAGTGGTTCCTAAGGGAGAGTGTGAAGCACACGTAGGCACTGTCTTACACCACACCTGCTGAGTCCAAACCATGGGAGGCTCCTCTCCTAGACCCTGCATCCTGAAAGCTGCGTACCTGAGAGCCTGCGGTCTGGCTGCAGGGACACACCCAAGGGGAGGAGCTGCAATCGTGTCTGGGGCCCCAGCCCAGGCTGGCCGGAGCTCCTGTTTCCCGCTGCTCTGCTGCCTGCCCGGGGTACCAACATGGCCCAGAAGCGTCCTGCCTGCACCCTGAAGCCTGAGTGTGTCCAGCAGCTGCTGGTTTGCTCCCAGGAGGCCAAGAAGTCAGCCTACTGCCCCTACAGTCACTTTCCTGTGGGGGCTGCCCTGCTCACCCAGGAGGGGAGAATCTTCAAAGGTAAAGGTGGGCACCCCAGGGTCCCCCAGCCCAGCAGCCTGGGTGGTGGGTCAGAGGAAGATGTACAGGAAGAGGCGCAGAGGCACAGGCAGTGGCAAGAGCGCGGCTCTGTCCCTTCTTCCCCCAGTCTCCGCTGGAATGTTCCTACCCTGCCGACTGCCCCAGACCGCGCTCAAATGTGGCTTAAATCCAGGGTCTTTCAATGCTTAGAGGACTGGGATGAGGAAGGAAGTTGGATGGGAGGCAGGAAGGGGAGGCCATAAATCAAAAACATCAACAGTCCTGGGGTGCAGGCAGGGAGAGCGTTCGTGCTTTCCCAGCCTCGGATATGTCTGGCACCTTACTGAGGCTTCCACAACACTAAGTCCACACCTCCTGCCCACTGACCTAAGTGTTAATGCTCGTCTTTAGATGAAACTACGGAGGTCTCGAGAGGTGACATGACTTGCCCAAGGTCACACGGGGCGCTGGTGGTGAAACCCTGGGCTGGAGGTTCCCCAAAGCCCTGCTCTCTTCCTTCCACCCACTGTGCTCAGTGCTGGCCAGGGTGGTGACGTGTTTGTCGGGGGTGGTCGGTGGAGAATCTTGGAGGAGAAAAGCCAGCTGGGCTTTCGGAGTCCAGCAGTGAGCAGCGCCCTGCGGGGCGGGGGCGGGTAATGGAACCTGAGCCCATCTGAGTCTGCTCTAATCTGTTCCTAAACTCTTTTCTTTGATTTATTGCTTTTGTAGAAAAGTTCATGTGAGCAAAAATTCAAGCTTGTTTTTGCTAAGCTTAGAGGCATTCTCCTTCAGGGCAGTAGGGGACATGGTGTGGAGGTACCCCTTGGTATTATTCCCTGTCTGTTGAGGTTCTGTCGGGTGTGACTTGCCTGGGTCTTAAACATCTTTGAGTGGGAGAAGCAGGTTTGATTGAGTGCTAACAGCCTGTGAAAGGAAGGTGATTAATGCTATCCATTTAACCCCTGCAACCCTGAAAGGCAGAGAAGGAAACAGGTTTGGAAAGTTTCAGAGCTCAAAATCACAGAGCTGGGATTGGAACCCAGACTTCCCCTGACTCCAAAAGCTGTTGCTCTGTGGGGAGTGAAGGATCTCTGAGTACCGTGTTGAAATTCAGACCTGTTTTGGTGGCTGAGGTGAATATTAAACATTAACCACCACCACAAACAACAAACATTCACCACCACCGCAAACACCATTGCAACTCACAACATTGCAGAATCTTGAATGTGGAAATCAGCCCTTGATTCTTTCGAAAGCCTCCACATCCTTTCCAGATGGCACAGAAAGGGCCCTCCTACAATCCCCCGGCACCCACACTGACCCCTCCTGCCGTGCTTATCACATGGTGTCATCACTGTCCACTTATGTATCTGCCTCTCCCTTGGGACTTTGTGCTGCAGAGGGCAGGAGCTGTGTCTTGAATCTTTGTGCCATTGACTTTCTCGTGCTGTGACGTAGCACCTGCCTGGCTCAGAACAGGCACTCAATAACTGTTGAGTGACTGATTGGATGAATGAATGAGATGAGTACGTTTGGAGAAGCAGAAGGAAGAGGGATGGTGGGGCAGGTGGTGGTGATGGGGGCTCAGCATGTTCGGCCACAGCATTTCCTGGCCTGTGGGGCCAGCATGGCTGCCTTCCATCCATGCTTTCCAGCACTGGAACTGGTGTTCTGCTTGGAACAGCAGGAGGTCAGACAGCCTCATCGTGCCTCCAGAGCCAGGGGACCCCCATGCCAGAATGCTTGGGTCCTTTCTTGTTTTAAAACCCACAATAGTCGGGCATGGTGGCTCACGCCTGTAACCCCAGCACTTTGGGAGGCCGAGGCAGGCGGATCACGATGTCAGGAGATCGAGACCATCCTGGCTAACACGGTGAAACTCCATCTCTACTAAAAATACAAAAAAAAATAGCCGGGCGTGGTGATGGGTGCCTGTAGTCCCAGCTACTCGGGAGGCTGAGGCAGGAGAATGGTGTGAACCTGGGAGGCGGAGCTTGCAGAGAGCCGAGATCGTGCCACTGCACTCCAGCCTGGGCGACAGAGCGAGACTCTGTCTCAAAAACAAACAAACAAAAAAAAACAAACCCACAATAAAGGAGGCACACTTTCACTCATAAGTGACACCTGGGAGCTCCTTCCAGTGAAGTCCACACCTCTGTCACCCTCATACTGATCATTCAACAGATATTTGCTGAACATCAACTCTGTTCCAGGTAAGGTGCCAGGTGCTGGGGATATCACAGTGAACAGGGATGACACAATCCCTGCCCCCATGGCAGTCCCCTCATATTGCATAGGTGATGACTGAAGGCTCGAGCCTCATCCAGTGGAAGGAAGGAATGGAGGAGATAAACAGGACTGTGGCCCATTTGCATTGCAGGGAAAGACCTGGTGTCACCAGAGAAAGGGTTGTGTGATGGGGATTTAGAGAGTGAAATGGAGGCTTCAGAGTCAGAGGTTCCTGGGTTGGAAGGCTGGTGTTTATCAACTGTGTGACTCTGGGTGAGACCCTTCACCTTTCTGAGTGTCAGCTCATACATTTTATTTATTTATGGGTTTTTTTTTGTTTTTTTTTTTTGAGATGGAGTCTCACTCTGTCACCCAGGCTGGAGTGCAGTGGCGCGATCTCGGCTCACTGCAATCTCCGACGCCCAGGTTCAAGCGATTCTCCTGCCTCAGCCTCAGAGTAGCTGGGATTACAGGCACCCGCTACACACCTGGCTAATTTTTGTACTTTTAGTAGAGACAGGGTTTCATCATGTTGGCTAATCTGGTCTCGAACTCTGAGGTGATCCACCCGCCTCAGCCTCCCAAAGTGCTGGGATTACAGGCATGAGCCACCGCACCCAGCCAGCTCACACATTTTAAGCCAGGGATCATAAAACCCACCTTTCAGGATGACTGTGAACAGAACCAGATTCAGCTGGTATGCTGGTATGCCTGGCACGACACGGCATGGCAGGCAGCATTCACTCTGATCGGTTGGTGCCTGCGCTGAGTATGTAGAATTTCACCCCTGGTTGTGAGGCTTTAAATGAGTAAATGCTTATAAAGCATTCAGCGCATTTTCTGCCTCGTAATAAGAAGGTCACAAATGATAGCTGCTTCTGCTACCACTATTAATGCTATCATTATTCTTATTATCTGGAGGCAGATTGTGGAGGACTTTTGGAGGCCAAACAGAGACACTAAGATTTGAAGAGGTAGGAAGTAGGGAGCCAAGGAATGTTATTAAGAAGAAGAGTAACATAAAAGTGGTGTGTGATGACATTTAGTGTGACAGGTGCTCAGCAAGGGCGGGGACAGAGGAACAGTGTCAGGGTACAGTATCTGCTCCACTCACTGACCTGTCTGCAGTGTCAGCACACTTCCTGGCCTATCACTGGGCCTCTGTAAGGTTTGTTGAACACATGAATGAAAGGCTTCTACTAGGACTGGGACAGGTAGAATGAAGAGAAAGGAATGATCCGAGAGATATTGTGTGGGACACATGGACCGGGCCTGGCATGGGCAGTGTTACAAATAAAGGCTGGGTGCGGTGGCTCATGCCAGTAATCCCAGTGCTTTGGGAGGATGAGGCTGGAGGATCCCTTGAGTCCAGGAGTTCGAGACCAGCCTGGACAACATGGCAAGACGTCGTGTCTACAAAAAGTACAAAAATGAGCTGGATGTGGTGGCGTGCATCTGTGGTCCCAGACACTTGGGAAGCTGAGATGGAGGGATCACTTGAGCCCCAGGAGTTCGAGGCTGCAGTGAGCTGTAATCACACCACTGTACATCAGCTGGGCGACAGAATGAGACCCTGTCTCAAAAAATAAAAAACAAAATAAGAAATAAAGTAAAGGCACATGGCTTTAGGATCGCCAGCCAGGTGGCCCAGGTGAATGATGATGAGGCACTGACTGAGGTGAGGCATTGAAGGCATGGCTGGACTGTGTGCTGGGGACGTGCTGGGCAGGGACCAGCAGCAGTATTCGAAGCTACAATGGAGTGAGCTCACTAAGGACTTCATTTAGATGACCTCCTGTAATATCACAGCCACCTCATGATGGGGGACAATGAGTTTCACATGCACTAATCAGAGTACTTCCTATGGTCAACGTCAGAAAGCAACCAGAACCAGAGCGGGCAAGGGTAGTGCTTGTCTCAGGGTAGCTGGATCCAGGAACACAAACATCACCACATCCTTCTTTATCCTTCTGGGTGCAGGTCTCTTTCTCTTGTCCTGCAGGTGGGCTTTTTCTGGGCATCAGGGAACATGAGTGCAAGCAGTCTCTGGTTTCCATTCTTTTGTTTTTGTTTTTGTTTTAAAGGCAGGGTCTCTCTGCTGCCCATGCTGGAAGTACAGTGGCGCGAGCCTAGTTCACTGCAGTCTCAAACCCCTGAGTTCAAGCTATCCTCCTGTCTTAGCCTCCCAAGTAGCTGGGACTACAGGTATGTACCACCATGCCCAGCTAATCTTTTTTATTTTTATAGCGATGAGGTCTTGCTACGTTGCCCAGGTTGGTCTCGAACTCCTGACCTCAAATGATCCTCCCACCTTGGCCTCACACAGTACTGGGATTACAGGCATGAGCCACTGCACCTGGCCTGTTTATCATTCACACATTACTGAAGTAGGAAGTGAGGCCAGGTGCAGAATAGGGGGTGGATGCAGTAAGTTGGGGCTTGGAGCAGGGGGCACCTGGACACCCAGAGGAAGCCTGGTGTGGTTTCATGGGGTGAAGCAGAGCTGATCAGGAGGCAGAAACGGCACAGCTGAGTTTAGACACTGTGAGTTTACAGCTTATGGCAGAACAGGTCTGCCCAGGTCTGTGACTTTCTCCAGCTAAACACAAGACCGGCACAGGTGAAGGCTTCCCCCTCCAAGGCAGCTGGTGTCCCATCCAATTCAAAAGCAGGCCTGGCTGCAAAGACGGCCTTGCTATCGAGACTTCATAATGATCATCATTTTCTCTCTGTTACTCCCAACCCTGGCCAGGGCCTTGTGCCCCTCACAGATGGGCCACCCAGGATGGTGATTAACAACTACAGCAATTAGGTTTTCATGATGCACCTCGGGCTGGTAACATTCGTGACTGCTTGTGGGGAGAGCCGAGGGAGAGGTACAGAAAGAGGAGCTCACTGGTGAGGAAAGAGCTGCTAAGGGAAAAAAAAAAGTGAGGACACAAAGAGGAGAGTGGAGATGGCACAGAAGGAGGATTGAGAAAGCAAAGAAAATGGGCCAGGCGCGGTGGCTCATGACTGTAATCCCGGTGCTTTTGGAGGCCGAGCTGGGCGGATCACCTGAGATCAGGAGTTCGAGACCAGCCTGGCCAACATGGTAAAACCCCATCTCTACTAAAAATACAAAAAATTAGCCAGGTATGGTGGTAGGTGCCTGTAATCCCAGCTATTCAGGAGGCTGAAGCAGGAGAATCGCTTGAACCTGGGAGGTGGAGGTTGCAGTGAGCCGAGATCACACCACTGCACTCCAGCCTGGGCGACAGAGCGAGACGCCATCTCAAAAAAAAAAAAAAGAAAGAAAGATAAAAGAAAAGAAAGAAAGCAAAGAAAATGGTCCACGGAAACGGAGTCAGCTCCGGGCCTTGCACATGGCTGAGGCTCAGCCGGTGTTCGTGCAGCGCCGGGTGGGTGATGGGCAGGGAAGAGAAGGACCACCTGTAACCCTAGGGGCACTGCACGAGGTGTCCCTGGGCTCGTGGGGAGTATGCATCTGGCGATGAGACCACGACAGTGCCAGAAAGGGTCCCAGGATGGTGCCCAGACACAAGACTTCTTGGCTGTAGTTTCTGCCAACTCTGCTGGCACAACCCAAGGGATGGGAGGGTTTATCTTCTTCAGCTCATGACCTTAGGACAGTGGTCTCTCTCCCTCTTTCCTCCTCCTTTCCTCTCCGTCTGCCATTTAGGGAAAAAGCCACTTTACTCAACCAGCTGGGGTGAATTCTGAGAGGAACACACCACATTTTAGAAGACACTTGAGGATGTCTTGGTTAAGTAACCACTGAATCCAGCCTACCTTGGCTTAATTCTTAAATCTGAGTCTTCCATTTTCCCTCAAACCACCCCCTGCTGTTCTGATTCTGTCCCTGGTCTCCCTTTCTCTGCCTGGATGCATTTTCCTAGAAGCATTTCTTGGTGCCTGACACCAGCCCCTCTCTTCAGCAGCTGATGGACCCCAGGCCCCATCCCCCCAACACCACAGCATCTCTGGTCTAGGTAAGAGCAAGCTTCTCTAACCTGGGTCTTCAGCTTACAGCCCAGCTCCCATCACGCCCCGTTTCCCGCTGTTTCCCCCTGCCAAGGAACTTCAGTTAGTCCTCTCCACTGTCACTCAAAAGTGGCTCATTTTGTGACCAGCCTAGGCAACAGGGTGAAACCCCATCTCTACAAAAAATACAGAAATTAGCCAGGCGTGGTGGCACATGCCTAGAGTCCCAGCTACTCGGGAGGCTGAGGCAGAAGGATGGCCTGAGCCCCGGTGGTGGAGATTGCAATGAGCCGTGAGCACGCCACTGCACTCCAGCCCAGCCCGGGCAACAGAGCAAGACTCTCTCAAAAAAAAAAAAAAAAAAAAGGCCAGGCACGGTGGCTCATACCTGTAATCTCACTCAGCACTTTGGGAGGCTGAGGTGGGTGGATCACCTGAGGTCAGGAGTTCAAGACCAGCCTGGCCAATATGGTGAAACCTCGTCTCTATTAAAAATACAAAAATTAGCCAGGCGTGGTGGCAGGCGCCTGTAATCCCAGCTGCTCAGGAGGCTGAGGCAGGAGAATCGCTTGAACCTGGGAGGCGGAGGTTGCAGTGAGCTGAGATCGCACCATTGCACTCCAGCCTGGGTAACAAGAGTGAAACTCCATCTCGAAAAAAAAAATTGTCTCATTACATAGGCAAGCTTTACTACAGTCCCTCGACTAAATAGCTGAGTTCGAATATAATTCATACCTGAAATGGTGCATTTGCAGTGGGAGGAGGTTAGGAACATGGAGAGAGTGTCGTATTTCTTCAAGTATATGGACAGAACATTCCTCACGTGATTCTCAAACGTGGTCCCAGAACTGCAGCCTCAGCAGCTCCTGGGAACTTGTGAAAATTTGAAATTTTTGAGCTCCAACCCAGCCCAGACCTATTGAATCAGAAACTCCAGGAAAGAGGCTTACAAGTGTGTTTTAAGAAGCCCTCTACTCAGGAGGCAAAGGCAGGAGGATTGCTTGAGTCCAGGAGTTCAAATTCCAGCTGGGCAACTAATAACAAGACCCTGTCTCTAAAAAATATAAAAATAAATAAATTTAAAAAGAGAAGCCCTCCAAAACATTCTGATGCCCACTTGCTTGAGTGTGAGAATACTGCTTTAATCTTGCTAGGATCCCTCAGAAAAGAGAGTGGGTGCAGTGCTTTCTGGCATTATTCTTTTCTCTGGGTGGCTGGGCCCAAATAGCCTCATTGTGAGCTTCTTTCCCTGTTGATGTCTTTTTTTTTTTTTTTTTTTTTTGAGACAGGATCTCACTCTGTTGCCCAGTCTGGAGTTCACTGGCACAATCTCAGCTCACTGCAGCCTCGACCTTCCTGGCTCAGGCGATCCTCCCACCTTAGCCTCCCAAGTAGCTGAGATCACAGGCATGCACCACCATGCCTAGCTAATTTTTAAAATTTTTTGTAGAGACTGGGTTTTGACATGTTGCCCAGGCTAGTCTCGAACTCCTGGACTCAAACAATGCACCCACCTCAGCCTCTAAAAGTACTGGGATTACAGGCGTGAGCCACCACACTCAGTCTTGCTGATGTCTTAATAACATCTGACCGCAGCCCTGCCTTAAGCACCAAACCACCTCAAAACATGGCCTTCCTTCCTGCAAGGCCATAGAGAATAAGAAGAGTCTGGCCGGGCGCCGTGGCTCACATCTGTAATCCCAGCACTTTGGGAGGCCAAGGCAGGTGGATCATGAGGTCAGAAGATCAAGACCATCCTGGCTAACATGGTGAAACCCCATCTCTAATAAAAATACAAAAAAAATTAGCCGGGTGTGGTATGCAATCACAGCTACTTGGGAGGCTGAGGCAGGAGAATGGCGTGAACCTGGGAGGCGGAGCTTGCAGTGAGCCAGGATCGTGACACTGCACTCCAGGCTGGGCGACAGAGCGAGACTCCGTCTCAAAAAGAAAAAAGAAGAGTCCATCGTATCTCACAGGCCAGGATGCATGTTTTGGCCTCCTGCCACCAGCCTTCACTTTTACCTTCTGTAAAATGGTGTTCTAACAGTATTTACCTTACCCAACAGTTAAAAGGATTAACTGACCTTATGCAGGTAAAGCACTCCACAGAGTGCCTGGCCTATGAGTGCCCAGTAAAAGAAAGCAATTAGTAATACTGGCACTATGATCGTAGTATTATTTGGTCCTATCTTATTATTATGGATTTCTAACTTAGCACCATCCCAATCTCTCTCATGTATGTTTTGAAGTAAGCAAAGGCAATAGCAGAAACAGAATTGGTTTGCCTGGTCAGAAGACAGCCTGCTTTCTGGGCTGAGAGAAGCAAAACAAAATTGCACAGCATTTCAGGATGCAGTACGTGGGCAAAGGCTTCCTTCCTTTTTTTTTATTTGCCTTTTTTTTTTTTTTTGAGCTAGAAAATTCAAGGAAATTACTTGAATTTGTTACAGGCTCCAAATACAGTTATTCCTCTGCGTCTTAAGCATCTAGAACTGAAGTGGAAAATTCCACTCTTTCAATAATGGTTAGCCATCTTAGCTCAGGCCATGCTGTGGTTTGAAGGTTTGCCCCCTCCAAAATGCATAAGCGTACTTTGGAGGGCTTCTCTTTTCAAATTTATTATTTATATACACTTTTAGAGACAGGGTCTCGCTATGTTTAATTGCCAATGCAACAGTGTTGGGAGGTGGGACCTAATAAGAGGTGTTTAGGTCATGAGGGCTCTGCCCGGTGAGTGGATGAATACCGCTATAAAAAGGGCTTACAGTATGGATTCTCTCTCTTTCACTCTCCTGCCACATGAGGAATAGTGTTCCTCCCCTCCAGAGGATGCAATGTTCAAGGCGCCATCTTGGAAGCTGAGACTGGGTCCTCACTAGACACCAACTTGCCAACAGCTTGACCTTGGACTTCCAAGCCTTCAGAATTATGACAAATAAATTTCTGTCCTTTATAAATTACCTAGTCTGGGATATTACGTTACAGCAGCACAAAACGGACTAAAACAGGCTGCTATAACAAAATACCATAGACTAGTGGTTTAAACAGCAGACATTTATTTCTCACAGTTCTGGAGGCTGGGAAGTCCAAGATTCAGTTCTTGGCGAGGGCCCTCTTTCTGACTTGGCCATTTTCTCACTATGCCCTGACAGGATGGAGAGAGAGAGTTTAAGAGTCTCTTCTTCTTCTTATAATAGCACTAATCCCATCATGGGGGCTGCCCCCTCACGACCTAATCTAAACCTGGTTATCTCACAAATGCCCCACCTCCTAATAGTATAGCGTTGAGGGTTAGGACTTCAACAGAAGAATTTTAGGGAGACACAAACATTCAATCCATAAGAGAAACTGAGAGCCCCATGACTTCACTGTTCCAGGCCCAGGACATACCACAACACATGTTAGAGACAAAATCTCTGCCCTCAGAAAGTTTGTAATATAATAGGAGGAATTAGATAATAAAGACATTTATTTCAGGAGACTGTTAAGTGCTATGAAGAAAATTAAAGCAGGAGAAATGGATACAGAGAGTTGGAGGCAGTAGTGGGAGGAAGCCATTTTAGATAGGTGATCGGAGAAAGCGTCTCTGAGAAGGTGACATTTGAGCAGAGCCCTGAGTAGGGTGAATAGTGCGCAAAAGGGAAAGAGAGTTCCAGGCAATGGG